>NC_000007.14:23990242-25240242 GCF_000001405.40 Homo sapiens
GAAGTGCGAAACTGGATCCTTATCTCTCATCACATACAAACATCAATTCAACATAGAATAATGACAAATCTAAGACCTGAAACCATAAAAATTCTAGAAGAAAACCTAGGAAAAAAACTCTTTGGACATTGGCCTAGGCAAAGAATTAATGACTAAGAACCCAAAAGCAAAATGTAACAAAAACAAAAATAAATAAATGGGACCTAATTAAACTAAAAAGCTTGTGCACAGCAAAAGAAATAATAATCAGACAACATGCAGAATGAATAGACAACCTTCAAAATGGTATTAAATATTTGCAAACTATGCATCTGACAAGGGACTAATATCCAGACTCTACAGCAAGAAACAAACAAATGATCTCATCAAAAAGCGGGCAATGACATGCACAGATATTTCTCAAAAGATTATGTACATCTGGCTAACATATGAAAAAATGCTCAACATCACTAATCATCAGGGAAATGCAAATTAAAAGCACAATGAAATACCACTTACCTTGTCCAGAATGGCCATTATTAAAATGTCAAAAAACAATAGATGTGGATGGTGGATGTGGTGAAAAGGGACCAGCCTACACACTGCTGGTCGGAATGCAAATTAGTACAACCTCTGTGGAAAACAGTATGGAGATGTCTCAAAGAACAAAAAGTAGATCATTTGATCCAGCAATCCCACTACTGGGTGTCTATTCATGGGAAAAGAAGTCATTATATCAAAAAGGCACCTGCCTGTGTATGTTTATCACAGCACAATTCACAATTGCAAAGACACGGAACCAATCTAAGTGCCTACCAACTGATGAGCAGATAAAGAAAATGTGGCATATATACACCATGGAATACTACTCAGCCATAAAAAGCAACAAAATAATGTATTGTGCAGCAACTCGGATGGAGCTGGAGACCATTATTCTAAGTGAAGTAACTTAGGAATGGAAAACCAAATAACCTATGTTCTCACTTATAAGTGGGAGCTAAGCTCTGGGTATGCAAAGGCAGACAGAGTGGTATAATGGGTGTGGGAGACTTGGAAGGGGAGAGGGCAGGAGGGGAATGACGGATAAAAAATTACATATTGGGTACAGTGTACACTACTCAGATGATGGTGCCCTAAAATCTCAGACTTCACTGCTATACAATTCATCCTTGTAACCAGAAATCACTTGTACCCCTAAAGCTATTGAAATAAAAAAAAATCGGCTGGGCGCAGTGGCTCACACCTGTAATCCTAGCACTTTGGGAGGCTGAGGCGGGCAGATCAGGAGCTCAGGAGTTCAAGATCAGCCTGGCCAACATGGTGAAATCCCATCTCTACTAAAAATACAAAAATTAGCTGGGCATGGTGGCATGTGCCTGTAATCCTAGCTACTCAGGAGGCTGAGGCAAGAGAATCGCTTGAGCTTGTAAGGCTGAGGTTGCAGTGATCTGAGATTGTGCCACTGCACTCCAGCCTGGGACAGAGTGAGACTCTGTCTCAAAACAAAACAAAACAAATCCACGATTGTATGTATCCTGCTGAAATTTATAAATTTTAAAGGTAAGCAAAAAAAAATTATTGATCATTCATCATGTGCTGAACACTAAACATTATCATCTTTCACAATGATGATATAAGACATAAATATACATTTATAAGCAATGAGATGAGGAAGCTGGGGCTCTGAGAAGTTACATAACCTCATCCACACCTCAGCAGCAGTACTAGGTGATAGACTTTGGATTTAAACATGGGCATACAAGAAGATGAACAAATTACCTAAAAAGGAAACAATTCACATTATTATTAAAACATTTTTGCAATCCAGAATACCACAGAAACTGGAGAAATGACAATTACAGTGTTTCTGAACACTGTCTTCTCATCACAGTCACTTTTGGGGCTTTATAAACGTCACAGTTGAGTGAGCCCCATCTTAGACTGATTAAACCTGGAAATAGGATCACATTGCCAGTTTTAAGATCTGCTGTTCTACAAAATTTGTCAGAGAAAAAGATTATGGTATAAAAATTCTAAGCCTTCCTAAATTTGTGTGTGAAAGCAATAAATTGACATTCCCATATCTTTAAGATTTTTATAAAATGTACCACCTAGGTATTCTTCCTGAAAAATGTATTTGTACCTGTCCTTCTGTTCAATAAGAGCTGAACTCATATTAAATTGTGAGGAGTGTTAAGAGAAAAAAAGTCATACTGTGACACTAAATAAATACACAGAAATAAGTGTGATAGTATGACTATAGTTGCAATGTGGAATGTAACAACTTAAAAATCATAAAGAGAATGTTACAGAGAACAACGATGGGATTTAAAACCTCAAATTAAATTAACGAAGACCTGGAAGTTGCAAAGAACACAGAGAAAGTGAAAGGACTTAATTACTTGGCTGTCATTGTAGGAAACAGAAAGTTGTTTGATTAATGATCTTTATAGCTAGATAAAGGTTTAGGAATGTTTTTGAAAAGTGTAAGATAAATCACTGGTAGAATTTAAATCATGATATATTGATGTCAGTGCAGAAAACCAAACGTGAAGTTTTTGAGGGCTGAGAAGCGAATGGGATGAAAGGAAGTAAAGACAAGTATGACACCATTTGCAAGGATGTCTACTGTGAAAATTAGCAGAAACCCAGGGCAGGGACTAGAGGAGGATGTGGAGTCAAAAGAGAGTATTCCTTTTGATGTTAAAAATGGATGCCAATAAGCATATTTGTATGCCATCAGAAAAGATGCAGTAGGAAAGGAGAAACTGAAGATGTGAAAGAGAAATAAGACAATGGCTTGGAGTGAAGTCTTTGAGCAAGTGAAAAGCAATAGGACCAGAGAAAATGGGTGGAGGGGTCACCCTTAGATGGTAGTATACACAGTTTAGCCATTGTTACAGGATGAAAGGTAGAATGTGTGGCCATAACAATTATTAACTTTGTGCCCTATTGGTCAACTTTAATTTTATTGTAGTAATAAGTCTTAACTTGAGATCTTCTATATTTTTAAGTATACAATACAATATTGTTAACCATGGCCACAATGTAATTCAGAATATCTCTAGAACATATTCATTTTGCATTACAGAAACTTACACATTGAACAGCAACTCCCCATTTCTCCGTTCCTCCCCTCACTGGCAACCACCATTCTGCTCTCTGCTTCTATGAGTTTGACTATTAGATACCTCATATATGTGGAATTATGCCATCTTTGTCCTTCTGTGACTGATTTATTTCATTTTGCATAATGTCCTCCAGGTTCATCCATGTTGTATATGCATACTGCAGGATTTCCTGTTTTATTAAGGCTGAATAATATTCCATTGTATGCCACATTTTCTTTATCCACTGATGGACATTTAGGTTGTTTCAGCTTGTTGGCTATTGTGAATCAATGCTGCAATGAACATGTGAGTACTAATATCTCTTCAAGAGCCTGATTTCAATTCCTTTGGATAAATATCCATAAATGGAATTACTAGATTATATGATAGCTCTATTTTTATTTTTTTCAGGAAACTCCATACTGTTTTCCTTGAGGGTTGCATCATTTTTCTTTCCCACCAACAGTGTACAAAGATTCTAATTTCTCTACATTCTTGCCAAACTTGTCTGTTTTTTTTTTTAATAGCAGTCATCCTAACAGGTGTGAGATATCTCAGTGTCATGAGCGATTTCTCTACTTTTTTGCCCCTAAATTTCAGTTCTATAAAATGGAGAAAATGATACCCACCTCATGGTTGTGAGGATTAAATGAGTTCATGCATATAAATTCCTAGGAAAAAATGCTCCGCAAATAGTAGGTAGTCAATAAAAGCAGCTATTATTATTTTCTTTAAAAAAATAAGTGCAGAAGAAAAAGTTTTGGAGAAGGATAGTAGTGAGGTTGCACAAAAAAAGAATGCACTTAATGCTACTGAACTGCACACTTAAAATGGTTAAATGGCACATTTTATGTTATGCATATTTTACTAAAATAAAAAAATGAAGGTTAGTTGATGGTGTTTGGAGTGGCCAGATGAGGGAGATTTGTTCTGTTGCATCTATTTTTTCTATAAAATGATGTCTTTAAGGATGAGATGGGTAGGGATTTTGAAGATTTGAGGAAAGAGACTAAATCTGAAGTAATCATGTCAGAGAATATGATTTTACTAGGAAAGTATAATAGGGTTATCTATGGCAGTACACGGTGCCTCCTTGAAATCTGTGGTTATAAATTGGAAATAAGTTGGGTCAAGAGGAGCTGCTTTGGCACAGGGGTAGAGTAAATGGGTTGTTGCATTAACCAGGGTTGGTATTTTTCCTAGGTGAGTTCAATAAAAGGAAAAACGGGCAAAGCAGCGAGGGTGTTTGCAAGGGAGTTGTCAGGATGCTGAACTGTGGAGTTTGACACCATACAATAAAATAAAATGGTGATAAAATAGTCTCAGGAAGACCTGGTTAGGAAGAAGCACAAATGAAGAAATGAAAAATAGTAAATGAAATAGACATTGAGGACAATATTATCATTTAACAAGATGGAAATAGCTATACAACATTTAGATAATTGTTCAAGAATTCAACTTTCCTGAGTCCAATGTATTTTAGTGTTTAGCTCAGAAACTAGACTTATGAAAGAATTTTTAAAAAGACTTTCTTTTGTAGGTGCCAAGTCTCTGTTGAGCTATTTTGTTTCCCCTTTGGTGTCATTTTAGATTCTGAGACCAATTTACCAGGAGTGTCTCGTTAATCTTCACTCTGTCCTTCAGAGATGGGCTACTTTCCATACAATTCCAGTTTGCAGAAGAGTAGGTTTAGAGGTGACACCTTCCCGTCATGCTTCACCTCAAATGTCAGCACCAGGACAGCTATAATGAAATACTAGAATATGGCTAGAACAATGGCTCTGGGAATGGGTCTCCTAGGTGTCTGTCAATTGAATGTGGGATGATTTGTTCTTGTTTCTTCCCAGAAATTGAAGTTAAACTGGATTTGTTTGCAATTTTCAGACATAGCACAATTCAACTTCATTGACTTGGTTATACTGACAAGCAACTGGTAACCATAAGTTTTCCAAAGAAGGTGGCTGCTTACAATGTGGGTAGAAGAAATTCTACCAGAATAAAGACCACATAGAGGACTAAAGAAGTCACTAGAGTCAAGAAACCACTCAGTGTTCAGGGGTCATGTGGCTCATTATCAGCAAATCTATCATGTGTCATAGGAGAGATGAGGAAGAGCTGCAGAAAAATTAGGCCCTGTGGAATCTGACTCGTGGACAAGGCTCAGGACAAAAATCACCCTTTTCAGCTATATTTCTATACACATTTTTATAGCTAGCAAGACTCCTTTCTATCCAACCTCACAAGGTATACTTGTACCTATGGCTTCTAAGGTCCTTGGATGAAAAAAAAAAAAAAAAGAAAAGAAAATGGAAGGCTGAAGTTGCTTGGCAGACTCAAAACTATTTTTATCGGCTACATAGTCAACCCCAAACCATAGGAGTCAAACAGTGTCCTGGGCCACACCTGCCTCAGACATGAATCTTTTTACACAATCTCATGTCTTTGAGCTATGAAACAACTTATCAGCCCCCTTCCTGTATGTTCCACCCCTTCTCCAACATATCATCATGATCACTTATGTTCACACTAAAGACAGGAGGAGGGGGAAAGGTAAGAGTCTCCATCATGTTGCCACCTTTAATTTGCCTTCCGCTCATGAGATCACAAATGTGAAGTACCATACGTGTTTAAATAGCATAGATTTCTAGGTGATGACCCTGCTAAGAAGTTACTGATTCTCAGCTCAGCGGATCAGACTACATCTGATATAAAGTGAGATTGTATTAGCTTATATGGCTCTTAAAAAATGATATGTTCATCAAAGAGAGAGCCAGAAGAGGGAAGACTGGGCTATGATTGGGAGGCAAATCATGAAATGGGTGATACTCCAAGATTTGGAGTCCAAGTGACCTGGATTTGAGTCCCAGCTCTTCCATTTTCTATCTGTGTGCTTTTTAGCAACTATTTAGCCTCTCTGAAATGTGGTTTTTGTATTTGTAAAATGAAGGCTCATGATGCCTGCTTCATAGGATTCTTATGAGAATTAAATGTATGTGAATGTATATAAAGTACTTAGTACAGTACCTGTCATTTAGACATATGATGAGGGTTCAATATTTAGCATTTTTATCCAGTTATACAGTAAATATTATTTGCCTCTAGGGTTATGTACATTTTCTCCCAAATTAGAGTTGAGTGTACTGCACCCACTGCCCCTTAGCTCTCAGCCAGTCAGTACCAGCTGCCCTCTCAGCCCCGAGGTAAAGTGAGCAGCTCAGACAGAACTGAGAGACATTAGCTTCGCCTGAACAGCAGCCTGGAGAAAGTCCAGCCATAAGGCTCCTGCAACTTTAGGGAATAGTAGTAGAAAGAAGGCCAACCTCCATGCTGAGAGTGGGTCAAATTCTAAATGTTTTTATTATAAAATAAATGATCTCTCTCATCAGAGAGATCATTTATTTTATAATAAAAACATTTAGAATTTGACCCACTCCATTAGAGAAATGCAAATCAAAACCACTATGAGATATCATCTCACACCAGTTAGAATGGCAATCATTAAAAAGTCAGGAAACAACAGGTGCTGGAGAGGATGTGGAGAAATAGGAACACTTTTACACTGTTGGTGGGACTGTAAACTAGTTCAACCATTGTGGAAGTCAGTGTGGCGATTCCTCAGGGATCTAGAACTAGAAATACCATTTGACCCAGCCATCCCATTACTGGGTATATACCCAAAGGACTATAAATCATGCTGCTATAAAGACACATGCACACGTATGTTTATTGCGGCATTATTCACAATAGCAAAGACTTGGAACCAACCCAAATATCCAACAATGATAGACTGGATTAAGAAAATGTGGCACATATACACCATGGAATACTATGCAGCCATAAAAAATGATGAGTTCATGTCCTTTGTAGGGACATGGATGAGACTGGAAACCATCATTCTCAGTAAACTATCGCAAGAACAAAAAAACCAAACACTGCATATTCTCACTCATAGGTGGGAATTGAACAATGAGATCACATGGACACAGGAAGGGGAATATCACACTCTGGGGACTGTTGTGGGGTGGGGGGAGGGGGGAGGGATAGCATTGGGAGATATACCTAATGCTAGATGATGAGTTAGTGGGTGCAGCGCACCAGCATGGCACATGTATACATATGTAACTAACCTGCACAATGTGCACATGTACCCTAAAACTTAAAGTATAATAAAAAAATAAAATAAAATAAAAAAATAAAATAAAATAAAATAAATGATCTAGGACCAGGTGTAGTTTTTGAGCACTTGGTACAAGTGGAATAAGTCATTGTTTGGTCCTCAAGAAATTTAAGATCTAGCTGGAAGGGATAAGACCAACACACAGGAAAAAGAAACTTGATATGTCAGAATGTAAAATGTGCCAAGTAAGTAGTACAGCTGATGGGTGAAGGAGAATGAGAACCCCGTGATTCAGTGTGGCTCAGGGTTTGGCTGGGCCTTGGATTCAGGACTGGATTCAGATGGAGGAAGAGAGGTGGGGGCATTGTAGGTAGGGACAGAGAGAGGGAATAGGAAAGCCTAAAGGAGTCTGTGTAGCCTGGTTCAATTATAGTAATAGGAGCTAGTGCAAAATATGGATTCACAGATAGGTTGTGATATGGTTTGGATCTGTGTCCCCACCAAATCTCCTGTTGAATTGTAATCCTCAGTGTTGGAGGTAGGGCCTGGTGGGAGGTGATTGGATCATGGGGGTGGGTTTCTCATGAATGATTTAACACCATCGCCCTTGGTACTGTTGTCGTGATAGTGAGTTCTCATGAGATCTGGTTGTGTAAAAGTGTGCAGCACCTTCCCCCTTTCTCCTTGCTCCTGCTCCTGCCATTTAAGACACCTGCTCCCGCTTTGCCTTCCACCGTGAGTAAAAGCTCCCTGAGGCCTCCCTGGAAGCAGATGCCCCCATGCTTCTTGTAGAGCCTGCAGAACCTTGAGCCAATTAAATCTCTGTTCTTTATAAGTTACCCAGTCTCAGGTATTTCTTTATAGCAATGTGAGAATGTACTGATAGATCGCAATCTGATTTTGAAGAATATTGAAGTACTAGGGTAAGGAGCTTGGAATTTATCCAGTGGCTAAAGGGAAGTCATTGAAGGCTTTTGAAACAGAGGAGTAATTGCAAAAGAGATATTATTGAAAGATATATAAGATAGCTTAGAGGAGGTAAATAACTTAGCAAGTGACTGCAGTTATCTAGGTATGATGTAATGGGGGGTGAAATATGCATGTGTGTGTGTGGCACACACACACACACACAGACACACATGCACAGAAGGCATGATTTTAGCAGCCTACAAGTATGGATCTGGAAGAGCTTTCAATATTGTTATTTACAATCAGTGCTAGATTTGGGGACTCAGTGCCAAGGTTTAAATCTAGTAATGGGAACAGCAATACTCTATAGATTATTCTTAGAAAGATGGAGCCACAGTTTCTGAATGCTTTCTACAACAATGAAATGAGACTAGAATAAGATAGATAGAATTACTTAAACAAAGTCGTGTAAGGAAATTACAGTCTCCCTAGTTAGGGACAACATAGAAACAAGGACAAATGAGGATGGGGATGTGGGGTAGATCCACCTGTCCAGATACTAACCGCACGTCAAGGTGATTCATAGTTAGATGTGAAGTAAACAGTAGAAAGGATTATCCACCCAAATTCCATTAAGGAAAATGATCCCTCAAGAATTACTGAAAGAGTATCTAATTTTAAAGTCTGTAAAAGGATTTACGAGATGAAGAGTTTGCTATTTATAGAAATAAATCCTATTAAAAAAACCTTTTTGTATCTTAATAAATCTTTGTAGCACACTTAATAAATACACTCTTTGTAGCACACTTGATCTTTATAATTCCAGGAGTCCAAGTTGTTCAGCTCCCGTGTTTTGTTTAAGGAAACACAGTTCAATAGGTATTAAAAAATAACTAAAATATTTTACTTGCATTTCTCATCGAACAGCAAAAGTGTGTGTGATCACTACTGGTTTCCCAACCCCCTCTAATTTTCTGCCAACACACAGATTAGTAACACTCCCCTTTTTCCTCACTCTTCCCACCCTCTTATTATGTACAATGACTCAGTGGCTCATCAACTTGAGCCCTCTTTCTTGAGATGAGGAGGGGGCCACTGGGTGAGAAGAAGATGATGGTGATGTGGGTAGCGGAGGTGTGAATATTAGTGTTAAATTTTACCCTAATAACCTTGGAGTGTGATCTATAATCACACCATTCAGGATTAAGGTTTCTTTGGTATTCTTTTAGAGTCTGTATTTTGGTCATACTGGGCTACTTTTAGATTTCCCAAAGTATCACACCGTCTCTCATCTTTAGGCCTTCATTTTGCCTGTTTTTTCCCTCTGGTTTGCTGTGTTGTCTACTGGAACACTTTCTTTCTTTACCTTTACCTTTCTTTAGCTGACTCTTTCCCTTTAGATTTTAAATGAAACATCACTTTCCCCTGAATGCCTCCCCTGGTCCCAGCACTGGTCAGACACCCCTTCTATGTACTCTCATGAATCCTCTGACTCACCTTTCAAAGCACTTCTGTCACTGCATTGTAATCGCCTGTTTAGGTGTCCGTATTCGGAATTTCTCCCCTGGCCAAGAGTTGCATTTTTAAAGCATGCCCTGAGGCATAGCAGATATTCAGTAAATATTTCTTGAAGATATAAATAAGTTACCTTTATATTCTGTACTGTGGTTGAAATTATGGTGTACATACATTTTAACTTAATAGTCTAAATATTTGGTCATGTCATTAAAATTTCTGTAATAAGCATAATTTTAAATTGCTGCATTATATTTTATTATATAGATATATCATACTTTAAGCAAGGCGTTGGCAAACTTTTTACAAAGGATCTGATAGCAAATGTTTTCGGCTTTTGAACCGTATGGTTTCTTTTGGTACTACTGAACTCTGCCTACTTAGTATGAAAACAGCCACAGATAGTATGTAAACAAATAGGCATGCCTATGCGCTAATAAAATAGCCAGTGGGTTGGAATTGATTCATAGGCTGCTGTCTACAGCCTACCCCTGAGTTAAATAATAATTATTCTATTTGTGAATTTTGATTTCCCCATTTTTTATTATTATAAATGATATTCCAATGAATATATTGACTATATTTTTCCCCTTAAGGATAGGATCCCCCAAATATAATTACTGAGCTAAAGGGTATTAGCACTTCAGAGGCTCTCCATAAGTATTTCAAAATTGTTTTCCAATATACATTCCCATCAGTACAATAGGAGTCCATTTTGTAGCATTCTTGTAAGTAATATAATAAGTATTTTTATTTTGAAAGTAAAAAAATATTTCAAACATATAGGAAAATGTAGAAAATTACACAAAGAATACCCACGTGCCAAAATACCCACCATCAAGGCAGTGGCCTTTGGTATGTAAAGCTAGCAAAAAGAAATGGCCCGAGTTTTATTTAGGCTCCAAAACTGATTACCTCACCTGTTGTATTCCTGCTCACCTGGTACATATACCCAAGAATTTGCCCACTTCATCAAGCCTAATGGCCAACTTCAGGCTCTCCAAGATTTATCACCCTTATGACTTTTTAAGACAAAAAGATTTTTTACAATATTTAATGTGTTTAGTTTGCAGATGGCCACAAACAATTTTTGTTCTGCCATCACCTCTCTACCTTAAGTGTATTTCTTTTTTCTCATATCCAGTTAATTCAATGTGTATGTGTGTGTATGTGTGTCTACGTGTGTGTTGCATGCCTACTCTGTCAAATTAACTGGTGGAGGATGAGCACAATATAGATAAAATTGGTGTTAGTTGGCAGTCCATTGGTGGGGGTCACTCAGTCTCGTGGTCATTATAGCTTTTTTTTAGTTTCCAAGCTTCTGCAGTCTAGCCATGAGAATAGTTCAATGCCAGCGGGCTCCAGAAGGATAGTTGTGTTTTCTGTTACAGTTTTGTTTTCCTTATTGAACCAATGATTATACATGCAGTGTTTTACAATACTTGTTCAAGAAGTCAGGACTCCCTTTTTGTTTCTTTGTTTTTTTTTTTTCTGGTTAAATAAAATGTTTTATTATAATAAATCTCACCTGTTTCTACTTTTCTTTTCTTTTCTTTTTTTTATATTATACTTTAAGTTTTAGGGTACATGTGCACATTGTGCAGGTTAGTTACATATGTATACATGTGCCATGCTGGTGCGCTGCACCCACTAACTCGTCATCTAGCATTAGGTATATCTCCCAATGCTATCCCTCCCCCCTCCCCCACCCCACAACAGTCCCCAGAGTGTGATATTCCCCTTCCTGTGTCCATGTGATCTCATTGTTCAATTCCCACCTATGAGTGAGAATATGCGGTGTTTGGTTTTTTTGTTCTTGCGATAGTTTACTGAGAATGATGGTTTCCAGTCTCATCCATGTCCCTACAAAGGACATGAACTCATCCTTTTTTATGGCTGCATAGTATTCCATGGTGTATATGTGCCACATTTTCTTAATCCAGTCTATCATTGTTGGACATTTGGGTTGGTTCCAAGTCTTTGCTATTGTGAATAATGCCGCAATAAACATACGTGTGCATGTGTCTTTATAGCAGCATGATTTATAGTCCTTTGGGTATATACCCAGTAATGGGATGGCTGGGTCAAATGGTATTTCTAGTTCTAGATCCCTGAGGAATCGCCACACTGACTTCCACAATGGTTGAACTAGTTTACAGTCCCACCAACAGTGTAAAAGTGTTCCTATTTCTCCACATCCTCTCCAGCACCTGTTGTTTCCTGACTTTTTAATGATTGCCATTCTAACTGGTGTGAGATGATATCTCATAGGGGTTTTGATTTGCATTTATCTGATGGCCAGTGATGATGAGCATTTTTTCATGTGTTTTTTGGCTGCATAAATGTCTTCTTTTGAGAAGTGTCTGTTCATGTCCTTCACCCACTTTTTGATGGGGTTGTTTGTTTTTTTCTTGTAAATTTGTTTGAGTTCATTGTAGATTCTGGATATTAGCCCTTTGTCAGATGAGTAGGTTGCGAAAATTTTCTCCCATATTGTAGGTTGCCTGTTCACTCTGATGGTAGTTTCTTTTGCTGTGCAGAAGCTCTTTAGTTTAATTAGATCCCATTTGTCAATTTTGGCTTTTGTTGCCATTGCTTTTGGTGTTTTGGACATGAAGTCCTTGCCCACGCCTATGTCCTGAATGGTAATGCCTAGGTTTTCTTCTAGGGTTTTTATGGTTTTAGGTCTAACGTTTAAATCTTTAATCCATCTTGAATTGATTTTTGTATAAGGTGTAAGGAAGGGATCCAGTTTCAGCTTTCTACATATGGCTAGCCAGTTTTCCCAGCACCATTTATTAAATAGGGAATCCTTTCCCCATTGCTTGTTTTTCTCAGGTTTGTCAAAGATCAGATAGTTGTAGGTATGCGGCATTATTTCTGAGGGCTCTGTTCTGTTCCATTGATCTATATCTCTGTTTTGGTACCAGTACCGTGCTGTTTTGGTTACTGTAGCCTTGTAGTATAGTTTGAAGTCAGGTAGTGTGATGCCTCCAGCTTTGTTCTTTTGGCTTAGGATTGACTTGGCGATGCGGGCTCTTTTTTGGTTCCATATGAACTTTAAAGTAGTTTTTTCCAATTCTGTGAAGAAAGTCATTGGTAGCTTGATGGGGATGGCATTGAATCTGTAAATTACCTTGGGCAGTATGGCCATTTTCACGATATTGATTCTTCCTACCCATGAGCATGGAGTGTTCTTCCATTTGTTTGTATCCTCTTTTATTTCCTTGAGCAGTGGTTTGTAGTTCTCCTCAAAGAGGTCCTTCACATCCCTTGTAAGTTGGATTCCTAGGTATTTTATTCTCTTTGAAGCAATTGTGAATGGGAGTTCACTCATGATTTGGTTCTCTGGTTGTCTGTTGTTGGTGTATAAGAATGCTTGTGATTTTTGTACATTGATTTTGTATCCTGAGACTTTGCTGAAGTTGCTTATCAGCTTAAGGAGATTTTGGGCTGAGACGATGGGGTTTTCTAGATAAACAATCATGTCGTCTGCAAACAGGGACAATTTGACTTCCTCTTTTCCTAATTGAATACCTTTTATTTCCTTCTCCTGCCTGATTGCCCTGGGCAGAACTTCCAACACTATGTTGAATAGGAGCGGTGAGAGAGGGCATCCCTGTCTTGTGCCAGTTTTCAAAGGGAATGCTTCCAGTTTTTGCCCATTCAGTATGATATTGGCTGTGGGTTTGTCATAGATAGCTCTTATTATTTTGAAATACGTCCCATCAATACCTAATTTATTGAGAGTTTTTAGCATGAAGGGTTGTTGAATTTTGTCAAAGGCTTTTTCTGCATCTATTGAGATAATCATGTGGTTTTTGTCTTTGGCTCTGTTTATATGCTGGATTACATTTACTGATTTGCGTATGTTGAACCAGCCTTGCATCCCAGGGATGAAGCCCACTTGATCATGGTGGATAAGCTTTTTGATGTGCTGCTGGATTCGGTTTGCCAGTATTTTATTGAGGATTTTTGCATCAATGTTCATCAAGGATATTGGTCTAAAATTCTCTTTTTTGGTTGTGTCTCTGCCCGGCTTTGGTATCAGAATGATGCTGGCCTCATAAAATGAGTTAGGGAGGATTCCCTCTTTTTCTATTGATTGGAATAGTTTCAGAAGGAATGGTACCAGTTCCTCCTTGTACCTCTGGTAGAATTCGGCTGTGAATCCATCTGGTCCTGGACTCTTTTTGGTTGGTAAACTATTGATTATTGCCACAATTTCAGCTCCTGTTATTGGTCTATTCAGAGATTCAACTTCTTCCTGGTTTAGTCTTGGGAGAGTGTATGTGTCGAGGAATGTATCCATTTCTTCTAGATTTTCTAGTTTATTTGCGTAGAGGTGTTTGTAGTATTCTGTGATGGTAGTTTGTATTTCTGTGGGATCGGTGGTGATATCCCCTTTATCATTTTTTGTTGTGTCTATTTGATTCTTCTCTCTTTTTTTCTTTATTAGTCTTGCTAGCGGTCTATCAATTTTGGTGATCCTTTCAAAAAACCAGCTCCTGGATTCATTGATTTTTTGAAGGGTTTTTTGTGTCTCTATTTCCTTCAGTTCTGCTCTGATTTTAGTTATTTCTTGCCTTCTGCCAGCTTTTGAATGTGTTTGCTCTTGCTTTTCTAGTTCTTTTAAATTGTGATGTTAGGGTGTCAATTTTGGATCTTTCCTGCTTTCTCTTGTGGGCATTTAGTGCTATAAATTTCCCTCTACACACTGCTTTGAATGCGTCCCAGAGATTCTGGTATGTTGTGTCTTTGTTCTCGTTGGTTTCAAAGAACATCTTTATTTCTGCCTTCATTTCGTTATGTACCCAGTAGTCATTCAGGAGCAGGTTGTTCAGTTTCCATGTAGTTGAGCGGCTTTGAGTGAGATTATTAATCCTGAGTTCTAGTTTGATTGCACTGTGGTCTGAGAGATAGTTTGTTATAATTTCTGTTCTTTTACATTTGCTGAGGAGAGTTTTACTTCCAAGTATGTGGTCAATTTTGGAATAGGTGTGGTGTGGTGCTGAAAAGAATGTATATTCTGTTGATTTGGGGTGGAGAGTTCTGTAGATGTCTTTTAGGTCCTCTTGGTGCAAAGCTGAGTTCAATTCCTGGGTATCCTTGTTGACTTTCTGTCTCATTGATCTGTCTAATGTTGACAGTGGGGTGTTAAAGTCTCCCATTATTAATGTGTGGGAGTCTAAGTCTCTTTGTAGGTCACTCAGGACTTGCTTTATGAATCTGGGTGCTCCTGTATTGGGTGCATATATATTTAGGATAGTTAGCTCCTCTTGTTGAATTGATCCCTTTACCATTATGTAATGGCCTTCTTTGTCTCTTTTGATCTTTGTTGGTTTGAAGTTTGTTTTATCAGAGACTAGTATTGCAACCCCTACCTTTTTTTGTTTTCCATTTGCTTGGTAGATCTTCCTCCATCCTTTTATTTTGAGCCTATGTGTGTCTCTGCATGTGAGATGGGTTTCCTGAATACAGCACACTGATGGGTCTTGACTCTTTATCCAACTGTTTCTTTGTTTAAACTCTTAAAAAAAATTTATGGTATTCTTTCATTGTGGCCTGAAAAGGTGGCTTGTGTATTTTTTGCTTTTCAGCATTTATAGAGCTCTCCTATAGTACTCAATATTTGATACATTTTAATAAATCTTTTATTTATTCTTGACTATATGGTTTATTCTCTGCTGGGCTGAAAGTTTAATATGTATCTAATGAGTGATTCTAATTAGTCAGATTCCTGCGCATTTTTAACTTTTTATTTGGTTTGTGGAAGATGAGAATAGTGTGTTAAAATTTCTCATTACAATTATATTTGTTTTGTTCCCCCTGCCTGTCCACTAGGGGGGCTGAACTTGCCCTTTTACAATGGCATTAATCTCACCCATGAGGGCAGAGACCTCCTGGCCTAATCATCTGTTTGGCAATAGTTTCTTAATTTAATTTTTTTATTCAGGTAAAATATACATATAAAATTTACCATATTTACCATTTTTAAGTTCACAGTTCTGTGGCAATAATTACATATATAATCTTCCCCCTACTTCATCCCTCTCTCACTCTACACTTCCTGGCCTTTGGTAACCACTAATCTATTCTCTGTCTTAATTTTCATGAGATCCACTTTTTTTTTTTTTTAGCTCCCACATATAAGTGAGAACATACAATATTTGTCTTTCTGTGTTTGGCTTATTTCACTTAACATAGTAGCCTCCAGAATGACAGGATGTCATTCTTTTTATGGCTGAATAATTGTCCACTGTGTATATGTACTACATTTTCTTCATTCATCCACTGATGGGCCCTGAGGTCGATTCCATATTTTGGCTATTGTGAATAGTACTGCAATAAATGTGGGAGTGCAGATATCTCTTTCATATATTGATTTCCTTTCTTTGGGATATAACCCAGTAACAGAATTGCTGGGTCATATGTTAGTTCTATTTTTAATTTTTTGAGGAACCTCCATACTGTTTTCCACAGTGGCTATACTAACTTACATTCCCACCAGCAGTGGATGAGGATTCCCCTTTCTCCATATCCTTGGAAGTATCTGTTATTTCCTGCCTTTTTGATACAAACCTCAAACCTTAACTAGGGTGAGATGATATTGCATTGTAGTTTTGATTTGCATTTCTTTGATGGCTAGTGATGTTGAGCATTTTTTCATATACCTGTTGGACATTTGAATGTTTTCTTTTGAGAAGTGTCTGTTTAGATCTTTTGCCCATTTTTAAACTGGATTATTTGTTTCTTTGCTACTGAGTTATCTGAGCTTCTTGTATATATTCTGGATATTAAGTTCTCCCTGGGTAGGTCACTTGCAAATATTTTCTCCCATTCTGTAGGTTGTTTCTTTACATTGTTGCTTGTTTCCTTTGCTGTGCAGAGCTTTTCAGCTTGAATTAACCCCATTTGTCTATTTTTGCTTTGGTTCCTGTGCTTTAGAGGCTTTTATAAAGCCTCTAAAGGCTTTACAAAAGGTCTTTGCCCAGACCAAAGGAGTATTTCCCCATTGTTTACTTCTAGTAATTTTTATAGTTTCAGGTCTTAGATTTAAGTCTTTAATCCATTTTGAGTTGATTTTTGTGTATGGTTAGAGACAGAGGTCTAGTTTCATTCTTCTACATATAGTTATCCAGTTTTCCTAGGGCCATTTTTTTGTATGTTCTTGTATTTTAGAATTATTGTATGTTCTTGGTGCCTTTGTCAAAGATGAGTTGGCTGTAAATGTGTGGATTTCTATCTGGGTTTTCTGTTTTATTCCATCGGTCTATGTGTCTGTTTTCATGCCAGTGTCATGCATCTTGGTTATGATAACTTTGTAGAATATTTTGCTTTGTTCTTTTTGCTCAGAATTGCTTTGGTTATTCTGAGTCTTTTGTGGTTCCATATAAATTTTAGAATTTTTTTCTATTTCTATGAGGAATGTTATTGTTCTTTTAATAGGGGTTGCATTAAATCTGTAAATTTCTTTGGGTAGTATTGTCATTTTAACAACATTAATTCTTTCAATCCGTGCATGTGGTATATCTTTCTATTTTGGGGTGTCTTTGATTTCTTTCATCAGAGTTCTGTAGTTTTTCTTGTATAGATATTTTACTTTGGTTAGATTGAGTCCTAGGTATTATATATATTTTGAATCAATTGTAAGTGAGATTGCTTCCATGATTTCTCTTTCAGTTTTTTTGCTGTTGGTGTGTATAAATGCTACTGATTTTTGTATGTTAATTTTGTATCCTACAACTTTACCAAATTTGTTTATCAGTTCTAACAGATTTTTTTTTTTTTTTTGGTGGAGTCTATGTTTGTCTAGGTCATGTCATCTGTGAACAAGGCTAATTTGACTTTTTCCTTTCCAATTTGGGTGCCCTTTATTTCTTTCTCTTGCCTAATTGCTCTGGCCAGGACTTCCAGTGTTAGGCTGAGTAACTGTGGTGGAAGTGGGTATCCTTGTCTTGTTCCAGCCCTTAGAGGAAAGGCCTTCAATTCTCCCTCATTCAGTATGTTAGCCGTGGGTTTGTCACATATGGTCATTGTTATTTCGAGGTATATTCCTTCAATACCCATTTTGTTGGGGGTTTTCATCATAAAGGATGTTGAATTTTATAAAATGCTTTTCAGCATCTATTGAAATTATCTATGGTTTTTGTTCTTGATACTGTTAATGTGATGTATCATGTTTATTGATTTGTGTATGTTGAACTGTGCTGGCATCCCTGGGATGAATCCCACTTGAACATGGTGAATGATCTTTTTAATATGTTGTTGAGTTTGGTTTGCTAGTATTTTGTTGAAGATTTTTGAATCTGTTTTAATCAGGGCTGTTGGCCTGTGGTTGTATTTTTTTGCTGAGACCTCATCTGGTTTTGGCATCAGGGTAATGCTGGCCTCATAGAATGAGTTTGGAAGTATTTCTTCTTCTTCAGTTTATTTGAAGAGTTTGAGTAGGACTGATACTGTCTTTTAAATGTTTGGTAGAATTCAGCAGTGAAGCCATCAGTCTTGGGCTTTTCTTTGATAGGAGACATTTTATTGTGGCTTTGAGTTTATTACACATTGGTTTGTTGAGGTTTTCTATTTCTTCATGGTTCAATCTTGACAGATTGTGTGTGTCTAGGAATTTATCCATTTCTTCTAGGCTTTCCAATTTGTTGGCAAGTAGTTGTTCATAATAGTCTCTAATGATTCTTTCTATTTCTCTTGTATAACAAACCTGTATAGTTTGTTGAGAAGCCTGTTGCCAGACAAATTGGAGCTCCTTTATATGTTGTTTGCTTCTTTTCTCTTGCCACTTTTAGGATCCTCTCTTTGTCCTTGACATTTGAGAGTTTGCTTATCATATGCCTTGGGGTAGTCTTATTTGAATGGAATATGTTTGGTGTTCTCAGACCTTCTTGTACCTGAATATTTATATTTTCTCAAGTTTTGGAAAGTTTTCTGTCATTATTTCTTTGAATAAGTTTTTTACCATTTGCTTTTGCTTAATTCTCTCTTGAAAAACATATCTAATAAAATATCCTATAGCACATTCAAGCAAACATATCCAATAAAAACAAACATCCTATAGCATGTTTGGTCTTTTAAGGCAATTTTCTTTTTTTTTTTTATATTATACTTTAAGTTCTAGGGTACCTGTGCAGAACGTGCAGTTTTGTTACATAGGTATACATGTGCCATGGTGATTTGCTGCACCCATCAACCCGTCACCTACATTAGGTATTTCTCCTAATGCTATCCCCCCCCACCCCCCATCCCCTGACAGGCTCTGGTCTGTGATATTTCCCTCCCTGTGTGCATGTATTCTTATTGTTCAACACCCACTTATGAGTGAGAACATGCAATGTTTGGTTTTCTGTTCTTGCATTAGTTTGCTGAGAATGATGGTTTCCAGCTTCATCCATGTCCCTGCAAAGGACATGAACTCCTCCTTTTTTATGGCTGCATAATATTCCATGGTGTATATGTGCCACATTTGCTTTATCCAGTCTATCATTGGTGGGCATTTGGGTTGGTTCCAAGTCTTTGCTATTGTGAACAGTGCTGCAATAAACATACATGTGCATGTGTCTTTATAGTAGAATGATTTATAATCCTTTAGGTATATACCCAGTAATAGGATTGCTGGGTCAAATGGTATTTCTAGTTCTAGATCCTTGAGGAATCGCCACACTGTCTTCCACAATGGTTGAACTAATTTACATTCCCAACAACAGTGTAAAAGTGTTCCTATTTCTCCACATCCTCTCCAGCATCTGTTATTTTCTGACTTTTTAATGATCACCATTCTAACTGGTGTGAGATGGTACCTCATTATGGTTTTGATTTGCATTTCTCTAATGACCAGTGATGATGAGCTTTTCTTTATATGTTTGTTGGCCACATAAATGTCTTCTTTTGAGAAGTGTCTGTTCATATCCTTCACCCACTTTTTGGTGGGGTTGTTTTTTTCTTGTAAATTTGTTTAAGTTCTTTGTAGATTCTGGATATTAGCCCTTTGTCAGATGGACAGATTGCAAAAATTTTCTCCCATTCTGTAGGTTGCCTGTTTACTCTGATGATAGTTTCTTTTGCTGTGCAGAAGCTCTTTAGTTTAATTAGATACCATTTGTCAATTTTGGCTTTTGCTGCCATTGCTTTTGGTGTTTTAGTCATGAAGTCTTTGCCCATGCCAGTGTACTGAATGGTATAGCCTAAGTTTTCTTCTAGGATTTTTATGATTTTAGGTCTTACGTTTAAGTCTTTAATTCTGTATCTTGTAAGCAGTCATTGTTCGTTTTCCTTGTTTTTCCTTCTCTGACTGTGTATTTTAAAATAGTAGTCTTCAAGCTCACTTAATTTTTTTCCCTGCTTGGTCCATTCTGCTCTTGAGAACCTCTAGGGAGTTATTCAGTTCAGGAAATGTATTTCTTGGTTTCAACATTTCTGTTTGATTTTTAAATTATTTGAGTCCTTTAAGAAAATATCTCTGTAAATTTCTGAGTTGCTTTTCTGTGTTATCTTGGAGATCACTGAGTTTCCTTAAAACTACTATTTTGAAATTTTAGAGAGCTCACAAATCACTGTCTCATTAGAGTCTTCAATGGATTTTTGCTTTGCCCTTTTGGGGAGGTCATGATTTGCTGTTTGCTGTTTGCTGTTGTTTCTTGTGGGTATACATCTATGTCTTTGCATGAAAGGATTAGTTACTTATTTCAGTCTTCTTTGTTTGGCTTGTTTTTTGTTTTTATTGCATATGTTTGCTTAGCAAATCTTTACCACTAGTTTGCTGCTTCCTTTTTGGCTCGAGGGTTGACTTAAGCCCAGATTTACCTTAGTGTTAAGCTAATAAATGATTAAAGTGCTACCTTTCACAAATGCAGGAGGTCCCAAAGGGATTATTCTTGTATGGGAATGCTGTCTAAGAGTTCATACTTAAGTGACCTGTGAAATGTACCTCCTACAGTGTGGTGCTGCTGAACAGCCACTTTGATTTGGCATCTCCTTTGGCCATGTTACAGAGCAGTTTCTGGTGCTGGAGATGATATTACTGCCTCCCTGTCTTCGTCTTTGCCTATTCTCAGGGATATTTCTTCCTTCAGGCACTCACAATGCTTCCTGTAGGTTAAAGCAAGAACAGGTCTCCAGGGAACCCAAATAATGAGAAAGCAATTGATCAACTCAATCTCATTTTTTTCCACTGTGGAAACTGTGGGTTGGGGGTAGACTTTTTATGCACTTGTTGCTGTCTGCTTGGAATTTTTTCACTTCTTTTTGGCCTCAGGTTCTGTCTCACCCTCATAGGTGAGTTCTGGGTTGTTGCTGGTGAAAATCTCAGTACTGTATATTTGTTTTAGGTTTTCTGTGGGGTGAGTGAAGCCAGCTTCTACATTGCCATTTTAAAACTGGAAGTGCCTAATCACCTCTTAAAATTCCCACCTGTTAAAACTGTTACAATGCCACTTAAATTTAAACATTAGTGTTGGAGGGGACAAACATTCAAACATAGCAGGTGGCTATTGTAAGGAGTAAAAAGAAGAAAGAACAAAAAAAGGTGAAGACAGCATAAGGGACTTCTGGGAGTCTATCAGGTGAACTAATATACGTATTATAGGAGTTTCAGAAGGAAATGAGAGAGAAAAAGGGGCATAAAGCTTATTTAAAGAAAAAATGGCTGAAAGTGTTTCAAATCTGTGAGGGAAATGAACATCTAGATTTACAAAGCCCAGAGATCCAAATATGATAAACCCAAAGAAGTCTACACCAAGACACATTACAATTGAATTGTCCAAAGTCAAAGACAAAAGAGAAAATTTTGAAAGTAGCAAGAGAAAGTGACTAATTATATATAAGAAAGCACATATAAGACTAACAGCTGATTTCCCAGCAGAAACTTTGCAGGCCAGGATAGAGTGGGTGGATATATTCAAATTGCTAAAAGAAAAACACTGTGGAGAAAGAAAATGATACCTGAAAAAACTGTCCTTTAAAAAAAATACAGGAGAGATGTAGAGAATTTTCCTGAAAGCAAAAGCTGAGGTTGTTCATCACCACCAGACCTGCCTTACAAGAAATGCTAAAGGGAGTTCTTTAAGTTGAAATGAAAAGATACTAAAGAGCAACATAAAAGCATATGAAAACCTACTGGTGAAGGTAAATGTGTAGACAAATACAGAATACTGTAATATTGTAATGAAGTGTGTAAATCACTTTTACCACTTGTATGAAAGTTAAAGGACAAAAGTATTAAGAATAACTATAATTATAAAGTTTGTTAATAAATATACAATAAAGATGTAAATTGTGATATCGATAGTATAAAATGTGAGGTAGGAGAGAAATAAAATTAGAGTTTTTGTGTGCACTTAAAGTTAAGATGTTATCAGATTAAAATAAACTAATATAATTATAGGATGTTTTATGTAAGCCTTATGGAAACCATTAAGAAATACCTTGAATAGATATACACACAAAAAGAGAAAGGAATCAAAACCTGCTCACTTAAAAAAATAATAAGTCACAAAGGAAAACAGATGAGAGAGAGAAGACAAAAGAATTACAAAGCAGACAGAAAACAATTAATTTAATGGCAATACTAAGTTCTTACCCAGCAATAATTCCTTGAAATGCAAGTGGATTAAACTTCCAATAAAAAGACATAGAGTGGATGAATGGATTAAAAAACCCACCAAGATCCAACTAGATGCTATCTATAAAACACTTTAGCTTTAAGGACACGCATAGGCTGAAAATGAAGGGATGGGAAAAGATATTCTATGCAAATGGTAATCAAAAGAGGGCAGGGTGGCTTAATTATATCAGACAAACTAAAGCTTAAGTCAAAAACTCTGACAATAGACAAAGAAGATTATTATATAATAATTAAAAAGTGAATTTATCAGGAAGATGTAATAATTATAAACATATATATGCACCCAATACCAGAACATCGGAATGTAGACATTGATAGATTGGAAAGGAAAAACAGACAGCAATACAATGATACTAGGAGACTTTAACATTCCACTTTCAATAATGGTTAGAATATTCAAGCAGAAAATCAATAAGGAAATAAGAAATTGAACAACATTATAGATCAAATAGACTTAACAGGCACACACAAAACATTCTACACAACAGCACCAGAATATACATTCTTTTCAAGTAACATGAAGCTGTCTCCAGGATAGATCATATGCTAGTTACAAAAAAGTTTTAACAAATTTAAGAAGACTGAAATCATACCAAATATCTTTTCCAAATGCAGTGGAATGAAACTAGAAATCAGTAACAGAAGAAAAACTGGAAAATTCACAAATGTGTGAAAATAACACATTCTTAACAGACACTGAATCAAAGAAGAAATCAAAAGAGAAATTAGAACATATCTTGAGACAAACTAAAATGAAAACATATCAAAACTTATGGGATGCAGGAAAAGCAGTACTAAGAGGGAAGTTTATAGCAATAAATGTCCACAGTAAAAAAGAAGGCCATCAAATAAACTACCTAATTTTATACCCCTAGAAATTAGAAACAGAATAGATTAAGCCCAATGCTAGCAGAAGAAAGAAAATAATAAAGCTTGGAGCAAATGTAAATTAAATAGAGGGGAGAAAAAAATCAAAATTAAGAGTGGATGTTTTGAAATGAAAATGATTTGATTTTTTTGAAATTTTTTTCTAAGAAAAAAAGAAGACTCAAATAAATAAAATCAGAAATGAAAAAGACCTTAACTGATGCCAGAGAATTGAAAAGGATCAGAAGGTATTACTATGGACAATTAGATGCCAACAAATTGGATAACTGAGAAGAAATGGATGAATTCTTAAAATCATGAAACCTACAAAGGTTGAATCATGAAGAAATAGAAAACTTGAACAGACCACTAACAAACAAGGAGATTGCATCAGTAATCAAAAACCTCCTAATCAAGAAAAACCTAGGACCAGGTGACTTCACTGGTAAATTCCATCAAACATTTAAAAAAGAATTAATACAAATCCTTTTAAAACTCTTCCAAAAAAAATGGAAGAGGGAATATTTGCAAACTTATTTTATAATGCCAGCATTACCTTGAGACCAAAGTCATAAAAAGACACTACATGAAAAGAAAACCACAGTCCAATATCTCTGATGAACATAGATGCAAAATCCTCAATAAAATACTAGCAAACTGCATGCAATAGCTCATTAAAAGAATCATACCCGACTGGGGGCGGTGGCTCACACCTGTAATCCCAGCACTTTGGGAGGCCGGGGCCGGTGGATCACCTGAGGTCAGGAGTTCAAGACCAGCCTGGCCAACATGGGGAAACCCTGTCTCTACTAAAAATACAAAAATAAGTTGGGCCTGGTGACACATGCCTGTAATCCCAGCTACTCAGAAGGCTGAGGCAGGAGAATTGCTCGAACCTGGGAGGCGGAGGTTGCAGTGAGCTGAGATCACGCCACTGCACACCAGCCTGGGCGACAGAGCGAGACTCTGTCTCAAAGAAAAAACAAAGAATCATACCCTATGACCAAGTGATATTTATCCCTAGGATGCAAGCATGATCAAACACATGCAAATCAATAAATGTGATAAACCATACTAACAGAAGAATAACATCACATATTATGAAGGATGAAAATCACATTTTTATCTCAGTAGATGCAGAAAAAGCATTTAACAAAATTCAATATCTTTTCGTGATAAAAAGTCTTATCAAGTTGGAAGGAATTTATCTCAACATAATAAGTGTTATATATGAAAAGACCAAAAACATGATACTTAATGGTAAAAAAACTGAAAGCTTTTCCTCTAAAGTTAGGAACAAGACAAGGATGCCTACTCTTGCCACTTCTATTCAACATAGTACTAGAAGTTCTAGTCAGGGCAATTAGTCAAGAAAAAGAAATAAAAGACATCCAAGTCAGAAAGAGAGAAGTAAAATTATCTTTTCAGATGACATAATCTTATATGTAGTAAATGGTAAAGGCTTCACCAAAAATTGTTAGAACTAATAAGTGAAATCAGGAGAATTACAGGATGCAAGATCAACATATGAAATCAGTTACATTTCTATAAATTAACAGTGATTGTCTTAAAAAATTTAGAAAACAACCTCATTAACAATAAGAATAAAATACTTAAGAATAAACTTAGCCAAGGAGGTAAAAGATTGTACATTGAAAACTATAAAATATTGATGAAAATATTAAAGAAGTCACAAATAAATGAAAAGATGTCCTATGTTCATGGATTAGAATTAACATTATTAAAATGGCCATATTACCCAAAGCCATCTACAGATTCAGTGTAATCCCTATCAAAATCCCAATGACAATTTTTTAAAAATAAAAAACAATCCAAAAAAATCATATATAGAACCACAAAATCATATATCATATATAGACCTCAAATCATATATAGACCTCAAATAGCCAAAGCAATCTTGAGAAAGAAGAACAAAGCTAGAGACAACATCCTTCCTGATTCTAAAATATATTACAAAACTACAGTAATTAAAACAGTGTAATACTAGTATAAAAGCAGACGTAAGTTCAATGGAGCAGAATAGAGAGCCCAGAAATAAACCCACATGTATGGCATCAACTTATCTTTGATAAGGGTGCCAAGAATGTGCAAGGGGAAAAGGATAGTTTCTTCAACAAATGGTGTTGGGAAAATGGATATCCACATGTAAAATAATAAATTTGGACCCTTATCTTATACTGTACCCAAAAATAAACTCAAAATGAATTAAATATTTAAATGTAAGACCTGAAACTATAAAACTCCTAGAAGAAAACATAGGGAAAAAGTTTTCTGATGTTGGTCTTGGCAATGATTTCTTAGCTATGACTCCAAAAACACAAACAACGAAAGCAAAAATAGGCAAGTGGGACTATATCAAACCTAAAAGCTTCTACACAGCAAAGGAAACAACAGACTGGAAAGGCAATCTATGGATGGGAGAAAATATTTGCAAACCACATATCTGATAAGGATTAATATTCAAAATCCATAAGGAACTCCTATAACTTAATGGCAAAAAACCCCAAACAAACCAAAACCCAAAACCAAATAACTAGATTAAAAATTGGACAAAAGAATTAAATAGACATATTTCCACAGAAGACATACAAATGGCTAACAGGTATGTGAAAGGATGCTCACTATTACTAATTATCTGGGACTACAAATCAAAACCACAATCAAATATCACTTTATACCTGTTAGGATAGCTGTTACATAAAAAACACACAAAAAATAACAAGTGTTGGCAACAATGTGGAGACAAGGGAACTCTTGTACGTTTTTGGTGGGAATGTAAATTGGTGCAGCCGCTATAGAAAGTAGTATGGAAGTTCCACAAAAAAATTAAAATAGGACTACCATATGACCAAAAAATTCCATATCTTGGATGAGAATTTGAATTAGCCATTATCAGATTGGTGGTTTCCAAAAGAGAAGCTAATTAATTCTTATCCCAAGTAACTAAAATCAGTCTCTCAAAGAGACAACTGCACTCTCATGTTCATTGAAGCATTATTCATAATAACCAAAATATGGAAGTAACCTAAATGTCCATTGAGAGATGAACAGATAAATAAAATGTGGTATATACATACATGAAATACTATTCGGTCTTTAAAATGAACATCCTGTAATATGTGACAAGTGGATGAGCCTGGAAGACCTTATTCTAAGTGACATAAGCCAGGAACATAAGGACAAATACTGCATTATTCAACTTATATGAAATATCTAAAATATGCAAAACCATACAAATAGAGAATGGAGTAGTAGGTTGCCAGGAGCTAGGAGAAGGGAGGAATGGGGGATTGCTGTCCAAGGAGTATGCAGTTTCAGTAACAGAAGACAAGTAAGTTCTACAGATCTGCCATACAACAGTGTGCTTACAGTTAACAATGTTATATTGTGCACTTAAACATTTATTAACAGGGCAGATCTAAAGTTAAGTGTTCTTACTACAATAAAAAGACTAATGCATTAAAAAGAATTGTTAGTTTATGTTTTTGTATGGATTATGTGTAAAGATGAAATTCTGTGACATCAACAACTGAAAGAGGTGGGGACTGAGCTGTAAAGGAGCAGAGTTTTTGTATGTTATTGAAGTTAAGCTGTATAAATTCAAATTAGAGTATTATAACTTTAGAATGTTAAGTGTAATCTCCATGGTAACCACAGAGAAAGTAGCTATAGAATATACACAAAAGGAAATGAGAAAGAAATGTAAATGCTTCACTATAAAAAAAACAAATACATACGAAGAAAGTAATGCAGGAAATGAAGGACAAAAAGAAGCTATAAGGTATGTAGAAAACAAATAGCAAAATGACAGCAGTAAATATACACACAGTGGAATATTATTCTGCCTTAAAAAGGAAAGGAAGGCAAATCTGACGTAGTACAGCATAAATGAACCTGGAAGACATTATGCTGAGTGAACTAAGCCAGTCACAGTAAGACAAATACTGCATGATTCCACTTACATAAAATATTTAGAGCAATCAAAATTGCAGAGACAGGGAGCTGAGGCAGGAGGATCACTTGAAGGCTGGGAGTTTGAGACCAGCCTGGGCAACATAGCATGACCCATCTCTTAAAAAAATTAGCTTGGTGTGGTAGTGTGTGCCTGTAGTCCCAGCTACTTGCAAGGCTGAGGTGAGAGGATTGCTTGAACCTAGGAGTTCAAGGCTAATGCGCCATTGTATTCCAGCCTGGGTGATAGAGCAAGACCCTTTCAAAAAAAATTGTAGAGACAGAAAGTAGAATGGTGGTTGCCAGGGACTGGGAGGAGGGAGGAATAAGGAGTTATTGTTTAATGGGTACAGAGTTTCAGTTCTGCAAATGAAAAGAGTTCTAGAGATGGACAGTGGTGATGGTTGTGCAACATTATGAATGTATGTAACACTACTGAATTAGAGATGTAAAAATAGTCAAGTCAGTATATTTTATATGTATATTTACCACAAGAAAAAAAATTGTGAAAAAATTGCAAATCAGAGAATGTTGCTCTTTATTGAAACTCTTCAACAGCTTTCCACTGTTCTTAGGATGTAAGCTTAATTGGCTACCATGACCCCTGGAGCCCTTCAGAATCTGGCTCTGCTTCTTCTGCAACCTTATCTCCTCCTCGCTGACCCTCACTCTCTGGACTTCTTTGCTATTTTTTAACACAACAGGCTCATTTCCACCCCAGGGCATTGGTACTTGCTGTTTCCACTACTGGAATGCTCTGGATGTAGGTTTTCACTTGATTTGCTCATTCTAGTCATTTGGATCTTATTTCAGACTTGATCATCTTGTTAAGTAGGCCCTTTTTCATAGCAGTTACTTGAAATTATCTCAGGCATTTATTTATTTTCCTATTTACATCTGTTTTCCCTCTTAAAAGACATAAGCTCTACAAAAGAAACTGGCTTGTCTGCTTATTCACAGTTTCCCTGCCCCTAAAGCATTATTGATATTTAATATTTGTTGAATGAATAAACATTTTCATATAATTGCATTTATAAGAATGTCTTTCTTTTGGTTTCAAAACTGAATAACAACTGGACTAGGTCTGTCTTTCCATTTAAAATGGGCTCTGAAGCTCTACGAGGTTCTAAACATGGATATGAGCTTCAGGAGGATCTGTGAACCTTTTGTAATTGTTATGCCAGAGTGTTGCACAATTGTGTGTTCATTTTTGTTGTAGTTTATAGCTTTCATCATCTACTTGATGGAGCTCATGTCTAAGAGCTTAAAAACCACCAGTTATTTTTCTGTCATTTTCTAGCATTTGTATTTGCAGAAGAGATGGTTTACTTCCTCTGTGGGTAACCAGGTTATCAGATTTGGTGTTTTCCAAAGAAAAGGTAAGAGCGGTCTGCTTTCATTGTCTGCTTGGTGCTAGTACAATCTCCCTCCCAGTTCTATACCTGCAGCCTAGTTGATGTCTCAGTAACTAAAACACTTCCCACTGTCTGGCAGACACTCATCTAGTGCAATGATTTTAAATTGCTTATTTTTTTTCAAGAAGCCTATTTCATATATGAAAAATTATGCATAAGCTTGTTATTGCAAACAGGAAAAAGCGGACTCGCCCTGACTGAATTTCGGAGATGTGCTGAGCCCATTCTTTGACCTGTCCTTTCTCCCTGTAGTGGGAGATATTTTTGGGGAATCTCAGGGCACATAGCATGTTTAAAAAACACTGATTCTGGCCCAGCAGGGTGGCTTATGCCTGTAATCCCAGCACTTTGGGAGGCCAAGGCAGGTGGATCAGTTGAGTTCAGGAGTTCAAGACCAGCCTGGGCAATATAGCAAAATTCTGTTTCTACAAAAAATGCAAAAATTAGCTGGGCATTTTGGCGTGTGCCTGTAGTCCCAGCTACTTGGGAGGTTCAGGTAGTAGGATGGCTTGAGTACAGGAGGCGGATGTTACAAGTGAGCCTAGATTGCACCACTGCACTCCAGCCTGGGCAACAGAGACAGACTCTGTCGGAAAAAAAAAAAAAAAAAGGAAAAACACTGATTCTGCAGGGATGACATTGGTTCTTCTCTCTTACCACTTGCTCCCCACCACCAACCTGGTCATGATCTTTTCATGCGATACAGGGGAAAAGAGTCTATGCTGCTCCCAGCACCCTACCATCCCTGTTTCTACCTAGACCCTGTCATGTGTAGGGACCCTACCTCTTGGAATGCAAGGTGTTTCTATGCTCCCCTTCCTCTTTCTCTTCTATTTACTTCTGAGTAATGCAGTCTTGGTTTCTAAATGGATATAGGTTAAAAGGTGCCATTGAGGGTATAAAGGCAAGATCCAAACCCTACCTGTCTCAAAGCATCCTGCAGAGCCTGGGGGTGGTTGTTGTTTTCTGACACTCTGCTTCTCTGGGTCAGGGAAGACAGAGGGGGAAGGAAGGCACAGTCTTTTCTCAGCCTCCCTATGCAGAAAAGAGTTAGCAGAGTAGAACTAAACTGCTGTCCTTGAAAAGGCCTGCTTCAAAGGGTGGCCCTTGGCTGTCATCTGGGAGCTTAGATTCCCACTATGAACTGATAAGAGTGGCTCACTGTGCCCATTTAACTGTTTTTACACACAGCGTGGTTTACGCCGGACACCTCCTTTCCTTCTGAGAGTTTACAGTTTGGGTATGTGCCAGGCAGGGGGTTGCATCTGGGGACATCCCCCAATAAAAGCCTTGGTCATTGAGTCTAACAAGCTTCCCTGGTTGGCTGCATTTCATACATGTTGTGATGACTTGTTGCTGCGGAAATTAAACATGCCCAGTGTATTTCCACTGGGTGAGAAATCTTGGAAGCCTGTGCCTGCTTTCCCTCTTGCTTCACCCCAGGGGCCTTTTGACTTTGCTGAATGTGCTTGGTACCGTTTTGTTGTTATAGATCATACCTCTGACTACAACTATATGCTGAGTCTTTTGAGTCTTCCTAGTGAATTGTCAAATCTAGGGGAGGTTTTAGGACCTCCTGACATATTGCCACTTTCAGACTAGCATGGCTGTTGGTTTCAAAGGGCAGAGTGTTTGTAAACCACCAGCCAATTTTCTCAAGCAAGCTCCATAGGCCTTGAAGCTGGTGGGCATGCTCCCAGATTCTGGCAAAAAGTTGCTAACTTGTTTTTTGCCTCTGTGGTTATGTAATTTAGTTTTTAATTTTTATGTTTTTCTGATGTCTCCATATGTATTTTAGCAGAAAGGAAAGATTGTATCAGAGACTCATAGCATTAACACTGTTGAAATCACAATTTTGGGCATCTCACACTTTAAAATTTTGAGAGATGAGAGAATTTGGCTTATTCTGGTTTCTATTTTATTTTTATTTCTCATAGTGGGTTGAATAGTCCAAGTTCTAACCTCCAGTACCTGGGACTGTGATCTTATTTGAAAGCAGTGTCTTTGAAGATAGTATTAAGTTAAGGCTCTTGGGATTAAATCAACCTGGATTTAGGGTGAGCTCTAAATTCAATGACAGAGGGTTATTTAGAGACATAGAAAGGGAAAGTCTGGATGAAAGTAGAGGCAGAGATAGAAGTGATATGTTTACAAGCCAAGGAATACTAAGATTTGCTAGTAGCCACCAAAAGCTAGGAGAGAAGTGTGAAAGAATTCTCCTTCAGAGCATCCAGGAGGAACCACACCTGCCAGCACCTTGATTTTGGACTTCTGACCTCCAGAACTATGACAGAATATATTTCTATTGTTTTCAGCCACCTAGTTTATGGTATTTTGTTATGGCAGCCTTAGGAAACAAATACTATTCTTGATGCTTGGAATAATCCCTGGGAGAGGCGAGTGAGGAGGGAAGCCCTGACTTGCAGGAAAGGAGATCTGAGCAAAGTTTGAGAAGGTGTAAGCCACTTTCGAAAAATGTACAAATGAGCCCCATGTGGTGATTAAACCCCTCAAGATGTAGTTTTCATCTTATTCTAAACTGCTTGATCTTGAATGCCAGATGTTCTGGGTACTCCAGGCCTCTCCTCCATCATTGCATTTTGTTTGGGCTCAGAGACCCTGCAACTCTGGTCTACCTGGGGCATCTGACTTTGATTTCAACTCAGACTCTAAGAACATTAGAGAACTCCAAGAAAGGGCATAGCTGCTTGAGCAGCAGGAAGAGCTTATTCCAACCCCCTATTACGTGGCCCCACCTCCCACTACAGACAGGCTCCTCAGGTATGCATTTTTGACATCCAAGCTCTTAAGGCAGAAGTCCATCTGTTGGAGTGTGATGGCGGCCAGGAGATAGGGAAGACCGTCTTTACCCCATGACTCATGGGCTTTTACTTCTCAGTGAATGCTCTGCAGGCCTGAGGGTCACCCAGTATAGAAAACAATGGGTGCAATGACAGGTGCCTGTTTCAGACCCATTCTAGATGCCTGGCCTTTACATAGTCTCTAAAAGTGGCCTTCTTAGAGAAGGCATGGAACTGCAGGGTCAGGCCTGCTTGCCATTTCCCAGATGCTTGAGGAATGCCTTACTTGGCATGGAGACTTCATTGTTTTATGACTCTGTTTCTTGATGTTGTGGATGTTGGTTAAGAATCAGCAAATAGTTCTTTTCTTAGCTGTCACAAAGGCAAGGTGACCATTAGCAATTGATCAGTGACTCCTTCCTATCCTATTGGAAATCCTCTGACCCTCGAACTCTGAAATTCTTTTGTCCTTCCTCATATTGGCCCAAAGACTTCCCTTGCCTTGTTTTGATGTTTGCTCCACAAGAATATCTGGCTATTCTGGCCCCTGTCTCCATATTCATTTTCCTGAATGGGATTCTTTAAACCTGTGGCAGGGACTTTTTGTTCTCTCCCCAATATCCATTCTCCTTCCATTCTTTACCAGAATTCCTGTAGGGCATTTGTTTTTGGAAGGCAGCCAAATCCTTAGCTGAAACAACTATATTTCCCAGTATTCTTTGCTGGGAAAGGAGTGGCCAATGAAATATAAACAGAAGGCATTGGTTGGAACTTCTGAGGAAGCCTTGCTAACGACACTGGTGCCATTTCAGCCGTGCCTACCACTATTCTTCAGGCTTAGAGCACAGCATTGTACGTGCAGCCATCTTGGGCCATGATGCCATCCTTGAGGATGCAAACCATGCACTAAGGATGATGGCACGGAGAGTTGAAGAAGGCTGGTCCCCAAAGACCCTGGGGCTTCCTTTCCAGTCCTGGATCATCAACCTCTGAATTTCTTTTTCTTCAGTGAAAAATATCTTCTTTATGCACCATTATTTAAGGTTTCTAATATATGCAGCAAAACTTAGTCCTGATTGGCTAACCCTCCTCTTTCTCTAGGTTGGAATATTTTGATTATATTTGTCTTTTCTCCATTTATATTTGCCTAACACAGAGAAATTCATTTAATAATCATACAATAGGTAATTAACATTTCACCAATATTATCAAGTATATGATTGCATCTAATGTATTCCACAATTCTAGTTAATAATTATGTACCAAAATAGGTCAAAATAAAATAAAATAAAATAAACAGCAAGGCACATTGCATGTGTGATTCCTAAGATAATTGTATCCCATTATATTTAGTTTTTAAGTTTCTTATTTGAAAATTTAATTTAATGAAGAAGATGTATGATGTTGGAATGCTACCTATGTCACCATCTGGCTCCCCATAGCTGCCTGTCAGTACTAGAAGCTCAAAGTGGAGCCATATGGGCCATTTCTAAAATAAGTTTTTGCCTTTTAGACAGAATGGTGGCTCAACTTTGAGGCTCAATTTTTGTGGCTCATAGGATAAAGGATCAATTACCACCTATAAGCTTTTCTGCACAATTTATATAAATAAAAGATTATTACTGCCAAATGTATCTGGTCTTCATGACTTACAAATGGAAACAGAAAGAATTGGGGACCATAACTTGAAAGATGGCTTCACAGATTCACAGAATAAAAATTATGTATGCTTTTTTTTTTTTGAGATGGAGTTTCACTCTTGTTGCCCAGGCTGGAGTGTAGTGGCGCAATCTCGGCTCACCACAACCTCCACCTCCTGGGTTCAAGTGATTCTCCTGCCTCAACCTCCCAAGTAGCTGGGATTACAGGCACCCACCACCAGCCACCACGCCCAACTAAGTTTTGCATTTTTAATAGAGACAGGGTTTCACCATGTTGGCCAGGCTGGTCTTGAACTCTCGACCTCAGGTGATCCGCCCTCCTCAGCCTCCTAAAGTACTGGGATTACAGGTGTGAGCCACAGCGCCCAGCCTTTTTTTTTTTTTTTTTCTTTTTGAGATGGAGTCTCACTCTGTCTCCAGATTGGAGTGCAGTGGTGTGATGTCTGCTCACTGCAACTTCTGCATCCCGGGTTCAAGCGGTTCTCCTGCTTCAGCCTCCCGAGTAGCTAGGACTACAGGCGCGCGCCACCACACCCAACTAATTTTTGTATTTTTAGTGGAGACGGGGTTTCGCCATGTTGGCCAGGATGGTCTTGATCTCTTGACCTCATGATCCGCCCACCTCAGCTTCCCAAAGTGCTGGGATTACAGGTGTGAGCCACCGCGCCTGGCCTATGCTTCTTTTTATTAACCTTTGTTTTAAAAGAACTCTTGTGTCAGTTAACTGGAAATTAAAAACTGAAAGTGGGGATTTATTTCTTTTTCATTTTCCGTATCTCCATTCTCTAACTGATTATTCATCTTTAGTGAGACATAGCATCCAAAAGCCGCCATCCGTAATTTATGGTACTTTTTGCAGAGTGATTTCTGTCACATTAGTAGAAATTTGTCAACAGTTGCTTCTCCACAAGAGGAATTTTTAAAAGTTGTTTGTTCATTTGCTGAAGCATTAAAAGATAAATGAAATCTCAAAGAAAATTACACACACAAAAAATACAGGGGAAAAAAATCTTTAATTTCCCTAATTTGGAAAGTTTCTAAAATAAATCACCTCTCACTAATTATAATTCAATAAAAATTAAACTGCTAATATGCCCCCAAACATAAAGAAAACATGAAGGGAACATGTTTACAATGAATCAGTTTCAAGGTAGTATCAGTTTTAGATTTTCCCCTTGAACAGAGATGGCAGCTGTTAGAAAGAGTGTGTTTGTGTGGCTAGTTCCCTGAAGAGCCCATCAACTTAGTAAGCACTCACACATTCCCACACTTCTCTTTTTGTTTGGCACAAGAAATCCATGCAGATGGTAAGTGGAAATTAGCTACGAAGGGGAGATAAAAGGTCCATAGTTTGAGATGCAATTCCCCTGAAAATAATGGGCAATCACCCATCATATATTTCTTTGCTTCTCTTAAATGGGACAAACTTCAAAGTGACACGGACAACTTTTCAAGAATGCAGTGCCTCTGAGGCTGACATAAAAGGCTTCTTTTTCAGGAAGCCGTGATGTTTGTGTGTCTCTGCCCTTCCATGACTCCGTGTTCCATCTGTTCAGCCTGGGTGCCTTCAAACCCTCCAGCAGTCACTGTGTTCTGGGTGTTCATCTTGTTGCTGGTGTATCGTCAGATTTAGGGCCTTAACAATTCTCTGTGTCTCCTCCAGCTGGGCAGATTGCATTAGGGGGTGGAGCCCCAGGCATGATCTGTCTGTCTCTGCAGTGCCCCCAGTTATGCATGTTGTGTTCCTCTAGAGTGAGTTTCAGCAAAGACGAGTGTGTCTCTTTTGGTTTGTGTCATGGACAAATGGCTTCTTTCAGGGGGGTATTCTTCAGTAATCTGTTTCCTCACTCTGTGCCTGAACTCTATAGCCAGGTGCTAAACCTAGCCTTGAAAACTGAGGAATATCTGCTCTTAATCCTGACCTGTGAGAATCACTGGTGGTAGCATAAAGGCCTTGGTGCCCTATGAAGCAACTAAACTTTCCTTTGTATTTCAAAGATGACTCATTTGGTACAGTTGTTGGGTTAAGTTTCAAATGACATGTGATGTTTAAAATGCTTTCCCCCCCGGGATGAGCATGCTGGTCCCTGAATAGTTTTGCTTTTGTACTCAGAGACTGAAGGAAATTGTTTCTGTTTTGAGCCTGTGCTTTAGTCTCCCCAGTCCAGCCTCTGCACCTAGGTGGGAGTTGGGAGGATTAGGAGAGGGAACTGAAGAAGCCCACAGGAATGGAATGTGTTAGAAAGCTCTAGCACGATTTCTGGAGATGCAAAATAGACACATGTGAAATGATTTGGAAGGAAGCAATAAATTCCAAAATGTAAGCATTAAGTGCAGAAAGATCAACTTTCAACCGTAGTGTTTACTGTGGTAGCAGGGAAAAATGTAGAGGAAGTGGAGCTTGAAAAGCAAGAGAAGATGCGGGATGGTATTTATGGAGTGGAGACTAGCATAAGCAAAGTTCAGAGGCAAGGGAGTGTCAGCATTGGGTTGACATCAGACAGCATTGCCATGGATTGTGGTGGGAGATGACACAGAGATGTTCCATAACAGGGAGAGGGAGGCCAGATGCCTTTGGGAAGAGGGTACTTCTTTAGGTAGCAAGCGAAATGTCCTAAGAGAGAGAAGAGAAGAAGAGAACAGTACAAAGGGGAAAAGACGGTTTTTGCAAGGAGTTCAGGCCATGTGACCTGAGGGTTTCACGGTAAGAGGCAGGGTACACATAGCTGACTGAAGGGGGTAGCATTCTAAGTAAGGCATGACCCAGGCCATCCAAAAGCACCTCCTCAGATTACAGCAAAGGAAGTGCTTTACAGCACTGAGGAGCCCATTGGAGATAATCTTCTCCCACCTCCAACACCCCAGGCATCATAATAAGTGGTATCAAAAATGCCATCAGCTTCCTGAGCCAGCCATTGAATTAATGTTGCATTAGGTTATTTCAACTTATTACTATAAATTTCTAAAAGAGTTCACATTCAATATTTCATGTATTCTCAGAACTCTAGGTAGGGAGAAGTTATTACTAAACAATGCTCTGAGGAAATTAAATCACTGTGGTCACTCAACTAATAAGTGAGGGGTTAAATCTGGAGCCTGATCTTTGTGACTCTAAACCAGTGACCCAGGAGGCCAGGTAGACAGGATAGTTTTGAGGCAGGAGGCTTTTTCAAGTGTAGGCTCTCTGCAAGTGTATATATTCATTCTGTTTGCTAAATATTTTCATTTCTCCTTCCTGTCAGGCACATGGCATGATTCCACTTCTTGGCTCCCATGTGAGTACTTCTGGCCAATGAGTTGTGAGCAGATGTGTGTCACCCCTAGGTGAAAGTGACTGCCTGCCAGCATGAGAGCCTCCTGAGCTCTCTTGCTTTCTGCCCCAGTGACTGTCAGGCTCCAGATATTGTCTGCCTGATCAGCTTTAGGTCCCAGAGTATGTAGACAAGGAGCAGAACTCCCAACCAACCCATAATGAGCATGTATCATGAGGGAGAAATGAACCTTTGCTGTTCTATGCCACTGGGAGTTTAAATTGCTTAGCGCAGGAGAACATAGCCTGCCCTGGCTGAGATACCAAGTGTGAGGTATTGACAGCCTAGGCAAATAATGGAGGCAGAGGAAATGGGAAGCAAGAGATAAAGACTAAGGAGGAACATGTAGAACTTCATAAATGATAGAATATGATTATGTAGGAGAAGCAGGCTTTGAAGACAATGCCGAAGTTTGCAGTCCAGGTACAGGAAGAATGGAGGTGACTTTGGTTTGACGATAATAAACTTAGCATTTCTTTACTTAAAAAAAATGAAAATAGCTCCTGACCAGATTTTAAAAGCAAAATATACTAATCATAAAGATTCAAGAAATACCAAAAATTATAAAGAAAAAATTAAAAATTGACATGATTTAACACACCTCAATAATGATTGTTTGCATTTTGGCTCACATACACAGACATGCTTGTTTATGTATGCTTATAAACATATTTGGAAAAATTATAAACTATTTGACATGTACATGAAATGGATGTACATATGAGGCATTCATTAAAAAAAAATTACTGACTACCTATCACTAAGCAGGCAGTAGATTAGGTGCTGGAGTATAAATGTTAGTGAATGAGTTACCATTTATTTCCTCAGGGAGCTTAGGGACTAGTAAGGAAAATTCTCATCTATAAGGGAGCAATTGGAAATATGGAATTGGAGTTTACTGTGGTGCAGATTTGGGAATTTCAGGCCACAAACAGCAGTTATGGCTCAGGAATGACTGATTTTCCAGAGGGAAAAGAAGACAAGTAAAGAGATGAAGACTTCTTCCAGGAACCTGAGGTACTTCATTGTCTGCAGAGATGCCTCATCCTACACCCCTCAGTCACTCATATCTGGATACATTGGACCTTGTCAACATCAATAATGGACATACCTCTGATATTTGAACTCTGAATCTCACTCTGTGACCACAACTTTGTATCTTTCTAAGTCTTTAATCTTCAACCTCACAGAACTCTTCATACCCTAAAATATAGTATTTTCACCTGGTCTGTCATCCCCTTTTGTGCCTTCATTTTTTTTCCTTACCAAGACTGGTTCCCATGGTGATCCCATGAATGACTTTATCACTAATAACCACAACTCGCATATATTTCCCCTTTGTAACATGCTTGTCCAGCAACTACTTCAATCCATTCTACAGTCCACCTTCACTGTCTCCCTAGACTGAGGAGAAAGCATGAGAGTGTAAATTTAAGGTTTCCAGTTTGAGCTGGTGGCTGAGAACCTCAATTGCTTGCTCATTTAATAAGAACATACTGAGTGTTGACTGTGTCAGGATAGACACTATGATATGTTGGTGAACAAACCACATAAGAACTCCTGCCTGTGTGGAGTTGATATTCTAGAGCAGACAGATATACAATAAACAAATAAGTAAAATATACGGTATATAAGATGGTGAACATGGCATGGGGAAAAGTGGGGTGGGAAATGGTACAGGGAGGGCTGGAGAATAAATAGAAATTTCAAAGATGGTTCACTGAGGAGGAGTTGAGTGAAGACTTGAAAAGGGGAATACACTATGCAGGTAATCTGGAGGAAGAGAACAGGCAAGGGGAACATTAAATACAATGGTCTTGAGGCAGGGGAATGCCTGAAATATTTGAAGAGTAGCAACTTTGGAATGGAGTGAGGGAGGTGGCTAAGAGCAGGAGATGAGGTCAGAGAGGTAACAAAAGTCATTTTGTTTTGGACCTTGTCAGCCATTGTAAGAACTGTGGTTTTACTCTGAGATGCAAAGTCATTTGGAGGATTTTGAGCAGAAGTGTGATATGATCCAACTTATTTTTTAAAAGGATTGTTTGGGTTGCTATGTTGAAAATAGTATTGGGAGGAATGGGCAGAGGTTTGAAACAGAGAGACCAATTACAGGGTCATTGCAATAATCCAGAACAATGCTTTTGAGTAGTAAAGGGGGGGTGAAGGTAGTGAGAATTTTTTTAACTGTGTATATGTTTTAGAAGTTGAGTCAAGAAGATTTTCTTGCATGGATATGTGAAAGAAAGAGAAATCTCAGAAGTCAAAGATTTTGGCCTGAGCAGTAAAAAGGATAGGGTTACTATGAACTGAAATGGGAAAGACTGAGGAGGAGCAGGATTTGGTGGTGACTTCAGTAGTGGGTTTTAGATTTGCAGAGTCTAATGACTTTAGACATTCAAATGGACACCTTGAGAAAGTTCCATCTCTGGAGTTGAGGGAGAGATTCTTGTGAGAAATAGAAGTTTGGGGATTGTCAGAATGCAGATGTAATTTAAAATCGCAAGAGTGGATGTGATCCCTAAGAGAATAAGGGTGGATAGAGAAGAGAACAGATCCAAGGATCAAGCCCACAGGTACTTGAACATTTAGAGATCAGGGACTCAATGGGGACCCCATGAAGAACGATAAAGAGAAATGACCAGTGAAATAGAAGGAAAATCAAAAGAATGTGGGGTCCTGGAAACAAAGCAAAGAAAGTGTTTCAAGGAGGAGAATCACCTGTGTCAAATATTGCTGACAGGTTAAATAAGATGAGGATTGAGACTTAGTCACTAGATTTTGCAACAAGAAGGTGACTGACTGTATGATTGCATTTATATGTAATGATCAGACTAGGCAAATCCATACAGACAGAAAGTAGGTTAGGGCTTGCCAGAGTCTGGGGGAAGGAGGAAATAAGAAGTAACTGCTGATGGGTATGAGGTTTCTTTTTGGGACAATTAAAATGTTCTGGAATTAATGTGATGGTTGTACAATCTTGTGAATATACTGCATAATTGCACACTTTAAAATTATGAATTTTATAGTATTATGTCAATGAAAAAGATAATGGGAGAAGAGGAATTGGGCACAATGCATATAGACAGCTTTTCCTGTTTGGCTGCAAATGGGAGTAGAGAAGCAGAATGGTGGATTGAAGTGGATATGAAATCAAATTGGAGGAAGTTAAAATAGGTGTCCTTTTGGAATGACTCAGTGGAGAGGGAAAATTTGGTGATACAGTAGAAGAGGGGAATAGCTGCTTTGGCAATGTCCTTAAGTAGACAACAGTGGGTAGGATTCAGAGAATAAGTGGAGGATTTGGCCTTAGATAGGAGTGGGGGCATTTCCTTTAGGAACGCAATGAAACATATAATATGTGGTACAGCTACAGGTAGATGAGTACATGTGGTGGAGAGAGGATGTGGAAGTTCTCTTTAGCTGACTCTAGTGAAACAGGAACAAAGTTAGCTGAGAGTGATGATGGAAAGAAATATTAGAGATTTGAGGAGAGAAGAGAAGGTATAAAATTTTCATCTGGAAGATGGGAAGATTGAATAGACCCAGTAAATGTCATAGAAGTGTTATGCAACTCTAAGGGTCTACTTAAGGTTTGTAGTCACCAATTTAATAGACGAGTCAGCATGATCATGTGGTTTTCTCCAACAAGGCTTGGTTTGCTTGGATGCAGGTATAGAACAAGTAGAAATTCAGATCTAAACAAGTTAGGAGTTTTTCCGTGTGAGTTCAAGAAAGCCGAAAGTGAAGTGATGATAACAACGGACTGAGAAAGGTAAGCTAGGAAAGGATGCAAGTGAGAACATGAAGACATGGAGAATAAGATCAATGCCTGAAGGGCCAGTGGGATTGAAAAATTGTTAGAGGAGGGTTGCCTAGTGAGCAAGAAAGGTAGTGGGTGATGGTCAGAGAGGGAGATTGTTGAAACTGAGATTATGAAGAGGTTTCTGTTATTGGTAATGACAAGGCTGAGGCAATGACCACGGAAATGGGTTGCTGATATGGGGGAGAACAAGGTCATTAAAGAGGTTAGACATGAAAGCACTTGGTGTTAGGGCATCATCCACATTGCTAGGGTCTGAATGTGTCCCTCAAAATTCATGCATCGAAACTTAATTACCAATGTGATGAAGAGGTGGACATTTAGGAGGTGAGTAGGTCATGTGGGCTCTGCCCTCATGGATAGGGTTTATGCCTTATACAAGAGGCTTCAGAGATCTGCCTCCCACTTCCTTCCGTACTTGCCTATATGAGGACACCTAGACAGCACCATCTATGAGGAACAGGTCCTCGCCAGATACTGAACCTGCTGGTACCTCATCTGGGACTTCCATCCTCCAGAACTGTAAGAAATAAATTTATAAATTTCCCGGTCTGTGGTATTTTGTTGTAGCAGCAAGGATGAACTAAGACACACAAGGATGATAACAATGGAAAAAAAGTAACAAGATTGTGTTGGTGAGAGTGACAGTGAGCTGGTAACTACAATCTTAGAACACTAAGAACGAATGACCTGGAAGGTGTAGCTAATTGCAATAAGGAGGGGAAAGTTGGGGATCACCTGTTGATGTGAGTGCAAAAGCTGTTTATTGTTTTTTTAAGAGCAGAGGAGGGAGGGACGAGCATGGTCTTGAAACAGCAAAAAACAAAAAACAAAAAAACAAAAAGGACTCTACCTTATCTCCATGCCCAGTGTGGACAGCTGGGGAGCTAGGAAATAGCCACCACTTGAGAGGGCCATGGAGGAAGCAGATCTTGGGCAGAGCATGTTTTAGTAAAATAAGCAGTGAAGGAAATATTCCAAGAAGGGATTTTGATTATGATTGAACATGAATAAAGTGTCAGTGAGGCCATAGTGAAGTGTTTCAGGAGTCAGGGAGAAGCAGGAGATGAGGTCAGTGTGAGCTGTTGAGAGCTGTATAAGGCATGAGATTAGTTGGGTGTCCTGGCTGGGCTTGGTGGTACTGGATGCAATCAGGCATAAAGGGCACAACTGACAATCAGCAGTGTGTGCTTGTGGGGGTGGTCTTCTCTGGAGCTCCATGGTTCTGGACAACTCTCTTTCTGCTCATCTGCTTTCTCTTACTAATACAAGTGTCATACCCTTCTTCACTTGGCCAGCTCCTGTGCATTCTTCAGCTACAAGGAACCTTTACCAACTCCCTTCAGTGCTCCCTTAACATCTTGTAAGTAACATCACTGAACATCTTACCACTCTAATTGCTATTACCTATTTGTATGTATATCTCCATAAACAGATTTTACGTTTCCTGAGGCAGGATTGGTCTTGCTTGTGTCCTCTGTGCTAAGCACAATGTATAGGATAGAGTACATGAAATATACCTGTTTGTTGCAGCAGCTATGGAAAATAGTATGGGGTTTTAAAAATATTTAAAATAGTACTAACATATGATCTAGCAATTCTACTTCTGGGTATATGTCCAAGAGAATTAAAATCAGATCATGAACTGATATTTGCACTCCCATGTTCATTGCAGCATTATTCACAGTGGCCAAGATATGAAAACAACCCAAGTGTCCATTCATGCATGAGTGGATAAGCAAAATGCAGTATAGAGGCCAAGGATAAACTTTGCCTTCTCCATCTGAAGGTTCACTCAAAAATCAACTAACAAAAGGCAGATTAATAGGAGAAGGCATACAAATTTATTGACATGCATGAGAGTCTTACAAAATGTAAGACCTGAAAGAAATGGCCAGATGGTTGGTGACAGTGTCCAGGACACTGTTTTCCATGCACTGGAGTCATAATTACATGAGAATGCCACGTGAATGTGTTTGAATCAAAACTGTGAGTAATTTGGTTGGTGCTAAAATTCTGTGTTTGCATGGAATGTAGTTTTGATAGTTACTTCATCTGTCAAATGAGGGGATTGTAAGGTTATTGTATGACCTTGGGCATACCAGGAAATCTGTTTCCTGAATAATTAGGTGAATTCCTTACCTTGAGGCCCCAAGACAATTTAGGGCTCCTGAGCCTGTCAGAAAGTGACATTCTGTACTTACTACAGGTTAGGAATGCTGCACAGGGACTGTGTAGACAAAGTATGAGGTAGCTTTCCTAAGGGTCTTATATTTGCTCTATAAATCAACTCTGATTCTTTAAAATTAAAAAAATTAAATGTTTTTTATTTATATATCTTTTTAAACTTTTACTTTAGGTTCAGGGGTATGTTTGTTATTTAGGTAAACTCATGTCACAGGTGCTTGTACAGATTATTTCATCACCCAGGTACTAAGCCTAGTACCCAATAGTTATTTTTTCTGATCCTCTCCCTTCTCCCAACCTCCACCCTCAAGTAGGCCCCAGTGTCTGTTGTTCTCCTCGTTGTGTCCATGTTTCATCCTTTAGCTCCTACTTGTAAGTCAGAACATGTGCTGTTTGGTTTTCTGTTCCTGCATTAGTTTGCTAAGGATAATACTCCCCAGCTCCATCTATGTTCCTACAAAGGACACAATCTCATTTTTTAATGGCTGTATAGTATTCCATAATGTATATATACCACATTTTCTTTATCCACTGTGCCATTGATGGGCATTTAGGTTGATTCCATGACTTTGCTATTGTGAATAGTTCTGCAGTGAGCATATGTGTGCATGTAGAATAATTATAATTTATATTTGTATTCCTTTGGGTATATATCCAGTAATGGGATTGCTGGGTTGAATGGTAGTCTTTGAGGAATTGCCACACTGCTTTCCACAATGGTTGAACTAATTTACACTCCCACCAACAGTATATAAGTGTTCCCTTTTCTCTGTAACCTCACCAACAGGTATTTGCAGGCACAGATAAATCTGTGGCTTGGCTAAAAGCTTTGAAAAGTCTAACTAAGATTCCTTATGGAATAAAGTTCCAACAAAACCAACTAAAAAAAAGAGCCTATATGGCAAATAATTATGCTTGTTGATTTTATGCAAATACTCAGGCCAAGTATAATAAGACTAACACTTATTTTTATAAATAAATCTGTCCTATAATTTGTCTTTAGTAAAAATGGGAACTGGAGAGAGAAAAATTATGTTTGAAAATAAACTACAGTATACCTGTTTTTTTAAAAAAGGAAATCTCTTTCCTTATCTGTAGAATACAAAAGAGGGACTCTATGATCTTCATGTTGCTTCTGATTTCTGAACCCCTTCATTGTTTCTTTTGAGGCAGTTACTATAACTTGTGATCATTTTGTTTGCTTATTTTTTTGAATTTTTGAATTATAACACTAACTTGAATGTAAGTTCCATGGAAGTAGAGACCATAACTATTTTGTCCACTGATTTATTTGGCTAATGCTTAGCATATATTAGATGCTCAACAATAATTTCATAAGTAGTGATATGGTTATTTGGTCCAAACAAAGAGGAACTATAATTTTTTTGGAGGCAGATAGATTTATGACTCTATTTTATATACATGGTCTTGATATTTTTTGGTACACATGGTACTGCTTAGCAGTGATGTTAACTTGATATTAAAAAAAAACCACCCAGCCCTACATTAGTTAAGATACACTGTAATTCTGTAGTATATCTGTACAAGGTCCATTTTAAGGTTAAGGAAATTGAAGTGTACATATTTTGTATATGAATGAGCCTGGGCCCATTTCACTGAGCACATACAAGTACCTAGCTTCTGCTCCTCCCCTCAGCTACTAGTTAACTAGCATGTTACTTACATGCTGTTTTTATATCTGGTATTTGATATATGTGTGAGCACTTGAGCTTGCACTGTTGTTTGGTCTGTAAAAGGGAAAATGAAACATAAATACATTGATGTTGACCTTGAGATAATCAATTAAGCCCAAACAGGTTTACAAAAGAAGCTTTTAGTTTCTTAAAGATGTTAAGATTACACAGAGCACTAAAAGAGCAGAGGCCCAGACCAATTACATCTCATTTTATGAGTCCTGGAGAGGATGTATATTTGATTCTTGTTGTTTTTCCTCACGGAGTCCTTCTTTTTTTCATAAATCAAGACCAATCAGTCATAGGAACATGAAATTCCATTTATATTCTAAAATGACTAATGGCTTGGCTTTTGGTCCTTTAGTTCAAATTGGGATGAAACAGAATAGTAGCTATGTGTAATTCACAAATGGACCCTGTCAGGTCTGGCCATGTGCATGTCCACAGGGGTTGAACCTGAGTGCAGGTGTCTTAATCCATTTTGTGCTTTTATACCAGAACACCTGCGACTGGGTAATCTATACAGAACAGAAACTTATTTATCACATTTCCTGAGGCTGGGAAGTTCAATATCAAGGTGCTGGCACCCTGTGAGGGCCTTCTTGCTGCATCATCCCGTGGCAGAAGGGCAAAAGATCACATGCGCATGAGAGAGGGAAGGGAACCAAATTTGTCCTTTTGTAAGGAACCCACTCCCAAGATAACAAACTCACTCCCATAATATTGGCATTAAACCAGTCATAAGGGCAGAGCTCTTGTGGCTTAGTCACCTCTTAAAGGTCCCATCTCTCAACACTACTGCATTGGGATTAAGTTTTCAACACATGAACTTTGGGGGACACATTCAAACCATAGCACTCAGTCTCCTCCTTATTTTTTAAAGGAGTTAATAATAAGCATGGCTATGACTGGGATGAGACTGAAAGGCCACCCCTGCTTTCCTGAGATCCACCTCCAAACCAGCAGGGTAAGAGTCTCTGATTCAGATAAATGGCTGTGGCTACAGATTGTAGGATACGCTTTTTCCAGAGGAGGAAAAATGTCTCTATTGAGTGGTCTGTCTGTTGTCTTGAAATGTATATCCTTCTTTCCAATAACCCCTTATTCTAATGTCAACATTTACGTAATGAATTTCTTAATGTAATTGTGTAGGTTGATTTCAAACCTGGAATATTCCAGATATATCTTTTCATTAAGGAGTAGAAAAACAGGAAATACGTAGTAAGACATGTGGAGTGGAGGACTGTGTAAGGTTAACATCAGAAAATAATCTTCCAGGAGCAACCCCGTACTTTTTTTGTTGCTGAATATTCAAGGCAGTAGCATTTGCATTTTTGGTTAGCACAGTCAGTAATAACAGCCTTCTATACTGTCACAGTCTAGGAACCTCCAATCCCAGCTCTATTTCTTCTGCTCTTCCTCAGCAGGAAACTTCCTTTAGGATTGGAACATAAAGCCCCTGGCTCACAGGGTAATCAGAGCCATGCCAGTGACAGGTGATGGGAGAAGAGATTTAAAACATTCCTTCCTGGGCTTTAAAACCCAGCACCTACAACCCTTTAGATTCACCTTGGGATCATAACTCTAGATACGCTCTTTCCACTTGTTTGTGAGAGATAGGCCAAGTTACGTCATCAAATCTGTTGAATGCCCTCTAGATACAAAGCAATTTGTGAAGATGAAGATGGGACAAGGAGCCAGCACTGAAAATGATCAGTGTTGCTCAGCAAAACCGACATGTAAGCCTGTTAGCAATGAATGACCAGTGAGGGTTTTCCAGCAGGAGAGTGCCTGATTAGATCCACATTTCAGAAGGGTCATCCTGGAATATAGGTGACCTCAGAAACATGATGATTATGTTAGACACAAGAACTGATGTTATTTGGATTAACACAGCACCAGAAGCGATGGATGGGTGGAGGAGACTGTTGAGACATTTTGGGGATAAACTGAACATACTGAGTGAATCACTGAAAGTGAAAGTAAAAGAGAGGGGGAGTTGGTTGAGCTTTCTAGCCATGGTGTCATACTCCAAGATGATGAGCACAGAGGGTACTGCCCGTTTAGGAAGGGAATTTTGATTTTGATGTGACTACAGGATATCTAGGTAATAAACAGATGGAAATAATAATTCCAGTAAACAGATGGAAATAATAACTTAGAGCATAGCAGAAAGTTGAGGGTGAGAGAGAAAGATTTAGGAGTCATCAGTATAAGAGTAGATCAATGAAACATGCAAGTTTGAAACTGTTGTTACTAGAGTGTCTTCCCAAGATGGTGGCTGTGCTGGTACATCTTTTTGCTCCTGCCAACAGCTACCTCTTTCCACAGAGATCTTGAAAAAGAGGAAACAAACCAAAACAACCAACAGCAGAAGCTGGGGGTATGATTATTCACATGTCCATGATGATAACAGAACTAATGGTTCAGCCAACATAATTCCTGGCCTATGCTGAGGACATTGTAAATTACATATTACACCTGAACCTGCTCTGATCAAGGCCACCTCTGTGGAACAATTGTCTTGTGAAAACACTGCTGCTTTCGCAAGGGTCTTTCATTCTTTTCTGTGGCTAGGCCTTTGAGAGCTCAACTGGTGAGAGCTACTTCTCTCCTTCTGTTTTGTCTTTCTTATGTGTACAGATGGGTGCTGAGATTCAAGTGAATGTGCTCATGAACATGTGGATGTTGGGTGTTAAAGCATTTCTACATACATTGACTTTCTGGAGATGACAGTGGCATCACATTTTAAGCAACCCACAAAGCTGGACATCAGTTGAAAGTGAAAATCATCTCCTAAATACCAGTGACAAACACCTTAATTCTCTCTCCATCTTAGAATTGTAGTGCACGCAGTGTTTTTTTTTTTTAAAATAAATAATTGCTTTGGGGTCTATTAAGAGTTGGAGGTCAGCAAACCTGCTTTCTGTGATTCATATGCTTTGAGGGTATCTTAAAGCAGACTTGACACAAGCATCCTACAAGTCTGACAATACACAGTGCCTGGATACTTGCCATGTAAAGATCCCTCATTGCTATTGCTCCATTTGAGAAAGGTCTTAGATAAGTGATTAGGATATGTGCCATGCATCCATCAAGGTCACAAGCAATGTTTGGGATTTAAATTGCTGCATTAATAGTTCATTGATGCCATTTAGGATACTATCTAAAATTCATGTAGTCCTCTAGCAATACCAAATGAGACATTTTAGATGGCCTTCCAAATGATACTACTCAACAAAACAGCATATCTATGTCTTGTGGAAATTCAAAGACACTTCTAATACAAAAGCTGTCCACAGTGTGCAGGTAAAAGACAGAGAACACAGGAAACAGTGCTGCAGATCAGATTCCGTGGAGCATTCTTGGAGGTTACTGATCTTCTCTGAAGGCTCTGGATGAAACTGACTTTCTTCTATGGAAGTGAGTCTGAGCTGCAAAATTCAGGGTTGTTTCTTCAAGGGACGCAGTCAAGGCTGTCTCAAGGGTGGCCTATTTGAGGCCACATATTGAAGAGAACTTGTGTGACTGCTAGCACCTAGAAACTACAGAGCTCTCTTAAAATGTTAAGGAGGTTGGGAGGCCGAGGTGGGCGGATCACGAGGTCAGGAGATCGAGACCATCCTGGCTAACACAGTGAAACCTCGTCTCTACTAAAAATACAAAAGAAATTAGCCGAGCGTGGTGGTGGGAGCCTGTAGTCCCAGCTACTCAGGAGGCTGAGGCAGGAGAATGGCATGAACCTGGGAGGCGGAGCTTGCAGTGAGCTGAGATTGCACCACTGCACTCCAGCCTGGGTGACAGAACGAGACTCCATCTCAAAAAAAAAAAAAAAAAAAAAGAAAAAGAAAAAAAGTGTTAAGGAGGAAACAGGAGACCTGGATCAATCTTTACAGACTAGAGTGTCCAATTTGGAAGGGACATCACAGATCACCTTGTCCTAACCTTTTCATTAACCAGAGAGATTAAGCGACTTGCTTGACACAGTCTAGACAGTGGCAGAGCTGGGCCTGGAAATGTAGATGCTCCTTTGTAAGCCTGAGGCTGTCCTTCTTTTCTGAACTTGATTATGGCAGGAAGGCACAGAGGAACAAGGATGGCATTAAAATCAGGAGACTTGCGTCTAGGTTCTCTAACTCAGTCACTACTGGCAAGACCTTTGATATGATGATGGGCCCTATTTAACTTTCTGAATCGGTACCTCATAGATTCACCAAATGAGGATAAGGAGCTTATTTCAGGGGTGCCATTCTCTGAATCTCCCTCAAATCACTTCTTATCTTTGGCATTACAACAAACTGTTACAAATAGCATTAAATTGTGGTGGTCAAACTGTTTGCTGCCAAGGACCACTGAAATACACACATCAAAGCAGCTTCCTAGAGGGTGGTGTTGGAGCAGGAATGAGGTGATAGGGTCTGTCTGGAGGTAGGGCTGACTGAGTCTTCTGGTGGATGTGGGCTGCCCTCACTGGCAGAACAAAACAGCCAAAAAACTATTCTCATCCAGTCATATACAATTTTTAGTAATTAACCCTAGGAAAAGCTCAGAAAGATTTAGGAGAGAAAAATAAGTGTTTTCTTCTTTCACACCAAGTTTATTTGAAATAGTTGGAGACAGGGCATAATTATAAATATCGGCATTTTAACAGACTGACATTTGGTTTAGTTCAGGGTCCTTTGAGGACCCACCAGAATACCTTTGAGAATTGTACCAATTATTTCAGTTTCCCACGACTCTAAATGACCTGCTTTTACTCTTCAAGCTGGTTTCATGTTTAGCTGTCGTTTGTGGCAAGGGCTAAATGATATTTTACCCTCTTACCTTATCTGGCTGATCACTGCTACGCTTGCATGAAAACACCTGTGCCAAATTCAAATGTACTACTTACTAACCTACTTACAAAAGCCCATCAATTATCTTCACAGAAGCAGAATCCTCTAAAAGCCTGGAGTTTTGTGCTCCATTTTCACAAGACAGCTGTTCAGATTTGTGCTGCTTATGATGGGAACACTCACGATTGTGAGTCACTTGTACCATTCCACAGGGTGAGGGAGGCTGACTGCCAGGACACAAAGACCTTGGGCCGAATTGTACCTGGATTTTTATGAATACATGTAATTAGAACTGATACGTAACTCTACCCATCTTTTAAAAGTCATGTTTCCTTCTGGCCTAACCTTAACAAGTCTTCAATTGCCCTTACTTTTTTGCTTTAGGTTTTAAGATGTTTTATGGTTATCTGTATTTCAGACTCACTTAGAATTTATAGCAGCAAAGAAGGACAATAACCAATAATCATTATATATCTACCATTTGCTAGTCGGTATATGCAGGGTATACTTTCCACCGCTCTCTTTTCTTTGCTCTTGGCCACCATTGCTAATCAATCATGGGCACTCTTTTCACTGAACCCCGATAAGGCCTCACGATTCTCAGCACAGCACTCCAGGAAACTACTATCAATTGGTCTGAATTAAGATGAAATCCCTTTTTAACTGTAGTAGTAGATATTTAGTATTTTCTTTATTTCATTTTATCCTTGTAACAAAGATTCAAGCAGGCCATATTGTTTCTTACAGTCATGCATATTAGAGCTAAGTTTACTTAAATAGGTTGCCCAACCACATTCAGTAGTCTAAATCCACATTTACGTTTTTGGACATAAATTCCATGCTGTTTATACTACATTATAAAGATTCCCATCTAAAGACAAGGCTTTGTGTGGCTTCTGGATCAAAACATTATAAAATACAGACTGCCCCTAATTTGGGGGGAGATTTTATTCCAAAAGTTCAGATAAAATAGTAGTGATGGTAATCAATGTTTGCACAGCACTTGGTATCTGTTCTCCTTGGGAATTTGGGAATAGGCAAACGTAGAAAAAGTCAACACAACAGAGTCTCTGGCTCCTTAGCTTGTCTATTCATTCATTCCACAAATATTTACTGAGTGTTTAGCACCGTGACAAACATTAGGAAGACAGTAGTGAAGTAAACAGACACGATCCATATGCTCATGGAACTTATGAGCTAGTGGGGCAGACGGGCATTAAACAAATAAACCTAAACAAAAAAGAACGGAGCCTTTTGATAGGAAATAACAAAAAGAAGCTTACATTTCACTGAATGGTGAAGGCATCTCTTAGGCAAAGGTATGCAAGCTGATCACCAAAGGACCCATAAGAATTAGCAAGGAGAAAAGTTGGGGACTAGCGTTTAGGAAGAGGGAATGGCATGTGGGAAGACCCCAAGTTGGCAAAGAGTTTAGCTTGGTTAAGAGAGATTTGATTGTTTCTCTAAGAATCTTCTCTTACATTTTGTAGTCCTTGGAAAAGGGGAAAGTAATAAATCTATTCAGGACTATTTATAGAGATGTTGGCAAATAGCAGCTAAGATGGTCATGTTTAGAAAACACATATGCCTTTATAAAACATAACACTCTTAGTCCTCAGGGATATGGTATTACCTTTTAGTAATATGGTCACTTGGCTCCAAAGTAGGGAAGACATCTTGAGCGAGACCACATTATACCCCCTTGCCCATGACATAATAAGAAATATATATTTGGTCTCTGCCCCTCATTCCTGACACAGAGCTCCTAAAACTTTTGAAATTTCCTGAGTGATGGATGTGATAAGAGCATCTTACACAAAGCTCCTACATGTTTTGGAGTTTCCTGGGTGATAGGAACATCTTTTGTCCTCGAGATGACTCTGGGTAGGCTCCTGGATAGCTTCAGAATGGGGCTGGTCACCAGAAACACCAAACCATGGTTAGAAGCTTGGAACTTTCAGTCCTACCACCCATCCTTTGGGGGAGGAGAGAGGAACTGGAGATTGAATTAATAACCAGTCATGTTTTTGTGAGGAAGCCTCCAAAAAAAATCCCTAAACTATGGGATTCAGAGAGCTTATGGAGAACTAAGGAAATAATTTAAGAAAGCAGTACCACTAATAGAATTTAAAATGGCAGCAGAAGCAATAACAAAAAGCAAAATTGACCTTATAGAAAACTAAATCATGATACAATACCAGCATGATAAACTTAGATGGGTAATCCATCTAACCAAGTTTATGTCCAAGAATATATTTATCCCCTGGATATTTCCAGTTAAGGTATGGTAGTTGGGAAAGTACCAGGTATTTGGAGGTAGGAGTAAATGAGAGATAATCTTCTCTAATGACAGAAACATTCAGAGACTCAGAAACAGATGTTCAGAAAGTGAAGGTTGATTCTGTCTGTGTCTATTAGCAAGCTCCACACAATGAATGCCATGCAAATAATCATGTAGGCAATGTGGACTGTAGTTGAAATTTTTATTTAGATAATTCATGTGCAGTTGAAAGGAATAATACGGAGAAACCTCATGTGCCCTTTACCCAGTTTTCCCCAGTTGTAACAATGTGTAAAACTGTAGTACAATATGGTAACCGGGATATTGACATTGATACAATCCACTGATCTTATTCAGATTTCCTAAATTTTACCTGTGATAATGTTGATTTAAAGGCACTGGAACCAACACTTGAAAACAAGGTCCACTTACTTGTACTGTTTCCAAATCTAACTACCTCCACTAAGTTGATCACCAAACATCCTGTCAATATATCGATCCATGATTGTAAAAGTGCTTAGGGCAGTGGGAACTTAGAGAAGGCACTTCATGAATTTCGGCTCAATCTCAATCTGAAATTCATTTTGGGGAAGCGTAATAAATGTGCTTGCTAACAGTGGTCAACAAGGATGCTGTGCCTCGAAATTGTACATATTGTCCAAAACACTGTGAAATCAGTGTTCTATTCAGGATTCAAAACATAACGTGGAGTGGAAACAGAAAGCAGCATAATTATTTCTTTTGTCAGAGAAGTAACTAGGTGTTTACCATGGCCCAAAGTAGGGTATAAATGCTAATCTAAGAATAACTACCCTCACTTTTCGAGGGTAATTATTGTAATCAAAGGGCACAACAAGAACAGAGCAGTCAGCTGCCTGGTTACATAGTATAAATACGGTAAGTGGCAACTTGAGAAACAATGTGCAGGTATCAGGAGAAAAGCTCTTTACAATATTCTGTTATGGTCAGCCAAGAAGAGAAATGGAAATTTAATGTTTGCAAATGGCTTTTATTCAGGTACCCAGTACGACTCGTTCTGAACATTGAAAGAAAGGGAACATTGAAAATAAATTTCCATCACAGGAAATCACAAATATGCTGAGGGATGCATGGATTCTGGATATGAGGGGGCATTGTTAGTAATGAAACCCTTGGTGCTGGCCGCCATGAGTTGAGTCACGGGTTTTTTTCAAGGTGGATCATCTCTATTTAGTTTGAGGCACTTCTTTTGAATCCTCATATTAAATATGTGCTCTTTTTTAGTTCCGGATCTGTGGTTGGTCAAAATCCTAACTCAATTAAACAGAAAACACTTAAAGAATAGTTTATTTTCTCTCTTTCGAGCAGTGTTTCTCAGCCTGTTAAATGCATGTTCCTCTGTAATTATCCTAAAAACCTCACTTCTTCCTGCATATACTTGATATAGACCACTTTCAACCTTTTCACTTTTCCCCACCAGTCAAGAAGATTCTGTTGTTTGTTTTATAAAAGAGTAGATATTTTTCACCTTTTAGACCTAAAATTATGTTATAATACTGCATATGCTTCTTGAGCCAGTTCCAAAGATGATGATTTAGGGCTGTCGACTGTTGAGTTTCATTGCCGCCTCTGTGAACAGGAGCACTGACAGACTGCTCCAATTAAAACTTAAATAAGATGCTTCCACTTCGCTTGTTTAGCTGAGCTAAAAGGTAATATTTCAACTCACATAATCTCAGTGCTTTTCCCAGGAGTTGCTATCTGACCAATGGGCAGCACCTTGACAATAAAGTTGAATATAAAATCTCACTGTGGCCATTATTCTGATGTCAAGGAAAACATGACAAACACACAACCTACCACTGTTGTTATTCATCTCCATAAATACTCTCTTTCTGGGTAGCACTAAAACAAAGCGAAAATTGCAATGCCAGCTCAAGTTCTATACAGTCTGTGTGAATAGACTCAAAGACGACTAGAGCTGAAATAGCCTTAGGAATTGTTTAGTTGAGTTTCTTCATGTGAGTGATGAGGAAACCAAGGCAAAAATAAAATTGGAATCCACATTTTCCTGATTGTCAATCCTCTAACAATATTTTCAATATAACAAGGACTTCCATGTATATTTTTATGTTTCATTTTGCTTATTAATAAGCAGTTAAGATTTAAATAGATATATACATTTACAAAACATGTCCATAAAAAGTGCTTTCACAAAAACTATATGAGGTAGATACTGTCATTATCCTCATTTTAAAGATGAGAAGATGAAGCTTAGATGGTTTATATGACTTGTCTAAAATTTAGTTCTCCAGCAAGAGGCAGAATCAAGAAGCAGATGAATTTAACTCTTTTGATTCTAAAAACCGTAGTATCCCCACTGTACTACTGCATTGTTATAGGAAAATCAAGAAGATTGTTTCAGGCATCTTTGAACACAGTGTGTGTTTTCATTTGCAAATCAGCTGCATTTGTGAAAGAAGTAAGCAACTCTTCAACATGACTCTATGCAGTCTTATCTTATATTGTCACAACAAAGCATAAATTTGAAATAGACCCAGTACTGTTCAGTGGTTTAAACCCCCAGCACTGCCACATACTAGCTCTGTGATTTTGGGTAAGTTCTTTAACCTCTCCAAACTCTTAGTTTACTCGTTTGAAAAAGTGGGACAAAGATGTCTACTACAGGGAGTCGTTATGAGGATAAATGAGGTAACAAGTTTAAAGGCCTAGCACAGTGCCTGCCACATAGTAAGCTCAACAAGTGGGACTTATTCCTGGTGCCTAGAAAAGGAAGGGAAGGGGGAGAGGGGAAGCTCCTGACCGGCGTTGCTTCTGGAGAGTATAGGCTGCTGGGGTGCTTATGGGTAAACTTTTTCTTCAGGCTGTGAATTCTTAGTCACTCAAATGGTAAAAGAACCCAAAGGCAATCATTATAAGAATATAAATAGAATTTGTAATCATTAAATCGGCAAAAGAAAATTTGATCCATCCACTAAAAAGCAAGCAAATATAGTAAATGAAAAATATGAATAAAGTATAGTAAAGAAAGCACAGTGAATGAGAATCATGAGATGAGGTGAGATGGTAGAAAGAAGTCATAATATCATGGTAATGACAATTTGTTCATATGGATTATACTCACTGTGGTAAGCTGAAAAATGCCTCCCTTCCCACAGATTTTTACACCCTAATCCCTGGATCCTGTCAGTGTTATATGGCAAAACAAACAAACCAAACCAAACCAAAACAAAAAGAAGACTTTGCAGATGTGATTAAATTAAGAATCTTGAGATGAGAAGACTATCCTGGATCATTTGGGATAATCATAAGTGTCCTCATAAGAAAGAGGTAGAGGGAGATTTAATAAGACAGAAGGAGAGATGGTGACGTGACCACAGAGGCAAAGACTGGAGTGCTGTGGCCATAAGCCAAGGAATGCCAGCAGCCACTGGGAGCTGAAAGAGGCAAAAAACAGACTCTCCCTGAGAGCTACTGGAGGGAGTGTGGTGCTGCTGGCACCATGATTTTGACTCATGAAAATGATTTTGAACTTCTGCCCTCCAAATTGTGAGATAATAAGTTTTTGTAGTTTTAAGCCACCAAATTTGTGGTAATTTGTTACAGCAACTGCAGAAAATGGATACACTTATCAATTAGAAGAAATAATCTCCCAGACAAAAATAGAAGATCCAATAGTACATTTTGCATGAGTGACGTAGCAGTAATATACATCTGAATAATATAAATAATGAGACCAAGATTATATATATATGAACTGGATACCCACAAAACAGAGAAAATGCATCCTTTTTGAATTTGGAAAAAACGTTTTCAAATATTGAATATGTACTAGGCCACAGAGAATCATAAATCCAAGGAATTAATATTATGCAGCCTAGGTTGATTATAATGCAAGAAGAATAGAAACCAGCAAAAAAAATCTGACTAGAAATATTTCCTATAACTGGAAACTAACACACTGCCAAATAGCTCTTTGGTTCAAATGAAATTATAAGAAAAATTACAGAATAGTTAGAACTGAATCACAATGAAAATACTACATTTCAACATTTGTAGAATGTGGCTGAAGTGATATTTACAGAGAAATTTATAGTTCTAAATATTTTTATCAGGAAGAAAAACATTAATCTAAGTAATAATTCAATCCAAGAATTTTCTTTTTTTCTCTCTTTTTTGAGAGAGTCTCGTTCTGTTGCCCAGGCTAGAGTGCAGTGGCGTGATCTTGGCTCACTGCAACCTCCGCCTCCTGGGTTCACGCGATTCTCCTGCCTCAGCCTCCCAAGTAGCTGGGATTACAGGCACACACCAACACGCCTGGCTTATTTTTTGTGTATTTTTAGTAGAGATGGGGTTTTACTATGTTAGCCAGACTGGTCTTGAACTCTTGACCTCGTGATCTGCCTGCCTTGGCCTCCCAAAGTTTTGGGATTACAGGTGTGAGCCACCGCGCCCGGCTAAGAATTTTCTTAAAAAGAGCAAAATTCCCAAACCAAGAAAGAAACAATAAAAATAAATAACAATGAACAACAACAACAACAATAACAACAATAAAAATAGAGAAGATTAACAAAATCAAAAATTGTTACATTGGAAGAATTAATAAGTAAATGGATATGGTACGTTTTATCAAAGAAAATAGAAAGCAGATAAATTTGAAATTTAGAATATATAAGGAGAAATAACTACAGAAAGAACAGAATAGAAAATAGTAACAGAATTAGGGGCAACGAAATCAACAGAGAAGTGTAGATTGTTTAATAAATCATGTTAGGAAACTTGATTTATTATATGGGAAAAATAAAATGGGATCCCAATTTACACAATACATTTGGACTCTGGATTTCTCCAACTTCATGTAAAGGGCAAAGCTATAAAAATAATAAAGGTTATATCATTATGACCTACAGTTGGAGAAGGAATTCTTAACCCCCCATAAGGGTATCTGTAAGGTGAAAAATGCATAGATTCAATTATATTAAAAAATAAAAATTTCTGTTCTAAGGTGGAAATCATGAACAATGATAACAAATGACCGATATGCAGAAGATGCCTCCAATGTCTAAAACCAACAAGAAACTAATGTCTGAATAAAAGAATTTTGTAAATTAACAAGTAAAAATAAAATGTTATTATTTTTCAATGGAAAAATGGACAAAGGTTATGAACAACATGCAATTCCTAGATGCAACCCAAATGACTGAAATACTTATGAGGAGATGCGGAAACTCATTAGTATTTAGGAAAATGCAAATGAAACACAATTATGCTAGAAAGCCCAGATATTTGGTCAAATATTATTCTGGATGTTCCTGTGATGGTGTTTTTTTGTTTGTTTGTTTGTTTGTTTTGGGTAGGATTAGCATTAAAATCAATGGATTTTGAGTAAAATGGATGACCCTTCATAATGTAGCTGGGTGGGCCTCATCCAATCAGTTGAAAACCTTAGGAAAATGGTTGATGTATCCTGAGGGAGAGTGAATTCTGCCAGCAGATGCCCTTTGGATGCAAACTGCAACTCTTCCCTGAGTCTCCAGCCTGCCTACCTGCTGTTCAGATTTTGGATTTACCAGGCCTCCACAATTGCATGAGCCAATTCCTAAAAAAGAAATCTCTCTCTCTTTACATATATATTCTGATCTCTTAGCTCTGAGCTCTGAATATTTTTGTCTGGGGGATTATTTCTCTTCTAATTGGTAAGTGTATTTGTTTTCTGCAGTTGCTGTAACTGCAACTGCAAAGGAACAGACCAAAGACCAATAGGATGTGTGTGTAAATATATATATAGTACTATATATATAAATATATAACTATATATCTTATATATTGCAATCTTATTGCAAGATTATATTATCTTATATATTGCAATCTTATTGCAAGATTATATTATCTTATTATATATTGCAATCTTATTTCAAGATCTTATTGCAAGGTGAATCTTATTAAGAATACTCATGGTCTTGCAAAGGAACAGACCAAAGATATACCTCTTTGGTCTATTCCTTTGCAAGTCTGTGATTAATACAGACCCCAAACAAGACGTGCCCAGCTGAGCCCAGTCAATCCTCAGAGCCATGAAAATAAAATAATAAATTATTTTAAGCCACCTGGTTGGGGAGAGTTTGTTATGCAGCGATAAATAACTGGTGCACCTTCCACAGTCACTTTATTTAAACATACACTTTATGTAAATGTGCCTAGCAGAGTGTATGCTTTGGAAAAATAATTTTTGTTAAATCATTGAAAATGTTAGTTGGTCAAAATAGTTCTGAAACTTATCTGCTCTGAATTCTGACCCATATCTACAACGTATTCCGTCTCAGACACAAAGGGACCACCAGCTACATTTATTTTTTAAACCAAGTGTTTTCCACAATGTGATCACATTTAATGCAGCTTTGATTCAAGAAACCACCAGTTCCACCAACAATTTGTCACTGCCCACTTTATCCCCACCATACCTCTTCCAAACTTCCATCCATCGTTCTTCTGTTGCCAGGAGTTGAGGACAGGCTTCCATTGTTTTACGTTTTAGTGGATACCATTCATTATCTCTGATTGCAGGTTATGTATGGTAGTAGTTAGAGCCAGTGAATGCATGCCACCTAGGCTACAGGCATTTAAATGAGCGGATTTTCAGGAGGAATTGGTAATAACAGTTATGCCTCACAATTTTGGTAGATAACTCGATAACTCCTGTAATAGAAGTGTATTTTGGTTGAGTGAAATCCCTTACATTGACGGGAACAAGTGGAAATTTGTTGTTTTTTATCATTTGGTGATAAGCAATTTTCTCAAACAGCTGAAAGGGACAGCTATTTAGAAGGCTAAAAATTCCTTTAGTTTAGGCATGACACACGGTGCCTCACTGAGTTTTCACCCCTCTGTCACAAACTATGCCTGTTGGTACACATGACTTTTATCAGCTAATAGCTGACGAAACCTTGAGGATCAGCTAGCCCAGTCATCATAGCAGGTGCTCTATAAATATTTGTAGATTTGGAAGGCATGCTTCTAACTTTTCATCTTTTGATTCCCTTCATAACTATGAGCTGGGATAAAAGGAGTGGTTTTTGTTTGTTTGTTTTGTTTTGCTTTTTAATAAAAATTTTGAAGAGAGAGTGAATTCTGGAGACATTTGTGGTATGTAAGAGAACTGATGGGAGAGGAAAGGGGATTTCACGAAGTATTCCTGAGGGCTATGCATTCCCTTCAATTAAAAAACAAGCTTAGGTTATTTCGAAATTATTCTTTTTTATAGCATCTTTTCTCTTAACTGCTCTGAGGTGAGTTAAGTTATAGTTTGTAAATGTTACACAATTTTTGTTAGAGTGGTGTGTGAAATGACTGAATTGGCTTTGAGGGGAATTTGTAGGGGCTGTCTTATGAACGAATTTTCAGTTCACTGGTGTTTTGATACCCATAAAAGCTGTTAAAGAAAACTTACGTCCCACTTCTTAGTATTCTAGATAGGTTACTGCATAAAGACATATAGAAAAATTGCCCATCAATGATAGACTGGATAAAGAAAATGTGGTGCGTATACACCATGGAATACTATGCAGCCATAAAAAAGAATAAGATCATGTCCTTTGCAGGGTCATGGATGGAGCTGCAGGCCATTATCCTTTGCTAACTCACACAAGAACAGAAAACCAAATACCGTATATTCTCACTTATAAGTGGGAGCTAAACAATGAGAACACATGGACACAAAGAGGGGAACAATACTTACTGGAGCCTTTCAGAGGATAGAGGGTGGGAGAAGGGAGAGGATCAGGAAAAATAACTGATGGGTACTAGGCTTAATACCCGTGTGATGAAATAACCCGTACAACAAACCCCCCAACACAAGTTTACCTATGTAACAAACCTGTGCTTGTACCCCTGAACTTAAAAGTTAAAAAAAAAAAACTTATAGAAAAATTATTGTACTATAATTTTTCATTGTTCCTGCAAGAAACTTCCATTCTAGATAGGTATTATTTTGGTATGGAACAACTGCTACTGCTGTCAGTGAGTGACAGGAGCTGTGCTGCTGTTGCTAGTAGGGGGAAAGTTCCTTCTTTCCTCCTTGCAATTGGCACAGTCACAATTACCTCATGGGAGGTAAGAGCTGAGTTTTACTCTTGTAACATAATGCACTTGTTATCTTTAAGGAGTCACCGTTTTTGCCCCTTGGTGGTTTCCTTATTTGTAGAAAGGATGGATGATGCGGGAACCCTATGCTTGTCATCAGAGGAGCACATGATGTTGGTGTATTCATCTCTCTTATAGCATAAAAATACATGCCCTGGCTTTGCACAGGCCTGACATTGCTTCTTGACTGGTTTGCCACATACCCTGACTATTACCTCCTACAGGGAGGAGACAGAAGTTTCTTCAGGGTTATACCTGTGCTTAATATCACACCTGGATAACAATAGGTGCTTGATAATTATTTGATGAATGAAGGCAAGATTTGAGAACATGATGTGATAATGTATAAGAAAACTGCCTTGAAATGTCGGGTATTTTAATTACTATCCTTGTTACACTTCTGTGAATTCTAAATTTTGCTTTCGGATGTTATAACTAAACCTTCCCAGCTTTGCTGGAATAATCAATGTCCTTTAGAACAAGGCTATGTGTAAATTTCACGTTCTGAAAAGTTTGAACTTTTACCAGGCACCTGAGCTCTGACAATTGAGATCAAAGCATAGGATCTTATTTAACAGGTGATTGGCCCTCAGGACAGAGCCTTATTAATCAGTAAACTTAAAGTCCTGCATTATGCTACATGTTGAAAATACAATAACAAAAAACATGCATTCTTGACATCAAAGTGCGTAAGGGCTGATGTTATAGGTTGGCTTATGTCCTTCCAAATTCATATGTTGAAGTCTTTGTCTCTAGTACCTCAGAATGTGACCTTTCAAAACAAGGTCTTTACAGAGGTGGTTAAGATAAAGTTATTAGGGTGAGAGATGGGATCAGGCCTAGATTTTCTGAAAAGGGACGTCTGACCTGAGACTGGAATAGTGAAAAGGAGGCACTGTTTGAAGCTCTGCGGGGATAATGTTCCATGCAGAGGAACAGTGGGTGCAAAGGCCCTGTGCAGAGTGAGGTTGGCATGTTGGAGAAACAGAGGGAAGCCCAGTGTGGCCAGAGCACATGGACCAGTGAGAAGGGAGCTGTAGGGAGCTGTAAGGTGAAGTTGGAGAGATAGGACAGTCATAGTAAGGCTCTTTCTAATCAGTAAATGTCCAATATCCAATATATTCCTTTTTTTTTTTTTTTTTTTTTTTTTTTTTTTGAGATGGAGTCTCACTCTGTCACTCAGGCTGTAGTGCAGTGCTGTGATCTTGGCTCACTGCAACCTCCACCTCCTGGCTTCAAGCAATTCTCCTGTCTCAGCCTACTGAGTAGCTGGGACTACAGGCGCACACCACCATGCCTGGCTATTTTTGTGTTTTTAGTGGAGAGGGGGGTTTCACCATATTGGTCTGGCTGGTCTCGAACTTCTGACTTCAGGTGATCCACCCACCTCAGCCTCCCAAACTGCTGGGATTACAGGTGTGAGCCACTGTGCCCGGCAAATGTCCAGTATATTCTGGCATGTTTGTGGCACCTGAATGCATTTTATATGTGTGTGAGAAAGTGTTACCTCTCTTGTTTCTTTCTTTTGTTGTTTTTCATAGCTATTTTTCCTTCCTTATTATTATTATTGAGTGATTTAAGCCTACAGCCATGTTGAGGCATGGTGGCTCAGCAGAGCTGTCTGGGAAAAAATGCACGTGATTGCCAACTTTTGCAGAGTTAAGTGATTGGAAAGATAGTCCTCGCCAGCTGATGCACTTGGAGGAAGCCGAGTGTGCCGTGATACCATTCAGTCTGCATCATTGACTCTGCAGTCTCTGCTGCCCTTATAACTTAATGTTCTGGGCAGCCCAGGTTCCCATTTATCAGCAAGCACGATAAATTGCTAATGACTGCTGGCCTATCCCTATTCTTAAGTTATCTGCTAACACAAAGAGACAGATTCATTCAATTTGGAAAATGTTAATAAGATGCCAAAAACGTGTTCAGGGAGATTAAAGAAAAAGCTTTTTCAAATGGCTTGTATCATTGTTTCCAAAATTGAATTCCAACTGTCCCTGTTTGCGCAGGTGAATTAAAAGACTGTCAAAACCTTAAATGTTTCTATTAACCTAATTAAACAGTGTCTGAGTAGAGACTTGGAAAAGATGAAAGGTGTTCATGGTTCATGCTCTATCGAATGAACTTCCATGACAAAAGATAATGAACACTTGCTCCCCCCACCTAGAAAATCAGTTCTAACACTTTGATTCCATTATTTGGATAATATTGATTTTCTAGAATTAGGAAGTTCCTTTAAGTATGTTAGGCTCATTTTTTTTTAAACTTTACAGGCATGAATTTTAGTTTTGCAATACCTGGATTCCGGGCATCATTGCCGTTGCTTGGTGTTGTTGCTTTCACCACCTTGCCCGCAAGTTTGTGAGACACGTCACTACTTACTGGGATCCCTCTGTGAAAAGGTACAGAAAACTGGCGGGAGAACTGAAATCAGTGATTTTTGAAATCAGTGAGCAATTCATATTGTTGCTAAAGGAATACTTGGTATAATTGCCAAAATTGAAGTTTGGGAGTTATAAATATTTCAATTATTTGTTTTATGCCTGGACAGTAGTAAGTATTCTGATAGACAAAATCTCTTCTTAGTTATGGATCCAATAAGAAAGATGCTGAAGATACTATGTTGTTTTATGCCCTCTGTATGAAGACTATGAGGTCATATCTTTTAGAATTTTATACAAAAAAATGTTCTCCACTCCTGAGGAACTTATATTATTTCTGTAAAGATTTATACTTGTATTTGTTTAATCTTTTTTTAATATTAGGAGATAAGTAACTTGTAAGCCATCTTATTCTCTTTTTGCCTTTGCTGCCAGTACCATATGTAATGTTCAAAAGAGTTATTTAACAATACCTTATATATTTAGTATATTAATTTTTCTCCTTTTCTACACAATAGTTTTTGGGGTTATATATGATTCCTATTATAAGCTTCTTGACACAGTTTTTGGAAGTAGATCATAAATAAGTAAAGTAAATAAATATGTGTATTGTGTTCAGATCCCTGTCCTCTAGAAGGATTTTTCTACTGGATTTGTATTTGTTTCTAATATGTTTTACTTTAGTGGCAATTTGGTATGTTTGTTTTATTTGCTTTTTCTGAGTTCTCTTATCTGTAGTGTGATTCCTTCTGAATGGTGGGACAAACATTTGTGACTATATTTCCAAACAGGTTATTTGATGAGTTATAAGGACTTCAAAAATATTCTCATTCCTTTTGACTTAGTACTTTAAATTACAGCAAATGTTATTAAGGGCATTTTAGTGGGCATTCCAGGCATGATGCAAGGTTTTGGCAGGTGAAGCAACTGGGCCATAATAAAGCACACTTGTCCCGACAGCCATGTAAATAACATTTGGGTTACATGATGTGCTATCTTTCTATTACAAATGACATAAAGAATTGCTTTTCCGTACATTGATTTTTTTAAAATGAGGGTGTCTTGTATTGTCAGATGGGGAATGTAGTTCTGATAGCTCAAGTGTTGTTGAATCAAGTAAAAATCCCTCCCTGTGAAACTACAGGAAGTGAGTTGAAGACTGGAGCCGAATGCGGCAGCTGCCTAAACCACTGATGACTCATTGGCTAAATTGCGATTTAGTAATTTTGGTGTTGATAATTGGTAAGATAAGATGACAAACCAACCAGTCAGCTGCCTCAAGGGTTTTAGTGAGTATAGCGGAGAATTCCAATTACTTTCTAAGAGATCAGACTTCTCACTGGATGGCTTTTTCCCCTCTTGTTCTGATAAAGTATGTTCTCTACATGGCAAGACAAGTGATGATTTTGTCACATCTTCCTGGCTGGAGGTTAAGTTATATAGATTTTTATGGTTTCTCTCTCTGGGTTTTTGTACTTTACTCCTGTAAACCAAAAGCACCTGCTTCTGACACTCCTACCATACTCTTATCCAGGTCTGCTTTGAGGTTTTAGTTTCTCTCTTTCCTCTCTCCCTCTGTATTTGTGCCAACCTCAATGAATGATAAATATTTTAGTAAAGATTTGGAAGGATATGGGGGTTGGGGGTGCAAGGGATTCTTACATGGCATATCATGCAACAAAATCTCTAAATATTCCCTTTACCCATCTCTTTCTTCAGTGTTTCTCTCCCTACAGCAGATGTTCCATTTCTGTCACTTTCCATCTTATCTTCCTGCTTCCTCTCCCACACCTTCTCCACATCTTCCTGTATTCCTCCAGGTAACTCATTCTAAGTCTTCCTCTCCAGATGTTTCTATCGCACTATCTTTTCTTGTGTAAAAGCAGCTTAACACTCCCTGGGCATCTGCAATATGCATCCCTATATGTGCTGAGCCTCCATACCCCCTCAAAAGAGTCTTAGAGAGGTGGTACAATTTCCACCTTCTTCAGAAGGTAAGGAGGGAGGATTGTAAATAATTTGTGATTTTATTTAATTCTTTTCTTCTGAACATCTTTCCTTGACATTTTTTGAACATTATGAAAGGTCCTTAACTTCTCACTCTGTCTCTAAGACAAATCTTCTAAAACCATCTTTCTATAATCAGAGAGTTATATGTTATTCACAAAAAGCCCAGAGAAAAATATAACATCCTGTGTTCATTCTTTTCCTTCTTCTCTCTCCCCTCCACCCACCTCTCCCTGACCCCAGTCTTTCAGTGTATGTGTTCATTTGTTGCATTCTCCCCTCTCCTCTATTTCGTCTTTCTTTCTTTTTAAATGATGGAAATTGCAAGCTTTCCTTTCTTGACAGTTATGATTAAAGGACTGTGCACCTGCTCAGGTAGAATAAATGGGTGAAATGCTGAAGCAAGTATTTATGCTAACTAATTGAGTCTCCTTTCTTGCTTTCAAAAACAAGCCCGCAATTCAGATAAGCTGCTCCTCAAATAAGCATGCTGAAAACCTTTCCATTCAAGCTCTCTGATGTCAAAAGAAGTCCTCAAGTCTCAACTCCGTGAGGTTCAGTGGGGCACAGGTGCTGTTTCTGCAGAGATGAATGAGTGCTTAGTCACAGAAAAGGGGATAAATTGTCTCTTTTCTCTGTAAGAAGGAAGGAAGAAGGAAAGCAGAGGAAAGGGCAAAGACAAGAAGGTTTTAATAATAAAGGGTTTAGACACCCCTTCTCCTTTTCCCTCCCAACTTTTATAAGCTCCAGGGGTTCTAGAATCAAGTTTGACATACTTAAAAACAGAATACCAAATGCTCTTTAAGTTTATGTTCTCATTTTCAAAGCTGTCTCCCACTCCACTGAGGCTTCTCATCTATTTTTTCCCCTCTCTAATGGGAAGAAAGTCTTGCTAGGCATCTAATTAACTAGTAGGTAAACCTCATTGAATAAACAGCCTTTTCTTTAAAAGACAAGCTTTTTGAAAACAGGACACAGATCTTGTCTCTCTCCCTCTGTTCTGCTCACCTCTCCTTTTCTTCCAAATTCCTCTCACCCCTCACCTTTATGGATGGTTCAAAAGGTTCTTCATTGCAATCGGTTAATATATCTCTTAAGCCTATTGATTTTCCTCTCCATTTCCTTTTACTTTATTGCAGTTATTATTGTTTTTAGTAGAAAAAATCGATTGGTTTGCTCTACACAGCTCTCACAGTTTGGATTTTGCTGATAATCCTGGAGGAGGGTTTTACATTGTTTCTTACATTTTCTGTAAATTGACAGTTAGGTCTAGATGTTTGATTCAGATTCAGCACTGAATTCTGGGGCACCAGACTACCTCACAGGTGGTGCTGTGTGCTTCCAGTAAGAGATATGTCATGATGTTCAGTTGTCCCTTTGCTTCAAGGTTTGAAGTCAATAATTATTGCCCAGATTCAATAATTATTTGGTAGTTGCAAATGATGATATTTTAATTCTACCATTTTTCCTTTACCATTAGGTGGAGAACTTCTATGAAGGATTTTTTTTCTTGTCAAATATTTGGTAAGACAAATATTGTAGATGAGGCAGGATAGGTACTCGTTTCTTTTTCCCTGTTTATAGCTTTTAAAAGTAACAAGTTGGTTTCCTAGCAGCCTCTGAAGGTGACTACCTTAGGTAGAGTTCTGGCAAAATCAGACTTGGAAACAGGGATCCGAAGGTGCAGGAAACACCAACAAGGGGAGTGGAGAAGTACGACCAGGAAGGGAAGGCAGCCCAACCAGAACACGTTACTGAGCCAGCTAGCACAAAGGGTGATAGCGTTAAAGCTGCCTGGGACACTCTAAGGGCTAGTGTAGAATGCTTCCATGTTATCCCTTTTGAGGGACGTAGGTTGATGGATGTGCAAAACCCTACCTCTTCTGTCCTGATATGGGCCCTGGAGGCCAGAGAAAGCTCCCGGGCAAAGAAGCACATGTGCTGGCAGAGGGAAGTTGGGCCACTGACCCCTGACATAGTAAGAGGGGATGTGGGTGAGGCACTGACAAAGACTGCTATAGCCCACCGTTTTCCCTGCTAAATGCCCCACAGTAAGTTTACTTTATTCCATCATTGACACTTCAAGGTGGCAGTTAGCGACAATTAAAAAAAATAGACTTGCCACATGAATAGTCATAGGACAATCTACATCCCTCCCCTTTGCCATAGCAGTCCAGAGACTGCAACTATGTTTATCATCTCACTCCTCTTTTGTCCATTCTGCATTCTCTATCACCTTGGCTAGCTTGTCTAGGGTATATGACCAGTGGGATAACCCAGACCTTCATCTCTGAGGGATCAGAACCTCTGGTCGTTTTGCCCTTGTTGGACTGTGGTTGCTGTAGTTGCCTACTTACTGGAATCACTAGCAAGCTTCAAGGGGTAATCCACTGTAGCAAAGGAGGCCATAACTTCCAGCCCCTATTGTGCAGCAGCAATCTCAACCCTTCAGATAATCAGGGTCAGTTGCTCAAGCTGATATATTAATCTTGCTTGTTGAACTACTGGAATGGAAGTCCTAAATAACCAAGTGGCTGCTGTATGTTTAGTAGAATCCTATGTCCCCTAGTGGAAGGATCCCACTCCTTGGAAACATAACGTCTAGTCTAGCAGAATCTAAAGTGGCAGCACAAATTTCTCAAATGGGTCATTTGGAATGGTGGTGAGAGGGGCTGCTCTTACTTCTTCTCCTTAGTTTTTAGATCCAATTATTTTACCTTTCAGCTACCAAGAACCATAGATATATTCTTAGTTCAAAATAGGTACCACATTTTGAAGGATAGAACTTCTAACCTTAGGTGTCACTTCTAAGCTGGTGCCATAGCTGTATCTGTAAGAGACCATTCCAACATACTATTAGACTTGCTGCTTCTGAGTGATTCAATATATGGTAGGATCCTATGATCATGGACCCATTTTCACACCTCCTTTGCCACAATGTGAGTCCCTTGGTTTGATGTGATGTTAGGTAGTATCGTATGTCAGTAAATTAGATACTGTATACGTTCTTAGATGATGGTGTTGGCAAGAAAATGAATACCATGAAGGCATATCATCCCAGGAAGGACATATAACTTTCCCTCCAGGATGAGAGGGCTCCAGTGTAATCACCTAGCCCCAGGTTGCTAGTGGGTCTCTTTGAGGGATGACACCATATGGAGAGCTCAGTTGGTCTTTGTTGCTGACAGGTAGGACATTCAGTGGCAGCATTAGCTAGATCAGCCTGGCAAGGAGTACCTGGTCTGTTGGACTAATGCATAGCCTTCGTCCCTGCCTCCATGGCTACTCCATTTATGAGCTTATTGTATAAGCACTGGGGGACTGAAGTCAGAAGCTGGCTGACCTTCACTGGAAAAGCCACTCTGTTCACCTGGTTGTTCAGAGCCTCCTTAATTGTGAGTGCTTGCTGGTAGGCATTGACAGGAGTTACAAAGATATACACTTTGTTGGGCTGACTCCCATATGTCTACCCACATGCTGCTTCTTAGAACTCTTTGTCTCGGATCTTTTTCCCTCCAGGTCCATGACCAATCAGCAATGCCATTTGCCACCGCTAGGAGTTCACATCTATTTTAACCTTATGCCTCTTCACACTAAGTTAAAGACTAGTTGTACTGTTAACATTTTCCCCATCTGTCTTTCAGGGTCACCTGAAAGGCAGGGCTGTAGTGTGAGAGCAGCACTAACAATGGAACCATCCCATTTGTGAACCACATCTAGATTTTTTTTCATCTTCCATCAGCTGGTTATGGAGAATCCCCATGTGGCCAAAGGTGCGAGCCCAAAGTATAAACTTCCTTTATCCAGCCTTATATTTGGAACTGCCTCCAGCCCTTGTCCATCATCCCCAGGCATGCTCTCCAGGCCTCTGAGGGTGTAAGTTAGCCAGGTGTTACAGCTCTTTTACATCCCTCCTCCGGCCTTGATGATCTTTGACCCCAGCTACTAGCCTAGGAGCATGAGGGAAGACAGTCTTGAGGAGGGCAAGTATCTTACAAGGTATCTGCCTCAGGTATAGCCTCTGCACATTCTTTTGGCAAGGGGAAGCTGCTATCCTCCAGCAAGGGATTGCACACCACCTTTGCAGCCCAGAGGGTTCAGGAGCATCTGCGGCCAAGGTTCTCATTTATGTCCATCCAGATGTACCTGTTCCCTATCAGAGTTTCTAGAACAGACCTCCATCTCTATAGGATGATGAAGGTAGCAGCAATATTTGCTACCAACTACTGATTTGCGCTACAAAAGGGAATGAGCTCTGGGAAGCTGTCAACATTATTGATGGTGGAGCAGAAAAATTAAAATAATAATAGAGGTCTTTGATGGCACTGCTGAATCAACAGCCCCTGAAGTCTGCCTAAAATCTGGACTACTAGATACATGACTCAATACATTATTCACTGTTTATACCATGTTTGAGTTTTTTTTTTTTTGTAAATTACAGCCAAAAGCATGCTGTCTATCAAAGTATTCTGTTAAATGGTGTTAATAAATGGTATTACTAACACCATTTAACAGAAGAAGAAACTGGATCCCGAAGGGGTTAAAGGAATCTGCTGAAAGTTGGCATGGATAGTAAATGACTAAAACTGGCACTTAAGACCAAGTGTGTCTGACTCTAGAGCCCTAATTACTTAATCACCATGTTCTTTGTAGCAAGGTGTGAATCTCAGAGAAAGATAAAGCCTTCCTGAAAGGAGTTTCCTCAGTTTTCCCTTTAATTTATACAAGGGCTTCAAAGGCCCTTGAACATAAACAAAACCAGTGGAGAAGGGAGTCTACCTACCAAGCCAAGTTCTTGTCATGTGAAGGAAGCCATCAGTCCCCAGCCTAGAGTCCTGAAATCACCTTTATTGATGGGCCAGGAGGTACCCCGGGGGGTCCTGGGTAAGACTCGCATGGAGAATTCAGACTGGGGCAAAATTGTGGTTCTTTATGCTCTGCCTTCCCCAGGGGTCTGCACTGGGGGCCTGAGAAATGGAGAGAGCTGACTCTGTAGAACAGAGTCCAGCAGGAGCCTTGTAAACCCACACACCAGGCATAGCATGAGGAAGATGGAGGGAGACTGGCTGAACCTTCTTTTGAGGCAAAGTAATGCCAACTCTCATTATGTGGGACAGGACCTAACATATGGTGCTTCTCACCAATCCTTAGCCATTCCTTTCTCAGCGAAAGGAGAGAGAAGGAGGTTGAAGCCCTCTCCCAAGCACTTCTCAAAGAGAGAGGCAGTGCTGGTGGGCTGAGGTAGAGGTGTGGAGAGAAGGAAAATGTTTTGTCAGGTCAGCAATTTTTCTGTAAAAGGCCAGATAATAAATATTGTAGGCTTTGGGGGTCACATGCGGTTTCTAGTATGTATTCTTTGTTTTTTCCCTAACACTTAAAATGTAAGAACTGAAATGCCAGGAGGAGGGGCCAAGATGGCTGACTAGAAACAGCTGTGGTCGGAGGCTTCTGCCAAGAGAATGAAAATGGCGATTGAGTCCTGCACCAGCAACTGAGGTATCCAGGTTCTCTCATTGGGACTTACTAGGTGGTTAATGTGACCTGTGGAGAGTGAGGAAAAGCAAGGTGGTCCAACAGCCCACCCGGGAGCCACATGGGGCAAGGGGAGCTCCCACCACCAGCCAAAGGAGGCAGTGAGTGATTGTGCTACCCCGCCTAGGAAAGCATGCTTTTTCCGCCAATCTGTGCAACCCGTAGATCAGGAGATCTCCCTCATGAGCCCATGCCACCAGGGTCTTGGGTCCTGAGCACAGAGCTGTGCAGATTCTCTGTGCCACGCAGCTGGAGACAGCCTAAGACTACTGAGTTCCCAGGGGGAGGGGCGGCTGCCATCACCGCAGCTCCGCCATTGACAGAGTTGGGGAGGCTGGGCAGTATGGACTAGGGAGGTATTCCCCACAGCACAGCACAACCGCTGTGGCAGATTGTGGCCAGACTGCCTCTTTAGGCTGGACCCTAACCTATCCCTCCTCACTGGCAGGGCCTCCCTGTGGGAATTTCAGCAACTCCAGCCAGAGGTTTAGGGACAGAACTCTGATCTCCCTGAGACTGAGCCCCTGCGGGGAGGGGTGGCGGCGGCCTCCGCAGATCGGCGGACTTAGTCTTTCCCCCTGCTGGCTCTGAGGAATCCGGGCAGTCTGGCCGAGCGGGATTCCCCTCAGCACAGCACATCCCTTCTGCCAAGGGGCGGATAGAGTGCTTTGTTAAGCACGTCCTTGATCTCATGCCTCCTAACTGGGTGAGACACCCCCAACAGAGGTTGCCAGACATATTATATAGGAGCATTTCCCCTGGCATCAGGTTGGTGACCCTCTGTGATGGAGCTCCCAGAGGAAGAAGCAGGCAGCCATCTTTGCTGTTCTGCAGCCTCCACTGGTGATACCTCCAGGTGCAGGAGGGACCCAGGCAAATAGGGCCTAGAGTGGACCCTCAGCAAACTGCAGCAGCCCTATGAAAGAGAGCCTGACTGTTAGAAGCAAACAAACAGAAAGCAATAACAACAGCATCAACAAAAAAGTCCCCACAAAAACCCCATCCAAAGGTCAGCAGCCTCAAAGATCAAAGCTAGATAAACCTGCAAAGATGAGAAAGAATCAACACAAAAATGCTGAAAACTCAAAAAGCCAGAGTGCCTTGTCTCCTCCAAATGATCACAGCACCTCTCCAGCAAGGGCTCAGAACTTGGCAGAGGCTGAGATAGATGAATTGACAGTAGTAGGCTTCAGAAGGTAGGTGATAACAAACTCCACTGAGCTAAAGGAGCATGTTCTAACTCAATGCAAAGAAGCTAAGAACCATGATAAAACATTACAGGAGCTGTTAACCAAAATAATCAGTTTAGAGAGGAATAGAAATGACCTGATGGAGCTGAAAAACACAACACGAGAACTTCACAATGCAACCACAAGTTGAGGAAAGAATTTCAGAGTGTGAAGACTATCTTGTCTGGCTGAAATAAGACAGTCAGACAAGATTAGAGAAAAAAGAATGAAAAGGAATGAATAAAACCTCTGAGAAGTATGGGATTATGTAAAAAGAGCAAACCTATGACTGATTGGGGTATCTGAAAGAGACAGGGAGAATGGAACCAAGTTGGAAAACATACCTCAGGATATCATCCAGGAGAACTTCCCCAACCTAGAAAGACAGGCCAACGTTTAAATTCAAGAAATCCAGAGAACCCCAGTAAGATACTCCATGAGAAGATCAACCCCAAGACACATAATAATCAGATTCTCCAAAGTCAAAATGAAGGAAAAAATGTTAAGGGCAGCCAGAGAGAAAGGCCAGGTCACCTAAAAAGGAAAGCCCATCAGACTAACAGCAGACCTCTCAGCCAAAATTCTATAAGCCAGAAGAGATTGGGGGCCAATATTCAACATTCTTAAAGAAAATAATTTCCAACCCAGAATTTCATATCCGATCAAACTAAGCTTCATAAGTGAAGGAGAAGTAAAATCCTATTGTCTCAGCCCAAAAGCTTCTTTTTTTTATTTTGAGACGGAGTCTTACTCTGTCACCCAGGCTAGAGTGCAGTGGTGCGATCTTGGCTCACTGCAAGCTCTGCCTTCCAGGTTGATGCCATTCTCCTGCCTCAGCCTCCAGAGTAGCTGGGACCACAGGTGCCTGCCACCATGCCCGGCTAACTTTTTGTATTTTTAGTAGAGATGGGGTTTTCACCATGTTAGCCAGAATGGTCTCTATCTCCTGACCTCGTGATCCACCCGCCTTGGCCTCCCAAAGTGCTGGGATTACAGGCGTGAGCCACCACGCCCGGCCAGCCCAAAAGCTTCTTAGGCTGATAAGCAACTTCAACAAAGTCTCAGGCTACAAAATAAACGTGCAAAAATCACAAGCATTCCTATACATCAACAATAGACAAGCAGAGAGCCAAATCATGAATGAGTTCCCATTGACAATTGTTACAAAGAGAATAGAATACCTAAGAATACAGCTAACAAGGGAAGTGAAGGACCTCTTCAAGGAGAACTACAAACCTCTGCTCAAGGAAATCAGAGTGGACACAAACAAATGGAAAAACATTCCATGTTCATGGATAAGAAGAATCAATATTGTGAAAATGGCCATACTGCCCAAAGTAATTTATAGATTCAATGCTATTCCCATTAAACTACCATTGATACTCTTCACAGAATTAGAGAAAACTGCTTTAAAATTCATATGGAACCAAAAAAGAGCTGGTATAGCCAAGACAATCCTAAGCAAAAAGAACAAAGATGGAGGCATCATGCTACCTGACATCAAACTATACTACAAGGTTACAGTAACCTAAGCAGCATGATACTGGTACCAAAACAGACACATAGACCAGTGGAACAGAATAGAGATCTCAGAAATAAGACCACACATCTACAACCAGCTGATCTTCAACAAACCTGACAAAAACAAGCAATAGGGAAATGTTTCCCTATTTAATAAATGGTGATGGGAGAACTGGCTAGCCATATGCAGAAAACTGAAACCGGACCTTTTCCTTATACCTTATAGAAAAATTAACTCAGCTGGGCGCGGTGGCTCACACCTGTAATCCCAGTACTTTGGGGGGCCGAGGTGGGTGGATCACGAGGTCAGGAGATTGAGACCATCCTGGCTAACACGGTGAAGCTCCGTCTCTACTAAAAATACAAAAAATTAGCTGGGCGTGGTGGCGGGTGCCTGTAGTCCCAGCTACTCGGGAGGCTGAGGCAGGAGAATGGCGTGAACCTGGGAGGCAGAGCTTGCAGTGAGCCGAGATCGCGCCACTGCGCTTCAGCCTGGGTGACAGAGCAAGACTCCATCTCAAAAAAAAAAAAAAAAAAAAAAAAAAAGAAAAAGAAAAATTAACTCAGGTGGATTAAAGACTTAAATGTAAAACCCAGAATTATAAAAACCCTGGAAGAAAATCTAGGCAATACCATTCAGGACATAGGCATGGGCAAAGATTTCATGATGAAAATGTCAAAAGCAATTGCAACAAAAGCAAAAATTGACAAATGGGAGCTAATTCAACGAAAGAGCTTCTGCACAGCAAAAGAAACTATTATCAGAGTGAACAGACAACCTAGAGAATAGGAGAAGATTTTTGCAATCTATCCATCTGAAAAAGGCCTAATATCCGGAATCTATAAGGAACATAAATTTACAAGAATAAAACAAAAAACCCCATTAAAAAGTGGGCAAAGGACAAGAACAGACACTTCTCAAAAGAAGGACATTTATGTGCCCAACAAACATATGAGAAAAAGCTGAACATCACTGATAATTAGAGAAATGCAAATCAAAACTACATTGAGGTACCATCTCACACCAGTCAGAATGGTGATTATTAAGAAGTCAAGAAACAGATGCTGGAGAGGCTGTGGAGAAATAGGAACACTTTTACACTGTTGGTTGCAATGTAAATTAGTTCAACCATTGTGGAAAATAGTGTGGTGATTCCTCAAAGACCTAGAACCAGAAATATCATTTGACCCAGCAATCCCATTACTGGGTATATACCCAAAGGAATATAAATCATTATGTTATAAAGATACAGGCATGTGCATCATTGCAGCACTATTCACAATAGCAAAGACATGGAATCAACCCAAATGCCCATCAGTGATAGACTGGATAAAGAAAATGTGGTACATATACACCATGGAACACTATGCAGCCATAAAAAGGAATGAGGTCATTTCCTTTGCAGGGACATGGATGGAGCTCAAAGCCATTATCTTCAGCAAACTAACACAGGAACAGAAAACCAAACACCGCATGTTCTCGCTTGTAAGTGGGAGCTGAACAATGAGAACACATAGACACAGGGAGGGGAAAAACATACTGGGGCCTGTTGGGTGGGAGTTGGGGGAGGGAGAGCATCAGGATAAATAGTTAATGCATGCAGGGCTTAATACCTAGGTGATGGGTTGATAGGTGCAGCAAACCACTATGGCACGCGTTTACCTATTGAACAAACCTGCACGTCCTGCACATGTATTCTGGCATTTTCCTGCCAGCCGGCATTTTTCCTGTCATCTTCCCCTCCCCCACGCCTCATCCCGTGTTTTTCTCAGGCCCATTTTCTCACTGGGTAGGCTGTGCCTGCCTCCAGATGTTGAAATTCACTTACTAATTCCTGAAGTATTTCATGCTAGCTTTTGGGACCTGTCCCTTTTAAGTCAGTGCAACTGTCCCATGTATCTCCTGTAAGTGTCCCTCCCCTTCAAGGGGTGGTTTCCCCATTGCTCTTATTTTTTTATTTTTTATTTTTGAGATGGAGTCTCACTTTTGTCACCCTAGCTGGAATGCGTGGCGCTATCTCAGCTCACTGCAGCCTCCGCCTCCCGCAAGAGATTCTCTTGCCTCAGCTTCCTGAGTAGCTGGGATTACAGGCACCTGCTACCATGCCCAGCTAATTTTTGTACTTTTAGTAGAGATGGGGTTTCACCATGTTGGCCAGGCTGGTCTCAAACTCCTGACCTCAGGTGATCCGCCCACCTTGGCCTCCCAAAGTGCTGGGATTGCAGGCCTGAGCCATTGCGCCCCACCCCATTGCTATTTGCCACCTGCTGCTTGGAGAGACTGGCTGTTGATGGTTCCTGATGTTTTTTCGATGGTGTCCCCAAGCCATCGTTCCCTCAGCTCTCTGTGGTCTCCCCTGCCTTCCTCTGTTGGATCACATTGGCTCCATCACCTGTTCTGATCTGGTAATAATGAAAACGTCTGGCGCATCCCTCATCGCAGCTCAGTGAGCAGTTAGTTTGGAGTACAGCTTCTTTTCCTTTCACATCTGTTTAGCTTGGCCTTTGAGATCTCCTACTTTTCTCCTAAGGCAAGTTTTTCCTCCCTGGAGTTCAATCGTATGTCTTTTATTTTTACTTTTTATCTTCTTTTCTCACAGCCAGTGTTCTGACTGAAAGACTAAAACTTGTTTCTTAAGCTGATTTGATTCTCCCTTGAGTCACCAAGTAAACCTTATTTGTAGATATAGCATGTTCTTGCTGAAGTCTTTTTAATTCCCTTCTAAGACTCTGGGCTTGAAATAAATTCCATGGGTTTTTTTTTTTTTTTTTTTCCCTGCTTTTCATTCTAAGAAGACTACTTATTTCCTCTGTGATAAGCAACCCCACCTTTCTTTTGCTTGCCACTCAGTTCCTCTGTGCTTGCCCACTGATAAAAGCTGCTGCTGCTTGTGGTGGAATCTACAATTGAGGGCCCTAAAGTCCATCCTCATGGTGGCTTCACGTGGGTGACTTTTGGAACAGGTGGAGGTGACTGGTTTCTCAGAAGTTCATCCCTCTGCATTTCATATCTAGGTCTTGAGGATCTAAAATATAGGAACATAATTTGGGGCCACTGGTCTAGTGCCTCATATTGATGCCCAGCACCAAGGGTTGAAAGATTGGATTCATGTGTTAATGTTCCATGGTGCATGGGGAACTTAGATGCTCTTTGCAGTTTATAATCCTTGCCAGCAGTCCTGGCTAAGATACATTTAAAAGAAAGAAAACAGGCCCTCATTGCAAAAATTATTCCCTACACCTGTAGCTAAAAGGCCCACCTATTGAAGCTTCTCCTGTTCTGGGGGTAGCATTCTCTGGCATGAAGAGACTCCCTCTCCAGGGATGCAATATCTGCTTGGCTAAGCTCAAACTACCCAGAGCCACATTGAGCTGCTGTCCTGACACTGGCCCAAGGCCCATATGCACGCCAGCCGGCTGCTGTGGTCCTAGCATGGTGTTTGGTACCTCTAATGCTGGTCCTTGTGTTTACTTACAAGGTTTCCTTTATACATGGGGTGCTGGAGCTGCCCATTGCAGGCTTTCTCCCCTTTGAGTTTTGACCAATTGAGATCAGACAAAAGAGGCCAAATCAGGGACAACCTGCAGCACCAGCGTTAGGCCTATGGTGGCAGATCCCGTCAAGTTCATAACTGATGTGCCATTTCCTGCTTGACAACGTGCGGATGCAGACCATTCCCGCTTCGCAGCTGACAAGTGAGAAAAAGAAAAGCAGCCCCTGGCATCTGGGAGCTGGCCTGTGTCTACTAGTTAGGCCTGTGTTCTCCCATTGAACATGAACAATGTTGCAGAACATCAAGAACTAAAAATAGAACTACTCTTTGACCCAGCAATCCTGCTACTGAGTATCTACCCAAAGAAAAAGAAATATTTACATCAAAAAGATACCTGCACTGGTATGTTTATTTCAGCACTATTCACAATAGCCAAGATATAGAATCAACCTAAGTGTCCATCAGTGGATGACTGGATAAAGAAAACATGGTATATATACACATTGGAATACTATTCAGCCATAGAAAATGAAATCATGTCTTTTGCAGCAATATGAATGGAACTGCAGGCCATTATCTTAAGTGAAAATAATGTGAAGAGACACAGAAAGACACGTACAACATATTCTCACTTATAAGTGGGTGCTAAACAATGTGTACACATGGACATAGAGTGTAAAATAATAGACTTTGGAGATTCAGGAAGTCGGAGATTGTGAGGGGGGTGCATGATGAGCAATTACTTAACTGGTACAATGTACATTATTCTGATGATGGTTATATAAAAGCCCTTGACTTTACAACAGTGCAATTTATGCATATGCATGTAACAAAATTACACTTGTACCCCATACATTTATACACAAAAATCTACACAAAGACAAAACAGGACTATGCCTGAGGCTACACAAAACATGAATATTGTCCAAACCAAAATATCAAACATCCCTTTTTTGGCTAATGCGAGTGACTGCTGTTGTTTACCAAGTATAGCTTTAGCCATGGTCCAGTCATTCCACCTTCTAGATAAGATTTATTAAGATACCCAGGCCAGATGTGGTGGCTCACGCCTGTAATCCTAGTACTTTGGGAGGCCAAGGCGGGCGGATCACGGGGTCAAGAGTTCAAGACCAGAATGGCCAGCATGGTGAAACCCCATCTCTACTAAAAATACAAAAATTAGCCAGGCATGGTGGTGCATGCCTGTAATCCCAGCTACTCAAGAGGCTGAGGCAGGAGAATTGCTTGAATCCGAGAAGCAGAGGTTACAGTGAGCCGAGATCAGGCCACTGCTCTACAGCCTGGGCAACACAGCGAGACTCCATCTCAAAAAAAAAAAAAATACCTAAGGATAGAATTACCCCATCTTCATTTCCTGCAGCATCCAATTCAGAGGAATATCCCACTACCTTAAACCCTCCCCCAAATAGCTGAACACAGGCCAAAATCCTGTACGTTCTTTCCAGTCTCTGAGATGCACCACAGCCTCACTGTGTGCCTTCTCCTTCACTGAACAAGCAATAAACTCAACTTGTTCAACTGCAGGTGTGTCCATGGTGGCCTTCGGTTGGAGGGCAACTGGCATTAGGAATAGTTTATAAGAGAGACAAAGACACTTCATTCTTTAGCTTTTAAGTTAAAACAAAATCTCCTTTCTTTGGTGTGGGAGAATATGGATTCACTCACCAGTGTGGACAGACAGGGCAGGAGATTTGATGGTAGGTGTGCTCTGAAGACCAGAGGAATGCAGCAGGAGACTCAGGAGTGGAAGAGAAGGAAGAATTAGGTGCAGTGCTCTGATTTTTCTCCCCCGATTATCCCATCCTTTGGGGGCTGAAAGGGAGCAAGGGCCTGGGCTCAGGGGAACCTCTTCCTTGGCATTTGGGGCATCTGAGAGTGAGTGACCGCTGGTGCCCTGCTTCCCACAGGGCCCTCCAAGACTGGCAGCTCCATTTGTGCCATGAAACATGGGTGACGGCCAAATAAGTGGAGGGCATTTAGACATGTGAGGGATCCTAGACCCTACCACATCTTAAAGACAGATCCAATCATTTCCGCTGTCTCCTCATGGGCATGGAGATGAGTCAAGGGAAAGAATAAACATGTTTGTTTGGAGAGACATCGGTCAGGAATAGGGTCTCTGGTGGTGCCAAGGGTGACTCAGGGGCCACTTTGAGGATCAACTACAATAGATTACTGAGGTGAAAGCAGAATCTCACCAATGAGGCCAAGAAGAGCCCAGCAGCTAAGGCCGTCTATGTGTGCTGACCAAGGTTGAGAGGGTGTCCACTGGGCTGCAGCAACATAGGTTCATCAAAGCATTTGAGTCAACCCAGGAGGTGCGGAGACAGGAGTGGCAGAGAAGAGCCAGTCTCTGGCAGAAGCAAGTGGATGAATTGACCCCAAAGATCATTGCTAGAGAAGGTGAAAAAACACAGAATTGGCAAAGTGACCCCAAAGATCATTGCTGCAGAAGGTGAAAAGACACAGAATTCTGTGCACCCGTATACTGCATTATGTATATTGGGTGCACAGAATTTGAATTCAGTTCTAGAAATTTAATATATACACACATGTGTGTGTCTACATACATACATGTGCATTTGCTTATAAAGTGAAAATTCAGGCCCTCATACTGGAACAGTACAGTGGAGGAATGGCCAAGGCTCCTGCCTCCCACATGGTTTGGAGGGACAGGCCCAGTACTGGATAAACAAGCCGAAGTGCCACTTGTTTTGGTAGATGAACCCCACAGGTACAGGAATCAGAGGAGGAGCAGAATGTGCTGTCCTGGGGCCTTGCAGTTCTGTGTGTGTGTGTATTGCTGAAATTTCCTTTCCATATATAAGCTACAGCAAAACACAGGGGAAATAGGAGAATAGCTTCTCCTTTAAAAACTAGTATTTGTCGCCTGCACACATACAGCTTTTGGGGAGGCCATTGGGCAACCCCTGCCTGAGCTCTCAGCTCTAAGGTCAGGACTGGGTTAAGGGGAAGAAAAGGGGCCAGGTGCGGTGGCTCATGCCTGCAATCCCAGGACTTTGGGAGGCTGAGGTGAGAGGATCACTTGAGGCCAGCCTGGGTAATAAAGTGAGATCCCCGTCTCTACAAAAAATAGAAAAATTAGCCAGGTGTGGTGGCATGTGCCTGAAGTCTCAGCTACTCAGGAGGCTGATGGCACCACTGCACTGAATCCTGGGTGACAGAGTGAGACCCTGTCTCTCTCTCTCTCTCTCTCTCTCACACACACACACACACACACACACACACACACACACACACACACACACGAAGGAAGGAAAAGCATGATTTGGGTCCCACTTGGGTTGGAGAAGGTCATAGAATCATGGAGAAAGTCTGGAGCTGAGGATAGGATGTAGGCATCCCCCCACTTCCCTTTAAGAAGTCTATTATTTAAAAATGCACAAATATATTCTTCACTTACAAGTGTATTCTTCTCATAAAAATTCAAACACCGTTAAAATTTTTAAGTCCCCGTTTGCCATCAGCTACAGGCTAGTCTCTTGCCTAGTGGTAAGCTCTATTATTCATTTATTATTCATTCATTATTCAAACTTTATTCTATAAATAAAATTTATAGTCCTAGGTATTAACAAACAGTATGTACTTTCTGTGTCATGCCATTATTCTCTGCACATGTACTTACCCCATCCAAACTCCCCAAATTGGGATTTTACTGCACAGATTGTTTAACAACCTGATTTTTTCCTGAAAAATACTTAATGAACATTTTCCTTAGTCCTTAGATCATAAAAATTTTTTTGAATTTTAATCTAAGCAAGACATACATATTAAGATTTAAAGAAGTAATATAAGGCTTAAAATGAAGACCATCTATCCTCCCTGTGTATCTCTTCCTCCTAAACATTTAGCTGTTGCTTTTGGTAATTACTTTTAAGTGGTATGCTTATACTTATATTATTTAATTCACCACTTTTTGATATATCTAATGAACTTTTATTATAAAAGAGACTTCCTACCCCTATTGCTTCTACTGTTTCTCCTTCCATTCTACAAATAGAAGCATAATTATGGGTTAAATAAATGGAATGAATGTATTTATTCAGTCTTTCTTATATCTGTTATTATGAAAATGTGAGTATTGTTCACTGATGAACCAAGGCGCATGTTATGATCATATTTCCTTCCTTGTACAACATTTTTTCCTTTGCTTAGCTTTCCATCACATTGTCCAATGAATACACCTGGTCAAACATATCAGTCATCCCAATCAGTTGTAGATCCCTCTCCCCTGGAGGCCTCCCTCTAGACTGGTGCCCTCTTGACTTCCTGTACAGCTTTCCAAGTAGGACTTCCCACTGGCTCCCCGCTATGTTAGCTCATCTGTGTCTCAATTCTCCTGTCTTTTTTTTTTTTTTCTTGGCTTGCCCGCTCTCTTTGGTGGGGGCTGTCTTTCATTACACTCCTAGTTGCCTAACCAATATTTACTATTCTATTCCTACTGCTTAGTGGAATCCTTATTTTAACATTATGGGTTCAGCAATGCATTCATCTAATAAAGCTATGTTCTGTAGGCATCCTTGTGGGTAGATGTGATCAATGAGATTTAAGTGCGTGGGATTTCTGAGACAACTCTTTTCCCTGTGTGCTTTCTTTTTTCTTCTCCTTTCTCCTGCCTGGCACATGGATGCGATGGCTGATCCTCTCATAGCTATATTGATTTTGAGGATGAAAGTACTTACAGTAGAAATCAGAAGGTAGAATGAAATATGTCCCTGATGATTTTTTGGAGTCACAAACTGGCTGGAATTCTTACCTCTAGACTTCTTTTACTAGAGAGAGACTACAGTTGGCTCTTTACACAGTTCCTAAGTGATAAAATTGCTTCTTGAGAAAGAGTGCATGGAGATAATTTTTTTTTTTTGAGACAGAGTTTCGCTCTTGTCACTCAGACTGGAGTGCATTGGCACAATCTTGACTCACTGCAACCTCCACCTCCCAGGTTCAAGTGATTCTTCTGCCTAAGCCTCCTGAGTAGCTGGGATTACAGGCGCACATCATCATGCCTGGCTCATTTTTTTGTATTTTTAGTAGAGACGGGGTTTCATCATGTTAGCTAGGCTGGTCTCAAACTCCTGACCTCAGGTGATCCACCCGCCTTGGCCACCCAAAGTGCTGGGATTACAGGCATGAGCCACTGCGCCCAGCCGAAGATTTTTCTTTTATAGCTGGTGTTCTGAAATTTCATAGTGATATGTACTAAAGGAGGTATCTTTTTCATTAATTGCACTGGACATTCAATGAGCCCTTTCACACTGGGAATTAACGTTCTTTAGTTCCTTTCTTATTTACTTATTTACTTATCATTTCTTTGTTTTCTTGGTTTTCCTTTTTCAGGAGCTATTAATCAGATTTAGTCATGAAATAATCTAACTTTCTTACTTTTTTTCTGATTTTCCCTTTTGTTGTCTTTTGGGTGGGTCTGAGAGATTTCCTCATCTTTTAAATTTTGAAAATTTCAGGGGATTTTTAATTAGTTTGTTTTTCCAGAGCTCTTTCTTGTTCTTGGATTTTCTCCTTTCCTCTCTTTACCCTCCCCTCTCCTCCCTTTCCTCAACTCCTCTCTTTTTCCCTTCCTTCCATACACTGATCTTGTCTTAGGGATTCAATATCTTCTGCTTCTAAAGATACTAATTGTAGTCTGTGTTGTTCTGTAATTTATTTTTAGTTTTCTGCCAATGTCTATAGTATCTCTGTTTCTTTTGAGTTTCTTCTCTTTGTATGTTTGATTCTTGGTCTTTCATGTTAGGCTCTCCTCAAACATCTGAGGATGCTTTGAGATGTTTTCATGTTTACGTGCTAAAAAGTTAAAGCTCTGTGCACGTGTGTGTGTGTGAGTGTGTGAATTTGTCATTTGGTAGAGCTCATGGAAAATGACTGGCTATTTCTTTGGGAGACTCAACTACTCTGCACTTATGGATAATTTTTGTGCATCATGTTGGGCATCCCAAGATGTGCCATTTTGGAATAAGGATTATTTGGAGTTGAAGGCAATTGGGAAGAAGCAGGCACAAGAAAAGTTCTCTGCTCTTCTGCTAGCTGCCTAACAGCAGGACATAAATTTGGGAAGATTTCTCCCTGTCTCTTACCAGGAAGAGCAGAATTCTTAATCACCAGGAGACAACTCTAGACTTTTATCAGCCCAGAGGTGTCAAGCACTAAGAAAAATGTACATAACAAATCTTGCTAAATAATCCTTATCTTCCACTGGCTTCTCCCATATATTTTACCTTTTTCCAAATATTTGCCTTCCTGCCCCTAAAAGCCTCAGCCCATTTTCCTTTGTCTTGTCACTTCTCCTCAAATTTACTCTGCTTTGTTAAGAAGCCATGAAAAACTCAAGTTCTCACCACCCCTTTGAGTTACACATCATCGAGTTCTTCCACATGTATGTATGATGCAAGTATTAATTAATAAGCTCTGTTTTTCTCTTGTTAATCTGTCTGCTGTCAATTTAACTTCATAGGCCCAGTCACTGAACCTAAGAGGGTAGAGGAATTTTTTCTCCCCTTATAGTCATTTTTTTTCTGGGACCATTGCATTTTTCCAGAGAAGAATCCACTTATGTCCTCCTGCCCTCTGTTTAGCTGGGTGTTCTTCAAGTTGAGTGGGGTGACAGTGGTTTCCTGGTTCAGTAGAAGTCATCCATTTATCTTCATTTTTCAGTAGATGTCTTTGCCCCACCTAGTGCTCTGGGACCTGGAGCCACTCTGGTTCAATTTTTTCCCCTAGAATAAACCTCCAATGTCCTGCCATGGTAGGGGAAGGGGGGTAGTCTGGCAGATGGGCTGGGGGAAGGAGGCTGGGGTTTAATCTTATGGCAAATTCTAATGCTCCTCACCCCTTTTCGGCCTCCTCGGTGATTACCATCTTGCCACTTCACTGTCAGACATTCCTTAATTTCCTGCAATATGCCAGCCCCCTTACCCTCTATGGCTCTTAGAGTATCCAGTCCATGAGTCCTTCTAAGGCTCTGCAGTGTGAAACAGCTCTGTTCTCACTTTCATCTCTTTCTGATGCCACCTGGTATTTACTTTCCACATCTCTTCTAATTCTTCAGTCCATATTCCAGCTTCTAAGTTTGGTGAACATCTCCTGTCTGCTCTTCCCTAATTTCCTTGTCTCTTCTCTCAAATACTTATTATAATGTGGTTTCAGAGTAAATAGAATAAATTTGTATTTTAAACTATAAGTTAAATGGAAGACCTCTAACTTGCAGTTGAATGGAAGACTTCTAACATTATAAACAAACTGTGGCCAAAATGTGATGTGGCTCTACTCAAGGGTACTCAGTTACTGGCAGAACTGGAATAGAACTCTGAAAGTTTTGAGTTAGCTTCTGAGATGAGATTTATTATAAGTAGGTTCAACCAAGCACCTTTCATTGTTGAGATTAAGGGCCTGAATCCTCCTCTTCACCCTTCTTTTTATTTTATTTTATTTATTTATTTATTGAGGCAGAGTTTTGCTCTTGTTGTCCAGGCTGGAGTGCAATGGCGCAATCTCGGCTCACCGCAACCTCTGCCTCCCAGGTTCCAGTGATTCTCCTGCCTTAGCCTGCCAAATAGCTGGGATTCCAGGCATGCACCACCACGCCTGGCTATTTTTGTAGTTTTAGTAGAGACAGGGTTTCTCCACGTTGGTCAGGCTGGTCTCGAACTCCTGACCTCAGGTGATCTGCCTGCCTTGGCCTCCCAAAGTGCTGGGATTACAGGCGTGAGCCACCATGCCTGGCCCATTTTATTTTAAAAACTAAAGTCTGCTTTGGGGTTTCCCAGTTTCACGTAAACTTCGTTAGCCCATATGTTCATGAGAGAATCCCACTAGGACAGTCAGAGACTCATGGCAGCACCAGTAGAAAAGCCTCATCTGTTAAGATTGCTACCAGGGTAGTGTGCTTGAACCTACGGCAAAAGGCATCCCTACCCGTCAACTCCCCCATCCCCTGCAGAGATAATGCAGCTTGGGACGTCATGGGCTGCAGTTTTAGCAAAAGTGCTTTGGAGGGAGGGAAGAGGAGAGGAAGGGGGCTGGCATACTCCAGGAAATTAAAGAATGTCTGAACAGTGAAGCGACAAGATGGTAATCACTGCCAGGCTGGCTAATTGAGACTTGGCTTACAAGGCTGACAGCAGAGGAAGAACAGTAGTCTGGTTTCAGAACCAAGATTAACAGGAGAGAAAAAAGATCTAATTGGAAGCTGCATTAACTTTTTGAAGAGGCAGATAACCGCTGAGAGGCAGGGCAACTCTATTCATAGGGACAGGCTCATCATGGAAAGGAAATAGAAGATTAATCCACTATGGATTCTCTACGCTTGGACTGATTTAATTTCCAAAGACCTCCTTCAAGTCTGCCTTCTCTTTGCTCCCTCTCAGGGTCATTTCTAGACATGGAAAGGTGGCATTTGTGTTTCCCTTCCATGGAATGAACCTTGTGGGGCTGAAAAGGGGTGACAACCTGGTGGTGCCAGAGAGATGACTGCGAGTGACTGCCAGATGCAAACCGTGGAGGCTCAGGGCTGTTCCAGGTCTCTTGGGACCTCGGGACAGACATGCACAGGGGCTGTAAAAGAATGATTGCCTCCTAGCTGCACCCCGGCCTGAACCAGGGTCAGGGTAGCTGGTTTACAAGGAATTTGTCAAAGCTTTGCAGGGACTACATGTTGAAACGTTGGGGTTGTAAACATGGTAGGAAGGCATGGAGACAAAAGCATTTAGGAAAAAAAAAAATGAGTTACTTGCAAAGAGGTTTTGCAAGGGTGTCCAGGCTTTTCAAGATTAATCTCCAAGTAAAAATATGTTAGTTACTGAAAGAAAAGAAATCAAGATGACCAAGACTGCTTTGTATGTAGTATGTTCCCAGTATGCAAATAGCAGTTTTCTCACTTGATTAAGATATACTCAAAGGTAATCACGGGAGGCCGAGGCAGGTGGATCACGAGGTCAGGAGATCGAGACCATCCTGGCTAACACAGTGAAACCCTGTCTCTACTAAAAATACAAAAAATTAGCCAGGCGTGGTGGCGGGAGGCTGAGGCAGGAGAATGGCGTGAACCTAGGAGGTGGAGCTTGCGGTGAGCTGAGATCGTGCCACTGCACTCCAGCCCGGGTGACAGAGCAAGACTCCATCTAAAAAAAAAGAAAAGAAAAAAAAAAGGGTGATCATGTGTCTGGAGACATCAAGACTTCAGAAGTCAGGAATAAAGTTTTCTGTTGATATTTTTTAGGGAGTCCACGACCTAATGGCTCAAGTTCTCATTTATTTTGAGAACCAGAGTAATCCTGACAGGGTAATCCTGGTTTTGTTTCTTGTTTTGTTGATATTGTTGATCTCGGGTACAAAGTGCCTTCTGGCCGTGGGGCATGGTTTGCAGTTGCTCATAAAGGAGGCACAGCAAGGTTTCAGTTTTGCTTTCACAGACACACCTAGTCCTTAATCCCCTGCAAAGGTGTTGACTTGATCATAAAAGTTTGCTTAGCAATTTTATGATTCATATCATTAATTGGCTGCTTTCTTTTATTTGGCTGGTTTTACTAACCTAGGTATAAAAAGGGATGTTGGTTAATGTATAAATACCTTACTGTGATGTGGTTAATAAAACTAGAGTCAAAGGATACTAAGGCTTGGGAGCTAGTTTCTGTCTGAAAGCTTTATAAAGCCTTTAGGGTTGAATTTTTATTCATTTTATGTGCTAGAAGTATTTTTATTGCTCTTATTAACTTGTCTACTGAGACCAGGAACCAAGACCTGTCCAGTTCTCCTCTCCCAGGTTTCACTGCCAGTAGCTATAACTGTAGGGGCTTCCTACAGCTTCCCATGCTTCTGGCCAGGCAGAATATGGCATTTTTTTTTACCATCTATAAGGCTAGGATTTCATAAGCTACAAAGCATGTGCCAGGCCAGATTTTTCTGTGGAAAATTTATAGGCATCATTTTCTCATATGACGTACAGTTCCTGTTCCTTAGTCATAGGCTTATCATATCCAATTAAATGAGATTTGTTTTTCCATGTGACATTTATGGCATGACTGTGGTTATAAATTTGATTTTTCCAATTATATTCCAGTAGAAAGCAGGACATACTCTTTTTTTTTTTTCCCACATTTCTCCTTTTATTTCATTCTTAGTTAAGTGAAATACTCTGCCAGGAGAAAACTTAAATGACTATCCAATGGGTATTTTGTTTTGTTTTGTTTTTTTAAATAATCTAGTAAATTCAGACACTTTTTCTTTTTACGCAAAGTCACAAATGACATTATATGTTGTTAAGTGTTTTTTATTACTCTTAAGTAATGGTTAACTTAAACTTAAGCCAAAGTTAAGTTTATGATTTTCTGATTTTTTTTACATATCCTTCCTCTCTTCCCTACTTCCTCCCCTTAAGAACTCTATTCTTATTTTCTCATTTATATTCCAAATGACGCTGTCAGGAATTGAAACCTTTTGTAAGGTATGTAAACTTTTTGGGGGTTGATGTTTTTCATTCAAATAGTCTAATATCAATGGATATGAACTCTGCATTTTTTACTTCTAAATCTTATGCATCATTTAAATGTTAACTTTCAAAATATTAATCTTGAATTTTCACACTTTTGTGTGAGTTGGAATTATTATCCAATTAAATGAACATAAATTATACTGCCTACATAGATTGGAAAAATATCTTGGTGGGCTGTGTGTGTATGTGCACACATGCATTTATATAAAAGCAAATATCAACTTACAAAAACCAGTTCAGTCTTTTTTAAAAAATTTATTTGCATAGCTTATTGGGGAACAGGTGGTGTTTGGTTATATGAGTAAGTTCCTTAGTGATGATTTGTGAGATTTTGGTGTACCCATCACCCAAGGAGTATACACTGCACCCTATTTGTAGTCTTTTATCCCTCACCCCCTTTCCCCTTGTATCTCCAAAGTCTGCTGTGTCATTCATATGCCTTTGCATCCTCATAGTTTAGCTCCCACATATCAATGAGAACATACAATGTTTGGTTTTCCATTCCTGAGTTACTTTACTTAGAATTTAATAGTCTCCAATCTTATCCAGGTAGCTGCGAATGCCATTAATTCATTCCTTTTGTGGCTGAATAGTGTTCCATCATATATATATATATATAATAGTATATATATACTATATATATGTATATACTATATATATGTATATACTATTATATATGTATATACTATTATATATAATATATATAATTATATATATAATATATATATATAATATATATAGTATATACATGTATATACTATTATATATAATAGTATATATATATATAATGCCTTTTGGCTGTGGGGCATATATATATATATATATATATATATATATATATATATATATATATATATCAGAATTTCTTTATTTCTTTATCCACTCATTGATTGATGGGCATTTGTGCTGGTTCCACATTTTTGGAATTGTGAATTGTGCTGCTCTAAACATGTGTGTGCAAGTATCTTTTTCGTATAATGACTTCTTTTCCTCTGGGTAGATACTCAGTAGTGGGATTGCTGGATCAAATGGTGGTTCTACTTTTAGCTCCTTAAGGAATCTCCGCACTGTTTTCCATAGTGGCTGTACTAGTTTACATTCCCACCAGCAGTGTAGAAGTCTTCCCTGTTCACTGCATCCATGCCAACATCTACTATTTTTTTATTATGGCCACTTTTGCAGGAGTAAGGTGGTATCACATTGTGGTTTTCATTTGCATTTCCCTGATCGTTAGTGATGTTGAACGTTTTTTCATATGTTTGTTGGCTGTTTGTGTATCTTCTTTTGAGAATTGTCTATTCATGTCCTTAGCCTACTTTTTGATGGAATTGCTTGTTTTTTTTTTCTTGCTGATTTGTTTGAATTTATTGTAGATTCTGGATATTAGTCCTTTGTCAAATGTATAGATTGTGAAGATTTTCTCCCACTCTGTGGGTTGTCTTTTTACTCTGCTGATTATTCCTTTTGCCTTGCAAAAGCTCTTTAGTTTAATTATGTCGCAGCTATTTATCTTTGTTTTTATTGCATTTGCTTTTGGGTTCTTGGTCATGAAATCCTTGCCTCAGCCAATGTCTAGAAGGATTTTTCCAATGTTATCTTCTAGAGTTTTTATAGTTTCGGGTCTTAGATTTAAGATCTTAATCCATCTTGAGTTGATTTTTGTATAGGTGAGAGACGAGGATCCAGTTTCATTCTCCTACATGTGGCTAGTCAATTATCCCAGCACTATTTGTTGAAAAGGGTGAAACAGGACATATTCTTATTAAATCTATGTAAATAACATGATCATGGAAGGTAAAAATTTTAGTAAAGGACTTTTCATAATACTTAACCATTATTATTTCTATTTGAGTTGTTTTATAGAGAAGGCCACTCAATTTGTCAGTTTTACAGAATCATTCTTCTTAGATTTTTTCTGATCATTTATTAGCTTATAATATTATTAAGATCTTTCATAGAATTTTTTATCTGAATTCTGAGAGATTAGTTTGAAGATATCAGTTGGAGAGTGTTTCATTCTAGTTTAATATATGTATAGCCTATTAAATTGCAGTTCAAAGACAGATCAAGAAGAAATAAAAAGGGCTTTCTCATATGTCCATCAACATACATCATTACTCATACCTGAGTTAATTTCATTTGCTCCTAGGTAATTAATTCTTATTTTTCTTAGATTAGTTAGCAGTCTACTTAAAAAAATTTATCGGTTTTCGAACTAAGAGAGTCTTGGAATTACTGACCTGGGTCCCTGGTACAGATTGACAGACATTTGTTGGTGATGACAGTGTCAGCTTACCCTGGCAAACCTGCACCCCTTAGTCTATTGCTTTAATACCCCTAATTAAGAGAACATGAGACTTACCGAGGGTCTTCTGATATTTTTTCCAGAAGATTCCATGTCTGATCTGCATTTTGTGGAAGGAACCTGTAGGTAAGTTTGAAGAAAAAGCAGAAAATACCTGTCAATAATAATGTTTCTGGAATTGGCTCCTTCTGGTGGGTTCTTGGTCTTGCTGACTTCAAGAATGAAGCCGCAGACCCTTGCGGTGAGTGTTGTAGTTCTTAAAGATGGTGTGTCCGGAGTTTGTTCCTTCAGATGTTCAGATGTGTCCGGAGTTTCTTCCTTCCAGTGGGTTGGTGGTCTTGCTGACTTCAGGAGTGAAGCCACAGACCTTCACAGTGAGTGTCACAGCTCTTAAAGGTGGTACGTCCGGAGTTGTTTGTTCCTCCCGGTGGGTTCGTGGTCTCGCTGACTTCAGGAATGAAGCTGCAGACCCTCGAGGTGGGCAGCTCATAAAGGTAGTGCGGACCCAAACAGTGAGCAGCAGCAAGATTTATTGTGAAGAGTGAAAGAACAAAGCTTCCACAGCGTGGAAGGGGACCCTAGTGGGTTGCTGCTGCTGGCTTAGGTGGCCAGCTTTTATTCCCTTATTTGGCCCTGCCCACATCCTGCTGATTGGTCTCTTACAGAGTGCTGATTGATGCATTTACAAACCTTTAGCTAGACACAGAGCGCTGATTGGTGTGTTTTTACAGAGTGCTGATTGGTGCATTTACAAACCTTTAGCTAGACACAGAGCACTGATTTGTGTGTTTATAACCCTCTAGCTAGACAGAAAAGTTCTCCAAGTCCCCACCCGACCCAGAAGCCCAGCTGGCTTCACCTCTAAATAAGATTCAATGGCTTGGGTTAGTTTATTACAACAAATAATATCAGAAAGAGGGATGGTGGATTCCTCTGTTGATATATAATACATTGTGAAATTTACAAGGAGTTAATCAATAATTACCATAGAGGAAAAATATATTGTGGATGGGGTAGATATTGATATATTTCCAGAGCCTTTTAATATAGTCTTGAGTATTTGTCCCCACCCAAATCTTTTTATTTTGAGACAGAGTTTTGCTGTCACCCAGGCTGGAGTGCAGTGGCTTGATCTCAGCTCTGTGCAACCTCTGCCTCCTGGTTTCAAGCAATTCTCCTGCCTCAGCCTCCTGGGTAGCTGGGATTATAGGTGCCCGCCACCACACATGGCTAATTTTTGCATTTTTCATAGAGGTGGGCTTTCCCCATGTTGGCCAGTCTGGTCTCGAACTCCTGATCTCAAGTGATCCGCCTGCCTTGGCCTCCCAAAGTACTGGGATTACAGGCATGAGCTGTCCCTGCCCAAATCTCATGTTGAATTGGAATGCACAATGTTAGAGGTGGAGCCTAGTGGGAACTGTTGGGTTATGGGGGTGGATCCCTCATGGCTTGATGCTGTTCTTGCAATAGTGAGTGTGTACCTGTGAGACCTGGTTGTTTTATGTGTGTGGCACCGCTCGCCCTGACTCTCTCTTGCTTCCAGTCTGTCATGTGAGATGCCTGCTCCTGTTTTGCTTTCTGTCATGAATGAAAGCTCCCTGTAGCCTTTGCAGAAGCTGAGCATATGCTGGTGCCGTACTTCTTGTACAGCCTGCAGAACCATAAGCCAATTAAACCTCTTTTCTTTATAAATTACCCAGTCTTATGTATTTCTTTATAGGAATGCAAGAACGGCCTAACATACCTTTTAATTCAAACCATAATGTGTTATAACTGTTCTTAATTAGCAAGAATATTTAAACCTAGAAACAAAATTTTAATTAAAAAATCCATTTGTTGGAAGTTATGCCAGTCTTACAGGACCATTAGTGTATTCTTTCCAATCTGAGAGATACTAAATTCTAAAACATATTCGGATTAATAACATTTTACTTGTATGTCATTAATTTAGGGAGGTTATGTTTCCCTTCTGATATACTAGCTCTTTTATTCTTGCAGGCTTTGATAAATAGTGTGAAGGTAAGTAAAAATGTGGAGACTTTCAAATATATTCAACTATATCTAGTAATTCTTCTTTTTCAAAATGTGGGAGTGGGGAACAAATCTTTGAAATTATTCAATCTGGAAAATCCTAAAGATCAGTTTAGGTTATAAAGGATAAATTATTTTGAATGGGGGCCTAAATTGGGAAAGGTGATATCCAAAATATTTTTCAAAGGAAACAAGCTATGAGCTGAAGTCATAGGTGTGTAAAGACAAGAAATGAATGACTTCTGACAAGAAAGAACATAACCACAGAAGCATATAACTAATTATTTGAAATCCTAGCTTCTTCAGAGTGGACTTTTGTTAAAATTGTTTCAAGAATGAATAAAGAAAACACAAAGAGTTAAGAGGCTGCTGAGTAAAGAGAAGGCATAGAATGGTTTGTACTGTTTCTTGCTAACAAACTGTTACACAAAGACCAATTTGTCATTTCACAGGAAGAAAACTAAAATCTAGTTTTACTCTTTTTGTATTCTATACATGTAACATTTTCCTTTAAAGGATTCACAAATTTTGTATTGGTTTCTGGGGTCCAAAATTAGTCTCCTCTTTTCTATGTAAACCAGCAAGCAATTTCCATTATTTTATAAATGCATTTGCACTTCTTTGTAAATGCTTGTACCTAGTGTAGTCTTAATCTCTTATATTGGCTTCAACTTTAAACCAAAGTAACTTACTTCCCCCAGCAGGTATGGAGGCATCTGGGAAGCAGGTTGCCGAAAATAGTCTATCAACACAAAGGCTTAAGTAAAGCAGGAGAGCTCCCTTGTGGGCTGCTGTGCCTCATGTGCACACATATTATACATCTACCCATGGTCACCTACCTCCACTTCACCCTTCTTGAGGCAGAAAAAGTAAACAGGTACACTCACATTCCCCAGATAGATCTTCACATCCTTCTCCTGAAGCTGTTAGCTTTTCTCTAATGTATAGAAAGAGGTAAGGGAATGTATACATATATGTATTTGTGTGTGTGTCTGTGTGTTGTGTGTGTGTATATATATGTGTATATATATATGAATAGATGTGCATGTTGAATGTATATATGTGGATGGATGTGTGTATGTACCTAGGTAATATACATAAACTGGGCTGTGTATTTTGCATTCTCTTTATTTCTATGAAGTTTAATATTTAAAAGATTGTTTTTTCTTAATATTAGTCATAACTCTCAGAGTTAACTGAGAGGATTTCAGAAAATTATGTTCCTTAGAAAATTTCTAAGGATTTCAGAAACTGTGTTCAGGCTCACGCAAAACAGGTAAGCACAATTCCTGTTCGTACTATGAGTTTACTAGACAGAAGAAATTTAAATTTTACGTAGATTCATAACTGTTAATCTTTTTAAATAAAGACATTGCTTATCCTAATTTAATTTAGAATTTACAATTTTTATTTTTGATAACCTTAAATATTTTGTGGAATTGATGATTTATTTGACTCATATGATTAGTTTAGGAAATTTAGATAGCTTAAAACAGTTAAGACTTTTCACGGGTAACTAACACCAAGTTTTGTATAAAGTAGAATGTTATGTTAACATTTTTCATGCAATGATAAAACTGGGAATCGTTTATTTTGTTGAGAGTTTACCTTGATTAGAAATATTATCTGATCTTCATTATACATATATATATTACATATGTATATTACGTGTGTACACATTTACATATACACATATATCCATACATATCTTTAAAACTCTTTAACTTTTGTTTGAAAGTACTAAAGTCCTCTTAGGATAATTTTTCCCCCCTACAACTTGCCTTCCTTTGCTTTTTATCTTGGAACTTAGCAACTGTATTAGGCCATTCTTGCATTGCTATAAAGAGATACCAGAGACTGTATAATTTATAAAGAAAGAGGTTTAATTGGTTCACAGTTCTGCAGGCTGTACAGGAAGCATAGTGCCAACATCTCCCAAGGCCTTGGGCAGCTCTGCCCCGTGGCTTTGCAGGGTTCAGGCCTCATGGCTGTTCTCATGGGTAATTGAGTTCCTGTGGCTTTTTCATGTACAAAGTGCAAGCTACCAGTGGATTTACCATTCTGTGGTCTAGAGGACAGTGGCCCCCTCCTTACAGGTCCACTAGGCAGTGCCTCAGTGGGGACTCTGTGTGGGGGCTTCAACCCCATATTTCCCTGAAGCACTGCCCTAGTAGAGGTTCTCTGTGGGGGCTCCACTCATGCAGTAGGCTTATACCTGGGCACCCAGGTTTTCTCACACAGCCTCTGAAATCTAGGTGGAGGCTGCCAAGCATTTTCACTCTGGCACTCTGCATGCCTGCAGGCTTAACACAACGTGAAAGCCACCAAGGCTTATGGCTTGCATCCTTCAAAGTGGCTGCCTGAGCTGTACTTGGGCCCCTTTGAGGACTGATGGAGTTGGAGCAGCCTGGATGCATGGAGCAGTGTCTTGAGGCTGCACAGGGGAGCAGGCTGGACCATGAAACCATTATTTCCTCCTAGGCCTCTGGGCTTGTGATGGGAAGAGCTCTTGTGAAGGTCTCTGAAATGCCTTTGAGGCCTTTTCACCATTGTCTTGGATATTAGCACTTGGCTCCCTTTTAGTTACGCAAATATCTCTAGTGAGTGATTACTCCACAGCCTGTTTGAATTTCTCTCCTGAAAAAGTGTACTTTTTCTCTTCCACATGGCTAGGCTGCAAAATCTCCAGAGTTTATGCTCTGCTTCCTATTTATATATAAATTACATTTTTAAGTCATTTCTTTGCTCCTGCATCTGAACGTAGGCTGTTAGAAGCAGCCAGGCGACAGCTTGAATGCTTTGCTGCTTAGAAATTTCTCCCACCAGATTCCTTAAAAAACTAAAAGTAGAACTACCATTTGATCCAGCAATCACCCTACTGGGTATCTTAGGAAAAGAAGTCATTTTCGAGGAAAAGAAGTCATTTCGAGGAAAAGAAGTCATTTTCGAGGAAAAGAAGTCATTATTCGAAAAAGATACTTGCACATACATGTTTATAGCCCCACGATTCATAATTGCAAAATCATGGAATCAACCCAAATGCCCATTGATCAATGAGTGGATAAAGAAACTGTGATCTCTATCTATTTATAGATAGATAGATATCACAGAGTAGGAGGGGAGTGAGGGATAAATACAAGTGGCATTATAACACAAGATTCTCCCCAGGAACTGGAAAAGATTTGCCTTGACTTAAGAGTCCTGTGTGTGGTGCACCTATCTGCCTGTGGTAGTTCAGTTGGCTCTCATGAATAACACCGCAGGTCATCTCAGTGAAACCTCCAAATCATTTGTACATGCTTTAAGATATTTCAGTATATATTTATGATGAAATACTACTCAGCCATAAAAAGGAATGAATTAGCAGCACTTGCAATGACCTGATTGAGATTGGAGGCCATTACTCTAAGTGAAGTAACTCAGGAATGTAAAACCAAACATGATATGTTCTCACTGATATGTGGGAGCTAAGCTATGATGACACAAAGGCATATGAATGATACAATGGACTTTAGGGACTTAGGGGGAAGAGTAGGAAGGGAGCGAGGGATAAAAGACAACATATATGGTGCAGTGTATACTGCTTGGGTGATGGGTACACCAGGATCTCACAAGTCACCACTAAAGAACTTACTCATGTAACCAAATACCACCTGTACCCCAATAACTTACAGAAAAATAAAATAAAATAAGAAATTTCTTCCACCAGATACTATAAGTCATCACTCTCAAGTTCTAACTTCCACAGATCCCTAGGGCAGGGGCAAAATGCAGCCAAGTGTTTTGCTAAGGCATAACATGTATGACCTTGGTTCCAGTTTCCCAATAATTTCCTCATTTCCATGTGAAACCTCAGCAGCTTGGATTTCATTGTCCATATCACTGTCAGCATTTTGGTACCAACCATTTAACCAGTCTCTAAGAAGCTCCAAATTCCCTCCTCTTACTGTCTTATTCTAAGCCCTCCAAACTCTTCCAATTTCTGCCAATTACTCAGTTCCAAAGCCACTTCCACATTTTCAGGTATGTTTATATTAATACTCCACTCCTCAGTACCAATTTTCTGTATTAGGCCATTTTTACATTGATATAAAGAAATACCTGAGACTGGGTAATTTATGAGAAAAGAGTTTAATTGGCTCGTGGTTCTGCAGGCTGTACAGGAAGCATAGTGCCAGCATCTGCTTCTGGGGAGGCCTCAGGAAGCTTTTGCTCTATGGCAAAAGTTGAAATGGGAGCAGACACATTACATAGCCAGAGCAGAAACAAGAGAGAGTGTGTAGGGGAGGTGCCACGCACTTTTAAATGACCAGATCTCTGGTGAACTCAGAGCAAGAGCTCACTTATCACCAAGAGGATGGCCCAAGCCATTCATGAGGAATCTGCCCATAATCCAAACATCTCCCACCAGGCCCCACCTCCAGCACTGGAGATTATAATTCAACATGAGATTTGGGTTGGACGAACATTCAAACTATATCAGCAACCAATTTAAAACTAAACTCTTCCCCTTCCCCCACCCTATTCCCTGAGATATTGCTTCAGTAAGTATCTGAAGCTTTCTCAAAGGGCTAGCAATTTAAAGCAGTAGAAGTCAAATGGTTCTTTATTTTTCTGAAAATTCTGGATTTCTTTGAAATATATGCTTATTAGTCTTTATAAGACAAAACAAAGTGCTATTAAAATTTAGAGAATTTGTAATCTAATTTATTACTTTCCACTGGAAGTAGACAAGATATACCAGTACGTTTGCTCTGAAAATATTTCGCACTCACACAGTTGAAGAATCTATCAATTCCTGGGCAAGCTGGAGTTTTTAGCCGAATTTCTCCTTATTTTATTGTATGCTGTTTTCTGTGGTGATTGTTCAGATTGTGAATGACACCAAAGGCTCAACTTAAGGTTCATTTTTCTTTATATCTTGACTTGGCTCATTTGAAATCTATGTAATTATCTGTTTCTTTAAATAGAGGGGAGAAAAAGACAGAACGCTTGCATTTTCTTTGGAGGTCACAAAGCAGCAGACAAACCAGCAGTCATCCTACCCTGCCCATTCCAACCCAGGTTCTGGCTCATCCACATGGTTCTTATAAAGATTGTTCAAAGTACACAAAGCTCTTACAGATGTCGCAGATCTCTGTCTTCAAAGCCATACAAATCAGTTTCATTAATTTAAGCTTTTTGTGCATTTTCTCCCTTACATGGGTAGATCTCTGTACTTGGATTATATATCCTATAATGTGCACAAATTATAGATTTTTATGACCAACTACTTTTAAATTTTTGAGAGACAGAGCAGGAGAGAGAGAAAGCAAGAGAGTGACAGTGAGCACTATTAATGAACATAGATATAGAAAGAAGGGCAGTTATTCATAAACAACTTCAAAGGGCTAGTTACCCTCCTTTTGTGGAGCAAGGCAAAGGCCTTTTTATTTATTTATTATTTTACTTTAAGTTCTGGGATGCATGTGCAGAATGTGCAGGTTTGTTACATAGGTATATGTGTGGCATGGTGGTTTGCTGCACCTATCAACCTGTCATCTAGGTTTTAAGCCCCGCATGCATTAGGTATTTGTCCTAATGTTCTTCCTCCCCTTGCCCCCCACCCACCGACAGACCCCAGTATGTAATGTCCTCCTCTCTGTGTCCATGTGTTCTCATTGTTTAACTCCCACTTACAAGTGAGAACATGCAGTGTTTGGTTTTCTGTTCCTGTGTTAGTTTGCTAAGGATGATGGTTTCCAGCTTCATCCATGTCCCTGCAAAGGACACGAACTAATTCCTTTTTTATGGCTGCATAGTATTCCATGGTGTATATGTGCCACATTTTTTTATCCAGTCCATCATTGATGGGCATTTGGGTTGGTTCCAAGTCTTTGCTATTGTAAACAGTGCTGCAATAAACATACATGTACATGTGTCTTTATAGTAGAATGATTTATAATCCTTTGGGTATATACCCAGTAATGGGATTGCTGGGTCAAATGGATTTTCTGGTTCTAGATCCTTAAGGAATCACAACACTGTCTTCCACAATGGTTGAACTAAAGGCAAGAGTCTTTTTATTTACACAAACGATATAAAGAGAACCAGCAGCCTCCATTTCCCAACTGCAACACAAGTTAGCAAAATTCACTGGTTGGTTGCAGCTGGGTAACAGGAAGACCAGGGATACACAACAAGTCAAAGACACACTAGTTATCTGTTTCTTGAGTTACAATCTACTCTCCATTCTAGCGGGACCAACTTTTTTTTTTCTTCTTAATTGACTTTTTTCATAGTGGTGCACAAACAGATAAACCACAGGGAGGTAGCCAGAAGATGTCATAATCCTCAAACAAACAAACAAACACAAAGAGACAACCCAGTTTCTCGTCATCTTCCATTGAACAGATACCAGATTGTCTGTCATCTGCCACCCACAAGAGACCAGATTGTTGGACTATATAACCAAAGCCAGGTTTCCAATGAAAATCATAAAAAATGGTGGCCAATGCAAACTGACTCAGAAACAAAACATTAAAAAAAATAAAAAACAGAAACACAGAAACAGAGTGAGTGAGTCTGAAAGTGGTATTGTAACATAAGATTCTCTCCAGGAACTGGAAAAGATTTGCCTTCACTTAAGAGTCCTGTGTGTGGTGCACCTATCTGCCTGTGGTAGTTCAGTTGGCTCTCATGAATAACACCCCAGGTCATCTCAGTGAAACCTCCAAATCACTTGTACATGCTTTTATCTTTTTATGATATTTTTAATTTTCCTTGCATTATCCATCATCATACCAATCACTAAAATCCCAAACTAAGTTGCTGTTGTAACAGGGAATCATATTCAACTCACTCCTTCAGGAACATTCCTCAGAGCAGTGGTTTCCAACTTGGATATGGGGTAAAACATCATTGTAAGACACCTGTCAGCACATATATACACCACATATTGGCTGTGAACTAAGTAAATATGCATGCATGAATTAACCAGCATTTTATGAGTATTTTGTGCTGCTGTGGTAAATAAAATACAAATTAACTTAGAAATATATGGAATTTATAATCCCTTTTTTGGTCATTGTGTATTTTTTTTCCATGAGTTATTGGGGTACAGGTGGTATTTGGTTACATGAGTAAGTTCTTTTGTGGTGATTTGTGAGATTTTGGTGCACCCATCACCTAAGGAGTATACACTGCACCGTATTTGTAGTCTTTTATCCCTCATCCCCTTCCCACCCTTTCCCTTGGAATCGCCAAAGTCCATTGTGTTATTCTTACGGCTTTGCATCCTCATAGCTTAGCTCCCCCTAATGAGTGAGAACATATGATGTTTGGTTTTCCATTGCTGAGTTACTTCACTTAGAATAATAGTCTCCAATCTCATCCAGGTAGCTGCAAATGCCATTAATTCATTCCTTTTTATGGCTGAATAGTATTCCATCATGTACACATACACATATATATACATACACACATATACATATATATGTACACACACACACACACACACATATATATATACACACACACATATATATACACATATACACATACCAAGTTTCTTTATCCACTTGTTGATTGATGGGCATTGGGTTGGTTCCACAATTTTGTAGTTGTGAATTGTGCTGCTATAAACATGTGTGTGCAAGTATCTTTTTTGTATAATGACTTCTTTTCCTCTGGGTAGATACTCATTAGTGGGATTGCTGTATCAAATGGTAGTTCTACTTTTAGCTCCTTAAGGAATCTCCACACTGTTTTCCATAGTGGCTGTACTAGTTTACATTCCCACCAGCAGTGTAGAAATGTTCCCTGATGACCACATTCACACCAACATCTACTGTTTTTTGATTTTTTGATCATGGCCATTCTTGCAGAAGTAAGGTGGTATTGCATTGTGGTTTTGATTTGCATTTCCCTGATCATTAGTGATGTTGAGCATTTTTTCATATGTTTGTTGGCCATTTGTATAGCTTCTTTTGAGAATTGTCTATTCATGTCCTTATCCCACTTTTTGATGGGATTGTTTGGTTTTTTTCTTACTGATTTTTTGAGTTCGTTGTGGATTCTGGATATTAGTCCTTTGTCAAATGTATAGATTGTGAAGATTTTCTCCCACTCTGTGGGTTGTCTTTTTACTCTGCTGACTGTTCCTTTTGCCTTGCAAAAACTCTTTAGTTTAATTAAGTCCCGGCTATTTATCTTTGTTTTTATTGCATTTGCTTTTGGGTTCTTGGTCATGAAATCCTTGCCTAAGCCAATGTCTAGAAGGGTTTTTCTAATGTTATCTTCTAGAATTTTTATAGTTTCAGGTCTTAGATTTAAGATCTTAATCCATCTTGAGTTGATTTTTGTATAAGGTGAGAGACGAGGATCCAGTTTCATTCTCCTACATATGGCTAGCCAATTATCCCAGCACTATTTGTTGAAAAGGGTGTCTTTTCCTCCATTTTACATTTTTGTTTGCTTTGTCAAAGATCAGTTGGCTTTAAGTATTTGGGTTTATTTCTGGGTTCTCTATTCTGTTCCATTGGTCTATGGCCTATTTTTATACCAGTACCAAGGTGTTTTGGTGACTATGGCCTTATAGTATAGTTTGAATTCACGTAGTGTGATGCCTCCAGATTTTTTTTTCCTTAGTCTTGTTCTGGCTATGTGGGCTCTTTTTTGGTTCCATATCAATGTTAGAATTTTTTTTTTCTAATTTTGTGAAGAATGATGGTGGTATTTTCATGGGGATTGCATTGAATTTGTAGATTGCTTTTGGCAGTATGGTCATTTTCACAATATTGATTTTACCCATCCATGAGCATTGGATGTGTTTCCATTTGTTTATGTCGTCTATGACTTCTTTCAGCAGTGTTTTATAGTTTTCCTTGTAGAGGTCTTTGACTCCTTGATTAGGTATATTCCTAAGTAATTTTTTTTTGCAGCTATTGTAAAAGGGGTTGAGTTCTTGATTTGATTCTCCATTTCATCGCTGTTGGTGTATAGAAGAGCTACTGATTTATGTACATTAATCTTGTATCCAGAAACTTTGCTGAATTCTTTTGTCAGTTCTAGGAGCTTTTTGGAGGAGTCTTCAGGGTTTTCAAGGTAAACGATCATGTGGTCAGCAAACAGTGACAGTTTGGCTTCCTCTTTACCAATTTGGATGCCCTTTATTTCCTTCTCTTATCTGATTGCTCTGGCTAGGACTTCCAGTACTGTGTTGAAGAAGAGTGGTGAGAGTGGGCATCCTTGTCTTGTTCCAGTTCTCAGAGGGAATACTTTCAACTTTTCCCACTCCAGTATTATGTTGGCTGTAGGTTTGTCATGGATGGCATTTATTACATTGAGGTATGTCCCTCGTAGGCCAATGGTCATTGTGTATTTTGATGCTCAGTGGATACTAAAGTTGTGTGACATGCATAAGGAGGCAAATAGTGCTATGAATATTTTTTACATGAAAGTCTTCACACAAGCTTTGAGGGAACTTTACTGGGGGTCGGAGGGGCTGTCATAAATTAATCTCTTTCATTGTTACAGTAAAGGTAGGAACAGAAACTTACCTAGCATTTACCAAGAGTGACTACCCTGAGAAGACAGGAGCAGGGGGAGGAGCCTTAATTTTCTTGAAAGAAATTTAATGGAAAGAAAGGTAATTTCCTGGGGAAGAAAGGTGGCTTTCTTCTTCACCTTTGTGGTGAAGATTTGGAAGTGAGTTCCAGTTCCATGTTCCTGGGGCCTGCTCTGTCTTGGGAGGAGCTGTAACATGAAATTATGGTCTCTGAAGCTTTAGTCATCTGGACTGAAACAAGATGGGGTACAAAGACCCTGTGATTAGGTTTGTGTTGAGAATTGCCTTTCTTTAAAAACTTGTGAAAGAGTTTTCTCTCCACTCAGGGAATATAATGGTGGTGGTTTAAAACCCTTAGTTTAAGGAAAAGGAATCAAAACCAAAGAAGAATATGAAAACTTAATCAGGAAATGACAGCTTGAGAAGATGGAATGACATTAATTGTGCTGAATATATAATGAGAACACAGACTCCTAATTTATGAAGATCTATGCTAATGTTTATGTGAGGGAAATTAAAATACCAAGGGGATATTTACAAATAGTAATGCTTCCAAATAGTCTTGTTTTTATAATTCATTTTCATAGCCCTTTTAGAGAATTCTATATTTATGCTTATAATTCACTCTTGGAGCCTAAACATCTTCATATCTATCGCATCATCCTTAGTTACTTTGCAGCTCAGACTTTTTTCCTATCCTTCTCACTAGCTCTCTTCTCAGAGTTAAGTACCCACTTTTGAAGAGTTCCCTGTGATCTTGGCATGTTTGTCCTAAGGAGAACATTTTTCTGACATCTTAGCTAATTCACTGTGTGTATTATTGGGGGAAAATGGTCTTTCCATTTGTAGAGTTTTTGAATTCAGAGAAAGTATATTTGAATTGTAGACAACTGGTTTAAATTAAATAGGAAATGATATGCACATATTTAAATGTACACAATATCAGAGCTAATGAAGCAGTTGATTGCCATGCAATTTTTTTTTAACTATTAGAAACTTTAATTTGTCTAACAGTTTTTTGTTGTGCTTGGTTTTCTTTGAGTGTGTAAATTATAGGCAGTTTAATTTGGGCCACATGATTTTATAGACCTAATTTATTTCCGCCATGGTTATATTAATAGACTGTTTTCACTTAATATATAATTTAATCTAAATAGAAGCCTATGAGAAAGAAAAAAAGGCCTGTTTTGTTTGATATTTAAAATTTAAACTGAAGAAGTTACCTTCAATTTCTTTTCTGTGAGAGGGAAGGATGGGGGACACAGATGAGGTTGAGGAGGGAGACTGATTTTCTTTTTTTTTTTTCTTAACTTTTATTTTTAAATAATTATAGATTTACAAGAAGGTTAGAAGAAATGGATAGTTCCTCATCCATGCTCCTCTAGTGTCAACATTTAATATAACTATTGTATAATATCAATATCAAGAAATTGACATTGGCAGAATCTATAGAGCTTATTCTGATTTCACTAGTTATACAAGTATTCATTTGTGGGTGTGAGTATCTGTGCAATTTTACTACACATGTAGTTCCATGTAACTAGAAAAGATACATTTTCACTTATTTGTTAATTTTATTTTTATATTCTCTATTATTAAAAAAAATTTTTTTTGAGATGGAGTCTTGCTCTGTCACCCAAGCTGGGGTGCAGTGGTGTGATCTCAACTCACTGCAACCTCCGCCTCTTGGGTTCAAGTGATTCTCGTGCCTCAGCCTCCCGAGGAGCAGGGATTACAGGCATGTGCCACCATGCCCTGCTAAATTTTGCATTTTTAGTAGAGACAGTGTTTCACCATGTTGGCCAGGCTGGTCTCAAACTCCTGACCTCAAGTGATCTGCCCACCTTGGCCTCCCAAAGTGCTTGGATTACAGGCATGAGCCACCGCAGCTGGCCTATTTAATATTTTTAAATCAATACATTGTAATTGTACATATTTATGGGGCACAATTTGATGTTTTGATACATATATATTGTATAATGATCAAATCATGGCTGAATAATATTCCATTATATATATATCACATTTTATTTTCCATTCATCCAGTTTTGAACACTTTGGTTGATTCCATATTTTGGCTATTGTAAATAGTATTGCAATAAACATGGGAGTGAAAATATCTCTTTGACATACTGACTTCATTTCCTTTATATCCAGTAGTGAGATTGCTGAATACTACGAAAGTTCTGTTTTTAATTTTTTGAGGAAATTCTATAGAGTTTCCACAGTGGCTGTACTAGTTTGCAATCCCATCCACTGTGTGTAAGTGTTCCCCTTTCTCCACATCTTTGCCAACACTTGTTTTCTTTTGTCTTTTTAATAATGGCCACTCTAGAGATAGGTAGTATCTCATTGCGGTTTTTATTTGCATTACCCTGATAAATAGTGATGTTGAGCATTTTTTCCATGTACCTCTTGGCCATTTGAATTTCTTCTTTTGGGAAATGTCTATTAACATATTTTGCCAATGTTTAAATTGAGTTTTTGTTGTTGTTGTTGTTGTTGTTTTTTGCTGTTGAGTTATTTCAGTTTCTATGTTCTTGGTATTAAGCCCTTGTCAGATGTATGGTTTGCAAATCCCATTGTGTAAGTTGTCTCTTAACTCTGCTAATTGTTTCCTTTGCTGTACAAAGTCTTTTTAGTTTGATGTAGTCCCATTTGTCTATTTTTTGGTTGTGTTGTCTGTGCTTTTAAGATCTTACTTTAAAAATCCTTGCCCAGCTCAATGTTATAAAGCATTTCCCTCATGTTTTCTTCTAGTAATTTCATAGTTTTGGGTTTTACATTGAAGCCTTTAATCAATTTTGAGGGTTTTTTTTGTGATGGTGAGAGGTAGGGGTCTAGTCTCATTCTTCTGCATGTGGATACCCAATTTACCATGTACCATTTATTGAAGAGACTATTTTTGTTCCCCAATGTTTGTTCTTGACACCTTTGATGAAAATCAGTTGGCTGTGGGTGCATGAATTTATTTCCGGGCTCTCTATAATATTCCATTGGTCTATGTGTCTGTTTTTATGCTAGTATCATGCTGTTTTGGTTACTATAGCTTTGTAGCATATTTTGAAGTCAGAAAGTGTGATGCCTCCAGCTTTGTTGTTTTGCTCTGGCTATTCAGGGTTGTCTGTGGTTCCATGTGAGTTTTGGAATTGTTCTTTCTATTTCTGTGAATAATGTCATTGGTTTTTTTTTTTTTTTTTTTTTTTTTGAGACGGAGTCTCTGTCGCCCAGGCTGGAGTGCAGTAGCATCATCTCATCTCACTGCAAGTTCCAACTCCTGGGTTCACGCCATTCTCCTGCCTCAGCCTCCCAAGTAGTTTGGTCTATAGGCGCCCACCACCAGGCCTGGCTAAACTTTTTTGTATTTTTAGTAGAGACGGGGTTTCACTGTATTAGCCAGGATGATCTCGATCTCCTAACCTCGTGATCTGCCGCCTCAGCCTCACAATGTGCTGGGATTACAGGCGTGAGCCACCGCGCCCAGCCGTCACTGGTATTTTGATACAGATTGTATTAAATCTGATGATCACTTTGGGTAATATAGCCATTTTAGCAACATAAGTTCTTCTAATTCAGGAATACATGATATCCTTTCATTTATTTGTGTCATACTCAGTTTTTTTTTCATTAACGTTTTATAGTTTTCAGTGTAGAGATCTTTCACCTTCTTGGTTAAGTTTATACCTAAGTATCTTATTTTTTTGTGTGAAATTATTTTCTTGATCTCTTTTTCAAATGGTTTGCTATTAGTATACACAAATGCTACTGAGTTTTGTATGTTGATTTTGTATCCTTCAGCTTTACTGAATTCATTTATAGCTCTGTTTTTTGGTGGCATTTTTAGGGTTTTCTTTTTTTAACTTTTTATTTTAAGTTCAAGGTACATGTGTGGGTTTATTACATAGGTAAACTTGTGTCATGGGGGTTTGTTGTACAGATTATTTCATCACACAGGTATTAAGCCCAGTACCAATTAGTTATTTTTCCTGATTCTTCTCTCCTTTCTCCCATTCTTCACCCTTTAATAGGCCCCAGTGTGTGTTGTTTCCCCTTTTTGTGTCAATGTGTTCTCATCATTTAGCTCCCACTTGTAAGTGAGAACATGTGGTATTTGGTTTTCTGTTCCTGCATTAGTTTGCTAAGGATAATGGCCTCTAACTCCATCCATGTCCCTGCAAAGGACATGATCTCATTCTTTTTTATGGCTACATAGTATTCCATGGTAGATATGTACCATATTTTCTTTATCCAGTCTATCACTGATGGGCATTTAGGTTGACACCGTGTCTTTGCTATTGTGAATAGTGCTGCAATGAACATATGTGTGCATGTGTCTTTATAGTAGAATGATTTATATTCCTTTGGGTATATGCCCAGTAACGGGATTGCTGGATCAAATGGTAGTTCTGTTTTTAGGTCTTTGAGGAATTGCCACATTGTCTTCCACATTGGTGGAACTAATTTACACTTCCACTAACAGTGTATAAGCATTCTTTTTTCTCCACAACTTTGCCAGCATCTGTTATTTTTTGACTTTTTAATAATACCCATTCTGAATAGTGAGAAATGGCATCTCATTGTGGTTTTGATTTGCATTTCTCAAATGATCAGTGATATTCAGCTTTTTTTCGTATGATTGTTGGTCATATGTATGTCTTCTTTTGAAAAGTGTCTATTTATGTCCTTGGCCAACTTTTTAATGGGGTTTTTTTTGCTTATAAATTTGTTTAAGTTGCTTATAGATGCTGGATATTAAACGTTTGTCAGATGCATAGTTTGCAAATATTTTCTCCCATTCTCTAGGTTGTCTTCTCACTCTGTTGATAGTTTCTTTTGCTGTATGCAGAAAGCTCTTTAATTAGATTCCATTTGTCAATTTTTGCTTTTGTTGCAATTGCTTTTGGTGTCTTTGTCATGAAATCTTTGCCCATGCCTAGATCCTGAATGGTATTGCCTAGGTTGTCTTCCAGGGTTTTTATAGCTTTGGGTTTCACATTTAAGTCTTCAATTCATCTTGAGTTAATTTTTGTATATGGTATAAAGAAGGGGTCAAGTTTTAATCTTCTGCATGTGGATAGCCAGTTATCCCAGCACCATTCGTTCAATAGGGAATCCTTTCCCCATTGCTTGTTTCTGTCAGGTTTATGGAAGATCAGATGGTTGTAGGTGTGTGGCCTTATTTCTGTTCCATTGGTCTCTGTGTCTGTTTTTGTAACAGTACCATGCTTTTTTGGTTACTGTAGCCCTATAGCACAGTTTGAAGTCAGGTAGCACGATGCTTCCAGCTTTGTTTTATCTTAGGATTGCCTTCACTATTCAGGACCTTTTTTGGTTCTATATGAGTTTTAAAATAGTTTTTTTCTAGTTCTGTGAAGAATCTCAACGGTAGTTTGATAGAAATAGCATTGAATCTATAACTTGCTTTGGGCAGTATGGCCATTTTTACAACATTGATTCTTCCTATCCATGAGCATAGAATGTTTTTCCATTTGTTTGTGTCATCTCTGATTTCTTTGAGCAGTATTTTGTAGTTCTCCTTGTAGAGACCTTTCACCTCCCTAGTTAGCTGTATTCCCAGGTATTTTATTCTTTTCGTAACAATTATGAATGGGATTGCCTTTCTGATTTGGCTCTTGGTTTGACTGTTGTTGGTGTATAGGAATGCTAATGATTTCTGTACATTGATTTTGCATCCTGAGACTTTGCTGAAGTTATCAGCTTAAGAAGCTTTTGGGCCAAGACTATGGGGTTTTCTAGATGTAGGATCATGTCATCTGCAAACAGGGATAGTTTGACTTCCTCTGTTCCTATTTGGATGCCCTTTATTTCTTTCTCTTGCCCGACTGCCCTGGCCAAAACTTCCAACACTATGTTGAATAGGAGTGGTGAGAGAAGGCATCCTTGACTTCTGCCGGTTTTCAAGGGGAATGCTTCCAGCTTTTGCTCATTCAGTATGATGTTGGCTGTGTGTTTGTATTAACGGCTCTTATTATTTTGAAGTATGTTTCTTTAATACCTACTTTATTGATTTTTTTTTTCAACATGAAGGGGTGTTGAATTTTATTGAAGGCCTTTTCTGCATCTATTGAGATAATCATGTAGTTTTTGTCTTTAATTCTGTTTATATGATGAATCACATTTATTGATTTGCTTATGTTGAACCAATCTTGCATTCCAGGGATAAAGCCCACTTGATTGTGGTGGATATGCTTTTTGATGGCTGCTGGATTCAGTTTGCCAAGTATTTTGACAAAGATTTTTGGATCTATGCTTATCAAGGATATTGGCTTAAAGTTTTCTCTTTTTTTGTTGTATCTTTGACAGGTTTGGGATCAGGATGATGCTGGCCTCATAGAATGAGTTAGAGAGGAGTCCCACCTCCTCAATTTCTTGGAATACTTTCAGCAGGAATGGTACCAGCTCTTCTTTGTACATATGATAGAATTTAGCTGTGAATCCATCTGGTCCTGGGCTTTTTTTTTGGTTGCTAGGCTATTTATTACTGACTCAATTTCAGAGATCATTATTGGTCTGTTCAAGGATTCAATTTCTTCCAGTTTCAGTCTTGGGAGGGTGTATGTTTCCAGAAATTTATCCATTTCTTCTAGATTTTCTAGTTTATGTGCATATAGATGTTCATGATCTCTGATGGTTGTTTGTATTTCTGTGGGGTCAGTGGTAATATCCCCCGTGTCATTTCTTATTGTGTTATCTGGATCTTCCCTCTTTTCTTCTTTATTATTCTAGCCAGTGGTCTATTTATTAATTTTTTCAAAAAACCAATTCCTGGATTTGTTGATCTTTTGAATAGTTTTTCATGTCTCAGTCTCCTTCAGGTCAGCTCTGATTTTGGTTATTTTGTGTCCTCTCCTAGCTTTGGGATTTGTTTGCACTTGGTTCTTTAGTTCTTTTAGTTGTAAAGTTAGATTGTTAACTTGAGATCTTTCTAACTTTTTGATGTGGGCATTTAGTGCTGTAAATTTCCCTCTTAACACTGCCTTAGCTATGTCCCAGAGATTTTGATATGTTATATCTTTGTTTGTATTAGTTTCAAAGAACTTCTCGATTTCTACTTTAATTTCATTATTTACCCAAAAGTCATTCAGGAGCAGGTTATTCAATTTCTATGTAATCGTGTAGTTTTCAGTGAATTTCTTAGTTTTGATTTCTAATTTGATTGTGCTGTGGTCCAAGAGATTGTTTGTTATAGTTTCTGTTCTTTTTCATTTGCTGAAGAGTGTTTTAATTTTGATTCTGTCTAGCTAAATGTTTGGTATTTTTTTTTGTTTTTGTTTTTAAAAACTCTTCATTTTGTTATCTTTTGAATTTTTTAAAATCTCTATTTCATTTATTTCTGCTCTGAGTTTTATTATTTCTTTCCTTCTACCAGTTTTATGTTTAGTTTGTTCTTTTAGGTTCTTGGTTGAGTTGTTTATTAGAAATCTTTCTTTTTTGGTGTAGGCATTTGTTGCTATGAACTTCCCTCTCAGAACTTTTGTTGTTGTGTCTCGTAGATTTTGGTATGATATATTCCTTGTTTGTCTCAAGAAATTTTTATATTTCTCTTTTAATTTCTTCATGATCTGTTAGTTATTTAGGTACATATTATTTGTATCTGAAGTTTTTCTTTTTATTGATTTCTGGTTTTACACCATTGTAATCCGAAAAGATTCTTGATATGACTTCTAGCTTTTTACACTTGGTAAGACTTGGTTTTTGGCCTAACATATGATCTGTCTTGGAGAATGTTTCATGTGCAGTTGAAAATAATGTGTATTCTGCAGCTATGAAATGAAGTATTCTGAAAATGTCAGGTCCATTTGCAGTATGGTGTAGTTTAAGTCTGATGTTTCTTTGTTGATTTTCTGTCTAGATAATATGTCTACTGTTGAGAGTGGGGTGTTGAAGCTCTCTATTATTCTTCCATTGCAGTCTATCTTTCTCTTTAGATCTAATAAGATTTCTTTTATGTATTTGGGTGTTTCAAAATGTTGAGTATATATGTATGTACAATTGTTATGTCTTCTTGTCAAGTTGATATCTTTAATATCTTTATCTTTACATAATGACCTTCTTTGTCTCTTTTTATAGATTTGACTTAATGTCTATTTTATCTGATATAAATATGGCTATTCCTGTCACTTTGGTTTCTGCTTGCATGGGATATCTTTTCCTGTCCCTTCACTTTCAATCTATGTTTGTCTTTAACAGTGAGGTGCAGCTCAAGCAGACAGCATATAGTTGGGCCTTGTTTTCCTTTTAGCCATTCAGCCACTCTATATCTTTTCATTGGAGAATGGAATCCATTGACATTGAAGGTTATTATTGATAAATAAAGGCTTACTCCTGCCATTTTGTTTATTGTTTTCTGGTTGTTTTATAGGTTATTCTTTGTTACTTTCTTCCTCTCTTTTTGTTTACCACTGTGCTTTCATGGTTTTCTGTGTTGCTAAGCTTTGTTACCTTTCTCTTTTCATTTGTGTATCTGGTGTAATTTTTTTCTTTGTGGTTACCATTGGGCTAACAGAGTTTTATAGGTATATTTTAAGCTGATAGTAACTTAGCTTTATTCATATAGAAATACTCTAGGCTTCCCCCTCACCCTCACAATTTATATTTTTGTCACCTTAAGTTACTTATTTATTTGTTATATGTTCCTTAGCCACTAATTATGGCCAAGGTTTTTTTTTTTTTTTGCCATTTTGACTTTAAACTTGTATACTAGAGGGTTGAGATATTCACATGGCACCATTACATCAGTGGAGCATTCTGAATTTGATTTATAAAATTTACCTCTATTAGTATGTTTTATACTTTCTTGTCTTTTCATGATAGTAATTATTATTCTTTCATTTCCAGCTGTAGCACTCTCTTAAGCAACTCTTGTAAGGCCAGTTTAGTGGTGATAAATTCCCTCAGCTTTTGCTTATCTCAGAAGTTCTTTATTTTCTGCTTCATTTCTGAAGGATACATTTGCTAATTATAATATTCTTGGTTGACAGTTTTTTGTTTCCTTTTACCACTTCAAGTATATCATCCCCTTCTCTCCTGGTCTGCAATGTTTCTGCTGAGAAATCTGGCAATAGTCTCATGAGAATTTCTTTATATTAGGGGCACTTTTCTCTTGCAGCTTTAAAAGTTCTCTTTTTTCTTTGACTTTTGACAGTTTGATTATAATATGCCTCAGAGAGGATCTTTTTGGGTGGAATCTAATGGAGACCTTTGAACTTCCTGAATCTGGGTGTTCATACCTCTCCTAATACTTGGGAAGTCATCAGTTATAATTTTATTAAATAGGTTTTCTATGCTTTGCTCTATCTCTACTTCCTCTGACACTTCTATAAGTGAAATTTATTCACTTAATAACATCCTATAAGTCCTGTAGGCTTTCTTCATCCTTTAAAATTTTTATTTCTTTTTTTCCCTTCTGACTGAGATATTTCAACAGACTTGAAGTTTAGATATTCTTCTTCTTGATCTAGTCTTTTGTTGAAGCTCTCAATTATATTTTTTATTTCATTCATTGAATTCTTCAAATACAAGATTTCTGTCTGGTTCTTTTTAAAGGTATCTATGTCTTTATTGAATTTCTTAGTGAGATCAGAATGGTTTTTGTGATTTTATTGAATTGTTTCTGTTCTTTTGTATCTCACTGAGTTCCCCTAAGATTGTTATTTTGAATTCCTTTTCAGAGATTACAGGCATTTCCCTTTTATTTTTTTTTTAATTTTTTATTATACTTTAAGTTTTAGGGTACATGTGCACAATGTGCAGGTTAGTTACATACGTATACATGTGCAATGTTGGTGTGCTCCACCCAGTAACTCATCATTTAACATTAGGTATAACTCCAAATGCTATCCCTCCCCCCTCCCCCGACCCCACAACAGGCCCCGGTGTGTGATGTTCCCCTTCCTGTGTCCACGTGTTCTCATTGTTCAATTCCCACCTATGAGTGAGAACATGCGGTGTTTGGTATTTTGTCCTTGCGATAGCTCGCTGAGAATGATGGTTTCCAGCTTCATCCATGTCCCTACAAAAGACATGAACTCATCCTTTTTTATGGCTGCATAGTATTCCATGGTGTATATGTGCCACATTTTCTTTTTTATTTATTTATTTATTTATTATTATTATACTTTAAGTTTTAGGGTACATGTGCACAATGTGCAGGTTAGTTACATATGTATACATGTGCCATGCTGGTGCGCTGCACCCACTAACTCGTCATCTAGCATTAGGTATATCTCCCGATGCTATCCCTCCCCCCCTCCCCCCACCCCACAACAGTCCCCAGAATGTGATGTTCCCCTTCCTGTGTCCATGTGTTCTCATTGTTCAGTTCCCACCTATGAGTGAGAATATGCGGTGTTTAGTTTTTTGTTCTTGAGATAGTTTACTGAGAATGATGATTTCCAATTTCATCCATGTCCCTACAAAGGACATGAACTCATCATTTTTTATGGCTGCATAGTATTCCATGGTGTATATGTGCCACATTTTCTTAATCCAGCCTATCGTTGTTGGACATTTGGGTTGGTTCCAAGTCTTTGCTATTGTGAATAATGCCGCAATAAACTTACGTGTCCATGTGTCTTTATAGCAGCATGATTTATAGTCCTTTGGGTATATACCCAGTAATGGGATGGCTGGGTCAAATGGTATTTCTAGTTCTAGATCCCTGAGGAATCGCCACACCGACTTCCACAATGGTTGAACTAGTTTACAGTCCCATCAACAGTGTAAAAGTGTTCCTATTTCTCCACATCCTCCCCAGCACCTGTTGTTTCCTGACTTTTTAATGATCACCATTCTAACTGGTGTGAGATGGTATCTCACTGTGGTTTTGATTTGCATTTCTCTGATGGCCAGTGATGGTGAGCATTTTTTCATGTGTTTTTTGGCTGCATAAATGTCTTCTTTTGAGAAGCGTCTGTTCATGTCCTTCGCCCACTTTTTGATGGGGTTGTTTGTTTTTTTCTTGTAAATTTGTTTGAGTTCATTGTAGATTCTGGATATTAGCCCTTTGTCAGATGAGTAGGTTGGGAAAATTTTCTCCCATTTTTTAGGTTGCCTGTTCACTCTGATGGTAGTTTCTTTTGCTGTGCTCTTTAGTTTAATTAAACTCTTTAGTTTAATTAGATCCCATTTGTCAATTTTGTCTTTTGTTGCCATTGCTTTTGGTGTTTTAGACATGAAGTCCTTGCCCATGCCTATGTCCTGAATGGTAATGCCTAGGTTTTCTTCTAGGGTTTTTATGGTTTTAGGTCTAACGTTTAAGTCTTTAATCCATCTCAAATTGATTTTTGTATAAGGTGTAAGGAAGGGATCCAGTTTCAGCTTTCTACATATGGCTCGCCAGTTTTCCCAGCACCATTTATTAAATAGGGAATCCTTTCCCCATTGCTTTTTTTCCTCAGGTTTGTCAAAGATCAGATAGTTGTAGCTATGCGGCGTTATTTCTGAGGGCTCTGTTCTGTTCCATTGATCTATATCTCTGTTTTGGTACCAGTACCATGCTGTTTTGGTTACTGTAGCCTTGTAGTATAGTTTGAAGTTAGGTAGTGTGATGCCTCCAGCTTTGGTCTTTTGGCTTAGGATTGACTTGGCGATGCGGGCTCTTTTTTGGTTCCATATGAACTTTAAGGTAGTTTTTTCTAATTCTGTGAAGAAAGGCATTGGTAGCTTGATGGGGATGGCATTGAATCTGTAAATTACCTTGGGCAGTATGGCCATTTTCACGATATTGATTCCTCCTACCCATGAGCATGGAATGTTCTTCCATTTGTTTGTATCCTCTTTTATTTCCTTGAGCAGTGGTTTGTAGTTCTCCTTGAAGAGGTCCTTCACGTCCCTTGTAAGTTGGATTCCTAGGTATTTTATTCTCTTTGAAGCAATTGTGAATGGGAGTTCACTCATGATTTGGCTCTCTGTTTGTCCGTTATTGGTGTATAAGAATGCTTGTGATTTTTGTACATTGATTTTGTATCCTGAGACTTTGCTGAAGTTGCTTATCAGCTTAAGGAGATTTGGGGCTGAGACAATGGGGTTTTCTAGATATACAATCATGTCGTCTGCAAACAGGGACAATTTGACTTCCTCTTTTCCTAATTGAATACCCTTTATTTCCTTCTCCTGCCTAATTGCCCTGGCCAGAACTTCCAACACTATGTTGAATAGAAGTGGTGAGAGAGGGCATCCCTGTCTTGTGCCAGTTTTCAAAGGGAATGCTTCCAGTTTTTGCCCATTCAGTATGATATTGGCTGTGGGTTTGTCATAGATAGCTCTTATTATTTTGAGATACGTCCCATCAATACCTAATTTATTGAGAGTTTTTAGCATGAAGGGTTGTTGAATTTTGTCAAAGTTTTTTTTTTTTTTTTTAAGAAATCTGTTACTAGAGACTTAGTGTTCCTTTGTGGGTATCATGTTTCTTTGCTTTTTTATGGTTTTGTGTGTGTTTGTGTGTGTGTGCGAGGGTGTGTGTGTCCTTATGTTGCTATATGTGCATCTAGTGTAATAGTTGCTGTTTCCAATTTTATGGGGTAGCTTCCCTAGGGAGGGGCTTTTCCCTTTAGGTAGGTCCTAGGGAGTCAGTTGGGTGTGAAGCATTGACTTTGTTCCTGGGTAGACTCAGTGGTCTGGTTTTTATGTAGTTTCTTCAGCTGTAATCCTTGTCAATGCTGTGTTGATTACCTCAGTGGTCTAGGCTTTGGGTGTTTTTAATGGCAGTGGTGTGTTTTTGCTGGGAGTGGGGGTGCCCCCACTCCCAACAGGTTGGATGTTGGACTAATCAAGTGCAGCCATAGAGCGCTGACAAGGTGTCTGGCAGGCTTTGCAGGAAATTTCTGCCAGGCTAGCTTTCAGAGGCTGGGTACATTTGCTAGTGGGTATGGTGAAGCTGGGCAGCTCTGTAGAGGCCAGTCTAAGGAGACAAGGTTGCCACAGGACTTGCTGTCAGTCTATGCATGGGCTTTCATGGGTTCAATGGCTTTGGGTGACTCCATGGAGGTACAACTGGGGACACTGCAGGACTGGCTGTCAGGCTACACACAGGTGCATGTAGGCATGGTAGGGCTAGGCAGGCAGCAGCCTGTCCTAAGGGTAGGGACACAGCAGGACCAGCTGTGAGGCCAAGTGTAAGTGCTTGCAGGCTCAGGAGACAGGCATGGCAGCCAACAGGATGTTTGATAGCTTCCCTGCTGTGCAGGTCTGCTCCCCATACCAAGGGGATAGTTGCTGTGTGGATTCAAATATTAAGTTCTCAGTCATTCTGTCTGGCCTAGGCTCCAAGCAGTTGGGGTTGTAGTGCTACAGGCCCTTGTGTGAGAGTGGTGGAATGATGGCAAGGGTTCAGAGATGGAAAGAGTCAGTTGCTACTGGCCCCCAGGGCAAGATGCATTCTAGTAGTAGGTCCAGTTTCAAGATGGCACTGAGCAGTAGCAGCTTTGGCCATGGGGGTGGGCCAAGGTGGGCTGTTGCTATGAGGCAATGTAGCTGCATGGACTCCTAGCTACTCTCCATACTAAATTGGGGATCTGTGAAGACTGAGGTGATCTCTTACAGCAAGGATTGCTGGCATTTGTGGTAGCAGTGAGGACTGCTGGGGTTCTCTAACTTACCTTTTCCTCATAGGAAGAAGTTCCCCCTGGATCCAAGCTGATCCTGAAGGAAAAGAGAGTGTGGCAGAGGGAGGTTGCCTCACTCCCCTCTCTATGGTGCTATCCTGGGTTTCAGTGCTCCACAGAGTTTTTGCCATTCCGCTGGTGCTCTTTACTTCTTCAGTCACTCTTAGTCGAAATATAGGTCCCTTTTTGTGGGAGGGACAAGCACTAGGTAATCTAGTTGGCCATCTTCCTGACCACACACTCAAGATTATTGACTGTCCCATCACTTGTGGCTGGGTGCAGTGGCTCACAGCCACTTTGGGAGGCTGAGGAGGGCAGATCACGAGGTCAGGAGACGGAGACCACCCTGGCTAACATGGTGAAACCCCGTCTTTACTAAAAATACAAAAAAATTAGCTGGGCATGGTGGCGGGCACCTGGAGTCCCAGCTGCTCAGGAGGCTGAGGCAGGAGAATGGCGTGAACCCGGGATGCGGAGCTTGCGGTGAGCCAAGATCGCACCACTGCACTCCAGCCTGGGTGACAGAGCGAGACTGCATCTCAAAAAAAAAAACAAAAAACGAAACAAAACAAAAGACTCACTTGTGATCTCCTTGTGTAGCTACCTTCACACCCTCCCTCCTGAAACGCTAATCCCGGTAACCACTCACCTGTACTCCCTCACTATAATTATGTTATTTCATGAGTGTTATATAAATGTAATCATACACTTTGTATCCTTTTGAGATGGGCTTTTTTCACTCATAATTTTCTTGACTTTTCTTTCAAATTGCTGCATGTTGTCAGTAGTTTGTTCCTTTTTATTGTTGAATTGTTTTACATGGTATGTATGTACCACAGTGTACTTAATCAAACTCATGCATTGAAAGACATTGAACAGTTTCCATGTTTTGGATATTATGAATAAAGCTCCTGTGAAGGTTCATGTGTGAGTTTCTGTGTAAAAAATAAGTTTTGATTTTGCTGGGAGATATACTAAAGAGTATAATTTCTGATTTGCATGGTAAGTCTGTTTTTAGTTTTGAAAGGAAATTGCCAAACTGTTTTTCAGCCTGGCTTTACTATTTTACGTTTCCACCAGCAACGTATGAGTAATACAGTTTTTCCACATCTTGCTAGTATTTGGTGTTATCACTACTTTTTATTTTAGTTATCCTATAGGTGTGTAGCGATATGTCATTGTAGTTTTAATTTGTATTTCTCTAATGGCTAATGATGTTGACTATCTTTTCATGTGCTTATTTGCCATATGTATATCCTCTTTGATGAATTTTTTCTGCATACTTTTTGCCCATTTTCTAATTGGATTGTTTCTTTACTGAATTTTGATAGTTTTTTACATATGGTAGATATTAATCCTTTGTTGGATACGTGGTTTGCAAATATCATCTCCCAGTCTGTATCTCTTAGCAGGATCTTTTGTGGAGACAAAGATTTTAACTTTGTTGAAGTCCAGTTTATCCATTTTTCATGTTATGGAACATCGGTTTTCTTTTCACCAAAATGATTATAGAGCTTGAAAGGACTTTACAAAGATTCTACAGAACAGTGTTTTGTAAATTTTTGTTATTATTTTAAGCTTTTATTTTGAAATAATTATAGATTCACAAGAAGTTACAAGGCTAGAACAGGGTTCCCCTGGTCGACCTGGTTTCCCCCAATGGTTACTTCTTTTATAACTTTAGTACAATATCGTAACCAGAAAATTGATATTGGTATGATGTGTGTGTAAAATTCTGTGTCAATTTATCACACGTGTAGATTTATGTAACCACCTTATTCAAGGTACAGTACTATTTCATCACCACAAAGCTCTTCATGTTGCTACCCCTTTATTGCCACACCCACCTCCTTAAATGCCCCCACACCCCCAATCCATAACCACTGGCTACCACTAATTTGTTCTCTGTCTCTACCATTTTGTCATCTCAAGAATGTGCCGTATACCCAGACTTCACCACTGTACAATATATGCACGTAAGAAATCTCCACTTGCGCTCCCTAAACATATAACAGTAATTTTCTTTAAAGGAATGCACTAGAATTGGTATTATATAGTATATGAAGTTTTTTACATTTAAAAATTATAAAATAGTGGTGCATTTTTGGCCGGGCGCAGTGGCTCACACCCATAATCCCAGCACTTTGGGAGGCCAAGGTAGGTGAATCACGAGGTCAGAAGATCGAGACCATCCTGGCTAACACACTGAAACCCCATCTCTACTAAAAATACAAAAAATTTGCCGGGCGTGTTGGCGGGCGCCTGTAGTCCCAGCTACTTGGGAGGCTGAGGCAGGAGAATGGTGTGAACCCAGGAGGCAGAGCTTGCAGTGAGCTGAGATTGTGCCACTGCACTCCAGCCTGGGTGATAGAGCAAGGCTCTGTCTCGAAAAAAAAAAAAAGTGGTGCATTTTTGGGGTGCATATGATGTTTTGATACTTGCATACAATGTATAACAATCACATCAAGGTAATTGGGATGTTCAGTGTATGACCTTTTGAAACTGCTTCTTTTCTTTCACTCTGTATAATGCCATTAAGATTCATGCAAATTGTTGTGTGTATCAATAATTCATTCCTTTTTATTGTTCAGTAGTACTTCGTGGTATGTATATACTACAGTTTGTTTAACTGTTCATCCCTTATACGACATTTTGGCTGTTTCCAATTTATGGTTATTACACATAAAGCTGCTGTGAACAATCATGTATGGGTCTGTGTATGGGTATGTTTTCATTCTTTGGTATAAATGCTTAGGCGGGTGATTGTCAGATAGCATAGTAAGAGTATGTTTATTTTTCAAAGAAACTACCCATTTTTTTTTTTCAGGGTAGCTGTAGCGTTTTACATTCCCATCAGCGATATAGGAGAGACCCAGTTTCTGTGTATCCTTGCAAGTGTTTGCTATTGTCATTAAAAAAAAACAGCTTTATTGAAATACAATTTATGCAGCGTAAAATTCACCCTTTGAAGCGTACAATTCAGTGGTTTTTAGTACATTCACAGAGTCGTGCAAGCATTACTGCTATTTAATATTAGAAGTTTCATCACTTCCAAAAAACTAAAAATGACCTTTACCCATTAGCAGTCATCTTCCATCCCTTAGGCCCCTCCCAGCCCAGGGCGACCACTAATCTTTCTCTTCCTATGGATATTTCTAGTCTGAATATTTTCTATAAACGGAATTATACAATACAGCCTTTTTGTCTGGCTTCTTTCACTTAGCATGATATTTTCAAGGTTCATCCATAGCCTGTATCAGTACTTCATTCCTCTTTAAATCTGAATAACACTCTATTGTGGGTTTATACCACGTTTTATTTGTCAGTTCATCTGATGATGGATACTTGGGTTGTTTCCACTTTTGGTAATTATGAATAATGCCAAAAACATTTGTGTACAAGTTTTAAGAACATGTGTGCACAAATTTTTGTGTGGATATGTTTTCATGACTCTTTGGTATATACCTAGGAGTGGAATTGATGGGTCATATGGCACCTCTATGGTTAGCATTTTGAGGGACTTTTAAACTCTTCCAAAGTCCTGTATCATTTCTACATTTCTCCCAGCGATGCATGAAGGTTTCAGTTTCTCTGCACCCTTGCCGACATTTGTTGTTGTCTGTTTTTAAAAAATTATAGCTATCCTAGTGGGTGTGAAGTGATATCTCATTGTGGTTTTATTTGACTACCCTAATGACTAATGATGTTGAACAGTTTTTCGTGTGCTTTTTGCTCATTTGCTCATTTGTCTATCTTCTTGGAGAAATGTCAATTTACATCTTTGACACATTTAAAAATTGGGTTATGTGTCTTTCTATTGTTGATTTATAAGTGTTATTTATATATTCGGAATACAAGTTCCTTATCAGACATATTATTTGCAAATATCATCTCCCATTCTATCAGCTCTTTTTTCGTTGTATTGATAGTGTACTTGGAAGCACTAAAGTTTTTAATTTTCATAAACTCAGATTTACTGATTTTTTCTTCTTTTGCCAGTGCTTTTGGTACTGTCTAAGAAACCATTGCTTAATCCTACGTCATAAAGATTTATTCCTATGTTTTCTTATAAGGGTTTCAAAAGTTTTGCTGTTACATTTTGAGTTAATTTTTAATGTATGGTGTGATGTAGGGGCCCAATTTCATTTTTTTTTAAATGTGGATATCTAGTTGTTCCAGCACCATTTGTTGCAAAGACTATTCTTTCCTCATTGAATTTTCTTGGCAATCTTGTAAAAAATCAATTGATCATAGATACAGTGAGTTTGGTTTTGGTTCTCAATTCTGTTTAATTAGCTATATCTCTATCCTAATGCTAGTACCACACTGTCTTGATTACTATAGCCTTGTAGTAAGTTTTGAAATCAGGAATTACAGATATTCCAATTTTGTTCATTTTTTTCTAAGATTATTTTGGTTATTCTGGGTCCCTTGCAGTTCCATGTGAATATTAGGATCAACTTGTCAGTGTTTGCAAAACAATAAAGCAACTGGGATTTTGATAAAATTGTCTTAAATCTTTAGATCAATTAACAATATAAAGTCTTCCAATTCATAAATATTGGCTAGCTTTCCATTTATTTCAGCATTTTGTCATTTTTTTCAATGACGTTTCATAGTTTTTGTGTACAGATCTTGCATTTCTTTTGTTAAACTTATTCTTAAATATGTTACTGGTTTTGATGTTATTGTACATGAGATTTTTTAAAAATTTAGTTTTTAATGTTGCATTGCTAGTGTATAGAAATACAAATGATTTATGAATATAGGTCTTGTACCCTGAACTTGTTTGATAGTTTTTGAATAGATTCCTCAGGATTTTCTATACAAGATTATGTCAGGGAAGGCCTCACTGATAAGGTGGCATCTGAACAGAACATTTTAAGTGGGGGCAAGAAGGGAGTGACAGCAGAAACCTTGAGATGGGGCATGTTTGGTGGGTCTTCAGGGCACAGTGAGGAGGCTGGTGTGGGTAGTGGTGAAGGCTTTGGATTTTATCATGGGGGAGATGGGAAGCTGTGAGGTGGTTGAGAGCAGAGTAGGGGTATGGAATAATCCTCTTAGCCTTGGCCCTACCTCTTTTTCCAGCCACAATTGCTGCAACCATTTCCACCTTGAATTTCACAAGTGCTTCACTGCAGGCTTGTGCCACTGGCCTAGTCTCTTGTCCTGGAAGCTCCTCTGAACTTGTATGTAGTAAGAGACATCTCCTTAGACTCACACAGGTACAACAGGCTCTTGAAGCAATCCTTGATCACTGGGGTATAGAAGCTAATGCTCCCCTTCTCTTCCCTCAGGTGCATGTCTCTGAGACATACTAATAATGTTCATCAAGAGGTCCCTTGGGGACAAAGCATCACTTGCTTAAGTTACACTTTCTTGTATTGGCCCCACCTCTTTCCTGTTTCAGTGCCTGCCCCTCATTCCTGCTCCCTGCAACCACAATGTCAAATAAAATGTGCATACAGAAGCCTTTGTCTCATGGGTCCTAGGCAGGCATGAGGACTTTGCCCTCAGGGACCCTAGGCAGACATGCACTGGCTTTAGGAGAATCTCTGTGGCTGCTGGACAGATAATAGACTGGGGATGGGGGCAAAGAGCGAGAAGGAAGCAGAAAGAACAGTTAGCCCTGATTCAGTTCACCAGGGAGAGCTGATAGCCACTCAGCCTAGAGAAGGCTGTGAGACTGCAGGATATGGTTGGATTGGAGGCATTTTGGAGGTACAGCCAACAGAATTTGCTAATGGATTGGATGTAAAATGTAAGAGCCGAGTCAAGGGTGACTCCCAAGTGACTGTCTAAGCCACAAGGGAATGGAATTGCTATTGACATTGGTAGGAGCTGGATTGGGGAACTTGGTTCCAGACAATTAAGTTTGAGAATCCCATTAGGCATTCAAATGGACATTCCTTATGTTACAAATACAGAATCAGAAACCAAAAAGGGTGAAAAATCACCTATTCAAGATCATATCAGTAAGAAACAAAAATAAAAGCAAGAAGTAAGAAAAGGCAAAACAAAAACCCATATTTATGTATCTACATTAGCATATATCAATATATATTCTTAATGTCTCACTTCCTCTTTTACCTGACCTCAGTGTGTTCCCAGAAATTTTTCTGGGAGAAAAGTCTTCTAGAGCAAGCTGTGCTCTGGGTGTGAAGTGGCCTTAGGACCAGGATGGCAGGGGAAAAGCAGGGCTGAAAAGTTCAAACGGGTGGTGATCTCAGCTGTCATTTCATGTCCTTCTGAACATTCTTTGTTGATATTACTTACTCTTCAAAACAGCTGAGAGGTGGTGGTTCAGAATCCTCATTTCTACTTGAGGGTAAAGAAGGGAGGCTCAGAAAGGCTGAGTGATGTGATTGAAGCTGTGTAATTAATAAAGTTGATACCTAAGTAAGACTTTATACCCTGGTCTCCCCAGTTCTGGTCATGCCACAGCCCCTCCCACTTGCATGAATGTTCTGGGGAGCCATAGCTACTTCCAGGGGGAGCTCTTCCCAGCCTGGCCCAGGAACTTTGGATCCTGTCACTCTGGCTCCTCTGCATGCTCTCTGAGAAGGGCACGTGAGAGCCATTACAGAGCCCCAGGACTCGGAGCTGTGTTCCTGAGAGGGGCACTGTCCACATACATTTCTCAACTGGGATCCTTGTCTAATGTCTAATGTCTTGACAAAAACTTGCAACTGATATGGCAAAAGATTCCTTCATTGCTATGACATTAACTGAACAAGTGAGTTGTTCACTGGCCCAAGGCTAAGTTTAGCTGTCAGGTGCATGAAAGCTGTGAAGAGAAGATAATGCATTTTCCTCTCCAGGGAGAAGAGAAAACATGTTCTCCTCTTTCATCTGTATCAAAGTTATCAACCTAACTGTTCTCTGAGCTTAGAAAACTGAACTTAAACATCAATAAACATTTATTCTCTTTTATATTTTTGATAAAATGATGTATTTTTGTTTTTTTCTTTAAAGTGTTAGGAGTCTTTGTTCTGTACCTTGCATATTTGAATTTTCTGCCCCATGTGCATTACAAAATGTTCATATTATATGAATGAAAAGTTACAATCATACTTAGGTTTAATTCTAACAGTAATGTACACATAGTGTTGGCAAATGGTCAACAGCAGGTGTAAGGATGAATTGTTTTATTAGCCAATAAGAACTGAGGCACTGGGACCATCCTGGAAAATATTTGAGAATGAGAGTTGGCTTCACAGGTCTGGTAAAATCTCAAGGACAGGCAATAGAGGAAACCATATGAAATAAAAAAATGGAGGAGAAAAGTTATTTTAAACATTTTCCTATTCAAAGCATTAGGAACTAATTAGCACCTGATACCTCCACCCAACAAGGGGATAAATGCCAGGCTTTTTTCAATTTATCTTTTTATGTTCAGTGAAGATGTATAAGTTGGCACAGAAAGCCTTGAGGGTTTCATAAACAGCAAAACAGCTCATCACCAAGCGGAGCTATGTGACTAGGTTCCAACACCAGTATGTTTCTGTGATGTAGGGGTTGGCTTTTTGCCTCGTTAGTAAAATAAGATAATCAGTAGTTATTGCTGACAGAACTCATGGAGAGGTAGAAAGACCATGGATACTTTTGTAAATGTCTTAGAACAATACAAGTTCTGGTATGAATATCAACATTGTCCATTGCCAAGAGTGAGGTGAAAGCCATGCTAGTCTGGTAAGCAGTACTTGGTCGGGGCTTGCATTGGTCAACCAGACCATTTCCTTCTTTCTCATCCACGTCCCTCATCGTCCATGTTATCCTTTTATTTAGAGGTCTTGCTGAGCATTTTCTCGTAACAGGTTAGATACATATTATAACTAGGTATTGCTAACTTTGATCAATGTTTATAGTTTTCTGTTTTGCAGTCCGTCACCCTTCCCACTTCAGCACCATGTCATAAAAAGGGAGAAGTATTGCTTACATGGAGGACTTAACATGTGTTGACTTAGCACCTCTGTGGCTGATCTTCCTCTGCCTACTCTTTATACGTTGGTTCTAAGACTCCATCATTGACTGACTTCTCTTCTTACATTACTCTCTTGTAAAAGTCTTGATGACTTCCAAATTTGCAACCACTGAACACACACTTATTAAAAATCTAAGAGGCTAGATGCTGAGATCTCAAAGGTGAGTAAGACAGCATCTCTCTAGCTGCCAGTGTGCCCACTAGACATCATCCCTCCTTGGGTGTTCAGTGGGTGTACCAGAGTCAGCTTGTCCAAAACAAGCTCATCATCCTCTGAAAGTCTTTCCCTCTACTACCCACCAGTTAACCATCTAGAAGAAATCCTTCATTTCTCCCCCTAAAGCCCCATAACCAATTTGATTTTTTTTTTCTAAAAATCTCTTGGAAGCACACAGCAATGATTATGACTTTAGAGTAAGAATTGCCTGAGTTTGAATCTTGGCTCTACAAGTTTACTATCCATGTGATTCTGTGTCAGTTTCCTTATCTGAAGATGGGAATAATAATGGTGCCTGCCACAAAGTGACTATTGTGAAGTTTAGAGGACTTAACCCATATAGAGTCTTAGAACAGTGCCCATTACACAGAAAACAATCACAATTATAAACATGATTATACTTACATATTTTTTGTAAGTTATAATAATTTTGCAATAATGCATACAATTATAAATTTATGTGTTTATAATATATAGATATATTATAAATTTATAATATACATTGGGTATATATATGGAATCTTGACATTCATACCATAATTTTGTTTATAATATATGGAATTGTAAACACTATCATAACAATTATTTTTATGCATCCTCCCTTGTCACCACCACTGCTTTAGTTTGGGCCATCCTCATCTCTCACCTGGATTATTGCAGTCGCCTCCTAAATGTCTTCCCTATCACCAGGCTTCCTGCTTCCTATCCATTTCTCATACTACCATCAGAATTATTCTTTTTAATCAAAATTTAACCATTTTACTTCTCTTCTCACATTTTTAGGAGATTCGGAATAAAGCCTAAAGTTTTTATTGTGATCTAAGAGACTCTTAGGCCCTGCCTTTTACTCATTTTTCCATTTTCACTTTCTGCTTCCAGTGCTCAGCTGTAACTGTTTCACACCTTCCCTGCTCTCCTCCCTTACCCCCAGCCCACCTGGTAACCTTCAACTCCTTCTTCCAGACTCTTCTCGGGTGCTGCATTTTCTGAGGTCTTTCTATGACCCTCTGGGTTGGGGTTAGAAATGTTTCTGTCATGTCTGTGCTTGGGGCTCACCTCTGTCAGAGGCCTCATCATATAATATGGAGAGTTTGTCCCAGAATCTATTTTAATGGTAAGTGGGAATATGTTTAATACTGTGTCCTGTCAATCATATTGCCCTTGACTTTAATTTAAAAGCCGAAGTTATTTTTTTTTAATTGGGGATTTGTCATAGGTCTGTTTCTCCATGAGATTTTAATGCCTCAAGAGGACAGACCACTGTCCTTGTGTCCCTAGCATCTAATGCAATGACTGGCATGTAGTGGGCACTCAATACCAGCTCGCCAAATGGCCCGTCACCCAGTATGCCATTGGAAGACCACAGTGTGGGGGTCATGGTTCCTTAGATTGTACCACGGTAACCATATTGCCTACTTTGTCCCTTTCACAAATAACCTGCCTGTCTTTTCAGATCCGCAGGGGCAGAAAGTGGCCAGGAGAGCTCCAGAAGAGCCAGGGAGTTTGGGACATATGTAGTAGATAGTCTTAACAATAATGAAGGCACAGATTCCCCTACCCAAGTTCCAGGCATGGAGCTTTATGTACATTCTCATGTATGCTGGCAGTAACCCTATGATGTGAGCGCTATTGTTATGTCCATTTTATATTTGAGGGAACAGAGGACTAAAATCACACTTTTCCTGGTTGGCAGAGTTGGAGTTTGGATGCAGGGCTTGCTTGCAGAAAAGCTTATGCTCTTGATCCAAACTCCGTGCAAGACCCGCCCGCTCCCCCCTGCCCCCACGCCGTCTGTCCTCCATGGGCACCTTCAGCCTGTCTAAGAGAGGGCTGTGTAGGAGGCTTAGAGAGGCCCCCACAGGGGTGTCTGGGGCCCAGCAGAGTGCCAGTTGAGAATGTGGTGCATGTTGGAAATGCCATGCAACTTAGTAAACAGTGCTTCTGTCTTGTTAAGTGACCTGTGCAAAGACCATGTATGCACGCATTGCTAAAGCTGTGGAATGGTGGAGGCAAGGTCGGGAGGTTGAGACTGGCTAAAATGTGGATGGAAGTGAGCAGGGTAGACCGGGCCCAAATGAGCTGTGGAGGGTCTGACCAGCTGCCCTCTCTGCTGCCCTCTCTGCCCCTGCCTCTTTTCTTCCTCCATTCAAGCAGGGGCCTGGCCCTGTGCTCATTAACTCAGTAGGGGCATGTGGCAAGGCAGAAAGCAGAAATCCTGGCTTTTGTTTTCAAAGACTAAGCCATGAACTGGGGAGAGGTTCAGGGCATGGATCATGTATCTTGGTCGGAAACATGGAGGGAGAAGGATTTCTTCCCTCCAGAAGACAATCCTACCTGCCTGGAGCGGATGAGAGCAGAGGGGTCTGAATCCTTTAGGAGGAAGGCCCTGTGCCTGTCTTCCTGGCAATGTGCTGAGAAAGGAATGCCTGTATGGTTGATCAGGTAGACCTAGCAAAAGATTCCAGGTCTCAGGAGCAGCCCAGCCTGACCTTACCTGCACAGGGACACAGTCACTACCGGAACTATGACACCAAAGTGGGTAGAAAAGGAGGAAGAGATACCCCAATTTCTCTTTCCACCCTCCATCTCTTGCTAATAGGTCCCACTGAACAAACTCAACTAGAAGCCAGGCTGCAGGGAGGATACTGGGTGAAATAGTACATAGAACCCAGCCTCTCCAAACTTGGAACAGAGGAGAGAATGGATTTGTAGGTAGGAGCAAATGGAGAATAGTTATAACTCCAGATCTCCTCCTGCATCAAAGGGAAGCAGACATTGAGCCCTCCCTTTTAGGAGCAGAGATTTTCTAGCCTTCCTTCCTGGCATGGGGATTCTTTTCCACTCACCAATGGATGCATCCTTTGTTAATGGCCAAGGTTTTAAAATCCGTACATTTAAATTTCATTTCTTTGGCTACTCTAAACTTTCTTTGGAGGCCAAAGGCTATTAGTATCCTTCTCAGTTTTTTTTTTTCTTCATCTCACATGTGTAGTCAAAGAAGAATTACTTAGAGATTCCTTGGTGGTATCTAGATTAAGATTTGAACTTCCCTATTTGATAGAAACTTAAGAATTGTATGGGACAGAGCCTCCTGGGCTCTGGTCTCTCCTTCTTATGGAATTTTGCTTCCAATTCCTGAACTTCATACTGGTGTGAGTTGTAAAAAGCACAGAAGCTGGAGGGAAAATGGTATTGAGGGAAATGTTCTTATTTTTAAAATTTATTTTTGAAAAAATACCTGTTTTTATTGAAAAGATAATGCATGTAATTTACACAAATAGCATCATACTTACATATTGTTCAAGAACTTGATTTTTAAAATTTAATGTTTTTTTGAGATTTATTCTTATTGATTGATAAATGCAGATCAATTTATTCATTTTAACTGCTATAGAGTATTCTAGGGAATGAATTAAACAGTCTATATTAACATGACCTTTGTAATAGATAAATTAAGTTTTGTTAGCTTTTCACAACAATAAGCAATGCTGCAGTGAACCTCCTTATACCTGGCTCCCTGGGTAGGTATGGGAAGTTCAGTGGATGATGGGTTAGAATGGGCAGCTAGGAACATTTTACAGTATAGTGGGCAGCTAGAAATGTAAACTTCTGTTTGCAAACTTGGTAACACTGTTAAACACCTGCTATGTATGGGGCACTATCCTAGGAAGAGGGAAAAACTGAGGTTAGTAAAGGAAACATAGGCCTTGCCCTTAATGAGTGGACACTGTTGAAGGGAATACTAACACAAAATCAATGGGATCCAGCATAAGTTTTGATCCTATCTACTATAAGTATGACTGTGGGAACAAGGAGGAAAATGTGACTAACTGCTGGGGAAAATCTGGGAAAACCCCAGAAGAAGTAACCACCAGGCCTCGGACATGGAAGCTTATGGTAAGGAGGTAGGTATAGCAGAGGTTCTGCAGGCAGCGACAACATCATGGGTAATCATGGGTACATGAAAATGCAAGACATGTCCAGGGAGGTAAATCCAGGGAATATAAATCAAATAAAAAGAATCTTAGGAATGCTGTGATTTTGTAGCCAATCAGTCTTTCCTGTGGTCTAGGAACCACAGGAACCAACTAAACCACAGCCACCGACTAAAACTCACTATCAAAGCTGTGTCAGTTCATTCTTAGACCCATCTTTTCGGTGAAAGTGGCGAAGTGGCTCCCAAATGCTGAAGGAGCTGAGAAACAAAGGATGAGGCAGAGAAATCCAGTTTGTCACTAAAGGGTCATTTATTTGGGGAACTTATGGATAGAAGTTCATGAGCAGCAAGACAAGTAGACCCTGGTGCTGTTACTACCCAGATCCAGGGCTTATATGCTGCAGGGAATGGGGGATGTGCTCTCCTAGGGACAATTAAAGGTGACCCTTCAGAATTCAGGCAAGAATGCTGTGTGCATCATAGACTATGATTCGTGCCATAACATCAAGGTTGACATGTTCTTATACTAAGGACAGTAAATAAAGTAGGAATCAGGAGGCATGCATGGGACTGCGGCTAATGAGAAGCCAACATAATGAATCAGCATCCAAGATGGAGTCACTTTTGTCTCCATATCATTATACCATGCCGTCGTTTTAAAAAATTTCTTATTGAGGTCTAATTTGTTGCCTTCTGTGGTTTATGTATATCCATTAGGTTTGTATTATAAGATGGGTTAAAAACAGCAACAATAAGTGCTTAAATAATAAAGAATAAGATTTCTGCCCTTTCCATTTGCCTCGAATTGTACCCTTTTTTGTGCAGTTATTGTCACAGTGTGTTATGTACTAGTAATAAGTGTAATTAATTGCTTTTATTACACCTATCAAATGAGGCTCTTAAGGCTCATTACCATGCAGCCTTCCTTACATTATTCTTGCCTTTCCTGGTGCTCAGGTGAATTTGTGAGTAGTTCTCTTCATTCACATGGAGTTAAAATTAACTGCCAAAGATCAAAAGCTGATTGATTCAGAATTGATTTATCAATAAATGCATTTTTAAGACTGGAGATAGACTTAGGTTTTCCAACTTGGTTCCATTCTCCCCGTCACTTTCAGGTACACCAATCAAATGTAGATTTGGTCTTTTCACATAGCCCCATATTTCTTGGAGGCTTTGTTCGTTTCTTTTCACTCTTTTTTCTCTAATCTTGTCTTCTCACTTTATTTCATTGAGTTGATCTTCAGTCTCCAATATCCTTTCTTCTGCTTGATCGATTTGGCTATTGATACTTGTTTATGCTTCACGAAGTTCTTGTGCTGTGTTTTTCAGCTCCGTGAGGTCATTTATGTTCTTCTCTAAACTGGTTATTCTAGTAAGCAATTCGTCTAACCGTTATTAGCTTCCTTGCATTGGGTTAGAACATGCTCCTTTAGCTTGGAGGAGTTTGTTATTACCCACCTTCTGAAGCCTACTTCTGTCCGTTCATCAAACTCATTCTCTATCCAGTTTTGTTCCCTTGCTGGCAAGGAGTTGTGATCCTTTGGAGAAGAAGAGGCATTTTGTTTTTTGGAGTTTTCAGCCTTTGTGTGCTGTTTTCTCCCCATCTTCATGGATTTATCTACCTTTGGTCTTTGATGTTCCTGACCTTTGGATGGGGTCTCTGAGTGGACGTCCTTTTTGCTGATGTTGCTACTATTCCTTTCTGTTTGTTAGTTTTCCCTCTGACAGTCAGGCCCCTCTTCTGCAGGTCAGCTGGAGTTTGCTGGAGGTCCACTCCAGACCCTGTTTGCCTGGGTATCACCAGCAGAGGCTGCAGAACAGCAAAGATTGCTGCCTGTTCCTTTCTCTGGAAGCTTTGTCCCAGAAGGGCACCCAACAGATGCCAGCTAGAGCTCTTCTGTATGAGGTGTCTGTCGGCCCCTACTGGGAGATATTTCCTAGTCAGGATACATGGGGGTCAGGGACCCACTTAAGGAGGTGGCCTGTCCCTAATCAGAGCTTGAACACTGTGCTGGGAGATCCGTTGCTGTCTTGAGAGCTGTCAGGCAGGGATATTTAAGTCTGCTGAAGCTGTGCCCACAGCTGCCCCTTTGCCCAGGTGCTCTGTCCCAGGGAGATGGGGGTTTTATATAATTCCCTGACAGGGGCTGCTGCCTTTTTTTCAGAGATACCCTGCCTAGAGAGGCAGTCTGGCCGCAGCAGCCTTGCTGAGCTGCAGTGGGCTCTGCCCAGTTAGAACTTCCTGGTGGCTTTGTTTGCACTGTGAGGGTAAAACCACCTACTCCTCCCACCAAGATTGAGCATCCCAGGTTGACTTCAGACTGCTGTGCTAGCAGCGAGAATTTCAAGCCAGTGGATCTTAGCTTGCTGGGCTCCATGGGGGTGAGACCCACCGAGCCAGGCACTGGACAGAATTTCCTGGTCTGCTAGTTGCAAAGACCATGAGAAAAGTGCAGTATCTGGGCCAGAGTGCACTGTTCTTCCTGGTATAGTCTCTCATGGCTTCCCTTGGCTAGGAATGGGAAATCCCCTGACCCCTTGCACTTCCCGGGTGAGGCGACACCCCACCCTGCTTCAGCTTGCCTTCCGTGGGCTGCACCCACTGTCCAACCAGTCCCAATGAGATGAACCGGGTACCTCAGCTGGAAATGCAGAAATCACCTGCCTTCTCTGTTGATCTCACTGGGAGCTGCAGACCGGAGCTGCTCCTATTCAGCCGTCTTGCCAGCAAGTCCCAGGGATTCACTTGGCTTTTACTCAAAAACTTAGGACAGCAGAAATTGTTGCCACCCCTCAGTATCTATTATTCCTTTCTGTCTGTTAGTATTACAACTCCCTCCATGGGTTTTAGTAGTATTCCACTACAGCCTGTGTAATTAGGTGGAAGTGTTGTGTACAACTTCTGGGACATGCCTTTCTCCTGCCTTTGGCAGCTGGAACAAACCCTGATACAGGTGGAAGGCTGTATAGAGGATGGTTGAGCTGTACCTTTGATACCTGAGAGTACTCATGGAGCAGAGCTGCCTACAGCCCTGGACTGTCCACCTACTTCTAGTCTGTTATAAAAATAAATGTCTGTCATATTTGAGCCACTGAATTTTAAAGTCTTTTCATTTGTAGCTTAACCTAGAATCTAACTAAAATTCCTAGCTAAAAACATAACAAATTTATTTTTTAAGGATATAGATGAATGTGGCAGGATGGCAGGTCAGCAGACTTTATTTTGTAGGAACTTCTAGCACAGTTTTTTCTCTAATCTGAATACCTTTTGGTGAGATTTACTCTCATTTCCCCACAATCCATACTAAGTCTTATTTTCTTAGATCTACCGAATTCACACATTTGTCTTATCCTTCTGGCTTCTGTGGACATTTCAGCTTGTTTCTGGGAACAATACAAACCAATTTTTTGCAAGTTGGAGACTCTCATTTATTTTCCCCATATGATAATCAGCATAATTTCTTAGCGTCCTGTAGCCCAGACGTGATGACTTAGATCAGATCATACCACTTATGACATTGACTGGGCCCTGAGAATAAATGCCTGAGAATGGAGTGCTGCTGGGACCATCGTGATACCGGTTGACCATGCCAGATCTAGCTTGCTTATGTTCCTGGGGAAAGCAGATAAGAAAACAAATTTAGTGGGGTTCATGGGGGGATGAAGATAAAAAGTGTCACAGCCCAGGAAGCAAAAGAGCCTTGGGATTTTTCCCTGGACATGACAGGGACACTGCTTAATGAAGCCTGAGAACTCAGATATTTCAGTTCCTTAAACCAGCATCCAGTGAAAGTTAAAAAGCCAATTTTATAACTGAAAAAGAAGTGATTTTTCTTCGAAGTTTCCGTTCATCTTGACTTTTGTCACAGTGTTTCAGAAAGAACTGTGGATATGAGAAGTTTAGGTCGGGGCCTTTGGAAACCTTGGGCAGAGTGGCTGGCAGGGCCCAGGAGGTCTAATGGGTTATGATAGGAAATTACATGTGGAGGGGAGCAGGGGCAGAGTGGGGAGTCTCAGCTATATCTGGACCTGGTAATAGAAACCATGAAGTTTGGAAACTAAAAGTCAAAGCGAGTATGAGTTGATGCAGGATGCAAAGTTACCTAAAGCAGAGTTCAGCAAAATTGAAGCCTCTAGTAAGCTGCTGTGGAAATCTGACTAAGAAAGTGGCAACAGGCATCAAAACATCAGCACGACAAAGAGAAACTGTTAGGGACATCTGCCTGGCTTAACGGAGGCTCACATCCCACAGAGTGGCTCACCCAGGCCGGAGTGGATGAGAAATGGGCTGTGGGTTTAAAATGGTCTAGAATGGCACGTCTCAAAATTTCTTCCAGAATCACCAGGGATGTTTGTTCAACATACAGGTTTTGGGGCCCTCACTTAAAATGGATTAATTGCAATATCCTGGGACCAAAGCCAGGAACTGCATTTTTAATGAGTTCCCTAGGTAATTTGAGAGTCAATAATACTCGAGATGAGTTTGACCAGAGAGCACCAATCTGCTCTGAAGCTCTAGGATGTTGTGAACATTTGTGAGCCTTCTACTATGTATTGGGAATACAATGATGAATACGACATTACAGTGGGGGACCAGAAAAATAAATGAAGAATTTCAATACAATAGTAGAGATAGGTAGAAGATGCTATGGGGCCTTGGCTAAGGATGATGGGGAAAGCTTCGCAGAGCAGGTCATGTTTGACCAGGGTATTAAAGACAAAGGGGAATTTTCCAAAGAAAGAAGAACCATTCCCAGCATGTACTGGGTGGAGATGGAAGTGCATGGAAACTGAAAGGCAGCAGCTGGGGCAGTGAGCCCAGGGAAGCCAGATCTTGAAGATGGTTTCAAGAGTGATGTGTGGAAGAATGGATGCATTCTTACTGTCTTGAGAAACGTGAAGAGGAAGCACCTGGGTCAGTCTTTGGAGGCTTGCAGGGTGTCTGATAGAGGAGGTCCTCTGTGCTCATGCTAGTTTCTGCCCTGTGAGAAGGTATGATAGCGAGCAAGTTGTCAGTCTGCTGGGGGAGACAGAACGGAAACAAATATACAGAATTTTTCAAAAGTGGTTAGTGCCCTGAGGAGAATAAAGCAGTGATTTCTCTTTTTGGGAATACAGTCAGCTAGATTATTTGGACAAGCCCTCCTGCTGAAAACAAAAGCTTCTTGAAAGTATGGAAGGGCTGACAAGATCATGAAACCAAGGGGAAACAGGAACTGGGAGAGGCAAATGGAGCAGTGGAACTTCTCATCTTGCAAACCTGAACTTCGGGAGGCAAGCCAAGGTTGAAGCTCAAGCCTACCCAGGTGGAGATGCTGAGAGGAGGCCCTCAGGATGGGATGGACCCAGCCTGCCTGTGGCTGAGATTCCCAGAGCTGCCTGCTGCCTGTCCTTCCCGAGGCTCTCTTTTTATTCAGGTCTTCCTTCTGGCTATCCAATCTCCTGCTAGTAAAAATACTTCTGTATTTTTCAAGTTGCTCACTATCAGTTTCCTTGCCTTCAACCAAAGATCCCCAATCAGCACATTCTTTTTCATATTTTCTCTTTTAATTTTGAAGTCATTTCAAATGTACAGAAATCTTGCAAGAAGCATATGGAGAACATTTCCCCCTCGAATCATTTTTAAGTTGCAGACCTGATACCATGACTTTGGAATATTTTAGCATGTATTTGCTACATACTAGAACATTCTTCCACATAGACATAATACAACCATCAAAATCAAGAAATTAATATTGATTCATTAATATCATCGAAACTTCAGACCTGTGGAAGTTTCACCAGTTATCCTAATAGCATCCTTCATAGCAAATAATGCAGCCCAAGATCATGTTTTGTGTTAACTGTCATGTCTCTTTCATCTCCTTCAGTCCAGGACCATTTCTAGTCTTCCTTGGCTATCATGACCTTGACACTCTGGAAGATTATAGGACAATTTTAAAATTATGTAAAAATCTTGTTTCTCATCAAATTTGTATTCATCAGTTTCAGCAACAATATGTTTCTTGGCTCAATTGTTACTATGATAATTATCATATAATGATTTTCTAATCCTATTAGTATTTCTACAGTTATCAGTTGGCATTATATTGTTGTAAGAAATAGCTTTTTCATTCATTCATTCATCTGACTCCTATTGTATTCAATGAATTGTAATCTACTGATATTACTTATTTTGGTGCTCCACATGGTTCTAGATTTGGCCAGTGGGAGCTCTTTCAGTCTGGCTCCTGTATCCCTTTGACACATACCCATTATTCTTTGAGTTCTTCCTTACTTTCTGACATAATTTAATTTTCCAGACCCATCCTGTACTTTCCCTGTCCCGGCCCCAGAATCAGACATCTCTTCAAGTAGCACTGGTTCCTTTTAATGGGAATGGTATTTGGAAACCAAGATCTGCACACTGGGCTTGCCCATTGCTACACACACACACACACACACGCACACACACAGATCTATATTTGTTCCTATATCTCTCCATACTGAGACCCATGCGTTTATACTAATACTTCCAATTCCAATCCAACACCACATTTGTAACCACCTTATTTAACAACAAGAAATTTGGCTCCAGTTATCCATAATATATTTCGCTGTTGGATCAACCAACCTGGTATGTACTCTCTCTCCTGTAGGCATCACTTTCTCCTACCCTTGCCCCATGCAGATGTGGTCCTGACCTTTCTCCTGCTCTAAACCCCAACTCTGGGCTGCCACTGTCCCCCCTTTACCATGTGGGCCCCCACCTTACTCAGCTCAGGCTCCAGTGCTCCTCATCAAACCACCTCAGGACCCCCAACCTGTTCATGTTCCTCCTCAATGGAGGAGCCCCGTTCATCCCATTTAGGCTCCAACACCTGCTGTTGGCCATGGCCACACCCTGCCCTCCACACAGACGCTCCAGATGCTTGCCTTGCTTGGCCCATATAATGGCTTTTGGATTGGAGTGTCTGGAAAGGCGGAAAGGCAGTCAGGAAAAGCAGGAAGGCAGAAAGGCAGTCAGGAAAAGCAGGAAGGTAGAAAGGCAAGCAGGAAGCTGATATGTTCTTATTGGGGATAATTAGAAAAAGAGTAAACTGAGGAATATAAAAAGTTGGTAACAGAGACAGCAGAGAAGGGGTGGAAGTTAATTTAGTAAAGCCTCAGAATAAGTCAAGGAAAATGGAAACAGACCTTGGAATTGCACAGGAGGCATCGAGGAGAGAGAGGGGTGAGCTGCGTGTAAGAGGAAGGGAGATGGGGCAGTAGATGCTTTGATATGAGGTTATGATGGATGGAGTTAATCTGCATTGTTGAAGAGGGAATTTAGAGATATCCAACAAGTAGGCTGAATAGAGGTTATTTAAAACTTTTTTTTCTTATAAAATAGCCAAGTTATTCTGGGCCCTTGGGAACATGGCAATTTCCCAGAGGCAGGATTTAGGAACTCTGAGTCATAAGGCCCATTATTGTGCAAATTTCTACAACAAAGCAAAATGAATTTATAAACATCCTATTGAAGCTCTAGGAAAAGTAAGCAAGAAAGTTTTTAGCAAGTGAGGAATAGTACATGGAAATTAGTAATGCAGACTCACTGTTATTAATTGAAGGTATGTCAAATGTCATTTATTTCTTTTTTTTTTTTTTTTACCTTTATGTCTCAAGTGGGAGTCCCTAAGTTTCAAGCTATTTCTTTAAGGTGTCACTCCCTAATAGTTCTAAGAAATGTAATCTATGCAAAATGGCTGGCTCCAGAAATTCCTATAAAGCAGCAAGAGCCTATGAGAACATCTAATAGAAATATGACTGGTGAATAATTTGATCTTCTTTCACAGAAGTTAACATTTTAAAAGAATTAATTTCATCACTTACATTTTAATGTTTGTTTCTATTTAAATATTTGACATTAAATTTATATATAATGAGATTTCTAACAGCTTAATTTTATGCCATTTTCCTGTCATAAAAGGAGAGAAATGCTATTAAAACAAAAAAGAAAAGAAAAGAAACATTTTAGCTGCCTAACTATGCCCAGAAACTGGTTATGAATCAAGATGGTATATTCCTAATTAGCAGCTGTTTTATCTCCATTATTTTTCTAGTAAAAGAAAATGTAGAAATATTTTAGCTTTTACAAAGTAACTGTTTTTTTAGCCAGAATTATGAGTATTTTGTATGTTTGACATAAGTATTAAAAGAACTCTCTATTGTCACAAGGTGCTTCAGAATCTCTAAATCTAAAATTATTCTAAAAATAAAACTTATTTTAAAAAATGGTTCAGAGGACTCTAAAAGAAGAAAACACAATGGCCAAAAATAATGTCATATCAACAGATTCACCTCATGAATTGCAAAAAGGATAAAAAGGTAGGACCAAAGTTTAGAGAAATGATGTTTCCTTGACCATGAGTCAAGCAAGTGGCAGACCACACTTCCCCCATTCTCTAAGAAGGATAACATTTAAGGAAAAGACCTGAGAAGTCATGTAGTCCAACCCAACATTATGAAACCTGAGGAAACTAAAGTCCAGAGAGACTGAGGAGCTTGTCTGAGGTGAGGAACCCTTAGGACCGAGCTGGTTCTGGAGGTGAACCAGCCTCTGGGGCAGCCACTTTCCTTGTACCCCTTTGCTTCCTTAGTGAGTCTGTGCAGTTCTCCCTCTTACTCCGAATTATTCTTGGCTTTGCCTTTTTAGACTTTTAAAGTATCTTTAAAGATATCAAGGCATAATCCATACCAATTTGAACTAATCTTGCATAATTATAAAAGAGCAGCAGAAATGAAGAGCAAGAGGAGGTTGCAGAAGGGCACCCCCTAGGATGTGTGTGTGCAGTGTGGCTGGGAGAGAATTTTCTGGTACACGGAAAGCTGGAATGTGTGTTTTTGCAGCCACTGTGTGCCCTTTCTTTTAATTAGTTGGCTTTTACTTAATAAAACAGTTTTGGCCTTGGTGCATTAAATAATAACGATTGTAATCATAATAGCCAGTGATAAACTGTATGTACATTGCATACCAATTAAAATGCTTGTATAGTCAGATTTTTTTTAACTTTCTTTATAAAAGGGGGAAGAAAGGGGGAGAAATTTTATTCACAAAGGAATCAGGGAAGATTAAAAGCTGAGCAGAATGTAATATCTCTGAATTACCTTCTGACCTTTTTGAGGCTGCAACCAGTATGTACATGTTTTGGATTTTGTCTTTTTCTTTTTTCCTTACTTCATATCAGGCTTCCACAGCTGGACACAGTCCCTAAGCTTATCAGATTAATGCAACCCTGATAGATCCCCATTACATTTATATCCCCTAATTTTATCAATTGGCACTTGGATTGTTTCCAGTTTTCAGAATCTATAAACAGCCCTGCTAGGAACTTCTTTATGCAACTTACCTTTAGCTGTCGTTTAGGTTAACTCCTCATGATGTACCTCCCAAAGTGAAATTGTAAAGTGTTGCATGTAAACATCTCCTGGTTCTCTTTTTCATATTGCGGGATTGCTCTCCAGATTGAAGCAACTTACAATGTCAACAGTAATCGTTGTATTTTTCCACAGCATTGTGAACAGTGGGGCTTATTATTTTTATTTATTTTAACAGGAATTTGATGTCACCTCCAAGATTTTAAAATCTGCATTCTTGAATTGTTACTGAGGCAGTGCATTTTTTATAGTTTGCCATTTTTTGCATGTATTTCTCTTTTCTGATTATAGAATAAGGCCTTACATATATGTACCAATTATGTATACAGAATGCAAAACTTCAGTTACATTTATCACATTTCCCCCATTCTGTTGCGTTTCTACTTATTTAAATAGATTTTACCATATTTTGTTTTCATTTTTATATTTATACAAATATCCATCTTTTCTCTGATGGCTTCAATATTTTCAGTATGTAGAAGAGTTTCTCCTCTCTACAGAGATTCCATATAGTTTCTCCAATTTTATTTTCATTCTTAATTGCTGAAGTCTTTAAACTCAGCAGGAATTTACTTCAGTATATTGTAATACTGGATTCATATCACTTTTTTTTCAACACAGATTTACTGTGTCCCTCCTCTGCACCCAGCTCTGTGCTAGGCATTGGTGATATTAAGAAAGGCGACATCTTCAGGGCAGTTCCAGCCCTCAGGGATCTTTCAGTCTACTGTGCTATGCTGGTGAGGTTGCAGAACTGCAGAGCTGTGTTAGGATGTTAATAAGTAGAGGAACACCAAGCAGTTTCCTAACTCAGCTGTGAGGAGTCAAGGAAAGACTCCCCCAGGAAAGGAATGTCTAATCTGAAAACTGAAAATCAAGTAGGAGTTGGCCAGGTAACAAGGAAACAGGGAGAAAGACTGTTTTAGGCAGGGGAATAGCAAATGCAAAGCCTGCAAGAAGAGCATGGTGCTTTCACAGGGAAGTAAAGAAAGAGATCAAGGGTTGAGCAGGATTGTTGTACTAAAGGTACTTTGGAAAGGTAAAAGCAAGGTCACTTTGTACTCACCTATAATTGCTGACTGCCAAAATGAATGGTTCCTAGCTTGCCACATTTTGCTACACTCAATCAATGAAGCCCTGGGATCCTCATACAAGTAACCAGCCCTAGGCAAAAATAGAGCCCTGGAGAAGTGAGGTTCACTTCTGATGCAGCAGAATCAAAGAGAGCAGGAAAAAGAGTGGATGTTTCGTTTGTCTTGACATTTTAGCTTTCTCCAAATAAGCTCTTGAAGTTAGGGGATCCTGTCATGACCCAGGAAGTGTCCCTACCACCATTTCTATGCCAGCAGGAAAGCCTGGACCCAAGAGAGGAAGTATAATGGACAGATGAGTGGCACCAATACTTTCCAAGAAACTCTGAGAAATAGGCCTCTTTCTTAAGAACCTGGTGCTACAAATACTTAATTCAGTTGGCTTAAGTGAATGGGTCAGGAAGGAATTGAGATATATTTGGAATGGAGTTTTTGTCAAATTGCGAATAATTGAGCACAGATTGTAAGGCCAGGAAAGGGTAACAGAATTACTTAATTTTCTAGGATTTGCTTTTTTCACTCCAGATGTGTTCCTAAGATTCATCCATATTGTTGCTTACTGCTACAGTTTATTCATGTTGGCAGATATATAATATTCCATTATGTAAATATTTTATACTTTACGTATCTACTCTCCTGTTGATGGACCTTTAGATTGCTTATGTATAGTCTGTAATTTGTATTTTCACTTTCATTAAGGTATATATTGCTAAATGAGTATTTCTAATTTTAAGATAATCATATTTATCAGTAGATTTCTTCATAGTACTTTTGTGTGTGTTCTTTCCTATTTTGAGGCCATATCTTATCTACTTACCTATTTACCTTTTCTACTAAGTTTAAAACTTTGCTTTTAACGTTAAGCACTGAATCTACATGAACTGATTTTTTGGTATGGTGTGAAGAAAGGGTTCTATTTCATTTGTTTTTCCATGTGGATGACCACTCCTCCCAGATCCACTTATTAAACAGTCATTTCCTACACTTCCCACTGATCTGCAAAGCCACCTCTATTATCCATCAAATTTCTGTATATGCAAGAATCTCATTTTTGGGTGCTCTGTTCTATGTTATTGATCAATTTGTCTATCCCTGTATCAATGCTATGCTGATGAACTATTGCACCTTCTTAACAAATTCTGTCTGGTAGAGCACATTTCCTTTGTTTTTCCTCTTTGAAAATGCCTTAATTATTCTTGGCTCTTTATTTTTTCTTATACATTTTATGCCTGTCCTCTCTTCAGTAGGGCTTTGAGTATACCGTGATTTCACCCCAGCAGACATCTGTACTCCTTCTGCCTTGAGGCTGTGATTTTTGTAGCATGGTGGAGGACAGAACAGGACAGGAGCAGCTCCTCCCTCCTTCACCTTCTCACAGATAAGAAGTAGGCCCTCGCCCCAGGCTCCAGCATGTCCCATTCAAACCAGCTTAAAATAGTCTTTAGCTTCCTCTGTCCCATTTCTAGGTTTATTTCTTTTCATTATTCCTTATATTACAAGTTTTCTTTGCAAAAGTTGGGGAACCAGCTAATCATCATCTTTGCAGGAACTGGAAATATATTTGAATTTGTTATATTTTTGAAGAACTAAGTACAGGTTCTGTTGATACATTTTATTGTCTCTATTTCTCCATTTTGTTGATTTTTAATTTCATTATTCTTTCCTTGTTTATTCTGGCTTGCTTTTTCATCCCCATTTAACAATTTTAAAATTGAACATCATTTCCCCTGAAAAAAAAGACTGTAGACATTTAGAGCAATAAATTCTCTATTGGCATCACAGTGTTCCACAAATATTAACGTAGTTTATTTGTATTTTTTGTGTTAAAACATTTTGTGCCAGGTGTTGTGGATTTCTTCCAAGACTCGGTACTGTTTAAGAACTTTCCTTCCTCTTTTTTTAATGTTCATGGAATAAGGCACATTTTAATTCTTAAAAATTTTCAATTTTATCGCACTAGGAACTGAGAATGTGGCAAGCTGAATTTTTGACTTTTTGTTTTTATTAAATACACATTACATGCCAGAATATGGTCCCTTTCATGAAAGTTTCTTGAGTATACTTGCAAATACCTTTAGTTATTAGTAAAGTCTTCTCATTTGTCTATTACAACATTATTTATTGTATTGTTAACCCCCATAATCTCTTTACTCACTTTTTAAATTGCCTTCATTTGCTTCATATTATTAATTTTGACCTTGGTCTATACTCTCGTACATTTCTCCTCTTTGAATGGCTGTGATACCAAGAATCACTCTGTGTATATGTATGTTTACGTATGTACATATATGTATGTATGTAATTGGTTCTGTTTCTCTGGATAGCCTTTCTTCTGTTTTCAATTTTCCATTGCTTCTTATAGCCGTCTTTGTAGAGTAAGAACTTGTCAAATTATTTCAGTCATTAGGTCTTGGAATATGCTCCTTTCAGAGAGGAGAGCCGGCAGCTGGCGAGCACTGTGATCGCACCTACTTTCTGGTTTGTGCACATTCTCCTCAAGCCTCCTCCGCGCCTCACTCAAGGCAAAGTTTGATCTTCTTCTTCTCCTTATTTTAAACATTATCCCTTTTTATTCTCTGTGATTTGGAGGAGTATTAATTTGTCTTTAATGTCTAAAGCTTGGAAAGTCATTTTGTCTGAGTGGAGACTTCCTTTGAGGATTACTCTCAAGCGCAACCCCATGCCTGTCCCTGCTTTAATACTAAGGCTCGCCTGTCATTCAAGTGAACGGAATCGTTGTCCTTTCTCTGGCTGTGTGGTCTTTACATTTCTGGCCTTTTCGAGTCTATCGGGTTCAGTTATTCACCGAGGGGATCTCCTCTCTCTTTTAGGTCCATGGGTTTATCTTGGACTGTGATCTTTGGCCTGAGAATTTACTTTGGTTTGGGTTTGCCATGCAAGGACATCTTCAGGATTGCTCCTTCTTAGCTGGGTTTTTCCCAGCTATTGCCCTAGGGAATGGTTGAAGTTACGGAGGTTTAGGGAATCTGTAAGAAAAAGAGGTTAGAGAGAGAATAGCAAAGGGCAAATAAGTGCACCCTGGCCTGTGTCTTAGAAGGTATCTGGGATGGGACTATGAGGAAGAATAGACAGTGAAAGGGTAGAAGGATGAGTAAAGGGGAAGGAGAAGGAGGGCCAGAGTTGAACATTATAACTGGGTGCCCCTACAATTTGGAATAACTAATATGCCCTGTTTTTCCCTAGAGTACAAATATCGGAGATCCTCTCCACATCTCTGTCTTTTCAAAATAGAGTTCCCAAAGTTCTGACCATCTCCTTTCAAGTATTTAACTTGTTAGTGTTCAGGGTTCCCTAGTACTTATGAGTTTTAGGGCTGGGGACGGCTCAGTCTGGCTCAGTCTTGTCTCATTTTTCTGACTGTGAATAAGTAGAAAATCATCTTGGAGAGTTGTGTCCAAATAGCAGAACCTGGGTGACGTCCCAGTGATTCAAGTCCTTCAGATCCTGATGACTCAGAAAAGGCAGGCTGTGGAGGTTTGAGCCACTGTGGATGAGCACCCCAGCTGGTTCAGAAACACTGCGGGCAAGGTGTGTTAGCTTTCTTCTGTGGCTGAAGCTCAGGGGTGGAGTGAAATTCTCAGCTATACAGAGGGGAGCACTCATGATGCTGGGGAAGCCGTCCTGTACCCAGGGCTCAGACCACACTGCTGCAGGCTGGTCCTCGTCTCCTGGAGGCTAGTCCTGGTCTTTGTGTAAATGCTCTCTCAGCCATTGTTTGAGAAGTGAGTTTCCAGAATCACATTCATTCACAGGGTGCTCGAGTCCCAGAAAGCTGGATCCTGCATGCTCTCCCACTAGTGAGGAGATCCCCCAGGTTACATATCAAGCTACTGACAGGGCCAAAGCAGGAGTCAGAGGCCCAGGTCAGAGTACAGTCCCAGTACAAGACTCCTTCTTGCCTCCCTGATCACCCACACCTCTCCCACCATGGGCACTCTTTCCCCCAGCCCCTCTAAGGGAGGCCCCCTTTAGGAACAGCCAGGTGATTTCTTTCTCTCACCTGGCATGTAGTTGGCAACTTTTCTAACAAACACAGATTTTATCCATTCAGAGTGCCCTTCTGGTGGGACCTCCACCATCTATCACTGAATCCAAAGGAAGAAACCATTCATCAAGAAAGGGCACAAAAAGGAGGGTGGCCAGCTAGAGAGAGAACTGAGAAATTCAGTCAATATTGTTCCACTGATGACCTGGAAGAGCACAATTTCAGTAAGTTAGATCAACAGAAGCTGTACTGGAGGGAGTTTTGAAGGAAATGAGAAAATAGAGACAGCAGGTGTATTCTTAGATTATAGGAATTTAGTAGTAAAGAGAAATATATGTCAGCTATGGACACTGGGTGATTGTTTGATTTATCTTATCTCTGGTTATAGCCTTTCTAGTGTAAACCCCATGGTACTGCATACACTACTAGAATTGCCTTTTCTGCTTGGAAATATGCTGACTGGCCCAACTCCTACATATATTGCAGCAGGAGTCTCAGTATATGGCTCAGCAGGTTGTAGATTGCACAATGCATGCAAATGGTGTGAATGATGTTCCTGAGAATTGTACAGTGTACAGCCTGAGCAACCATATACAGCAACCCTGATTTTAGCACTCTGTTTTGAAGCAGAGAAGTAAGTATGTGCTACATTGTTTGTTTGACTCTGAATATATTCCTTTTTGTCTGGCAAGGTTGGGGAAATGATGCATCTGTCTTCTCTCATTTATGGCCAGAGTATAAATATCATTAAAAAGTAAATAATGACAAAAATAAATCTTATAAGCATATCTCTGACAGTAGTAGTAGCTGTCTTGAGGAGAACATATGGTCATTGGCTGAGTATGGGATAATAAACACATAGAGAGAAATTCAATAGAAACTCAAGGTCATAAATGTAATGATTCTCCATTGGAGAGCAGTACACAGTTATTATTTTCAAGTAATATTCCTTGCTTCACAGGAGTAAACAAGGCTGGATACTTAAAACATCTTGCAAAATCATTACCTGGTAGAAGCATTAAGCAGGCTTGAATTTAATAGCATTAAAGCTACAGGGAAAAATGTAAAAATTGTTCTTAGAAAATTGATCTTAATATATATTAACATTCTGATATATGTCAAGTATTAAAGTTGAACACATGAGTGTATATGGAAAATCAGAAAATGAAAAAATAACTTAATCTAAACTTCTCATTTTACAGAAGAAGAAACCGGACATAACAAGTAATTTGTCTAAAGTCACACAACTAGTTTGTATCAAAATTGGAACTAGACATTTAGATCCTTACTAAATGCAGCCACCAGCAGCTATTTACAAAATCATATTCTAATACATAAAAAATCTTCTAAATAAGGGAGTTTAGATGAATTGTTTTGCAAATTAAATCCATATGTATCCTACTTCAAGCAAATCTGAAATGTAAAATTACAGATTTACAAAATATATAAATTAGAAGATAACTTTAAGGTGATTATATGTATTACATATATAGATGTATATATAATAATAACTGGAATCATATATATATATGATCCCCTTAAATAGCAAACGCTTCCTTTTCTGGATTCTTTTACTTAAAATGCAACCTGACTCACAAAAGTTCAGTCAGCTTACACATTTAAAAAAGAATCTACTGTACAAAGCAAAGTTTATCTGTAAGTGTCATCCAATTTGTAACTTTTAAAACTCCCATTTTCATATGTTCTACAGAGAAGCATAGCACTAAAAAGGATTTATTAGTTTTCTTGAATATCTGGACCATCTTAAAGATTAGCACTTCAGAGCTGGCAAGCACAAGACTTCTAATTATGGCTCTAGCTGTAGTAGGATTCTGAATACATTTTCCCACATCTATTTCCTGAACCTTCTGCATTTGAGTGTTTTCCTTAGTGATGAATGAATGTGTAGAATATGGATGTTTTTTGCATGTGATCTTGACCTAAGTATTATGGATGCAAATGGTATCAGATAAGTTTCCTTGTTCCAAGTTTCATGTCAGAATTCAGCTCCTATTGAACAGAGCCCTGTTTGGCTGAATAGAGAGAAATTTTCTAAGATTGGTAGAAATGGCCTCAAAAGATTTTGAATTCCATTGGTGTTCAGTATGTTGCAATAATGAAATTTTGCTGAAATTTCCTTTAATATTCAGGAATCGGTTGAGCAGAGAGGGATTTTATCAGAAATTTAATTCCCACTGACCCCACAGGGTGGCTGGGAGAATCCAATAAGATGATGGGAGCAAAAGTGCCTTGTAAATGGTAAAGAACCACATAAAAATGCCATGTAACCAGATTTAAGCTTTAGGTTGGCCAGACATGTGTTGAGTAAGGACATTACTACAGGAGCATTAGTAAGGGGATATTATCACAGCTATGCTGCCCCGAACATGCCCCATCTCCTCTAATCTCAGAAGCTAAGCAGGGCAGGGCCTGGCTAGTACTTGGATGGGAGAAAGGGAACATCAGAGGACTTGCAGAGTCATGGTAGTGAGATGATTTTAACCCCTTCTGCTTTGGGAAGGGCAGGAATGTACTATTTACGGTTTGCAGTCCAGCGCAAGAGCCCCAGATAGGAGGTGGTTGTGGTCTAGAGTTGGCTAGTCTAGGGTCAGCAAGGCCCCAGATGTCAAAACATCAAAAATACAGAAAATAAAAAGGACATGCTTACTACAAGAGAACACGTTAAATGAAGATTTCTACTGCTTAGGCTGATGGCCTGTCAACACAACCTCCCAGTGTATACTAAAGAGACTGTGAAGTCCCCTCAAATGACCCCATCTTGGGATGGCTTAGAGGCCTAGGAGGTGGGGCAAGTACCCAGGGGAGGAGGCAGGGGGCAGATGCCACACAGGGGCCTAAGAAGCTGTGGAAAGTCTGAAAAGGACTTCCTTAGGAGGACTCTTGATGTGGTGATTAACTGACATAATAACCTTTTTCCTACCAGTTTTGGAGATTGCTGAGAAACACTTTCTCTACCTGGTCAGATTTAAAGGAGCACTGTGATATGGGTTTTTAATTTGATGCAGTACTCAGCAGGTATAACAACAATTGTGTTTTTCTTACTAGAAAGACCTTTCTCTTGTGTCTTTTAAGGTTTCGTAGAGAAAAGGTGGATCACTCTGTGTTCTTTTCTCCTTTAGGCCATTTCTAAAGAAAAAAAAATCAGGTCTTCTGTGCTCACAATGCCTTAGCTATATATGTAGGTATATAGGATCAACAACTTATGCAAGAGAACTCAGTCATGCCAGGAAGACCAGCAAAAGCCTGGTTCCTGCAACTGTTCTGGGACCAAGCCTCCCTTCTTCCTGCCAGTGGTGGGCCATGGCCAGGGAAATGTAAATTTGCCATTTAAAGATCCTAGCCTTCTTTGGTTTGAACATCTCCATTGAGTAAATGATCTACATCAGCCTTATGGGCTTCTCTACCCTGGCATCTCTCAGTCAAAATGGTGTCTGGATGAGGGCAGGAGCTTTAGGGGAAGGAAGTTGGTCTGTGTGGGTTTCTGTGTGGTCGCCGGGTTTCTCTTCCTCTGTGGGGATGCCATTAGTCTCCTTGGTCACTGGGTATCCTGCTCGTGTCTGCTGTCATAGTCCACCCTGGGGTAAGCTTCTGGTCTTTCTAGGGGACACATCAGGGACAGGCTATTTCCTATCCCATCTCCTGCGGGCTCTCCTCTGAACTGCTCTTTTTCCAACAGTAGGGCTTTCCCCATCCTTCCTGTCTGGTGGGCTACCCCCTACTCCCTTCCCAGCAGAGCCTCACTTTTCTTCCCTGTGCGATGAACTTCCCCTGATTTGGGCAGCTCACATCCCCATCTTCCTTGGCACACTAAACCTTACAGCTGAGTCTCAATAGCTGCTGGGACCACGGAGAAAACCCAGCTTCCTTATGAGGAAACATATGTTTTTACATGTTGTCACAAATGCACAAGTGTTTATAATGAGTGGAATTACTGGGAAGAAAGGCCACCTTAAACTAAGAAAAGGTTGTCACTATTGAAGCTTTTCATTTTCAAATGCAGCTATCCCATCCTTTCATACCTGAGAGTGGGATTGCCAGAATTAATTACCTGGAGGCTCTTGTGTGGTGGTTCTCATGCCTGGCTGCTGAGGGGATTCTAGAATATTGGTGTCCATGCTCAAGTCCCACTCACAACCAATTAAATCAGAATCTTTGGGCCTGGGGCCTGGGCTTTAGTATTATTTTAAAAGCTCCCTGTTGATTATAATATGCAAGAAGGGTTGAGAATAACTGCCTGATACCTCAGACCAGCAGCATCGACCTCACCTGGGTACTTTGTCAGACATGCAGAATCTCAATCCCAAGCCCAGACCCGCAGACCCAGAATCAGCATTTCAGCAAGATCCGCAAGGGAGTCCTGTGAGAAGTGCTGATAGTTTCTGGGTCCTTCCCTGGAGTCAGGACTCAGCGTGAACTCAAGGACCTGCAAGGCTCTGTATTGGACAGACCAAACCCTGCCTTGTGTTTCTCTGCCTCATACCTCAATATTGCTTTGTGAGTGAAATTAAGTTATAATGTTCATCAAGTGCAGCTTCAGTGATGACAACAGCCAGTCCAAGGTATGCACAGAGAGAGAGAGAGAGAGACAGAGAGAGACAGAGAAACAGAGAGAGAGACAGAGAGAGAGAGAGCGGCCCATGTGCTTGGCATTGGTGGCTTGGTCACCAGTGAGATAAACATGCTCCCAAGCCCCTTTGAGTTAAGGTGTGGTTGGCCTTTTGCTTATTTGAGCCCCAGGGCTACCTCCCTCTGGACTTCCTCTCTCTCACTTTTCTGGATTGCAGAAATAAGTGTTGTTCAAACCAGAGAGGTGGGAAGTGTGAGTGTGGAACAATGCATGGCCTTGGAGGCAGACAGACCTGAGTCCAAATTCCAGTTTCCCATGGAACTTTGTGCCATCCCATATCTCACCAACTCCCTATTATTAATTGGTGCTCAGGGAGTGACACTGTTTCTCTTATGGGTATCAAAGAAAAACTCAGTCCGAGGCAATAATTAGCCAAGGCTGATTTTTCATAAACTTGTGGCAGGGGCACCCATTTCCTGTTCTTTCATTTCAGCAGGGGTTCAAGGGTGTTTGAAGGAAAGTGAGGTTTTTAGGGTAAAAAGGAGGAAACACCAAGGCTGTGTCTGATTGGCGACTGTTCTATTAGGGTGGGATTTTTTAAGGCAGGGAACACTCTTCATTTGGCCTTCGGGTACATTTGACAGTCAAGTTTGGCTATAAGGGGACAAGCTAGCAGGTTGGGGACATTTCAAAAGAGGAAGGAAGGTTTTCTGTGGCTTGGCCATTTCCCAGAACCAATGGGGATTGATGATGAGGTGCTTTTTCAGGGTCACTGCCACAGCAGGTTTTTTTTCTCACAAAATTGCAGAGAGGATATTATTTGCATCTGAGGCCTGGACATGGCAGGCAACAATAGAAAAGTCCATCTTCCCGGGCTCCATCTCCTAGGGAAGCTGGAGTCTACTTTGTTGTTTTAATTCACAAATCTACCTTCATTCCCCTTGCTAGGAGCACAGAGGCTTATTCACTCTGAGTTTCAAGGTCAGATGTTTCACCTTGGGGGTTTTATTCCCTGCCTACAGCTGGAAAAGTGATAGTTTACAATTATGTCTTTCAAACAGATTTCTCTTCAAATAAAAACAAAGAAGTATGAGGTGAAACTCACCTAATGACAGCAACGCAGCACTGAAAAAAAAAAAAAGCTGGGGCATTAAATCACCATCCTTTTGGGTGACCTGTGTTAAATTAAATGTCATCCAAGTCATATAAATTATTCCCAGAGATGGATGAGCCACTTCTGCCTTTTTAACTACCGGTAGCCATCCCCACTGTTATGAAAGCAGTGAATTGCCTTTTGATGGAAATTGTGTGGTTTTGGCTGTCTTCAAGTTACCCATCTAATCGACATTGCTGGCTAAGAATTGGAAGAGAGTTTAAGGCTCTAATATAGGCCCTTTGGAGCATGTGGAATGCCACATCCTTGCATGTTTTCCAATCCTCTATACTTCTTGTGCCTTCTAGGAAAACTAGGCTTTTACAGAGTGACACGTGCCCTTGCTAATCCCAACTTTAAGACAAAGCAAGCCTTTGGAATGTTCTTATTTAAGTATACTGATGTCGGCACTGGGGAAACCTTACCAAGTCATCCAGCCACCTCCCCTCCCCACTGAGGGCTTCAGCATTCCTCACCTACTTTTTACCATCTCCCCTTCTCCTGGCTACCACCTTGAAGCTGGTTACTAGTATGGGAAATTGGGATCAGTTTGGAGGAAAAGAGTTTCTGAAAGTGGGAAGAAGGGAAGCCAGTCCTCTCAAATAATAAGGATTTTTGCAAAATTCTAGTGTGCCTGGGGCAAGAATAAGTGATTCAAGTTTGTATTTTTGGGGAGGAGAATATGGATCAGTAGATGAGGACTTGTAGAGGTCAAGGACAGGAAAGGAACATGTAGGAACCCAGCCTGGGGAGAAGGCCTCCTTAGAGTGAGTAACTGTCCCCAAAATACAAGTGAGTCCATCTGTGATGAATTTTGACACTGGATCATATTCAGAGACACATAGTGAAGACATCATAAAGTCACGATCCATAATTCAAATCTTTACACAGTCTCTGAGGGAAGTATGTCCCTAATGCAGCAAACTATCTTAAAATCCTCTCTCTCTCTAACCCCTTCTCAATTGATTCTATGCAGAATGCAGCTAATTCCTGAATCTCTCCTTTCCATTCCCTTGACTGTTAAGCCCAAACTTCCAAAATCCTGCATGACTCTTCTTTTCTCTGTCCATGTTACCCAGGATTTCTAGATGGTTTTACTTTTTCTTCTTTTATTTCAACATTTTTGCTTTTCTTTTCCTTTTCAAAATATATCTTCTTCCACTATGCATGACCTCAATGTGTGCAATGAAGTGTGAGCTGGGGGATGGACAGAGGGGAGAATGCCCTCTGAATTTTCAGACATTCCTAATTTTTGTCCGTGTCTCATCATGTTAAGGGGAAGATGTGTGAATCGATCTTGGAGGAACCAAGGGGTCCCAAAGGGTACAGAAGAAGGAGGAAGAGCAAAGGGATAAAAGCAGAGGAGACATGCTGTCTCTTTCTCCTGGGTTGATTGCCTGGGAACAGGCACCTCATGGGGTGCTTCTGAATGAAGGCCAGTGAGTTTGGTCATTGTAGGGAGGGCTGCTTCTCCTTCACAAGCATACACTTGAGTGCTGGAGAGCAAAGGCATTGGCTTTCTACTGAACAAGGGCTCTTAGAGAAAGAGCTCTGGCCATGACACAGAAATGGGAGAGAGGGCAGGAAAGACAGACGAGCCTGGAGTTTAGGGCTGGGGAAGTACTGCCTAACCTGGGATAAAGCAGAAAGGATTTGGAAGAGACTTAAAGAGGCATCAGACCATGCCATGCTAATTGGAGCAGGAGAGACTATGAACCCATAACTTACTCTTCTGTAACTGGGTTATGCTCAAAGATGCTTCTTCCTTCCCCAGCTCATCAGAGGACCATGTATAGCTATTTTTCCCAGGGCAGTGCCTGACCCCTTCTCATGGGGGGTCAGATTAGGATCTAGGGGCTTGAGAAGATGAGAAGGGTGAGAGGGCATGTGTTATTTGAGATCTGAGTTTGCAACAGTGCTTGAGAATCTTTCCTTCCTTCCTTAATTCAGCAATCATTAGTTCAGTGTATCTGATATGCCAAGCACTGTGCTGGTCATGTCACAGATGGAAAGCTGAGCTTCTGATGCCCAGCAACTGACCTGAGGTCACCAGTCAGACATGAGCAGAGCGGGTCTCCAACCCTCAGGACCTTCGCTATCACATCCCAAGGCCTTCTTCTCCCTTAATCAATCAAGCCACTCTGTGAATTCTAGTCATTTGCATATTTTCTTCTCTGTGAATGCAAAGGATCTCAGCCTAGAGTGGAATGACTTATCCTTGATAGCCCAGTAACTTTCTATTCCTAAACCCAGTGGACCTTCCCAAGATGTGAGCTATTGAAAATCTCTTCTTTAATTAAAAAGTTTTCCTTAGATTGAGCATAGCCCTGTGGGCATTTCTCATACCATTAGTCACTGGACACATTCAAGAAATGCATCTATGTTTCTGGTAAGTTGCATACAACTTGTTTTCTGTACACAACACCAGTCAGGGCTGAGCTCTGGACTATCTGTGCATGTTAGCAGCTGCAAATTCTAAACTGGGCAAAATGCCACTTGTTTGAAACACTGATAGGGTGCATCTAGGGGGTAATGGGATTGTTTGATATAGAGGCAGGAAATAGTTCAGTCAAACTGTAGGAAAACTACAGTGATAATTTCATGTTTAGACATTCCAAGGCCCCTTTTGTTACAGCATGTCAGGGAAGCATTTGAATGTACAGTAATACCTCTTAGTTATTCAAAACATATGTCCATGAAATATTTGAGCTTTTCAATAACACATTATTATAAAGGGCTTATATGTTATTTCTTCTTTTTGAAGGAAAAACAAAATAAGACCAGGACAAAAGAGAGAAAGTATAGAAAAGAGGGAAAAATATTGTTTTGATTTTAAATGCAACTCACGTAAAAAAATGAATCCTCCCTGTAATCCCAGCACTTCGGGAGACCGAAGGGGGCAGATCACGAGGTCAGGAGATCGAGACCATTCTGGCTAACACAGTGAAACCCCATGTCTACTAAAAATAGAAAAAAATAGCTGGGCTTGGTGGCGGGCGCCTGTAGTCCCCGCTACTTGGGAGGCTGAGGCAGGAGAATGGCGTGAACCCGGGAGGCGGAGCTTGCAGTGAGCCGAGATCGCGCCACTGCACTCCAGCCTGGGCGACAGAGGGAGATTCCATCTCAGAAAAAAAAAAAAAAAAAGAATCCTCAGAAGTGAGTCAAAATTCTTTCAAATCTGACTTTTCTGGATGGATGAAGCATAGGCAGGATGCGAGGAGGAGACTGAGTTCCTCTTCCGGTCTGGGGAAGAGTGTGTCACTGTGGGGCAATGAACCGAGAACCTGAAGCCTTCTTTTCTCTGTAAGTCACAGATGTGAAACCCCGAGGCTCAGCTGCATACTGGACCCTTGTAATGATTCTGCCCCGTACATGCAGGGCATTGGACAGAGGGAATAAAATCTTGAGGATTCAGTGTTTCAAGGCTGGGAGACTCGGGAGCTGTAGAAAAGGCATCTGGGAGTCTTTCTCCCCATTGTGGTCCACTGGCAGTGAATTTCTCCAACAGTACCAGGCAGTTGAGGGAAACCTTCATTCATTCATTCACTCATTCATTCCTCCACCAACAGATGCTTATTACGACTTCAATGTCTCAGGAGGGGTTTGTAAGTTTAAAGTCCCTAACTTAATTAGCCAATGTTACAAACGTATTTTTTCCAGAAGGAAGACAGCCATGCAGTGGGGAGCAGAAGCAGCAGGTCTCAGTAGAGCATCCTCTGGCCCCAGAGTCAGTAATGGAACACTCTGTTTGCCACGGTCTGAACTGATCTAGAGACCTTTTTCCTTGCCATGTCTCTGCCCTTGTAGCCTCACTGCAAATAACTCACACTAGCAGTCTATTTGCTTTCATTTCAGTGACTATTACAAATGTTACTCTTTCTGATTCTTGTGTAAACTCAGCGTCGGCAAGGATCCTTCCTCCTCTGAGAGGATAAAGCAGAATCAGTGCCCAGAAGTTCGAACCAGACAGTACCTCTGCCTTGCAAGACCGTACTACAAGTCAAGAACTGACTTCTCTGGGGACTCAGTGAGAGCCAGACACTCTGGGTCTATGCCCTGGAGGAGCTTGCAGTCAAAAAGGAAAATCAGGAAATGTGCCTCTGCCCAGAAGGCACAGTGGCCAGTGCAAAGTGCTGCAGAGGGGAGATCTCATACACAGTGCAGCCCTCGTGACTCTGAGCCATGCTGCCAGGCTTCAGTATCACTCTGCTGCTTACTAGCATGTGAGCTTAGGCAAGTTATTGAGGTGGTCTGGGCCTCAGTTTCCTCAGCTGTAAAATGGGCTTAATAATAAGCACCTACCTCTTAGAGTGGTCCGGAGGAGTAAATATCAATATATGAAAAGTGTGTAAACAGTGCCTGGTGAGCAGTCCATGTTGCCTTTTGTTATTATTATCTACATCTGCTTGTTATAAAGGTCAATTCCCATTACTATGGAACTCATGTTCATTGCTAAAAGCAATAGTGTGTGACCTTCCCTTGTCTTTTTATTCTTTGGAGCTTGTTTTATAAAGAGAGTGTTATCTCTCTGCAATGCAGCAGACCTTTGGAGATAGCACCAAGTTGGTGTCTGCACACACAAGCCATACCATACTTCCTTGGGCTGTCCAGAAACTCGTTGGCAGGTGGCCCTTGCACCCACATGGCTCAATGGGGTGGCCCCATGGTTGTGCCACATTGCCCAGGGACTTAACAAGCACCATTCCTAGCTCTTCTGGATCCCACAGTAACTTTTCAGGTGAGTGCTTCCTTTCCTGGATCGCTTTTTTTTTTTTTTTTTTTTTTTGAGACAGCATTTCACTCTTGTTGCCCAGGCTGGAGTGCAATGGCACAATCTCAGCTCACTGCAGCCTCTGCATCCCGGGTTCAAGCAATTCTCCTGCCTCAGCCTCCCAATTAGCTGGGATTAAAGGTGCTCGCCACCATGCCCAGCTATTTTTTTTTTTTTTTTGTATTTTTAGTAGAGACGGGGTTTCACCATTTTGGCCAGGCTGGTCTCGAACTCCTGACCTCAAGTGATCCACCTGCTTCGGCCTACCAAAGTGCTGGCATTACAGGTGTGAGCCACCACACCTGGATCCTGGATCACTTTTAAATGATGTTTAAATGTGTTATTCACACTTCCTAGATTTCTTCTAATGAGAAGAAAAGGGCTAATGAAACTGGAAGCCTTCTGGAAGCTTAGTGCCCTGCTCTGTATGATGGCATCTATACATCCCTCTCCATGCCTATCTTTGAGTCTCTCCTCTGCAACGATGTGGCTTTTCTCTATTTCCAGGCTTCCCGGGGTCTCTTAGAGTCTCTTACTATCTGTTTTCCCAAGTTGTTGTTAGACACAGCACCACCCTTTTGTGGCATGCGTTTCTGGTGTTTAAATCCTGGTGGCTTCATGAGATGTAAATGGGGACTCTTAGAGGACGTAAAACTGTCCATGTTTGAGGATGGAATGGATAAGACAGCCAGCTATTTAAATGTTGGTAGATTGAAATCAGCCATGGTAGGAGTCACAGAACATCATGGAACTTGGCAGATTCAGAGTGCCCCTTGCAATCTTGTCTTCTGGCATTTCTGGCATGGATTAAAAATAAGAAAGAAGTTGGAGCTGGAAGCAAATCAGAGGTATGCTTTCTCAGCTGTCTTCTTGAAAGTTTGGCTCACTACCTTAGAATCCAAGCTTTTCTACTTCCTAAAACAACAATAACAACAACAAAAAAGACCATTAGTTCACAAGATTTAAACAAAACAAAACATATTTTTTCTGCAACAAATACTTACCTTTTTGCCCTACTAAACTAGCTTCCCAGGGAACTCCAGCCAGATAAATGAGAAGAACAGAGGAGTGAATTCTCCTAGGAGCCATGAAGGAGGAGATATTCATTAAATAACCCAGTGTGGGGTTGCTAAATGTCACCATAATTAAGCAGGTCTACCTAGAGACGTTTAACTGGCCCCAGCACATTGTTGGTGATGACTCCTTTCCAGAAGTCCCCCGGGCAGTTGGCAGGACTCCTGCTCCCAAGCCAGAGATCTGAGCTTCTCTATCTCTCTGCCCAAGCAGTGTATGCACGGCTTTCCATTTCCCTTTTCACGGTGTCTCCTGAAGAGGATGAGCCGGGGGCTGCTTCATTTAGCAGTTAGCTTCTCGCTGATCCATAAATTTCTTGGCAGGCAGGGGGCATGGTGCGGAATAGCCAAGTGGATGTCAGATCCAGTGTGGGGGCACTGGGGAACTGAGCGGAACGTTGGTCCTGACTCCAAGGCAGCTGCTGGCTCGAGCTGTGCCAGCCTGCACACCAGGCAGAAGAGATGCTGGCCCGTCAGCCATCGCGGAGTCCCAGACCCATGGGGAAGGTTGACGTCAGCCACACATTAGAATCATCTGCGGCAGTTTTTAACCTTTCAGTGGTTAAAATCTAAAGACATAGCTTAGACCAATCACATGAGACTTTCTGGTGATGGTGCCCGGGGATAAGGGGTTTTGAGATAGGTGATTCCATTGTGCACTCAAGTTTGAAAACCACTGCCCTGAAGAGTGAGGGCAAATTCCCAACACGGATCCAGCTGGTGGTTCTCATTCTGGGGTAGCACAGCCTCTCTAGGGGGACATTGGAGAACCTAAGAAGGTTTGACAGCAACTGGGGCTACTACTGGCATTTAGGGAGTGTGGACCACAGGTATTCAAAGCCTCTGTATTTTGTAGGACAGTTCTTCACAATGATAAATGCCGAATCTCTAAGGTAGGGGTGTGTGTGTGTGTGTGTGTGTGTGTGTACTGAATGTGAGAGACACTGGATACATGTGGTCTCATCCGCTGTGGAGGAGGGGAGGCAGCCTGGTCAGCTTCAGTTGGAGATATTGGTAATGCAGACACGAGATGTAGAGTCTTTTCCTAGAAAATCAATAACCTGCTTGAAGAGGCCTCTCCACAGAGATTTGTCTAGAGAGAGCACACTGGCTTTGTATGTGTGTGTGTGTTTAAAGTAAGCTGCAAAATTCTTTGCTATTTTTCCCATTTCTGTGGGAAGAATTGCTATTTTTCCCACTTCTGTGGAAGATTCACAGAATATTCCTGAATCTGAATGCGAATCATGGCTGAGAGGCCAGGTCGGCGAGGTTGGGGTAGAGGCATTTGTGCAAATGGCACTGGCCAGGGTTCCCCAAGAAGGCAATGACTTCCCACCTTCTTAATTTGGCAGATTCCACATGATCCATTTGGTGCCCAAAACAAAGCAGATGAAATGTCTGGCCATCCCCATGCCAATTATGAAACACCTATGAGATCTGCTATTACAGGCAAGGAGTCACCTATGAACTATGAAGGTGTGTTGTCTAAATTTAATCAGCCACCTGCCCTGCCTGCATGGATGTGTTGTGTTTCTGTGGTATTTCCAGCATCTCACCTTAGTGTACAGCCTTGCCTTGCCCATCACGACAGACATGTCTTATCATGGCTTGCATACCATGGCAGACACACTTCATCATGGCTTGCACACTACATCAGGTGCATATTATGGTTTGCACATCATAGCAGACACACTTCATCATGACTTGCTGCAGGTTTTCACCACGGCTGGCACAGTGGGGAGACTGCAGCAAAAGGAATGGAGCACTGAGCTGGACCAAGAACTGAAGGTTCTCACTGGGCATGTTTCCAGGCTCCACAGGGTGGCCTGCGGTCACAGTCCTAGAGAGTCAGAGTTCTCTTTCGAAGAATCTGATCTTGCTGAAATCACCATCAGCTAGTTTTTTTAAAGTGTTTGTGAGCCACTCTGCCTGAGGTCACAAAATGCAAGGGCACTAGGGTGTGGGAGTCTGGTGACTTGAGAGCAAAGGACCTGACGAGGGGTTCCCAATGCCAGCCACTTTAGAATCAGCTGAGAGAGCTTTTTACAAAACACCACCTACGTTCCTACCATAGGCCATTTGAATCAGAATGTCTTCCGGGGGTCCAGGTATTACTAAACTCTCCAGGTGTGGAGGACACACTCTAGGGTGACCCCTGAAGATGAGTCACATCCTGTGGAATCCCCTCCCATTGAGCGTGTATAGAACCTGTGACCTGCTTCTAACCAATAGAATATGGCAAAGGTTAAGGGATATCATTCCCATTACATTATATGGCAAAAATCAAGGTATTTTGCAGCTATAACTAAGGTCCCTAATCGGTTGCCTTTGGGCTAATTAAAAAAGGAGATTATCCTGGGTAGGTGTGATGGGTGTAACCTTTACAAGAAGATTTAGACCTTCCAGGAAGTCAGAGACTTAAGACAGCAGAAACTCTCTCTTCATTGCTGGCTTCGAGGAAACAAGGTGCCACGAATTCAACCATCACAAGAAAATGAATCATTCCAGCCATCTGAGGGAGCTTGATGCCTCTTGATCAAGCCTCTGTGTGCCAGTGTTCTGGCCAACATCTTGATTTCAGCCTTCTGAGATCCTGAGTAGAGAACCCCTGCAGGCCATGCCTAGGCTTCTGACCTACAGACCTGTGAGATAATCAATGGGTATTGTTGACTAAGTTTCTGTTAATTTGTTGTAGAGCATAGAAACTAACATTAAGCGATTCTAACATTCACCCAGTGTCAAATATCCCTGGACTATGTGATTGCTAAGGGTCTGTCCAGCTTGGGAGTGCTCTGATTAATAATGAGGTTAGGAATGATTATCCAGAATTCAGAAATAAGGAAAAAGATGACTTGCATGTCATTGCTAACAGGCTCATGCAAGGTTTAATTATCTACGGGAATGAACTGGTGTTTGCTTAACTATTTGATTATATCCCAGATACTGTGTTAACTTGAATATTTTTTGTCCAGTGGAAATACAAATGATACTACCTGCCAGAAAAGATAATCCCAAAGGTTATGACTTATTGCACTGTAGTATCTTTACCAGTTTTGTAACTAACCCAGCAATTTTATTCTGACATTTATTTATTAAATTATATATAAATACTCTGCTCCCCAAATGTTCTTTGGACCAGACTTACTAATAACGATCCCTTCATTAATTAATGAATTAAATAAAATCTCTGACACACATCCATTTTATATTTGTGTGATTCATTTTCAGTTTTCTGAAAATTAAACTGATGACTTTTACAAGGTGATTTCAGGTAACAATATTTTTATATACACTCTTATTTGATGCTGTAGTGGCACAGGTAGGAAATAAAGGTGTGTATTCATTTTGCAGGTGAAGACACCAAGTCTAAGAGAAAGTAAATAATTTGATCAAGACCACGAAGCTAATAAGTGCTCCTGCCTCAGCCCTAACTCAGATTCTTTGCCAAGTCGTGTGTTCTTTCCCAACACCAAACTGTCCTTCTGCCTTACACAAACAGCACTTTATAAAGAGTGTAAAAGCATTGTTTCCCATTTAATCCTTCTAACAGTCTTTTGACATAGGCACTATATACTCCATTTTAAAATTAGGAAACTGAGCATAAACAGTTTTATATAACTTGACCCAAATCTCACAATGGCAGTTAGAATTCAAACAGGCAGCCTGGCTTCTGCATCCAGTCTCTTACTCCTCGTGCAGTGGCTCTGAAGAGGACTCTTGGTGAAGCAATTGCTTACTGGCCCAGGGTCCCCACTCCCATCTGAAACATCTGGTAAGTGGCTCTAAGACGTTGGAACTGCTCTGCTCTGAGATCAGATTGAATAGCACACCAGCCCAGGACCTGAGAGAGACTGTCAGCTCCTTCTGTGCATTTCTCATGGTTCCCTTTGTCTTCCACAATAGATAACTTAGAGGTTTGCAAGCGATTACAAGTGGGCGACTGCAGTCATCTACGAATGTGGTTAATAGGCAATACCTAGCCAGAACCCAGCTGTCTACTTTGAACCATTGATTATGAGTGAAAGAAAAAACATTCTTTTCGCTATGGGAAAGACATTTACACTCATTTACAGGGGGCAGTGTGAGCTCACTCAACCAAACAGAGCTATAGCTAAATTGCAAGATTTTTAGAGACAAGAGAGAATATTTGGGTTATCAAATAGTGGGAAATGTCTCAGTCACACATAATGTCTGTATCTTAAACTTCTTTAGTTTTTCTGGATCATCCACAATTTCATTTCATCTAGATCCAAATTCTCTTTCCTGTTAGAACCAGCTCTTGATATACCTGTTTTGTGATTAGGATAATGCTTTTTTTAAACTTGTTGCAAAAGATCTCTCTGAGGCATCAAGGAACATGGCTTGATTCTACTGTTGAAGGGCCAGAACTGATCTGTGGCCATCCCTCACCCACTCATATGATTGTATTCGTTATGTTATTCACTCAGTTTTCTTCTTTCCAAACTGGATTTCCATTTCTGTAGTGGCAACAGGGCTAACATGTATAACTGTGTCATGCCAAAGGGCCCCCAGCTGAGTTGGGGGGGCCTGAATCTGAAAGCTCAGTCCCCTCTCTGCAGGCCAATTGGGGTATCCCAGGGTCAACTATGTTTGCCTGAAGGAAAGGGCTTCTCTTTCTAATTCACACGCAGGAGCTATATGGGCAAATAGAGTATCTGCTGTAACCTGTCCTCACATGGAAGCTGAAATGGAGAATTCCTGTTTAAAATGGCCACTTCACTTTCACAAGTGAATAAATGTTTAAAACTTTATGCATTTAAATAGTGTTCAGTTTTTAAGGGAATTCTCTAAGTATTTCTCTATATCAGCAGTCCCCAATCTTTTTAGCACCAGGGACTGGTTTCTTGAAAGACAATTTTTCCATGGACTGGGGTGTGGGGAGTGAGGATGGTCTGGGGATGATTCACGTGCATTACATTTATTATGCACTTTATTTGTATTATTATTACATTATAATATATAATGAAATAATTATACAACTCATCATAATATAGAATCAGTGGGAGCCCTGAGTTTGTTTTCCTGCAACGAGACAGTCCTATCTAGGGGTGGTGGGAGACAGTGGCAGATGATCAGGTATTAGATTCTCATAAGGAGCGTGTAATCTAGATCTCACATGTGCAGTTCACAGTAGGGTTTGCACTCCTATGAGAATCTGATGCCACCACTGATCTGACAGGAGATGGAGCTCAGACGGTAATGGGGAGGGGCTGTAAATTACAGATGAAGCTTTACTGGCTCGCCCACCGCTCCTCCTGCTGTGCAGCCTGGTCCCTAACAGGTTGTCTGTGACCCAGGGGTTGGGGACCTCTGCTCTATATGACAGAAATACAGTACAGGAAGTCAGCTAATATAATTTCCCATGGAAACTTAATATTTCCTAATTGATGTTTTCATCATGAAAACTATCATCTTTGCTTTGTTATGACCATGTATACTTGAGTGAATTTTAATCTCAATCATATAATTTCCTTGAGAAAAGCTGTACTATTAGTTACAAATTGTGTCCAAGAAATTATATAGAATCCAAATAAACTATAAATGTTTGAGGTGATGAATGTGCTAACTACCACGGTTTGATCATTACATAAAGTAGACATGTGTCAAAACATCACACTGTGATATGTGTAATTATTATGCGTCATAAATATGTATAATTATTATGTGTCAATGAAAAACCAAAAACAAAGATAACAAGTCAGTTTTTAAAAATGATTGCTATTATAGAGGGTGGCTTGCTTATTTCTAAAGTAGCACATCCTTCAAAATAGTGTAAGGAAAGGTAACATTCAGTGGTTGTTGTGGAGATGTTGCCTTGAAAAGCATGGTTGCCTGCATTCTCTTTTAAGGAAAGAAAAGAAATTTATGAATTGGCCTCCAGTGCTTAAACTGCAACCCCTCCCCCCCACAAAAAAAATCCTCTCCTCTTGTCTCCTATCAGATATGCAAGTCAAAGACGCTATTACTCTAAATCTCAATTCATGGCATTAAAAATTCAGGTTTATTGAGGTCTTAACTTCATGCAGTAAAATAAATCTTGTTAGAGTACACTGCAATGAGTTTGACAAAGGCTTATAGTCATGTAATGACTACCACAATCAAGATATAGAACAGTTCTATTACTCCAAAAATTTCTCCTGTTCAACTTTTTTTGTAGACCACCTCTAACTCTATCTGTAACCCCTGGCATTCACTAATCTGATTTTTTTGTACCTATAGTTTTGCTTTTTTTAAAATGTCATATAGTTTTTTTATAAAACTTCTAGAATAAATAATAGGTAAAAATATGTAGTACTTTGAGTTTAGTGAGCTCCTACCATTGAGGAAGGAGAAGGATGTCACACAGCATGTAGCTTTTTGAACCTGGCTTCTTTTATGTAGCAGAATGCAGTTGAGATTAACCCATGCTATTGTGGGTATCCATAGTACATTCCTTTCTGTTGCTGAATACTGTGGATGTACAACAGTTTGTTCATCTACTCATCAGTTAAAAGATATTTGAGATGTTTCTAGTTTCTGGTGATTATCAATAAAACTGCTGTAAACATTCATGTATATGTTATTATGTGGACGTAAGTTCCACTTCTCTTGGGCAAATACCTAGGAATGGGAGACTCGGTGAATATGTTTATCTTTACAAGAAACTGCCAAACTATTTTTCTTCCCAGGTAGCCGTATGATTTTGCATTCCCACCAGCAATGAACAAGAGTTCCAGTGGCCACTTCACTAAAACTTGATATTGTCATTTAAAAAATTTATTGTAGCCCTTCTAATAAGTATGTGGTAGTATGTGAGCACTTTTTCATATGCTTATTTGCTATTTTTATACCTTCTATAGTTATGTAATTATTGCCACCCCCTTGTAAAATTGGGTTGTTTTTCTAGTGTTTTGAGACTTCTTTGTTTTGAGAATTCTTTATATATTCTGGATACAAGTTCTTTATCAGAGATGTGATTTTCAAATATTTTCCTCCAAGTCTATGGCTTGTCTTTTCATTCTTTTAAGTGTCTCATCCGCACTGTTTAATTTTGAGAAATCCCAAATAATTACTTTTTTAAATCGATCAGGCTTTTTATGTCATATTGAAAAAGTCATCACCAAACTCGAAGTACTACATATTTTTACCTATTATTTCTTCTAGAAGTTTTACAGTTTTAAGTTTTACGTTTAGTTCTTTGATTCATTTTGAGTTAATTTTAGTATAAGGTGTCAGGTGGTTTGAGTTGTTGAGATTCTACTTTTTTTTTTTTTTTTTTTTTTGCCTATGGGTGTCCAACTAATCCAGTACCATTTATTGAAAAGTCTATTCTGGCCAGGTGTGGTGACTCACACCTGTAATCCTAGCACTTTGGGAGACCAAGGCAGGGGGATCACGAAGTCAGGAGTTCGAGACCAGCCTGGCCAATATGGTGACACCCCATCTCTACTAAAAATACAAAAATTAGCCAGGTTTGGTGGCACGTGCCTGTAGTACCAGCTACTCAGGAGGCTGAGGTAGGAGAATCACTTGAACCCAGGAGGCGAAGGTTGCAGAGAGCCAAGGTTGCACCACTGTACTCCAGCTTGGGTGACAGAGAGAGACTCCATCTAAAAAAAAAAAAAAAATTAAATTCTATTCTTTCTCCATTGAGTGGCCTTTTAAACTTTGTCAAAAATAAGTTGATTGTGTTTGTGTGGTCCAACTTCTGGTCTTTCTACTTAATGTGTCTATTCTTTTGTCAAGTCTACAGTGTCTTGATTACTATAGCTTTTATAGTAAATTTTGAAATTGAGTAGTGTGAGTCCTTGAACTTTGTTCTTCATTTTAGTAATTGCTTTTGCTAGTCTAGTTACTTTGTCTTTCCATGTAAATTTTAGGATTGGCTTGTTGATATCTAAGCAAGAGCTTTTTGACTGAGATTGCCTTGAATCAATTAGAGAGAACTGACTTTTTAACAATATTCAATCTTCCGATCCATGAACATGGTGGATCTTTCCATTTATTTAGATCTTCTTTGATGTATTTCATCAGAGGTCTTTCATCAGTATACAGATCCTATGTATATTTTGTTTAATTCCTACCTAAGTGCTTCATTTTTTGTGCTATTGTAAACGGTATTTTTTTTTAAAAATTCTAAATTCCAATTGTTCACTGCCTGTATAGGGAATATGATTGACTGTTTTCTATTGGCTTTGTATTTCTACTAATTTTACTCATTAGTTCTATGAGCTTTTTGTGTACATTAGTTAGTCAGTTCCAGAAGCTTCTTTTTGTAGATTGTTTGGGATTTTCTACAAAAACATGTTGTCTGTTAATAGAGATTGTTTTATTTCTTCTTTCCCATTCTATTTGTCTTTTATTTATTTTTCTTCTCTTATTGCATGGGCTAGAATATAGACAATATTAAATAAAAGTAATGAGTGGATATGTCTTTCTTGTCCCATTTTGGGGGAAAAACATTCAGTCTTTCAACTGTTAAATATGATGATACCTGTAGATTTTTTGTAGATGCCTTTTTTAGGGGTGAGGTTCTATTCTTAGTTTGCTGAGAGTTTTTGTCATGACAAGATGTTGAATTCTGTCAAATGATTTTTCTGCACCTATTGATCTGATCATTTGGTTCTTCTTCTCTAGTCAGGTGATATCATGCATTATATTTGATTTTTGAATATTGAACCAGCCTTGTATTTCTAGGATGATGCCAACTGTTTCATGATTTTTTTTTATTATTGCTGAATTTTATTTGCTATCATTTTGTATGCATCTACATTAATGCATCAACATTAACGAAGGATACTGGCCTGTAGTTTTCTTACTTTGCAACGTTTTTGTCTAATTTTGGTTTTAGGGTAATGTTTTTCTTCCTTTCCTTGTGTGTGTATCTCTTAATTTTGGATTGAATGTGAATACTTTGTGAGATGGTAGAGACTGAAGTAAATATATTTATGCCTAGAAATGAACATGGCTCTTCTGATTGGCCACAAGAGTGTGTTTGGTGGGGGGTAGTTGGGAGTGAAGATGAATTGATCTGGAATTGAGCTGGATTTGGGCTTTTTGGTTGCTGTGGTTGCTGTCAGTTCACCCCGTCTGCTACTCTAATAGTGTTACATTATGCTTAGGGTGAGGACTGGGTTGCTGGAGGGCTTTTCTCAATGTTTCTCTCTGCCTACTCCAGAAGGTAGTCTCTCTCTGTACTCTTGCTCTTCACACAGCATTAATTTACTGTTTCTTGTCACTCTGTGTTTGCTAGCCTCGGGGCGGGAGGTGGCCCTGTCTCAGAATCAGGCGCCCTGTGCCTGTGGGTTTCACAGGCAGGGCTTTTCAGTCATCCTTCTCCTTCCTCGATGGTAGGAGCTCTCTAACATTCTGTGCTGATAGTTTCCCAATCCTTCCCCAGGATAGAGGTTTTCCTTTCTTTCTCCTTCCTTCAGACACTGTGGATCTTTCTCTGTGCCCCGGAGGCTACAGGTTTACTCCCCTTACTCCAGGAAGGTGAAGTCATTTGTTTCACAGGGGAGAAGGGCTTTGGAAGGGGTGATATTCACTACCAGAGGAGGTTCTCTCACATCTCCCATCCTGCCCTTCTCTGTGCTTGAAGAACCTGCAAAGTCCCTTTGTGTCTGCAGTTCCCAGGGTTTCTCTTCTTTGATGCTAGCATTAGCCTGTAGCAATACATTAAAAATTTCACCTGAGTTCTTACTTGTATGGTGCTTGGCTTTCCTGCCTTCCATATTCTGCCACAGGTGAGTTTGTGCCCACATTTCATCTCTTCTTGGAGATACCTGTCTTTCCTTAGACTTGGTTGCCTGTGGCTTCAGCTCTCTGATGAGTTTTACAAACTATAATTTTCTATTATCTGGATTTTTCTTGTTGTTGGTATGTTATCAAAGCTCTTTCCAGCTTTCAACATCCTAAGCAGGAATCAGAACTCCCATCCATTGCATCTTGATGGATACAAAATGCAAATGCTAAGTACAGTCTCATCCACATTCAATGCTACTACCTTTCCTCCTTGGTTTAAGATAATTTTATATATCCTTGATTTTTCTCTGCATTCCTAAAAAACTATTATGGATCAGTGATTTTCTTCCTAAATGTTCTTCTTACTCAATGCCACTTTTCTGGAATGTTTTCCTTCATAAGTCCCATCCCTTCTCCTTCTCCCCAGTCTGGAGCAGTGCTCAAGAGCCAGATTGGAAAGCATGAACCAGGGTTATGCAATGACGTGCCTGGGGCCAGAGTTCCTGTGAGAGGTGGGACCTCCTGAGGTCAAGTAGAATGGGGGCTGGGTCTAGTGTCATTTGGGCATTAAAAGAAAATAGGACCCCTTGAGTCCTGAAAAGTTTGAAATATCAGAATTTTAAACACTCTAGGAGGCAGATTGTTTTGACTGGTGGGGATATCTGGAAGATATAGGAAGAAAGTAATTAGGAAAAGAAAAACTCTTAAAAACCCCTCTCTTGATGCTCTCTTCACCTCTAAGCACTGTGTAGTAGACAATAAACTGCTCACTAAATATTTCCAGTTCTCCAGGTGGCACATGGTAGAGTTGCCTTTCCCTCCCCCTTGAGTTAAGTGTAGGCATGTGACTCACTTCTGGTAATAAAATGTGAGCAGAAGTGATGTGTGCCACTTCGAGGTGGAGGTTTTCAGAGCCAATGCATCATTTGCCAAGTTTTCATTTTACTTCTTTCACAGCAATGGGCAGTGTTCCACATAGGGACTGCCAGGCTGGGTCCTAAAGAGAGGACACAGAGCACAGTCCCCAGTTGTCCTCAATGAACTTGTAGCATAAGTGGAAATAAAATTGGAGCCTTGTTTGTTTTTGCAGCATAAGCTAACTCACCAGGACTAATACACATGAGAAAGGAACAATTGATACTTATTAAAGTTTGGATCCTAAGATTTGAGGGTCCTAACGTTCCTTTCTCTCAGCTTGTTACAATGCTCCCATTTGGCTTATGGAGACAGACAAGGGGTGTGCAGGGACCTTCCTGGGGCCGTGCCCTGGACTGGCTTCTCTGGCTGAAAGCAGAGTAATTTGCACTCACCCAAAATTGTCCTTTGTTGCAAGAACATTTTTTGTTTATAGTTAACCTTTTACTGTGAAATCCATCTGTTCTTTTACTGCTTGGGCGTGTCTCAGTCAGCTTGGGTTTCTATAACAACATACCTTAGACTGGGTGGCTTCAACAGCAGAAATTTATTTTCTCACTGTCTGGAGGTTAGAAGTATAATATCAAGGTACTGGGTGATTTGGTTCATGGTGAGGACTCTCTGGCTCGTAGACAGCTGCTTTCTCACCGTGTCCTCACATGGGAGAGAGCGAAAGACAGAGTAAGGGAGAGAGAGCAAGAGAGCAAGCAGACAAATGCAAACTGTTTGGTCTCTTCTTACAAGGGCACCAACAGTCCATCTTGAGGGCTCCACCCTCAAGAGTTAAAGTGAGCAGTTTATTTAAAGTGAACTAAATATAGCCTGAGAAGGACTCCGTACTTCTATATTTGAGTTCTTGTGGACAAACTGCAACCTAGCTTAATAGATAGACAAGATTGAAAACCTAATTTAGGAGTATGAGCCTGTAACAATAGCTGAGTCTTGGGCAATGCAGCGGCCATTCATATACTGCTGAGTGTTCAAACTGTGTTCAAATAAGGCAAACGCCGAGCTGTAACCAATCCAGCCATTCTGTACCTCACTTCCCATTTCTGTATGTCATTTCCCACCCCCCCCCTTTTTTTTTTGTCTATAAATCTTCTTCCATCACATGGCTGTGCTGGAGTCTCTGTGAATCTGCTGTGATTCTGGGGACTGCCTAATTCACAAGTTGTTCATTGCTCAATTAAATTTAAATTTATTTGGCTGAAGTTTTTCGTTTATCAATCCTCATGACCCAAAGACCCCATCTCAAAATACCATCACATAAGGCTTCAACATATACATTTTTGGGATAACAATTCAGTCGTTAGTGGGAGAAATTAAGGGTTTTAACTTTTCTTGCTGAATGTGTGGCATCTGATGAGAAAAAACGTTCTATCCCCTTCCCATGCTTTGTACTGCACATGGTGGGATACAGTGGCACACCTAAAACAGCAGGATCAAGTCTAAAGACTGTGGGATTAAAAAAGAAAGTTGATTTCTGACCCTAGAAAACTAAGAGAAGGTAAGATAAGGTAGGGAAGGACGAAAACCTAGAGACCCTGGAAACCTTCCCTGTTTTGAAGCAAAGGTGATTGTCTTTTTCCTGCACTAGTTTATGCATTTAAATATAATCCTCAGAAGTGAAGTTTTCATTTAGCCTGATGTTTGTAGAGACTTTTTTTCCTGAGTGAGTGGCATGGATAAAAATCTTTTTCATATATTTTTAAAGGAAACTAGTTACCACTCCTTAGCTAGCCCACAGACTTGGAGAATGATTCACATGTTGGTGGTAGGTATTATTGAGGAAAAATAATTCTAATGGTCATCCCTTGGTGGAATGGCCCTGTATGTATGATTAACAAAGATGTCTATGTTCATGCTTTTATTTTATAACAATCCTGTAAGTTAATTAAAAGCATTATTTTAATTCCCATTTTATAGCTAAAAAATTGAGATATTTAATGTCTGAACTATGTCAAAGATAGTGAACAGTGACTATGTCTGCCCTCATCATTGCCACTATGCTGGACCATGCTAAAGTGGAAATTTTGATGCCTCTACAGACAGCTCTCGATTATTTGCTATAATGGGAAACAGGCCCAATGCAATTGATTGGAAGTCCACTCTCCATCACCAGCTCTCAGTTTAGCTTCCTCTGCAGGCCCAATCACTACCTTGATTTAAGGCTACATTGACTTAACACACCTTTCTCCTTCCATTCCTTTATCTTGTTTTTTAAATCCTCTGTAGTAATGCTAACATGCATTTAAAAACATGCAATTCTGGGATGAGAATCAAGGAGACCACAAAAAGCTACAAACTGGCAAATGAATAATGGAAAACTTAGTGAGTGTTTAGTGTTGTGTTAAGTGAAGCCAAGTCCTGTGCTGAACATGTGGGGGATAGGGGCTGCCATCTCCATATTTGCATGGTAGGTCACACACTGTATAGCTTTTTCCAATCCAGCATCCTTTTCCTTTTTTCTATTGTGGCCGCCACCTTAATACAGTGTCACAGTAGTTGGGAAGAAAGTTGGAGGACTCTGGAGATTGACTATTATTGTTATGCTGTTACCTGTCACGCTTTGAAAGGTCACAGATTTTTCTGTGTGAGGCGCTAGCTCTGTTGGTTCTGCTAACATGAAGGGAGTGCGGTGCTGACACAGGTCAGGAGAGGGCCTCTGGGAGAGGGAAAAAGGGGGAAACAAGGTCAGCCTAAGCTGGAGAGGGCTACAAAACCACAAGGAATCTGCCTGCTCCTTAGAACTGCACAAGAGGGTAGAATGATGTTGCACATTTTTTCAGACATTCATTCATTTATTCAAGAAATTGAGGTAGGCATGTATTATGGGCAGGACATGAGGGGTAGAACGTTCTCATCTAATACAATCTTGGGAGGAGAGTCATGTATTTGGAAAACAAACAAAAAACTCTTACATCACCAAGCAGAGTGACAGCTGAGGGGTTTGCATTTAGAGCACCCGAGCTTTTTTCAGATGGGACACAGGGGTTTAGGAGCTTCATGGAGGAGCCAGTGACTTAATGGCTTTCTCATTATCATTGCAACCTGATCTAACTCAGTCTAGTCACATTCCAAACCTAAAGTTCTTTTGGGGATGATAAAAACAGATGCCAAAGAAGCCGTGAGGTGGGTGGGGCCTAAGGCTTTTCCATAAGCTGACGATTGTGTGATGTGGAAGTGAGACCAAATCCTGCCACGTGGACAGTTATTTATGGAACAGAACATACATCAGCAAGCACTCATCAGTTAACATCCTGTTCTGTGAAGTCAGTAAAGTCCTGGACCACTCAGAAAACCAGAATCTTCCCAATCAGGGCCTGGACACAGGACCATTTAGGGATGAGAACTAAAGCACCATTCCTAAGGGTGCAGGTGACAGCATAACTGGGCTCTTATACCCTAGGCAAGAAATAAAGAGATATGTCTCTAAGGATTTCAGCTAATCCATATATTTTAAATACCTGTAATTTTTATCGATGAAAGCCCATTTTTAGCATTTATCATCGCTAGTTATCAAGTCATTATTTTCATAATAAAATCCCGTTTCTGACATTCACTTTGCTAATTAACAAGGTCTTGGGCACTGATTGCTAGATGGAGTGCTGAAGCACGTGTAGTCATCTCCTCTAAAGGGTGGTGTTTCTGATGTATTGCCAGCTGGCCACCTTTAAAATGTGGGACTTCTGTTAGGACAGTTGAATGCTTAGAGTTGATGTTTACACTAGTTGTCAATTTCATATGTCACACTATCTATGCTGGGAACTATTTTAAAGTGACACCATGAGTAATATTGGCACCTTTTATTGAATATTTTCCTATTGAGTTGTCTGTTGGTACTAGTCTCTGCCTCTTCTGTCACTTTTCTGGAAATTACTCCACCCCTCCCGTCCCATGATAATTAATATCTATGACCCTGCCCTCCCTGGTCAGCAATGAACATAACCCAAATGTGGCTGATTAGCCTCTTGTCCTATAAAATAGGAATTGGGGCTCAGAGGGAGACCCAGTTACTTTTTGACAGCTGGACCCACCACCACAACAGTTCCAAAGCTCCCCAGTGGGCTACTCCCCAACAATAACCTTGCACAGCAGGATGAGTTACAGGTCCATTCCTGCAAGATACAGGACTCCTCAACCCAGAAACTTTGGTTCTAAGGTGTCTTGTGGGCCTGCCTGGGATGTTCTCCAGCTGAGCTGCAGTCCAAGGTTCTTTCTTGCCCAACCCTGCTTCCTTCCCCCTCTTCTCCACAGGAGTCAGACCTGCACCACGATCTGCAGGCTCTTTTTGTCTTCCCCAGCTCCTTCCCCTACTCCCTTTATGGGTAGTTCCTCCAATTAAACTCTTCTACAGCTAATCCCATCTTGGCATCTGCATCAGGAGGACTTGAACTAACACAGTGGCTCTAGTCTCTTCCTGAGGCCTGATGATAATCCTCCTCTTGGGCTTTATGAGCTGTGTAGCCTAATTTTACATTTCCATTTTTAATGCTTAACCCACATGAGCAATTTACTGTTATTTGCAACCAAAAGAACAAATAGAGTTACCAGGTACCAAGGGTTTTGCTAAGCTTCACAGATTTATTTTCTCACTTAATTCTTGGATTACCCCTGAGAAGTATGTATTTTTATCACCATTTCCCAGAAGAGGAATGAGTTTTAGAGACTGAGTAGTTTTCCCAGGATTACACCGTGGATCACACACAGCCTTAAGAGTGGAGAGGCTAGGATTTGAACTCAGAATTCTCAGACTCCCTGAGACTCAGACTCCAGAGCTTATGCTCTAAGCTATTCTTTTCTGCTGGGGTCTACATGATGATACAATTAATACTTGACCTCTGCCTCTTAAACCAAACTTCCCAGCAACTCCGTATTTCTTGGGATATCTTCCTGGACCCAGGTAACTCATTGCCCTTTCCTTCTTGCCTCTAAATCAATGTTGAAATATTCCTCAGACCTTTCATCCTCTGAGCTTGAAACATGTGCCATCTGTGGGCTGGAAGACAATCGGCTTCATTCCTATAGTAAATAAGGAAAGGTAAAGATTGCATGGCTGCCATCTCTCTACCATCTCCATAAATAGGCCTCATTTACATTGGTGTCAGAACTAGAGGAGGCAGAACAAATGATACTTTGTGAGGGGACAGACATAATTCAAAATGCGAAAGGAATTACAAAGAGACTTTCATGTGTTGTGCAATGCTGCAAGTCAGGAGAGACTTGGTGGCTCTCCCTACAATTTTAAAAATAGATTTTTTAAAAAACACCCCAAACATAACCCAAGTAAATAGTTTGACAGATTACTGAGAATTGCTATATTCTTGAGCCACTGAAGCAAGATTTTCACTCTCTTTAGAAAACAGCGCAAACTGGGCAATCGAAAGTATGAAATCCCATCTGGGAACAAAGTACAAGATGAATACAACTATGAAAATGGAAAGCAGTCAAGCCAGAGCCATCCCTTTCCTAGCACACACAGGCTGCCTACCTGGGGGGGTTATGCCCCTCCCCATGTACTACCCCTTAGGGTACAGCCAACAACTGACTGACATGGAGGACAAAAGGCTGGTCCCCTTTCCCCACAGAGGGATGGGCTCTGTGGTACATTCTTGTTCCAGAGCTCTCATGAGACCAGGCTCTCAGTCAGGGTCCTGCTGAGATGGCACACTTGCTTAGCCCCTTTCTCTGCCTCATCCTGTTTGTCTCATTTCTCTTTTGAGAACCCTCCTTCTTTGATAAGTTACATCTACAAGAATCCTTGTCTCAGGCTCTGCTTCTAGGGAATCCAATCTAAAATAGTGGCTTGCAGGAGTTTTATTTGGGAAGAACTGGAATGCAGGCTATCATCCTGGGTACTTTCTTGGACCCTGGGGAATGTTGGAGAACAAGTTTTGGGGTGGTAGAAAATCTTTAGAAAAAGGGGAGAGAGAAGAAGAACAATGCTGAAAAGTGAGAGAAGCTAGTGAACAAATGAAGCAAGAAACTCTTGACTGAGGAAAACTTTTCTCTGTAGGAGTTCAGATTCCTAAGAACACATGAGCATATCTGTCACCTTTCCAGGGTGTCCTTAATCTGGAAGATGGGGTATTTTGAGGATGTTGTTACAAATGCTCTTGTTGGATTTTGACTCCACCCTTCCATGCTTTCTGATTTGAACTTATTTATTTATTTATTTATTTTTTGAGACGGAGTTTCGCTCTTGTTGCCCAGGCTGAAGTGCAATGGCATGATCTCGGCTCACCACAACCTCTGCCTCCTGGGTTGAAGCGATTCTCCTGCCTCAGCCTTCCGAGTAGCTGGGATTACAGGCATGCGCCACCACGCCTGGCTAATTTTGTGTTTTTAGTAGAGACGGGGTTTCTCCATGTTGATCAGGCTGGTCTTGAACTCCCGACCTCAGGTGATCTGCCTGCCTCGGCCTCCCAAAGTGCTAGGATTACAGGCATGAGCCACTGTACGCGGCCTAAACTTATTTTTAACATTAAAAAGATTTCCTTGAACTCACTTCCAGTCAGTCTCAGCAGGGGCTCTTGGTTACTCAGTGGAGATTTTGCATTCCTTTAGCTGGCAGCTGGCATTGATTATCCTTCCACAGGATAATTAGAGTGCTGGCGCCTCTGCAGAGTACAGCATCTGTACAATGATTTGCTGTAATAGCTAAAGGAGATTCAAGAATTAGTCACTTCTTTTGTTCAGATCAGTCTGCAAGCTACCATTTAAGAAGGATGTGTCCGGGACTCAGGGAGGCATGAAGTTCTTTAGATAGCAGTAAAGTGGAATGGTTCAAAGCTTGGGCTCTGTGGTCAGCTTCCCTATATAGGGTTTGCAATGGTTAAATGAGACGATACTTTTAGAGCGTGTAGCACAAGGTGACATGAAGTAAGTACACACTAAATGTCACCTATCATGATGATGGATCCTGAGCCCCTCCAGCATTGATTCCATGAGTCCTCTCATGTTACCTCTTCCCTTTGCTCTGTCTAGTTGTTGGTGCTTTGGGGTCTCAAAGAGGAGATGCTGTTTTTGAGGATGACCCAGACCCTCCTTGTTGACTCCCAAACTGTTTAATCTTAGTTCACAGATGATTAGCTCCATAGGACCCCATGCCAGCTTCTGATCCTATCCCTTAGCTATGCCCCCATCCCATCATCCCCTAGTCTCTGCTTTTGGCAACTTATGCCTGGCCCTCCCAGTCAGCAATTCTTGCCTTTCAGATTTTTTTGTTTTGTTTTGATTTTTTCGAGACAAAGTCTCACTATGTTGCTCAGGCGAGAGTGCAGTGGCTATTCACAGGTGCAATCATAGTGCAGTACAGCCTTGAACTCCTGGCCTCAACCGAACATCCTGCCTCAGCCTCCTGAGTAGCCGGAACTACCGACTGCATCTCGTTGCCGTTCAGATTTGGACACTTACTGTGATCTTGGGTGAGAAAATATTTCATCCCATTATGTAGCTAGGGAGTTACCTGGAAACCTATCAGCTACACTTGCCTTCCCACCTCCTGAGTGGAAGGGAGTGCACCCCTCTCTTGCTTTGAGGCATGGAAAAGCAAAGACTTGGGAAGAAAGAACATACTCCAGTTTTTTGTTTTTTTTTTTAACCCCACCTTCAGCCTTGGATACCAAGACAGGATCTGTATTACCAATCAATATGCACATTAAAAACATGTTTTGTGTTAACTTAGTTGGACTTAATTGCTATTTTTACTTCCATTTGACTGGGGAATTATATGCTTTGTTACTATTTTACTAGCATCTCCTCACTATCTAGGCATGGCTCAATGCTCTCCATTCCTTTGGTGGCCAACTGCATTGCTGATGAAGACATGAGTAGAACATTTATGCAAGACAAATTTATTGTACTTTGTGATTTTCAGAGGTATGACCTGTCATGACAACATTTCAGTGCTTTGTGGCCTCAAGAGATTTGTGTTTGGGGAATGGAACACAGTGGGAGTGGGTGTCTCTATTCAACCTTTATGCCTGAAACCCTGTACTCCACATTCCTGATCTTTGAATTTCTCCAACTTTCCTACCTTAAGGTTCACACCAAGGCCTCTCCCAAAACCCAGTTCCCCATGATCATATTTTGTGTAGGATGCGGGGATCCTGGCCAAGGCAGCTTTTTCTTGAACATTTACCTGAGAGTAGGGTTAAATGCTCAAGAAACATGGAGCCTAAGACAAATAGGAACTTGAAAAAATAATCTAGCAGCTTATTTGTTTATGCATTTTTTTTAAATGAAAAACAATCCAGCAGTGCTGGGGATGATTTTTGTTGTTTGCTCTTGCTAGTCATTTTGCTGAAAGACAAAGTGCTGGATGCTAGTCCAGCCCAGGCTTCTCCATTTAGCAGCTGTGACTTTGGACACAGGACTTCACCTGGTTAAGACTTGGGTTCCGCTTCCTTAGAATGGGGATAATACCTACTCCATGGAGTTGTTAGGAGAATGAGTGCACCTGGCACACAGGAATCATGTAATACATGAGGAACATTATGATTATAAACTGCAAAGATTAGTCATAAAATATCACAGCTGGAAGGGGACCTCTATTATTGAGAAGGTTGAGGTTTTCAAGAAAGAAAACAAAGGTACCAGATGCTGCATTCCCTTTCCCATAACTTCCCATAAAAGTATTGAGTGTGATATGAAACCAGTTCACAGGCAGAGGAATAAAGACTGGTGATTTAATGTCTAATGAGGTGTTATTCATGTTTACTAAGGTTGCAATAGATAAACCTATATTGCTCACTCTTATTTCTTATGATTCCAGAATTTATTTTTAAGTATCCTTTTGAGATAGAGGTTGAGAAAGGAGAGACATCGTGGTTGAAGGTAGGAATAAAGCTTGTTCAACTCTAGGTATGTTTAATTCATTTTGTGAACTATTAGTACAATAAATGCTGATTTCATTCACAACTAAGTGGGGCTATTTATGTTTGAATGAAAAGCACGTGCACTTGCTCACACAAAGCTCTATTGTGAACTAAAAAAATCAATTTTTATTGTTCAAACAACTATGCATTAGTCAAAGGCCCCAAATGAGGGTTCTGAGAATTGTGGGCATAAACTAGGAATATTAATGTGTTAGAATTTTTATGTGGTTTCATAGGATGGATGGGGATGTAATAGAGGTGAGCAGGCTCAAGAATATTTTCCAGTGGCCTTGATGCTGCCCACTTAAGCTTTATTATGTTGCATTGGTGATTCTATAGCACACAGCAAGACAAGTCTTTGATTTATTCACAGCTTCATAGTGAATGAGAGATCAGCAATGTCTAAAGAAGCAGCAGCTGTGTTTGTGAGGACTACTTCACTTAGGGGTTCGAGAAACAAACAAGGAGTGCCACATGCATAGAGCCCACAAGTGCCTTTAGAATTGACAGAGATTGAAGCTCTGGAGGTCTAGAGAGAGGCCACAACACATTCTGCATTCCCATTGGCTTAGAGCTATGTCCACAAGGTCAGTTTTCAGAGAATGGCCATTCCCTTTATGCATTTTATACTCATATATATGACCTCCACAGGCAAAAAGCACCTTTAAATAACTGTTTTCTCTGGTTTCTATGAAGAATATTTGTAAATTGGGAAAATTCAATAAAATAGAATGAATAAAATAAACATCTTCTCAAATCTTCCCTAAAGATAACCTCTGTATCATCATGGTGTGAATAAATAGTACATATAATATACTCAGTACAGTGTCTGGAAGGTAGTAAGTTCATAATAAATAACTAAAAATGTTTTGTATGTAATTTTTCTTTCCGTTGTTTTCCCTACTTATATACATGCATTTGTTGAATAAGTGAATATCCAACAAATATTCACTGAGCACCAGGCACTTTGAAATGGGCTAAGGAGAAGGGAATAACACAGTGGCGTGAACAAGACATAGTCTTTTGCCCATAAGTTGCTCACAATTTTAGTAGAAGTTACAAACAGGTAAATGGACCGTTGCAATGTAATGGGAGAGGTGATGTAGAATGTGCTACGTTGAGACTATCAGACTGCTATGGTTTGGTTCTGCGTCCCCACCCAAATCTTAGCTTAAATTGTAATCCCCACTCGTTGAGGGAGGGACGTGGCTGAAGGTGATTGGATCATAAGGGCAGTTTCCCCCAGGCTGTTCTCATGATAATGAAGGAGTTCTCACGAGATCGTGTTGTTAATAAGTGTCTGGCATTTCCCTTGCATTGTCCCTCTCTCTCTCCTGCCATCTTTTGAAGACAGTGCTTGTTTCTCCTTTGCCTTCTACCAGGATTGTAAGTTTCCTTAGCCATGCGGAACTGTGAGTCAATTAAACCTCCTTCCTTTGTAAATTACCCATTCTCAGATAGTATCTTTATAGCAGTGTGAGAATGGACTAACACAGAGAATTGGTAACAGGAGTTGTGTACTGCTATAAAGGTAATATGAAAATGTGGAAGTGACTTTGGAACTGGATAACAGACAGAGCTTGGAACAGTTTGGAGGGCTCAAAAGAAGACAGGAAAATATGGAAAAGTTTGGAACTTCCTAGAGATTTGTTGAATGGTTTTGACCAAAATCCTGATAGTGATATGGACAATGAAGTCCAGACTGAGGTGGTCTCTGATGGAGATGAGGAACATATTAGGAAGTAGAGCAAAGGTCACTCTTCCTATGCTTTAGCAAAGAGACTGGCAGCATTTTGCCCCTGCCCTAAAGATATGTGGAATTTTGAACTTGAGAGAGATGATTTAGGGTATCTTGTGGAAGAAATTTCTAAGCAGCAAAACATTCAAGATGTGACCTGGCTTATTCTGAAAGCGTTCAGTTATATGTGTTCACAAAGAGATGGTTTGAAATGGGAACTTATGTCTAAAAGGGAAGCAGAGAATAAAGGTTTGGAAAATTTGCAGCCTGATCATGTGATAAAAAAGGAAAACCCATTTTCTGGGGAGGAATTCAAGCCAGCTGCAGAAATTTGCATAAGTAACAAGGAGCTGAAAGTTAATAGCCAAGACAATGGAGAAAATGTCTCCAGGGCATGTCAGAGACCTTCACAGCAGCCCCTCCCATTAAAGGCCCAGAGGCCTAGAAGGGAAAATTGGTGGGCCAGGCCCAGGGTCCTGTTGCTCTGTGCAGCCCTGGGATATGGCACCCTGCATTCCAGCTGCTCCAGCTTCATCCACTGCTAAAAGGGGCCAATGTACAGCTCAGGCCATTGCTTCAGAGAGCTGAAGCTCCAGACCTTGGTGACTTCCATGTGGTGTTGGGCCTGTGGGTGCACAGAAGACAAGAGTTGAGTTTTGGGAGACTCAACCTAGATTTCAGAGGATGTATGGTAACTCCTGAATGTCCAGGCAGAAGTGTGATGCAAGGATGGAGGCCTCATGGAGAACCTCTACTAAGGCAATGCAGAGGGGAAATGTGGGATTGGAGCTCCAACACAGAGTCCCTACTGGGGCTCTGCCTAGGGATCTGTGAGAATAGGGCCATCACCCTCCAGACCCCAGAAAGAAAGATCCACCAACAGTTTTGACCATATGCCTGGAAAAGCCACAGGCACCCAACGCCAGCCTGTGAAAGCAGCTGCAGGTGCTGTACCCTGCAGAGCCACAGGGGCAGAGCTGCCCAAGGCCTTGGGAGCCTACCTCTTGCATCAATATGTCGTGGATGTGAGACATGAAGTCAAAGGAAATCATTTTGGAGATTTAAGATTTAATGACTGCCCTGTTGGATTTTAGACTTGCATGGGGCCTGTGGCCCCTTCATTTTGGCCAATTTCTCCCATTTGGAACAGGAACATTTACCCAATGCCTATACCCCCACTGTATCTTGTAAGTAACTAACTAGCTTTTGATTTTATGGGCTCATAGGCTGAAGAGACTTGCCTTGTCCCAGATGAGACTTTGGACTTGGACTTTGGAGTAAATGCTGGAATGAGTTAAAACTTTGAGGGGGTGTTTGGAAGTTATGATTGGGTTTGAAACGTGAAAAGAACATGAGATTTGGAAGAGTCCAGATGTGAAATGATATGGTTTGGCTGCGTATCCCCACCAAAATCTTATCTCAGATTGTAATCCCCACGTGTCAAGGGAGTGTCACAGGATCCTTTAGGTGTTGCCTCACCAGCCAGCAACCTCTGTGGCTGGTTCTACTTACTTGGCCCAGCAGGCTATGCCTGGCTCATGCTACTGGCCCAGATTCCACACCCGCCAAGGGTAGCCAGGCATGCAATGGTAAGGGGTGTATGAGCAAGCAAGTGTGGGGTCCAGCCACTATGCACAGACAGGCATGTTGGCTGCTGTGGCAGGGTGGGCAGCTCTAGGAACTGGCACTGGGGGCTGTGGCTGGACCAGGCATACCACAAGTGGCTTCTGCTGCAGGCACCCACTTCTGGACAGTGGATGCAATGGCACCTGAAAACTCAGAGATGCCAGCAACTGTGGAGTCCCAAGGGGTGGAAGGCAGTGTGCTATAGCTCTCATTCCTGCTGTGCACAGCTGGGCAAATGGTGGAGGAATGTTTTCAGTTTGTTCAGACCCACCACCTTGCTCTGGCCTGTGGCTCCTGGGCTGGCCCAGCCCCACTGCCCCTTCCTGTCACATGAGGTGGCCACCCAGTAGCAACAGAGGGTGGGAGGGCTATAGTGTTACAGCTGTGGCTAGGGGATTCCTGAGGTCTGGGCCCCCAGAAAGGTCACTGCTTTTCACATCCACACTCTGGGAAACAGGAGTGTGTCACCACCCACATCTTGGTGAACCAACCAGAAACATGTTACAGCCCTTTTTGCTCCCACTTGCAGCTCGGTGAGCTAGCCAGAAAAGTGTTACAGCCCTTTTTGCACCCACCATTCAGCAGGTCCCGAGTTCTTGTCCTGCATCCAGTAAGAATGAGGTTAGGTGGAAAACTGGAAGGTGAGCAAGGCAGAGAAGAGTTTTATTGAGTGACAATGGAGAGGAGACCCTAAGTGGGTAGCTTCTATTAGCAGGCACGTGGTCCTTATGTGTGGCTGAGTCTGGGGGTTTTTATGGGCTTAGAATGGAGCGAATGCATGCTGATTGGTCCATGGGTGGCAGGAAGTGTGTGCTAATTGGTCCATGGGTGAGCTTGGAGAAAACAAACACCATTTGATTGGCTGAAAGGCATCAAGGAAGCTCTCACTCCAGGTTGTGGATTCTACCCGGAACCGAAAGCCTGGTTTTCAGGCTTCAGGTTGTCTTTGGCTTGAAGGTTGGCTTTCATGGGGGACCTTCCCCTATCTGCCTAGGAATTTGTCTCCTGCTGCTATCAGGAAGGACCTGGTGGAAGGTAATTGGATTATAGAGGTGGTTCCCTAATGCTGTTCTTGTGATAGTGAGGGAGTTCTCATGAGATCTGGTTGTTTGGTAGGTGTCTGGCATTTCCCCCGTACTTTCACTCTCTCCTGCCACCTTGTAAAGAAGGTGCTTGCTTCTCCTTTGCCTTCCAGCATGATTGTAAGTTTCCTGATCCATGCAGAACTGTGAATCAGGTAAACCTTTTTCCTTTATAAATTACCTAGCCTCAGGTAGTATCTTTACAGCAGTGTGAGAACAGAGTAATACACAGAGGCTCCTTAACCTTGGCAGGGGGCTTTCTGGAGAAACTGACACGCATTTTCAGACCTGAAGGATAAGCAGGAACCATTCAATTAACGGAGTAGAAATGAGAAAAATGTTTTCCACAGAGAAAGCAAACAAGCTACATTCCTGAAGCAAGAGAGAACATCACAGCCCATTTATGAAATAACACAGAATTCTATGTAGCTGAAGTGTACACAGTTGTGATTCAATGAGATAAATGGTGGGAGGGTTGGAGGGTGGAGTTGAATGGGTGGGACTGGGAGGAGTCAGCAGGAATAATAAACAAGGATACTGAGATGTGAGTGAGGCTGAGAGAGTGAAGGGCTGTGAAGATGCCCTGTGAGAGAATTTAAATTTTATCCTGAGGGTAGTGAGGAGCCACCGAAGCATGAGAGAAGCAGGATCAGATTTGTGCTTTAAAAAGAATACTTCTTAGGCCAGGTGCAGTGGCTCACACCTGTAATCCCAGCACTTTGGGAGGCCGAGGTGGGAGGATCACGAGGTCAAGAGATCAAGACCATCTTGTCCAACATGGTGAAACCCCATGTTTCTACTACTAAAAATACAAAAATTAGCTGGGCATGGTGGCACGCGTCTGTCGTCCCAGCTACTCAGGAGGCTGAGGCAGGAGAATCGCTTGAACCCGGGAGGCGGAGGTTGCAGTGAGCTGAGATCGTGCCATTGTACTCTAGCCTGGGCAAGAGAGCAAGACTCAGTCAAAAAAAAAAAAAAAAAAAAAAAAAGAAGAAGAAGAATACTTAAAATCAATACAAAATAGGTTGCCAAATAATCAATAAAAGAATTTGAGAAGAGTGGTCAAAAATAGTCTATCTTGAAACCTTTAAACGTCTTTTATATTTTGGATATAGCACAAATTTAATAATTATAACATTTAAAAAATAAACAACACTGACATCACTACATATTAAAAGCTGTGGTGTGTGGGAAAAGTGGCATCCCATGCGAAATTTACAGGCATGAAAGTATTTATCAGAAACTAATAAAAACTGAAAGTAAGTGACCTAAGTCTTCAGCTTAAAGATAAAAATAAATAAAACAGAACATAAAAAGTGTATTTGAACAATAGAAGCAAAATCTGATACTTCAAAATGATCAGATAAAACAGCTTGATTAAGATAAGATGGATGACCCTAGTAAATAGCATTAAAAATGAATATGAACACCAATAAGACCTTTTAAAAATGACAAAACTATGTGCAAGTTTATACCACTATGTTTAAATAAGATATACATGATTTTCTATGAAAATACAGATAATTAAAATAGATTCAAAGAAATAGAAAAACTACAGACTAATAACCATAAAAAAAACTGAAAATATAAGCCCTATTCCTAAAGAAGACAAGAAATCATTTTTAAAGTAAATTCTACTGAAACACAAGTTGAGAATAATTATTATTTATATAAATTCTTTAAAAGAATATGAAACATTTACGAACAAGGACACAAAGATAATAAATCATATTTTTAAGTTGAAACTAGCAATAAAATGAAATGATAATACATTATGACAAAGCATGCATTATCCTTGAAATGCAAGGATATTTTAATATCAGGGATCTGATATTATAATTCATTACATTGCTATATTAAAATATAGAAGTCATACGATCATTTCCATAGATACTGAAAGAGCACTTGATAAAATTTTAACACCTGCTACCAACAACAGTTCTTGACAAACTAGGAATAGAATAAAGCTTCCTTAATTTAGAAAATGTTAATAGAAACCTATAGCAAACATCATACTTAATAGAAAAAAGAAACATTCCTATTAAGTCAGGAACAAAACAAGGCTTTCAGCTATGACTTCTGCTGTTCAACATTGTACTAAAAGCCATAGATAATGTAGTAAAACAAGAAAAGAGATAAGAAATGGCAATATTGGAAAATTAAAAGCAACTTATTAATTGCAATACTAAGTTTTAGGAGAATCAACTGAAAAAAAAACCCAAAATTTTAAGTGATATGAGAAAGTTGAACAGGTAGAAGATCAACATTTTTCAAAATGAATAGCTTTCCTATATTCCTATTAGAAATTGATAGGGAAAAAGAGCCCACAATTACATCGATACTAGGAATAAGCCTAACCAGCAAAGTGAAAGATTGATATGCATGCATTTCAACCAATCTTAAAACTTTACTTAAGGCCATAAAGAAAAACTCAGCAAACAAGGAGATATTCTATGTTTTTTACTGTAAAGACTCAATACTGTAATGAAGTTAATTCTCCTTGAATTAATTGCTAAATTAAATATAGCCCAATATGATTTTTTAATGAGTCTCAGCAAAATAATGCTAAAGTTCATTCAGAAAATAATATGAACAAGGATGAAAATTTTTTAAAAAGATAATGAGATTTTCCATGCCTGATATAAAAATAAATGCATAGATAATAATAATTAAAACAATGTTATATTGGTCAGAAGTTAGGGAAATGGATCAATGGAATAGAATTTTAAAAATCCATAAACAGACCTGTGGAAACAGACTTATGTACAGACTGTCCATTTAGTATATGATAAAGGTGGCATTTAATTTTTCTGGAAACTGAGAATTTGATTTAATATAATGGCTTTATATTGACATGGTTCAAAAAATGAAACAATATAAAAGCTGAAAGAATATATTCAGTCTCTGTAACAACTTACCACAAACTTGGAGGTTTAAATAACCCAAATTTATTATTTTATAGTTCTGTAGGTTAGAGGGTCAACCTTGATCTCAAAAGACTGAAATTGATTACTCAGCAGGGTGCATATCTTTTTGGAGTCTCTAAAGGAGAGTCTGTTTTCTTGCCCCCTTCAGCTGCTGGAGGCTGCCTGTATTCCTTAGCTCTTGGCCCCTCCTCCATCTTCAAAGCCAGCAACCTTGCAGCTTTCAGAGCTTGCTTTTCTTCCATAGTCAGCTCTTCCTCTGACCCTCGCCTTTTGTCTCTCTCCCTCTTCTATCTCAAGGCCACTATGCTTACATTGGGTCCACCTGGATAATCCAGCATACTTTCCCCATCTTATGGTCATTTGGTTAGAAACCTTAATTACATCTGCAGATTCCTCAAAGAGGAAACTGCCAAAAAGCAGAACTACCATTTGACTCAGCAATCCCATTACTGGGTATATACCCAGAGGAATGTAAATCATTTTACCATAAAGACACATGCACGCAAATGTTCACTGCAGCCCTATTCACGATAGCAAAGACATGGAATTAACCTAAATGTCCATCATTGACACTTTGGATAAAGAACATGTGGTACGTATACACCATGGAATACCATGCAGCCATATAAAAGAATAAGATCATGTCTTTTGTGGGAACATGGATAGAGCTGGAGGCCATTATCCTTAGCAAACTAATGCAGGAACATAAAACCAAATACCGCATGTGCTCATTTATAAGTGGGAGCTAAGTGATGAGAACTTATGAACACAAAGAAGGAAACAGCAGACATTGGTCTACTTGAGGGCAGAGGGTGAGAGGATAGGGAGGAACAGAAAAGATAACTATTGGGTACTGGGCTTAGTACCTGCATGATGAAATAATCTGTATAACAAACCCTCATGACAGGAGTTTACCTGTGTAACAAACCTTCACATGTACCCCCTAACCTAAAACAAAAGTTAAAAAAATCCATCTTTGTCACACTGCCTAACAAACATTCACAGGTTCTGGGTATAAGGAAATAGTCATACCAGGGCCTGGAGTAATTTTTCTGCCTGCCACAAGGAAGTATTATTCCCATTTCTGTCCCATCCACTCCATTCTGTCACTTCATATCTCCTTCAGATAATCACTTATGTTATGATTTTGTTTATTATTTATTTCTTTATGCAAATATAAGCAAAAACAAATACATATTTTCTCCCTTTCTTACATGAATAGTATATGCAGTCTTTCCATACCTTACTCTTTTTTCCACTTAATAATATATCCTTGCCGGGCACGGTGGCTCACGCCTGTAATCCCAGCACTTTGGGAGGTCGAGGCAGGCAGATCACGAGGTCAGGAGATCAAGACCATCCTGGCTAACATGGTGAAACCCTGTCTCTACTAAAAATACAAAAAATTACCTTGGCGTGGTGGCGGGTGCCTCTAGTCCCATCTACTCGGGAGGCTGAGGCAGGAGAATGGCGTGAACCCAGGAGGCGGAGCTTGCAGTGAGCCTAGATCATGCCACTGCACTCCAGCCTGGGCAACAGAGCAAGACTCTGTCTCAATAATAATAATAATAATAATAATAATAATAATATATCCTAGTAAGCTTTCATATTGACATTGGAGAGGTTCCTCATTCTGCATAACATACATTGTATCAATTAACAATTGTTTGTTTTTTGAATGGCACTTCAAATCCATGAGCAGAAGGTAAACTACATAATAAATGGCATTGGGATTACAGAGAATGTAACACATACATACATATATGTCTTAAATGCTTAGTAAAATATCCGTAAGTATAAACAGACTTTATTAGAGGTTACTTTTAGAGAAAGTGGGGTGAGGAAAATGAGAGTAAAAAGCAACTTTCATATTTTATGTAATATTTCCATGTTACGTAAATTTTTTTACAATGACATATATTCATGTATTGTATAATTATATAAACATAATAGTTTTTATAAGCATTTTCATATTGCTTATATAATGTATAATATGGAAACTACATCCTTGTGGATATTTATGATTACGATTTACGTTTCCAGAAGTGAAATTTTCAGATCCAAGGTAATTTACAATGCTCCCTAAAAAAGAGCTCTCTACAATTAACTTACACACCCATTGTTGAACGTATACAAGAGTGTTCATCTTCTCCAGGACTTAGTCAGTAGGACTTTTTTTTTCTGTCCACATTTTGCTCATCAAACATATGCTAAGAATAGGTTTTCCCATTGAAATTAAACTGGTAGCTGTTTATATAGCAAGTAAATATTTTGAATAAAAATTTATTGTTTATAAGTGGTACTAAAAATATTGAGTTTATCTTTTCTAAAAGTGATATGTGCTCTTTATGAACCTTCACATTCATTTCTTATGTTTGGGTTGTGAGTAAAGAGAGGAAAGGGTGTGAGGTTTGGTTCATTTTCAGGGGATGAAAGAAGGAAAAGAAAATTTATCAAATAACTACTATGTCCTAGGTGACTTCATCTACAGTATCTTACCTGTGAGATTTTACATTATTTCATAGAAAGTAAGGGTCAGAGAGTTTAAGCCGCCATTAAGGTTATGAACGTCAACCACAAAGAAAATTCCTAGCCCCCTAAGTAATTGAATGGGCCCCCTTCTCAGACAACGGGATTCCAAAGAAACCTAAAAAACTAGTCCAGGCTATATGGAAAGTAGGGGTCAGACGTGCTTCATTCTACTCGCTCCCTTTTGGAGTTTAGATGCAACAAACCAGCATTAACATTCAAACAGAGATCTTAAAACTGACAAAACAGACTCTTTGTAGCAATACAGTAACAATTTCAACCTGAGTCAGGTATAACATCAGATGACAGATAGCAGGCCCTGAAGGAAATGGAAATATTTTACCCCAAAATATATCTTACTGACATATTTTGAAATGGCCCTGCAAAGCTGTCTCTTGTGGGAAGGGGGTGTGGGAATTTACATTCTTTCAAGGTCCTTTTCTGATCCTGAAGAGATTAGCTGAGAGTCTAGCATATTTTTTTTTTTTTTGAGACAGAGTTTCGCTCTTGTTGCCCAGGCTGGAGTGCAATGGCGCGATCTTGGCTCACTGCAACCTCTGCCTAGTTGGGATTACAGGCATGCGCCACCACACCCGGCTAATTTTGTATTTTTAGTAGAGAAGGGGTTTCTCTATGTTGGTCAGGCTGGTCTCGAACGCCCGACCTCAGGTGATCCGCCCACCTCGGTCTCCCAAAGTGCAGGGATTACAGGCGTGAGCCACTGCGCCTGGCTGAGTCTAGGACCTTTGAAAGGTCTGAATAGGAAACATTTGCCATCTATTGCTTCTAAGGGCAGCCTTCTGTGAGACTTATCTACATAATAAGAACTTTGATCTCCACAACCCCTTATCTTAACCCAGACACTCCTTTCTATTGATTCCAGGCTTTTAGATAGTAACTTAACTCTTTTCAGCCACTTGCCAATCAGAAAACCTTTGAATTCACCTATGACCTGTAAGCCCGTGCTTCAAGTTGTCCCACTTTTCCAGACCAATCCAATGTATACCTCGCACATATTGATTGATGTCTTATATCTCCCTAAAAATACAAAACCAAGCTGTAACCCAGCCACTTTGGGCACATGTTCTCAGGCCCTCCTAAGGCCGTGGGTCATGATCCTTAACCTTGCAAAATAAATTGATTGAGGCCTGTCTCAGATACATTTTTGGCTTACACATAGCCAGGGCATGGCAAGTTGGCATCTGAATCAAGCCTGGGTCCATTGCCCCTCCCTGCATGTCCCACCATGTGTCACGCTAGCGTCCTTTCCATTTTCCCTTCTCTTGGCCTCTTAGCAACCCAACCCCCAAATGAATTTTCTCCCCAGATGCTCCATTCAGAACCATGAAAATCTTAGAGGAAATAGCTTTTCCTGAATCTCTAATCCCTACATCTTTTTTCTACTTTGGTCGATAATCTTGGGCATTTAACACCTGGGTCTATTTAGACCTAGAGTCCTGAATCCTATACTTTAACCCAGAGTCCTTGTCTCCTGGACAGCATGAGCAAGCACCATTCAAGGATAAACTGCGCCTAGTGTGAAGAAAATCAGAGATTTTAGACAGACCTAGCCATTTCCCTAGAGCTGCTTTTACTTCCTGACAGCTAATTTATCCCGATGATTGGCCCTGGACCCATAAACCGTCTAGCTCAGCCTGGCCATTTGTGAAGGCACAGGCAGTCGGCTGGCTCTCACCTCTGATAGCTGTGGGAACCAATTACTCTGCAGCAGGGCTTGGTGTGTGGCTGGAGCATCTGTGTGGACCACATGGGCCCTTTCAGCTTGTAGGATGTGTGGTGACTTGGAGCTGTTTGTTTTAAAGGTTCCTTTTGCATTATCAGCAAAGAATATGGAAAACAGCTCAATTTCAGCTGATTACCCACTAAAGTGCCTGGGAGCCACTCTGTAATTTTCATCGCTGCTTGCTGGGCTCTTCAGGAAAAGTTTGCAGGCGAATTTAATGGAACGTATTCAGTCCTCTTGAACGGCAGACAGACAAGACAACAACTTCCTGTTCCTTTTGTTTGGAAGTATCTGTTATCACAACATAGTAAACATTTTTTTTAAAACCATTCTGAGAACAGTTATTTGTGAGATGCCTCTCCAGTATAGCCTTACACCCAGACTTCAGTTTTCCTACAACCTCAGCCCAGCAGGAATTGTCTCTATCACCCAAGGCCAATGAGATTGACTGTAACAAGGTTTCCTAGTAAATGGCTCCTGGCCATCTAGATGGATAAATTCTCCTAACACTAGTTAGAATCAAATGACTAAACTCTAGCCTCATGGCCCAATCATACAGTGGTGTAATTGTCAACAATTAAAAACGATGTTGCAGATCTGGGCTTTTCATACCTTACTGTGCAAATCGGTCACTTGGGGATCTTGTTAAAATGAAGATTCCAGTTCAGTAGGTCTGGGTGGGCCTCAGGTCCTGCACTTTTAACAAATTACCAGGTGATGCTGATGCTGTTGGACCTTAGAATTTAGTGGAATATTCCACTAAATGTGTACTCATTGACACAAACTTGTATAGGATCTCTGCACATTCTTACATGTGGGTTTATCTTAAAGTGGAGGATATCAAATTATATGAGTACGTCATAATTTTTTAAATGTACAGGATATCTAGATTTAGAAATAGATGTGCTGTAAGTAAAGCAAGCGTCAGACAGTACTGTTTAAAATATACTGTTGGCCGGGCATGGTGGCCCATGCCTGCAATCTCAGCACTTCAGGAGGCCAAGGCAAGAGGATTGCTAGAGGCCAGGAGTTCAAGACCAGCCTGGCAACATAACGAGAGCCCGTCTCTACAAAAAAAGAAAAATTATCCAGCCATGGTGGCACACACATATAGTCCTAGCTACCCGGAAGGCTGAGATGGTAGGATCACTTAAGCCCAGGAGTTCGAGGTTGTGGTGAACTATGATAGCACCACTGCAGTCCAGCCTAGGCAACAGAATGAAACTGTGTTTCTAAAAGATTTTTTAAAATTCTGTTATAAAATTATATGTGTGTGTAGGTATAGATATATACAATTAAAATACAATTTTTTGTCCCCACCATCACTGCCTCTGTATAAAAATGATATCAGGACTCTGGTTTCTTTGCTCATTTTAGGTAACTGGTAACAATTATGTTAAGTTGCAAACAGTTTTCATTCAGTACAAAAATAGAACATCAATCCTTTGTGTTGGGCAAACTTCCCACCTGATTTAGGCTTAAATGTTCGCACCTCCTGGAACTCAGATCTGGTGCTGTGAAGGGAAAGTGGGGTGTGGTCTCTCTGCTCTCTATTGGGAGGCCCAGGATGCAAGACTTTCTAAATCTGGAAAATCACAGGCAAACTAGGGCCAGTAGGACATCCCGAGCTGCTGTCTTTCCAGCACTTGCACTTGGGGCAATCTGATGTTTCTGAGCCCACTAGGCAGAAGTAGCAGAAGTGCTGAAGGGCACGGGTGCAGGAGAGTTCTCACCTTGATTGGGAGCTTCATGAGCTGATGCTGATGCCTGGCTCTGCTCCCAACAGTGGGAATAGCTGGCTTCCAGGCAGGCCCAGCAGGGAGTAAAGCTGAGTATTTCTGGTGCTTAGTTGATTCCTCAGATTATATATATGTATGTATACACATAGATGTATATATTTATGTGTGCATATATATGGATGTATATACATATATACTTATATATGTGCATGTGTGTATATATACATATGTGCATAATACATAAATAACTTGCAATGAACAAGTGTTACTTTTATAAATTAAAAAAAGCAAGACACAGGCCGGGCATGGTGGCTCATGCCTATAATCCCGGCACTTTGGGAGGTTGAGAAAAGAGGATTGTTTGAGGCCAGGAGTTCAAGGTTGGCGTGGGCAACATAATGAGACTCCATCTCTACAAAAAATTTAAAAAATAGCCAGGCGTAGGGGCATGTGCCTGTAGTCCCAGCTATTTGGGAGGATTGCTTAAGTGCAGGAGTTTGAGACTATAGTGAGCTACGATCAAGCTACCATACTCCAGCCTGGGAGACAGGGCAAGACCCTGTCCCTTAAAAAAATAAAATAAATAAAAATAAAAATAAATTTTAAAAAGACAGAGATGTGATTGTGTCAGAAAACCCTCAGTCTAAACTCAGTAACTTTCTAATTGTATTTAAAGTACATAACAACTAGCCATAATTAAAATGAGATTGTTTTGTGTCACACAGATAATTAGTGGATAACTTTATTATTTCTACAAAAATATTCAAATTTAAATAAAATTATAAGGAAAAAGTTCACTTCAAAAAGTTTTTCTCTGGGTTCTGTCTCCTGGAGCTATTTCATGGAGACAAAAGAGATTCTTCAAAGCCAGTGGCTATGGGGAGTGAACTATTTTAGGTTTTCAATTTGCATGGGCGCTAGAGTAGATGGAATGCTGCAGCGGGGGCTTCAGCGTGTGGGGCTGCGAGGCTGGCTGTGCTCTGTTTCTGCAGCTGTGTTGATGAGCTGGCCCTCTATTAATGGCCTTTGGGACTGAACTGTCATGTCTCAGAGATGTGCTTCTTTCTAGGTGTCTCATCATTGCCTCATAAACGCCAGGACCCACACTTGAAAGACAACCTGTCAACAGTGAAATCCGCCTTCATACCTTTTCCTTCAGCTTTCTCTCATGTGAGAAACTGGTGGAAACTCAGGCCTCTGGGTGGCCCCCAGTAGTCTGTGGGTGGATGGGAATACGTTGAAACAGATGAATCTGAATTAATGGCTGGAGGTGCCCCAAGTTTCTGCGCCAACCTTTAATGCATGGACAGGTTATGCCTGTGACCCCTGAGAATGGTCCCAGGGAAGTCCAGCCCTCAGCTGGATTGTGGAGGGGACAAAATGCCCATGGATGGGATCAGTGGGCCCAAAGCCTTCCATGAGAACTTCAGTAAAATCCTGCATCTTCCAAATACTTGTCTTGTATCTCAGAGGAGTGCAAACTCTAAGAACATAAGCATGTAGAATTGGAAATATTATAGAAGACTGGAAAATTCCAAATTCAAACATGTGTCCTAGTTTACAGAAATTAAGAAATTCAGCTACAAAAGCATTATGAATGTTATGCATGTGTGTGCATTATATATGTGTATATATATGCTTTTATATATTATCTTAAAAATAAGATTTAGCTTACAATTTTAGCTTAAAATCTATATTTAGCTTTTATCTTAAAAATCTATATTTTATCTTAAAATGCTTTTATCTTAAAATCAGTGTTTCTCACACCAAGATTTGTAAGGCCTGACCCAGCTTCTGTCTCTGCATCCCTGCTCCCCCAGCCTGCAGCTTCAATTCCTACTACGTGCTCCAGCCCTTGCAAACTTCTCTTATAAGCTCTGCCCCTGCCTGGAGCATTCTTACCCTCAATCTCCTCCCCGGACCACCCTCTAGGCAACCTTTCTGTCTCCCCTTGCTTACCACTTTCTTTTGGAAGCCTTCCAGGCCTCCAGGTGCTCTCTCTGGACTCCATGCAGCTGCCATTGCTTTGCACAGTCTGGGCACCTTGCATCCCTGCAGGTTTGTACATGTTAGGGCAGTGAGGCCACCAGCTCTGCTCTGGGCTGTGTCCACAACATCTGGCACAGCCTCAACTTGGCAGATAAGTGCTCAAAATTATTTGTCAGGGCATCAAAGAGAAAAGAACAAGGGAAATCATATATTAGAAGACTTGGTATTGGAAAGATGTCAATTCTCTCCAAATTGATGTATAGATTCATGGAACTCCAAACAAAATAATAGTAGTTGTTTGTTGCAATTCACAAGCTGATTCTAGAAATGATATCAAATCTAAATAACAAAACAGATTTGGGAGCTGAAGAAGAAGGAAAAGGAGGAGAAAGAAGAGGAAGAAAAGAAATAATCACAATAAAGCTTAAGCCCCTAATGTCAAGAATTATTATAAGGATATAATAATTTTTTTTGGATTTTTTAATAGAGACGGGGTTTCACTGTGTTAGCCAGGATGGTCTCGATCTCCTGAACTCGTGATCCACCCGCCTTGGCCTCCCAAAGTGCTGGGATTACAGGCGTGAGCCACCGTGCCCGGCCGGATATAATAATTTAAAACAGCTTGCTATTCTCACAAGAAATGAGAAATTGTCCAGTGGAATCTGTTGGCAAGTCCAGAAACAAACCCAGCACTTACACAGTCACTTAATTTATGATAAAGTTTACAGTGCAGTGGGGAAAGGGCGATGTTTCCATAAATAGTACTGGATCAAAACAAACAAAAAAAGAAAAGAACATGGGAAATACAAATACTTTTCTTAATAGTAAGACAGGAGGGTTTTAGATTTTTCCACTTTTCTATATTATAAAAGAAATGTGAAAACTTAAAAGTAATTTAAAAACAATAATCATACCACATTAACAAAATGACTTTTATTTTTCTTACTCTAAGATTTTGTCCATACATACCTGTTTTAATAGTTGTGCATTGTTATGCATTTTTATCTGTTTTGAAGTAATCGTTATTATTTAGGATGATAGTGTGTAAACACACTCCATTTTTCTGCATAGTGCTTAATAATTATATTTTTACATGTTGTGTAATGGATTGAGTTGATATGCTACACTTTCCTTTTAATTTTGTGATTATCTCTGGTATAGTGAATTTCCTAAACTCAGTGAAGTACAGGCATAAGCAATCTATTTTCTTCCAACTACCACCTCCCTTGCCTGTCCTTCAGTGACATCTTGGGCTGATCCCATAGCTTTAAAGTCATATCTCATTATTAAAAGTTCTATCTGGTCCAGTTTAAAATCTAATCTCATTTTCTCTTTTCCCTTCTCTCTCTGGCTGTATCATGGTCTTTGAAACCTGTAGTTGGGAGGGAATATGTTTTGGCTTTTACTCCTCTATCACCAGAGGGTTGGGTGGGGAGGAGGAGAAATTGGAGTAAAAAGGGAAGCTGTCGGGTTCGGTGGTTCATGCCTGTAATCCCAATGCTTTAGGAAGCCAAGGCAGAAGGACTGCTTGAGAGCAGAGATTATAGACCAGCCTGGGCAACATAGTGAGACCCCTATCTCTAAAAAATAAAAAAATAAAAATTAGCCAGATATGGTGGCACACACCTGTAGTCCCAGCCACTTAGAAGGCCGAGGTGGAAGGATCACTTGAGCCCAGGAGTTTGAGGCTGCAGTGGACTATGATCACACCACTGTGCTCCAGCCTGGGCAAGACTCTGTGTCTTAAAATAAAAAAATAAAGAAATAAAGGAATGGGGAAGGTTGAGCTACCTACTGTCACCCGTCAGTGGTGGGCAGTGGCCCTGAGCTTTCTACTGGTCACTCTGGTTGGCTGTTGGTGTGTTCTGCTGACATTGTCTTTGTCTCATGTGATTTTCTGGGCATGTGTTTCTGGTCCCTTTGTCACTGAGGACCCTCTCAGAAAGTAACAGCGGCATCCCTTTTAAGCCATGCCGTTGACGCACACCCTCAACCCCCTATCTCGGTAGGACATTACTTCCCTTGGCCAGGGCACCGTAGTTTCTGCCTCCCTCTTTACTCCTCAGCTCCCTCATGTGAGCCAGGAAAGCTACTGGTTTCTCCTCCATACCCTGCAAGGGCCACAGGGGACTGGAGGGTGGAGTGCCATCTTTTACTCAAGAACAGCTACACCATGATCCCTTCTTGCTGCTGGTGTGAGCTGCCCTGGCAAATTCCCACCCTCAGAAATCTTCAGCCAGGTAGCCATCTTCAAAGTGGGCCTGCAGAGACTGAAGCCTGGTACCTACCCAGTCAGCTGGTGGCTGCTGGGCTCCTCTTGCCTAAAAGTCACCTTTAGTCTCTATTTTTTGGAGTCCCAGTTTCTTGAACACCATAAGAAAGAGGGGAGGGCAAACCTCCTCAGCAGGAACACTGTACTCCCAATGATTCCAATTCCTGTCCCTGGGTGGTCTGCTGGTGCCTGGGAGTGGGTGTGGGTGATGGCTGGGGTAGCCTCATTTAGCAAGTATCTGGCCCTAACTGTTTTCTGCTCAATTAAAAATGTTGGAGGATGATTATGTTCATTTGATTGTGGTGACGGTTTCTTGGATGTACACATAGGTCAAAACTTAACAAATTAAACACTTTATGTGTACCTTATTGCCCATCAATTATGCTTTAATAAAGCTGTTAAAACTGTTGGGGGAAACTTACTGCCTGTTTGTCCACTTCAACATTTAGTTACACTTTTGTAAATAATGCTGTGTGAACACTTTTTCCTTTTGATGTTTTCTTAAGATAAATTCCTAGGAGTTTGGATTACTGGCTAAAAGATAAAAACCATTTTTATAGCTCCCAATACATATTGCTATGTTATTTTTCCAAACAGTTGTGCCAATTTCCAATGTAGCAGTAAGTATGAATATACTAGTTTAATAGCAACCTTATACTTGAGTATTATTTTAAAAAATTCTTCCTAGATATAAAATGTTTCATTAATTTTTATTTATTTGATTACAATAAAGGATAACAGGTGTGTATGTTAGATCACTTTTTATTTCCTCTTATGAGAACCACCTGTTCTTATTCTTCATCTATTTACCTACTGGGTAAATAAATGAGTTTTGATGTTCTTTTATTTTGATTTCTGTAAATGTTGTCAGGAAGTTGTTTGTGAAATACAAGGAATGTTTTCACCGAAAGTAGTGTTTATTCCCATGGTTAGAATTTGAGAACAAATTGACCAGAGTAAGTGCTGACTGTGTGGGCCCATCAGCTGCCTCTCCTGGTTTCTGGAACAAGGGTCCCTCTGTGCGGGCAGGTCAGGTTGTTTTCTCCAGGCATCCCTGTCTTCCTCTAGTCACACAGGTTCCCTGATTGTTAGCTCTCCTACTCTCTGAGTGAGTTTTCTCAAGCTGATCTGATTAGAGCAGCACATTTCCTCTTAGGACAGTGGTTTTGAACCTGGGAAAGTAGGATACCTAGGAATTGGGAAGAGTAGGGGTGGGGGTAGCATGTGCAATTTTTTAAAAGTCTGTGGAAAGAATTTAACCTCCCTGTCAAGGCAGTCATAATTTCATTTATAGTATTTTGAAATTGCAAATAGTATAAAAGGATTTATGTACAAAAACGAGATACCTAAGACTTTTATAAATGTCAAAACAGAATGAAGCCACTTTAATTGAGAGACTCTGCTCTTTGCTTCTTTTCAAGATGGTAATATGAGTTCAAGTTTTAAATTGCTCCAAATACAGCGCACATGCATGCGCACACACACATGCACATACTCCAAAGATAGCCATGCTCAAAAACAAACATCTATGTAGACAAAGGTCAAAATAGAAGCTTCTAGCCATAAGTGCAGGCTGAGGCCACCAACCCACTGGATTTTGAATCTAGAAATGCTCAGAGTTGGCCAGAACTTGGATTTCTGTGGGGTAGAAAGGACCTACAGCACATTGAGCCCTACTGGATAGTAAGAGTGACAGCAGCAAAGAGGTGGGGTTTCTTACCATGAAAAGAAACTGAGAAGAAGACATGACTGGGCTATAGCTTGTATATATCTAATTTAATACTGGCAATTAAAAGAAAGCTTTTTGTTTGTTTGTTTAAAAGAGTTAATGCAAGAAAAGCTAAGTAGCTGTGTAGCCAGTGTGGCCAGAAGGAGCAGAGAAGGCCGTGGAGACAGAACCTATGTCAGGGCACCTGCTGATTCAATAGCTAAATGTGTGAAATTGCCCCAAGAATGGAAGCCCTTGGCTGTTGACATAAGGCCTGTTCTATCATCGGAGTGCCAAGAGTTGGGTGGAGGTGCTGCAAAACCACGAGAAAAGAGTGCATGATGAGAGAGGGGAAATAATAAAGCACATAAAGAAAAACCACTTTAAGAAAGCAAGTCAATAAAGTGTGGAGAATTAATTCTTGAAAAAATAAAAATTAAACATTCTCAAAATGAATTTAAAATAAGTATGTGTAACTTATTCAGAAATAAAAGAAAAAATAATAACCATAAAATGTTTTGTGAAATTTAAAAGTGGGTAGAAATCAAAGATAAATGGATATAAAGAACCAATTTTAAAACCTGAAACTAGGCCGGGCACGGTGGCTCATGCCTGTAATCCCAGCACTTTGGGAGGCCAAGGCAGGCAGATCACGAGGTCAGGACATCGAGACCATCCTGGTTAACACGGTGAAACCCCGTCTCTACTAAAAAAAAACGTGAAACTAAAAAATGTGTGTAATAATCGAGACGAAAACTCAATAAATGGGATAAAATCTGACTGGAAAAATCAAAGAGAATTACTGAATTTGAAAATAGTATTGAAGAATTTACCAAGAAAGAAGCACAAAGAAATAAAGAGGGAAAAATATTAAGAAGATGTTAAGTGAAATAACAGTTGGATTGAGAGACTCAATATTGTTCCTCCCACCTCCAAAATTCAACCCACCCACAAACTTCTATTGAAAGCACTACTAAAGAACTCAGAACGTTCTTTAGTAGTTCTTTCAAAAAAAAGAAAACCTGGAATGATATGGGATGTAAGAAGCATTAATGAACAAAGTAATAGATAAAAAGATGTTGTTAAATTAATTACTGACAATTCAAGATTAACATTTTTGTTTGCTTAAAAGAGTTGGGAATAAAATGTAGACAGTAAATACAAGGAGGATAGAAGAGGTGGAATTCAATGGGCCAATGTCAACTAAGATCATCACTTTGTTTAAAAAGATGAGGATATTAAATTTCTTTAGACTTTGTCAGGAAATATAACATTTTATATGTATGTTGAAAGTAATCACCAAGATGATAGAAACGCAATCTATAGCTTCCAAACCATTAGAAGAGAAATAAAAAGAATAAAGATAATTTCATCAATCCTAGAGAAAGAATATAAGGGAGAAAAAAAGAAGCAAAAACAAAGTTGGGGGAGGTGGTGACGGGAAGATTATACAATGAAAACACAGCACAAAAGTGTATAAATTAACCCAGCTATATCAATTATCATAATAATTGTATATGGGTCAACCTCAGGCTATCTAAAGAAGATGATCATATTTGGTTAAAACAAACAAACAAATGCTGTTTATCAAAGACATACCGAAAGCAAAAATACCTGGAGCAACTGAAAAAGATATAACAGGCAACTACTAACAAATAGAGAATTTGGTGCAGCAATATTAATATCATATAAAGTAGAATTAAAAGCAAAATCATCACTAGTGATAAAGAAGCACACTGCATTATGAGAGGAGTTTTTCCTAGAAGATATAACAATTGTGAATTTGTATGCATTAACAACATGGCTTTAATACATATAAAGAAAAACTAACAATTATAAAAAGATACAGACAAATTCACAATCATAGTGGATAACTTAATATACCTGTATCAAAAATAAAGCCATCAGACTGGGCGCAGTGGCTCATGCCTATAATCCCAGCACTTTGGGAGGCCAAGGCATGTGAATTGCTTGAGCCCATGAGTTCGAAACCAGCCTGGGCAACATGGTAAACGTGGTGAGACCCTGTCCCTGCAAAAAAAAAAAAAAAAAAAATTACCTGGGTGTACATGCCTGTAGTCCCAGCTACACGAGGGGATGAGGTGGGAGAATCAATTGAGCAATTGAGCCTGGGAGGCAGAGGTTGCAGTGAGTAAAGATAGTGCTACTGCACTCCAGCCTGGGTGACAGAGCAACACCCTGTCTCAAAAAAAAAAAAAAAAAAGAAAGAAAAGAAAAGAAATAAAGCCATCAGACAAAAAATATTTAGTAAAAATATAGAAGATTTTAACAACACAATTAAAAAGCTTCCCCAATAAATATTTAAAACATCAAGTTAACATTCCTCTCAATCATATAATAAAGCATCTACAAGTTTATTAAAAACAAGTCTCAATACATTTAAAAGGATTTAAATCACAGAAAGTATGTTTTCTGAACCACAATGGAATTAAATCAGAAATCAATAATAGAAAAAAAGATAAAATTTGCAAATATTTAGAAACTAAGTAGCATGCTTCTAGATAACCTGTAGATTTAAAAAAAAATCTAAAAGAAAATTAGAAACTATTTTAAGCTGAATAAAAGTGAAAAAACATACATAAAAGTTGTGGGATAACACTGAAGCCATAGCAGAAAGAAAATTTCTAGCACTAAACATCTTTATTAGAAAAGAAGAAAGATCTTAAAATCAATGACTTCAACTGCAACCTTAAGAAATTAGAAAAGAAGAGAAAATTCAGCCTAGAGTAAGTAAGAAAAAGAAAATAAGAGTAAGGAAGAAACCAATAAGATAGAAAACAGAAAATCTAAGAAACCCAAAATGAACAAGATTAATAAAATTAATAAACCTCTAGCTCTGCTAATCAGGAAGAACAGAGAAGACACAAATTACTAATATAGGGCATAAAAGAGGTGACATGACTCCAGATTCTATAGATACTAAAAGGATAATATGGGAACATTATGAACAATTTTATGCTAGCAAATTTAATAATTTAGATGAAATGGATAAATATCCTGAAAGACTCATATTACTAGAGACTTCTTAAGAAAAAATAGATAAACTCATTAGCTTGTGTCCATTACAATTGAATTTGTAGTTAAAAATATTCTCACAAAGAAAACTCCAGGCCCAGATGGCTTTACTGGTGAATTCTGCTACATATTTAAGGGAGAAAAAAAAATAATTCTATATGAATTCTTCCAGAAAATGAAAGAATAAGATATACTTCCAAAATAATTGTGGAGGTCTGGCTTTATGCTGACAGCAAATACAGACAAATTACAATAATGTAATGTAGTAAACATAGGAGTGAAAATGATAAGCAAATTTAACAAAGTGAATCCAACAACCTAAGAAAGGCATAATATACATCATGATTAAGGGAGATTTATCTCAGGAATGCCATGCTCATTCAACATTTGAAAATCAACTGGTTTGCCATATTAACCAAATAAAAAATAAAACACACATGATTATCTCAAGAGATACAAAGAAAGCACTTAACAAAATCCAACATATATTACTTATAAAATCTTTTAGCCAACTCGGTATAGAGGGAACTCCCTCAACCTAATAAAGGGCATCTACAAGCAACATACAGCAGCATTATACCTAATGGTGGAAGACTGAATACTTTCCCTTGAAGATCAAGACTAATACGAATATATCTGTCTATTCTTACCACTTCTATTCAACATTATATTGAAGGTTCTTTCCAGCGCAACAAAGAAAAAGGAAAGACATCTATTATGGAAAGAAACAAGTAAGCCTGTTGTTATTCACAGACAGTGTAATTGTTAATATAGAAATGCAATGGAATCTGTAAAAACACTTCTAGAACTGATACAGAACCAATAAGTTAGTCAAGTTGCAAGATACAAGGTCAATATACAAAAATCAATTCTACATCTATATACTAGCAACAAACAACTTGAAATTCAAATAAAAAATACCATTTACAGTATCATCAAAATTATCAAATACTTAGGGATATATTTTTTAAAGATGCGAAAGATCTATAAAAGGAGAACTACAAGATATCACTGAGTTAAAGTAGAACCAACTAAAAGGAGAAATAATGTGTTCATAGGTCACAAGACTCAATATTGTTAAGCTGTCAGTTACCCCTAAGTAAATCCATAGATTCAATGCAATCCTAACCCAAATCTAACAGGCTTAAAAAAACTTGTAGAAAGAAAATACAAACAATACCAAAGAAAAGATGGCAAACTGTATTAAAAAGTATGTGTGTCAGTATGATGCTGGCCCCATAGAATGAATTAGGGAGGATTTCCTCCTCCTCAGTTTTTTGGAATAGCTTCAGTAGAAATGGTACCAGCTCTTCTTTATTTATCTGTTATAATTCAGCTGTGAATTCATCTAATTCTGGGCTTTGTGTGGTTGGTAGGCTTTTTATTACTGATTTGATTTTGGAACTCATTGTTGGTCTGTTTAGGGATTCAATTTCTTCCTGGTTCAATCTTGGGAGGTTGCATGTTTCCAGGAATTTATCCATTTCTTCTAGGTTTTCTGGCTTGTGTGCATAGAGGTGTTTGTAGTAGTCTTTGAGGGGTTTTTTGTTTGTTTTTGTATTTCTGTGTGGTTGATGCTAATGTCTCCTTTGTCATTTCTGACTGTGTTTATTTGAATCTTCTTGCTTTTTTAATTAATCTAGCTAGCAGTCTCTCTACTTTATACTTTCAAATAACCAACTTCAGGATTTGTTGATCATTTGTATGGTTTTTTTGTATCTCAATTTCCTTCAGTTCAGCTCTGATTTTGGTTATTTCTTGTCTTCCTTTACCTGTGAAACCCTCTATGTTCTATCCTTCATCCATTTCTCACTTCCCACCCCTGAATATAATCACTATCCTGATATTTGTAGGAAGATTTCAAACTATTGGTTTAATTACTTTAATAGGTATCAGATTATTTAGATTTTCTCTTCTTGGGTCAAATTTAGCAATACACTTTCTAGGAACTTGTTTATTTCATGTGTTTTCAATTTTATTGGCATAAAGCTGTTTATAATTCTCTCTAATAAATTGTAAGTATCTACAATATCCTTTCATTTCTTCTTTTGCTTCTGTCATTTTTTTTCTTAATCTATATTGGCAGGGGGTCTGCTAATTTAATTAGCCTTTTAGAAAGTACTAACTTTTGACTTTATTAATTCTCTATGTTATCTTTCTTTTCCAGTTGAGTACTTCTGTCCTTATTTCCCTCTTCTTGCTTCTTTAGTACTTCTTCTCTTTTCAACATGTTTAAGTTGGATACTTAGTTCTTTAATTTCTAGCCTTTAATCTTTTCTAATGTAAATGTTTAATACCATAATTTATCTTCTAACTGATGCTTTAGTTGTATCCCGTAAGTTTTGACATTATTATAATTTCCACTTTTATTTCTTCTTTGATCCAAGATTTGCTTAGAAATACACTTTCAAATTTCCAAGTGCATGGGTTTTTTAAAATATATTTTGATTATTGATTTCCAACTTAAAATGACCCCAATGATATCAATATTTTGAAATTGAGACTTGCTTTATGGATTACTGTGAAGTCAATTTTTATAAATGCGTCAGTGTTTAAAAAGAGTGTGAATTCTCCTATTGTTAAGTGTCATGTTTGAAATATGTCCCACAAATGTTAATTGTGTAGGTCAAATATAGGATATACTTATTTTTGTCAGCATAATCTGTCAATTATTGTCAGAGATATGCTAGAATTCTTCAGTATATTTGTTGATTTATTGATTTTATTTATAAATATGGAAATTTTTATTTCTGTAAGTTGAAGCTGTATTTTCTAAATTAATGGACCTTATTTTTAAGAGAAGTTTTAGGTTTACTGAAAGTTGAGCAGATAACACAGACAGTTTTCATATGGCCTCTGTCTCCCATGCTCACAATTTTTCCTATTACTAACATTTTGCATTTGTTACAATTGATGAACTAATACTGATACTTTATATTGACTGAAGTCTGTAGATTACATTAGGATTCACTCTTTGCCTTGTAATGCTCTATGGGTTTTTGACAAATGTGTAATGTCATATATCCACCATTACAGTATCATACACAATAATTTCACTGTCCTAAAAATTCCCTGGCTCCACTACTCATCTTTTCTTCCTCCAAATCCCTAGCTAGCAACTGCTTTTTATTTTATTTTATTTTATTTTATTTTATTTTATTTTATTTTATTTTATTTTATTTTTTTGGCAAAATCTATTGTTTTGCTTTTAACAGAATGTTATATAGTTGGAATCATAGAGCATGTAGCCTTTTAGACTGGCTCCTTCTTCTAGGAAGAACACATTAAGATTTCTTCATGTCTTTTTTTGTGGCTTGATGCTCATTTCTTTTTATCACTGAATAATATTCCATTTTATGGATGTACCACATCTTCTTTATTCATTTACCTACAAAGACAGCTTGGCTGCTTCCAGTTTTGGTAATTATGAACAAAGTTGCAAAATATTTGTGTGCAGGTTTCGTGTGGGCATAACCTTTCAACTCATTTGGGTAAACACCTAGGAGTATAATTACTGGATCATATTGTAACACTATGTTTAGTATTATAAGAAACTGTCTTTCAAAGTGATTCTATCATTTTATATTCCCACAGCAATAATGAGAATTTCTGTTGCTCCGCATTCTTGACAGCATATGGCATGTCAGTATGTTTTGAATTTTATCCGTTCTAATAAGTGTGTAATGGTATCTTGTCGCTTACATTTGCAATTCCTAATGACATATGATCTTGAGCATCTTTTCATATGCTAATTGTCATGTGTGTGTCTTCTTTGATAAGGTATCTGTATAGATCTTTTGCCCTTTTAAAAATTGGGTTGTTCATTTTCTTATTGAGTTTTAAGCGTTCTGTGTATGTTTCGGATACAAGTCCTTTATCAGGCAGGTATTTGGTAAATATTTTTTCCAACCCTGCAGTGTATCTTTTCATTTTCTTAACAGTGTCTTTTGCAGAGCAGTTTTAATTTTAATGGAGTCTAACTTAACAATTTTTTCTTTCATGGATTTTGCTTTTGGCATTGTATCTAAAAACTTACCACCAAACCCGATTTTTTCTGTGTTATTTTTTAGAAGTTTTTAAATTTTGCATTTTAAATTCAGGTCTGTGGTCCGTTTTGAATTAACTTTTGTGAAAAATGGAAGGTCAGTGTCTAGAGTAATTTTTTTAGCATATGAGTATCCAGTTATTCTGGCACCGTTTGTTGAAAAGACTTTCTCCATTGAATTGCCTTTACTCCTTGGTTAAAGATCAGTTTCATGTATTTGTGTGGTTCTATTTCCGAACTCTCACTTCCGTTCCATTGATCTATTTGTCTATTCTTTCACCAATACCACACTCTTTTAATTGTTGTAGCTTTATGGTAAGTCTTGAAATTAGTGGTGTCAGTTCTCCAGTCAGAGAAACTTTGTTCTTCTCCTTCAGTATTGTATTGACTATTCTGGGTCTTTTGCCTTTCCATATAATCTTTAGAATCAGTATGTCAATATTCACAAAATAACTTGTTAGGATTTTGACTTAAATTACACTGAATATTAGATTAAGTTGGAAATAACTGAATCTTAATTATTGAATCTTCCCATCTATGAATATGAAATATCTCTCCATCTTTGTATATCTTAGAGTTTTAAAACTATCCTCATACAGAAATTATATATATTTTGTCAGATTTATTCCTAAGTATTTTATTTTTTGGTATTGATGTAAATGGTATTATGTTTCTATATTTTCTTTTTGGTTGCATGAAGTTTAAAACTGTGTTATCTTTTTGGTGAACTAAAAATCATTTCGTTATGTAGTGAATTTATTTATCTCACTAATAATGTTTGTGTCAAAGTATCTATTATTTTTGTAAGCAGCCATAAGATCTTCTTTTTAACCTCATATATACTTTCAGTTTTTTGATTTTCAACTTTTCTGAGCCTTTATGTTTTAGGTTTGTCACTTGCAAACAGTATGTAGTCATACGTGTGTGTGTGTGCATGCAACACGTATCAAATATGACAATACTTATGTTTTAATTGGAAAGATTAATTGATTTGTATTTGTTGTTATTAAGTTACAATTTAACTTTATTTGGTCAGAGAACATACTGCATATAAATTTAATCCTTTTAAATTTATTGATAGTTGTTTTATAGTATATCTTGATAATGTGCATTGTACAATGGAAAAGAATGTGTGTTTTGTTGTTTTGGGGTGGAACATGCTATACATGTCAATTAAGTATTGAAATGTATTTAGCTTTAACTGTGGATTTTTCTGTTACTCATTGTATTTCCATCAGTTTACTCCATGCATTTTGAAGGTCCATTATTAGGTACATAGATGTTAAGAATTGTTATGTTCTTTTGATGAATTAGCCTCTTTATGATGATGAAATGACCTACCTAGTCTCGGGTAATATGCTTTGCTCTGAAGTCTACCTTGTCTAATATATTAATATTAGACACTTCACATTTCTTTTGTCACTTCACATTTCTTTTGACTAGTATAGCACATTTTCCCAACCTTGTGTTCTTTAACCTATTTTGTATCTTCATATTTGAAGTGCATTTCTTGTAGGCAGCATATAGTAGTCTTGCTTTGTTATCTAGTTCAACAATCTGTGTATTTTATTTGGAGTATTTTGATAATTTATATTTAATGTAGATATTGATATAGTTAGACTTAAATCTATCACTTTGCTATTTGTTTTCTATTTGTCCCATTTGTCCTTTGTTTTCTTTATCCTCTTTATGACTTCCTTTGGATTGAGTACCTTTTATTAATTATTTTTTTGTCTGCTTTGTTAGCTTATTAGTTATAACTCTTAGGTCGCTTTAGGGTTTATGCTGTTCATCATTAGCTTATCATAGTCAATCTTCAAATTATTACACTACTTCATATAGGTGTAAGAATGCTATAATAGTATACTTCTGTAATTAGGTTTTACCCTTTCTAGTTTTTCCTCTTTTCTTTTCTGTGTGTGTGTGTGTGTTTTTATTTTTTTTTAGATGGAGTTTCACTCTTGTTGCCCAGGCTGGAGTGCAATGGCGCAATCTTGGCTCACTGCAACCTCCACTTCCTGAGTTCAAGCAATTCTCCCGCCTCAGCCTCCGGAGTAGCTGGGATTACAGGCGTGCACCATCATGCCTGGTTAATTTTGTATTTTTAGTAGAGATGGGGTTTCTCCATGTTGGTCAGGCTGGTCTTGAACTCCTGACCTCAGGTGATCCACCCACCTCGGACTCCCAAAGTGCTGGGATTACAGGCGTGAGCCACTGTGCCCGGCCACGCTTTCTAGTTTTTGTGCAGTTACTATATACTTTATTTTGCACATGACATAAACTCCACAACATATTGTAATTATTTTTATTTGAATAATAATCTTTTAAATAATTTTAAATAATAAAAGATACATACTTACCCATGTATTAACCATTTTTAATGCTCTTTATTCCTTTGCATAGATCCATCTTGTATCATTTTCTTTCTGCTTACAGGACTTTCTTTAACATTTCTTGTAGTGCAGGGCTGCTGGAGATTAATTCTTTCAGACTTTGTATGTCTGAAAAAGTCTTATTTGCCTTCATTTAAAAAAGACATTCCTGCTAAGTACAGACATGTTGGGAGTTTGTTTTGTTTTGTACTGTCAGTAGTTTCAAGATGTTGCTACAATAACTTCTCATTTATATTGCTTCCGAAGAGAAATGTGATATCATCTTCATTTTTGTTTCTCTGTTCTTAATGTGTCTTTTTTCCTCTGGCTAACTGTAAAACTTCTCTTTATCTCTGGTTTTGAGCAATTTTGTTATGATGTTCCTTGAAATTTTCTTTGTTTCTTATGCTTGGGGTTCGTTGGTAGCCTTGAATCTAAGGTTTTATAGTTTTTATGAACTTGAAAAAATTCCACTTTCATTTCTTTAAATATATATTTTTTATTCCCCTCCTTGCTCTTCTCCATTGGGGAATCTAATTGCACTTATATTTGGCTTCTTGAAATTGTCCCTTAGATCACTGGTGCTCTTCTTGTTTCTTAAAAAATGAACAAACAAATTAAAAACTCATCTTTTTTCTCTGTTTTATTTGGAATAATTTCTGTTGCTATGTCTTAAAGTTCATGAATCTTTCTTTTGAAATGTTTAATCTAATGTTAAGCTAATCCAGCACATTTAAAAATATCAGATATTGTAGTTTTCATCACTAGAAATTCTTTTTGGGGTTTTCTTATATTTTCCATGTCTCTACGAAACACTTTGAACATATTGAATACAGTTATAATAAATTTTTTTTGCTAATTCTAATATCTTTGCCAGTTATGGGTCTATTTTGATAGATTTTTTCATCTTACTATAAATCATATTTTTCTGCCTCTTCACACATCTGAACATTTTTGATTGAATGCCAGATATTGTGAATTTTACTTTGTTGGATTCTGGTATATTTTTGCTTTCATATAAATATTCTTGAACTTTGTTTTTGCACGCAGTTCAGTTACTTGAAAACAGCTTGATCCTTTTTGGTCTTGCTTTAAAAATTTTTAGATGAGGGAGCATTTAATTCAGGACTGATTTTTCTCATGACTGAGACATGGTCCTGGCCCTTCGGCATACTACATTCAGTGCCCTGTTAATTATGAGCTTTTCCAATTGGCTGGTAGAAACAGACGCTATTCCTGGACTAGTGTGAGCCATAGGTAATGTTCTCTGTAATCCTTTAGGGTAATTTTATCTCCCTAGCTTTGAGTCATTTCCTTATATGTACATACTGATCAGTGTTCTCCCGAATATTCAAGAAGGACCCTGTGTAGATCCCTGGAATTCTCATTTTGGGCAGCTCACTTATCTCTAGTACTCTGTCCTGCAAACTCTAGCTGCCTTTATCTCCCCTGACTCCCACTTGTTCTCCTAAATTCAAAGAATCTATCAGGCTCTGCTTGGCTGAAGGTGGTAAGCTGAGGTAATCTTAGGGCTCTCTTCATTTGTTTCCCATCTCCTGGGGATTACTTTCATTACCAGTATCCAGTGTCTTAAAAAACATTGTTTCTTTTATTTTGTCAAGTTTTTTGGTTGTTTCAGATGGGTTGGTAAATCTGGTCCCCGCTGGTCCCTGCTATTCCATCTTAGCTGCAATTGAAACTCATTTCCTTGTTGATTAATGATGGATTTGGAAATTTTTCTGCCATTTTATTTTGTACTTTCTATTTATCTTGATTTTTTAAACCAGATCTTATTCTATATATTTCCTCTCTTTCTATGACCATAATCAGACATTTATCAAGTGCTTATGACATGCCAGGCCCTAGACTAGGTGGTTTGCATAGTTTCCTCATTGAATACTTGCAATGACCCAAGGAGGTAGCTATTATGAACGTGCTTTATTTACATAAGAGGGAACTGAGTCATAGAACTTTTAATTACCCCCTTCCCTTACCCAAGGTTACATATTGGGGCTGACGTCCAAGTCTTTCTCTAAAGCCTGTGCTTTGTGTATACAATACTGTCCCACATCTAGATGAATGATTTCAAACCACCAGCTTACAGCTAATATGCTATACTCTAGGTATGTTAATTCATGTATTTGTTAAGCTAATAGGACATTTCCTTCTTTGGATTGAAGGATCAGTGATTTGGTTGGCTCACTGGCCTCTACACTCATTTTCTGTGGAGCTAATCCAGAGTAAACTCTGGCTTATGTTGTCAAATAATTTAATATTAGCAGAGTAAGCTATGATATTAGTAACTATGAAAATGCTGCGAATAGTTTAATGACAAAGTACCTGGAGAAATAAGCCTATTGGTTTGGGAGAGAATGGATTATAATAATAACTTATTTAAAGATATTATTTTATCTCTCTTGGTATAGAAAGCAGACCCTGGGTGTCAGTAGAATTCACCCTCTGAATTTTAATAATCTGTTCATTACTTGAAGACTTATCCTGATTGTCTATCTTACTTGCTCTAGAGCTTAGCACAGGCCTCGTGATACTGAAGAGCAAACAAACATGTTGTAAGAAGGCTCCACTCTTACAATGCCTGAGCATTTACAGTCTGCACCTGGTGCCCGACCTCTGCTAGGGGTGAAGGGCACCAGGAGCCTGCACTCTTGGAAGTTCTCTTGGCTGCTCCCTGCACACTCTGTATGACTGTCATAACCATAGGGTAGTTTACCCGTTAGGAGGCATCCTCTGTTGTCCTGCCGCTTTGCCAGTGGAGCTGCACAAGGTTGTAGCAGGAATTTCTAATTTCATGTCATCAAACATTTATTTGGTGATCCTTAAATGTGCCTACCTGAGGCTGGTAATGTGACACAAGAATTATCCATGAAGCTTAAAGGCAGAAATCCCTTTTGAAACAGGTTGTACAATGGCATGGTATGTCATGTACCTCATTACTGAATTCTGAGCGTGTTCAAATCTTTGAATTTTATGATTTAATTAACCAAATGCACCTTTCAGAGCAAGGGAAAAATGGAAGACTCTGAAAGCCCTCAAATTTCTTAAGTCCCTGCTATGAACTACATTGAGCAGGTATCGCCTTGCAGACAAAGATGGAAACTTATACAAGCCCGAAGGCACAAGGCTGCTTCCTACTGGAGCTGTCATGAGAACAAATGGCGGAAACAGGAAGTCTGTACCGCATGGTGGAATTTATGCCAGAAAATTAAAGGGATATAATCCATTCGTTCCAGCTTCACAAACGGCGTGTTAGACATTTGCAGTAGGGAATGGCCTTGGGATTTTAAACATCTCTTTCCAAAGAATTGAAAGTTTTTGAGAAAGATTATTATTAAAAACTTGAACACACCACACTTTCCACTGTAAGGAGAAGACAAGCAAGAAGATTTGTAGATTCTGTATTCTTCCAGCAAGCCAGGGATGTGAGTGAAGAAAAAAATGTACTTCTGCATTCAGAAAGAATTTATAACAGGTCTAGGCTGTGTCAGAAATTGTGCTAGATGCTCAGGATGAAAGCCGGATTAAGAAAAATACAAAAATGACCTTCAGATTTGAGGAGAGATACATAAACATGCATAGGTGACAAGTAAGTAGCAGACGAAGTGGGGGTGCAGAGAGCAGGCAATATTGCTTGGGAGAATAAGAAGGTGTTGCAGAGGAGGCGAGGTTTGAACCGAGCCTAAAAGGATGTTTAAATGTCTGTAGGGAGAGAAGGGCAATATGGGAAGAGGCCACAGCGTGTACAAATGCATGGAGCCCTGAAAATAACCCACACCTGTGCTGGAGACAGTTGGTCATCCAGTCATTTATTGTGTCCTTTCATTTGTGTTACTATAATGGAACACCTGAGGCTGAGTAATTTATATAGAAAAGACGTTTGTTTGGCTCATGGTTCTGCAGGCTGTACAAGAAGCATGGCAGCAGCATCTGCTTTTGGTAAGGGCCTCAGGAAGCTTTTGCCAAGGGTAACTGATGGGTCATATAGTAAGAGAAGGAGCAAGAGGGAGGAGGAGGGGTGCCACCCTCTTTTAAAAAACCAGCTCTTGAATGAATGGAGTGAGAACTCACTACAGGGGAGGGCACAAAGCTATTCATGAGGGATCCACCCCCATGATCCAAACATCTCCTACCGGGTCCCACCTCCAACCTTGGGGATCACATTTCAACATGAGATTTGGAGGGGACAAATATTCAAACTCTATCACCTGTGTTTAAGAATGATTGGAGATAACAAGAAAAAATGTCCAGGTGTGGTTGGAGGCCACATTATTCTGTGGATTTACAGTAGGGGCATAACTGGATCATATTTGTATTGAGGAAGTTAATTCTGAAAGTAGCATGGAAATGAAAGAAGGCCTAAGAGTACATAGACACTAAGAAAGCACTGCAGTGCTCTGGGTGAAGATGATGTGTGCTAGACCATGGCTGAGGCTGTGTTTAGGTCTTTGTTGTTATTCGGTAATGAGGTTTGCCAAAAGACATGGCCTTCATTATCACCTGCCTGGTTCTATGACTGAAGGGTTGTTCTGGCTTTCTCCCACTTTTGTGTTTTGTTCTGGACTAGGCAAAACTGTGCTCTGCTTAAATGTCAGACAGGCCTGTGGTGGAATCCCATCTCCACCTTCTTTCAAATGTGAGACTTGAGGCCTTTCTGGCCTAACTTGACTCATCTGTAAAATGAAACAATGGTGCCCAGTGCAGTGCCTTTAATAAATTTTGGCTGCTTGTGACTCTTGGAAGGGGCAACTAAGTCTTATACATTTTCATAGACTGGACTCAATGCATGGATGTTAATTAATTTGTCTTGATTCAAACAATAAGTTCAAGCAAGGGATTTAATCTCCTGGACATCTCAACTCTTCTGTGTAGTGTGCTGTCTGTCATCCTTCCACTTTGGTGTAGTATGAGAAATTGCTTATGTTAACTTTACTGAGCATTGCTAGATGACATGATTCAATTTTGGAGCCAGATGTGCCTGTAGATATCATCTGTTAAATTTTCTTCTTCATGCATCCATTCATTCAGCAAACAATAACTAAATATCTAAATGTGCCGGGTGTTAGGCTAGGCAGAGGCAAAAATGAATTAAGCCAAATCTCTGCCTTCTGGATGCCCAGAGACTTTGGGGGTTGTAAGCACATAGTTTGTAATACAAAGTACTATGGAATTTTGGGGAGGAGAAGAGAAAATAGGGCTTGAATGAGCAAGAAAAGGATACAGAGGGTTCATGAAAGAGTTGACACTTGAGCCAAATTTTGAAAGATATATCCAGGTTTACTAGGTTGGCATTGGAGGTGAAGGTGGGTCAAAATTCCAGTATTTTTGTGTAACAAACTACCTTAAAACTCAGGAGGCTACAACATCAGTTTTTAATTTCTCATGATTGTATGGGTTGGTTGGGCTCCCTGGGGTAGTTCTGTTCCACATGGTGTTGACTGAGGTCAGTAAAATTGGGGGCTCTGATTGATAGGTTAGAAGGTGGCTTCTTTCACATGCTAGTGCTTCAGCTAGGATGGCTGGAATGACTAAGGTCTAGCTGAATCAGCTCTCCCTCTTCTCTCTGTCTGTCTCTCTCTCACATTTAGTTGTCAACCCAAACTTCTCTATGTGGTAGGCTGGATCCCAAGAGGGAAAAAGGAAAGGGGCAACACCTCTTAAAGTCTAGGCCCAGAAGCCTCAGAGCATCACTTCTGCCATTTCCTATTCATTGAAGCAAGTCATGAGCCAGCTTGGATTGAAGGGCAAGGAAGCAGTCTCCATCTTCTGACGGGAGGAGCAGCCTGCATGCAGACAGGTGGGAGGAATGGTTGGTGGCCATCTTCGGAGACAATTTAGCCCAGTCAGTCCAGGCAGAGGCCAGAGTATTTGTAAGAGGTGCCTCTACTCTCAGTAAAGGAAAAGACAAGGTCAGCTGCTGAGAGCACAGAGGAAAGGGGAGGGCCAGGGACCTGAGGAGAATAAGGGAATAGATGAAAATATCTGGTAGGGATCCTGAGGGTTACAGAGCCATGTTGCAAACCATACCACAGTGGTAACTACAAAATAGATGTTAGTTCCTGACCTCTCCCCCTCTCTTTGTTGTGAGATCATCTCCAGTGGCACTCCTCAGTGGGCAGCAGTGGAAATGACCTGTGAGGAATCAGACCCAGAGAGAAAAGAAGTTATCTCAGGTCACCCAGCAAGACAGTGGCAGAACCACGAGTCTCCCATACGAGACAGTGCTGGGCTTTCTGTGCACTATAAGAAGTCGTTTTGATACTACAAATTGCTACTCTCATCACTTCTGCTTCACTTTTGGTGATCTAGGATTGGAGAGAAGGTGGACACACAATGGGAAAGGATAAAAATAGTACTTACATATCTTTCTGGGGCACTGGATCCAAGAGATCAACTCATTCTAACAAACGTTTATTGAGAACCTACAATGAACCAGGAACTAAACTGCAGACACAAAAATGAGTAAGACGTGGATCTTGCCCAGAGAGGCTTATAGTCTAGGGGAAGACAGACATTCCAAGAATTAATTTCAGTACAGTATGATCAGACAGTGATTGACCAATACACAGAGAGGGGGAGCGGTCAGGAACTAACATTGATTTTGTACTTACCATTGTTGGAGACTGAGGCAGGAACTTTAACCTCAGAGGGACACTCAAAGCAGGAAGACAAGTTAGGAGATCAGTGTTCCTAGGCATTTGAGAGCATCTTACTCCAAAGAACTTAGACTTCTTTGCTTCTTCCTGAAGAAAAATCAGTAGGGAAATATTCAAGAATCGAAGACTGCAGATTGTCTCTGTGAATACTTGTTTCTAGTTGTTTCTTTAAAAAAAATTACTGTTAAGGCAGCTGGAAAGATGAATTGAATCAGGAAAACACTCAAGCAGGAGTGCAGTTGGGAGACCAGTGTCCAAGATGAAAGGGTTCAAGTGCTTCTTAGCGCAACCAGTGGGTTTAAACTTTTTTACCATCACCCCCCACATTAAGGGGTAGGCACAACACCTTGTCAACGGTGGTTCATCCCACCCGTGATTTTCCTGAGTGGATTAAAATCGAGTAGTGTTTAAAGGATTACTGTTTCGACATAGCAATGCACAGAGTAAAATCTTCGCCCCTCCTTCCAGTGGCCCTTCTCATTCTAGCCTCTCCCCAACCCTCCTTGTTTCCGTTTATCCTGTGTTCTATTTCACCAGATATTTTTGGCGTGTCCATTGTGTGCCAGATACTGCCAAGCACTAGGGAAATGACAGTGAACAAGATATAGTTTTAGACAGAGTGGTTTACTAGTAAGAAGGTTATAGGAGGGCACTTTCATATGGGGGGAGCCTATCTATTATCTTCCAAATCATATGGAAGCATACTGTTACCCTGCCTTGAAGAACTGGATCTGCAGAATAAAACAATCCCCACGTTTCACCCAGGACAAATTGATAAAAATTATTCAACATGGAGGCGTGATGGTATTTTAAGTTATTACAGTCAAGGATAAAGGAAAAAATTCTTTAGATATCAGGCCTAAGGAAAATAATAAATTACCCATGGGGGAAAATGGTGCTGGCCTCAGACTTCCCCACAGTCCCAATATCTGGAGACGATGTAGCAATGTCTACAAAATTCTGAGGGAAAAAAATGACCCAAGAATAGTAAATCCTGGCAAGTGTTTGTATAGACATAAGAGCATCAAGCAGATATTCCCAAGCACAGAAGAATTTAGAGATTCAGCGTTTCTGAGTCCTCCTTGAAAAATCCACTTGATAGACTCCAGTCAACTAAGACATGAGTCAGAATGAAAGTATTCAGGAATGAAGAAGCTATGTGATAAAAAGACAAGTGAGCAATAAATCCATTTAAACTGAGAACCCAACCTACAAATCCTGGAGTTATGAAGTTACTTCCAAATCCTGAGAATTATGAGTATAGCGTAGAATGTAAATGTTAAAAATCTTATTATTATCGAGTAAAAAAAAAGTAATATAACTAATGAAAATCAGAAGGTGTCAGAACGTGGGAATTAGGGCTACTTTCCTCACCTTTCATAGCATAGAATTAGTTAATGGTGTCTGAAATTGAAATATGAAGTATATAGGCCAGACACAGTGGTTCACACCTGTAATCCCAGCACTTTGGGAGGCCGAGGTGGCTGGATTGCTTGAGCCCAGAAGTTCAAGACCAGCCTGGGCAATGTGGCTAAACCCTGTCTCCACTAAAATACAAAAAAAAAAAAAAATTAGCTGGGCTTGGTGGCATGTGCCTGTAGTCCCAGCTACTCAGGAGGCTGAGATGGGGAGTTCACTTGAGCCAGGGAGGTTGAGGCTGTAATGAGTCTTGATTGTGCCACTGTACTCCAGCCTAGGTGAGAGAGTGAGACCTTGTCCATCTCTAACTAACTGTTTTTGATAAACTTATTTTCTTAACCCTAAAGAGCTTCTTTAGAAAATAATACCTCCTGCAGAGACTCATTTCTTCAGTTTCCTCTTTTTCATTCTTAGAACCAAGTAAAATATAATTTTACACACTTTATTTCTAGAAATAATTGCCCATTTTGTCTGTGTGTCTAGCCAGCTCCAGCTGGGTGTACACGTGTATAGCAAGGTATCTGGAATAATGCTTACCTAATATTAGTAAGTTTTTCCTGGATGGTGATGATGTAGATTAGTTTTGTTTTGTTATTCATGCTGTTATGTATTTATTGATTTTTTAAACAATTAGCAAATAGTATTTCCATAAAAACAATAATTTTAATACTAAAGAAAAAAGGCAGAGAAAGAAAGAAGGAAGGGAAAAAGTAACACCTAAGACCTGTTATAGGGAGGCACATGGCAGGCATATGTCTGGGCATGAGATGCAGAGCTTGACTTTTCTCTCTCTAGGCCTCGGTGTCCTCACCTGTGAATGGGATGAATAATTGTATCTGCTTCTGAGGGCTGCTGGGAGGAGCAAATGAGAGAATGCCTGGGAGGCACATGGTACAGTATCTGGCCCATCAGTAGTTCAATACACGTTGACTTAAAAGGTTAAAATCATGCAATATAAGAACAGAAGAAACTTCAGTGATTCACCTTTTTATTTAATTTTACCCATGAGAAAACTGAAGCCCACATATGGTTGCCCAAGATCACATGGCTAGGTATGGCAGGACTTCCGTCCTCAAAGCCAGCTCCTTGTCCATCCCATCCAGCAGGCATAGGAATGAGAACAGAGGCATATGTAATACACAGTCATCCAGTACTTGGGCTAATACTAAAATTACTCTTTAGTATTCTCAGAGCACACACCAATAGATACATAATAGGAGAGGATATCTACGTACCCTTAGCTAAGGAGAAACACTTGCATTTAAAATTTTACCCCAGAAAACTCCACAGCATGGATTACACATTTGTGGCTAACTAAGAGGTGACTGAAGTTGGTCCTTTTATCCCCATCCAGCTAGAGTTAATCCTATCTTTATCATCTCTTTCACTTTGAGATAATGAACTGAATAGCTGAACTCCCAATTGTTCAATTAATTAATTTTTTTCTATTGCCACTTTGTGGCAATAAACATGGTGTCTCAATAGACCCTGCCTCTTGAGTTTTTCCTGAGTCATTGGGAAAAGCCTATACATTAATATTCATGGCAGGGTGGGCATCAAAGTAGACCTCCTGGCAGAGATTTCACATGCTGTTTGTGCAATTAGTGAAGATTAGTGATTCTCGGAATGGATAGGGTTTTGCAAATGGTGGAAAGGAGAGAAGGAAAAAGTAGAAGATCATTTCATAAGCAATTTTAAATTTAAAAGTATGACATCAAGAAGCAACCTCCCAGGGAGAGATGTGATTATCATTGTGAAATTTGTCAAAGAAAAAAAAAAAAGTCAAGTTGACAGCTTCAAAGCCAGAGCAGTGATGTTATCACTTCCTGTGGTATTATCTGTACCATGGAGCAATTAGACTAGTACAAAGTGGGCTGGGTTAACATAGTATTCTAAGTAATAGGCCCAGACCATCCAGCTGCCTAAATTGATTAATGATATGCAAATGGAATTTACAGACTACAGTCATCTGTTTTCTTCCTCTAGGCTGTCTGTCTTTTCCTAACCCCATTCTTTGCTTTCACTAAAATGAAGAGAAAGTACTGTGAATATCAGGCAGCAAATTACTTTCTTTTTTTCAATTTTAGCTTTCTGAGCTATGATTCAAGCCATCAAAAGTCTATCTCCAGCCTATAGGGAACTGACATATTCATTGTTGTATGTCACTTCTCCAACTCTGCTGCCGTCATTTCAACTAACCTTAAATTGAATACTGTCGGCATCAGCTAGAATCCCTAACAAACGGCGCGCCTCATCACCATACTAATTGAATGAAAAATGTTCCATGATTTAAATACCTATTGCTTCATCATTTCCCCAGTCTTTGGCTTCCATTTTGTCAGGCATGAAGTTGGTGATTAAACCCAAGGCATAATTATTAGCAACAGAGAAACCGTTGTCCCATCTTGCAGTTTCCTGACCAGGTGCAGACTCCCAGCTCCACACTGAGCATGTCTGTCAGTCTTATGAACAATCCCCACAGAATAAGTGACTGATTTTCTCTTTATAATCACGGAGGCGCTTTACAGCAAATTGTCCCACTAGACCTCTACTTCTGAATGGCATAATGAACATTTCAGTGTGGCGAGAAGTTTATATATTGAAAGGGGGTGTCAGAGTTGGAACTAGGACGCTGGCATCTTTTATCAATACACCTACCGTGGCTGCCTCCCACCACTCTGGCCTCTGTTGCTTTTGACAGTTGTGTAAAATGAGGAAAGCCTTATGAAGCAGGGTGGGAGCAACCTGTTTACAAAGTTCTGGATTTGAGTGCAAGTAAAAAGGAAGCTTGTCTGAGCCTAAAGAAAGAGCTGTGTACAGGAGGGGTGTTGTCATAGAAAGCAATTTACACAGGAGAATGAGGACAGTTTTGTGTTCAGGAGTTACAGAAAGGACACTTTTTAAAAGCTCGTTTCAGAGACTAACAAAACAAGGCTGATTGACTTTAGATTTGAGTTACTCGAATTTGGTGCATCCAATTCAGTGAACCTGTCTGCCAAGCTATCAGATGGAGAAGATAACCTGGGTGAGTGTGATGAAAGACACTCAGAGTGCTACTCTTCCTCCGCCTACCACTAGAATGCAAAAGTGCAGCTGGTTTTTCTCACTTGTCCAGTAATAGAAGCTCTGGGGTTTGAAAGCCTAATGCTTTGTAGCTCAACCCAGATATCTGTGGACTTCATATGGGTTCTGCTTACACATTCTAAATTCTGGGCATTTTCCCATTGCAGGGATGATGTACCCCTTGAAGCGAAGTTACCATAGCATCTTCTTCTTTCAAAAGCTTTCACATTACTAATATTCATTTATGTCCACATTAAATTAAAAGGTAGAAATCTTCTAAAACTCAAATTTGTATCTGGCAGAGACTTTTCCTCTATGTTAATGCTCTTTTTCTTGCACCCAGATGCATATCCGTGGACTTTGAGGCTACATTCATGAGCCATTTCCAAGAGGTGTTATTTTCTTTCTTCTCAACTGCAAGGTTTACAGATTATTAGATTATTTGCAGATATGGAAATGTCTATCATATATTTACAAACTACAAACCACATAAAAAGAACATTGTCTTTCTAATTTACATTTTTGAAATTTAAATACTTGATAACTTTATGTGAATAAGTAGCTTGAACTTCTGGTGATTAGTTTTTGATTATTTTAACTTTTGGGAATAATTTATAGAACATAGAGAAATGTAGAATGCCCATAAAGTAATAGACCATTGCTGGGTGGTTTTGAATAAAATCTCTTCCTAATGAGAATTCAAATACATTAGGTTCTGGAGTTCCTCCACTTAAAGTTTAAGGTAATATTTTTAATGTCACATTTTTATCCATCCAGACTTTGAAAAAGTGTTTCTTCTACATCAAATCCAAAGGCAATGTGGTGTAAAACACCAGAAAATTGGGTGTAAAGGTGAAAGAATCCTAATCTAACCACTCATTGGCTGGTGACCTTGAACGAGTCACTCTACCTGGCTGTCAATCATCTGTAGAATGAGAGGTCATGACTCTAAGGTTCCTTGCAACTTGAAAAATTTTGTGAATTCAATCTCAGTGCTTTGCATAAAGTGGAATATGAGATGCCTGCTCGGAATATGTTTAGAATCTATTTGCTAGTCACATATTGAAAAATATCACAAGGATAAGGAATTCCATCGGCACGCAAATATTAATTTTGACTTGGAAATAACAAGACAAATGGCCGACTAATCACCCTTGATACAGAGAAAGTCAGGTTCAACTCCAGGATAATGTATTATTCTTGTGTGACAATGTGTGAATTGTATAACAGAATAAGGAATCTACTTGTATGTTAAGTGAATACACTTCTTGTTATGGAAAAAGCAATGTTTTCAAAGATGATCTTAAAGTCTGGGATGTGTTAGAACTCACTGTAGAAAGTATTGATGATAGTAATAAGTAAATATTAAATGAATGAATGAAGCATATAATTATAACAGTGGCTTTCTGAGTGTGTGTTTTAATAGGATATACTGTGAATATTTGTGCCTTGAAAAGTGCTAGGGTGAATTGTATCACAAATACATGACTTTGAAGGTTTTCAGGTCAACTCTAATGTGACAACAAATCTCATGAGCCTTGCTGATCTCTGCCTGCATTTGTTGTAATGCCATAAAAGTCATTCTGTGACACATTACACCATGACAAATACTTTGACCACTGCTCACACATCGATGAGGAGTAAGTTTTCCGGCCAGTTTCTGGTGGGGGAGGGAGAAACCACCTCCCATAATCTATCTATTAACCATCAACAGTATGAAACAGAAATTTAGGAAACTTTTCACCTGCTCATTTGATTTGAGTCAGTTCTAACTGGCAACTCATGGCAGCATCATTTTCCAGGAGGTTTACACAAAAGAAGCTAGAGGAAGTGGCCCTAGTTCCCCACATCAGTCAGTTTCTTCTTCAATTTTCTGGCTGTTTGAACCTCAGTCTTCCTGCAGGGTTTGGGCTTTGCCCACTCTTGCTGACCTAAGTGGAGGGGACCATGCCATGTTCTGGCCTTTTCCTCCTCTCAGGGTAGGTGACAGTCAGACATAGTCCCCAGAGATCTCTCCCTACCTGATCACCTCCAAAGGTCTCACAGTGTTGACTTGCCACATTTCAGTGGGCTGCCTATTCTTCCTTAACCTTTCCCAGAATCACAGCATGGCTTTGTATATATAAGAAGATTCAAAAATTCAGGTTATATAGCACATAGGACATGGAACATAGACTGCACAATAGCCAAGACACAATGCAGCAACAAAAGCTCAACCATGAAAGGAGAGGATATGTCCATTGCTTACAATCGATCATGCTCTGGCTGTTTATACTGATGGTTGAATGAAAGGTGCTTTGAAAGAGAAAGGATTCATTACCTTGTTTCTGTGACATATATTAAATCTCTGTAAAAGGGACAAGCCTCAAAAGAGAGAGCAGAGGAAAGCCAAGCTCTTGGGCACAAGGAGGTATCTGGCATCTTTTGGATGGATCTTATGGAACAGACTCTTTGCCCTATCTCTGATTAGATAGAGATCCTTTTGCTGACATTCTGGTTGGATAGGGCCCCTTTTGCTGTTTGGATAGGGATCCTTTTGCTGAATTGAGGATGACTAGCACTTACTTAGAGAGCAACTTTTGTCCCCAACCCTGGTTTTCAGATGATGTAACTGAGACTCTGAGAGACTGATGGACATCCTCAGGATTACCCAGAGACAAAGGGGGAATAAAATAAGATTCCAGACTTTCAGATCATACTATTTCCTTGTGAACATCAGGAAAAATGAGTTTTAAACATGGACAAACTGCTAGTAATGGGAATCCACTAATTCATTTAACAATTATTTCTCCTACTCTGTGCCAAGGCCTACTTCTAGGGGTCTGGAAATACAGTAATGAAATAAATACTGTCATTGCTTATATTCTATATGCAACTAAGCAAATAAACATCAATTATAATGTTATGTTCTTATTAGTGCTAGGAACAAAAATAAAGCAAGCAAGGAGAGAAAAGTGATATGGGTGCTATTTTAGATGACAGGGAAGCCCTCTCTGAGGAGGTGGTATTTGATCAGAGACCAGGACATAGTGATGGAGCAAGTCTTGTGACAATGTGGGGACAAGACATGCCCAAGCAGAGCCCCCCAGGCGGGATGGTTTGTGTGTTTAAAAAACACTCTAAAGGCCAGTGTGGCTGGATAAGAGTGAAACAGGAAGGGAGAGGTAGGAAGAAGACTGGAGAACCATCAGAATTGAGATCCTGGAAAGCTTTGGATTTTACTCTAAGTGTGATGTGAGCAACTGGAGGATTCTGAGCAAAAAGTGACAAAATGTGATTTGTTTCTGAGAACCATCAGCCTGGTTTTGGTGTGATTAATAGACTGTGAAGGGCAGGCATGTAAGCAGGGAGACCAGTTAGGTTGTCCAGGAGAGAAATAACAATGGGTTCATATGCACACACTGTGCCATGGCTTACCCAGCACCAATTCTCCATTTCCTCTCCCTTTCCTTCATCTACTAGACAAGCTGAAAAGCCAGATGTTTGGTCTCCTGATTCCCCTTGCAGCTCTAGGTGGCCATGTAATGTGGCTCCTGCCAGTGAGATATAACAGATAATCTGCTGAGAAAGCTTTAGGGAGATCCCTGCTTTTTTGGTAAGAAGGGTGACAGATATGGTTGACACTATTTTTTTTTCCTCCTTTTTCTCCTTAGCTTATCCCCTTCTTCTTATATGGAATTTGAACATGATACCTGGAGGTGCAGTAGTCAGTTTGTGACTGTAAGGCAATAAGCCAAGAATGACAGAATAGAAAACTAGAAAGATCTTTTGTCCTTCATGATATCATTTGGCCCCTGCACCAATCTTTGATCACATGCCTCTGGATGTCCTTACATGAGCCTAGTAATGACCCCCTAAAGTCAGGGGTCAGGATAATTTTTCTGTAAATGCCCAGGTAGCAAATATTTTAGGCTTGATGGGCCAGATAGTCTCTATCACAATGACAACTTTGCTGTTGTAGCACAAAAGCAGCCATAGACCACACACAAAAGAATGAGAATGGCTGTGTTTCAATAAAACTTTATTTACCAAACTAGATGGCAGGCCAGATTTGGTCTGGTGACCCTACTTTGCTGATCCTTGGTTTAAGCTTAAGTTTTCTCCAACTCTAGACATTCTTAAGTGATTCATGTAAACCAGAGTGGGACTCATGGAGGTGGCAAACGTGATTAAATTCAGAATGTATTTGGTATCAAGGATGACAATAAAGTTTGGGGTTTGAATTGAAAAACTAGTTGAATGACGCCATTTACGGAGATGAGGAACACTAGGAAGGATTAGATTGAGGAAGAAGATGGAAGGCAGTAATCTTGTCTTGGACATTTTAAGTTTGAGGCATTTACTTGGCATCCAAATGGAGATATCAATGAGGCAATTGAAAGAAAGGCTGGGGCTAGTGATATAAATGTGGATGCTATCATTGAGTAGCTGGAATTGAAGCCATGGGATGGGAGGAGATCACCTAAGGGACAGTGTAGATAGAGAAGTTCAAGGATTGAGCTCTAGGAGATTTGAACATTTTGAGATTAGGGTGAGGAGAATGATTCAGCAAAGGGGACTCAGAAGACATGGCCAGGTCTTTAGGAAGAAAATCATGACAGTGGGATTTCCTTGAATCCTAGTGAAAAAAGTGCGTGAAGGGCTTTTGAGAGGTTGAGTAAGATGAGGACCAAGAATGGGCCATTTGGTTTGGCATCATGGAAGTCATTAGAGACTTGACCAGGGAGATTTTGCAGAGTGTTTTTGATGGAGCGGTTTTGGTGGAGGATTGGGGATAAAACCATAACTCCCAAAGATGAATGGGCGGTAAGAAATTGGAGGTATCAATATTACAGAGTTATAATAGTTAGCACAATTTGGTGCCAATGAAAGGATAAACAAATAGACTAATTAGGACAGAATGAAAAGCCCAGAATCAGGCCCATGCATGTACGGACACTTGATTTCTCAAAAAAGTGTTGCCAAGATCAGTGGAAACGGATGGCCTTTTCAGGGAATAGTGCTGGGAGAGTTAAATATCGGTGTGGGAAAAAATAATTTCAGATTGTACACAAGAAACAATTACAAGTATACTGCAGACATATTTATGTATAAAAGATGAAGCAATAAAACAACTATAAAGTAACATAGAAGAACAGCTTCATGATATTGGAGAGACAAATATTTCTTAATCAGAACCAAAAGAGCAGTACTAATTATAAGGAATAGATTAATAATTTTGATTACACTGAAATTAAGAACTTCTTTTCATTAAGATACAGTATGTGATTAAGAGAGTGAAAAATCAAGCCAGTGAAAGCTGTGACTTTTGTAACATCTGTAACCAACAAATGCTTTATATCCAGAATAGGTAAAGAACACTAAAGCTCAATAAGAAAAAGACAAACAGCTTAGTGAAAATATACACAGGAGATATGAACAGATACTTCTCTAAAGAAGATATCCAAATGGTCAGTAGAGACGTGAAAAAGTCTCAACCCCATTAGCAATAAGGTAAATCAAATTAGACCACACATGCCTCTACATATCCATCGTAAAGATTAAAATTAGAGCCCCCAAAACCAAGTATTGGCAGGAATATGAAGCGACAATCCTATACTTTAATAGACAGTAAATTGGTACACACAACCGCTTTTAAAAACCGTTGACAGAATTCTACAACTGCACCTATGCCAACTCTTCGATCCAGCAATTCCACTCTTAGATATATACCACACAAAAATGCACGCAAGTGTGTGTTGGAGAAATGTACTGGAATCTTCATAGCAACATTGTTTATCATAGCCCCCGAACTGTAAACAGCCCAAATGCCCATCAATAGTATAATGTAGAAATAGTTTGTGGTAAATTTCTACAATATTATAACACAATAAAATAAATAAAATTCAAGTATTATGCAATAAATCATGAGACCTCACAAACATAGTGTTGAGTGAAAAAGGCAGACACCAAAAAATACACATGGTGTATGACTCTATTTATGTAAAGTCCTCTTGGGGAAGGGACCAGGCACCTGTTATAATATACGGCATTTAAGGATGCATGTGAGTTTCGGTGGCAAAGTCATTTTTAAAAAGCAAAGGAGTGATTACTTTAAAAATTAACTCTCTTATGCTGGGTTAGACTGGAAGTGGACTCAGAGGGAGTTTTGCATGCAGAAGATTTATTGACAAGTGCTTTCATGAACAACACATGTAAAGAGGAAAGAGAAGCAGTACTGGACAGAAGAGGAAGTTAAACTGCAATGCAATCACAAGGCCTTAGCTGATCCACAAAAAACTCTAGAGGTGGGATGTTCTTTAGAGTTATTCCCCCATTGAAGCAAGGTGGTTAGGCCTTTGTGCCCCATACAAATCAATTATCAGACACAGGCTTCCCCTAAGGAGGGGACCTATTTGGAGTGAAGCAATACCCAAATGTGATTTCCAGAGAAGGAATATTTCTGGTAGCTGAGGAAATGAATGCCTTTGTCCTGAAGAAGGGATCTGTGGTACATCACAGTGTCTACTACCTCAGGATAGTGGTTACCTTTAGTGGGCAGGTTGGGTGAACTCAGCATCTCAATGGTGTAATAAAGGATTCCATTTCTTTTCTTCCTTCTGCTCTGCTACCTCAGTGTGTTGGCTTTCCTCCATCGGCCAGCAGCTCTCATGGCTCCAAGATGGATGCTCCCATTGATGTAGACATCAATGTCCAAAAAAGACAAGGATGGGTTTTGTGAACTTTTTAAAAGCAAGGGGAATATTTTTAGGCACTCCCCACAGACTTCATCTCATATTTCACTGACCAGAATTGTGCCGCATGCCCATATTTAAACCAACCAAAGTGAAGGAGACTGGAACTATCCGTGATGGGCTTAGACCTGTCAAGAATCTTCCTCTGGGTGAGAGGAGGAGGGATGGTGGGTGAAATCCAGGTGTCTCTGAGACACATGGTCAACTGACACCTAAACAACATCGCAGTTTGCTTAGCAAGATAGAATGGCTATTGGGTGGAAAACCACCTGAATTTGCCAAGGGATACACTGAAGGCCTTTGACTCATGTCAGTTGGGTGCAAGATGGAAAAAAGAGCAAAAAAGTAGGGGTGGCAGTGCATAGACCCATTCAAATTTAGATGAGCTACCAAGGCAGTCGTGGATGATAGGCAAATCTATGGGCTGGATTTCCCAAACCCATTGAGCAAGACTCTACACTGTCTTCAGCTTAACATCCTTTCCTGTGCAATTTTGTATCAGATTTTGCCAGATCAATCTACATTTTAATGCAGAATAAAAATCCAATCTAGATATCAAGTCTGATCAAAGACCGGTGAAATATGTCCACAGTGTGCTATTCAGGTGCCATTCTGTCATATTTGAAAGCATCCCTCTGGAGAAATCTATAAACCATGTTTCCCTGCTTTTTACTTTATTATATTGGTAAAACTCCATTGCCTATTATTTTCCTCTGTCTGTTTCAAAACACTGTTTACTGATATGGAACTGGACTAATCAGTGACCTTTTAAGTACATCCTACATGCCCCTGAAACAGGAAAGCAACCGGAGGATACGCTTATGGTCATTATGCACAGATCCCTTTTTCTCCTTCAGCCTCTTTCAAAACACATGCCCTGTTATATCAAACACACTGGCAAGGAAACTCTAAATACGTTTGAAAATAGGTTTAAAAGATATCACTCTAATGTCACTTAATGCATGTGCAATAGTACAGCCATGCCATTTTGATCATTCTGAGCAAATGTAACTGAAATTGATTACTAAGTATTTACTGAGCGCTTCCACTGTTATTGAGGGGCTGTTTAGAACACAGAATTAAGCAGCATTCCTTACCAACAGAGTGCAATTCTCAGGGAGAGTCCAAGTGTTTAAAAACAGGATAAATGTTTCAGTCTTATAGGGTTTTCTGAGAGATATTGTTTCAAGGGAAATCAGAACAGAAGTGTAAAAGAAAAAGAAATAAAACACTACCAAATTATTAGGGAGGTCATTTTAGAGCTCAGTAAATCCTGATCTATCCCCTACTAAGCAGTCTTCTAAGAATTGCTTAGCAGGATTTTTTGGGGACTGCCAGGGTTCCATTTTTAAATAGATCAAAGGACTTCTGATTTAGAGGACTGGTTCATTAGGCTGGCATAATGAGCCATTTTAGGATGATGGGGTCCTATGGAAGCAGCTGTTGCTGGAAGCCACCAGCAAATGTATGAATGATCAGTGCAAGAATGATGTAAAGAACACTTAAGATATAATCTCATCAACTTTCTCTGGACTGGCAGGAAAAGCCAAGTCTTGGGAACTTCTTTGGTAATTTCAGGGAGAGTCCACACATTGTCATAAGGAGACCACTGTATGGCCCACTTTTTCATGACCAATGTCTCTGTGGCCAACCTGTTATCTGGATTTATAGACAAAGTCATGGCTAGGAAGATATATGTCTCACTCAACACTATTTCCCCTTCCACATCCTTGGAAGATTCTACCAATTACTAATCAGTAAAATATCACCCTACTCTCCTCCCAAGCTCAGATGACACCTCGGTATCCTTCTTTGCAGTGGGCTCCAGTGGACTGGAGATTGACTCAAAGCCTTCACCTTATGATTATGATTTTTGTCATCTTTATTGCTAGCAGTATTGCAATAATAATAATAAGCTAGCTATTTATTAATAGCCTTGCCTATTAGTAATAATAGGCAAGCTGGCGTTACTTTTTATGTTTTCTTTCCCACCCACTGGTTTATTATGTAATCGTTGCCAGAAACCCTTTATAAAATCCTTACATTATATTTTTGAATTTGCTATTGATTTTACTTGAGATTTTACTTTAAGAAGTAACTAAGCTTGCCCAACTAAAAAAAAAAATCTGAGTTTACTTCTCCTCACTGGCATCTCTTTATTCTGTTCACAGATGTCCATGCCATCTTACTATAACCTTTCCATCTCCCTGCAAAGAAACAAGTCCAATTCATCGACTACTGCTCTTGCGGCAAAAGCTCTATTTCTGTCCCTTAGGGCCTCCTTTCTGGCCCTGCGGTTCTCCTTGCCCCCAAAGACTGAAATCTAGCTCAGGGAAATCAGTGTGGCCTGGGAATAGCCTGGAAGACTCCAATGAAGAGCCAAATTTGGGTAGAAAGTGGCTGGATAGAGCTTTGCTGGGTAGTTAAGGCAGGCTAGAGGCAGAGGCATCACAGCAAAGGGAAAGGGTATCTGTGACTGACCCTGCCATTGGCCTATGCAATATCCATGACTCTGTTTTCCTACTAGCGAGCTCAGTTTGACTTTGGTAATGTGCCCAGTTGAAATGTGCATCTTCTAAGAGTTTTTCTGGGGCTCCTGGGCCTTTGATGACATCACTGACTGCAACATAAGCTCTGGCCTGGCAACCACTATACTTCTTATAATTAAGTGTGTCTTATATTAAGTGTGTCTTAATAATTAAGACACACTTCTTAATTATTTAAGTTACTGCAGCAGTAGGATTTTTCTGTTGCTCAGGATTGGATGCAATCCTAAAGGAGCAGGGTTTCCTGATGACCTCAGCACTGTTGTTGACATTTTGGACTGGATATTCTCTGTCATGAGTGGGGGTGTTGTGGTGTATTGAACAATGTAGGATGTTTTGCAGCATCCCCTGACCTCCACCCCCCCACTCAATGCCAGTAGCCACCCCCAGGTGGTGACAACCAAAAATGTCTCTAGACATTGCCAGATGTCCCCAGAAAAACTGCACTGCTTGAGAGACTGCAGCAGAACCTCCAAAGGCGTGGATGCAGTTATTGGTTTGAGTGGACAGAGATTCTGTTCAGATCTGTCACTGCATCTCTACAGTGCAGCTTCGAGTTTGCTTTCTATAACACTCTGCCTTGAATGTTTTGGGTTTTTCTGTGGCATTTACAAGGTAAGCACTGTTTTTCAGTATCACCATGTATTTTCCCTTGTCATTACTGTTGCCCCTTTTTAAAATTTTACATTCTATTTTTTATTTAAAAAAAACCAAAAGATTCTGCTTTATCCTTACCCCAAGATACCACTCTATTAATTGTTTATATTTAATTTGTGAGAGGTTTGAAGTTCAATTTTTAAACCATGAGGAATTATTTGCATTTTTATAAACATTTAATATTTACTTATGACTATCTGAAAATCAACTACACAAATTAAAACTGAATAGTATTTTCTATAAGAAACTCCATCACTTGGCTCATTCCTGGAGACAATCCCTGTTCCTGATTCCTTTTTCTTGTTAGTAACAACAGACACATTTACCATGTGACGTAAGCAGGAAAGAGGAGAGGGTACACCTTAGGTTACCCAGGCTCTACCTGGGTGGCCAAGCCTACAGGTGCATGCCTTGGTGGCATATGGCACCTTTGGATGGGTTCAGCCTGCAGAGGACAGGCTGTGAGATGACTCAACCTCACTCAGCCTCAGCCAGGTACCCCAAGGCCCTGAGAGCCCAACACAATCACATATAGTGGCTCTGCTTAGACAGAATGAACTATGATTTGTTGAAACTGAGGTTCTACAAGGCCATTCTGGCTTTATTAACTGAGAAAGAGTTTCTAGAACAAAGCTCCAGTCTGCTCCCCACCAAAAATGGCCTCTCTTTTAGGATTAGCATATATTTGCTGCTTATCTAGACTTTAGAAAATAGCTCATCAACTGCTTCCCAATTTAATATTTTTTAAAATTACAGGCACAGCCTCTAGATAAGAGGAGGGTAGTCTGCTGTTTCCACATCTTCTTGGTTTTAGAAAGAAAAACAGCCAAAAGATTCTCCTAACAGCTCCTCAGAATTATTCTTATCCTCCCCATGGTCTTCACAATTGAAAACGGAAATCTCTTCTCCATGCTGAGTCACCCTAGTTGTGTTATACTAAGCGGATGCACATATGTGTTGCTAGTGAAATTAACAAGGGACTTCAATCTTGGGGCTCAATTCTAATACTCAAAACCCATGCTAAGTAGAATGGTTGATACAATAATATTTATTTTTTTGGAGTGTTATCTGAAAGCAAAATGATAATACTTTTGGAAAAATTGTAGAAATCCAAGAGTAGCCTGTTAGCCTGTGGTTACATGTTTCTTATTAAATGGAAAACAATGGAAATATCAGAATAATAATAAAGCCAATCACTTCAAACTGTCTCACATCCACTTTAGACAAACAGGGTGAAAAAGCATATCGAAGAAATATTACTGCCATTGAAATGTAGAAAAAAATACCTAAAAGGATTACAGAAATGATGGCCTGTTACATCTTTATTTCAGAGACAAAAGACAGTAGAAAGAAGTCTTCAATAAACTCTTTTACTGGAGAGTGGAAAAAACATTGGGGAAGTGGATCTTCTTTTATGCCTAGTAATGGTTCTTTTATAAGGCAAGATGGGACCTTTAAGGGCCCTGGATTACCCAGAAGGACCATTAGAAAGTGGTGTTTACGTTTTTAGTTTCTTGTTTCATAAAGTTAGAACCATGCATTTGGTCCACCCAGATCCAAAACAAATTCAGTGGAGTTCACATAGAGAAGACTTGGGGGGCTGGTGGGGATCCAGTGGACAAGAGTGACCTGTGACACAGGGCTTCAGCATCGCTGGCCTACAGAGTTTGGCCAGCTGAGTAACCTTAAATAGGTAACTTAACCTCTCCAAACCTCGATTTCCTGAGCTTCCTAGCTGGTGTCAGTGATAGCTGCCTCACAGGGTTGAGGAGAAACAAAAATGGATCATGTATGCAAAGCACTTAGCGCTGGGTTGGGTACACACTAAAGAAATAATAGATGCATTGAGAAGCTCATTCTTTGACATTGTAGAAATAGCTGCTGCCTCAGAATCACCAAGGAGAGGGTCCAGGAAGCTGCATTTCTAACAGGCCCACCTGATGAGACTAATGCACCTGGGTTTTGAGAGCCACTGGTTAACCAGATCCATCTCCACTTACAGCTGGCTCAGAACCCACTTCTGGAATCTACTCTAAAGAGCAATTGACCAACAACTGCTGCCAAGTTTCCGAGTGCACTCACATGATTCTGGAAGTGGCAGTTTCAAGCAGCTGTGATGAGGTGGTGAGCAGTGAGTTGCTCCTCACTCATGCAGTGGGCCCTGGAATGAAGAGGAGGAAAGCAGACCTGGTAGGCAACCTGTCCTGCCCTAGCCCTGGCTCAATAGGAAAAATGGGTTGGAAGAGCACAGATTTTCTCAAAGATGCTCTAATGATGGGTCTACGTCCCAGAGGGACACAGACAACATGGCTTCTTTGACAAGGGACATCCAAGGGAAGTCCTGGGGCCGCTCTAGTGCCCAGCTCATCCACTCCTAGGCTATTAGGCTCCAGGTCTGGGCAGAGGTGGGAGCCTGGGTTCACTTGATTTAAGACAAGACACGGTGAAGGAAGAAGTACTTTCCTGCCAGAACGCTGCGGATTCTCCTTCCTCACTGCTTCCTCCTTCCTGCCCTCTCCAGAAAGTCTTTTATTAACTATACCATAGCTGTGTTACTCCTAAAAATCCTATTATGAATGTGCCTCTTTTTATTTCGGGCAATTCTATATGCTAGGCACTGCACTAAGAACTTTACAAACCTTTGCTCTTTTGGCCCTAACCACCACCCTATCAGATGAATATTATTGTTTTCATTTAATATGGCTGAGGTTCAGACATGTTTGGTGGGAATTTGTTTCTAGATGATGGAGTCAAGATTCCGACCGAGGCTCCCAGGACTCCAACCCACATCTGTTTTGTTCCAAAGCCTGCACTTTTTCTTTTTTTAATTTGACAATGCATCTAATTATACTTATTTATTGACCTGCTTATTATTTGCCTCTATCGGCAGTGAAATCACACGCACACACACACACACACACACACACACACACACACCCCTTTAAAATATGCTAGATTTGCCTCTGCACCATTTAATTTTAACTGTAAACTCTATCTGTGCTTACTCAGATGCTCATTGCGGTTATATTTTTTGAACTTAAACTTCAGGATATATTCATCAACAAAGGAGTTTTTTAAAATCTTTCCTATTTTAAATGCATTTGTCTGAAGAGACAAGAGCAGGCCAAAATATTTGCAATTGAGACTGTCCCAGAAAATCTGGGACAAATAAATGATTGCTGTAAACTGTCGATGTAAAAAATATTGAAAGGACTCTTGCCAGTTACCATTGCTGCTTGTTTAAAAACTGCACAAAACACAATTTCTCTCTTCCACTTTGCCATTTCTTTTTTTTTTTTTTCCTAAAGTAAAGTATACATGTATTATTTTCTTTCTTGGAAATAAAAGTAAGGAGAAAAGGGACAATTAACTATCAAAAGGAATGTGTCAGGGCCGATAAAGACACAGAGAAGCCAAGGACACGAATGGTCATTTCTCCCACAATCATCATAAAAAGGACAATGTATCTGTGATGACATCAGGATAACTGGGGTGATGAATGGCAGACACTGGACTGGGAGAACTGCAGACACAGAAATCAAATAGTTTCCTCATAAAGCAAAACTCCGAGGAAATGAATGTCTCGCTAAAAACAAAGCAGCAATCTGGTGGCTGCTCTCAGGAAAGCTCCCTCACCACAGTCACAGGCAAAGAAAAAAAAAATCTAATAGAAAATTTTTATCATTTAATGGCAGGAAGGGGCCATTAGCATCCAATATGCCAAGAGGCACACCTTACAGAAATATTTCTTGGATTTGTAATTAACTCTTCAAAGTGCTAAATCTGCTTAAAGAAAAAAAAAAGCCCCCTGACAGTTTAAAGGTGGAAGCAGTTCTTTTTTAATGTACAACTTATCAAGATTTACCAGGCACGGGGAAACTCACCGGCCAATTAACATCCTTGGAAACTGCTTTACTGAAGAAAGGCAAAATGGGCAGTTTAATTACATAGGCATATGTGCCCTTATTTCTCTAATTTCTCAATTAATGGGTCTACAAATCGCTTGGAGGAGAATAATTCAGTAGCCTAACATCCCAGCAGGAGACATTAGCTCCGTTAGCGCTGACAATTTTTTTCTTTAAAAATAAATGTAAGTAAGTTGTGTCTATTGCTTTCCAACTAGAAAATTATTCCCCTGTACAAATGGGCCCTTGATAAGAAACTACTGGAGCAGTAGGTCTCTATAGGAGACTGTTTTTGGAAGTACCTGCAACACACAGGGAAATGTGTGGTCCCGGGAGAACAAGGATGTGCAATGGACGCACAGAATGAGGGGACAGGGGCGATTTACTAATGAATCAGACAAGATCAATTACTGACTTCACTGTGCAGTATGAAGACGAGAAATATCGATGCACTAATTCTTGGCTTCTCTGGGGCTAGAGGCTGGGCCAACACTAACTTGGTGATCAGAGTGGCCGTAAGTGGGAGCCCTGTTAAAGAATATTTTTTTTTTTTTTTTTTTTTTTTTTTGAGACGGAGTCTTGCTCTGTCACCCAGGCTGGAGTACAGTGGCACCATCTCGGCTCACTGCAAGCTCCACCTCCTGGGTTCACGCCATTCTCCTGCCTCAGCCTCCCCGACAGCTGGGACTACAGGCACATGCCACCACGCCCAGCTAATTTTTTTGTATTTTTAGTAGAGACGGGGTTTCACCGTGTTAGCCAGGATGGTCTTGATCTCCTGACCTCGTGATCCGCCCACCTCGGACTCCCAAAGTGCTGGGATTACAGGCGTGAGCCACCACGCCCGGCCTGTTGAAGAAGATTTTAATATTGTTTCTATTTTTCCTTGTACTCCTACAAGGAAAATTTCAAGACCCTGTGTATTTATTTCTTGAAGAAATATATCTGATGATTCCATATTTTCATTGCATTGGAAAATGAGAGATAGTTTCCTGTGGTAATATGCCAGGAACAATTGTTTTCTTCTTACAAGAGCTGTGCCACTTTTGCATGAATGGGTAAACTTGACAGTGAGAGTCAGAGTTGCCTTCAGGTTAGGTCCCATAACCGCTATGTTTAACTGAGCAAGTACTTGCAAGTTCCTATCATGGGATTTATTCCACACTTTAACCTTCCCCCAAGTCAATCATTTTGCTGCTTCTGGGTGAACCTGGTTGAAGTGCAGTTTCCTTTGGATTTAGTAATAAGAAGTCTACCCTCTTTAGCCCCTAATCAGAACATGAACGCTCAGAATTCTGATGGGATTTGTAGTTTGTTCCAGAATGGGCTTTGAAAAGTGAAATTTCATTAGGGCAGGGCGACAAGATGGAACATCTACCTTTTCAGTTTCCCCTGCTGCCCCAGGCCACAAGGTCAGTCAGTGGACTAGAAAGCGCAGGGGCTGTGGAGACAGAAGACAGCTCTGAGACCTTGGCTGTGCACAGCACTTAGCAGAGTGCAGCTGGCTTGTCTGATCTCAGGATTGCCTCCCTTGTCCTGGATTCCAGCTGGCCAAGGTGTTGAGCAAGTAGTAAATTGCAGTCTAAGGCTAGGAGCCTCAGAAGCATTACACAGGCCACCCCCAGCTTACAAGGTCCTTGGGTTTTTAAGCTCACTTGTTAGTCACTAGTTAAAAACTTGGAATACATACTACATTCCCAGGCCAAACCACAAAAGCTTATTTAAGCTGTAATATAACTGAAATAAAATATGATAAAATCAAGTTTTTCATGTATGTTAAAACCTTATTCTTGAGGGAAATCTGGCATACCTAGAAAGGCAGAGAAGGACTTGAGGGATTCTAAAAAAGGCCTCCTTATCACTTTGAAGGACTTCCATGGCTCTGGTTCCTCATTCTGTCTAAGCAAATGTCGAAACATCCAGCTTTCTTTTCCTTCATGTGTCTCTAGCAGATCTTTATCATTCTGTTTAAGACTTGAGAGTTTTTCCCCTTCACTCATAAATGGAACAAAGAGAGAGGAGGAGAAATGGAAGTAATACAAAAGAAGATAAAATAGTAAGGTGCCTTGTGGTGAAATTAAAGGGATGATAGAAAAAAAAAAAGAAAAGGGAAATAACTTGCAAACCCCTTCTGTCTGTAATAAGGAGGGCTGGAAGGCACGTGGTTTCAGAATGGTGGGAAGAAGAGAAGGTAGAGTTTTGGGCGATATGAAGGACTTGTTGATGATATTACAGAAAGATGTCAACAGTGTGGCCGATTCTAGCCTCCAGAGGTAGTTGTGAAAATCTCTCCCATCCCACATGCTCCTGGAAGGGAAGAGGTTCAGGTCTCCTCCCCCTTGAATCTGAGTGAGCTTGCGACTCACACGTAACCAGTAGAACGCAGCCTGAGTAACGCTGTGTGACATCTGAGACCTGTCACAAGAAGAGATGCAGCTTCCTCCCTTTCTGCTGTGACACTGACTTTTGGAACCCAATTACCCTGAAGATCCCACTGGGTGAGGAAGCCCAGGCCACATGGAGAACCCATCTGTAGGCACTCCTGCCAAGCCCCTGCCCAGGCCCCAGACATGTGCATAAAGCAGCCTCCAGGTCATTCCAGCCCCCAGCCTTGGAGTCACCCCCAGACCACCAAGTCTTCAGCTGAGGCCCCAGACATCATGGAACAGGAGCAAACCATCTCTGTCATGCCTTTCCTGAATTCCTGACCCACAGAATTCATCGTTTCCATTTTATACTAAATTTGGGGCTGTTTGCAGCAAAAAAACACCTGGAATACATAGCAATCATCATTCTTATTGAAAATAATTGTTCCATTTGTTATTTCTGATACTATTTTCAAACTAGGCTTATAATACTCTTATAACAGAGAAATGACCCAAAACCTTCTAACCCTTGGGAAGTTGGACTCACTGTCATCTAATGGCAACACCCTTTAAATAGTTAGATTTCCTGACTCTGCAATGAACTCTTATCTATTTAAAGAAACTTTTTTTTTTTTTTTTTTTTTTGAGAGGGAGTCTCGCTCTGTCGCCCAGGCTGGAGTGCAGTAGCCCAATCTCAGCTCACTGCAAGCTCCGCCTCCCAGGTTCACGCCATTCTCCTGCCTCAGCCTCCCGAGTAGCTGCGACTACAGACGCCCACCACCACACCGGGCTAATTTTTTGTAATTTTAGTAGAGACAGGGTTTCACTGTGTTAGCTTTTTTCTTTATGGGACAGCGCCCCTTGCTTGGAGGCTTTGGACTCAGTTCTAACAAGCACGGTTATCCAGTTTCCCAGACCACGGCAGATGCAGAGGAAACCCAAGGAGGTGAAAGAGGTGCCACTCGCTGCTGGAGGCTATGATGGTGGCTGGCTAGGGTGCAGGCTGAAAATGACCTTCTTGACAACCCTAGCGGTGGGTACTAATTATTATTAACACCTTTTATTAGAAAAAAAACCCTGATGCTTAGGGAGGCTAAGTAATTTGTCTGATCCTCAATTTGAACCTAGGCAGCCTCCCTTGTTAACCAACCAGTAGGATGTGATTCCTTTTGCTATACATCTCCTCTGGGCAAGTCAGAGTAAAAGCAAAAAGTAAATATACTGATGCTGAAGATGGTCTCGATCTCCTGACCTCGTGATCTACCTGCCTTGGCCTCCTAAAGTGCTGGGATTACAGGCGTGAGCCACCGCACCTGGCTTTAAAGAAACTATTTATGAGGAAGGTGAAAGGCCTGGACGACTTTCAAATGAGAAGGAGCATGAGTCAGAGTTGGAGTTAGCAAAGCCTTAGAGTCACCTCAGCCCACCAGCCAATTCTCAATTCCAAGTGCATTGAGTTTGAATCCACCAACGTGCAACTCACTGACCCCAAGACAGCCTGTTTCATCTTTGGACATTTCAGACTGGTGAAACAGTGTTCCTTGCATTGATCCCAAACTGTCTACTTAAAGTTTTCACACTTTGGACTTAATTTTACTCTAAAGCCCAAGTCTAATCTCTTTTTTCAAAAGTTTAGTGGAGCATGAATGGAGAACATCAGAATTAACATTATTTTTGCAGACAGCATTTAAGTGCTGTGTACTGGACTTCCCCACCACCCCACCACCATTTTAACTATTATAAAGTGTATAATCCACTGGCCATTAGTGCATTTACAGTGCTGTACAATTGCTACCTCTACCTAGTTCCAATACATTAACTCTTAAACTCACCCTTCTCTCAAGTCTTCTTCATTAAGGTTCTCATCTTTAAGAGTTTCTTCTTTTTGTCAAGAAATAACAGATGTTGGCAAGGTTGCAGAGAGACAGGAATGCTTTTACACTGTTGGTGGTAATGTAAATTAGTTCAACCATTGTGGAAGACAGGGTGGTGATTCCTCAAAGATCTAGAACCAGAAATACCATTTGACCCAGCAATCCCATTACTGGATATATACTCAAAGGAATATAAATCATTCTGTTACAAAGATACATGCACATGTATGTTCACTGCAGCTCTATTCACAATAGGAAAGTCATGGAATCAACCCAAATGCCCATCAATGATAGACTGGATAAAGAAAATGTGGTACATGTACACCATGGAATACTCTGCAGTCATAAAAAGGAACGAGATCATGTCCTTTGCAGGGACATGGATGGAGCTCAAAGCCATTATCCTCAGCAAACTAACAGGAACAGAAAACCAAACATCGCATGTACTCACTTCTAAGTGAGAGCTGAACAATGAGAATGCATGGATAGAGGGAGGGGAACATCACACACAGGGGCCTGTCAAGGGGTAGGGTGTGGGGAGGGAGAGCATTAGGAAAAATAGCTGATGCATGCGGGGCTGAATACTTAGGTGATGAGTTGATAGATGCAACAAACCACTATGGCACATGTTTACTTATATAACCAACCTGCACTTCCTGCACATGTACCTTGGAACCTAAAATAAAAATTAAAAAAACAAACCACCACAAAAAAAACAACAAAAAAGAATTTCTTCTTTTCTCCTCACAGAACAAGGTGTTGAGCTCCCACTTCAGGACTCCTCATCCTTCCAGCCTTGAGTTGAGATGGAATCAGACTGGTTGGAATTACCTACACTAGGGGACTCGAATTAGGCCTTCTAGTTGGTCATTTCTCTTCTCCATTGAAAGGGTCAAAGTGGGCCAATAAGATGGGTAGAGATTTGCTCATAACATATCTGCAGGTGCTCGGAAGTTGATAGTGCTTCAAGTCTCTGACCTCCTGGAGGTCACTCTAGAACACTCTAGGGAAACTTCTCTGAAGGCCAGTCCAAGAAGAACCCTGGTGGTACCAAGGAATGTTTTAATGACAGCGAAAATTCATGCACCCTGAAATATTAGAGGAAGAACTCAGATCATCTGACCCAATCTACTCATTTTACAGATGGGAGAAACTGAGACCTAGACAAGCAAATTCTACTATTAATAGAATGAAAGAGAAAAATCATATGATCATTTCAACAAATGCCTCAAAAGTATTTTATAATACTCAACACTCACTCAAAATAAAAACTTCAAACTAAGATGAAATGGAAACTTCCTTAGTATAATACAAAAATCCTACAGCCAATATACTAAATGTTGAAATACTGAAGATTTTCACTATGAGATCAGAACAGAACAAGGATGTCCATTATCATCATTTCTATTTAACATTGTATTAGTGGTATTATGCAGTATAATAAGGCACGAAAAAATAAAGGATATAAAAATTGAAAATAATAAATGTCTGTCAGTATTTGCACACAACCTGATTATGTTCAGATAATCTATTAGGATTAATACACATATTTAGCCAAAATGGTTTAAAGGTAAATATTTAAAAATTAACTGCATTTCTATATACTAGCAGCAAGCAATTATAAAATAAAAATGGAAATATAATAGCATTTACATTAGCATAAAAAATAAAACATAGAAACAAATCTAACAAAGGATCTCTTAAACAGGAAACTACCAAATGGTTACTGAGAGAAGTTTAAGAAGTCCTAAAATAGTTGTGGTCATGTACAAAGTTCATGGATTAGAAGACTTAAAATTATAGAGATACCAATTGCCATCCAAATTGATCCATAAATTCAATGCAATCCAAATAAAACTTCGGGTAGCATTTTGGGGCAGCTCACAATCTGATTTTAAAATTTCCACAGAAATGCAATAGGTTGAGAATAGCACTGATGATTTTTATTTATTTATTTATTTTTTGGTCAAACTTGTTTCTCTTGCTAAGCACTGCTAAAATTGAAAAACAGAGTTGAATAACTCACAATGCTATCAAGAATTACTATAAAGTTACACATATTACAACAGTAAAGCGTTGGCACAAGGATATACAAATAGACAATGGAACCAAGTAGAGTCCAGAAACTGACTTATACACACAGAGTCACCTGCTCTGCAACACAGATGACACTGACGTGCAGGGGTTGGGAGTGGTGACAGTCTTTTCAATAACTGGAGCTGGACCAATTCCATAGCAATATCAGTGAAAAAATCTTAATTCTTACCTCATGTTATACTCAAATATCAACTCCAGAGGAAGTTGGAATAGTGGTTACTTTTTGGGAGTGTGATTTCTAGGAGGGTCATGAAAGAGCCTTCTGTAATGCTGGTAATGTTTCACATCTTCATTTCTATTGTGGTTTATTAGGTGTGTTTGCTTTGTGAATACGCATCAAGCTTACTCTTAAGATTTGTGCACTCTTCCATATGTGTGGTATCATTTTAATTAAAAATTACTGAAATCTGTATATTAGGCATATGTTTTATTATTAGGTTGGTGCAAAAGCAACTGTGGTTTTTGCCATTACTTTTAATAGCAAAAATACTTCACATTTTCCTTTATGCTTGGAAACCTTTATAAGAATAATAATCCATATATGCTAGGCAATGTAAGGAACACCAATATAGACATGTGATAGTCTGCTGTGATGCTATAAATTGGCTGGGTAATGAGCACATCTGTCCTCTGCAGCCTCAGGACAGAAAAATCACTCTTTTTTTTCCAAATTCAACATCTGGTTATGTCACCTCTCATTTGCAGGCTTTCCATTGCTTACAGGAGTAAGCTCAAAAACTCCTGAGCAAGATATATATAAAAATCACTGTTTCCAGTGCAGTCTTACTCCCAGATGTATATGCCTCCCTCAGTGTCACACTCCTCTGCCCCAATCCATTCCTCTCCACTGAATGGGCCAGTTATGTGGAAATGCCCAAAGTGTGGTTGCATCTCTGTATCTTTGCTGCTGCCCTAGTTTGTAATAATGCCCCTCTCTTCCACCTCAGCCTGTCAGACTCCTACTAGCCTTTTAAAATCCCAATTCATAGACTTCTTTTTCCCTGAAGTCTTCCTTAACACTCCCAAGTAGAGCAGAGCTTTCCCTTCTTTATACTACTGCTTTGCCTTATATTTGCAATGATTTGTGGTTTTTACTAGTTTTAAATGCAAAATGCATAAGCGACACAGACTATCTTCTTTAAAAATGAAAATATTCATAAGGTTGCAGGACACAAAATCAACACAAATGTAATTTTTGTAACCAGTTACATTTATATACACTAACAATGAACTATCCAGAAAAGATTAAGCAAACAATCTCATTTATAGTAGCATCAAAAAGAAAAAAAAAATACCTAGAGTAAACTTAACCAAGGACGTGAAGGATCTGTACACTGAAACCTATAAAACATTGATGAGAGAAATTGAAGGAGACCAAATAAATGGAAAGATATCCTGTATTTATGGATTGCCAGAATTAATATTTTTAAAATGTCAAACTACCTGCCTTAGTCTGCTTGAATTCCTATAAATAAATACCTGAGGCTGGGTAATTTATAAACAAAAGAGATTTATTTGGCTCATGGTTCTGCAGGCTGTACTAGAAGCATGGCACCAACATCTGCTTCTGGTGAGGACCTCAAGAAGCTTCCAATCATAGCAGAAGGGGAAGGGGAGTCAGCATATGACGTGACAAGAGAGGGAGTGAGAGAGAAGGAAGTGCCAGTGTCTTTTTAACAACAAGATCTCACAGGAACTAACGGAGTGAGAAGTCACTCATTACCCCAAGGACAGCACCAGGCTAGTCATGAGAGATCCACCCCCCATGACCCAAACACCTCTCACCAGGCCCCACCTCCAACATTAGAGATCCAATTTCAGCATGAAATTTGAAATTTGGAGGGGACATATATCCAAACTATATCACTACCCAAAGCAATCTACAGTTTCAAAGTAATTCCTATCAAAATTCGAATGGGATTTTTCTTAGAAATAGAAAAAGTAATCCTAAAATTCATATGAAACCATAAAAGTCCCCAAAGAGCCAAATAATCTTGAGCAAGAAGAACAAAGCTAGAGGCATCACACTTCCTGATTTCAGAATATATTGCAAAGCTACAGTAATCAAAACAGTATGGTACTGGCATAAAAACAGACATATGGACCAGTGGAACAGAATAAACAGACCAGAAATAAATCCACACATTTACAGCCAACTGAACGTCAACAGGGTGCCAAGAACACACAATGGAGAAAGGATAGCTCTTCAATAAATGATATTGGGGAAAAAAAGGTTAAACTCTTTTTTGACCACAATTCTTCATTCATGTTCCCTCTCCTCCCACGTGTCTAGGGGTAACTACTGCTATGAGTTTGGTGTGTATCTCTAGGGTCCTTCTCTCCAAGACTCTGTGTCCTAGAGACCTGTCTGTATTTTTACCTATGGAAGTAGATCCTTTCTATTAACAGCTATATAAAATTGCATAGTGTGCATATACCACATTTTATTTAGCAGTTATTATATTGATGAATATTTGGGTTGTTTCCATTTTTTTTAGCCCAATCATACTACAGTAAACATTTGTAGCTGCATCTTTCCACATATGTGTGGACATTTCTTTAGCTAGCCCCTGAAAAATGCAATTGCTAAATCATAAGTTATGTGGCAGTTTTTTCTTCTTTTCCTTTTTGTTGTTGTTGTTGTTGTTGTTGTTGTTGTTTTTCACCCAGGCTGGAGTGCAATGATGTGAACTCGGCTCACTGCAACCTCCACCTCCCAGATTCAAGCTATTCTCCTGCCTCAGCCTCCTGAGTAGCTGGGATTACAGGTGGCTGCCACCACGCCCAGCTAATTTTTTGTATTTTGGGTAGAGATGGGGTTTCACAATGTTGGCCAGGCTGGTCTCGAATTCTTGACCTCAGGTGATCCGCCCACCTCAGCCTCCCAAAGTGCTGGGATTACAGGCCACCACTCCCAGTCAGCAGTGTTAAAAGTAATTCTATCTCAGCTAGCTAGATGGTGAGCTGCTGTCTTTGTTTTTGTAACTGTAAGCTTACACAGAACCTGATGTGTGTATACTATAGGACCCAGCAATCCTACTTAGTGTAGTAAAGGGCTCAATGAATAGGGAATGAATTAATGAGTGAAAAGATGGATGATTTTTCAAGGTAATAGATTTGGCTCAGTTCTTACTAATATGATATTTCCTGTCAGAACTTTGAAAATTAATAAGGATCAATTAGAGAAAAAAACCAAACCCTCCAATATGATGCCATAAATGAAGTGGGCATTAAAGTATATGTCGATAAGATGATTTTAAGGCGATGAAATGGTGAGACTACAGCTTTTATGGGCAAGACCCTTACCACAGTATCTAACAGGATAATGATGACAGACCTGGTTTTGGCAAGCACAATGTACAGAGCAACATGCAGTGGCCAGCGAGGTAGGTGCTTCCTGTCCCTCATTATATACTGGTACTTGGAACGCCAACCTTGCTCTTTGTGGCTGTAATGCTGGTCATGATTTCCAAGAACAAATGGACATGGACGGATATTTTCTCAATTATTCTCTAATTTTTTACCTTCCAGTTACTTGGTAAACATTTTAAAAATATATTACCCAAAAGGACACTGATGAAAGCAGCTTGTTCTTGGTGTAGAAGCCACGTCCAGGGCCGGAAGACAGCACACAGGGAGAGTGCCTGATGTGCTCCGTGAGCACAGCCAGGGCATCGGGGCCTTCTTTTGGTTTTACCCAAATAAGGGAGTCAGAGTAACAGAAAGGCTCAGGTGCTCTGGCCCGGCCTTTAGGAGTTCCACTTACAGAATCAAACCAAAATTGGTGCTGTTGACATTTTGGCTAGATAATTCTTTGTCGTGGGGGACTGTCCTGTGCCTGGTAGGACATTTGGCAGCATCCCTGATCTCTATTCACTGAATGCCCGTAGCATCCCTCAGTTGTGACAACAACAAAAATATCTCCACACATGGCCAAATGTCCCCTGAAGACAAAATCGCCCCCAGGTGAGAATCACTGCATTAATTCCATTTTCCTGATTCACTTAAGAGATTCCTTTAAAATCCTTTAAAGACACGTTTAAAACTTTGTGGCTTTTTTTTCTTTTTCAACTTTTATTTTAGGATTAGAGGGTACATGTGCAGGTTTGTTACGAAGGTACATTGCGTGATGCTAAGGTTTGGGGTATGATTGAGCCCATAATCAACATAGTGAGCATGGTACCCAATAGGTAGTCTTTCAGTCTTTGCCCCACCTTTCTATAGTAGTCCCCCTTGTCTATTGTTCCCATCATTATGTACATGTGTACCCAATGTTTAGCTCTCACTTATAAGTGAGAACACATGGTATTTGGTTTTCTGTTTGTGGATTAGTTTACTTAGGAAAATGGCCTCCAGCTGCATCCATATTGCGGCGTAAGATGTGATTTCATTCTTCTTTATGGCTACATAGTATTCCATGGTATATATGTACCATGGTATATATGGCTACATAGTATTCCATGGTATTCCATTTTAAATACCAAGGCCACTGTTGATGGGCACCTGGGTTGATTCCATGTTTTTGCTATTGTGAGTAGCATTGCAGTGAACATACGGGTTCATGTGTCCTTTTGGTAGAATGATTCATTTTCCTGAGAGTGTATATCCAATAATTGGATTGCTGGGCCGAATGGTAGTTCAACTCTTAGTTTTTTGGTTATTTTGATTATCTTGCTCTTTTAGATTATTTTGTACATGTGTACTTATTTGTACATGAATTTACACTGGAAGTGTGCAGTGCAGAGGCAGCACAACAGGTCTTAAGTTGGATCCTCCAATTTCTAGCTTTGTGACTTCAGGTAAGTCATCTAACTTCTCTGAGCCTTAGTTAACCTCTGCAAAATGGAGATACTACAGTGCTTGCCTCAGAAGGTTTTTGTGAGGGTCAGATGAAATGATATGCGTGTAAAGTTCCATAACTGCAGTTTCTTCTAAAAGTCATAATAATTTTATAACCCCATGTATGCATGTATTGTTATTCATTAATTTAAAAAATACATGACTAAAGATTATTGTATAATCAGTCATACTTTTAAAAGAATTTGTATTTGAAATATTATAGTACATATAAGTGCCAGGCATTACATTTATTCAATATATAGGACAATGCTTAGCGTCTGTGTGAATTCTCAGACCTCATTCAATAATCCAATGCCCTCAGGGCTTTGGGGGCTGCAGACTAAAGGTAACTAAACTGCCTTGAACACCTCTGAATTGTTTACTTGCATTGCTCTTTGTAAGAGAAAGACCTTCACTTCCCATCTTCTGGCCAGGACACATCAATGAGAAATTTCTCCTAGGTGGAGTTTACCCTCCCACTGCTTCAGGGAAGTCTAGAGGTGAAGCTTCTGCTGCTCTTGCTCACCCTAAGTCCACCTGCCACCTGCACATAGAGAGTGCTGCCTCACACCCTCTGGCCTCATTCCCCTGGGAGCTCTTGCTCTTCCTTGCCTTCTTTTGGGGTTAGCTTTCTCAGTCCCGATCTCCATGACCCCAAGAGCAGCCTGTAGCTCTGAGATAACCTGCCTTTCATTTCAGTCTCAAGGCCAAGCTACACTGTGCATGAGAACACAGCCACTGGGCTCCCAACTCACTCCTGCCTACAGGCCTTGCAGCAGATGCTATGAACCAGTCATCCATATCATGTGGCACTCACCTCTATACACCAAAGACTGCTAACCGTGAACACTTGTGACTCTCTGCCCAGGGACATTTCAGCCTGTAAAAAGGAGTTTGTGGCCTCAGAGCAGATGAGCTCCAGCATGGCCTGACTGCACAAAACACACTTCATTTTCTTCCTGTCCCTTCCCTGTCTCACTTCCCTATATCTACCGGTGTTTCCAGGGATCATCTCACAAGAAAAGTGCTTATATTCAATCCTTATCTCCAGCTTGGGTTCTGGGGGAGGCCAAACCCAGACGAAGGCCCCCTCAAAACTGTATTATTATTTTTTCAAAACAATTACCTTTGGATTTAAAAAAATGTTTTTCAGATTTAACCATTAACTTGAGGACAGAGCAAAGCTAGTGAAAGGAAGTTGAGGTTAAAAGTGTAGGCACCAGCTGATGAACAGTATGCGGTAGATATGAATGATAAAACCAGACACTTCAGAGTAGGGAAAAATCTGTTCTGTGATTTAATCTAACTTCCTCATTTTACAGAAATGGAGATGGGGCTCAGAGTCCCACAGCCTCCCACTGGCAGGCCCGAGTATCATCTGAAGCCACCCAGCTCTGTGCCTGCCTGCAGCCCCAGACCTCCAGCTTTCTACTAACGTCAGCATTGCCTGCCCTGGGGCAACCCCTGTTTCTCCATGTGTCTCCTCTGGGTCTGGTCATGATGCCTGGGGAGCCAATGCTGCTTTGCTGTGTTGTATCATTTGGGATCAACTTGCCTGACTCTTACAAAGGACTTGAAACCTTGGGGTATGGCCCTGTTGGGGGAGGTCACTGGCAGGACCACGGTAATATCCAAAGGGCAGGGGCCTATGTCAGCTCCAGCTACTCCACCACCCCGAATCCAGAAAATCCTCCTCCTGTTCTTACCGTGGCTCTCCGGCTGTCTCCCCAACCTGCAGCTCTAACTCCCCAGGCCCTGACCTCTATCCTAACCCCTCCCTACTCATCCCAATCCAAAAGCTTTCAGGAGAAGCTTGCATTTCTTGTTTGCAGCAGGACGCTCCTTAAAGAAGCTTACCTTTTTACCCCTACCCCCAAAGCTTTGATGAGCTATTTAACAGTAATTATTTAATCTTTCCTTGTGGACAGTTCTCTGTGCATTCACCCAGGCTGGAGTGTGTGCTTTTTGCCCTTTTGTGACTTGATCAGAACCCCAAGATTTTTCCTCCCAGCATGTTTCCTCCTCTCATGCATACGATGCCTGAAAAGAAATACATATTCTTAAATGATGCTGTCACCTCTCACTCAGAGGAGGAATAAATGTGCCAGAAAGCATTCACAGCTAATTCTGTGGAACAACTGGGACATTTAATAGCTAGCATTTTGTTGGCTCCATAGGGAAGTTAATGATTTGATTTGATTTATTGAGGAGTTTTGTTTGTTATGCTTTGCTGTGTTTCGCCTCCATGCAGAGAAGGAGAAAATGACAAAAGAAGTGTAAGACCCAGGTAGAGCTCTCTTTTAAGGCAGCATTTCTCAACCTCAGCGCTATTCATAGTTGGAATGAATAATTCTTTTTTGCAGGGGCCTGTGCTGTGCATCAGAGGATGTTGAGCAGTGTCCCTGGCCTCTACCCAGCAGATGCCAATAGCACCCTCCTTTCCAACTGTGACAATCAAAAATGTCTCCAGACATTGCCAAATGCCTCCTTGGAGCCAAAACCACCCCTGGTTGAAACCACTGCCTTAGGGTCATCTCATTTTGATTATTCAGATAGCACATCATCAAATAACCTTCTGCTCCATCTCAGCTTTTCTCCAATAAGTCTAAACCTTAGTTAAGGGATTGCCACTTACTGGTTATCAGATGTGGCTTTTTAGCTACATCTGAATCTGCCTATAAATTAATAATACATAGATAATCTAGTTTATAAATCTATTGTTAGTTTAGCTTAAGTGAGTCCCTCTTCCAGACATGAATATACACTGAAGTAAAAAAAAAAATTAAGTTTCTGAATCAATAAAACTGACCATCAAAACCTGTGCCAAGGAATTTTGGCTGAAAGACCTGTAACAGCCACACAGGCTGGATCTTACATCCCAAGCAGGAAGAGGGTGCTTAGGAAAAGATACAAGGAATAACTACACACATCTACATAGAAAATTACATACGGCCTGTCTTGACTCAACTTGTGTTTCCATAAACTAATTAGCCTATCTGTGATTGGTAAATTTTTGGTTACCAATCACATGTAACTTAATGACGTGGAAGCTGTCTTGGTTCAGGTGTGTTTTTTTCCCAAGGTGAAGGGAGCCAGAGAGGAGAGAGTCAGTAGAATTAGAACCTCCAACGGGAAGAGAAGAACCTTTGGCTTGCCCATGGGACTAGTAGGAGCCCAGTCAGATCTAGTGTATCATGCTGTAACAGAAAAACCTATTGTCACAGGAAAAGAAAAGGCTGGAAAACATCTAAGCAGGGAATGCTGTGGCCGATGAATAGGCATGGTGGGGGTCCCCTCACGAGGATTCCGGTGAATATGAGGTACTAGTAATTACAGACTTCTCTACTTCCTTCTATGATTTAGGAGATAAATAAAATTCAAGATACCTCAGGCTCTCAGCAAGTCACAAGAAAACAAGAAAACATGATGCTGTCTGAGCAATTGGTACAGGAAGCCTGGACACATTGCTGAGGAAATCAGAACTTCTTTGCAAAAGGCAAGTTCACGTCTCTTCCCAGTACGTAGATATTATGATGCTGACAGCTCCTGATATCACCTTCATCTCTGTTTTACTAAGCATCATGTTTTTCCTGTATTATGATCCAGATGGTGACAATCTGTGGCCAAGATGCTGCCGGGAGATGATTACAGGCACAGGAGAGGAGTTTCAGGCAGGTCAGTGAGTTCATGTGTATTTCAGATGAAGGGGTTGTCATCCACGTCAATATTTAAATAAATTCTTCCTGGTGCCTAAGTGAACTCTTGAATAGCTGACATTCTGTTAACCAGAATTCTCTACTAACTGTCACTTCTGCACATCTGTTGCCCAAATATGATTGGCGGTTGTAGTGAAGATGCTCTAGGATTTCACGGGATTCTCATAAATCATCCAAGAAAATTTGGATGAGGTTGAGAATCATTTTAGGGCTTAATTCATTTTTTCTGGGTTCAAATTTTTTTCTGGGTTAAATTTTTTAAAAATTGATATTCTAGGTATAAAACACATATGGTGATCCTCTATAAGCTGCTCAGTGGCAGAAAATAGCTGTCCAGTTGCTAGGTTTATTTTAATTTGCTTATCCAAATGTTCAGACAGCAGCCTCAAAGCTCAACTCTTATTATTACAACCAAAGATCAAATTATGGAGTTGCAATAATGATGGGAAAATATCTTGATTTCTGCTTTTGAAGGGGGTTCTTGTAGTCTGTCTTCACTAATGGAAAGACTCAGCCTATACCATTGTGACAAAATGTGGGATTTCAGGGGCTGATGTATATAAGGCGGGGCCTCACACATTCATCTGAGTGATTGTGCACTGTTTATAATATTTTTTTTTTGAGACAGGGTCTCATTCTGTTGCCCAGGCTGGAGTGCAGTGGCGTGATCACAGCTTATTGCAGCTTCTATCTCCTTGGCTCAAGAGATCCTCCCACCTCAGCCTCCCCAGTAACTGGGACCACAGGCATGAGCCACCATGCCCAGCTAATTTTTATATTTTTAGTAGAGACAGGGTTTTACCATGTTGCCCAGGCTGGTCTCAAACTCCTGAGCTCAAGTCATCCACCTGCCTCTACCTCCCAAAGTTCTGGTATTACAAGCATGAGCCACTGCACCAGCCTATATTGATTTCTATATGAATTAACAAAGAAAATCTTGGCCATGACTACACAGATAGATTAGCAGTGGAAATGATGCTTTCCTAGCCAATGCAAATACTAAATATTAAAACATATGTGGCTGAGGTGGAGACAGAGCGATTACAAGGTATCCTTGTATCATTGACGAAGGAGAATAAAGAGCAAGAGCCAGAGGCCTCGGGATTCCGAAGCATAATCCTGGCTCATTCCCTGACTTTTTTCCTTTACAAACACTGGAAAACAAATAGTGCAGTGAGATTCCCTATCTCAATTCATTGGAACTGACTTGCTACTTCTAGGTCAAGCCAAATGGATTAGAGAACAAACTAGGTAGGCCATAGGAATGTCTACGGGGGATCAATTTTTTTTCTCCTGTGCCATTTGAATTGGGGGCTTGACTGAGCCTTTAGACACTCCATCCAAAAGATGTCTCTTGTGAGGGCATTGGCTTTCTTCTCTAAAGAGAGGTTAACAATATATCCTCTATAACAGAAGTTTGGAGGAATAATTAATAATAATAATAATAAATTGTTCAAAAGCTAAGCACCAATCATGAAAAAAAGTTTATCTTGGTAGCCATTAGCTTTAAGCATGCACTTCTGGCAAACCACCAGAAAAATGCCATACTTTTATCTTGCTGGTGTGTGTGCTTGGAAATAGAGGAATTTTCTTTGGCAGAAAATTCCTAGAAAAATTTTATTTTCAAAGACTAGCCAGTTCTGGGTCAGACAGAGGAAGCATACCACACCTTGTGTCTCCTGCTGAATGCAGTTACAAATCTTGGAAAGAAGGCAGTGAGGAGTAATTTGAGGGCTCCGGGAAATAAGTGCTTTGCAGAAAATGTAAGCCATTAAATGCTTATATTAGAAAAGAAAAAAGTCTCAAATCAACAATGGAAATTTCTCCTTAAGAAAGTAGAAAATAAGAGCAAAATAAAACTAAGCAAACAGAAGAAAAAAAATAAATGGCAGAAGTAAATGAAGTTGAAAACAGAAAAGCAAAACTAGTGAGACAAAAGCTTGGTTTTTTTGGAAAGAGCAACAAAAATGGTAAGTTTTTAGCAAGACTGATAGAAAAAGGAGAGAAAGAGAAAAGAGACAAAAAAGAAACAAATTACCATGATCATAAATGAAAGAGAGGAAATCATTACAAGCCCCACAGACATTAAAAGGATAGCAAGCAATACGACAGGCAACTCTACACATATAAATATGGCAACTTAGATTTAATGAGGTAATTCCTCAAACTATCAAAACTCATCTTTGATGAAATAGATAACCTGAATAGTACTATATCTGTACTTTTATCAAAAAATAAATAAAATAAATAATTTATCTACAAATAAATTTTTAGATAAAGACCTCCTGAAAAAGTAATCTCCAGGCCCAAATGGTTTGGTGGGCAAATTCTATCAAACATTTAAAGAAGAAATAACATTAATTCTACACATTCTCTTCCAGAAAACAAAAGAAGAGGGAACATTTCACAACTCATTTTATGAAGCCAGCATTACCTTGGTACCAAAACTGGGCAAAGACAGTACAATAAAATTTCAGACCAGTATCCTTCATGAACATAGACACAAACACAATCAACAAAATATTTCAGCAACATTCATCAACAAATTCAAATCCAACAATACATTAAAAGGAACAATACACCATGGCAAGGGCAATTTATCCCAAGAATGTAAGGTTTGTTCATCAAAAATGAATCAATGGAACTGTCAAACTATCAGTATGAAGAAGAAAGAAACACATGATCATATTAATTGAAGCAGAAAAAGCATTTGGCAAACTAGAACATGTATTCATGGTAAAAACTTTCAGCAAACTAAGAATAAAAGAGAACTTCCCCAACTCTGTAAAGGGTGTCTACAAAAACCCTACAGCTAACATCCTACTCCATGCTGAAAGACTGAATGCCCCTTAATTCAGAATAAGACAAAGATATTCTCTTCCACCATCCAAATGTTCTTCAACTAATGGATGAATAAATAGGCCGTGGTAGATACATACAATGAAATTGTACTCAGCAGTAAAAAGGAACAAGCTATTGATACACATGACAGCCTGGATAACACTATGCTTAGTAAAAGGAAGCTAGTCTCAAAAATTTACAGATTGTATTATTCTATTTATTTGATGGTCTCAAAAAAAGCACTGGAAGACAGGTCAGAGGTTGCCAGGGATTATAGGTGGGGAAGGTGATGACCACAAAATACAGCATGAGGTGCTTTACTGAGGTGGTAGAGCTGTTCTTTATCCTGATTATGGCAGTGTTCACATGAATCTATACATGTGTTAAAATTCATAGAAATGTACACCAAAAAAGAAAAAAAGCATCCCTGAGAAATCCTTTAGGCCACCTGCATTTGTTCAAACAGGAGGATATGGAAGCCATTTCAGCCAGAATATATTGCTGGGGAAACAAATTCCATGACCTCTCCTGGCGCTAGTCCTAGAACCATCCAGCCTCCTGCCAACCACCACCTTCCTTTTCAGCGTCTCTTTCTCTGCCTCCTTCCTGCCATCTGCATCTCTGTGTGTTCACCTCCAAATCTGCTCCCAGAAAATATTCTTGTGTCAACCACTGGATATGAGTCAGTGAGTTACCTTGTTCCAAGTTGTCTGCATATTAAGTCTTCATTTTAAATACCTAATCAGAGTCTCTCCTTTAAGGGCATTCCAGGCACCTAAGAGCAGAAAGGAGTTGTTTTGGGAAATCCTTCCAGTGCCCATGAAATCACTTATGTAGGCAGCTGCCTATGGATAATGTTGGCCCCACTGCTGACTTTTTGGAACTTTCCATTGTTCTCAGCATTGCCTTTAAATTCGGGTTTTTTTGTTTGTTTGTTTTTTCCCACATGTCATAAAATGGCAGCCAGCAGAAATCAAGGCTCTGTGCCTCCTTACTCATATTTTGCAGGAGAAAGGCAGCATTAACGTATCTTTCAATCATGGAATATAGCTGAGTTTTTTCCCAGGAGATCCATGGTCGCCTCTAAGCCAATAACAATTGCCAAGAGAAGGAATGGGCTGTGTGTTGGACTAATTAACAGAGGGAAAATGTCTTTTACAGGGTCTTCATCAGTAGACACAGTAATGACGTTGGAACCTCTCAGACCCAGGTTCTAATCCTGGCTTTCTCTTAGTTATTTCAAGCTGACGATTTTCTGCTTAAAATAAAATTTTAGAAGTTATGCATGAAGCATTTGGTAGCTAGGAGGCACTCGATAAACGCTACTAAAATAATTATAACAACCCCAGAACCAGCTCATTTAGCTGCCAATATCTGAAAGCATCATAGTGATGGAAACAAATGTGAAGAGGAAGTGATGATGTGACAGGTACGGTGGAACTGAATGAGGAGAATAAGATATTTCTAATTCATTACTCTCTTAGGTGAAACTTAAGCCAAATAAGATATTTTTTAGTCCATTAGTCTGTGAAGTTTTTAGCAACCCCTAGTGTACAAAACAGCTTAGAAAAATTGTTTTTTTATTCACCCTCTGTATAGAAATACACTAGTGGGGGATCTGGAAATTATAGTAATTCACAGAAATCTGCATAAATAGGGAGACTAGAATTTTATTTCTTAGGCCTTAAGGGGGAAATAAAAACCTTCTACAGAAGTGGTTCCCATCCTTGGCTGCCCATTAGAATGACCTGGGGAGCTTTTAAAAGCCTTAAATGCCAGGTCATTAGACTCAGACCAATACCAGTAGAGTCTCAGAATGGGAGCCAGGTGGTTACAATGTAGAGTCAAGGTTGGGAGCTAGCGTGCTACAGGTATATGGTGCTTTTTGCTGATCTAGTTGAGCTTTACAAGAATGGACCACCTTATTAAAGAGCTTCCACTGAAGTCATTGAGATGATATATTCTGTTGAGTGCAAAAGCCTCTTAAAACGACACCCTACTGGGATCCTTAGCGAACATACAGCCACAAGTAGTTTTTAGGTAATCTCGACAGAGCTGAATTAATAATGTATTTCTGGTTTGGGTGAATAATTTCATACTTCAGCCCAGTAGGAGTTCCATCATTTCTTCTACAACTCTTCTCTATTTGCCACCCATGAATGAATTTTACATTCCCAGAGTTAAAGGCAGGGAAAGAACATCCTGAGAGATGAAGAGATTATGCAGAATAAAACACAAAGCTCTATTATTCAAATAAGTATTTGTGAAACAAAGAAACATTCACTCTAGCAACTTTGAGGAAATAGAATGTGGAAAGCAATTAGTCATCAACATTTAATTTCAAATTGAGAGCTTTGGCTAGCTGTTTTGCTGGAGGAACATGTATCTTCACTTAAAAGTGCACCTCAATTTAAATATGCCAAGTTTTCTCACTTTCACCTCTTCCCTGGAAGCCCATTTTGAGATTTATCAAATTGATGCCTTCTTATGTATTTACTGGCAGTGCATTTTAATCAACGAGTCTTCAAACAGTTTTGCTGAATTACAGGACTAGCTTAACTGCATTAAAATTGTCTGCTATAATTCTACACATAAAGAGAGGAATAGAGAGTTTAAAATTTTTCTAACAAATTCTCACAAGTAGACACTTGATGAATAAAAATTTAAAAATTCAATTTCAATAGAACTTCCCAAACCATTGCAAAATGGGTTATATAAAGAAAAGAAGGTTATTGTCAGTTTACTTTGAAAAAACATTGTGAGATGCCAGGAAAAACTTAAAAGAAGAAGAAAAAAATCATCAATGAGTGGTAATTTGATGACATACTGGATATGTATGTAGTCTCAAAATAACTTCCCGCAAATCACTTATTAATTCTAAGGGAGAAAGCCACAACTTTCCTGTAGAAAAACCTGGCAGACAATACCTAAAGGAGGTATCGCAACCCTCAGCCCTTGGGGAGGTTTTAGCTACCATGAAATCATATTATGGGAACTTACCTCCTCCCTTGAAACAGCCTTAGCAAAAACTGGTGCAAGTCTATCGGTGCTGGAAAAGTCTTTGGACTCACTAGCGGGAATGGCTTTTGATAATAGATGAGCCCCGGAATACCTCCTAGCTGAACAAGGAGGAGTCTGTGCTGTCGTCAGCAAAACCTGTTGCACCTACATTAATGTGTCTGGAAAAGTGGAAACTAAAGTGGCATCATTTGTCTGGGGTAATACCCAAGGTTTGTTGACTCATGCCAAGGAAATCAAGGATGTGGACACACGAAGAGTAAAGTTAAGAGTGGAGGTTTAATAAGTGAAAGAAAGAGAAAAGTTATCTCCTGCAGAGAGAAGGGTCCTGGAGAAGTGGGTTGCCACTTCCATGGTGAAATGCAGAAAGTTTTACAGATGAGCTTGAGGAGGTGGTGTCTGATTTACGTAGGGCAAAAGATTGGTTGGACCGGGCATGCCATTTGCATAGCATTCAAGAATCTGGCCACCCCCACCCCAATTTTTTATTATGCAGATGAATTCTCTACCTGGCCGGTGCCATGTTGCCTGCTGCTTTACTGTACATGTGGTGACAAAGAAAAGGGAAAATGGAGCCCCCGTGTTGAACACGCCTGGCTCTCAGGTAGCCTTTTCTATTGGCACAGCTGCCAGCATTCACCCGTGCAAGCTTCCAGCTTGCTTATCTATGCCTGCAGCTCGATTTTTCAGGCTGCTCTTTGTTAGAACAGAAATTATTTTTGGGGCTGCCTTTTGTTAAAAGAGAAATTCTGCTGAGGACTCTGTTGCTCTCACTATCTGCCTAAATAATTTCTTTCTAGCTCCTGTATCACTAATTTGAACATTAATGTTCAAATAAGCCAAATGGCTACACACACTTTCCCAAAGTAACCAAAACGTGCCAAAACCTTTACTGACTGGTTTCCAGAAATCACTTGGCTTCTCCCATTCCTTGGACCTTTATTCCTCGTTATTCTTCTTTTAATATTTGATCCTGCCTCTTTAAAACTCTCATTAAGTTTATATCTTCCAGATTACAAGGATTCCACCTGTAGATGACTAGGCAATCCCAATATCGGCCTGCAACAGCAACTTCCATTTACATGGGGCCTCTTGCTGGAATCCGGTCTTTCCCCATGAACAAGTTTCAAGTTTTTCATGATCTTTCATTCCCTTCATGACAGAGAGCAAGAAAGGGAAAAATGCAACTCATCCCCTCTATGGCCCCTTTCAGCAGGAAGTAGCCAGACAGACCCAATGCTCCTCTTCACTGTGCCATTTTCCCTTTCTTGAGACCGCAATAGGCAGCAGGTAGACATGAGGATGGAGGAATATAAAGCGGAAAAGATTCAACCAAGATATTTGTCAGGGGGAAAATGAGGAGAGCAAAGATCACCTGGTGGCCATCCAGCAGAACATCCAGAGGCAAAAATCTTTATCAGAAGTAACTGGACTTCCCTATTATCTAAAGCAAGCATCTGGTTCCAGGTTTCTTTCCCAAAAATTTATAAGTAACTAGAATTTCTATACATCTCTGGAATGCAAGCATATAGAAACTCCTCGTGCATTCCTTGCTGACTTAGGCACCAATGTCTACAAATGTCATCATTTATTATGATTTATTATGATCATCATTATTATGACCTGTGTGGCTAACATGGTCCAAATTACCCTTAAGCCCCCGTTTAGGGTTCATAAATACCCCTAAGGAAAATACCCCTGAGACAGGCACGCTCAGTCCTTGTCTCGCTGAAGGGCCTCACTGCACTCTTCTGCAGCGTTCTTCCTTTCCTTTCTAATAAAACTTTTCTTTTTCAAACCTATACTGTTGTCTGTAAATTCTTCTTACCAACCTGCAAGTGGACCACTTTCTGATGCCAGGGCTCTGACACCTCACCCAGCAAGAGGTGATTAAAGTTAACATCAGTAATGGGGCAAAGACACTTCATGTACCTCCTGCTTGGATGCACTGAGAACACAATATTGTTACCGTGGCTTTCCTACCAAAAATGCACAGTCTAAATCTAACCACAAGGAAACACCAGACACACTCAAATTAAGAGACATTCCACAAAAGAACTGACCGGTGCACATCAAAAACATTCAGTTCATGAAGGATTAAAGCAGTCTAAAGAGACATGACATCAAAGCAATGTCTGATCTTGAACTGGATTTTTCCCCCTTTTTCTATAAGCGACATTAGTGGGGAAAAAATGGCTAAATTTAAGTAAGTATTGTATGTGAAAGAATAATGTAGAATCAATGATAATTTCCTGATGCTGATAATTTATACTGTGATTGTATAAAAGAATGTTCTTGTCTTTAGAAAAATATACTTTGAAGTATTTACAAGTAAAGGGAAAGCATGTCTGTAACTTAGTTTCAAATGTTTATTAAAAATGTATGTATATATAATATACATATATGTGCATATAAATACAATTATATGTATAGAGAGAGAGAGGGGGAAACAAAAGCAAATTTGAAAATTGTCAACACTCAGAGAATCTGTGTTGATGAATCAATTTCAAGAATCATTGAAAATTGTTAAACTATTACAAAGGATTGCAGCATTCTTCGCAATATTTTTGCAATTTTCAGTGACAAATTATCTCAAATAAAAACTAAAAAATAAAGGAAGCAGAAATCTCCATGTTTTAAGGACAGATAGATGGGAAGGGCAATCCATATAATCCTACTATTTGGCACATCTGGGAAGTGCAGGAAGGTCTGACTAAATTGGGAAGGATATTACGAGGAAAGTTCAACCTATGCTCAGTGGAAGTTCATGAGTTTCTTTTTATGATTTAGGAATCAAGACTCCGAGAGTTTGTGCAACTCCTGGAGCATTTTGAAAATTTGAACTTGAGGCCCGGCGCGGTGGCTCACGCCTGTAATCCCGGCACTTTGGGAGGCCCAGGCGGGCGGATCATGAGGTCAGGAGATCGAGACCATCCTGGCTAACACGGTGAAACCCCCTCTCTACTAAAAATACAAAAAAAAAAAAAAATTACCCGGGCGCGGTGGCGGGCGCCTGTAGTCCCAGCTAATCGGAAGGGTGAGGCAGGAGAATGGCGTGAACCCGGGAGGCGGAGGTTGCAGTGAGCCGAGATCGCGTCACTGCACTCCAGCCTGGGCTACAGAGCGAGACTCCATCTCAGAAAAAAAAAAGAAAAGAAAAGAAAAGAAAATTTGAACTTGAATACTGCAGCAGTTTTCTTTTTTAGTTAAAAGAAAACATCTGGATTTTGTTCTAACTTATCTTGTTCATATTGTGTCAAATATGATATTCACACTGAATTATGTAACATGCTTGGACCTTTACAAATAATGTTACTTGCTGATCCTGTGATTATCTGCAAGCATATAGGTAAGTACAAATAATGTTACTTGCTGATCCTGTGATTATTTGCAAGCATATGTGTAAATGCAAATAATGTTATTTGCTGTTCCTGTTACTATTTGCAAGCACATATGTAACTAATTACAAGATTTAATCAGTAAAAATACTTTATCAGCCAGTCATGATCTGTAGAACTATTCTCACAATGAAACAAATGAAATTACTGATCTTTTCTATATGAACAGAATATATTTTTAGCCACTCCTAGAGGTGAACAGTTATTGCCTGATTATTTTCTGGATACTCAGATAAGTTCTTGTGATAGAATCGATCCTAAAATCTATTGGGAGATATTATCTTTTTTTTTTTTTTTTTTTTTTTTTTTTTTTTTTTTTTTTTTTTTGAGATGGAGTTTCGCTCTGTCGCCCAGGCTGGAGTGCAGTGGCGCGATCTCGGCTCATTGCAAGCTCCGCGTCCTGGGTTCACGCCATTCTCCTGCTTCAGCCTCCCGAGTAGCTGGGACTACAGGCGCCCGCTACCACGCCCGGCTAATTTTTTGTATTTTTAGTAGAGACGGGTTTTCACCATGTTAGTCAGGATGGTCTCGATCTCCTGACCTCTTGATCCACCCGTCTCGGCCTCCCAAAGTGCTGGGATTACGGGCGTGAGCCACCGTGCCCTGCGGGAGATATTAAATGCACATTTCTTTCTATTGCCTTTAGTTGGAAACTGTAAGGACCAATTTCTGCATAGAATAGATCTCTATCCCATAGGAAAGTGATTCAGGTGCTGATAAGTTGCCCACTGATGGTAGCATTGACATGTTCCTTCGACTCCCTGTAAATCTGTATCACACTATCACATCTTTATTCACAGCTGGCAACATCACCCCAAGCTTTGAACGTATGAGACAAATTCATGATTAAGAATATTTCATTTAACAAATATTAATTATCTACTAAATGCTTGACATTGTGCTAGTCTGTGAGGTTTTTCATGTGAAGTGTGGTTGTATTAAAAATCATTTTAAATGGAAAAGAAGTTTTTTTTTTTAACCTAGAATGGTAAGTCTCATTTGGTAGGTTCAATAGAAAGTGTAGTGTGAAGTGATGACCGGGTATATGCCAAGACATAGAGGTTTCCATCCAATGAATGGAAGCAGGAGAGGGAGGTTTACATTAAGCAGAGAAGGGAACTGGAGTACATAGACCACTGATATCATCAACCCTTCCTAGAGAAAAAATGGGTAACAAGAGAAGGGAGAGCAGTCTGCCCTCCCTAAATATTAAAGAAAGAGAAATAACCTCTTTTTTTTTTTTTCTTTTTTGCTAGAAGATAAAACTCATTTGACTTGAGGATGCTCTCAAAGAGTCAAAATTTAGGTTAACATAAGGGAAGGCAAATAGCACAACCAACCCCATAGTCACTAAAAGAAGAAATTATACTTCTGCTCTCAGCTAAAACTTAAAACTTGGGTATTTTTGCTTGGGAAGAAGATTCAGTATTCACCGTCTCTCCCATCACCCGCAGGTATCTAAATTATTCAGGGCATTTAAGCAGGAGCTAGTGACAAATTGGTGCCCAAAGCAGCAGACCTTAAAACCGAGTCATGTGATTACACAGGGGAGGGTCGCCTCTTCTGGGCTCTTTTGAAACCCCAGTAAGATAAATGAGAAATGTGTTCAAAGAAAGAGAAGAATTGTTAGGCTTCCTGTTCCTATAACATTAGACTTGCAGACAATGGGTACTTTCTAAATAATATCTCATGCCTTAAAAACAACAAACAAAAAAATTGCTTGGGGCTATTGTGCCATCAGAAAATTATACTTAAACCATGTACTGTGTGATTACTGAAAGCTCTCATCGTCATGAGCAGAATCAGGGTTTGTTTATGGCATTGTTAGTCGCAATGTTTTATTATGTTTGTCACAATTTACTCTCATATGGAAATGCATTTTTGATAAGGGTAAACATACTATTTTGGCCACAAGAAGGCTTTATCAGTGGAGTTGGAATTGCTGAGTGGAGCTCTAAAATTACTCATACATAGAACTATTGCATTAGTGTAGCTAGAATGCAAACCCACTCACCCGGAAAACGGAAATTACTTCGGCAGAAAGTCCTTCTGCGGTGGTAGGGATGAACCTTTTTCTCATTTCAGCTTTATTTTCCATTTGGCTTTAGTGCCCCTATCTTTGAAAAGCTCTGTTAATTTATTTTTAAATCACCAAAATATAATGACTTCAGGTACTTTTCCCAGAGTTGTTTTGTCCCCAGTCTCATAAAATTTCCATATGTATGTATATGCCAAGTGCACACTTTAGTTACAGGGCAGTCTATGATGCTTCAAGGTGAACTTTCTCTCCCCATCAATTAAGTAGTTGAGTGTTTTTCTCTTTGTAACAGTGGACAAAGAAGTATAAGGAGCTGCATCCAAATCGCCACTTCTGTTCTTAATATATAGGACCTGGGACTCAATATGGCAGACAGGGTACTTTACAAGGGGGGCTTGGATGGCATTCTCCTGGGAGAAATCTAGGCACTTGTGAAGAAACTGTCATGTACAAGCACTGGCTAACTCTCTCCCTAAAATGTCTATCTTTTGTCTTATGGATTGCCTATGAATTAAAAACTGTTTAAATCAAATTCCATTTTTTAGTTGGGTTGTTGCTTACTTATTTTTCCTTTTTTTTTTTCCTTTGAGACAGAGTCTCGCTGTGTTGCCCAGGCTGGAGTGCAGTGGCGCGGTCTCGGCTCACTGCAACCTCCGCCTCCCAGGTTCAAGCAATTCTCCTGCCTCAGCCTCCCGAGTAGCTGGGACTACAGGCACATGCCACCACACCTGGCTAATTTTTTGTATTTTTAGTAGAGACGGGTTTTCACCATGTTAGCCAGGATGGTCTTGATCTCCTGACCTCGTGATCCACTCTCCTCGGCCTCCCAAAGTGCTGGATTACAGGGGTGAGCCACTGTGCCCAGCCCTTCCTTATGATTTAATTTAAAAAAATACACTTTACACTAAAATCAAATATGGCTTGCATTCATTTCTACTCCTTTTAGTTAACAGGGTGTTAAAATTCTTCCTTCATGATTAAATAAAATATAAGTATAGGATTTATCCTCCAAATTAGACCATGCTATATATCATGTTTATCAGTATTTCACAGCTATTTTCCAGCTATAGTTCTAATTCATTCTTATAAAAGAGCGCATAATATTCGACACCCTGGATATTCTATAACTTAGTCCCTCATTTGCCTTTGGTGGATATTTAGTTTCTACTCTTTCGTCAACATAATCAGTGTTGCAGTTAGCATCCTTATGGACACATTACTGTATTTTCCATTTTCCCATTTGTATTTCTTCCTGTTAGATGTCCCCCAAAATGGAATTGCTGAGTCAATAAGTATGAATACTTTTAAATATTTAAAAATACCTTTAAATTATTTTCCCAAAACATTGAACTACAAAAATTCAACTCAGCCAACAAGCTATGAAGTATTTTGACTTTCCACGTCTGAAATCATTGGCTCTTTTAAATTTTGTCCAGGTCTGGGGGAAGGAATGCCTAAGATGAGCCTGGGACATCTTTGCATGCCAAAACCCAAGGATGCTTTCAGAGACTAATGGTGCTGGGCCACGGAGTCACATAAGCAAGTTCGAAGGGGGTCTCCCACAGATAAACTTGGGAGAATTTAAGCACCAATAATAATAGTTATTATTATAATGGATTTGAGCATACACACACACAGATCTTCATTTGTATCATATATGTGAAGGTAAGTATACCATATATCATAATATAAAATTCTTAATTCTTTTCAGCAAAAGACCACCAGAAACAGCTGTACTTGAACAAGTTAGATGACTTTCTCTCACTTATTGCAGCAAAGGAGAATGCATATCACAGGGAACAGGGGCTGATGGCGCGGAGATTGGAGGAGGGGAGAAGGAAACATCTCAGTAAGAAGGTGTTAGAAAGAACCTGGGCATTTGGGCTTTGGCTGGATAGTTTTGCGGGGGGTGGGGGGGTGGCCAAGTAAGGTTTGTTCTAAATTGGGTGTTGTCAGAAAGCAGAAGCAATTCTATGATTGAATATCTCAATAAATCTTATCTACAGGCAGGGCAGATTAGATTGAGGATAAAGCCATAATTGGTAAGGAGCAGTCACTCATATTAGCCAAGAGAGGCGAAGGTTGGTATTTTGTGGGCTGCACCATGACTGTCTGCAGTGGATGTTCTGTGAGATTGTTCATGTCCAACAGGATAGCAACATGACTTACCTGTGTTAGATCAGTCAGTAAGAACATTGAGACTTACCTGGCAGTGTCAGATCAGCTCAGAGACCTGCTTTTCCTATATAGGTAATGATAGGTAGGTAGATAGATGGAGCCAAACAGAGAAAGCCACATTGAAAAAAAAAAAAAACAACAAATGCAAGAAAGAAAAAAGAAGCTTCATGGGTCACCACTGGAGGTGGTTATTAAACCTATTTCATTTCAAAATTGGTTATTAAGCAGAAAGAATTAGTATTTATCCTGCTTTTCCAGAAAAAGTCTACATTAGGATAACCGAGTAGCCCCAGTTGATAAGGGATAGTTCTTCATAGAGAAGAATGGCAGCCAATAAATGTGGGAAAATGATAAAATTAGAAAATTGCCATTTTGCAACCCATTTAAAAAGAAGACTCAGGCTAAGATCATCTGAGGATGCTAAAGCAAATAGGGGAAAGATGAATGGAGAATTGGATATTTACATGTTGCCAGAATATCATGTAACAAATTACATACTGGTCACAACTGGAAAAACACAACTTTATAATGCAGGATCAGATTGTTGACACTTTGGATGAGAAATGCTAGACCCACTAATAGCGGACAGCAGACATTTTCTCTACATTATCTGTACACTAAGCAGTGCACTGCCTCAATATGATGTTTACTGCATCTTTTTGGTAAATAATCTTCATCAATTTTAAGTACTATAGTTTTCTTCTTCTTTTACTGTTTTTTTAAAAACCAAGAATGGCTTCTGAAATTAATTAATTGTCTTTTTGGTGTCTAATCATGTCGGATTTTTTCTGTTTAATTTGCTAGTTAATAAATTATTGATTGATTTAATAATATAGTACTATCCTTATATTGTTTAATCTGCGAACCTGGAGGATTATATTTTGAGATTACCCAGGTTTTCTTCTCTGCATTTCTGTGTGTGTGTGTTGTACTCATTGCCCTTAGGATATTCAGAAAGGCAGAAAATCTTTTGTTTGACAGGGCTTATGGAGCTCCTAACTGTGTACAAGCGCTGATTTAGGTGTTAAAGGTAGAACAGTAAAAACACAGGAAAGGCTTCTGCTCTCATGAAGCCGATATTCTAGTGGAGGTAAATAGATGATAGATAGATAGATAGATAGATAGATGATAGATAGATAGATAGATAGATAGATAGATAGATAGATGATAGTGTAGGTAAATAGATGGAGGTAAATAGATGGTAGATAGCTCTAGTGGAGGTAAATAGATGATAGATAGATAGATAATAGATAGATAGATAGATCAGGTTATATAGATAGCTGACTCATAAAGTAACTGGATGAACAAGAAAAATATCAAATAATGATCAATCTTAGGCAAATAAGGAAAATATTGTGATAGACAGTGTTCTATTTATCTATTGCTATATAACAAACTCCCAAAACTTAATGGATTAAAACAACAATCATTTTATTCTCTCACAATTCTGTGCATGAGGAATTTGGGGAGGGCTCAGCCAGGCAATTCTTCCATTCCACGTGGTGTTAATCTGGGTGGTATTTGGCTGATGGCTGGCCTTGTCTGGGTGTCTGGTGCCTGGGTGGATGGCTGGGGTTGTTGACTGGAGTGCCCACCCACAGTCTCTCCAGCACAGCACTGTCAGGGTAGTCAGACTTCTTAGATGGCAGCTCAGGACTCCCAGTAGGAGTGTTCCAAGAAGCTCAAGCAGAAGTTGCAAGGAACCTAGCTTCAGAAATCTCAGAATGTCACTTCCACTGCATCCTATTGGTCAAGCAAGGCACTAAGGCCAGCTCAAATTCAAGAAGAAGGGAATGAGACTTTTCCCAAGTCAAACAAGACTTGGGTGTTTCAGAAGGTTGTCCAAGGATGTAATATTAAAGATGAGAGCTGAGTAATATGAAGAATTGGGCTTTGAAGATATGAGGACTGTGGAGAGCAAAGGCTTGGTATGCTTAAGAAACTGAAAGTGACCACAGTGAAAGGGCAAGGGGAGGAGAGGAATGAGATGAAGTCAGCAAAGCCATCAGGCACAAATTATGTAAGATTTTGTAATCTGAGGCTGAAATTTTTGGGTTTTATTCTAAATACTTATTCCAATAATTCACTAACAGGGTTTTAGCAGAGGCCAATCAAATTGGGCAGATGTGGGGAATTGTTTATCAGGGGAGGGGCAAGAGGAGAAGCAGGGAGGCTAGCTAAGGGGCATTGCAATGGTGTATGGAGCAGTGTGCTTGTGAGGAAGGTGATGACAACTGAACAGATCCAGGATGTGTTTTGAGGTAGAGTCTAGTATACTTACTGATGGATGAATGGAATATAGAAAAAGCAAAGAATCAAATAACCAAGATTAACTCCACTCCAAGGTAGATTTTAAGAATCTGAGAGCATAAAGTCTCACAGAATTGCCTTCTTGGTTTCTCTGGTTCTTTATTCCATGTGCTGTGTACAGTCCATCAGAAAGCTCTGCTCATTCTACCTTCAAAACACATCCCAAATCCCATGCTTCTTACTGCCTTCTCTTTCACTAATCTGAGCCACTAGCAACTTTCACCTGGATTATTGTAATAAACTTCTAAGTGGTCTCTGCATCTATGCTCATTCCACCATCATCAGGTGTCCACGAAGTGGCCAGAGTGAGCCTTTAAAATTGTAAATCAGATCATGCCATGCCCCTTTTCAAAACCCTTCCATTTCTATCTCATTTGGAATAGAATGCAATGTCCTCTCCATAGCCATTAAAGCCCATCAGCATTCCACCCCTGTTGCCTCCTCAACCTCACTTTCACTTCCACCTTACTCTGCACTGGTTGCAGTGGTATGCTGTTCTGATCACAGGCTGAATGTAGCTGCCTCAGGGTCTTTGCACTTCCTGACTTCTCTGCCTGGAATACTTTTCTCAGAGATATTCACATGGTTTACTCACCCACTTCATTTGGATTTCCACTCAAATATTGCATCCTCAGAGACACCCAGAGGGTGTCTTGCTATCTTGCCCCTTAATCCTGTTTCATGTATTTTCATTGCACAAATTATCCACCTGAAGTTATATTTCACATGTTTGTTTATCATGTGCCTCCTCCATTGTAATATAAATTCCATGAGGGAAATGGTCTTGCCTGTTAGGTTCTTTGCAGTACACCCAGAGCCCATAACTGTGCCTGACACAAAGAAGGCACTTAAGTAATATTTGTGGAAATGAATGAATGAATTAGCTATTATTTTTTTAAATATTATGAGCAGTTGCCATATCTTCTTGATTTTTCCTTCTAAATGTCTCTTCATCCATTTCATCTTTTTGTGGCCTGGCCACCACCGGAATCCTCTTTCACTCCACACCTGGATGACTGCTGTCACCCTCTTCCTGGGCTCCATAAATCTAATCTGTTTCCTTTCACATACTCTGTCGTGTGACTGGTCAATCTTTCTGAAACATTGCTTAATCATTTCACATCTCCTTTCTAGCAGTATAAAGTCTAATCACTGCAGACTGATAGCCATTTCCCTCACAGCTGGTCTCCTTTTCCGGCTTAATTTCTCATTACTTCCGGTATGAACCCTTGCCCCAACCAAATTTCTATACTTGCTCAAAACTGGTACTTTTCCGCTCTTGTGATTTGACCCACACTATTCGCCCCACCCATCCCAAACTTCTTTACTATTCAAAGCCCAGTTTAAATCTCCCATTCCTGGTGACTGCCTCGGAAACAAGAACACACACACACTCTGTCTCTCTCAGTAGTCTTACATATATTTTCCTCACTATCCATTTGGACCTTGTATTGACTTATTAATTTTATATTGAGTACACCACTCTGTGTATGTATATATGGGTGTGTATACATAGTCCTATTTTCACAAATTATAACCAGAAGGTCCAATCGGTCACTTCTGCTTAAGGCTCTCAGATTGACCTCTTGCCCTATCCCTTACTATGTGAATTTGGACAACTTCTAGAGTCTCTGTTTCCTTTTCAGTAAAATAGGGAGTAATAATGTCTACCTCATAGTGCTATTGTTAGAATTAGATGAATTCAAGTACAATGCTTAATTCGCAGTGGGCCTCAAGTAATTGTTATTATTCCTTTATGTATTGCCCACAATGCTAATCAATGTGTGGATGGTGGTACTGTAAACAGGCAGAGAAATATCTGCAACAGGTATTATACCACCAGCTGGATTACTGCTTTAAGAAAATGTTTATTCTGGATACCTCTTTCTTCCTACTGTGCGTTAAACATTACCGTTTTTTCCTAAATGGCCCTACTCCTACGGAAGCACCAATCACAATGTCTTTCCCACTGTGGGAATATCAATAATAAATGAGAATGAGAATGATCACTTTTGCAATTAGATTCCTGGAAGATAAATGATTCAAGCAATGTGGCTACCAGAGAAGAGATTATCTGAGCAGCATGACCATTTGCTGGGATTGACTCAGGTACACATATTTTAATGCTCAAGCAGAAAAGATCTCTTCTCCAAAGTCTTAGGTTCCAGTAAAGTTGTCCCCATAATACTGAGCAGGTTGCCTCCTGTCCTAATGTTGCCTTTTTTGGTAATAGTATAGTTTATATTTTTGCTTCTTTCTACTTTCCTCTTTGTGATCCCAGCAGTTGAGTTGTTGCTAGAGGCCTTGCTCTGTTCTTTCTATGGTGAAAAATCAACACAGAGTGGGAGACAATGATAAAGAAAGCCCTGCATATTTGTCATTGGGTTTCACAGCAAAGAGTCAGCCTCTGCATGGGGATCCACAGTACATGCTCAGAGATAGCTGGACAGGGGGACAGAGGAATACACAGAACTGGTGGGACAGTATGCTTTGGTTTTGCTTCTCTCCTAATCAACAGGGACAAAACGGAGAATTTATAATTTGAGACTGAGTGATACAGCCAGGTAAATCATTCAGGATCTCAGCAACACCTAGCACACTCAAATGGGGAACTGAGGAGAGCTCAATAAAGGAACTGTTTACATAGGTGCATGCAGAGGTATGTGAAAGAAGGGCTGTTTCAATACTCCAGGCCAGCAACAGTGAGAGCTTGTGTCCTCTAGGCTGAAGGGGTAAGAGAAAGGAGGGATTACCAGAAGCCAGAGAAAGTACCCATAGATCTAAGAGACAGCACCCATAGATCTAAGAGACAGCCACCTAGCAGATGCTGTGTCTTCAGCAATGATGTTTCTAAGCTCATGGTGACCTGGCAGGGAGCAAGCTAGAGGAATTAAAGACCCTGACTTAGGCCGGGTATGGTGGCTCATGCCTGTAATCCTAGCACTTTGGGAGGCCAAGGTGGGCGGATCACCTGAGGTCAGGAGTTCAAGACCAGCCTGACCAACATGGAGAAACTCCATTTCTACTAAAAATACAAAATTAGCCAGGTGTGGTGCCATATGCCTATAATCCCAGCTACTCGGGAGGCTGAGGCAGGAGAATCGCTTGAACCCGGGAGGTGGAGGTTGCGGTGAGCCAAGATCAAGCCATTGCACTCCAGCCTGGGCAACCAGAGTGAAACTCTGTCTCAAAAAAAAAAAAAGAAAGAAAGAAAGAAAAAGAAAAGGCCCTGACTTCTCTTTCCTCTCACTGTGTATCTCCCCATAGTACCTCCCATTGGCTGAACCCAACTGGGAGGCAGAGGACAAGGGTGCCTGTTGATGCCTTCCATAAATTTCAGCCTCTCTTGTCACAGAGCAGAGTAGAGAAGTGTAGAACTTGGTCTGGAGAGGCAAAGGAGAAATGTGTTCAACATATTGGGGTTCATAGTTTAGGTCTAAGTGGTTTGGATAAATCAGGAGGGCAGGCTTACCAAGAATCAAGTTAAATGAGATAATTTGACATTGAGGGCTCAAAAAGAGGAAGTGGGTTTTGGAAAGAGGGAGATCGTAAAGGGAATAGCATGATGTATACTTTGTGATTTCCTGAGCTCATCCCAGGGACTCAGATTTGAACCTTTAAGAATAGAGGGGCTAGGTCGGGCGCGGTGGCTTATGCCTGTAATCCCAGCACTTTGGGAGACCAAGGCGGGTGGATCACGAGGTCAGAAGATCGAGACCATCCTGGCTAACATGGTGAAATCTCGTCTCTACTAAAAATATAAAAAATTAGCTGGGCGTGGTGGTGGGCGCCTGTAGTCCCAGCTACTCTGGAGGCTGAGGCAAGAGAATGGCGTGAACCCAGGAGGTGGAGCTTGCAGTGAGCTGAGATCACGCCACTGCACTCCAGCCTGGGCAACAGAGCGAGACTCCGTCTCAAAAAAAAAAAAAAAAAAAAAAAAAAGAAAGGAAGAAAAAGAATAGAGGGACTATCCGAAGGAGCTAAAGTGACTTTTCTTTTCAAAAGAGAAATAACCCACTGCCATCTTCTTTCCCCTCATGTGACTCCACTTTCCCCTTTCAATAAGCCCCAAACCCAACATTGACTCTTTTAGCCAAAGAAGCCAAAGCTTCTGGGGCTTTGGTGAAGAGTGAGAAGGGGAGTAAGTTCCTTACTTCACTGAAATAAGGTGGAGAGTTTTAGGGTATGTGGCATTTTTCTGGCCAAATGGGGCTTTGTAACTTAGGAACTACAGAAAATAAACTTTGATTCTCAAAGAATGCACCTTGGGGCATAGATATTTTAAGAGTGGCTAAAAGAGGAAGATCATGAGCTCATTTAAGATATCTTCAGGGATGACGTCTGCAAGATGGTGGAATAGGAAGTTGTAGCCTCCACTTTTCCCCACAGAAAATTCAACTAGCAACTATCCAAAGACCAGAACAACTTTTTGAAAACCCCAATGCAAGGAACAAGCCTGAGACACCAATGTGGTCCACAGAACTGAATGGAATTAAATTAGAAGGGTAAGGAGAACAGCCTCATTACAGCTGTGCTACCTCTCCCTCAGTTCAGCCCAGTGCTAAACAGAGAGGATTTCCATGGGCCCACAGTTTCTACTGGGAGAAAAGATACTCAGAGACAGTTATCCAGCTTTCCTAGCATTCCAGGAAGCCCACTCCAATCTCGCCTCACCTCACAGGGAAAACTGGGGATAATGGCATGGTTAGACCACCTTGGGTCACATAGAAACAAAGAAAGGAGGCAGAGATTGTAGTGACCAGCATGCAGATCTTGGTGGTACTTCTATGTTCTGCCAGCTGTAGCACCCTATTAGAAATATCAGCCAACTTCAGAGCCCACCTGCAAAGCTGAGCTGGTTGCCTTCAGAAGCATGGTGGGAGTTCAACCTAACTTGAGTCCCTAGATAGCTAGTCTCCATGCCAACCTCAGAGCCCACTACCAACCTATACCAAGTAGGGAGATGCTGGCCTTTGCCTATTTTGGACAAAGCATAGGGGTTAGACTTGCTTGACATGGGAAGACAAGCAGCAGTTCCACTCAGCCGAAAGCCCACTCCTTGGTTCCACCCTGACAGGGAGGCAATCCTCAATTGTGCATTTCTAAGGAGCATAGACTCTGGTCCTGCTCATCTCAACCAGTGACTCCACCTAACCTCAGAGCCCAGTCAGCATCCCTGCCCAACTAGAAATCCCAAATAGTTGAATTACCCAGTAGGGACTACATCTTGTGACCTGATTAGAAGCCATTGCCATCACCCACCCAATAGCTCCACCTCATAGCAGAGCCCACCCAGTGGTTTTGCCAGATAGTAGAGCCCATCCAAAAGCTCCATTCCACATCAGAGCAAAGGCAGCCAACTCCTACGACAAGCTCTACCTGCTTAGGGTCATCACTAGTTGGTCCTTCAAAAACCACAGACTGAATAGTGAAGGTCTATCTCTAGATGTTCTTTAGGAACATCTGCAAAGGCCAGAACAGGGGACTGTCTTCTTAAATGCAAAAATGCAGGTACACAAGATCATGAGGAGCCAGGGAATTGTGACACCTCCAAAATAAACTAATAACATTCCACTAATAGACCCTAAAGAAATGGAGATCTATGAATTAACTGACAAGGAATTCAGAATAATCCTCTTAAAGTTGTTCAGTGAACTACAAAAACGTATGGATAGAAAATTAAATACAATTTGGAAAACAATACATAAACAAAGTGAGAAGTGTAACAAAGAAATAGAAACAATAAAAAATAAATAGAAATCTAGAGATAAAGAATATAATGACTGAACTGAAAAATTTGATAGAAAGCTTCACAAGCAGACTTGATCAAGCAGAAAAAAGAATTAGTGAACTGGAAGACAAAACATTTGACATTATCCAGTCAGAGGAGCAGTAAGACGAAAGAATGAAAAAAAAAATAAATCTTGTGGGAATTATGGGACACCATCAAGAGACCAAACCTTTGCATAATGTAGTTCCAAAAGGAGAAGAAAGAGGAAAAGGGCCAGGAAGCATATTTAAAGAAATAATTGTTGAAAACTTTCCTTATTTAGGGATAGATGCCAACATTTAGGTTCAGGAAGCTTAGAAGTCTACAGTCAAATTCAACCAAAAGAGGAGTTCACCAAAACACATATTAATAATAATCAAACTATCATGATTCAAAGACAAAGAAAAATTCTAAGAGCATCAAGAGATAAGAAATACACCACATAAAAAGTAGTGCCAATATGATCATCAGCAGATTTCTCAGCAGAAATTCTGCAGGCCACAAGAGAAATAATACAATTCACCCTTGAATAGCATGGGTTTAAACTGAGCAGGTCCACTTATACAAGAATTTTTTCAGTAAAAGTTACCCAGTTTGCCTGCCTCTCCTGCTCCACTTTTCACTTCCACCTCTGCCACTCCTGAGACAGCAAGACCCACCTTCTCTCTTCCTCCTACTCTTCATACTACTCAACAGGAAGACAAAAAGGATGAAGACCTTTATGGTGATCCACTTCCACTTAATAAATAGTAAATACATTTTTTCCTCTTTATGATTTTCTTAATGACATTTTCTTTTCTCTACCTTACTTTTTTGTAAGAATACAGTATATAATACACATAACATATTAAATATGTGTTAAGTGACTATGTTATTGTTAAGTTGATAGTAAGCTGACATCAAAAACAAAATGTGAGATGGAGGAGTAAAAGTATAGAGTTGTTGTATGCAATCAAACTTAAGCTGTCATCAGCTTGAAATAGGCTAAGTATAAGGTGATCTATGTAAGCTTCATGGTAATCACAAAGCAAAAATCTTAGTATTTTTATTTTTATTTTTATTTTTTAGACAGAGTCTTGCTCTGTCACCCAGGCTGGAGTGCAGAGGCATGATCTTGGCTCACTGCAACCTCCACTTCCTGGGTTCAAGCCATCCTCCTGTCTTAGCCTCCTGAGTAGCTGGGATTACAGGTGACCACCATAATGCCTGACTAATGTTTGTATTTTTAGTAGAGATGGGGTTTCGCCATGTTGGCCAAGCTGGTCTTGAACTCCTGACCTCAGGTGATCCACCTGCCTTGTTATCCCAAAGTGCTGGAATTACAGGCAGGAGCCACAGTGCCTGGCCTGCAAAAATCTTTAGAAGTACGAAACAAAAATAGAAAGGATTTAAAGCATACCACTACAGAAAACCATCAAACCACAAAGAGAGCAAGAAAGGAAGAAACAAAAACACTTTCAGAAATTCCCACAAAAATTGAGATTTGAGTAAAAGTAGGAGATACTGGAGTAGGTGGTAGATACAAGGGAAATGTGGCTTTCACCATTAACATTGCCCCATTTGTACCCAGACGCTAATCAAGTTAGGAGAAATATACATTAGATTGAAATAACTTTTGCAGATGGGCTTATATTTAGTTCTGTCATACTGTGGTTAGCAGGATAATCTGTTTACATTTTAAAGTATGTTTTCCCTCCATCTCTGTCCTTTGTGTATTCTATAAATTTGCATCCCTATGGTGGGTGTCCTGAAAACTTTTTGTGCCATGACCCCCTTTGGTAATCTGCTAAAATCCCTCCTCAAAAAATTTTAAAATGCATAACAAAAATCAAAGAAAGACAGTAATATTAAAATGCTTTTAATATTATCAAAATATTTCAAATGTGCCATTATAAAATATATACTCTTTCATTAATGCTTTAAATAAAATCTAGTGGTGGGGGCCACTAATCACCACATTTTTAAAGTTGTTGTGGATATAATGCTATTTTCTTGTTTCTGCAATAACTTTAACATGACATAAACTTACTATGATTCCTATTGGTATCAAAATCACAGGTATTGCTAACACTGCTGTGGTTGTTGCCCACTTTCATGATTAAATATTAAATTTTAGTTAAAGAATAGTGAAAATAAAGATGTATTTTTACAATTCAAGTTTATAGACATCCCGAATTCTATCCACAGACTCCTTAAGAACCCCTGCTAGGATCTCATCCTTTCTCCATCTGAAGCAGAAATAAAGGCAGCATGAGACTAAAATTCTCAGATGTATAGTTTCAGAGACATCTGGTCTACCTCATCCCAACTTCTCCCTTTATGCCCCAGAAGATTCTAGGTGAAGAATAATGTTCCCAGGAGGAAGAGATAGAACTACCCCATTTTGAGGAGATTGGAAGAACATTCAAGGTGATTCCAAGAGACCCAGAGAGCTGACTCAGCTCCAGCCTTGCCCCAGAGACATGGCTGTGGAGGACACCCCGCTCCCTGGCTGCAGCATCCATGGTCAGCTTGTTGCCCACTGAACATACAGTTTGGAGACATACTCTCTGGTCAATCCCCCAACAATCTCCCTTGCACCCCTTCCCCCTTCTCCCATGGAGAACCCACTAGAAGAGAGAGTTCGAACATTTTCTAGGATAATCATGACATGAAGAGAGAGTCCAAACCTTTGACTAAAATTGCACTAAACACAATGTACATATCTAACTACTTTATATCCATGATAAGGTAAACCAGTTGCCAAGCAAAAGATGCCTGAGTTGAAAAGAAGTTGAGAGAATAAACTAATGACAATAGTTGTAGAAAATATCTGAAAATTAATCACAAATCCTAGCCCCCAAATGTGTTCTAAGTTATTTAGAGGATTTACAGTAGCTGCATACATTTGCATATTCAGATACTTCCTTCCATCTTCAGCAATATTTCAGGATTCTAGACAGTTAAGCAAGTTTTGGAAGTATTTCACAGACTCAGTAGGTGCTAAGGTTATAGGCACAGGCCTGAAGAAAACTTGCTATATCAACAAGATGGGAGACTGGTTCTAAGGCAGCTCCCTGGGCCATATTAGGCCAAGCAGTGAATGAATGGTAGATGACACCATTTCAATGGCTTGATCTCTAGGTCACTCCTGTGATTCCAGAGAAGCCACCACTACCTGAAGGGGGAACTGTGGTTCTACCAACAAAGTTGAAAATAGTTCATATTTTAAAGCCAAAAGTCAATAAGGACAATGAAAAATATAGTTTTAAATTCATATTAGTCCCCTTAGTTATCTCTGTCCAACTTCTGAGAGGTTCTAAGAGACAACTGGAAGATAGGGGAAGATGAGCATGATGGGCAGCAGGGTGGGGCCTCTTCTCTGGGCCTGGCCTCTTTGAGTCCCTGTGGTAACAAGGGACTGTTATAATAATAGACATTTGAGATCCTAGGCAAGAGGGAAGGACAGAAGATTCTGGCCCAACTCTTCCATTTTATGAAAACGATGACTCAGAGACTTGAAATGATTTGCTCAAAACAAGACAGTTTTAGATAAATAATCTAAGACTAAAATGCAGATTTTCTGACATCCGGCCATTGTGCTCTCCCAACATTAAAGAAAAATATTCTAAGTAAACGACAGAATATTTATATCTCAGCTTTCATTGCCCTGTCTTTGCAGCGGAAGGGGAAGTGGTTGGCGTGGTTTCTCAATGATGAATCTTGAAGATGAAACCTGGAATGAGTAGGACAAGATGCCAAAAGAACCCAAACCTACTAGGTAGACACTGAAAACGGGATCATTTAAAATCCACTCACATCCCATTCCATGCTTTCTTCTGTTATAGGCACTAGAAAGATAAAACTTACCTTCCCAGACTTTTTTGCAGCTAGCAGAGACAATGGTAGATCTGATGAATGAAACAATCCCAAGTTGGCTGGGCTTCTTCTGCTGCTTCTTTCTTCTTGACTAGAATTTGAGCTTGATGCTGGAGGTACATCAGTCATCCTCAGGGCAGTAGAGCAGGAAGAAAAAATGCTCAGTTCCCAGATAGCATCCTTGAACTACTGTTCCAGCCCTAATCTACTTCAACCCAGACTTCTTCTCACATGAGGCAGATAAATCTCTTCCTTGAGTAAGTCCATGTTCATCAGATTGTAAGGTTCTTGTATTGAACATAGCCTTACCTTATATTTTAGTCTGAATCAAAAGTGGAATCAAGAATGGCAAAGTCAGGCCAAACTGAATTTCAGCCAGGTAAAGTTCACAGACTAATATGAGCTCAAAGCTGACATGAGTCAGCAAAGAGGTCCAGTTGAAGAAGATAAGAAAACTGTCTAAACGAAATACTGAGTTTGTATGCAGTGCTTTTAAAGGCCCAGAATGTGATCTGTGGATGTGCCTTAGTTATCTCATTGACATTAGCCAGGACAGCGTGATTCAAGGAAGTTACTACTGTACTTCAGGCCACCTATCTTAGTTCCCCTCTTAAAAATAAAATAAAATGGCCATCAGAGGGTGTGAGAAATGGAATACTGAGGCAAAAACATGCCAGCAAACCAGACTGCTCTAAGAATATTGGCACAGTGGAGGCTGGAGGCAGCTTGGGGTCTGCTGGAAGAAGCGAGGATGAGAGGCAGGCATCAGAAGCAAACTTAGAAGAGGCTGGAGAGCTTTGGTTTCTTGGCCTTATTTCATCCCACTGGAGACAATTATCTTACCAGATAGTATTGCTGTAGCATTGAAATTTAAACAATAATATTCTCATGAGTAGGCTGCAGTGTGTTTCCCAGTCAGAGAGGATGCTCTCAAGATTTGGTTAAAATAGCCAAAGGTGCACACAGTGTGTGCTTGATTTAATTATTCCTGAAGGCCCTCTCATGTAGGTGGTTTTAAATTATCTCCCCCAGGACCTAATGAGAGAGGGAGAAAAAAAAAAAAAGAATTTGAATTGAAAAAGAGTATTTGGGCCACGCGCGGTGGCTCATGCCTGTAATCCCAGCACTTTGGGAGGCTGAGGCAGGTGGATCCCCTGAGGTCAGGAGTTCAAGACCAGCCTGGCCAACATCGCAAAACCCCGTCTTACTAAAAGTACAAAAATTAGCCAGGCATGGTGGTGGGCGCCTGGAATCCCAGCTACTCAGGAGGCTGAGGGAGAATAGCTTGAACCCAGGAGGTGGAGGTTGCAGTGAGCCAAGATTATGCCACTGCACTCCAGCCTGGGTGACAAAAACGAGACTCCATCTAAAAAAAAAAAAAAAAGAAAAAGAAAAAGAGTCTTTGAACAATGAAATAAATGCTTCCAAATGCAAAATCAGGTACTACCTTAATTTATCAAATAAGAATAAGGGTAATAAAATAAGGAGTTATCAATATTATGCTTTGACATTCCCGGAAAGCTAACAAATTGACCCATCCTTAAGATGCCCAAATACATTTATAAAAACCTAAGTCATTACTTCCCAATAGTACAAAACCATTAGACATGTAAGGGGAAATTTTGTATTTCAAAATTTGAACTTTGAAGTTGTTTCAAAATGAAAATAACTTTCTTGAACTAACACTGAAACAATTAGAGCCATGGGTATTTGGAAAAGAACTTCTGGTGAGCTCATCAGCATTTTACAGGTCTATAAAAAGAGGCTTCCCATAACCCCTATAGTTTAATAGAAACAGTAGGAATTCTCCATCCTCATTATGGGTCCATTTATTAACTTGCTCTTCCTTGTGGCTCAGTTAGTTTTTACTTCCCTTGGGTTCTAGTCCTATTATGGAGCAAAGATATTTTGAACACAGACATGGATTTTTCACTTTGGAAAGGGGATCCCTTCCATCTTGTCCTGAGGCCAGATGGGGGGACCAAGAATTTAAGCAGACACATTCATCTTCCTATCTTCAGGTACCTCTGAAGAAACTCCTGTACCTCTTCTATAAAAGCACACACCCTCTTTGGGGAAACACACTCTCTCACACATTATTGATACATCTCTTGGGAGGAAAATTTGGTAAGAACTATCAACATTCAAATGCATGCTTTCTTTGACCAAGAAACTACTTTTCCAGGAATTCAACAGCCACATGCACACATCAGCAAAGACAGATGTCCAAACTTACTTCTTGCTACAATTTTTGTAACAGGTGGAGACTAGGGAAAAAATTAAATGTCCATCAAAAAAATGACAGAGTAAATATATTTGAGAAGAATTTTCACTCCTGGCTATGATAGAGTAGCTTCTAACAGACTGTCCCTCCCGTCAAAACAACCAGAAAAGCTGGACAATACACATAAAACATTGTTGAAGGCATTTGAATAGCTGCTAAGGCAAGCAAGGGAAAGGGGACAGCCCAAGTAGGCAGATATCCTGGAAGTTGCTTTCCCTTCTGGGGCACTTGCTGATTCTTGGTGCTGGCAAGAGAGTGCAAGTCAAGGTGGAGGGTAGCTGTTAAGGAACAGAGAAACCTGCAGAACTTTGGGGGCTCTCAGAGAACTGAGGAGACAAAAGTTGGAGTTGGGGGCCCTGTGCAATGGCTCACACCTGTAATCCCAGCACTTTGGAAGGCCGTGGTGGACAGATCATCTGAGGTCAGAAGTTTGAGTCCAGCCTGGTCAACATGGTGAAACTCCATCTCTACTAAAAATACAAAAATTAGCCAGACATGGTGCCCACGCATGGTGGCTGAGTAGCCCAGCTACTTAGGAGGCTGAGGCACAAGAATTACTTGAACCTGGGAGGCAGAAGTTGCAGTGAGCTGAGATCCCACCACTGCACTCCAGCCTGGGTGACAGAGCAAGACCTTGTCTCAAAAATAAATAAATAAATAAATAAATAAATAAATAAATAAATAAATAAATAAAATAAACAATAAAAAATAATAAAATAAATTGGAGTTGAGGGTTGCCAAGGATTTCAGTGGTTAAGATCATGGTGAAAGAGGAGATGTAGGGAAATAGCCCAAAAACAACTGGTTTCTCTCTGAATGAATTGGAAAATTTTTTGCTGCAGAGGGCAAGAGATGAAGAAGCTAAGTGGAAAGCCACTGAGAAGCAGAGCAGAGGGTTTTTGGAAGACTGACTCACAGTCCTTAGAAAATAAAAAAAAATGGAGTCCAGGACCCACCAAAGATGTCCATTTGCTGACCTAGTAAATGCTCCAGATCTCAGTTCTGAGGTCCATGTGTTATCCAGAAGGAGATGGTAAAAGTATAATTTGTATTTGACTGTATTTAGTATAGAATCTCTAGAGTAAAAACCAAAACAATAGGAAAATAATATAGTAACAGCGGAAGAAGAGAATAACATAATTTTAAAATTGAATTATCCAAAGGCAAGAAATTTTTTAAAATGAACATAAAACATGATGACAAATAAAAAACAAATGGAACATGATAATTATAAAACCAAATTCGTTAGTAATTACATTAAATGTAAATGAACTAACTGGCTAAATTTAAAGACAAAGATGGTCACTCTGGGTGGGGGTGAAATAGTTGTAGGCTGCTTATGAGAGACACATTTTTAACATAAGGACACAAAAAAGGTTGAAAGTGAAAGAACAGGGAAATAGATTCCATGAGTAGAAGACACTGTGAGTGCCCTGCTTCATCTCTTGGCATTCGTCATGACTTTCCAGATGTCTTTCAGTGGCATGTAGCACTAGGTCTTGCCTGAGGGCATTCTTTAACCCTGGAAGCAGGCTGGTGGTGAATTTAAGCTGGTGGGAAATGGGACAGAGTAGAAATTCTGAGGAGCTGATGCCCTCAGGAGCAACCCTTGTCTAGTGAGGATGTGAGCTGGCAGTAAATACTCCAGCTTGCTCACCTTCAGGTGGAGAAATTCCAAGGTGTTCCCATGCAGTCTCCCAGCAAAGCCACTGAGGAGCCAAGAGGAGACTTCCAAGAGGGGAAGTGAGCCCTAGCTGTAAACAGCCAACAGCTCACTAGTGCATCCATTGTCAGCTTCCTTCCCTTCCGTGTCTACTCAGGCAACCTTACCAGTGTTCCTAGGTTTACTTCTCACCTTCTGTACTCAAAGTCTGCTTCTCAGGGACACTGGCTTAATACACCATGCAAACATTAGCCCCCCCAAAGCTAGTATAATTACATCAATATACAAAGTAGAATCTAAGGCAAGAAGCATCACTAGAGAGTAAGAGGGGTGTTTCTTATATATAAAACGGCCAATCCACCAACAAGATACAATAACTTAAAAATACATGCACTTGATATTATGGCTTTAAAATATATAAAGTGAAAATTGACAGAAACCAAAAAAAGGAAATAAATCTATTACCAAAATCAAATCTATTACCAAAAAACAAATCTATTACCAAAATGCAAGGTGATAACACAGTTCTCTGAATAACTAATAGAATAGGTAGGTGGAAAAAAAGGAAATATGTATGTAGATTTGAACAACACAATTAACAATTGAATATGCATTCTTCCTAAGTGCACGCAGACCATTTACTAACACTGATATTATGTTGGGCCATAAAGCAAATTTCAGAAAATCTCAAAGGATTGAAATCATACACAGTATGTTTTATGACCATAGTACAATTAAACTTAAAAAATACTATTTGGAAATTGTACAATAATAATGGCAGTGCATGGGTTAAATGAGAAATTCCAATAAAAACTAGAAAATATTTTCGCTTGAATAATAATGAAAATTCAATATATTAAAACTCATGAGATGTAGCTAAATTTGCATTTGGGGGTGATTTATGCAATAAATGCATATTTTAGAAAAAAGAAATGTTGAAATGGCAATTGGCTAAGTATAATCAAGAAGTTAGAACAACAGCAAATTAAACCCAAAGTAGATGAAAGTCAATTTAAAAAATGAGAAGAAATTAATAAATAGAAAATGAGCATGAAATAGGGAAAAATAAAAAGCTAAAAGTTTATCCTTTGAAAAGATTAGTAAGATTAATGGACAGCTACAAGGACAGATAAAAACAGAGACAAGTCACAAATTATCAATGTCAGAATGAAAAGGTGTACATCACTACAGACAACAGAGATATTAAAAAATAAGAGTGAGGCTGGGTGCAGTGGCTTACACCTGTAATCCCAGCAGTTCGGGAGGCTGAGTCAGGAGGATTGCTTGAGCTCAGGAGTTTGAGACCAGCCTAGGCAACATGGTGAAACCTTGTCTCTACTAAGAAAAAAAAAAAAAAAAACTTAGCTGGATGTAGTGGTGTGTATCTGTGGTCCTAGCTACTCAGGAGGCTGAAGTGGGAGGATCGCTTGAGCCTAGCAGGTGGAGGTTACAGTGAGCTAAAATCACACCATTGCACTCCAGCCTGGGCAACAGAGCCAGACCCCATCTCAAAAAAAAAAAAAAAAACAGATATGAGGAACTACTTTATGCCAATAAATTTGGAAATGTAGGGAAAATGAGAAAATTCCTATAAAAATAGACCTTACCAAAATTGACAAACAGAAATACGAAACTTAAATAGTTCTATATCTAGTAAAGTAATTGAACGTATAAATTAACACTTTTCCACAAAAAATTTCCTCAGCCCAGATGACTTCACTAGTGGATTCTTCCTAAAATTCTTCAAGATAAAAGAAAAAGAAGAAACACTTCCCAACATATTTTATGATGCCAGCAAAACTTTGATATTAAATTCTGAAAAGAACATTACTCAAAAGGAAATTACTTGCCAAGCTCTCTCATGAAATATATATAAGAATTTTTGTAAAAACAGTAAATTAAATCCTGTGATATATAAAATGGTTACTACATCGTGACTAAGTGACTTTTAGTCCAGGAATGCGAGAGTGTTAAAATTTGAGAACGAATCAACGTAATCAGACACATTAACAAGGTGAAATAGAAAAACCACATGATTATGTCAGTAGATGCAAAAAAGTATTTGATGAGAGTCAAAATCTATTTTTTTTCTTGTCAGATGGGTAATGTGCTGATGATGTAACAAACTTTAAGGAAGGCATATCTCACACATGAGCGTGAAAAAACCCAATCATCACACTTACAAACTACAAAAGGATCTCAAAATCTATTTGTGATAAAATGTCTTAGCAAATTAGAAATAGAAAAGAATTTTATTAATCTGGAAAAAAGTATATACAAAAAATATAAAATATGGTTAAAATAAAATTTAGAAGTTCTAAGCAAATGGAGAAAAATACTACCTACACCTTCTATATAGATATCCAATTGAATCAGTACCATTTATTTTAAAAGACCATTCTTCCCCCCTCTATACAGAAACTAAGTCATAATTGAGTCATTAGATATGAATGGATATGTTTTTATATTTCCTAGTATCAACTCTGCACTGTCTTAATGACTGGAACTTTATAATAAGCCACAATGTCCTGTATGTAGAGTCTCCAGTTTTTTTCTTCTTAAGGTTATCTTGGATATTATGCCCTTTGCATTTTCACACAAATGTGAGAAACGAATTGTTGACTTCTTAGAAAAACTTTGCTGGGTCTTAACTGGGATTGTATTGAATCTATAATCAATTTGGGTAGAATCTTTTCAATGTCAGTCCTTTCAATCCATAAATATGTTATTTCCCTTCCTTTGTTTAGAATCTTAAAATTTTCCCTTTCATTTGCTTAGAATTTTAAATTTTTCTCTTAATGATATTTCATAATTTTTGTGTAAGTTATGGCATAAGGATGGGTAGAGAGTCTTTTTTTTTTTTTTTACTGTAAGACTTTTGTACTGGTTACTTTGTTTCTATTGAGCATGCTGCTTTTTCACTAAAAAAAAAAAAGGAAAAAATATTAAGTTTGAAACACAAAACGAAACCCACACAAACTACACCCTGGGAAGTGACCCTGTTGGTTGCCTAACAGCCATCCTCCCATTCTTCTTTGCTGTCACAGCAAATTTTTTTATTTGGGTTTACTCTCAGGGAAAAGCAAATCCATCTTGCAATCCAGGGTAAATTCTGACTGATTGAATTCAACTCCTGAGCTCCCATTCCCATTGCTAGAGAACGGGTTAGGCAGAAGCTCAAAACCAGGAAGGCAGGAGGAAGTGGGAGCTAAGAGCATCCACACAAAGTTCTAGCATTTGTTAAAAAAAAAAAAAAGAAAGAAAAATCACACAGAAAAATGCACATTTTGGTACAAAAATACAGTTAGAAGGAGTTAGTTCTAGTATTCAATAGTAGGGAGGGAAACTATAGTTAATAATTTATTGTATACATCAAAATGGCTAGAGGAGAAGCTTTGTAATGTTTCCAACACAGGGAAAAGATACATATTTGAGGTGATGGATATCTGAAGTACTCAGATTTTACCACTGTTCATCATATACAGGTATCAGAATATCACACATACCCCCTAAGTATGTAAAACTATTATATATCAATAAAAAATGCAAACCTTTCTTCAAATGGATGTTGGTGTATCTGAATGAAACCAAAGCTGGGGACAAACATTTAACAACCCCTCAGGGAGCTAATCTCCAAGTCAAAGCCATCATGTCTTGATGACAGAGCAGAACGGTGGAGAGAACCTCTGCCTTGATGACATAATTGAACAGCTGAATTAACTTATAACAGAGATGCCCTATCTTTGGGCTTCTTATTTGGGGAGACAGTTTTCCATTACTTGCCGCCAAGCCATCCTAACTGTCATGACACTCTTGCTGTGAAGTGAGCAGCCTTGGAGAAGGAAGATTTAGTGGGAGTTCTTGGACTCTGCATGCTCCTTCATGCTTCCAGATGCCAGCTGTCCTTCCAACAGCACACATCTCTGAGAATCATGCCCTAGATCTCCATAGGACCATTTTCCTCGCTCCAGCAGTTAAAGTGGGCCCCTGAAAGCAGTTGGATGAGGCGTAATGCCTTATAGAGGCCTGTGTTTTCCATCTCTGAGACTCAAGAGAACCAATCTAACAGTGTTTCTCCCATGGTCCTGCTGTTGCTCGGAGATCTTAGTTTCAGGCCTCGGAATCTATTCTAGTTACTTGAAGCAGAAAGAGACTTATTAAAGGGTAGAGTCTGTAGGGGTGGGTGGCAAAGACGCAGGCTCTAGGTTGAGCTTCCAGAAACAACTCCGGAAACCTCACTGCAGAACCAGGCTGCCAAGAACACTGCCGCTCCTGCCTCAGTCAGGAAGTTGCAGAATCTGGAACCTTCCACCAGGGCCACCTGCTCCAGGCCACACTGCCTCTGCCTCAGTTTGGGCTAGGAAGAGGATGCCCACAGCCTGTTTCTCTCCTTATATAACTTATGCCCTTCGTAACTCAGAGTTGTTAAAAACTTTTTTAAAATGCTTAATGGTATAAATGGAGAAAATGGGACATTTCATTAGTGTTATAATTCAATTTTGAATCAAAGTCCCAAGCAACTGGATCTGATCTAAATCATATCTGAATTCTATCAGCAAATGAGGTTGGGAAAGTGGTGGTGTCTGGAGTCCTAGGAGTCTAGAAGTGCCTTTCAGTGGGTCTTGAAGGACATCCAGTCCACACTCTCCACACCAGTCTTTAAAATTGAAATGATACATCCTCATATCAAGCCTGAAACTTCTTCAAATCCAACTTACCAGAAGAGAAGACAAGACTCTTCAATAAGCCTACAGGCTCATCAGTGCTGTCACCTGAGGTGCAGGTTGCTTTCTGCAGCATTTGTGTCATCTACACAACAGGAAGTCAATATCTTCCTAGAAAGTCTGCCTTCAATGTGGCAAAATGAACTTGTCATTCCCACAGTCACCTTTAATGTTTTATTCTCAGTAAAATAAGGATTCTTCTATTGTATGGGTTGGTAAAACTAGAAGTATGGGACACGTGCTAATAATAATAGAAGACAAACTGTAACTGGTCAGAATAACACAAAGCCAGTCTCATCTCAGCACTATGGGTGCTATTTCAGAATCTTCAGTTTGTGCCTGCACATGCAAAGTGGAGGAGAGAATTGCAGCTATTATCAGAATATATTCAAATCTAAAAAATATATTTTTTCCTGCAATTATATGGATGTTTCAGGTAGATTTTGAGGTAATTTTGGTCCAAATAATCTTTGTAATTGCCACAGTTCTCTTGTACATGTACTTCTAGATACTGCTAAAAATACATAGCAATAGAAGCAGTGTTATCAATAAACTCTTTCAATTTCACAGATTCTCTGTGAAAGAAAATGCAGGATCAAGAAATTTCCCTGCTTCCAAATCTAACAAAATGCATAAAATAAGTAAGAATAGCCAAAGGGGGAAAGATGTTAGGAGCTTTCAAATTAAGGAAGAAGTACCACCATACTATAAGGGTTTAAAAATATCTACAGACAGCAGATTCTGGAAATTGACCGTAGCTTATGCTGGACTCCTCCGGAAGCAGTACAGTGGACAAAAATCTGAAGAAACAATGACTGAAAAAGCTCACTGATACCCTTTAATTTGGAAGGAAGCAGGCTAATTGAGAAATGGTAGTTGGAGAAGAAGCTCAAAAGAAAAGATTCAGAATCCCTTTAAGTGATTGCCTCTCTATACCAAGAGAGAAAAGTAGATATTCATTTATCAGAGATAGGAAGAACTACTAAGAATTGGGATTGGTTTGTTTCACTAGCTGGGAAAATAAAACACAATATGCAAGCAGAAAAGGGACAATAGGGACGAACTCTTTATTCATCCATTTTTTTTTCATAACCTTCCTACCTAAATCCCAGAAAGAAGCAGGAGAAGCAAGCAGGGAGAGGAGAGGGGAAAAGAATCACTGAAGGCAGCTTGTCTTTGAGAGAAGAAAAGGCTCTGAGTTCACCCAGGACCTGATGAACAACCTGAAAGCCACGGGCTTTTATCACAGAATCAGAAATAGCTCCAACTCTGCAGAGTAAACCTCAGTACAGGATTTTTAACTAACTTATAGAAAAAGCAGTGTCGAAATCCCCCAACTGTGATACCCATAGCCCTGGTTCCACACTTTCTCCCAGACTTCACTCAGTCCCATCCTTGCCACCATCTCAGACAACAGAAAAGCAAATGTAACACAACTCTTGAATACAGAAGGCCTAAGTTAGCCCTTATCTTTGAGATAAGGAGTCAACGAGAGCCCAGATAGCATGGTAAGAAAACAAAGGAAAATCTACTATAAATAGAAAGGTAAAAGTAAGGCCCAAGTAGAGATTTCTTTTATTAAAAAATAAATAACTTGAAAATAAAAAAATAACAAAAGTAATAGAGGAAAAAAGTCAAGAATGAGAAGTAGCTTGTTAATTAGGAATGCTTTTGGCTCCAAGTAGCAGAAAACCCAGCTACCAGTGGCTTAAACCATATGGTCATTTATTACTTAATGAGACATCTAAAGGCTGTAAGTCCCAAGACTGGCTTGGCATCTCACTGATTTTGTCAGGCACCTAGGCCCTTTTGGTCTTTGCATTCTGCCAGCCACAGTGTACTTTCAATATTGCTCTCATGACTGTAGGATGGCTACCACAGCTCTCAGCATCACCTCCAAAGTATCATCTCCAAAGCAGAAAGAGAGGGAATTATGGCAAAGGACATGCCTCTTCCTTGACAGAAAGAAAACCCTTTTTTAGAGTCCCCCAGCTGACTTAACCTAATATTTCATTGGCCAGAAACAGGTCAGAAATTCAACCGTTAACCAATCATTAGCAAAGGTGAGAGAGTTACCATAATTCAGCCCCTTGGCTGGAAATACAGATATCAGGGACCTATTAACAAAGAAGAAGGCAGGGGCTGGGAGCAGTGGCCCACGCCTCTAATCCCAGCACTTTGGGAGGCTGAGGTGAGTGAATCACTTGAGGTCAGGAGTTCGAGACCAGCCTGGCCAACATGGCGAAACCCCATCTCTACTAAAAATACAAAAATTAGCTTGGCTTGGTGGTGGGTGCCTGTAATCCCAGCTACTCAGGAGGCTGAGGTTGCAGTGGGCCAAGCCAAGCACTCCAGCCTGGGTGACACAGCGAGACTCCATCACAAAAAAAAAAAAAAAAAAAAAGAAGGCAGGAGAAGCGACTAGGTGGGCAGACAAAATAACAACCATTGTTCGGTTCAAATTACTCAAATTTGTTAAGAGAAACACTAGCGGAAATAAAACAGATTATATACTTTCCAATTGCCAAAATAAGAAATAAAAAAAAGATCACAGATCTTAAAGGATAGAAAACAAAGGAAACACAAGACTACTAAAATAAACCAAAAAAGTAACATAAAGGAAGGTGATGAAATATTAAAAGTATATTCAGCCTAATGAAAAATTACTAGAAAATCAAAAACACTGAAAAAAGAAAGAAAGAAAGAGACCAATGATGGCAAATGTGGAACAAGCCTTAACTACGTATTAACCCACATTACTAAAGCAGTGTGGTTCTTATACCTGTATAGGCAGAAAGACCAACGGAATAAAACAGAAAATCCAGAAATCAACACACATAGGAATTTATTACTGTATATGCTAAAGGCGGCATCCCAAAGCTGGCGGTCGTGGGTGAGGGGGCGGGGGAATTATAGACTTCTCAGTAAACAGCATTGAGAAAACTAATTGTCAATATAGAGAAAAAAACCTTGAAACTTTAATTTATTCACTATATCAGGACAAAAGCTACGTTTTTATGTAAAAAAAGAAAAAGCAAAACAAAAAGGAAAGAAAAAATAAATTAATCATAAAATAAAAGCACAAGAAAAAAAAAAACATGAACAAATTTACTTTTTACCATAGAGCAAGGATTGGCAAATCTTTTTCATAAAGTGTCAAATGTTGTAAATACTTTAGATTTGTAAGCTACCACCCTCTCCAAACATCTTTCCCCACAACATAAACTGCTCTAGAATATATAGTATTAAATAAGAAATGTTGTCTACTATTCTATTTAGTGGTTATACATAGTTCCACCCAAAATATAGTATTTTCTCATCATTCACTGTTATACTGAAAACTTTATGTAGTGTGTATTTACCACCATTTTAAAGTCACAACTACTCAGTTATGCCGTTGTGGTGCAAAAGCAACCATAACAAATGAGTGTGGCTGTGTTCCAATAAAACTTTATTTGCAAAAACAGGTGAGAGACTAGATTTGGTCCTTAGCCCTATTTCACAGACCTCTGCTGTAGAGTGTGGAAGGCCTTTTAAATAAACTAAGAGCTAAAATTCAGAAGCACACAAGAAAAGATTGATACATTCAACTTTAAATTTAAAACTTCTGTAAGGCAAAAACAACACATTAAAGTCAAAAGATGAGTGACAAACCACAAATTAGTTTTTGCAACTCATTTCACAAAAGAAGAAACTCTCAAATATATAAAATCTTCTAGAAGCTCTCACCTTCAGTGCCACTTTTTCTTTCTTCCTGATCATTCCATCCAGCAGACCAATATGCTCCCTTTTTCCCCATCTTAAAAGACATTTCTCTTGATGTCATTTCCCTCACCAGTTACTGCCCCTTTTACTACTTTCCTTTGCAGTGAAACTCCCTGAATTGTCTCCAATATCTTCTTTTTCTCTCTTAAATCCTATCTAGTGTCTTTCCTTCTGCCACTTCTACTGAAACTGCTTTTTGTCAAGACTCCCACATTGCTCAAGCCGGTGGTCAATTTTAGCCAGTGGTCAATTTGACTTTACTTTTCAGCAGTTGATGCAGAAGTCCATTTCCTCTTTCTTGAAAAAACATTTGCACATGACATCTAGAATACCAAATCTCAAACTCTTTTGGTTTTCCTCTACCTCTCTGGTCCCTCATTCTCAGGCTACTTTGCTCTTCCTTTCTCACCTTCTGGCCTCTCAATGTCAGCTCACTGCAAGACTTGATGTGGACACCTTCTTGCCTCTTTCTCCACTCAATTCCTTGGTCATCTTATCTATTGTCATATCTTTAAATGTCATCAAAAGGCAAACAACTCCTGAATTTATTTATCAAGGCCTGATCTCACTCCTTAACTCCAGATTTGGAGATACAACTGACATCTCAGGGTCTAATAGACATCCAAATCTTGACATATCTTCAACTGAGCTCCCAATGCCAACCCCAAACCTACTCCCTGTTACTGTTGGGGGCAACCCCATACTTTCAGTTACTCTGGCCAAAAAATCTGCAGTCATCCTTGGCTGTCTTCCTTCTTTCTCACAGATTATTTGCTCTATTTTTAACATATATCTGGAATCCAACCATTTTTCACCCCTTCCCTGCTACCACTCTGCTCATGCCCTCCTTAGAGTCATCATGTCAGGTTTTCTGTGGTCTCGGATGCTCTGCCCCCGTGATTTGCGTGGCTCACTCCTTCACCTTCTTCAAGTCTTTGTGACTTTCTGCATAGCACTCATCACTGTCTCACAAACCAAGTCATTTACTTGTAAAATTGTGTCTCTTATTCATTTTCTGTTTAAACTGTAAGCCTTGTATGTATTTTGTTTTTAAATATATCCCAAATGCTTGGAACAGTTCCTGGCCACAGTAAGCTCTCAAAATATTTATTAAAAGAATGAATAAAATTGATTTTAAAAAGATCAACAACCCAGAAAAAAGGTCAAAGAATATTTTAGATATTCTTATATAATATCTAATATTATATATAATAGAAAATTTTTAAGGAAAGGTAAAAAATGGCTTGTAAATACATGAAAAGATGCTTAATCTCATTTATAATAAAAGAAATGTAATTTAAGATAATTCAAAATACCTCTTCCCCTTCCCCCTTTTTTAATTGTCACATTATAAGAATCCAAAATGTGACTATATGTGGTTCAGGCTGTGGGAAAATGACATCTTTTAGATTGTTAGTGAGAGTGGGACTTTTTAAATCCCCTATGTACAGCAATTTGGCAACTATGTATAAGATTTACAAATGTCTGTTGAACCCACAATCCCACTTTGTTTTTTTTCTTTCCCACTCACCTGGGCTGGAGTGAAAAGGAGTGAAGACGGCTCACTGCAAGCTCAACCTCTCAGACTGAAGCGATCCTCCCACTTCAGCCCCCCAACTAGCTAAGCCTACAGGCTCGTGCCACCACACCCAGCTAGCTTTTTTGTATTTTTAGTAGAGGCAGGGTTTTGCCATGTTCGCTAGCTCAGATTGGTCTTGAACTCCTGAGCTCAAGTGATCTGCCTGCCTCAGCCTCTCAAAGTGCCTGGGATTACAGGTGTGAGCCATGGTGTCCAGCCTCACAATCCCACGTTTGAGAAACTTTCCTACAAATATACATATAAAAAATGACAAATTTATAAAGTTATTAGTTTCGTTACGTTTTAATAACAAAAGACTGGAAACAAAGTGCACATTATAGAGGACTGGTAAAAAAATTACAATACATCTATACAATGAAATTTTTTCTGTCGAAAATTGTTTTTAACAAAGATTGAAGATGGCTTTTAGTTCTAAAATGGAAAGATGTCCAAGAGAGAATATTAAATAATAAAATCAAGATGCCAAGCAGTGTGTATAGCATGTTGCATTTGTTTATAAGAAAAGGAGAAATATAAGAACATATATTAATTTTTGCTTTTATTTGCATAAAGAAAGTTGGGAAACATATGCAAAAAGTTAATAAAAATGATTACCCCAGTGGGAGGTAGGAAAATGAGATAAATGTTGACAGGGATAGGAGCAAGACTTTCAAGTTGCATCTTTAAAAAAAAATTACGGCCGGGTGCGGTGGCTCACGCCTGTAATCCCAGCACTTTGGGAGGCTGAGGCGGGCGGATCACGAGGTCAGTAGATCGAGACCATCCTGGCTAACATGGTGAAACCCCATCTCTACTAAAAATACAAAAAATTAGCCGGGCATGGTGGCAGGCGCCTGTAGTCCCAGCTACTCGGGAAACTGAGGCAGGAGAATGGTGTGAACCCAGGAGGCGGAGCTTGCAGTGAACCGAGATGGCGCCACGGTGCCACTGCACTCCAGCCTGGGCGAAAGAGCTAGACTCTGTCTCAAAAAAAAAAAAAAAAATTCAAATGATAATTCAAAAAATTAATCAAAAGAAATTATGTGTATGCATTAACAAATTTTAAAATAATTTTTTAAACTACATAATATAAATGTACATAGCATAAATTCTCTAAGAGAAAATAATCCTCAGATTATTTCTTAAAATTAAACTATTAGATTATCATCCTTTATCATTCTTAAATTTAGTTTAATTTTTATATAATGGATAACGTGGTCTTCTAGGTTACTAGAAAATATAAATGTTGTGTCCTTATCATCCCTTGCTTCTCTAACATCTAAACTAATTGTGCCATTTCTCTGTCCTATTTTCATAATTTCAGTTCCACTAAGAAAGTTCCCATCTCAAGAGGATGCTGTTTGATTTCTTGTTATTCACCATCCGTGTGATCCATGGGGGGAAGAAAAGGTATTAAAGAAGAGAAGCATATTAATGTTATTACTCCTTTCTAACTTTACAGAGTGGCTACTCTTTTAAATTCTTTTGAGACAAACACCTGAAAGAAAATGTTGATATGTGAGATAAGCAATAAGCAGTGTTTGAATACATGCATATGTTAAAGGACACCATTAAAATTAAAAATAACTCTAGAAAGGAAACAAAGCATGCAAAATTGCCTTATGTGGCTTGCTAGAAGTAAAATAAATGTTGAAAAACTAGAGTTTGTTTCTTAAAAAGCAAGCAGAGCTAAAGGTACGTCTTGCAATCTATAGTTTACTAGTGACAAACCTCGTATATTGATCTCTATGTCTGACTTCTGACTATTGATCAGTTTCCATGGTGCCATGGTGGCGGCAGGAGTGGTGGGTAGTTGTTATTTGTTGGACCCCTAAAACCCTAACAAACTTCAGCTACAAGTTATATATATAATCACACGCCAAGTCTCATGATCATTTAACTCATTTTTATTGAGCACCTACTAAGAGCCAAGTATCTTCCAAGTATACAAGTATGTTATTCTAAGTATGGGGATTTTAATGGTGAGCAAAACGAAACACGTATCCCTGCTCTCAGGGAGCTTACAATTATGAAATGTTAGACACATCAAACTAAAAATAACACTTTGACTATATACCTAAATAGACAGTTAGAGCTATCTTTAAAGATAAAGTTCTTTAAAGGATCTTTAAAGGTAAATTATAAGATATCGTGGGATCATACAATGAGGTGAGTTGGAGAGGAACCTAATCTAGATTGAGGGATCATGGAGAAATGACATATAGAGTAAATGTGAAGGATAAGTGGGAGTTCGCTGAAAGAGAAAATAGAATGATGAAGAGCCCCGGGCAGGAAGTAGTTTGGCATGCTCAGGAGAAAATAGAATGAGGAAGAGCCCCGGGCAGGAAGTAGTTTGGCACGCTCAGGACCCTCAAATTGTCTATCATGTTTACTTACCTATAGTTTATGTAAAATATTTAAATTCTAAATCAACGTTCTGCATACTTTCTATAAAGAGCCAGAAAGTAAATACTTTAGACGTTGTGAGCCATACAGTGTCTGTTGTAACTTCTCAACTTTGTCATTGCAGCAAGAAAGCAGCCATAAGCAATATGTAAATGAATAGGTGTGGCTGCATTCTCACAAAACGTTATTTACAAAAACAGGTGGTAGGGAGGTGGCCCATAGGTTACAGTTTGCCAATCCCTGTTCTATCAGGCCCTTCTAAAACTCAGTTATAAACTTCAGTTGCATAAAGATATTTATTTTGATCAATACATATTTATTGGAAATCTATTGTCTTAATTCATTTGTGTTGCTATAAAAGAATACAGGGTAATTTATAAAGAAAAGAGGTTTATTTGGCTTATGGTTCTGCAGGCTGTGCAAGAAGCATGGCACTAGCACCTGCTTCTGATGAGAGCCTCAGGCTGCTTCTACTCATGGCAGAAGGTGAAGGGGAGCTGGTGTGTGCAGAAATCGTGTGCCGAGAGAGCAAGCAAGAGAGAGAGGAGGGAGGTAGTAGGCTCTTTTAAACAACCAGCTCTCACAGGAACTAATAAAGCAAGAACTCATCCATTACTACAAGGACAACATAAAGCCATTCATAAGGGTGCTACCCCTATGACCCAAACACTTCCCATTAGGACTCACCTCCAACATTGGGGATCAAATTTCAACATAACATTGGAGGGGTCAAAGAAACCAAACTATAGTATCTATTGAGTGCTGGGAATCATAATAGAGATGCATCGTCCCTTCTATTAAGTTAACATAACAAAATTTATAGATATTAAACAAATACTAATACAATAACTAAAGAATACATGTAAGATTGAACTGTAGGTATATGTAACTAATGAGAAATTTAGGTCCTGTTAGAGCATATAATAGGGAACTAATCCAGGCTGGAAGACCAAGAAAATCCTCCATAGAGAAGTGATATTTCTTTTTTCTTTTTTTTTTTTATATTATACTTTAAGTTCTAGGGTACATGTGTACAACGTGCAGGTTTGTTACATATATATACATGTGCCATGTTGGTTTGCTGCACCCATTAACTCATCATTTACACTAGGTATTTCTCCTAATGCTATCCCTTCCCCAACCCCCCATCCCACGACAGGCCCCGGTGTGTAGTATTCTCCACCCCATATCCAAGTGTTCTCATTGTTCAATTCCCACCTATGAGTGAGAACATGCAGTGTTTGGTTTTCTGTCCTTGCGAAAGTTTGCTCAGAATGATGGTTTCCAGCTTCATCCAAGTCCCTACAAAGGACATGAACTCATCATTTTTATGGCTGTATAGTATTCCATGGTGTATATGTGCCAAATTTTCTTTATCCAGTCTATCATTGATGGACATTTGGGTTGGTTCCAATTCTGCTATTGTGAAGAGTGCCGCAATAAACATATGTGTGCATGTGTCTTTATAGTAGCATGATTTATAATCCTTTGGGTGTATACCCAGTAATGGGATCGCTGGGTCAAATGGTATTTCTGGTTCTAGATCCTTGAGGAATCACCACACTGTCTTCCACAATGGTTGAACTAGTTTACAGTCCCACCAACAGTGTAAAAACGTTTCTATTTCTCCACATCCTCTCCAGCACCTGTTGTTTCCTGACTTTTTAATGATTGCCATTCTAATTGGTGTGAGATGCTATCTCATTGTGGTTTTGATTTGCATTTCTCTGATGACCAGTGATGATGAGCATTTTTTCATGTGTCTTTTGGCTGCATAAATGTCTTCTTTTGAAAAGTGTCTGTTTATATCCTTTGCCCACTTTTTGATGGGGTTGTTTGATTTTTTTCTTGTAAATTTGTTAAGTTCTTTGTAGATTCTGGATATTAGCCCTTTGTCAGATGAGTAGATTGCAAAAATTTTCTCCCATTCTGTAGGTTGCCTATTCACTCTGATGGTAGTTTCTTTTGCTGTGCAGAAGCTCTTTAGTTTAATTACAACCCATTTGTCAATTTTGGCTTTTGTTGCCATTGCTTTTGGTGTTTTAGTCATGGAGTCTTTGCCCATGCCTATGTCCTGAATGGTATTGCCTAGTTATTCTTCTAGGGTTTTTCCGGTTTTTGGTCTAACATTTAAGTCTTTAATCCATCTTGAATTAATTTTTGTATAAGGTGTAAGGAAGGGATCCAGTTTCAGCTTTCTACATATGGCTAGCCAGTTGTCCCAGCACCATTTATTTAAATACAGAATCCTTTCCCCATTTCTTGTTTTTGTCAGGTTTGTCAAAGATCAGATGGTTGTAGATGTGTGGTGTTATTCCTGAGGCCTCTGTTCTGTTCCATTGGTCTATCTCTCTGTTTTGGTACCAGTACCATGCTGTTTTGGTTACTGTAGCCTTGTATAGTTTGAAGTCAGGTAGTGTGATGCCTCCAGCTTTGTTCTTTTTGCTTAGGATTGTCTTGGCAATGTGGGCTCTTTTTTGGTTCCATATGAACTTTAAAGTGGTTTTTCCCAATTCTGTGAAGAAAGTCATTGGTAGTTTGGTGGGGTTGGCATTGAATCTATAAATTATCTTGGGCAGTATGGCCATTTTCACAATATTGATTATTCCTACCCATGAGCATGGAATGTTCTTCCATTTGGTTGTGTCCTCTTTTATTTAGTTGAGCAGTGGTTTGTAGTTCTCCTTGAAGAGGTCCTTCCCATCTCTTGTAAGTGGATTCCTAGGTATTTTATTCTCTTTGTAGCAATTATGAATGGGAGTTCACTCATGATTTGGCTCTCTGTTTGTCTGTTATTGGTGTATAAGAATGCTTGTGATTTTTGCACATTGATTTTGTATCCCAAGACTTTGCTGAAGTTGCTTATCAGCTTAAGGAGATTTTGGGCTGAGACAATGGGTTTTCTAAATATACAATCATGTCATCTGCAAACAGGGACAATTTGACTTCCTCTTTTCCTAATTGAATACCCTTTATTTCTTTCTCTTGCCTGATTGCCCTGGCCAGAACTTCCAACACTATGTTGAATAGAAGTGGTGAGAGAGGGCATCCCTGTCTTGTGCCAGTTTTCAAAGGGAATGCTTCCAGTTTTTACCCATTCAGTATGATACTGGCTGTGGGTTTGTCATAAGTAGCTCTTACTATTTTGAGATACGTTCCATCAATACCTAGTTTATTGAGAGTTTTTAGCATGAAGTCCTGTTGAATTTTGTCAAAGGCCTTTTCTGCATCTATTGAGATAATCATGTGGTTTTTGTCATTGGTTCTGTTTATGTGATGGATAATGTGTATTGATTTGCGTATGTTGAACGAGCCTTGCATCCCAGGGATGAAGCACGCTTGATCATAGTGGATAAGCTTTTTGATGTGCTGCTGGATTCGGTTTGCCAGTATTCTATTGAGGATTTTCTCATTGATGTTCATCAGGGATATTGGTCTAAAATTCTCTTTTTTGTTGTTGTTGTGTCTCTGTCAGGCTTTGGTATCAGGATGATGCTGGCCTCATAAAATGAGTTAGGGAGGAGTCCCTCTTTTTCTATTCATTGGAATAGTTTCAGAAGGAATGGTACCAGCTCCTCTTTGTACCTCTGGTAGAATTTGACTGTGAATCCATCTGGTCCTGGGCTTTTTTTTTCGGTTGGTAAGCTATTAATTACTACCTCCATTTCAGAACTTGTTATTGGTCTATTTAGGGATTTGACTTCTTCCTGGTGTAGCCTTGGGAGGGTGTATGTGTCCAGGAATTTATCCATTTCTTCTAGATTTTCTACTTCATTTGCGTAGAGGTGTTTATAGTATTCTCTGATGGTAGTTTGTATTTCTGTGGGATCAGTGGTGATATCCCCTTTATCAACTTTTATTGTGTCTATTTGATTCTTCTCTTTTTTCTTCTTTATTAATCTTGCTAATGGTCTATCAATTTTGCTGATCTTTTCAAAAAACCAACTGCTGGATTCACTGATTTTTTGAAGAGTTTCTTGTATCTTTATCTCCTTCAGTTCTGCTCTGATCTTAGTTATTTCTTGCCTTCTGCTAGCATTTGAATTTGTTTGCTCTTGCTTCTCTAGTTCTTTTAATTGTGATGTTAGGATGTCGATTTTAGATCTTTCCTGCTTTCTCTTGTGGGCATTTAGTGCTATGAATTTCCCTCTACACACTGCTTTAAATGTGTCCCAGAGATTCTGGTACATTTTGTCTTTGTTCTCATTGGTTTCAAAGAACATCTTTATTTCTGCCTTCATTTCATTATTTACCCAGTAGTCATTCAGGAGCAGGTTGTTTAGTTTCCATGTAGTTGTGTGCTTTTGAGTGAGTTTCTTAATCCTGAGTTCAAATTTGATTGCACTGTGGTCTGAGAGACAGTTTGTTGTAATTTCTGTTCTTTTACATTTGCTGAGGAGTGCTTTACTTCCAACTATGTGGTCAATTTTGGAATAAGTGTGATGTGGTGCTGAGAATAATGTATATTCTGTTGATTTGGGGTGGAGAGTTCTGTAGATGTCTATTAGGTCTGCCTAGTGCAGAGCTGAGTTCAAGTCCTGGATATCCTTGTTAACCTTCTGTCTCATTGATCTAATATTGACAGTGGGGTGTTAAAGTCTCCCATTATTATTGTGTGGGAGTTTAACTCTCTTTGTAGGTCTCTAAGGACTTGCTTTATGAATCTGGGTTCTTATGTATTGGGTGCATATATATTTAGGATAGTTAGCTCTTCTTGTTGAATTGATCCCTTTACCATTATGTAATGCCCTTCTTTGCATCTTTTGATCTTTGTTGGTTTAAAGTCTGTTTTATCAGAGACTAGGATTGCAACCCCTGCTTTTTTCTGCTTTCCATTTTCTTGGTAGGTCTTCCTCCATCCCTTTATTTTGAGCCTATATGTGTCTCTGCATGTGGGATGGGTCTCCTGAATACAGCACACTGATGGGTCTTGACTCTTTTTCCAATTTAGCAGTCTGTGTATTTAATTGGGGCATTTAGCCCATTTACATTTAAGGTTAATATTGTTATGTGTGAATTCGATCCTGTCATTATGATTTCAGCTGGTTATTTTGCCTGTTAGTTGATGCAGTTTCTTCCTAGCATCAGTGGTCTTTACAATCTGTCATGTCTTTGCAGTGGCTGGTACCAGTTTTTCCTTTCCATGTTTAGTGCTTCCTTCAGGAGCTCTTGTAAGGCAGGCCTGCTGGTGACAAAATCTCTTGGCATTTGCTTGTCTGTAAAGGATTTTATTTCTCCTTCACTTATGAAGCTTAGTTTGGCTGGATATGAAATTCTGGGTTGAAAATTCTTTTCTTTAAGAATGTTGAATATTGGCCCCCACTCTCTTCTGGCTTGTAGAGTTTCTGCCGAGAGATCTGCTGTTAGTCTGATGGACTTCCCTTTGTGGGTAACCCAATCTTTCTCTCTGGCTGCCCTTAACATTTTTTCCTTCATTTCAACCTTGGTGAATCTGACAATTATGTGTGTTGGGATTGCTCTTCTCGAGGAGTATCTTTGTGGTGTTCTCTGTATTTCCTGAATTTGAATGTTGGCCTGCCTTGCTAGGTTGGGGAAGTTCTCCTGGATAATATCCTGAAGAGTGTTTTCCAGCTTGGTTCCATCCTCCCCATCACTTTCAGGTACACCAATCAAATGTAGATTTGGTCTTTTGACATAGTCCCATATTTCTTAGAGGCTTTGTTCATTTCTTTTTATTCTGTTTTCTCTAAACTTCTCTTCTTGCTTCATTTCATTAATTTGATCTTCAATCACTGATACCCTTTCTTCCACTTGATCAAATCAGCTACTGAAGCTTGTGCATGCATCACGTAGTTCTCTTGCCATGGTTTTCAGCTTCCTCAGGTCATTTAAGGGCTTCCCTACACTGTTTATTTTAGTTAGCCATTCATCTAATCTGTTTTCAAGGTTTTTAGCTCCCTTGCAATGGGTTCGAACATCCTCCTTTAGCTCAGAGAAGTTTGTTATTACTGACTTTCTGAAGGCTACTTCTGTCAACTTGTCAAAGTCATTCTCTGTCCAGCTTTGTTCCATTGCTGGTGAAGAGCTGCAATCCTTTGGAGGAGAAGGGGCGCACTGGTTTTTAGAATTTTTAGCTTTTCTGCTCCAGTTTCTCCTGATCTTTGTGGTTTTATCTACCTTTGGTCTGTGATGGTGGTGACCTACAGATGGGGTTTTGGTGTGGATGTCCTTTTTGTTGATGTTGATGTTATTCCTTTCTGTTTGTTAGTTTTCCTTCTAACAGTCAGGTCTCTCAGCTGCAGGTCTGTTGGAGTTTGCTGGCAGTCCACTCCAGACCCTGTTTGCCTGGGTATCACCAGTGGAGGCTGCAGAACAGCAAATATTGCTGCCTGATCCTTCCTCTGGAAGCTTCGTCTCAGAGGGGCACCCGGCTGTATGAGTTGTCAGTTGGTCCCTACTGGGAGGTATCTCCAAGTTAGGCTACACAGGGGTCAGGGACCCCCTTGAGGAGGCAGTCTGTCCATTCTCAGAGCTCAAAAACCATGCTGGGAGAACCACTGCTCTCTCCTGAGCTATCAGACAGGTACGTTTAAGTCTGCAGAACTTTCTGCTGCCTTTTGTTCAGCTATGCCCTGCCCCCAGAGGTGGAGTCTACAGAGGCAGGCGGGCTTCATTGGGCTGTGGTGGGCTCCGCTCAGTTCGAACTTCCTGGCAGCTTTGTTTACCTACTCAAGCCTCAGCAATGGCAGATGCCCCTCCCCCAGCCAGGCTTGCCACCTTGTAGTTCGATATCAGACTGCTGTGCTAGCAGTGAGCAAAGCTCTGTGGGCATGGGACCTGCTGAGCCATGTGTGGGATATAATTTCCTGGTGTGCTGTTTGCTAAAACCGTGGGAACAGCACAGTATTTAGGTGGCAGTGTCCCAATTTTCCCGGTACAGTCAGTCATGGCTTCCCTTGGCTAGGAAAGGGAAATCCCCTGACTCCTTGCACTTCCTGGGTGAGGCGATGCCCACCCCTGCTTTGACTTGCCCTCCGTGGGCTGCACTCTTTGTCCGCCCAGTCCCAGTGAGATGAACCAGGTACCTCAGTTGGAAATGCAGAAATCACCCATCTTCTGCGTCGATCAGCTGGGAGGTGCAGACCAGAGCTGTTCCTATTTGGCCTCTTGGAACGGACCTAAAGAACACTCAGAAAATATTTCAAGGTAAACCCAGAAGGTTGTGTAGGTGTTGGCCAGGTAAAGAGTAGGGAGAGAGAATATCTCAGAGAGCAGACACAGCACAATGAAGGCCCAAATAGGAAAGCTGATTGGCATATTTAAGGAGCAGAAAGGAGGACAATGGACAGAAATACAGGGAGTGAAGAAAAAAATTATGTTAGATGAGCCTAGGAGGTATGTAGGGTCCAAAATATGTGGGGCCTTATAGTTCAATGGAAGAATTTTGAAAACATTTTACACTTCATATGATATTTAATTAGACATTCATGTTAGTGGAAGCTCCACTTTGATAATCTAAATTTGAGGCCCTTGATGGAGTTTTTCTGAGCTAGACGTATCGCCCTGGTTTCCAGGTATGAAATCTGAGCTGAAGGGAGAGATTTCAGGATCATAAGCTGTAGGAGTAGATGAGCTTATGTGTGCAGTAGAAAGGTTAAGGCTAAGACTATGGGTACAGAAGGGTGAGTCAGCAAAGGAGATGGTGGTACATTCAGAGAAAAAGGAGGTGAATCAGAGAGACAAGAGAAAGTAATGGTTAAGAGATGTCAAATATCTGATAAAGATCCATGTGGTTTGCAATTAGAAGGTCTTACTGATAGCAGGTTTATAACTTGATTCAGATAGAACCTAGATCACAGTGGTTTCATGACTACACCTATGGTGAATAACCAGAGACAATGAATAGAAACATCTTTTTAAAGAAGCCTTGCTACAAGACTTGCTCTTCTGGCCAAGATGAAGAAACAGGAACTGGATTTACCCTCCCTGCTGAAACAACTAAAACACTAGACAAAAATAGATGAAACAACACTTAAAACATTGGACATCAGTAAAGGACAGTAATATCTTAGAGATAGAAAACAAATGACAAGAGCCATACAATGGTCCCAGATCACTGCCTGATATGGTTTGGCTGTGTCCTCACCCAAATCCCATCTTGAATTGTAGTTTCCTTAATCCCCACGTGTTGTGGGAGGGACCTGGTGTGAGATAATTGAATCATGGGGGCAGTTACCTACATGCTGCTGTTCTCATGATAGTGAGTGAATTCTCACAAGATCTGATGGTTTTATAAAAGGTTTTTTCCCCTTTGCTCGCCACTTCTCTCTCCAGCTGCAATATGAAGAAGGACGTGTTTGCTTCCCCTTCCACCATAATTGTAAGTTTCCTGAGGGCTCTCCAGCCATACAGAACTGTGAGTCAATTAAACCTCTTTCCTTTATAAATTACCCAGTCTTGGATATTTCTTCATAGCAGCATGAGAATACACTGCCTGAAGGAGTCATCCAGGCTACAGTGCAGAAGGAAGGAATTGAATCATCCTGGCCAAGGAGCTGGGGCTGGAAGTGTAGGGAGCCAGGGCAGCTAGTGTCCACAGGAAGATTATCAGGTAAAAGAAAGAATACTCTGAAAGTCTGAAGGGTGTCCCCCTTGAGGATTTAGTTGATTATTGATCAGATTATACACAAGAACAAACCACCTGAGACCAGGAAAAGAACTACACAAAAAGATAAGGGTAAACTGTGTCTGATGCTGACCAAGGGCTGGGAATAGTGTCTATCTGAACAGCCAGAGGGGAGAGCTGTGCAATTTGAGGTGTGCGTGTTGGGGGGAAGTCAGTTACCAGTTAAAGTAAAAAGAAGGAATTTTGCCTCAAAGTGTGGAAAGAGTAAACCTAGTCTAAAACCAGCTCTGGTCCCACCTAACAAAACTCACATCCAAGACCTGAATGGATAAAACTGTCTTTAAATTTTTAATTGTCTCAGAACAAGCTCAAGAACAGTCATAGAAAGACAAAAAAACAAATAACAAGGTAAAATCCACAATATCTGACATCCTATCAAAAATTATCAGGCACACAAAGAAGAAGAAAAATATAAGCCATAATGTGGAGAAAAATCAATCAACCCAAAGTATACAAAAATCACACAGATGTTAGTAGTACAAAAGTTATTATTAATGTATATTCAAGAAGCTAGAGAGAAGAGTGGACACGTTTAGATACGGAAGATATAAAAAAGATTCATTGCTTTATATTGTCCTGTAACTTAAAAAAAAGATTCAAGTTGAAACTCTAGAGATGAAAGCTACCAGGTATAAGGTGCAAAATACACTGGATAGGATTGGCAGTAATCAGATATTACAGAAGAAAACATTAGTGAACTCACAGACATAGCAATAGAGACTATCCAAAATAAAATATGAAGGAAAAAATGAGCAAAACAGAAGCAAAAACAGATCACCAACAAACTGTGGGCCAATATACACTCACCGTCTGACTCAGCCATTCTGGTTTTAAGTATTTTCCAAGAGAATTAAAGGCTTTATGTCCATACAAAGACTTGCATATGAATGTCAAGGCAGCTTTATTCGTAAAAGTTTCAAGTGAAAATAACCAAAAATTCATGAGCAGTAGAATTGATTAAAAATTTTGAAGTATATCATATAATGAAATACTGCCCAGCAATAAAAAAGAATAAACTATTGCTACATTTAACAATGTGAGTGGATTCAAAAATAATGATGCTAAGTGAAAGAAGTCAGACAAAGAGTACCTACCGTGGAACTATATTTATGTGCAATTCTAGAAAACGCAAACAAATCTCTAGTGATAGCAGATCAATGGAGGAGGGGGTGAGGAAGAGGCAAAAGGAAGGAATTACAAAGGTACATGTGGAAATTTGGGGAAGTGATGTATAATCTTCATTTTCTTGGTTTCAGTGATGGCTTCCTGAGCATATAACACACATGCATATGTGTAAGAATATATCCAATTGAATATTTTACACATTTGTAGCTTTGTATATATTCAGCAGTATCTATTCATTCCTTCTGCTTCTTTACCTTAGGTTTAGTCATGAAACCACTGGGTTTCATGTGGTCCAGGTTCTATCTGAATCAAGCTATGAACCTGCTATCAGTAAGACCTCCTAATTGCAAACCACATGGACCTTTACCGGTTATTTGACTTCTCTCGGTCATTACCTTCTCTAGTCTCCACTGATTCACCTCCTTTTGAATCTCAACAAGCTCAACAGTATCTCAATGTTATCTTAACAAAGCTGTTAGAAATAAACAACTTGACTTTGAAACAAAGGAGAGAAATGGCTCAGCAGCTAGGAGAAGATGCAGGGTTGAGTTGCCAACAGTTGGTTTTGTTTGTATTTTGGCCAGGGGATGTGGCTTGGACTGGAGAGAAAGGAGATAAGGATGTAAGCACATGTAGGGCATATCACCCCCTATTTTTTATTCTCTGAATCCTTAACCCTCAGAATAAGTTCTTATTCTTGAGAATCAATGACATTATCTTAAGCTAAATTAATCAAGCCTCCACAGTGTTCTTCTCTCAATAGTGGTGTGGGCCTTCCTAGAAGTAATTTTTCCCAAATTCAGTGATACATTTTAAGTTCAGATTTTAATTGATATGAATCTGTGATACACTCTAAAATAAGATTATTTTATTGAAAAGTGGACTGTAACTTTCCCTTTATCTAGGAAGAGCTCTAAGTTAGAAGATGTTTTGCACTTTTACCGAAGGCTGTGTCTTGTAAGCACCCCCGAGCAACTCTGAGAGCCTTGATTTTTGTGTCCTCAGCATATGTTTGTGTAATACAGAAAGAGAAGCAGTTGCCAAGTGAAAGGGATGTTGGTCTCCAAAATTATAGTTTGATCCCACAAACACACAAACACATACATGCAAAGGATTGTTTGCTTCACGGTTTTTGATATTTAATTCAATGCTGTTGGAACAGCACAAAAACTAAGTGTCAGTTTAACAGAATCACTTGTCCTTTTAGCATTAAAATAACATGGAACTTAATGCTTTAATTTCCCAACATGCCTTTTTATTTAGAAAGATTCAGACTTATATTTCATTTAGAAATAAAATGCCATTTTATTTAGAAAGATACAGGAGCATTCATTCACGGAACTTTCAGATCTCAGTCCACTGCATAAAATCTTGATCCTGTAATAATAGTTTCTGTATCTTGCATATTCATTCAACAGGTTTAACGCGATGAGCAAATTAATGTTCATCGTTTTTAACATGTTTCATCTTAATCAGAACCCACATTCTCAACGTTAATTGAACGTACATAGGACTATACAAGGGTTAGTAAATAAGACAGAAACTGTTGTTCATTTAACCACCGTCACTTTGGACCAAAAAAGAAAAAATATATATTTTTAAAATTGAGCTTAAAAGAGTCTCTAGAAGCTGGAAGCGTGGCTCTTTTTCAGCAAACTGGGGGAATAGGTTTACCGTGTTCCCCCTCTGGGGAATTTTGAGTCGCCACACTCATGTCTCGACCGAGCCTGGCTCGCTGCGTCTGAGCGAGTACTTGAGGAAGGCTGATCTAGAAAAACCAGCTGAGAGAAGGGGCAGAAGCCCCTGAAACCACGGGCGGGGGTGGGGTGGGGAGCGCAGCTTTGGGACCCTCTAGCCGGAGACTTCCGGCAGCTGCCTCCGACTTGTTCTAAGTACAGGAAAAATCTGTGCGCCCAGTTGCCTCACTCCAACAGCGCGCAGTTGTGCCCGGCGAGGATGCCGCGCTAGTCGTGGAGATGCCCCACCACAAAGAGGATTCAGGTGCTTCCTACTCCGGCACCCAGTGGGTTGGTAGTCCTGTTGGCAGGAGACAAGAATCGTCTGGGCTGCTCCTATCTCTGGCAGGACTAGACGGGGCGTGAAGGAAAGAAGGAAAGAAGGAAAGCAGGGATCGGGCACTGCCCGAGGGCAGATACTTGGGCTTTGGTGTTGTCCAGCGCGCTCGGAGTGCGCTGCCTCGCTCACGCGGTCCCAGGCCCCGCTTCTTCAGGCAGTGCCTGGGGCGGGAGGGTTGGGGTGTGGGTGGCTCCCTAAGTCGACACTCGTGCGGCTGCGGTTCCAGCCCCCTCCCCCCGCCACTCAGGGGCGGGAAGTGGCGGGTGGGAGTCACCCAAGCGTGACTGCCCGAGGCCCCTCCTGCCGCGGCGAGGAAGCTCCATAAAAGCCCTGTCGCGACCCGCTCTCTGCACCCCATCCGCTGGCTCTCACCCCTCGGAGACGCTCGCCCGACAGCATAGTACTTGCCGCCCAGCCACGCCCGCGCGCCAGCCACCGTGAGTGCTACGACCCGTCTGTCTAGGGGTGGGAGCGAACGGGGCGCCCGCGAACTTGCTAGAGACGCAGCCTCCCGCTCTGTGGAGCCCTGGGGCCCTGGGATGATCGCGCTCCACTCCCCAGCGGACTATGCCGGCTCCGCGCCCCGACGCGGACCAGCCCTCTTGGCGGCTAAATTCCACTTGTTCCTCTGCTCCCCTCTGATTGTCCACGGCCCTTCTCCCGGGCCCTTCCCGCTGGGCGGTTCTTCTGAGTTACCTTTTAGCAGATATGGAGGGAGAACCCGGGACCGCTATCCCAAGGCAGCTGGCGGTCTCCCTGCGGGTCGCCGCCTTGAGGCCCAGGAAGCGGTGCGCGGTAGGAAGGTTTCCCCGGCAGCGCCATCGAGTGAGGAATCCCTGGAGCTCTAGAGCCCCGCGCCCTGCCACCTCCCTGGATTCTTGGGCTCCAAATCTCTTTGGAGCAATTCTGGCCCAGGGAGCAATTCTCTTTCCCCTTCCCCACCGCAGTCGTCACCCCGAGGTGATCTCTGCTGTCAGCGTTGATCCCCTGAAGCTAGGCAGACCAGAAGTAACAGAGAAGAAACTTTTCTTCCCAGACAAGAGTTTGGGCAAGAAGGGAGAAAAGTGACCCAGCAGGAAGAACTTCCAATTCGGTTTTGAATGCTAAACTGGCGGGGCCCCCACCTTGCACTCTCGCCGCGCGCTTCTTGGTCCCTGAGACTTCGAACGAAGTTGCGCGAAGTTTTCAGGTGGAGCAGAGGGGCAGGTCCCGACCGGACGGCGCCCGGAGCCCGCAAGGTGGTGCTAGCCACTCCTGGGTTCTCTCTGCGGGACTGGGACGAGAGCGGATTGGGGGTCGCGTGTGGTAGCAGGAGGAGGAGCGCGGGGGGCAGAGGAGGGAGGTGCTGCGCGTGGGTGCTCTGAATCCCCAAGCCCGTCCGTTGAGCCTTCTGTGCCTGCAGATGCTAGGTAACAAGCGACTGGGGCTGTCCGGACTGACCCTCGCCCTGTCCCTGCTCGTGTGCCTGGGTGCGCTGGCCGAGGCGTACCCCTCCAAGCCGGACAACCCGGGCGAGGACGCACCAGCGGAGGACATGGCCAGATACTACTCGGCGCTGCGACACTACATCAACCTCATCACCAGGCAGAGGTGGGTGGGACCGCGGGACCGATTCCGGGAGCGCCAGTGCCTGCACACCAGGAGATCCTGGGGATGTTAGGGAAAGGGATTGTTTCTTTTCCTTCGCTCTATCCCAGGGCAGGACAGTATCAGGCACTTAGTCAGCTCTAGGTAAATGTTTGTACAGGGCACACTCTACACAAAATGGGTACCTTCCATTTTGTGCAACTACAGTCACAGAGTCGTGATCCCCAGATTCAGGTTCCCCAGGCTGGTAGGCTGGCAATCTCCTCTCACTCACCTCTTATGGTTTGTTGTGGTTCTTACGGCAGTGGGGCCCGGTCCAGAAATCTCGAAAGTACCCAGTGAAAGGGGCAAGAATGCGCCAGAGAAATGCTGTAGGGGGAAACGCTAGCAAGGTGTCTAGGAGAAACAGAACGACCACCAAAGAAAACCAAACCAAGGAGTAAACTGCAGGGTTGCCACAGACATTGTCAGACTTTCCGGCCTGCCCAGGGCTAATTGAATGACAGTATTTAGAAAAAGACAAATAGAGCTATTTTCTTTTCTTCTTCACTGTGTTTTTTTTGCAGTCTCACTCCCATATTTGAAAATTCTAGTCCCAATAATTAGAGATTTAGCCTGAAAACAGTTTATCTAAAATGCAGAGGTCTCCCTATTTTATAGCTGGTGAATTCTGAAAAGAAAGTGCCCACTTGGTATTTCATTAAGAAGAAACTTACGTTGGTCCAGTAACTTTAGGATGAATTCAGGGATTACATGGAATCTGAGAAATTGTAAACTTTATTCTGAACATTCCGAAAGTCAAAATGAAATGCCATATTTTCACTCTCAACATTGACAATTAAGGGAAAAATCAAATCCAAACTATTTTACAAATTACATAGGATTTAAATTTTGTTTTCAAAATTGGTTGATCTTAGTTCTAAATCATTTAATATCTTATTTTAATTACTGAGATTAAATGATTTTAGTCATTTGACCGTATCTAAAGGATAAGCCCTTTAGAAGCATTAATGTTAGTTAACATGTTTAAATTATATGTTTAAAGTATTGTGGGGTTTATATATTTATTTATTTAGTCCATATTTTTACTGTTTACAAGTCAGGGAGTAGTTGGAAAGGATCCAAAAGGGGGGAAGATTTATACTTTTAAAATAAAGTTTGCTTTTTCCTGTTTCATCAAAAAGGTATTTAACATCCTAAAACACTTTTGAAAAAGCCCCAATTTATATAGAATCTGAAAAACATGAAAATGCCAGAATTAAATAGTAGTTGTTTGTGATCCCTTGAAATCTGATCATTTTAATTAGCAAAAAGCAATAATATTTTATATTCCATACTTCCCAGAAAGTTAATTGATTCAAATTCTTGCTATGTTATGCCGTCATGCAGATCAAAGAGAACTTGTACAAACAAAAAGATATTAACTGTTTTTTCTAGAAAAACCTTTGTTAGTTATTTAGCTGTAGCATAATACACAGTAGAACTCATTTTTCCGAAGATGATTGCCATAAAGCTTTACCATTTTACAAAGCTCTAGCATTTTAAAATGTTTTCCTAGGCATTCTCTCATTCAGTCGTTACCTCAAAGCTTTGAAGGGAGTATAATTATCTTCATTTCACAAATCATGAAGCTAATGACATTTCATGGAAGCTATTTTTATAGGAATTATGGAATTGGAGCCCTCCTTTGAGTGTCTTTGGATGTTGTCACCACCATCAACAGGCAGTGTTATCTCCAACATGTTTGATGAGAAAAAAACATAAAGGAAAGGGACTTGGGTTTCATGGCAAGAGATTCAGCTTAGATGGGAATGAGCTGGTCTCTGAGGCAGAGTTTCCTGTCTCATCTTTGTATAAACTCCTTCTTAGAAACCAGCAGAGGCTCTTAATGTACGTCCATCTTCTCCTTCCCACCACAGACACCCACTCCTATGTGCGTTTCTGAAAATTACAGGGTCATTTGTGGATGTGCTTTAATTTAGTATAGATATAATCTGATATCATTATCTTTCTTTCCCCCCGCCCCCCGCCACCAGCATTCCCCCTGCACTCAATTTGTGCTTATATTCCTTTTGCTGTATATATACCCCTGGCTCATTGCTTCTGGAAGCTGCATTACTTATTCTAGAGTGTGGGTCTCCTACAATTTATTTATATAGCCCCCTAAATCAGTGGTTCTCAACTGGGGGTGATTTTATGCTCCCCAGGTGTGATTTGGCAGTGTCTGGAGACATTTTTGGTTTTCACAACTGGAGGTGGGCACTGCTGGTACCTAGGTGTATAGATGCCAAGGAGGCTGCTAAATATCCTACCATGCCCAGGACAGCCCCCATTACACAGAATAGCCAGTCCCAGAGAAACTCAGCCTTAGATTAGTGTTTCTCCTTCCTGGCTGCACATTAAAATTATCAGGGGAGCTTTTAAAATACACTGATGCTGGGATCCACCCCTGACCAATTAAATCAGACCCTCTGGGATGGGGCCTGGGCTTTAGAGTGTGTTTTTAACACTCCCCAGGTGATTCTAATGTGCAGCCAGGTTTGAGAATCTTTACTCTAAGGACTCAATCTTTGAAAGTTACAGCATTGTAGAGGGGAAGGATGATCCAGAATTAATTAAAGAAGGAAGAAGAGTGAACAGTACTGAACTGGATGCAAGATTATGACTGTGCAAATCCTCCTATTTCAGATTTAGGTTCTTTACTGGTAAATTGGATAAAAAGTTGGCAGTTCTTTTACTCACTGGAGCATGATGAAGATAAATGAGTTACAGTTGCCCTAGACTTTTACGATTAGTAAAACCAATGGATGGACAGAATAAATAAGTATAAGCAGACACCTATAGTCTAATATCGCAACTCCAGAAAATCTTTGAGAAAATCTCACACATGATGGGAGTGGGACAGGGAGTTGTTTTGTTTTTGCTTCCCTTGAGTCTCAGCAAAAGAACAGTCATAGAAAATATTTCCAAAAAATTTAGATATAATTTTGCTTGGCAATTAGAATATACCCTCTGTCAGCTTTGTTCAGTTGTTGGACCTATTAACCAATCCATACCAGACTAATTTATTTCTAAACAAAGTGGCGAATGGTGTCCAATGCCTTTTCTGAGAAAGAGAAAAATGGCCTCTTCAAAAGACGCAATTTGGTATAGACTTGTCTGGCCGTTTTGTAGTGTTCTGGAGTGGGGAGCATATACTACCCTCACAGGTAAACGAAACCTTACCTGTATGTATTGTCTCACCCATATCCTGCTACAGGAGAAAAAAAAAAAAAAAAAAAAAAGAACATTTCCATGGATCAGTTAGATTCCTTTAGACTTACAGGGAGGCTAAAATCACAGCATTAGGAAAGACTTTAGCATTTGGCACCTTGAATGAATATGGAAAATATAAGACCCAGGGTCTGTTGGTAGCCAGAAGAATGGATGCATTTCAACAGCAGTAATTTGCATGCGTGTATCACTTTGTCACTTTGAAAGCATTGTGACTCACATTTCACACTGGATGTTCACAAAGACTCTGATTTAAGCAGGGGTTGTTTTACAAACGAGAAAATTGGGATTCAAAGACACAGGTGGGTCTTGGACGGCAATCTGCTGATTTTTTTTTTCTAGGACTGTCTTTGAAATATCATCTGGTCTCCTTGTTAAGATTTAAACTGCTGTGTATCATCAGAACAATAGCCAATTAACTAATTGTGGAAACATTTACAATCATGCTTCCATGTTTTCAAATTTCCTGTCACCTAGTTATAAAAGTATGTATCTCTATACATATTATTTGTGGTTGTTTAAGAAGGCAGGAATTTGACTAGGAATTTTGGTTCGGTTTAAATAACCTCCTAGATTATTTATTATTTGAGCAAAGTTTAAATATATATACAAATAATTTGAAATAATATTTATGATAATGTTTCGATAATATATGCTTCATACACCTAGCTTGCTTGTTACAGATGAACACCTGACAATAATGTTTAGTTTTCATATCCCAAATAGGAGACTATCTTCCTTTTTCCTAAAGGTTTTTATGCCTATTCCAAACTTGCTTTAAAAGACTTTTTTTTTTCCAGATATGGAAAACGATCCAGCCCAGAGACACTGATTTCAGACCTCTTGATGAGAGAAAGCACAGAAAATGTTCCCAGAACTCGGTATGACAAGGCTTGTGATGGGGACATTGTTGCAGAGCTCAAGGTGCCCAGGGGAGGGAAGTCAGAGACAGGTGCCTGGTGGGAGGCACCACCAGGCTTCTAGACTAGGGGAGATTTCGGCAGAAATGAGGATGAAGAAGCAGGCAGAGGAGACCTCTCTTTTCATGTACTCATTGTCAAATCTCTAAACTTCTGTGGAATAACATTTTTTTAGCTCAGGTTATTTGGTGCTCCTTTGACGATTTTAAAAATAATTGACTTTTAACTTAGAAATTATATAGAATTTCTAACATTGTTGGAGTCAGGGGAGCATAGAGTGAGTCCCTGACTCTAAATTGAAATGACCAACTGTCCATCTCTGGCTGGGAAGATCTGTAGATTTTATATATGTGGAGTGTCCAGATGTCCTAGGAAATGTCCCATGTGGTTTTTACTCCAACTTTCCCAGTTTTACATGAAGCTGTAGGTAAATTAGGTGCTCTGGATTACTTTTTGACATATTTTAATTCAACTTGTGTCATATAGTGATTTATTACATTCAACGAATGCACGTTGAATGACAGTATTCTTAGGAGTTTATCTGTAGTCTCAGGACTTTCTTGCAGTTTGGGTCTGTCTTGGAAAGAGGTGCCCACCAATGTCTAAGTGTTAAACATTGAGCTAAGGTTTTCTGGTGCCTCCTGGACAAGGAGTGCTGCTGAAGAGGAGCCTGGTCCTCTTCCATCTTCATAACCTCCTGACTCTTCAGTCCTTGCTTCCTGTCTCTAACCACAGTAAGATCATAGTTCACAGGGTCCACCCACGTCTGTGGCAGCTTGGCTGCCTTAAACCAAGTTCTACAATGTCAAGAACCAAGTTCCCCAGAAGAGGTCACTACAACACTTGCTCAGTGAGTGTGACTGACGTGGCTCTCCATCAAGTTCTCCCTAGAGACTCAGCAGGGTGACCCGCTGGGCCACCCACCTTCCCTTCTAACCTCCCTCAGTTCTCTTCTAAAATGGCCAGCCAGCATGAAGGGTGTTAGTATAGAGTTGTGAGATTTGTTTTCTCTAAAGGGAACAACGATTTGAACTGAGATAAAACTCCAGTGCTCCTGTCCCTGGAGGAACCAGCCCAGACTTAAATAGCAAATGCAAGGGAAACAGGCAGAAAATTTGTAAGGGTTATCTTTTTTTAATTAAATAATAATAATAATAATTATTATTATTATTCAGAGACAAGGTCTCCTTCTGTCACTCAGGCCAGAGCACAGTGGTGCAATCAAAGATCACTGCAGCCTCGAGCTCCCAGCCTCAAGAGATCCTCCCTCCTCAGCCTGCCCAAGTGCTAGGATTACAGTTGTGAGCCATAATGCCTGGCCAGGGTTGTCTTTAACACTAAGCAGTAAATGTCTTTCCATGTTTCACTGACATGCATATGATGTTTGCCACAGTAAAAAGTTTAGGGTAGACTATATCGACTTACTGTTAGAAAAATAACAACGCAGACCTACTTAGAACCTTGGTTTTTGTCTTTGTTTTGTGGCCCAAGGTCACACAGTTAGTGCATGAAGTAAAATTAATTGCAACCTGATTGACAGACTCCATCAGGTGCAGTTAGAAGGAGACAAAACTTGACGGTCTTGAAGTTGCCTATGAGTGCTATTTTATTATAAAGGTCTTATTATAGTCTAATAAGTAGCATCTTACTACATAATAAAGCTGGCAGGAAAAGGAAGCATATTTAGAGTTGAGGAACAATAACTTTCCTGTCACAGCTTCATGTGATTTCTGTAATTTTGATTTTCAAAAGATCGGGGTGTTCTTCGGCTCCTTTGATACATACAGAGCCTTTCAAATGCTCTCTCTGATGTTTGCCCAAGACGCCTGTCAACATCGTGGAATGCTGCTCAGCTGGGGCTGTGCATATTGTGCCTCCGCCTCACGATCTGATATTCCACATGGCTTCTTATTTAGAATGCCAACAGGAAACTTTTCAACAGTTCCCGGTCATCTTTCACTTCAGATCTAAATGTCTCACCCTTGCTCATACCTCAGGAAGTTGGGCAGCTTTCCTTACATGCTTTGCTTCTTATGTTTTACAGGCTTGAAGACCCTGCAATGTGGTGATGGGAAATGAGACTTGCTCTCTGGCCTTTTCCTATTTTCAGCCCATATTTCATCGTGTAAAACGAGAATCCACCCATCCTACCAATGCATGCAGCCACTGTGCTGAATTCTGCAATGTTTTCCTTTGTCATCATTGTATATATGTGTGTTTAAATAAAGTATCATGCATTCAAAAGTGTATCCTCCTCAATGAAAAATCTATTACAATAGTGAGGATTATTTTCGTTAAACTTATTATTAACAATTAGTCATTATAGTCTCCCTCAACTAGCAGATTCAGGGTTCGTTTCGCTAATATTAAAACAGCGGCTATGAAAGATATGAAGATATGATTATTCATGATAACCAAGATCAGCTGTGTGGTGTGTGTGTATGTGTGTAAAACATATAGATGCATTTGAAGATATTGATCAAAGGAATGCTAATTTGGGAAATTTTTCTGAGCTTTCCCCCCATTAACATTGGAACCCTTTTGCTAACCTTGTTAACCAGTGCTGTCAGCAGAAGAACTTCCTGACTAACTAGAGCTTTCTGTGGAATGTCCTTTATCCCTCTGTCTAATATGGCAGCCACTAGCCACATGTGGTTTTTGAGCCCCTGAATGTAGTAAGTGCAAATAAAGAGATGAGTTTTAAATTTTATTTAATTTTAATGAATTTTAACTTAAATGGCCATTAAGTCTCTAGTGGCTACCATATCAGACCGTTGAGGTCTATACATCTATTTTGGTCACTACTGTTAGAATTTGAGTGAGAAATACAATGAGTGGGATGATTATCTTTTCATACAACATGGGGCATGTTAATTAATTTAGCTGAAATTTATTAAACTTCCTCCTTCAAGTACCTACTTGCATGGGCTTACTTTAGAATGAATGTTATTATATTTTTACATGTCATTTCTAAATCAAAGAAAATGAGTCTCATCCCATACTGGTACTTCATACCACACTGTAAAAAATATGTATAAATATGTTTATATGACATCTTAAAACTTTACCAAAAAATGCATGAATAGCAATATTCATCATGACCTAGGGAATCTTGTAGAATATACAATATTCTCTGCATATAAAAAATTATAACTTTTTTTCAGGCAATGGAGTCAGTGTTGCTGCAAAATGTAATTTCCTTTAATGAAACTAAGATAAAATTGTTCCGCAATTTCCCTAAAATTTCCTTTATTTTTATTTCTTTATTCTTGGAACTAAATACCAATATGTAAAGCATTTTTAAAATCTAAAAAGTTAAGTAAGTCATAATTTATTACACATCAAAGTTATTAACCTAGTATATCTGGGAATTTTCTTTATTAAAATTAGTAATACACAAAGAAAGTTGACTGAAAAATCCATCTTTCAGCACAAATAAGCTGAGTACTCATCACCACGCATATAGTCATATACCACTTCACAACATTTTGGTCAATGATGGCCCACACGTATAGCAGTGGTCCCATAAGATTATGATACTGAATGTTTACTGTACCTTTTCTATGTTTAGATACAAAAATACTTACCATTATGTCACAATTGCCTATAGTATTCAGTACAGTCACTTGCTGTATAGGTTTGTAACCTAGGAGCAATAGGCCATATCATATAGCCTAGGAGTATAGAAAGCCATACCCATCCAGGTTTGTGTAAGTACATTCATTCTATGATGTTTGCCCAACAACAAGATCACCTAACAATGCATTTCTAAGAAAGTACCCCTATTGATAATTGATGCATGACTGTAGAACTCTTGATTACATGGAGAAGAGCAAACAGGAATAATGTATATTACCCCTTCAGAGAGAATCCAGGAATTCAATTTTAAACAAAAATTTTAATCTCTTACCTCATCAAACCTAAATGCCTAGAAAACTTAGCATTAAACAACCGCCTTTTACTTATACTCAACCCAGGCCTTGATCCCTCTGCTTCTTCACCTCATCTTATTGGAAGGAGGACTTAACCTTCACACCGTGTGGGCCCCATGAACCTGACTCAGTGACTTTCAAGCTCTCTGACCTTCAAATTCACTACATGGCTGGGTTCTCATCCATGAGATGGGGATAATTATTCCTGCCTAAATTTCCATGTATACCTTTATGGGAATCAAAATTCAGGTTAAGATAACGTTACAAGTAATAGAAAAGAAGTGGGTAAAAATGAAGTTTTTGATGACTCCTGTGTTGAATTCTAAATCCCTAATGAACCAGAATTAGCTTTCAGAAATAAAAAGATAGCAAACTTTTAAAAAACTGCAAAACTGCATTTCAGGAGATTCTCTATAGTAATATTTCTCAAACATTTTCAGGTTTAGAATGGGAATAGGTTTGAAATACGTTTAAATAGGTTATAGAATAGGTTTAAAGGCACTGGATCACTCAGCTGTCATTGCAAACAATAATGATAATGCTTACTAGAGTTATAGTAAGAACAATCTAGCCTTCATTAATGAGATCCCTATGAGCAACATAATCATTATCAAGTAAATCCATCAGCACTTATTAAGGTCTCCTCTCACCCTAGCTCTAGTCCATCATCTATGAGGTATAATGTGTGCATAAATTTTGCAGGTGTCATGTTTTTATTTTGATTCCTGCAATACCCAAGACATACTCAAGCAGATGAATACTCCCCCAATTTTCACAGAAAGGCCTATAGGAAGTAAGTGACTTATCCTACCTCATTCAAGTTAGTGGGACAAGACAGCAGCTCCTCTTTACTTGAAAACTTTGCCCTGCTTGACAATGTCTTCCAGCAGTGAATGCAAATGGAGATCAGGTTGTGTATGATCTAGTTAAGAGCATAACTCTGGTGTACCACACTGAAAACAAATTAGAGAGTAACGAAGTACTAAACAAATTGTGTGAGAACTATTGAGAAAAGGAAATTAGTGTGGGCCGACTAGTTGAAAAATGCTTACCAGAGAATGTGGATTGACCTGAGAATAGGAGGTTTTGGGTCTGGGCTAAAAACTGTGTGGATTAGCACAGCTTGTGAAGGGAACCTTCAGAGCTCTACTTGACAGGAACAGAGAGAGAGTAGCAGAGGCTAGATTGATGAACTAGGTCTAAGAATGGCCAAACTCATTCATTCACTTAACATATTTTCATCACCTAATATGTATTGGTACTAAGCACTGAGGATACAATTGTGCTAAGCAGTGAGGATACAAAGATTAGTTTCTCAGGGAATTTACTATCTAATGAGGGAGGCAAATAATTACAGTACATTGTTGGAAGTGCAGAGATGTGTCAGAGGTCTAAGAAGTAGTTAGGTGCTAGAACCTTCCCACTCATCATGCTTCCCTTTGCAGTTTCCTAACAAGGGAGCCGTACATATAAGAGTCAGTTGCCAACTAGGAAACAGAGCCAGGTGAACAAGCATCCAATGAGGCCCAAATGTAGGGCTGCCTGGTAAGCTGAATCAGGGTGCCTGGCTGCCGCCCAAGCCTCCAGAGCACCCCGTTTCCAAACCAAATCTCAGCAGCCTAGTGAAGAGTGACAGGAAAAGTAAGGTTTCTGGGGAAGATTCCCAAATTCACTTACACAAATAGCCACATAGATCAGAAGGGCCAGCCTGTCACTTCTAGCAGCAGATGGAAAAAGAGAAACGCCACTTGTGACTGCTCATTACCTTTCAGTTGTGTCCCTGCCTGTTAAGACAATGTGGCCTAATGAATCAGTCAGAATAGCAACTGTCTCCCATGCAGAGGGAGACAGGAAAAGAGAAAGAACAGAGGCCAGAGGTCTCATGGGTTAAGGCTAAAATGTGGACATCCTATAGACCATTCAAATTCAATATGTTGGCTGGGCACGGTGGCTCACAGCTGTAATCCCAGCACTTTAGGAGGCCAAGGCAGGCGGATCATCTGAGATCAGGAGTTTGAGACCAGCCTGGCCAACATGGTGAAACCCCATCTCCACTAAAAATACAAAAATTACCTGGGTATGGTGGCACATGCCTGTAGTCCCAGGTACTTGGGAGGCTGAGACAGGAGAATCACTTGAACCCGGGAGGTGAAGGTTGCAGTGAGCCAAGATCGTGCCATTGCACTCCAGCCTGGGCAACAGAGTGAGATCCTGTCTCAAAAAAAAAGTTCAGTATGTCCAAAATTGGTATTTCCTATTTCAGGGGTAGCAATATCTCCTTCCTTAACAAGAAGTGGGCCGTGCTTTTACTGGGATAGTGAAGGTCACTCACCCCAGGCTGAGGAGAGTGCAGGAGTAGGACAGACTTCCTAGGGCAGCTGACTGATGCTTGAGCTGAGGTTTGAAGGATGAGCAGCAATTGCCAAATGAAGAATGCCAGATAGGAGGTAGAGAACATGCAGATATGACACAGTAATGCATATTTTGATTACTTTTTAATTATTTGTGATTCCCATACTTTGAATTTGATAGTGGCAGGCCTGGACAACTGGGTTATGTTCTAAGGCGAAAACCTCATTTAGAACAAAATCAAGTCTAGTCTCACAGTCATCTCAAACTCTTTTCTCCCAGGCATTCCTTATTTTTTATTTATTTTTTTTAAAAACATCCCATCTGCTCTTCCTACAGACTTGACTCCAGGGCATACTGAGGCCTCTCTACCAATATTTTTCCTTCAGCCAAATTAGGATTAGACTTCTCAGACTGAGATCTCTTAACCATAATCTTACGGACAAATTAACAAATTCAGAGAATAAATGTTGTAGGGTGGTTCCACACCCAGGGTCAGGAAGGCAAGGATTCGCTATTTCTTTGGAATATTTTATCTTGCATCCTCTTTCCCCTGCCTAGACAAGGGTCAGAACAGAAAAACAGATTTAAAGAGAAGGAAAAAACAGCACCGGCTTGGAGTTTGCACACCATCGTGTGATGCTTCCCATTAGGTGAAGTAAAGATGGTGGATGCGGCCGGGAGCGGTGGCTCCCGCCTGTAATCCCAGCACTTTGGGAGGCCGAGGCGGGCGGATCATGAGGTCAGGAGATCGAGACCATCCTGGCTAACACGGTGAAACCCCCGTCTCTACTAAAAATACAAAAAATTAGCCGGGCGTGGTGGCGGGCACCTGTGGTCCCAGCTACTAGGGAGGCTGAGGCAGGAGAATGGCGTGAACCCGGGAGGTGGAGCTTGCAGTGAGCCAAGATCGCACCACCGCACTCCAGCCTGGGCGACAGAGAAAGACTATGTCTTCAAAAAAAAAAAAAAAAAGAAAAGAAAAAAAAAGATGGCGGATGCAAGTGCTCAATATTATTAGATGGGTGCAAAAGTAACTGTGGTTTTTGACATTGAAAGTAATAGCAAAACCAATTTCTTTTCACCAACTTAGCACACCCATGTGCAGGTCCCACATGTGCTACTGATGACAGGAAGGTAAACATGATGATGGCAGTTAATTATCTCCTCTCTTTCTAATGCACAAACATTATGCTTATATGGTTACATATTAATATGTATACAATAGAAAATTGTTCTTTTCTCCTCCATGCAGAACATTGGAATCATTTACAATGTCATCAGAACTAAACAAATACCTTTTCTATCATCATAAAGGAAAACAACCTTTTGAATGAGGTGTTTCAGTGGGATATTCTTTTATCATGGTTCTGGGTAGGAGGAATGTAATATTGTCACAATAAAATTATTGCCTTTTCTTCTGCCTATTAGAAAAATCAGCACAGTGTGAAATCACACAGGATCTTTTTCTCTTTTTAAAATCAGAATGGAATAACATATAATTAATCATATGTGTCATACGGGCTCATTTTTTTTAATGTGCTAAGTAATAGCTATCAATTTAAACTCATTCTGATGCTGCAGTATTCAAATGCTGTGCAATTATGGGAAGGGTGGTATGGATATGTTGATACTGCCCTTGTTGCCTGACGCACAGGATTCTCCACGAGAGCTAGTTCAGTCTGAAGTTGATTGTAAATACTGAGAATGATCCCAGAGGAGCCAGAACAAGTGCAATGTTTGTTGAACAGCCTCACAAAGGTTTTTTGTGGTTCTTTCAGGAGGTACAGGTAGCATTTATGCAGGGTCTTGACAAAAATATGAAAGTTTATTTAACCATAGCTTTGTGGATCTCTGAAAGTTACTGGTTGAATACACAGTTCGTTTCTGTCATCTTGGAAGTTTGATTTACCTGGCATTACCTTTAATATCAAGTTCTTAAAAAATCTTTTTTTTTTCCAAAGAGTCTTGAATATTGAAGTACCAAAATTCTGTGAAATGCTTTTTGGGTCACTGATGATTTTTTCCTGGCTTTGAATTTAGTGAAGATTTTGGAGTTTTCACCAATTGTTACCACTTATATTGCATACTAATGTATTGGCTCTATTTAGGGGGTATATTTTACAACTCTTTATGTCCTTGGGTAAATTATTTTGATATTTAAACATAAAGAATTTGTTTTTTTTCAAACTGTTTTATCTATAAGACATGGATTCCTTTGATTCCCAATTTATTCCTAATTTCAGAATTCTTTGCTTTTTCAGAATTTAATTGAATTTTAAACTGATTTGTTCGGTGTATTTATCTGAAATTTGACTTCACTCATTAGTTTGGCTGCTTTACTATGGTATTATGAAGCAATTTAAGTTGAAATGAGAATCTTTCTATAGAATATAAAAGTCACATTTTACCCTTTCTTCTCACTAAATAACACCTTACTATTTGGGAATTATCTGTTAGAGAGAATAACATCATTCAAATAAGTTTTCAATTAAAGCTTGCCTAGAATAATTTGAATTTTATTTATTCTAATACCTGTATCTTTTCTATCACTGCCAAGTCTTCTCGAACCAGAACGGCCTACTGAATTAACTGGTCTGTGAAATTTAATGCAAGAATAAGCAATGTTGGCAGAACATATTTAATATAGTCACTCTTTCTAACAGGCTGGATTATTGATCAGGTTAAAATGGAACCAGCTGATCTCTAATGGGTTTCTAGAGTCCCAAGGATGTTATCAATTTCTGAAATATTCATTGAATAGTCTCCCTGTGACTGGTACTCTGCTAGGTTCTAGGGGTGATATAAAATGAGTGAGACAGTTTCCCTGCTCTTAAAGACCTAACAATTTATAAAGGAGATAGACACATGCTTAAGGAACTATAATGCAAGGCAGATCATGATCAATGTTTAAATAGAAGCATAAAGTAAGTGCTATGGGAGAACAGGGGAGGCTGAAATCATTTCCACTAGTATATGTGAGGAATGGGAAGTGTCATTTGAATTGGACCTTGGTGGATGGCAGTTGTTCAATAGCCTGTGCTTTACTTTTGTGGATGTCAAGGTCATTATTAACAACATCATATTCCTAGAAAAATGGCTGTGCAGTACTTAATCAAGCTCCAACTGGGATTCTGAAATCACTGTCTGGGGAAGTGGTGATGGACCATGCATCTCAGAGTGAGCATCTGTTGTCTGAGTTGATATGTGTGGGTGGTGGGATGAGAGAATAAGGACTGTGGAGGGGATATGACAGCATCTGATCCTCTTTTGCTGCTTATACCTCCACCCTGAACATGGGGGCCTCATTTTGGGCAACAATCAGAGAAGAGCATGTGATCAGAGCTAAAAATATCATGTTTTTGAAAGATGTGTTTTCTAGGCATAGGATAAGGCACACTGGGGTCTAAGGGATAAAATGTAACAGACAGGAAATGCTTATTTTATCTCCCCACGCAGAAGCCAGAGCTATTCGTCCCTGGGGGCTCAGGTGACTGTCAGAGATCAAGTGTTGTGCCCAGCCATACAACAGGAGGAACTTCGGCTCCTGGCAGAGCAGGGTTCCGATGAAGCAGCAGTGGCTGAGGCAGGCAGATCAGTTTTGGGGTGTTGGCCTGGCAAGGTGACCAACCATTCTGGTTGTCCCAGGACTGTCCTAGGCTTAGCATTGAAAGTCTTGCCTCCTGGGAAATCGCTCCGCTTTAGGCAAACCTGGATAAGTTGGTCACCCAACTTGGGAAACAAACTGCCATTTATGATCTTGTTTTAAGGGAAAACATGCTTGAGTGTCAAGCTGCTTACAAGTGGGCATCTCAACCAGCAGTCAGCATTTACACACCTGAATATAAATGTTCAACTGCATGCTATTTTCCTAAGCAACCTTACAGTACATTATTCCCGTTAGATAATTGTAAAAGGTAATGTAAAAATATTCCCATGATGGAGAAACATCAGCTGTGAAGACATTAAAACATCTTATAATTTCTAGACCAGCCACTTTCATATTGTAACATTATAAATACATTGGTTCTATGAATGCATAAATATTTAATTTCATGGATAATTAACTCTTCATAAGAAAAATGTTTTCTGCTTGAAATCCTAAATAGCTATTTGCCTTCTAAAGTTATAAGTAAGTTTTGCAGGTTTTATTTGGTGATAAGAAATAGGGCATGAGGGAACTAACATTTATTTAGAAACTAGTATAAATTGGCCCTTTATTTACTTTAATTATTTTAATTATCACTGAAACCATGAGAGGCAGAAACACTGGCCACATTTTACAGATGAGGAAACAGGCTCAGAGAGGTGAAATGAAACAAGACAACAAACGTGGTGGTTGGCGAGGCTGGAACTTTAACCAAGGCCAGTCTGACTATATACCAATGTTCCTTGAGTTATACCTTTTTACCCACAGGTAATTTAAATCATTGTGTGACATCATGCACTATGGTCACAAGGGAGAGGCAGCACTGAGAATTGCTAAGATGTCAGAAAGACCTGGGATCCTTATTATCATGTACCAACCCTCCTTAACCTCAAAAATGCATTTCATCTAGAAGTCTAGTGTGTCTAATACTCATAACAGCTATGCTAGCTTTAAAAAAATTGATATTTACCTATTTCTTTTATCTATTAACCTTCAACCTTTAGTAGCCATTAAGTTCTAGTTGTATCTTTTGTAACACAATGTAGCTATTTGAAAAATGTAAACAAAAAGTTCTCTTAACTAGTAAATTTAGACTATTTACATTTATTATGATTACTGAATATATATGGATCTATTTCTACAACTTATTTTGTTCTTTCTCTTTGCCATGCTTTTTTTTTTTCATTTTTTTTCTTTTTCTTGCCTTCTATTGAATAAATCAAATTTCCTAATTCCACTTCATATCTCTGCTAGCTTGGATACTATATTTTCTACCTAAACAAAGTAAGGGCATTAAAATCTGTTCAATTACAATAACCCGCTCTAGACATTTTGTTTGTTTGTCCTCCCAAGCTAGAAAGGCATTTTTTTTTTAAATGTATAGTCAAGGTTTATTTATATTTACTCATGTTTACCAATGTTTTGTTGTTCGTTGTTCATTATTACTTCTTTCAATGTATTCCTTCTTTCTGGGTTCAAATTCCTTCTTCCTGGAGTATATCCTTCAGTAGTTCTTCAAGACAGGGTCTTTCAATGCTAAAATATTTTAGTCATTTCTGTAAATATATGTTTTTCACCCTGACTCTTGAATGACACTTTAGCTGCATACAGTGCTCTACATCTCCAATTTTCTGTTAACACTCTGAAGCTAGTATTTCAATGACTCCCAGCCTCCACTGTTGATCTTGAGAAGTCTGTAGTCATTCATAACTTATTTTCTATCTTTTTTTATCTTTCCACTATGGTTGCTTTTCATCTTTTCCTCTATGGTTGATTGTAAGAATTTATCTTCGTCTTGGTGGCCTGAATTTCAGGATGATGATGTGTTCAGATGTGGGATTTCTTTTTATTATCCTTGTAGAGACTTATTGTGGTTTTAAATACATGAATTTATGCCTTTTATCTATTCACAGCCACCTCTTTAAATGTTGTCTCTCTCTTACTTTCTATGTTCTTTTGTTCATCAAATTCTATTGAGTAAACTTTCTTATTCTGTGTTCCAAATCTCTTAATTTACTTCTATTTCCCATCTATTTTTTACAATCTATGCTGCATGCTGAATAATTTATTCAAATCTTTCTTCTAGTTTCTGAATTTCTCTTCAGTGGGTCCTTGAGCCCTTACTACCTCAGTGTAGTAAGTGTACCCATCTATCTTTTGTGTTCTGCTTCCCTGTGGAAACTCCATATAACTTGGATTGTGGGAATGATCCTTCAGAGCAGCTTTGTATTTATATTTGCCAAGTATGCCAGGGGAATCACCAACCATCTCATATCAATTTTTTGGCTTGGTGACTTTTGGATTATGGGGGTAATAGAAATCTAACTGCCAAACCACCATGATGTACAACTAGGGTTTCAGTTCCCTATGAAGACAACCTCCCCACTTTTATAGCACAGGCATGGACAGGCAAGCTAAGCCATGGGCATAGTTTTTTCTAGTCCATCCTTTCATTATTTGTTGTATCTGTAATAAACCGCTATTTGATGGCTATTTGTGTTTATGCTGAAAGATCAGTTCCACCTTCCCAATTCGCTTGGGCTGGAGGCCTAATTTATCACCCTCGTGTAAGCATTAAAATCTAAGTTCCTAGTTTACTTGAACTTATTCCTGGTACTATCTTAGAAAGGCTGAAGCATGAGCACAGTTGCTTAGATCTTTGATTTTTTAGTTTTAATTTTAATTTCTGGTACTGTTATTCTTTTTGTGAGCTCTATTTTACATTTTCAACATTGTATATTCTATTCAGCATTTCTAATTTGTTTGTATCATCTTAGTACTTGAATTTTACTCAACTGGATCTTACAGTCACAGATTCTCCACTCGTTACTATGTCCTGTGTGTCCACAAAATGGCAGTCATTCCTTATGTCTCCTGCATGTACACGAGACAGTTACACAACTGTATTCAGGCAAATGTATCAGTAAGGCTACCATCAAAGAGAAAGGAAGATGCACATAACTTTATACCATAAATAGTTAAGGAAACCACAGAATAGTGAGAAAATCAGCTCCTATCAAAGAAGTATGGAATAGAAGAAAGAATAGGCACTTTCTTATAACAGGAGTTATAATCATGCTCCATCACTTACTACTTGGATGATCTCAGCCAAGTCACATTCTCTGTCTCCCTTAGTTTCAGCTTCTGAAAACATGATTAATACAACCTTGCACAATTGCTAGAATTAAATGAGGAAATGAATAAGATACTTGACAAAATACCTGGCATATAGTGAGTGCTCACTAAATTCTTGTTCTCTCCCTCCACTAAGACATAGCAAATAGGTGTGTATGTTGTCATACCATTAATTAGGGATGGTTTTACAAAAAGGGATTTCAATAGCTAATTTAGTTACATCATCAACCTGGCCTTTAGAAATCTGAGTCCTATGGATTCAATAGGGAAAGAAAGGACCAATAAAGATGCAAACCCTGACTTGTCCCTCACTCACGGCACCTACCACATTGATGACCTATAGCCTCTGAGTCCCAGATTGCGGGATCTCTCTAACAAAGTTGGCAATTAATATCTTTGAAAGATCTGAATGGGGTCATTGCTTTAAATTCCTGTTGCATCTGATCTTATCAAGGAGAAATGACTTTGGTATAACTGTTTACCTATGCATAACTGTAGAATGTTTCCCCATTGATGTAGCATTCATTCTCCCACATCTCAGCTACTAAAGTGTGAGGGGAGGCAGTAAGTAAGAAAGACAGCCACATCCCAGGCCACTTCTTCATAATGCCAAAATCGATGTCAGTGTTCCACAAGGATCAAGAGATAGGAGGAACTTTAAAAATAATTAACTTGTTGGAAATTGTCAAACCTTGTTCCTGGTATCAGTCCCTAGCAGCCTTTATTGGTAGTTTTTCATAACAGAATGATGAATAGTAATTACATCCTGAAAGATTACAATGCAGTTGCTCTAGAGGAACAACTTATACTAGAGAACTAAAAATTGTCTTCTACATTGTTAACATGGTATTTTCTAAGATTGGGATTTGCCAGAATGTTAAAGGTGGACTGTTTATTCATTTATAGCACAGACATTTATTTGTGGTTCATACTATATCTCGAAAAAATTTTTTGAAAGTAACTTTCCTTGGGAATAAGTTGTCATGGTCTATAGTACTGCAGGATGACTAGAGTTAACAATAATATATAGTTTCAAATTGATAGAAGGAGGATATTGAATGTTCTTAACACAAAGGAATGATAAATGTTTGAGATGATGGATATGCTAATTACCCTGATTTGATCACTATCTATTATATATATTGAAAAAGGTAACTTTTTTTATTCCAACCTTGTGGAACTTAATTTTCTTGCAAAGTAACTTTCACATTGATGGTGAGAAGAGTTAAACTTACCAATTAAATGTAACTCAATCTCCTCTGACTCATTTTAGGTATGTAATCAATTTAAATTTCAAACTCTATATCTGGATTGTTTCTCTCCTTCAAAAGTTTCCCTTCCTTTTTCCGACATATAATCTAAGTGCAAGGAGAAGCTTGGTGTTGGGGGAAGGACTTTTGACCTAAATGTTGCCCTCCAGGGACTTCTTACCCCCAAAGAAGCAGCAATTTATTGCCACTCGTGTCTGGGCAGCAGTAGCCTCTGCCCTCACTCATTATTGAAGTGCTCTTGGCTGTGATCCCTTCTCTCAGGGTGGTTCAAGCATCATGTGTCCTGTCTAACTGGGCCTTCACATTGCCTCTCATTATGCTGTTGATCCACTAATCTCTGGCTGTGAATCACATCCATCTAAGAGGTTGAACACTTACTCTCAATCCTCTGCTAGAGGGACACTGTGCCCTTCAACTGAGCACACGTGGTCCAGCCAGCACTCTGAGCTGCCTCCCCTGCCATACACACAGGAAAGCAGAGGGTATTGTCTTATCCTTTTATCCACCTAAATATTGCATGTTGCCATTTTTTTTTCTACTCTGGACACCAGTGTTGGAGAAAAGCATCCTACAAACCCCTTCCCTTTTTCTGGGTTTTCTATATTCTTACTTCTCCTCCATTCCCCATACACACTGAGCTAACCCCAAAGAGCAGCAGCATTTGAACCATAGTCTTATCATGTCTATATGTTGTTTTCTGTCTGGTAAAAGGGCCTCTACTTGTCCTTTCCACCTGTTGCCTCTATACCATATCGCCTCTTTCTTCCCACCTTCTTTGTTCTGGGCAGTAATCACCTTCCCCTTTCCTAGAGCCATAAAACAGCATTAATGGTGGAGGGGGCATTAGAAACTAAATTGCTGAGAGGAGATATGCCTAACGAGGTATTTCAATGACATCATCTCTGTTACATACTCAAGGACAAGCCAAAGTAAAACATGTAAAAACAGCGGTGGTACAGGGAAGACAGGGTGTCAAGTAACAGCTAATGGCAGAGCTCAGCTCAGCCTTGCAGCTCACGTGTTTCAGGAGAGCCTCCTGGGACCCCAGTGGCTGGTGGTGTGAGGCCCATGGGGCAGTGAGATCTTGGTCTCATTCTTGCACCGTCTCCAGTACAAGTTCTCTAGTCCTGGAGCTTTGACAAAATTTCTGTTTTAGGTAATTCTGAGATTTTTGTGTCATTGGTCACTCCAATCACCTTGCAAAGTGAAACATTAATCCAATCTTCACATTTCAGAGGTGACGAGACTGAGGACAGCAAAGTTAAGTACCTGTCCAAGAGCAGGGACTCAAATTCAATTCTTTTGACTCCACGTCCAGTGCTCTACATGATTAATGCTTCACAGGTAGAGCAATAAAATAACATGAATGAGGTGAGGAGGGGGCAGGTGGGAAGGCCCTCTCCAAAATATCTTTCTAATTAACCTGCTCCATACTTCAACACCATATGGTCCTGTTAAAAAGCAGATAACATATACCTGGGTGGGGGTAGAGGGCAGTTTATACATCATTGTTGAACATTACTAGCTTGGTGTGAATAGTTTATGAGTCCCTTTCCCAGGGACAGCCATCTGAGAGCAGATTTTAATGCACAGACACAGATAAAGCAGGACATGGGTCCTTCCCAAGGAGGGATCTTGGCTGGGGAGTGTGGGTGTTTTGGGTGGAACAACAGATAATGAGCATGAGCGAGGGCAGAGTGGAGCTGGGGAGAAGATTGAGGAAGGGGAGGTAGGAGGACTCCAGAGACAAACCAGACCTGCAGCGGCCATGGGCTATTGCTGGTGCTGGACTGAGGCATGGGTTACCTGGCCTCTGTAAGCCTCAGATCATAATCATTTCTGCCTCTCATAAGACTCAAGCAAGTTGGTGATCTGAAAGTATTCTGTAAGCACTAAAGCACCATACAAATGATAGCCATTAAGACTATTGATGTTGTTATTATTACTGAAGACCACAGGAATCATTTTGCAATATATTTTTTGATTTATTGCAAAATGTCCTTGTAATCTGTAAACTTTTTCATTTGCTGTACATTTTAAAAAGTGACAAGAGAACATGCTAGTTCAATGAGTATATAAAATTTTCTTTTTAAAAAAAAGTGAATATATTTTCCCCATTTACTTGAATAACATATTTTGAGATTGTGGTAAAAACATAATTCTGCAGCCTTTGTTCCCTGCTATTTGGCTTATGAATCTGGTGATGTGTTTAGGAGAAACAAAATGTTACCTGCATGTGACATGAGAAATTTACACGAAAGGCTAAGTACCAAAGCTAATCAATGCACCCAAAAGTTGTTGAGTTTTCAGCTCACAGGTAAGCTGAGTGGCAGGAGGAAAGGTGAAGAGCTCCCTGTAGTGGATGCTGTGGTGTGCTGCCCAGATTTCCCCCTCGGGTGTGAGGCACTCACTTCCCTAAGTCCTGGGGATGTTGACTCTCGGCTGAGTCTCCCTCTGGGAATTACCCTCAGCTGAGGACAGCTGGTTCACTCAAGGTCAAATCCCCTCTCTAGTGGCAGCCCCCACCCAAGTCTCCTCAGTGCAGAGGTATAAAGACCAAGCCCCCTTGCCCTAATTTGGGACAATTCTCCAGAATGTGAGACAAGACTGTGGGGACCTTTTCTATGACTGTATAGTAGTTCAGTTTTTCTCTCTCCAATCACAAGAGCACTCCCCAGGGAACTTCCTGACCTCGAATCTCCATCCAGAAGCTGTTTATCTGGAATCCAAACAGAGACACTCCCCCTGCTGAGGCTGGTGGAAGCTCAAGAGAGCAGGGAAGCAGGGCTAGTTATTCCAGATGAGATAGAGAGAAGCTGGGAATGAAGCCACTCTCTGCCGTCCTTCGTGGGGCTTGCTTGTATAAGGAGAGGATTATTTGTACTTGTTCACTCAACATGTAGCTGATTAAAAATTAATTTAGGCAACAGAAATAATGATGGAGCCTTTTGGAGCAGCGATGTTGAGTCAATAGGGAGGATGTTTGCTAAAGATCTTATTTTAGGGATCAATGTCTTTCAATTGACCAGTCCTTAAAACTTTTTTGCAGCATAGGAAACTGCAAGGCTGGCAATGTGGTAAAATTCCTGTTTTATATATTTACTAATTGCAGCGTTTCCTTATCTTAACATATAGTAAGAAAAAGCTGAGAAAAAATAAACAATAAGCTAAAAATACTTACTTTATCCATTGTAGATTACTAGATTAAAACACCCTTATTATCTGCCCATTGGCAAAGGTGAAAAAAATAATGTTTAGTGTGGGTGAGGCCATGAGGAAACAGTCACTGTCATAAAATATTGTAAAGATTTCAATTCTCTCTCAAACTAAAGTAAATAAAATACTGATTATAAACCCCACTGAGATCTTTACAAGCAGATTCTAAAATTCATCTGAAAGAGAGAATGAAAAAACACAAAAGGCTTTAAGGACAATATACCAAACATAAACACTTAAACTATAAAACTATTGGAGAAAAAAAAAAACTATAAAACTGAAGAAATGACATGCATGGCAGTGATTGACAAAAAGAGCAATTAATCATTGATACAGAATAGAGCCTGAAGCAGAATTTGTTAGATGACTCATTTTATATCAGTAGGAAAAAGAGGAACCTTTCATTGAACGGTTTTATGTCAACCGAGAAGATAAAGTTAAGTTCCTGCCTCACAAAAACAAATAAACAATAAAATAAATTCTAAGCGTTAGTTGGACATCTTCTAGAAGGGGTCAGATGGTAAATATTTTCAGCTTTGGGGGCAATATAATTTCTGGCAAGTATTCACCTCTGCTATTGTAGCACAAAAGCAGTCATCAACAATATGGAAACCAATAGGTATAGCTGTGTTCCAGAAACACTTTATTTACAAAGATAGGCTACTTGGTGGTCCCTGGATAAAAAACTATCAGCATTAAAAAAGCAAACTATCATACAAAATTTTGGAAAATTTGTTATAACATCGGCATGAGGAAGTCCTCACAAGACACAAATAAAAGAAATTTACTGGAACTATGTAGTCTGGGCAAGAATGTAAGGCAAGGCTTTAAAATGTATTCCTTTGAGGCATTAATTTCATTACAAGGAACTTATCCTGTAGAATAGATTGCATCCATACACATTGATATATCTACATCTCCATAAACCTGTGTACAGAAAAAGTTGAAAATAAACCACATGTACATTAACAGAGAATTAATTAAATTATGGTCCATGGGTACCAGGTCTAGCAGTTAAAAAGAAAAAGTTCTACATGTACTGCTATGGAAAGATATCCCTGATACACTGTTTTAAGAAAAGCAATTACCTTATGAAGTGTAGAGTAAAATCTCAGTTTTGTTATATATGATGTATATTGTATATATGTGTAGAAACAAATCTAGAAAGATAGACATCAAATTGGTTACCTCTGAGAGCAGGGTGGGGGTGGGGTGAGCACTGGACTTCCTATAGTATATCTTCTTACTGTATATCCTTCTATATGGTTTGAATGCATTATTGTGAGCACGTATTAGCTAAAAATAGGAAAGAAAGACCTTCTAAGAGGCGGCACTCAGAATTCTGAGAAGTGCAGCATGGAATTAGATGACTCTGGCCAATTTTTTAGAGACAGAGATGAGAAGAAGGAGAGGGTGTAGCTGTCTTACGTGTTGTCGTGGAAACATTCACAGTGTATGACATGCATACAGCCATGTCATAGACATCTGGGAGTGGGAGGAGGCAGATACCCACATGAGGTATGTTATCTCATGGACAGGAGGTAGTGAGGATGAAATGGGAAGAACACACCTTAGACTATAGGTGTAGTCTTTGTCACTGCTTGGCTTCCTGCCCTGGCACTTGGCCTTCAGGCTACTGAAAAGATTTGTGGCCAGGGTTAATGATATAGCAGATGTGTAACCCAAATATAACTGTCACCCTCCTGGCTCACGCTCAATGCAGCATCTCATTCAAACAAACAGTGATCTCATTAAGAAGTCTTGAGAAACACCAGAGCCCTTTTACTGCAGTTGTCCATAAAGTGGTGGCTTAGGCCGGGCGCGGTGGCTCACGCCTGTAATCCCAGCACTTTGGGAGGCCGAGGCGGGCGGATCACGAGGTCAGGAGATCGAGACCATCCTGGCTAACACGGTGAAACCCCGTCTCTACTAAAAATACAAAAAAATTAGCCGGGCGTGATGGTGGGCGCCTGTAGTCCCAGCTACTCGGGAGGCTGAGGCAGGAGAATGGCGTGAACCCGGGAGGCGGAGCTTGCAGTGAGCCGAGATCCCGCCACTGCACTCCAGCCTGGGCGACAGAGCGAGACTCCGTCTCAAAAAAAAAAAAAAAAAAAAAAAAAAAAAGTGGTGGCTTAAGGGTTTTACAAAACAAACAAACAAACAAGACTTCCCAGAAAGCCTCTTTCATCATCTTCTTTTACTGATGGCAGCTGCTAAAACCTCTGTCTCATTCATGTAGCCCCTTCACAGACACATGGTTCCCACATTTTCTTTGTCTTTCCCCAAACAATTTAGCTTACACATGACACCTGTGCACAGGTCCTGGCACCATGTAATCTGTCTTCAGCCAAGTCTGCATTTCCTATGAGAATCATATTGCCATGGAATGTGGTGAATAAAAGAAAAAGTTGAAATTTTCAAGTGGCTTCATGACTAGGATCCTCTTTATTCCTCCAGCTTTATCTATCCTTCCCTCATGCAACTCACAAATTCTCCAAGTTCACCACGCTGGCCTCTCAATTTTGAACACCATTCCTCCTTCATCTGACTAACTTCCATTCAATTGACAGGTCATAGCTTACTTGGTATCTCTTCCAGGAAACCTTTTGGGATACTCCTAGAGCTGGTTAGGTGCCCCTTCTCTACAGCACCTTCCCTGGCACCTCTGTTGACATCATTGGCCCTGCTTTACAGCTGCCTTTTGTGCCTACATGTCACTCCAACAGAAAGCAAGTTCCATGAGGATCAAGATCATGTTTGTCTTGTTCACAATCTCATTCCCAGCAACTGGCACAAAGCCTGCACCTAGAAGACAGTTGACAAGTGTTTGCTGAATGCTTGAAAACAGAGACAGGCTGGGCGTGGTGGCTGATGCCTGTAATCCCAGCACTTTGGGAAGCCAAGGCGGGCACATCACTTGAGGTCAGGAGTTCCAGACCAGCCTGGCCAAGATGGTGAAACCCTGTCTCTACTAAAAATACAAAAATTAGCCGGGCATGGTGGTGTGTGCCTGTAATCCCAGCTACTTGGGAGACTTAGGCAGGAGAACTACTGGAACCCAGGAGGCAAAGTTGTAGTGACCCGAGATCGCGCCACTTCACTCCAGCCTGGGAGACAGAGTGAGACTCTGTCTCGAAAAAAAAAAAAAGAAAAGAAAACAGAGAAGCCTAGCTTGAACAGCTCAGGCAATCTGAGTTATGTATCTTTTGAGGCCCTTTTTTATGCACAAAAATACTCTCAAATATCAGCCTTTTTAGTTTTAGTTTTAAATTCAGTCTATGATTCACATTCAAGGCCAAAAAAATTATTTTCACAGTGGGAGCCCTCTAATTTAGCCTCTGTGAAAAACAGAAAACATATTGAATGTCAGTCAATAGAAAAATGATTGGATAAGACATGAAGCATTCGTATTTTGGAATATCCTACAACTTCTAAAGAAAAGAAATTAGAACTGCATGTGCTGACCTGAAGGGATATCCATGATACATTAAGTGAAAAAGACAGGTTGCAAAGCAATCTTGTGTATTAGGATGTGATCTCATTTTTTAAATAACAACAACAACAAAAATGGAAGGAATGAAAAGGAAAAAACACATATAGGAGTATATATATTTGTATATGTGTGAATAAACATAGATTGGTGTGAATGAATTCCTGTCACACTATTAAATTTGCTTCCCTTCAAAGAGTGGGAATGGAGAAGAGAAAATGATGAACTTTACACATCTTTGTAACATCTGATGTGTAAAAATGAATATGTATTTTTAATATCCAGTAATTTAATCCAGTGGCAAATATGGAGATCACCGTAGATCCCCCAACTTTCAAAATATTGTATATCTGTGCTTTATAAACCTGAGTATGCGTAAGGATCACCTGGAGGTTTGTTAAAATTCATATTGCTGGGCCAGTCTCTGGACTGAGATTAGAGCAATTTTCAAGTGTAGTGCTTGAGTACCGTTAGTGATGGGGAAAATGTACTCATTCTGTTCAGTGGCACTTATCAACTCCTCAGAATCTGCACTGTGACTCTGGGATCAGAAGTCGTCCTACATGTTCAAGGACATTATGAGTGTGGGGCTATAGTTGGTTATCATTATTCTGAGCCTTGCCGTATCTTTCCCACCATATTCTTATGGTAGGCAGTTGCTTCCCTGCTTGCTGCTTGAAATAAGGTTTTGCCGTTATTGAAGATGGAAATACGGTGGACATATTGGAAGGCGGCAGCATGCTGGATCCATCCAGCCACTGGGTGAAGGGTTTAGGACAATCAGAAAAGGAGAGTGGAGTACCTTTGGGCCAGAAGAGCAGGGAGCAGTTACTACTCTTTCACTCCATGGGACAAGGAGAAGGAATGCTTCTTAGACACGCAAGAGGGTAACTGTATAGAAGGGTAGCTGTAGCCTTTGGTAGAGGGAAAAGACCTGGAAGGGAGGAAGCTGGGGGGAATAAATACCCCACCCTAAGACTTTCTACCCTCTGATCTCCCTCTGTTGCTCCCCACTGGTTGAACCAACCAGAATCCAAAAGGCAAGAAGCCTTTTCATAGAGTCCATGCAGGTCAGCCTCCTGGAGCACATAGCAGGACTGAAAAGCATGGAAGAGGAATTACAGGGTCAAGCAGTGGATACCCACACACTAACCAATTAATTGCTTATATTTTTCTTTTTATGAATACATGAGAGTCATATATGATTCAAAAATCTCTGTAAATACATCTAAAATATCTCATTTATCAGGTATACAATGAAAATTCTAAATGATAGCAAAGTTCTGTTTAAAATGCAAATTGTAAATGATAGAAAGCAAAGCTCTGTTTAACTGTAGGAGCTCTAAAGCCTGGTAAAGCTTCCAAAATCCAACCTCACATCATACTCTCAAATCAATTCCAAGTAGCACATAGAACTAAATGTAAAAGAAGAACTGATACAGCTTTTAGAAGCTAATGTTGGAAAATACTTTCTTGATTTGGAGCAATCAAAGATGTCTTTAACAGGACATAAAGAACAATAACAACAAATAAAAATATTGATAAATGGAACTACATTAAAATTAAGAACTTTGGTTTATCAAAAAGGATATGAAGAGCGAAAAGGAAGCCACATAGTAAGAGGAGTTATATGCAACACGAATAACATATGCAGAACATAAAGAATCCTACAAAACAACAGACCAGGCCAATCACCCAACAGAAGAAATGGGCAAGAGACTCCAAGAAGTAGCCAATACACATATTAAATGTGTTCAACCTCCTTAATTATCCAGAAAATGCAAATTAAACTCACAACAAAGTACTAGAACAAACCCACTAGAATAGCTAAAATTAAAAATATGGACAAGACCAAGCATTAGCAGGACCATGGCAGTATGAGAATGTTTATATGCTACTGATGAAGTATAAAGAGCTTAACCACTTTGGAAAACTGGTTGGTATCACATTGTTATGTTGAATACAAACATACAATATGATCCTGCAATTTTATTTCTAGATATATATCCAACAGAAAAGTGTGCATATGTAAATCAAAACATGAACAGAATTATTCAAAGCAGAAGGATCATAATGTCCCCAAACTGGAAATAAGTCTAACGCCCATCAATAGGAGCATACTATTCAGCAATTAAATGAATGATCTACAGCCACACATAACCACATGATGCATAAATTTGCATTCAAAATCAGGCAAAATTATTCTGTGGTGTAGAAGTCAGAAGAGTGGTTATTTTTGGGGAGAAATAAAGGGGCCACTGATTGGGAGGAGGTATGAGGAGCTCATGCAGTACCAGTAACGTTCTATGTTTTGACCCGGGTGGTAGTTACATGGGTGTGTTTGCTTTGAGTTAATTAATTGAACTGTACAATTAATATTTGTACTTTTTTTTTCTGTTTGCAGATCCCAAGTTAATAAAAAGTTTAAAAACAAAGAGCTTTATAAAAGCTTGTAAGAATTAGATATAAAAGAACATGAGGTAAGACCTGATTTGGGAAAGAGAAAGTCTGGGATGGATGTAAATGACTGAGATTCTATTTTAACCCCCATAAGCACTGACTATAATAGATCATCATGTGTTGCCTCCCAACCCAAATCTGGAAAATCATGTCCTAAAAAGAAATTGTTATAGACTTTAAATTTCACCCTATCATCCCTGCCCATTTCCAACCAGGCTGAAATTATAGCTCTATTTAAAAGTGAGTTCATTTAATATAACTTAAATTGACTGGCTTATCTGTCGAAGCCAGCACTACATTTCACAGCCCTTCACATGCCAGCAAATGCATACATAACACTTTGTTCTTTCCTGTTCCCAAGGTCTAAAGAGCCTGCACATGAACAAAACAAATCCGTAATACAAATTATGGGTATGGATAATATAAAAGCAATGGACCAAAATTATGCATTTTAACAATTTCTAAATAATGTTTTATACCTAAAAGCATAATTTGAGGAACTCAATAAAGCAATAAAAATCTGTTAACATTTCTATTAGTCCAACACCATCTCCATTTCTTCAGGACACCTAGCACATCTCAGCAGAATTTAACAGTCACTGCAGTGTGAAGGGCAAAGACCCCCAAACTCTAGCTACCAACCTGAGTCATATCAAGATTCAACCCAGTCAGGGGCCTCATGTACTGATAGGAATTTGCTCTTATGTTTCTACTTGGGTGTGACAATTAACCCACCCAGCACACTCGAATCAGTCAGTAAAATAAACGTAGTTGATATTGTCTAAAACTTGGCTGCAATCACACGGAACTAAGCAATGTGCCATTTGAGCCTGTGGTCATTGAATATTGCAGACCATTCTCTGGGTCAACAACCACTTCTGAGTGAGTGCCCATTTGTACCTGGCACCTGTCTGGGTGCTGCAATTACAAAGAAGAATGAGGCCCAGTTCTTGTCTTGAGAGTTCATGATCATCAATTTATTCTAGGGAATTTAGATATTATGTATAAGCAACTTGAATAAAGCTAAAATCCTTTCCATTTTACCACCTAGAGAGAACATCTTGATAAATAAGCTTCCATTTACAAACACCCAAACAGTTTTTTCTTTTTTAAAATCCCAACATGCTTATACTGTACATACCATTGTGTGACCTGCTTTTATTTTCATTAGTATTTTGGAAACATCTTCCTACTTTCAGAGACGCTGCATGTGGGTGAACCATGTCTATCCTGCTCGTTCCTGAATTGAATCCCTAGCACCTGAAAGGAGTTCCTCCATCAATAGTCATTCCCTCCAGTCTCTCTCTCTTTTTAACAGATACTTCACAAACAAAATGGGAAAGCTTGTATGTTTGACTCCCACTAGAAGTAAAATGAGGGAAACTTTACAGTTTGCACAGAAGCTTTTTATTGTCCCAACATCCCTTAATAATGGTCTTTAAATTTACATATAAAAATATATTTTCCTAAATACTTTTTTAAATTTAAAAAAGAGGCTGGATGCAGCAGCTCATGGCTGTAATCCCAGCACTTTGGGAGGCCAAGGTGGGATGATTGTTCAAGGCCAGGAGTTTGAGACCAGCCTGGTCAATAGTGAGACTCTGTCTCTTAAAAAAAAAACAAAAAACTAGCCAGGTGCTGTGTCATGTGCCTGTAGTCCCAGCTGCTCAGGAGGCTGAAGCAAGACGATCACTTGAGCCCATGAATTCCAGGCTACAGTGAACTATGATGGCATCACTGCACTCCAGCTTGGGTGACGAAGTGAGACCCTGTCTCAAACTAACAAACAAAAACAAAAACAAAACAAAACCCAAACAAAATGGGTTTTGGATGGCAGATGAGCAGCCTCATCTGCTCCAAGATGCTTGTGGCTTGGTTAAGACCAGGGGCACTGGAGGCAGAGAGGCTGGACTCCTATTCCAGCTTTACCCTCAGGAGCTCTGGGATCCTCTTTTCTACATCTTAAAAAAAAAAAAAGGATTAGGCCAGGTGCGGTGGTTTGGGAGGCCAAGGCAGACAGATCACTTAAGTTCAGGGGTTCGAGACCAGCCTGGCCAACATGGTGAAACCCCATCTCTATTAAAAATACAAAAATTAGCTAGGCGTGGTGGCAGGTGCCTGTAATCTCACCTACTTGGAAGGCTGAAGCAGGAGAATCACTTGAACTTGGGAAGTGGAGGTTGCACCACTGCACTCCAGTCTGGGCAACAGAGCAAGATTCCCTCTCAAAAAAACAAAAACAAGGACTAAAAGTTGGGACTGCTTCATAGGGCTGTGATAACCTTAAGTGAGCTAATACTTAAAATAGACCTAACAGTGCCTGATATAGATAACTGCTCAATATCTTCCACATTTTTTTTTTCTTAGCTCTTGCCACCATAACTGAAGAGACTAAAATTCTCGGCAGCAATGTCTGAGCCAAGGCTGATTTTATACAAAAAAGCTTTACTCTGAATGCATTTCCTTTTGAGTTATCTCTGTATTTCAAAATTATGTCCAGTGAAATGTATAGAATAGTTGCACAGTAGGTGCTTGGTATTCTCTGATTTATCACTTGACATCCAATCAGCCTGGTAGGACTCCCAGGGGCCATGGCAGTCTGTCTTTGTGAATGGGCTCCTCAGACAGCAAGGAGGGTCTGAGGGCTGAGTGGCCGAGTGGAGAGGACACTTAGCTGACCACTAGGCTTCTGCTCCTGAACGTGCTGGGTTGCCCTTTCCTCGTCATTACACACAGAGTGATGCCTATGAAATGTTAAAAGTGTTGTTTTTCTGAAAAAAAAAAAAAAAAAAAAGGAAGGAAAGAAAGAAGGAAGGAAGGAAGGAAGAAAAGAAAAGGTGTGTATCAAGTGTGTATGGAAGAATAAGGTTATGTGCTCCTTATTTCACTATTATTAGTAAAATTTCATTTTGCCCATTTCCGTCAATAAAACAGAGCCCTACCAGCTAGCTTGTTTTGTTTATACTACTAACTAATGGAATTTCAGAGCCTGACCTTAAAAATGCATGCCTTCATAATTAACAAAAGGAACCTCAGAAAGACATGAAAGAGATGCCGTCTTCTCCCCTTCTACAGAGGGAGACAAATCTTTTTCCCATAAAACTAGTTCCAGTAATCTAATTTGATAAAACACTAAATTGAGAGCAGTCAGACAAGTATCAGTCTTGCTTTTGTGTGTGAATGACTGTTACCAACTTATTTTCTTCCTTTATCAAAAATCTGTCCTTGAAAACTAATATGAACAAAGCAATCTTGTAAAAGCCCTAAAACTAGAAATTGTTGCCATGGCCTGCAAAATAACAGTGCTTGTTATTTTCCATTATTCTTCCCTGCTCCCAAGATCCATTCTCTTCTTTTCTAAGCCTTGTACTGCACAGAACGCATCACCCAGCACCCCACTCCGACCCCGCCCTGCCCTGTGTGCATGGGCCTGGGTGGCTTTGACCAACGGGAGGGCCTCATGAGACTTGGGGGAAGCAAGCAAAATACTCATGCAAAATCTAAGGAGGTCTTCACTCTCAGGTTCCACCCTGGGCAGCATGAGCCTGAGAATGAGCATCTTCCTTCCTCACTCGGGAATTACGGGGCAGGGTATTCATTCCCACTCTCTCTCTATTTTGGGCTACGTTTCTACTTATGGCACCAGCCCCCCTGCCCAGGAAAGGGCTAGAGGTGACAGGGGAAACTTCTTCAGGGATCCACTTCTCCTTGGGCTCCCCTTGCCCCTCCAGCCCTACAGATAGAGATGGTTTCCCACTGCTATTGGTCTCTGGGTACCCCAGCTTCCCTTAACGTTACTCATACCTTTATAAGTAATTCCTTGAACCATCTGAGTTGGAAGTTATTTCTCACAAGAACCAATAATCTTTAAAAAAAGGTAATTCTGAGTATTGATCTTACTTGATAGTTTATTGTTCTGGTAATAATGTGATGGATAGCTCAGTATTCTGTGAAAGGAAAATAAATCTTGGGGCCCCCAAATCACTAAGCTAAAGGGAAAAGTCAAGCTGGGAACTGCTTAGGGCAAACCTGCCTCCCATTCAATTCGAAGTCACCCCTCTGCTCACTGAGATAGATGCATATCTGATTGCCTCCTTTGGAAAGGCTAATCAGAAACTCAAAAGAATGCAACTGTTCCTCTCTCACCTGTCTATAACCTGGAAGCCCCCTCCCCGCTTCCAGTCTTCCTGACTTTCCTTCAAGTTGTCCTGCCTTTCCAGACTGAACCGATGCACTTCTTATATATATTGATTGATGTCTCATGTCTCCCTAAAATGTATAAAACCAAGCTGTGCCCCAACCACCTTGGGCACATGTTATCAGGACTTCCTGAGGCTGCGTCACGGGTGTCCTCAACCTTGGCAAAATAAACTTTTTCAATTAACTGAGACCTGTCTCATATTTTGGGGGTTCACAATTCTTAACTAGTGTAATTAATGAAAATATCACTCTATCAAACCAGAAAAGAACTGGAAAAGAACTTGAAGTCAATGCATTTGTGTAATTTCTTATATTAACTGAAAAATCAAGAGTTTTGTCCCATTTACATAAACATAGGAGAGTGAAAACTTCAGTGAATGTTGGAAAGCATAGATGGAGGAAGCGTTTAGAAAGCAAGTCTATCACAGCCTACAAAGACATGGTCATAGTGGCAAAATTTTGTTTTGTTTTTTTTTTTAAGAGTATCTAGCTCTATCCTGATTTTCCAGCATGTAATCTATAATAAAGGGACAGAGAGCCATCCTGAGCCCCATAAATTCAGGTGTGTGTCTTCAGCTAATGCTGCACAAAGCATGTATGGGAAGATGGCTTATGTTGCTGCACAAAAACTCCTATGGCTGGCACAGCAATTTCTTTTTTTTTTTTTTTTTTTGATGGAGTCTCACTCTGTCACCAAGCTGGAGTGCAGTGGTGCCATCTCGGCTCACTGTAACCTCCACCTTCCCGGTTCAAGCAATTCTCCTGCCTCGGCCTCCAGAGTAGCTGGGACTATGGGCGCGCACCACCACACCCAGCTAATTTTTGTATTTTTAGTAAACACAGGATTTCACCGTGTTGGCTAGGATGGTCCCAATCTCCTGACCTCGTGATCTGCCCGCCTCGGCCTCCCAAAGTGCTGGGATTACAGGCGTGAGCCACCGCACCTGGCCAGCAATTTCTTTACCAACACAACTTCTTTCCCTGAGCGTTCGGAGCCGCCCAATTGCTTTGTCCTCAGGGGAGTTGTTCAACAAGTTGTGACTATCTTCCAGCAAAGCACAGCAAAATCCAGCTTGCCCACATTTTGAAAAGGTACAGCTTTAGTTTCCTGGGACTGAAAGAGGGAGGGGGAAGAGGTAAAGAAGTCGCCGCTCAAGTTCTGGGGTTGTTACCTCAGTCCTGCAGGGGATGCTATTGTGTCATCATTCCATCCACTGCTTGCCAACCAAAGGATGGGCCACAATGAAGCTCAAAGTCATTGCTCATCTATCAGAGCATGGTATCGACCTATTCGGACACTGTGTTAAACGAAGAGGCTTTTAGAAGCCACCATTTCCACGCTTCTCAGTTCTGCTTTGATAGCAAAGTAATTGCAATTTTCCAGTGTGAAGTTCTGTAGGCAGCAGAGACACTGATGTCTTGATTTACACATGTACAGAACTGGACTAGCTATTATTATGAAAATGTTAATTAGTGTTATAACTGCTCTTTAATTTGCATATTCTGTTAATTAACTTTCTCTTAAGAGTGACCACATTTAGAAAATGGGAGTGAGAAGACTATGGAAAATCAGAGGCAGGAAAGATTGTAAAGAACTTTTTCCCCCTTCTGATACTAAATCTTCACCTTGTTCTTACCCGGGGTTCTTTCTACTTTGGCCTGCACACTTCTAGTGATTTCATTGCAGGGGAGAGGAGGGGATGGGTACCATTATCCAATCATTGCTGGGTATTATGTGCTAGGCACTTCACATTTTCTCCTTTATTCCCCACAATCACCATAGAAGGTAGATATTGTTACATCCAGTCACAAATGTTGAAACTGAGGTTCAGAGAGTTTTTAAGAAACCCGGTTTTAGAAACAAGTATGTAGACTTCTGGTTTCAGTTCCAACACATAAGAACTTGGAAGTCACCACTTTTATCCTAACAACAAGAAAAAGCTGGACAAACTGAAAATCAATGACTTGTACTTGTACAGGACAAATGATCACCCCAAAATCTGGAGAGACAGAGAATATAGCAGAGGTCTGCTTACCTGGAACAGAAGCAACTGGAGCCATAGACTGGCAAGAGCATGCAAGTGGTCACTTTGACAAATTGTTGGAAGTTGCCAGTGGAGTAGCTGGAGAGTGAGAAACTGCTGGGGCCAAAGTTTTTGTTGCCACTGGAAACAAGGGTAAGAATTATAGCAGAATTCTTGTCAGAAACCATGCAAAAGTCAAGTGGGGTGAAATCTTTGAATCATTGAAAAAAGATAACTGCCAACTTAGAATTCTAAATCCAGAGAAATTATCCTTCAAAAGTGAAGGAGAAATAGACTTTCTCGGACAAACAGTCTGAGGGAATTTCTCACTAGCAGACTTGTTCTGCAAGAAATATTAAAAGTTCTTCATGCAGAAGGAAAAGGATATAGGTCAAAAACTTGGATCTACAAAGGAGGAGCATCAGAGAATTGGTTGATCTAAAAGATAACTTTTTGGTTAAAGCAATAGTAGTAATAACGTACTGAGTGATTAGAGCATATTGATAAGCAGAACAAATGTCACAATGGATGGGAGGAAGGAATTGAAAATATTTTAAATAAGATACTTGCACTATATGTGAAAAGGCACAATGGTATTATTTGCAAGTGGACTTACATGAATTAAAAGTTTATATTACAAACCCTAGGGCAACCACTGGAAAAGTTTTAAAAAATGTATATAGTTGAAATGCTAAAAGAAGAGGTAAAATAAAATAATATAAAATATCAAAAAATCTATAAATGAAAACTAAACAAGGCAAAGAAAGAGGGGGAAATCAAGCATGTGTATAGCGCTGTTCTAACCATTAAACTAATGTTAACTCTTTTAATCTTTGTTACAATCTTATGAGGCAAGTAGTATCATTATCTTCATTTTCCTGGGTGAGGAAACTAAGGTATAGAGGGTTAAGTGGCTGGTGCAAAGTCACACACCCAGTAAACAGTGGAGCTGGGATTGAAATCCCAGGCAACCCTTGCTCTTAAGCCTCAAGCTAAATAGCCTTATTAATGTTACAGCCAGAATTTCAAATAAAATCTCTCTGACTCCAATTGCTGTGTCCTTATCCACTATGCTAGGAATAAACTCTGCTATTTCAATTTGTAAATCATTTTATCTTCTAGTCACTTTGGTTTTTATTTTATTTTATTTTATTTTTGAGATGGAGTCTCACAGCCCAGGCTAAAGTGCAGTGGCGCTATCTCGGCTCACTGCAACCTCCACCTCCCGGGTTCAAAGGATTCTCCCACCTCAGCTTCCTGAGTAGCTGGGACTGCGGGCATGCACCACTATGCCCAACTAATTTTTGTATTTTTAGTAGAGATAGGGTTTCGCCATGTTGGTCAGGCTGGTCTTGAACTCCTGACCTCAGGTGATCTGCTTGCCTCAGCCTCCCAAACTGCTGAGATTACATGAGTGAGCCACCACGCCCAGCCTCTTCTGGTCACTTTGACCTTATATTTTTAAAGAATTTTTTCTACGTTATTAAGATAACGTGAGTTCACCACAAAAAAAGAGAAATTAGTACAAAAATATGTAAGGAAAAATGCAAAAATAATTCTATTATCCAGAGTAAATCACTGTTAATATTTCAGTAACTGTGCATTTATACATCTTTCTATATATATATGCAAATGTGTAAATAAAACTATACTAATAGAACATTATACATATGCTTTTATTATAAACACATTTGTTTTCTTCTAGTCTTTACTTTTTATTCTGTGTTCACTCCCTCAGCCTCTCCCCAGCCCCACCTGCCCCAAATGGGGAAATCAATTTTAAACTAAACTTATAAATATATATTAACATTTATAGAAATTTTGTCATTTGTTTTTAAAAAGTAGATTCCTGGCCGGGTATGGTGGCTGACGCCTGTAATCTCAGATTTTGGGAGGTCGAGGCGGGCAGATCACGATGTCAGGAGATTGAGACCATCCTGGCCAACATGGTGAAACCCCGTCTCCACTAAAAATACAAAAATTAGCTGGGCATGGTGGCATACGCCTGTGGTCCCAGCTACTCAGGAGGCTGAGGCAGGAGAAATGCTTGAACCCAGGAGATGGAGGGTGCAGTGAGCTGAGATCGTACCACTGCACTCGAGCCTGGGCAACAGAGAGACTCTGTCTCAAATAAATAAATAAATAAATAGATAGATAAATAAAGTAGAATCCTATTTTATACATTTATCTGGGCCTTACTTTCCACCTAACAATATATGATGGAAATCCTTCAAATAAACTGTTATAGATATTACACCTTCATTCTAGCGACTGTCTAGTACTCCAAGGTAGGGAATGAACCACAGTGAATTCCAAAATTTATTTAACTGAAGTGCCTTCTTGTGGTATTTAGTTTTTTGCCTTTCCAAAGTGCTGCAATAAAAACTGTACACAGATCTTCTTCTTAAACAGACAGATTTAACTTCGATTTTCTTGCCAAATTCCACTAAATTACAGTAAATGGATTGTTTTAAAGGCATAAACCCACAAAGAGAATAGAAGAAACAGCAGCGACACAGTGAAATGGCATCTAACTTAGCAGACTTTGGAAAGTTGTAGGAAAGCCAAGATCAGTCTGGTATACATCGCAGAACCCCAAGAAGCTTAGGAGTTGGTGTTGTCAGGTGCCTCTGGACATGGGAGGAAAAGTGGAACTGAAAAGAACAGAACTGATTTAGTTTCCGTTTGAGAAGCAGTTAGACTCCTGGATCCCCTCTCCAATTTGATGCAGCTAGGTGACTGCCAACCCCAGCCATGAAGTTTCAAAGTTTATTTTCTGGAGCGGGTAAATCAGAGGGTCTCTAGACTGAGAGAAATGAAACAATTGAGGGCAGAGGTATATATTGAAAACAAAAGAATTCAATATCCAAAAAATTTACATACTAAATACCCTGTTTCTCCTCTAGGTTCTGATAATGCTGGAAGCCAAATGTATTCTTATTAGTCAGGCAACTAGAAGTGTCCTCTCTGGGGAATGTAATCAGCCTGAAGACAAGACCTAAAGATACTGATACCAATTGTTTCCCAAATGAAATAGCCCTGCCATACCATCCTACTAAGAAGACCACAATGGTAAGGTCGAATGAAGAGAGCTTTGAATTAGCTTCTCAATATCTCAATGTTACATATGAAGTGTTAGCCAAAAATCATTAGCTATTTGAGGAAAATCTCTAATATGAGAAAGTGACCAAAAGCAACTGGGATGAAACAGATATTAGAGATTTTAAAAAGTTGAAAACAAATAAAAGCTATCCTCAGGTACAGAAAATATATTGCACTCATGAAATAATAACAGAATACTTGAAATAAAAAGATCATTCAGATAACACAAAAAAGAAGCTCCTAGAAAGTAAAATATGAAAAATAAGGTTTGGAATCGCTCCCCAAAATAGAGCAAAAAGTTAAAGAAATGGAAATTAGAGCTGCAATGAAGATTAGAAGAGTTACTGTTTGTTCCATGGTTAGAAGACTTCCTGGTACACAGAAAACAGAAAAAAGTGATAATAATAATTACAGAAAGATAAAATGAGGGGAAAGAAATTGCCAAAAAAATAATTCAAGAAAAACGTTCAGAATTGAAGGATGTGAGTATCAATATTGGAGAAATCATTAGAGAGCCCAATACAATGAATGAGGCACGCCGCTGTGTTTTCAAAACTCTTAGAACAAAGAGAAGAAACTTCCGGAGAGAAAAACAGGTTTTGTACTATCAACCTAAATAAGAAACAGAAAGAAGCCCTCTAAAAGAAAAAGATATTTAGGAGTACAGCACTGCAATGGGAATATGCATGTCATAGTCAACTCTATGTGTATTTAGGGAAGTAAGAGAAGACAAAGTGTTTTAAAGGAAAATGAGCCTGGCTCTATTTGTCAGGCTTTTTCAGCACCAGTGACTCCATTTTGATTCTGACAACTTTCACAATATGAATGATCAAGGATGCCATTGAGCTTCTCAACAGCAATTATGGAAGCCAGAAAATAATGGCTAGAATAGTTTTAAGATTCTAAAAGATGTTCCCCTTCCTGTGTCCAAATGTTCTCAACGGGGCCCGTTGTGGGGTGGGCGGAGCGGGGAGGGATAGCATTAGGGGATATACCTAATGTAAATGACGAGTTAATGGGTGCAGCACACCAACATGGCACATGTATACATATGTAACAAACCCGCACGTTGTGCACATGTACCGTAGAACTTAAAGTATAGTAAAAAATACATATATATATAAAAATTCTAAAAGAAAGCATTTCCAACCTAAAATTTTCTCCTCAGCCTACTAATCAAACATGAAAGTTGAATAATGATTTTTTAGAAATCAAATGTCTTGAATTTTCCTTCCATTTATTCTCAGAAAGGTACTAGAGGACATATTACACTAAATGATGGAGAAGATCTTTCCTAAAATGAAAGACATTCCTGACCTCTTCCTTCCCACTTTTTCTTTTCACTGCCCCAATCCCCACCATTACCATGGTAATTGCTGTTATTTCTAATTCTATAACCTAAGATCTCACTGGATTTTGGCAGCCATATCAACCCTCAAATCTTCTGCAAAACTGCTTCTGCTAAACCACGTCTCACCATCACTACCACATGCACATCAGGTACCTGCACTTAATTATCCCAGACTTCAAGATTGATATGAATAATTTCCTAAGAATATGCCCTGAGTCCTGGTTTGTTTTACCTAAGTGCAGGATCTTCTTTCTATTGCTGATAAAATCCATCTTGTTAGATTTATCCCATTGCTCCAGCCTGTCAGTCTTTTTGGTCTTAATTCTATCAGCCAATGAATTTGCTATCCTTTCCAGGCTCTTGTCATCCACAAATGAAATCACTGTGCCCTCTAAACTTTCAGCCAAGGCATGGATGTAAATGCCAAACAAGCCAGGGCCGTGTCCATCCGGAAGTACATTGATCAATGCCAACAGCTGTTCAACCAGTTATGAATTTCCTCAACTCTCATGGGAGATGCTCCTGCAGATAAAACCGAATCTGTAGACCAAAAAAAACTATAATGTTATTAATATGGAGTATCTGGTTTCTCTGTCTCTAATGCAACTCATGAGAAGTGTGCCATTTGGAGCCCAAGTAAGTAAAGAAACCCTTTGAATAAGTTGAGTAGTGAATACATTCAGGCTCAGCTTATGAAAACTAGCTACAGAGAAAAATACGAGAGAGAAGCATCTTGTGCAACAGTTCCATTCTATTTTCTTTTCTTTTTTTTTTTTTTGAGACAGAGGCTTGCTCTCTCGCCCAGGCTAGAGTGCAGTGGTGGTGAGATCTCAGCTCACTGCAACCTCTACCTCCTGGGTTCAAGCAGTTCTCTTGCCTCAGCCTCCCGAGTAGCTGGGACTACAGGCGCAGGCCACCACACCTAGCTAATTTTTTGTATTTTAGTAGAGATGGGGTTTCACCATGTTGCCCAGGCTGGTCTCGAACTCCTGAGCTCAGGCAATCCGCCCACCTCAGCCTCCCAAAGTGCTAGGTTTACAGGCGTGCACCACCACACCCAGCCAATAGTTCCATTCTAAAGACAATATAAAGTGAACATTCTCTCTAGTCATCATTACCCTTAAAAACCCTTTAGCAAAGAGCTGCATTGGAAGCCATCTCAGTCTCTCAGTAAGGTCCCCAACACTAGCTTTTCTTACAGTGGTGGAACAAATTGCAATCTCTTTAGTAGAGCATCAATGAAGTGGTTGGCTCAATTTTAGTAGCTATGTTAAAGAAAAATATGCATCTTGTAAATACTAGAATCATGCTTAGTGTGGCAAGATGCTCCCACTGTTAGAGAACAAAGCAAAAATATTGAGTGAATAGTAGGTGCTCCTCTCTCCTTCTGACTCCAGGGCTTCCACTCAGTAAGTGGAGGAAATATTAGTCTCTCTCTGTCTCTCTCTCTTTCTCCAGTTCCTCAGAATAGAATTTGTTTAAACATGGGTATGACGTCTGTTTAGTAGTACCACATTTTTTTTTTTTTACAAAAAAGTCTTGGGAGTTCTAGGCAGGCAGATGACAAGGTCAAGAGTTTGAGATCAGCCTGACCAACATGGTGAAACCCCATCTCTACTAAAAATACAAAAATTAGCTGAGCATGGCATGCCTGTAATCTCAGCTACTCAGGGGGCTGAGGCAGGAAAATCGCTTGAATCCGGGAGGCTGAGGTTGCAGTGAGCCGAGATCCCACCACTGTACTCCAGCCTGGGCGACAGAGCAAGACTCCATCCCCCACCCACCCACCCACCCCCAAAAAAGGAGTAAAAAATACGCACACTTCTGATACCTGAGATCGGAAAGTTCAAATGTTTAGAGGAGGACAATTATTCAAAAGGAGGTGGATTACAATCTGTTATCTTGGGGGATTCAGAGTAGTCCATTTCGGCATTGGAGTGTCTATTACAATCCAGGCAGGTTGGTTAGTTTAACTACATGTCTACCTTGGGGAATTACTGGGTGCCTGCACCTATTATTTGTAGGTACTATGCATCATTGCATCTGTGCCTGATGAGGTTCTGAAGAGACGAGGTCAACAGGAAGCTGGGATTTTACAGTGCCATTATTTGTAGGTACTATGCATCATTGCGTCTGTGCCTGATGAGGTTCTGAAGAGACGAGGTCAACAGGAAGCTGGGATTTTACAGTGCCCTAATATTTTAAAATGCTAAGGAGAAGTCAGTGCTCCTCCATCGCCCCTCCTGAACAGCAACCCTTAGGTGGGAAGAGAACTACCCTTAAGTAAGGAGTTAGTGGGCTTGTCCTCCATTACAGGAAGCTACAAAATTAAAACCAGGGATGTACTGAGGAATGCCTCCTAGGTGTGCTTGCCTAGTGCCCTCAGTAAAACTTCTTTGAAAGAGATGTGGGCAACTGTAGCAGCCACGAGAGTGGAAAGTTGAGAACCTAATGATCTGATTTTGGGGAGGTTAGAAGACCTGCCATTATCCTTGACCTGAAAGGAAGGTAAAGATGGTTGGTCTCTCAACACACTCATCACCACAAGAAAAGAATAGCATTTTAAATCCAGAAATCTCTTAGTCAGGGCCTAAGCCACATATGGTTGTGTGAAATAGTAACAGTGCTCACACCCCTGCAAAGGCAAGGTGCCTGGAGAGGGATGCGCAATGTTGAAAATCAATGCCTGTCTCTAAATGAAAAACTTAGACGCACGTGGGCTTTGGCTACATAACGAAAGCACTTGGGTTCAGTAATTTACAGAATTAAATGAGTGCTCATATTCAAGAGCTTTTAGTAGAAGTGAAACAATTAAATGACCAATGTTTTAGAAAAGCATTTTTAAAACCTTACTCTTAATTCAATTTGACCTTTTTAGAAGAATTATTTAGCAGATAAATTTTATCCCAAAACCAGACAAAAGAATAAAATGAAATCACACTTATGATTTCTCACATGCTGATATTAACTTCTTTCATATATTTTAAACAATGGCAATAGACTTTGTACTGAAATCTAAATCTACGTTGTAAAATACACTCAGGGCCGTGTCACTAGCTTCCAGTTTAGTGGCTTCCAGCACTTATTGATCTCACAATGTCAAAACAATTTTTTTTTTGCCTCAAGGCACTTAATCTTTGATCAGAGGGGATCAGTTACCAAAATTGACTGTATGAAGTTTAACGGCTGAATTTAAATTGTACCAAGTAAACAATTATGTCATTTATATTTGTTATAGGGCGGTCACCATCTGCTTTATTCTGCTTGTGCTTTAGGGACCCAAAGTTACAGGGCAATTTTTCTAGTGAAAGTTTTTAATCAAATTGTCATCTCCTGTCTAAGCCACCTTGTTGAAACATGACATTTCTGACCCTGGTAGCATCATGAGAATTTGAAATAGAATATAAATTTGTATTACTGGGTTTTCTTATTGGTTGACCAAAAAGAAAAATTAACCTTATATGTATCACAAATTAAAGTATAAAATTTTAAAGGATCTTTGTCCCCAGAAGTGGGAAAGCAAGATGTAAATTAATAAAAGTCTCTTGAAATGATTATGCATCTTATTCATCAACAAAATTCTAGCCACAGGACCACAGCTGACATTTACTAACACTTATTACATATGCCAGGCTCCATGATTGCTGAATTGTATATCACTTAATCCATACATGAACTCTATGTGACATGTTTTATTGTTGCTTTCAAGTTTACAGATGAGGAAACTGAGGCATAGAGCACATCAGTACCTTGCCCAAGGATATGGGCGAAGGACTGGTTTTCAGTCCAGGCAGTATGACTGCAGCACTTGTTTCTACCATACTTCCTCTGAACAACCCACCTGTAGAATAGGAAGATCCTCACCTAACCCTTTCACCCAGTAACTATAAAACACAGAGAATGGACTGGATGAAAATAGTGTACTTTCAAGTCTTCTTACCTCATTTCCCTCTCAAATGCTGTTCCTATTCCTTCTATAAGTTTTGAAGAGCCCTTGGCCAAGCAAACAGACCGGGCTGCTCCTGTTTATGAGTTTTTTTTTTTTTTCCATGAGTGCTATATGTAGGAAAATAAAAAGGAAGCATAATTTGTAAAAAGCACTTAGGCCACCTTCTCTGCTTTTAACAACTTTCTAAAACAGACCCAGACTCTTATTTGTAATAACAGTTGCTATGAATCACCTTTTGGTTATTTTGGCTTCTGTAATCAGAGGATTCTGGGCCTTTTCATTTGGATTTTCTCTCTTGTCTTTTTCTCCCTGAAAAGGACATGAGGCATTTTGTCTATTCTCTACAAATCTAAACTCTCTAAACATGGCTTGATCAGGCTGTGTTGTGGATATTTCGCAATAGGAACGAATCTAGATGGTGTAACAACTACTCACTTTATTTGATGGAAGTCAGAAGTAACGATGAGTGATTTGCTTAGGGAATCATTTTACATTCTATTTGGGAAGCAGCTGACAGTTCAAGTGGTTTAAGCTATTACACTGGGAATGAAATAGCACTTTTTTTTTTTTTTTGAGACAAAGTCTCACTCTGTCACGCAGGCTGGAGTGCAGTGGTGCAATCTCGGCTTACTGCAACCTCTACCCTCCAGGTTCAAGTGATTCTTGTGCCTCAGCCTCCTGAGTAGCTGGGATTACAGGCACCCACAATCATGCCCAGCTAATTTTTGTATTTTTAGTAGAGGTGGGGTTTTACCATGTTGGCCAGGCTGGTCTCAAACTCCTCACCTCAGGTGATCCACCCACCTCGGCCTCCCAAAGTGCTGGGATTACAGGTGTGAGCCACTGTGCCTGGCAGGCACAGCACTTTTTACCCAAGGTGGCTTGATGGTGTCTTCACAGGAGGCAAAATCATCTCTAGCCTCCAAGTCAGTAAAATAACTATGTCTTACATGTTGTGCAAAACATAGATACGTGGAGTTTCCTAATCTGCTTAAATTTGCAGTTGGGAGCTGGGACAGAGTATACCTTCAAGGAACTTTATTTTCTGCCTTCTGTCTTTTCCTCAAGTTTTTTAAACATAGAAGGAACTTCAGGGCTCATCTAGTTCAACCCTGGATTTTGCCCAGAGAAAGAAATTCTTCTAAGTGAGAGATGTTCATCTTCAGCCCTTTTCTGGGGAGGGGAGGATTGAGCTCTGAGCACCAGCTTGGTCATGAGGAATACACCTTCTACTACATGGAATCTACCAATGTTTCCTGAGCACCTGATATGTGCAAGGAACTGCTTGGCTCTCAGAATGCTAAGTTGGCCAGCTATGGGCGGCTAAATTTCATGGGAGTACAGCCATGCATATTTGTGTATGTATGCCTAGGGCTGCTTTTGAGCTGCAACAGCAGAGTTGAGTAGTTGTGACAGACACTGTATGGCCTGCAAAGCCGAAAATCTTTGTGACCTGGCCCTTGACAGAAAAATTTTGCCCATGCCTGTTTCAGTGCCTCTCCCTTTGGGGTTTCATTGAGAGGAGCATTTAGAAACTGAATGAGTTTGCTCAAGCAAGCATCATGTTTTTAAAAACAGAATCAATGTCTCTAGACGATGCTCAGAGCCCTCCAAGTGCAGCTCACTGTCTTTCTAAACCCAGCATTTCCACATTTAAGCTATTCTGTGGCTTCTGAAGGCATTTGAGTTGGAGAGCCCTGATTTAGAGCAAGGCCACATAAGGTGGAGAGAATGAGGAGCAGGTCGTTTTCACTTAGCTTCAGTGCTGAGCCCTAACATAGGGACATTTCTTCTTTACCATCAGTAACACTGCAGGAAGAAAATCATTAGGTACTGATTGGCTTATAGACTGAAGGTAGTAATGGAGAGTCTAGTCTATTATAACACTCTTTTGACCCCAGGTACAAGTATCTCTTGGCCCTCCAAACCTGGAACAGCTCCTGGCACATAACAGATCCTCTATAAATATTATGGGGAATGAATCAATAATGGAAAAGAAGGGCAGCACAGAGCAAATAATTAATAATGTTTTCTAACTGACCAATGAACATGTTGAAATTGCCTCATTGTTTATTCATGAATTTTTACATACTCCTTTTAATGATGTAAAAGCATCTTTTTTTAATTAGGAAACTTGTCCAAGAGGATGAAGAAGTTCTTGTGCTTTGAACAATTAATATAACCAGTTTATTACCAATATATAATCTCTCAACAATCATGAAAGAGAAAGCCTAGAAATTGAGTGATGGCAACTCTGGCTGGGTCTTTCATAAGGTGACTCAACTTTATTTTATTTTATTTTATTTTTTTGAGATGGAGTTTTGCTTTTGTTGCCCAGGCTGGAGTGCAATGGCATGATCTCAGCTCACTGCAATCTCCGCCTCCCAGGTTCAAGTGAATCTCCTGCCTCAGCCTCCCAAGTAGCTGGGATTACAGGTGCCTGCCAGCACGCCTGGCTAATTTTTGTATTTTTAGTATAGAGGGGGTTTCACCATGTTGGCCAGGCTGGTCTCGAACTCCTTACCTCAGGTGATTAGCTCGCCTCTGCCTCCCAAAGTGCTGGGATTACAGGCCTGAGCCACTGCACCTGGCCAACTCTATCAATTTTTAACTAAATTTATTTTTAAATTTTAAGCCTTAGCTGGTTCATGGGTTTCTACTTACATAAAGGTCTTGATGACTAGATAGAGTGATTATCACTTTTATCCTATAGGCAATAAAATCAACTTTTTATAATGATTAGAAAATATAACTTCATGTCACAAATAATTAAACCCAAAGAAGCCATGAAAGAGCCCATAGTTATCTCCCTGTTGGCTGGCAATATTCCCACTTGAGCTAGACAACATGAGTTCACTCTACTTAAAATATTGCCTTTTATAAGTGGCTTTAACACCATCATCAGCTATCACTTATTGAATAACAGGAACTGTGCTAATTGTTCTATGTGCAGTATTTAATTAAGTCACATGAAGGAGATTGACTTATTATTTTCATTTTATATATTTGGAAATTGATGCAAACTTAAAGAGGTTAACTAAATTACCCAAGGTTGTACACACATGTATTGGCCAAGGCAATCCACATTTAATTCCAAAACCACTTAGCCATTGAACCACCAATGCAATAACCTGCCTCAACAGTCCATGTTTATAATAAGGTTTTGCACCTTCTCAGTACTAAAATTCTAGATGGAAATACTGCCTAGGCCATATATTGCAGGGGGATCATTCAAAGCACTTCTTAACCTGGGATCTAGGGACACCTTCCAAGTTTATGAGTGCTTCAAGGACACTGCAAAATCCAGACATTTTATGCAAATGTGTGTGTGTGTGTTTATGTGTGTGTGTGTGTGTGTGTGTGATGTGCATGAGGGTATGCATTTTTCTGGGAAGAGTTTTCATCCAAGTCTATGACCCAATAGAATGCTAAGAACAACTTGCTATTTCAATCACTCAATTATTCTTTGATTCACTCATCAACAATTTACTGAATATCAACCGTGTGGCAGGCACTATGCAAGGGGGATACTAAGGTGAGAGACTGCATTAAAGTTGAAGCCCTTTCTGCCATTTATTTTGTAATTAACCTAGCATAAGGAGGTCCCTGATGTCTTTCCTTATTTAGGACTACAGAATCTAACTCATATCATGCATTAATTTGCTAATTTAAAGCTCAATAAAAATTTAATAGTGCTAAATATGTTGACTGAGTTAATTATAAAAAATTAGACACTATTCTCTACCAAACAATAAAAAGCAGCCTCTGTAACATCTCTTCATAAATTGCATGTGTATTCTGTTTTTATTGTATTACCTCAGTTTCTTAAAGTAATCAGTCTTTGGAAAAAGTAAAAATAAAAAGATTTTTAGCAATGAAATTTAGTCTTTTCATACCAGATTTTTTTTCCCAGGACTCTTTCAGTTTCAAGTAACAGAAACCCAAGCTTAAATAATAACAGCAATGTATTGAGTTAACACAGATGAAATATCCAGGGAAGATTTAGTTTTAGAAATGTGTGAGTAAAGTCCAAACAATAGTGTTTAAATCCTATTTATCTCTGTCTTTCGAATGGGTTCTTGCTACATGGTGAAAATGACGCCAGCCCCCTCATTCTACCGATTTAGCAACCCCAATGGGAAAATAATGTTTTAAAATCTCTCTCAGAGAGGTCACAAGCGATATTTGGATTCACCTAGGTTGGACATTCTCAATTCAAAACCAACCACTGTAATAACTATTCAGTGCATTCAAAGGAGACAGAGCATTCAAAGCCAGACTCATGCAGGCCCGTGCTTGGAGCTGGAATTGGGGAGGAAACTGCTTGATGAATTCAAATAACAGGGTCTCTTATGGAATACAAGTATCCTATCACCATAAGAGAAGTGAATGGGTCCTGATGGACCAGAACCAGAGATGCCCATCATAGTAACTGTATTAGTCTGTTCTCACACTGCTAATAAAGACATACCTGAGACTGAGTAATTTATAAAGTAAAGAGATTTAATGGACTCACAGTTCCACATGGCTGGGGAGGCCTCACAATCATGGTGGAAGGCAAAGGAGAAGCAAAGGCATGTCTTACATGGCAGCAGGCAAGAGACCTTCTGCCAGGGAACTCCTATTTATAAAACCATCAGATCTCATGAGACTTATTCACTACCATGGGAACAGTTTGGGGGAAACCACTCCCATGATTCAATTATCTTCACCTGGCCCCACCCTTGACACATGGAGATTATTACAATGCAAGGTGAGATTTGGGTGGGGACACAGCAAAACCATGTCACCAACATATGTATTCTAAGGAAACTGCCTAGCAGGCTGAAAGCCTATCCTTTACTCAATGACAGATGTCCTTTGTAATGTGCTAGGCATCTCCCTAGGCACTAGATACAGGTTTTAAAAAGGCAAGCATCCTGCCTTCATGGAGCTTACCTTCAAAGTAGGGGAGATAGTCAATAAACAAAACAAGCAAGTAAGTTACACAGTAAGTCAGAAGGCAAGAAGCATTATGGAGAGATACAAAGCACAAAGGAGAAGTAGGGTATATCTGAGGAGAAAAGGAGATTCAGTGTTAGAGGTCATGAAGGCTCCACTGGGTGACTTTGAACAAAAACTTGAAGGAAGTGAGAGAGGTCACCATATAGATACCAAGGAGTTGAGCAGTCAGGCAAACAGAAACAGCATGTGCAAAGGCCCTGGGGTGGGAACACATCTGGCATGTTCAAGGATTAGCAAGGAGTCCACCAGTGTTGACACTGGGAGAGCTGCAATGGGGAGAGTAGTAGGAGATGAGGTCAGATAAATAATGGCATATTTTTTCAGGACTTTGGTTTTCACTTTGAGTGAAATAAAAAGCCATTGGAACATTTAGAGCAGAGTTAAACTTTTTTAAACAATATCATTCTGGATGCTGTGCTGAGAATAGGCAGAATAGGGTGCCAGGGCAGACGAAGGGAGAGCATTTTAGAAGGTTTTGCAATAATCCAGGTGAGAAGTGATGACCTCGGCCAGGCTAGTAGCAGGGCACGTGTTAAATAATGGTCAGATTTTGTGTATACGGTAAAGACAGAACTGCTCATTTATCCTCTCTGATTTTGATGTAGATGTAAGAGAAAGGAGAAAAGTAAGGCTCAATTCTAAGATCTTTAAGGATGGAGTTGATACTAACGAAGTTGGGGAAGATGGAAGGGGGAGCAGATTGGGGGAGAAGGGAGAGATCACAAAGATTACTGAATTCTACCAAACTATGTTAAAATCTATTTTCAAACCCCCAACATTTTCATTTATGTCCTTCTCAAGAAAGTTCCTTGCACCTACAAGCACTACCTTGTAGCTGTCCTTAAGCTAGATCTTGTGTAGTAAGCTATACACCCACAGTTTGCAGACTGTGTGAGAAGAGAAGGTTTGCCCACATGTCTAAATAATGGTAGAAGATTTAAATAGTAGTAGAAGATTTGAATAACCATTGAATTATACAAAATACGTTGCAATAGGGCTAATTCTGCAACACAATGTCAGTAAAAATCAGATAAGGGAGGTCTCAACTTTTCTGATCAAGACAAGCAAGGTGTAATTGAGAAGGTAGGATTTTGGTTGGCTACTGATGGAACAAGATTTGGATACATGGAGAGGGTTAGCTGTAAATTTCATTGGTTTTATGTGTGTGTGTCTGTGTGTATCTCTAACTTGGCTGCTTTGATTCATAAATGAGCTGTAGAGCAGGGGTTCTCAACTGTGGCTGCTTGTAGGAATCACCCAGGAAGGCTTCTTTAAAAATTACTCTAATTTAATTGATATGGGATGAGGCCTGTGTACCAAGAGTTTTCAAAGCTTCTCAGTGATTCCAATGGCAGCCAGGGTTGAAATCCTATAGCAAAAAGCAGAGCATAGCAAACTACCCACCATGGGCCAAGTCCAGCTGTTACCTACATTTGTAAATAAACTTTTACAAGCACACACCCCTGTCCATTTGTTCACAACGTGTCTATGGCTGCTGTCATGCTATAATGGCAGTGTGAGCAGCTGCTGTTTGGCCTTTTACTGAACAAGTTTGCTGATCCAGGGTGTAGAGAAGGAGGAGCATCACACGAACCTGGGTCTGAATCCTATTTCTACTAAATATTAGCTATGTGACTTACAGCAAGGTAGTTAACTGTCTCCTGGTTCCCCTACCTGTAACATAAAGACAACAGGTAGATTATGAGGCTCAAAGATAATCTGTTGAAGAACCCAGCGTAGAAGCTGGCACAGAGAAGTAGTCAATGACGACTGGTTTCCTTTCTTCCATATACAGGGTAGACTCAATCTTCAAGAATCTTCCCCTTGCAAAAAAACAAAATAACAACAGCAATAACAAAAACCCATAATTTAACGTTTTTATGTTCTTGTAACCTTATTATGTAGCCATTGTGGAATTTGTGCTTCCTCATTGCCCTACAGGTAAAAGTATCTGGCAGGTCCTTTAGGCACTTCGGGTAGCTAGATGCTTTTAAGATGCCGAGATGGACCCACATTATATTCTATTTTACTAGATAACAAAGAGTTGTTCATGTATTTGGTGTATTTAATATGTAATAGAATAAAAAGGGACTTATGTGTCATGTCAAGAGGTAGAGCATAAATGATTGTGACAAGGGAAATGGAAGATCAGATGGTATAACCTCAGTTGACAGCAGAATCAGCATGATTAACGCTCCTGGCTAAAATAGCCAGCTTTCAAAAGCATCCTTCCAGCCTTTCCAAGGAACTGGGAACATGAACTGTTTCATAATGAGAAATGACCAAGTTAGTTTCCTGAGTGCCTCAAGAAATAATGGACAATTCTTAAATTTTCAGAAAGATTTTAGAAGAAAGCTACTTGACCAAGGACAGGGATGTGGGAAGGCAGACTTGTAGAAGACCTTCAGTGAATCAAACACACATACACACACACAAACACACACACACACACACACACACACACACACTCTACACCATTTAAAAGGACAAGTAGCTTGACACCCAATCCTGACTGCTAGTTCTAAAAACTCCTGTTGCATGCTGTGTCATTAACATCCTTTTTTTTTTTTTTTGAGATGGAGTTTCGCTCTTGTTGCCCAGGCTGGAGTGCAATGGCAGGATCTCAGCTCACTGCAACCTCTGCATCCTGGGTTTAAGCTATTTTCCTGCCTCAGCCACCCAAGTAGCTGGGATTACAGGCATATGCCACCACGCCCAGCTAATTTTTTTTTTTTTTATTTAGTAGAGACAGGGTTTCACCATGTTGGTCAGGCTGGTCTTGAACTCCTGACCTCAGATGATCCACCTGCCTCGGCATAACATCTTAAATTGTCATCATCATGTGTGTCATTTGTTGTTCAAATGGATTTACAACTAGAAATGACAGACACAAGGGCTGCACTATGACTTTTGGGGACTCTAGCCACTTTTGCCATCATGGGCCCTTTCTTCCATAAAAAATATTTTAAATGGTATTTCATGACTAACTACACAGGCTTAAAGATGAGTATAATTCAAGCTGGACTGTATTTTTTTTCTTCTGACTTTAAAAGAAATTAAAACCTCTTCATGGACCACTAATAACATCGTGAGCCTTGGGCACTCTGTGTATTGCACCAAATGGATAAGTCAGCTCTGGACAAACTTGTACCAAGGCAATATATTTCCTCACTTCAGGAACCAGCAAGAACTAACACTAAGGAGAGGCCACTTCTTCTACATTCTGAAATTCTGATTATTAAAGTCCGATAATGAGTCCCAGTGTGTCGTGGTGGCCAAAGACCATATATGATATCTCCTGTCTGGATGGAGGTTACATTCATCAATGACATAGCAATTGTCCTACCTCTACAGCTGTGTCCTCATCACTCATGTATAGTCATTCAGAAACAGTGTGGAGACCAAGGCAGGCAGATCACTTGAGGTCAAGAATTCAGGACCAGCCTGGCCAACATGGCGAAACCCTATCTTTACTAAAAATATAAAAATTAGCCAGGTATGGTGGTGGGTGCCTGTAATCCCAGCTACTTGGCAGGGCTAAGGCGTGAGAATTGCTTGAACCTGGGAGGCAGAGGGTGCAGTGAGCTGAGATTGCACCACTGCACTCCAGCTTGGGCAACAGAGTGAGACTCTGTCTCAAAGAAAAGAAGAAAAAGAAAAAAGAAATAGTGTGGAGAGGAAGGAGTAAGTTGAAGAAAGACAAGGATGACAAACAGGAGAGAGTATGGGGTGTCTCAGCACTGCCAACTGGGAACTGAGCTTTGCACTCCCCATGACAGATTGGAGCTAATGGCTGAGAAATATGATCCTGAAACTATCCCCTAAATGCCAGTTCAAAGAGTCCTCCTTCTCACACAATGACTCAGTGGAGGGAGGCGGCAATCTGAACTTGATGATGGAACGACAAGGCAAGTGTCGGTTTGTTTTTCCTATCAGGTGTCGACTTCGCGGAAAGCTCCATCTCAATTGCCATGAGTCAAAACTTGATTGCTGAGAGCAAGAAAGATGGGTACAGCAGGAGTCGCGTACTTAGTCACCCATACATGTTACAAAGTTCATTCAGAGTGTCCTGGGGTCTTCAGCTTCAACAGCAGCACCTCAGAAAATGTCCAAAGGGCAATTTTCCCACAGTATCTGGGATGACAAGAACCATCCTCAGATTCTGGACCGGCTCTAACTTGGCAAGTTAGACTAGAATCACATGCACAGTCCCTGGTGTGGTCTCTACTTGACTACTGTCCTAGGAGCCAAATAATTGGTGTAGTCAATGTGCTTTACTTGGGGGAGGAAGGGGTTGATAGTGAAAAGATATGAACAATTAAGAAAAGAGATTAATTTTAAATTAAGCTGAATGTCAAGAAGATTAGCGTAACTCTGACTTCTTTACCAGAAACAGACTTCTAAAATGAGACTTAATCTAAAGACATAAATAAAAAATATCCCTTTAAATGATGTATGGAAATATGAGCGGACATCGAGTGAGGAAGGCAGGCAGTTGTGCTGGATCTAAGTAAGTAGGTGTTCTGCAAATCAATCCACTTCACAGAGTCATTTGTGGAGCTATTGTTCAGGATATTTGTATTTGAATAGAGCTTGTCTCTCTCCTCACCCTGCCTCTCTATCCCAGGAGTCTAGAATGAAGGCACAAACTTCCACCAGGATGACTGTGGCTGGTTGCCATGGAAATAGCGAGAAGGCACTGGATTCAGCATTTGACTTCACTGTGGATCACAAGCCCAAGCATGAAGACTGAGTCGCGTTTAACTAAGAGACTTGCTAATTAATGGAGCGCCAGGTACAGCTTAAAGAGAAAGTCACACAGTAGATAAAGCTAAGTTTTCAGGGCTCTCAAAAGAAATAATCGCAGCCCCAAGCGGACTGTGGAAGAGAATGCTTTCTCCTCTGAGATCTATCTTCTTTTGAGTTCTGACGGCCACTTTTCCCTGACTCTCTGGAGGGAGGTGGAAATGGAGCCATTTAGGAAACCTTCCAGCTAATTGAATTCAAGAAGTCCATCTACGGACAAATGGATAAAGAAAAAGTGGTATATATGCACAATGGAATACTATTTGACCATAAAAAAGAATGAAATACTGTCATTTGCAGCAACATGGATGGAACTGGTGGTTGTTATGTTAAGAGAAAAAAGCCAGGCACAGAAAGACAAATGCTGCAAATTCTCACTATGTGCAAGTTTAAAAAAATGATCGCATGGAGATAGAGAATACAATGATAAATACTAGAGGCTGGGAAGCGTGTGTGAGTCAGTGGGGAAGGATGAAGAGAGGTTGGTTAGTGTGTTAGATGGAAGTTAGATAGAAGAAATAACCCCAATATTTGATAGCAGAGTAGGATAACTACAGTCTGCAACAATGTAATATATGTTTTCGAGTAGCAAGAAGAGAGGGCTTGAAATGCTCCCAACACATAAAAATGATAAACACTCAAGGTGATGGACACCCCAAATGCTCTGACTTGATCATCACACATTCTATGCATGTAACAAATATTCACATGTACCCCATAAATATATAACATTTTGTATGAGTAAAAAAAAAAAAAAAAAGAGAGAGAGAGAAAGAGAAATGAAATGGCACAACTAAATCCTCAAAAGGCGACGGTGATTTTCCCAGCCCTGATCTCACTCTGCCTCTTTGTCTCTGGGGGGCAGGTTCTTGGAAGGAGACAGTTTTGGGAAGACACCTCCACTACCCTGCTATGCACTGCCTCCCCTCCCTTCTCATTCATAGCTCTTCCCCTAGCAAAATACAAGTTCACCACCGCCTCCCCTTGGTCTTCTTCCTCCCTCGCTTCCTGGCCCATTTGCAAGGCCATCTCTTGACCAGCCAGCAGAAATGCAAGAGCATCTGGTGTAGCAGAGTCCGTTTGAATAAAATGTGAAAGCACAGTTGTACTCCAGTCAGTGCACAAATACCAGCTGGTGGAAGTGGAATAGGAAAATCATTTCCTCACTGGTAGCCCATTTTTAAACACTTCATAACGAATGAAGAAGATTGAATTGGTCATTTAAAAGATAGCAGATTTCATTCCACAAATGCCTTCTGAGTGCCATTTACTGAACTGGGTGCTGGGGAGGTTTCTTAGGTAAATCAGACAGATTCCTACTGTCAATTACACAATTGTCAAGCAGACAATTCCTGCATCACATGGAAGGAATAAGCCTGAGATGCCTGGTGAGATGGAATCTAAATAGCATGCCAGCCTCCTCTTCTGCGTCTAGAGGTGAAGTCACCCGAAGACATAGTTTAACATTCACAGGGTGCGCCTCCGTGCTGAACACATATGGTTGAATTTGGCTCATAAAGGTGTGTTGTGCTACAGCACTGGATAGAAGTTCTGCTGAGCTTCTGCTGGGGTCTAGGGCCACTGTGGGCAGTGTAGCAGCTATTGCAGTGTGCGGCTATGGTGAGAGGCCACTCCAAGTCCAGCCCGTTGGTAAGGTAGCCAAGCTTTACTAACAAGGGCTTACTAACGGGCTGAGCTGATGACATATAAAACCTGTGATCCTTTAGCTCCAGTTTAGGGTCCCACTATGGCCTGGGCAGGGATTTGGACCAGCTGAGGCGTGGCCATAACAGCAGAAAAGCATCCACCTGGCTGTGCATGACAAGGGTTCCATAATAATCCCACGTGGGAACAACTAAAGCCACAATGGTAATAGACTGACCAGAGTGACCTCTTTCTCCTGGCACACAGAAGCAAAACTAACCTCTTTTAAATAAAACTTCAAGTGTTAACAATTTGGGGTGGAAAAGAGGTCTCAAAGGTGAGATAACTGACTTTCTGCTAATATAAACACATGAGTGCTCAATTAATTGGATAAATAAAAGAGTAAAAGCCAAAATCCTTTCACTGGTCTACCGGATCTCTTGTATACTGCCCTCTCTCTGATCTCATTTCTGATCTGCTTAACCGTGCTCACTCAGCACCAGGCAAGGCAGCCTCTTTCCTGTTTCTCAAACATGCTCTCACCTCAGGGCCTTTGCACTGCTGATCCCTGTGCCTGAAATACTCTTCCTGAGTGCTTCACCTGTCGGGACTCTGCTCAGACGTTACCTTATTGGTGGTCTTCCCTTGCAACCTCATAGCACTCCCTCCTGCCAGCATTCTCTCTCTTTCCATCCACTTTTGCTTTTACCCACAGAACGAATCACTATCTCATATTACATATTTACCAGCTTATCACCTCTTACCCCTATTTGAATATAAGTTTCACAAGGGCAGAGGCTTTATTTCTTACTGTTACACTAGCACTCAAAATTGTGTTTGGCCCACAATAGGTGCTTAATAAACATTAGATGTTGAAGGAGATGTGAATCTATTTGTACCCCAATTGTGGGGGTTGCATTCATACATGTAACAAATAAATACTAACATAAGATAGGGTCATAAGAGTGAGCCAGATAAAATGTTCTCAGAATCTAGAAGAAGGAGAGAGAATTCCAACAGAAAGAAATCAAGGAACAGTTCATGGAGAAGGGACCATTTGATCCGTAAAAGATGGATTGGATTTGAACATTTGGGGATGGGAGGGAAGTTTCAGTGAAGGACATTAACATGAGCAAATGCATAGAGGTATTAAGAACAGCTTCTTTTAGCTAGAACAGAGGAGTACAGAAAAGATGGTCTAAAAGGTAATGAGCTTAGATTTTGAAGGGCCTTGCTCTCTATTCTCTGAAAATTAATTAATTATAATTCTGTAAAGTCTGTAATTATACACCAGAGACTGATGTGTAAAACAGGTACAAATCAAATTCAGAGCCAGCTAGGTAGGGCAAGGGGGATACAGGCCTCCTAGACCACACACCCACTCTCCTTTCTATGAACCCCTAGGGCACTGCTGTTCAGAGTCTAAAAATTACTGTTCTATAAATAGAGAGCTATCAGAGGTGTTTGGGCTGGGGAGAAACTGGATTAGAGCTATGTTTCAAAAAGATTAATCCAGCAACCAAAAGACAAATTGGAGAGGGAAGGCACTAGATGCGGGAAAACCAGTTATGGTACTCTTGCCACTGTCTGGATGAGAGGTAATGAAAGGCACAACTTAGGCAGGTGAATCACAAATTCATGAATTAGGACTCTGGCAACATGAGAAAATGACTATGAGGGAGAACACCTGGATTGGGTGGTAGGGTTGGGGAAGCTGACTCAGGTGGTAGGTGTCCAATGGGCACCAGAAGCTCAGGTTGACTCATGCCTGTACCAATATCTCTGAGTTAGGAAGATACGAGCATCCAGGACTGTTACAGATCTTGCAGATGTTCATGTCGTTCTTCCAGGTCAACTATATTCACTGCAGGATCAAGTCATCACTTTGGAATATGGGAAATCAAGAAAACAAATCCAAAATCCAGGGAAAATCTTAGAGCTCAAAAAGCTAAAGTCCCCAGTTCATCTCCCAAAGTCAGACTGCTGAGCCTGGTCGGAGAAAATCACACAGCTCTGCATACAGGTGCTACTAAAGTGTAGTCTTTAGGTTGTTTGAGGACATGAAGTCTTCCTATGTGTCCTTTATCAATTTATTCTTCTACCCACTTGACAAAATATTAGTACTCTCCTCGAGCCCCTACTCTACTACTTTGCCTCTGATTTTCAGCAGACAGCCATGTTCCTTCTCTCTGGGATTGATGAATTCCAGCCCAATATTTTAAATGCTGTCTCAGGGGTGAAGTTTCCACAATCTGTAACTCTTCCCATGATCTCTTCTCTGTGTCCAAAACTACTTATCTATCTATTGAATATTCCACAGACACCTCAAAAACAGCCTGGCCTAAACAGACTTGATTTCTACCCTTAAATCTATTCCTCCTCATCTCTTTTTCTATCATAGTAAATGGCAACACCGTTTACCCAGAGGCACCAGCTTCACAGCTAGAAACTATCTTATTCCCTTTAGTGTTGCTACAAAGGGATATCTGAGGCTGGGTAATTTATAAAGAAAAAAAGATTCATTTGGCTCACGATTCTGATGTCTGGAAAAGTTCAAGATTGGGCTCTGCATCTGGGGATGCTCTGAGGCTGGTTCCAGTCATGGCAGGAGAATGGGAACTGGTATGTGTGGCGATCACATGGTGAGTGCTGAAGCAAGAGTTGGGGAGGTGCCAGGCTCTTTCTAAACCAGCTCTCATAGGAACTAATGGAGTGAGGACTCATTAGCATGAGAAAGGCACCAAGTCATTCATGAGGGATTCACCCCCATGATCCAAACACATTCTATTAGGCTCCAACTCCAGAATTTGGATCAAATTTAAACATGAGCTTCAGAAGAACAAACATTCAAACTATGGCACCATAGCACTATCCTTGATTCCAATCCATCAGCAAGTTTGGCCTACCATATATAGAGAGAGAGAGAGAGTAAAAAAATATTTTACATATATACACACACACATGCTTCCCTCTCCATGACAACAATAACCCCTTAACTAAGCCACCATCACTCCATGCCTGGACCACACCCACAGTCTCTTAGCTGGTCTCTTTGTTAGCTCTCTGCCATTCTCCCTCCATTTCCCACACATCCAGACATCTCCATGTATTCATCCTCATCTCAATTCACCTCTTAGCAGCGTTTAACACTATTAGCCATTTCCTCCTTTTTGAATTCTTTGTTCCTTGGCTTCCAGACATATCAGTCTTCTGGCTTTCCTCCAACTGTGTGGGCCTTCTGTTTTTTAGGTTTGTCCTTGTCGTTTAGCTGTTAAATATTAAAGATCCTCCAAGCTCTATCCTAGACTCTCCTCCTCTTACTCTATATTCTCCATGATCTCATTAGTGCCCACAACATCAATTATGCTAATGACTATGCTGATGACTAACATATTTGGATGCCTAGCTTGCATCTCTTCTTTGAGCTCCAGACCTATATATTCAGCTGCCTCCTTGACATCTCTTGAATATCTCAAAGTATCTTAAATTCATCATGGTAAAAACTAAGCTAAAATCGAATTCCTTCCCCAAACCTGGCCCTCTTCTAAGGCTTCTTAGCCCAGCACAAGGCCCTAGAGTCCATGCAGTTTGCATAAACCAGAACCAAGAGTCCCCCTTAACACCTGCCTCTCCCTCATCCCTCAGGCCCATGTCCTTATATCTAATTTGATGGCAAATGGGGTAGCCACTTCCCAGCCTGGGTAAATGTCTTAAAGTCTCTTGCCTTGGTTTTCACACCTGTGAAATTGGTCTTATAAAAGCACCTATCTCATAAGGCTACTATAAACAGTAAATGAGATAATATACGTAAGGTATTTAGAATGGTACCTAGCACATTATTTTAAAAAAGGCATTCAGCAACTGTTAAATATGATTATTATCCAATGCATAATGAAATCCTGCCAATAGTGCTTTTAAACAAATTTTAATCAGTTCATCTTTTTCCTTGGGCACCTTTGCCACCCTAGCCTAATCTATCATCACCACTTACTTGGACTACTGCAATGCAGTAGACTCTTAACCGGCCCACTCTGTCCCTTTGCCCCCATCTCTGCCACAAAATATCTCCTCCACAATGCAGACAGAATGGCCTCTTCAGAATGCAAACCTGATCACCTTACCTCCTACCTCTTCTCCCCCAAGTCCTCACATTTTTCAGTGACTCCTTGCTGGTTTTGGGACAAATATGAAACTCCTCCTCATGGCCCTGCCTGCCTCAGGCCCTGTCCACCTCTCCAGCTCACTCTCACCCTCTGCTCCTGACACGTTAACCTCCCTTAGACTCTTGTCTGGCCCTGTCCCCTCCCACCCAGGGCATTTGCACAGCCCATTTGGCTCATTCGTTCTGCCTAGAAAGCTCTTCCCTCCCCTCTTCTACTAATTAAGGCTCCACCTCATCCAGTAAATCCCTGCTCAGGCATTGTGCCTTCAGAGAAGTCTGTGCAGACCCCCGAATCAGAGCCCCTCCTGGCTTGGGGCCCTCTCCCTGTAGCACATCACACAGCTGCCAAGTTCCAACTATTGGTGTGGGTGTAAGAGATCTGTCTTCCCCATTGAACTCTGTATCTTCCCAGGAGGACAGAGAGCATATGGGCTTCTGCTCACCCTTTGTCCCCTGCTGGTAGCATATTGCCCAGCAGAAGGTAGGCACTGCAAAACTATGTGTCTTTTTCTTTTACAGTACCACTTGCAGAAATGCCACTGTTAAAGAATTTCGACAATTTTTGATGAGCCCCAGTGAGGTGATAAAGAAAAAGAATCCATCTGAGAGACTCAGTAGCCAAAAAGGGCATATTGATTGTCACAAAGACAGCCCATGCCCAGCAAATAGAACTGAAGAAGGAGGGCGAGAACAATGCGAAGAAAAGTAACAATGAGAGTGTCAAGGAAGATTAAAGTGCAGCTCTTTGTGGAGCTAATAGATAAGGATTTACCAACAGAGTAGAGTGGATGCATTAAATGTGAGAGCAGTCAGTTTTGGGATGGAAACTAACACTCAGACACTCATGAAAGGAATATTTCAATGTATGGAGCTCAAGAGATGGCAGAATTCTTCTCTCGTTCCCTTACTTTTCTTAAGACTTTTATCATAGAAAGGACAATCAAAATTTATTTTCTCACCGTCTGAAAGCTACAAGTTCAAGATTCAGGTGTCAGCAGGTTTGTTTCTTCTCAGGCCTCACTCCTTGGCCTGCAGGTGGCTGTTTTTCCGCTGTGCACTCACATGGTTGCCCCTTGGTCTGTGTGTTGTCTGTGTCCTCTCTCCTTTTATGAGGACATCAATCGGCTGGGCACGGTGGCTCATGCCACGGTGGCTCCAGCACTTTGGGAGGCTGAGGTGGGTGGATCACCTGAGGTCAGGAGTTAGAGACCAGCCTGGCCAACATGGTGAAACCCTATCTCTACTAAAAATACAAAAATTAGCCAGGCACGGTGGCAGGCGCCTATAATCCTAGCTACTTGGGAGGCTGAGGCAAGAGAATTGCTTGAACCCGGTAGGTGGAGGTTGCAGTGAGCCAAGATTGCGCCACTGCACTCCAGCCTGGGTGACAGAGTGACAGAGCGATACTCTGTCTCAAAAAAAAAAAAAAAACAAAAAAAAAACAAAAAAAGGACAGTAATCATACGGGCTCAGGGCTAACACAGATGAACTCATTTCACCTTAATCACCTCTTTAAAGGCCCTGTCTCCAAATATAGTCACATTCTGAGGTATTGGAGGTTAAAACTTCCTATAAAGTTCTGGGAAACACGATTCAGTCCATAACACTTTTCTATCTATTTATGTTATGTCTATGACAGCTGTCCAGATACACATGGCATACTTATTTTTTAATGCTATGTAATATTTTGTTATATGACTGAACCAAAATTTCTTTATTAATTCATTTGTTAAGCACCTGAGTTGTTTCCAGCTTTTTGTTTTCAAGAATGCTGCTTTGAGCATTCTTGTACATACTCCTGGCATATATACTGAATTATATATGTGAGAGTAGAATTTCTGGATGTTAGGATGAATATGTCTTCAGTTTTACTAAATAATGTCAAAAGGAAAACAAATTTCTGATAGATACTCTATATAATAGTCCTGGTTAATAAAGTTTTGTTTTTTAAAAAATTATGAACTATTTTTATTGAATATTTGTTCTGTGTCTATTAATTTTACTTAACAAATACATACAGCAGATGCTATGAGTGACACACTGTACTTAACAGTTACCAACTATCTACTGGAATAATCACTTTTTTTATTTTGTTAATATGATGAAGAGCAGTAATAGTCTTTATAATGTAAAATTACACTTGCATTTTCAGAATAAACTTCACTTGATCATGATGGATTATTTTTTCATCCATGGCTGAGTTTGCTTTGCTAATATTTTTCTAAAGATTGTTGCATCTATGTTCAGGAGAGAGATTGGCCTATAATTTCCCTTTCTCACTTTGTCCTTGTCTAGTTTTCATTAGCAAAGTTGTGCTAGTCTGTTAGAATGAGCTGGTGGGGGAGAGTCCCTCTTTTTCTTTTATCATAAAGCATGTGTATAAGATTTTTCAATCTTATATGATCTGTTCATGTACATTTTTGTAATCTAGTTTTAATCTATAAACCTAGTTAGACCTGGTGTTTTCTTAATTGTTCAATAGCTTCTATTTATGTGGGTTTTATTTTTAATTTTTTTATATTCCCTGTTTTCAAACGTATTAAACATGTTTGTTGTATAGTTTAGTTTTCCTCATTTTTTACTTTAACTTTAAATAGACTATCAACTGCGTATGTTCCATAACTTGTTCTTTTTATTTTATGCTGTATCTGTGAGAGTTATCCAGGTAAATTTCCAGCAATTCCAATATATTTATTGTCTAGGTTTGATTCCATTATGGTTGCTTCTGCTGACTTGGCTCACAGAGCCTTGTTTGCTTGTATTTCTACTGTAAATTTATCTTCATTGGAATTTAATTTGGGGGAATTCTCTGAGGACTTGTTGAGGGTGCATTCCTCCTGAAAGTGTTTCTGTTTGCTTTTGTCAAACGCCTGGTGCTATGAGTCTGCTTGAAGTTTTTACTGTGCAGTTTTTTCAACCGTGCCAAGAGTGTACATTTGAAGCAGGAGACTACTTGCTGGTCAGCCTCGAGTCCCTGGTTCTCAAAGGAGCTTTGTATTCCTCCTCTACCCAGCGCCAATGCTGAGACAGATTTTTTTCTCTCCTCTCTGCCTTTGAGCTGTGGAATTTTTCCAGTTTACCCTTTCACTGGGCTTCTGTGGTCAGGATTTTATGAGGGATCTCTGCTCACATCCTGCGTCTTGCTCAGGCCTAGGGGCTTGGTCTCCTGTCTCCCCTGCACGTGGGGAGACAAGAAGCTCTAGGCCTTTAGGGTTTGACAGAAGCCCGCAGAGTAGCTGATGGTTCCAGGGTCCACTTAGTTCTGGCTTTATGAACTCATTTCATTCCAGCCATTGAAGGAGCTCCTGTACTTTGTTGCAACTTAGGCCATATTTAAAAGGGTGTTTTAAAGATTTTATCCACTATTTCCAGGTGTTTTATAATAAGATTTCAAGAGATCTAAGCTACCATATTATGTGAAACAGAAGTCAGACTTCTTTTTTTTAATCCACATTTAATCTAATTGACAGTTTCTGTGGCTAACCACTGTTTCCCTCCTTTTCATCATCCTCTATCCTAAGGTTTCTTCTTACTCATTTGTTTTAGGCTAAAAACCTTTCTTGAGTATTTTTATTAGGTGAGTATGTGGATGACACATCTAAATTCTACTCCCTTTAGAATAGCTTTCTTTAACTCTGAAAGAACAATTTCTGAGTTTTAGTCTTTTTTTTTTTTTTTTTGAGACAGAGTCTTGCTTTGTCACGCAGGCTGAAGTGCAATGGCGCGATCTCAGCTCACTGCAACCTCCACCTCCCGGGTTCAAGCAATTCTCCTGCCTCAGCCTCCTGAGTAGCTGGAATTACAGGCGCTCACCACCATACCCGGCTAATTTTTGTATTTTTAGTAGAGATGGGGGTTTCACCATGTTGATCAGGCTGGTCTCGAACTCCTAACCTCAGGTGATTCACCCGCCTTGGCCTCCCAAAGTGCTGGGATTACAAGCGTGAGCCGTCTTGCCCTGCCTAGTCCTTTTGACTTTACATAATGTTGATATTATTTAATCATCTTCTAGCTTCTTGTGTTGCAAATGCCCGTCTGATTATTTTTCCTTTCTTTTGTTATTTATTTATTACTTTTGCTTAGGAGCTTGTTAGCTTTTGTTCTAATCATATAGTCTAGGAACTTTATAAAACTATACCTACATCAGTGGCATTTTTCTCTGACCTTGCTTAGAACTTGGTAAGTGCTTTCAATCTGCAGATTTTTCTTCAGCCAAGGGATGCTTCTTTTATTACGGTACAAACCCATGAAAATGCAGATCCATATTGCCGCTGTCATCTGTCCATCTCCCATCACAAACAGGAGTGGTCTAAAATGCTTATGCTCTATGTGGTGGAAAGGAGGAGAGGCATGGAATCGATGATGACATGGCAGCCAGGTGGTGAAACTGCAGGCAACCTTGCCTTGGGAAGTGGGATCATTTTTCCTCTGGTCCAATCTCACATCAGATTGATGAAATGAGCACCAACCAACTGGATGATTTCTCAGATTGCTTCTGTTGATCTAGAGGTCCCAGCCAACCATAGCATCCAGATATGTCCCTATTGATATTTAAGCTGGAGCAGAGAGCTGTCAGCAGGTAGTACAACCCACAGCTGGCCCAGGAAGACTTTGGATCACACAGCTGGACATCCAGAAATTCCAGGCTGGCAATCCACACAGGTCCACCCAGGACACTGCTTGACCTCACAGTAATGCACACCTCATAGTTTTTACAATTGACTTTTTGGAGCCCACTTAAGCTATAGTAGCAGAATTCAACTGTATTTATTTGTTACATTTTCCTATCTATTTATCTCCTTTTGTTACCAAGACACTAGATTTTCTGGGTCAATTCTCTAACCTTCTTTTTCCCAAAGCATTCCCACCTCTTTATATTTTTGCTCTGTGACGTGAAATATTTCTTCTATGTGACCTTAGACATTAGTTTCTATCCCAAGATTGATTGCTCTCTCATTTAAGGCATCTGCTCCACTGTTTATTGGGGAAAACATTATCTATTAGCTCCACAAACTGCTGTACTTTAATCTTCCTTGACACTTTCATTGTTACTTTTCTTCACATTGTCCTGTCTGCCTTCTTCAGCTCTATTTGCTGGGCATGGGCTCTCTTTGTGCTTATCAATATTTCTTTTTGGCTACTGGGTCTCTCAGATGAATTCTTTTTCTCTATCAGCTCACTGGGGCTCACTGAAGTTGTTGAAATTCTCCAATGGTGGCATTTCTGCAAGTGGTACAGTAAAAGAAGTGTTCTCATCTCTGTGGGTCATGGTGCAGCCCACAGAGGGCTCCAAGGCCCCTGATGAGGCATGATGTGGAAGGCACTCTGGCTGAAGGGCCCCCCTCACTCCCAGGCCCAGAACAGGTAGCATTCTGCCACCCTTTCAGCTCCTGCTCTACCTATTGGTGGCCAGCCAGTCCAGGCACACCCACACAGAGCCTGTGAGGCATGGAATTCTGTGTGTCAAGCTCTTTCCAGAAACCACCTATTCTTGATCCTGATTCCGATCTTGGGGCTCTCCAGTGCTACTCTCCAGGCTCTTGACTAACTCATGAAAGAGGAAGCCCTGCACTGGTTCTCCTCCTCAGGACCCCCAGAGTCCGAGGCTCAAGTACACCCACCTGTTGAGCATCCCTGCAGCTGCCTGGTTTAGGAAAGGCAGGTAAGTTGGTGTGGGAGGGAAGCCCCGGCTAGCTATGGATACGTGGTTATTGTTCCAGGATTCTCAGCCATCCCATGTGTGTTATTAAAAGTTCACTGCGACCGCTAATCATTCATGTACCTGCTCAACACATAGTTTTGGAATACCTACCCTCAACTGGGCAATATGCTACCAGCAGGGGACAAAGGGTGAGCAGAAGCCCATATGCTCCCTGTCCTCCTGGGAGGATGCAGAGTCCAGTGGGGAAGACAGACCTCTAACACTCATACCAAAATTGGAACTTGGCAGCTGTATGATGTGCTACAGGGAGAGGGCCCCAGGCCAGGAGGGGCTCTGATTATGGGGTCTGCACAGACTTCCCTGAAGGCACAATGCCTGAGCAGGGATTTACTGGATGAGGTGGAGCCTTAATTAGTAGAAGAGGGGAGGGAAGAGCTTTCCAGGCAGAACGAATGAGCCATGCAAATGCCCTGGGTGGGAGGGGACAGGGCCAGACAAGGGTCCAAGGGAGGTTAATGTGTCAGGAGCAGAGGGTGAGAGTGAGCTGGGAAGGCAGACAGGGCCTGAGGCAGGCAGGGCCAAGAGGAGGAGTTTCGTATTTGTTCTAAAACCAGTGAGGACTTAGGGGAGAGGAGGTGGGAGGTAAGATGTTATCAGGTTTGCATTTTGAAGTGGCCATTCTGTCTGCATTGTGGAGGAGATATTTTGTGGCAGAGATGGGGGCCAAAAGGACAAGAGTGGGCCAGTTAAGAGGCTGCTGCATTGCAGTAGTCCAAGTAAGTGGTGATGATAGATTAGGCTAGGGTGGCAAAGGTGCGGATGGAGAGAGGTGAACAGATTCAAATTTCATTTAGGAGACACAATGATGAGATTTGATTACAAAGTGGATAAAATTATAGGCAACAAATATTTAGCAATTTATAAGGAATGGTTGAAAATAAAGTCTCAGGTGTAGAGATGCTAGGCAGAAGCAAAGAGAAAGCAGAGTTAAAATCGCACAATGTGTAACTTAAGATTTAAAATACTAAATGGGATAAAAAGGACTAGGTAATGAAAAAAGTCAGTATTTAAGGAAAACTTATATGATCTAGCACAGCCATGTATTGACAAGTGGTTAAAGCAAGCACGGACTAACAGAGACTACCGACACTTGGGTAATGCCATCAAGGTTACTGAAAGGTGGCTCACGCCTATAAATCCAACACTTTGGGAGGCCAAGGTGGGAGAATCACCTGAGCCCAGGAGTTGGACACCAGCCTGTGCAATGTAGGGAAAACTGTCTGATATGGTTTGGCTCTGTGTACCCACCCAAATCTCATCTTGAATCATAGCTCCCATAATTCTCACATGTTGTAGTAGGGACCCAGTGGGAGATAATTGCATCGTGGGGGTGGTTTCCACCATCCCCCATACTGTTCTCGTGGTAGTGAATAAGTCTCATGAGATCTGACAGTTTTAGAAGGGGTTGCCACTTTCACTTCCTTCTCATTTCTCTCTTATCTGCCGCCATGTAAGACGTGTCTTTTGCCTTCCATTATGATTGTGAGGCCTCCCTAGCCACTTGAAACTGTGAGTCCATTAAAATCTCTTTTCCTTTATAAATTACTCAATCTCAGGTATGTCTTTATCAGCAGCATGAAAACAGACTAATAACACTGTCTCTACCAAAAATAATTCTTTTAAAAACCAGCCAGGCATGGTGACACGTGCCTGTATTTCCAGCTACTCAGGAGGCTGAGACAGGAGGATTGGTTGAGCCTGGGAGGTCAAAGCTGCAGTGAGCTGTCATGATGCCACTGCACTCCAGCCTGGGTGACATAGAGAGGCTCTAGGATCTGCAGCAGCAGCAGTGACATCCTGCAATGGAGGCACCAGGTTCCTCACCCGCAAACCCTCACCAGCCAGTGTGCAGCTGCAAATGAAGCATCAGAAGGGGTGAGGACATCTAAGACTCTTAGGAAGCGGAACGATCCCCTTGCAGGCCCAGCCTTACAAGCACAAGTTGAGTGCTCAGCCTGTAACTGGGACTGCACAGAGTGGGGAACCAGCTGACCTGGGCCAGGAGCACACCAGTCATCTTGGGGTTTTATACTTCTCAAAATAATTGCTAGAGGACAGTACACAGTGTAATCAGGACCAAACAAACTTCATACCCATTATTCTCTCACCTCCACAGGCTAGCACAGCTTGCTCTAAACACATTCCTAAGCAACTTTAAGAAAAGTTTAGCAGAGTTCATAGTATCATTTGTTAAGGTGCCTAATAATATAAATGTTCCAAAATTGTCTCAATCATAGCAATAAGCTCCTGGAAATGGAAATGGGAAAGAGAATAATTTCACCAGGATGACAAAAACTATTAAATATTTTAAAATAAATTAAACAAAAGGTCCAGGACTTAGATGATTAAAACTGTAAAAGCTTATTGAAGAATACAAAATAAGATCAAAATAAAAGGGAAAATATGCCATGTTCTAAGATAAGAAAATTGATGTCTTTAAAAATGCCATTTTTTCCCAAATCAACTTATAAATCTAATATTTCAATTAGAATACAAACAGGTTCTTTTTGTTTGTTTTGAGGGCTATTTGTGGGCTTTTTTAGTTTGGTTGGATTTTGTCCTTTATTTGATGGGAGGTGGGCTGGGAGTAGAGAAGAAGGAGGTTTTAATGTCTGAATGGAAGGAAAAATGCCCAAGAATAGTTATGACGAGTATGAATAACAACAGTTTCAAGGGTGCACTTGCCTCAGTAGATATGTGAACATGCTTTAAAACAGAACAAGATATTTTAGAATGTAGAGGCAAAATCAAATCAATATACAAATAGATCAATGCAAGATGATGAAAAAAAATGAACATAACACAGTAAAGAATCCAGAAATGGATGTCAGTATATTTGGAAATGTAGCATATGACAAAGATGATGTATCCAGTAAGAGGGAAAGGGGTATTATTTAATAACTAATTATTGGCACGACTAATTATTGATCAGGAAAAAAACGTATTAAAAATAGCAAAAAAAAAAAAAAAAAAAGCCAGACGTGGTGGTGCACTCCTGTAATCCCAGCTACTCAGGAGACTGTGGCAGGAGGATCATTGGCACCCAGGAGTTTGAGGCTGTAGTGCACTGTGACGATCAATAGCCACTACACTGTACCCTGGAGAACATAGTGAGACTGCATCTCTTAAAAAAAATTTACAAGTGATTTAATAACCTAAATGCTTTAAAATAATAATAATAGTCTTTCAAAGTAAATAAAAATACTTCATGTAAAATTTATGGATTGAGAGAGGACTTCTTAACCAAGACTAAAATCTAGAAGCTAGAAACAACTGTGTTTGACTATATAAAAATAATATTTTGCAGTAGTGAAAGATATTATAATATCATCAAAACCAAAAACTTGGAAAATCTTTATTTACAATGTAGAAATCAGCTAATACCTTATCATGTAGAGAGATCTTTCAAAATGACAAGGAGGCAAGTAATCTATTAATAAAATGAAGGAAGAAACAATTCATAGAAGAGAAAGACCAAAGAGTAAGCAAATCAATGAAAAAGCTAACTCACTCTCTGAGCAGGGCATCTCTGAAAGAAAGGCAGCAGCCCCAGACAGGGGCTTATAGATAAAACTCCCATCTCCCTGGGACAGAGCACCTGGGGGAAGGGGCGGTTGTGGGCAAAGCTTCGGCATACTTAAACATTCCTGCCTGCTGGCTCTGAAGAGAACAGCAGATCTCCGAGCACAGTGCTCGAGCTCTGCTAAGGGACAGACAGCCTCCTCAAGTGGGTTGCTGACCCCCATGCCTCCAGACTGGGAGACACCTCCCAGCAGAGGTCGACAGACACCTCATACAAGAGAACTCTGGCTGGCATCTGGCGGGTGCCCCTCTGGGACAAAGCTTCCAGAGGAATGAACAGGCAGCAATCTTAGCTGTTCTGCAGCCTCTGCTGGTGATACCCAGGCAGAGAGGGTCTGGAGTGGACCTCCAGCAAATTCCAGCAGACCAGCAGCTGAGAGGCCTGACTGTTAGAAGGAAAACTAACGAACAGAAAGGAATAGCATCAACATCAACAAAAAGGACGTCCACACAAAAACCCCATCCGAAGGTCACCAACATCAAAGACCAAAGCTAGATAAATCCACTAAGATGAGGAGAAGCCAGCGCAAAAAGGCTGAAAATTTCAAAAACCAGAATGCCTCTTTTCCTCCAAAGGATCACAACTCCTCGCCAGCAAAGGAACAAAACTGGGCAGAGAATCAGTTTGATGAATTGACAGAAGTAGGCTTCAGAAGGTGAGTAATAACAAACTTCTCTGAGCTAAAAGAGCCTGTTCTAATCCAATGCAAGTAAAATAAGAACCTTGATAAAGGGTTACAGGAATTGCTAACTAGAATAACCTGTTTAGAGAAGAACACAAATGACCTGATGGAGCTGAAAAACACAGCATGAGAACTTCGTGAAGCACACACAAGTATCAATAGCCAAATCGATCGAGTGGAAGAAAGGATATCACAGATTGAAGATCAACTCAAATAAAGCATGAAGACAAGATTAGAGAAAAAAGAATGAAAAGGAACAAACAAAGCCTCCAAGAAATATGGATGATGTGAAAAGACCAAACCCATGTTTCATTGGTGTACCTGAAAGTGACAGGGAGAAAGGAATGAAGTTGGAAAACACTCTTCAGGATATTATCCAGGAGAATTTCCCCAACCTAGCAAGACAGGCCAACATTCAAATTCAGGAAATACAGACAACACCACAAAAATACTCCTTGAGAAGAGCAACCCCAAGACATAATCGTCAGATTCACCAAGATTGAAATGAAGGAAAAAATGTTAAGGGCAGCCAGAGAGAAAGGACGAGTTACCCACAAAGGGAAGCCCATCAGACTAGAGTGGATCTCTCTGCAGAAACCCTACAAGCCAGAAGAGAGTGGGGGCCAATATTCAACATTCCTAAAGAAAAGAATTTTCAACCCAGAATTTCATAGCCAGCCAAACTAAGCTTCATAAGTGGAGAAATAAAATCCTTTACAGACAAGCAACTGCTGAGAGATTTTGTCACCACCAGGACTGCCTTACAAGAGTTCCTGAAGGAAGCACTAAATATGGAAAGGAAAAACCAGTACCAGCCATTGCAAAAACATACCAAAATGTAAAGACCATCGACACTATGAAGAAACTGCATCAACTAATGGGCAAAATAACCAGCTAGCATCATAATGACAGGATCAAATTCACTTATAACAATATTAACCTTAAATGTAAATATTATGTATTTGTAAATTGCATAAATATTATGTAAATGTAAATTGGCTAAATGCCCCAATTAAAAGACACAGACTGGCAAATTGGATGTTACCTGCATGGACCTTGGGGGATTGAACAAAGGGGGGCGAATGTAGGAATAAAGAGAAAGACAAAAGAGTGTATTTGGAAGAAGGGGCACCTTGCCTCTAGTGGATAAGGGCCCAGACTTTCCACAGCCCTTTGAATTTCTTGGTAAAAGAGATAGCCAGAAGGGGGGTGGAAGAAGAGGTCAGCTGCTCAGGCCAGAGTAGGCTTGCAAGACTGCATTCCTTGAACAATAGGCTCTAGATATCCCAGTAGATAACCTCAAGGAGCCCAGCACTAGGGAGTGACCGCCCTCAGCAAACCTTCTGGCGGCAGGCACAGTGTGAGTTTGCCCACATCCTGCATTCATGATAAACCGTTTGCTGTTTGATCATATAGCCTCCAGTGGAAAGCTGAGCTGGTCACAATCCCTTTGGCCTTTTTGGCTCCCAACAGATAAAGAGTCAAGACCCATCGGTGTGCTATATTCAGGAGACCCATCTCACATGCAAAGACACAATAGGCTCAAAATATAGGGATGAAGGAATATTTACCAAGCAAATGGAAAGCAAAAAAAAAGCAGGGGTTGCAATCCTAGTCTCTGATAAAACAGACTTTAAATCAACAAAGATCAAAAAAGACAAAGAAGGGCATTACACAATGGTAAAGGGATCAATGCAACAAGAAGAGCTAACTATCCTAAATATATATATACCAAATACAGGAGCACCCAGATTCATAAAGCAAGTTCTTAGAGACCTACAAAGAGACTTAGACTCCCACACAATATTGTGGGAGCCTTTAGTACCCCACTGTCAATATTAGACAGATCAACAAGACAGAAAATTAGCAAGGATATTCAGGACTTGAACTCAGCTCTGGACCAAGTGGACCTAATAGACATATACAGAACTCTCCACCCCAAATCAACAGAATATACATTCTCAGCACCACGTCACACTTATTCTAAAATCGACCACATAATTGGAAGTAAAACACCCCTCAGCAAATGCAAAAGAACAGAAGTCATAACAAACAGTCTCTCAGACCACAGTGCAATCAAATTAGAACTCAGGATTAAGAAAGTCATTCAAAACTGCACAACTACATGGAAACTAAACAACCCGCTCCTGAATGACTACTGGGTAAATAACAAAATTAAGGCAGAAATAAATAAGTTCTTTGAAACCAATGAGAACAAAGACACAACATACCAGAACCTCTGGGACATAGCTAAAGCAGTGTTTAGAGGGAAATTTATAGCACTAAATGCCCACAGGAGAAAGCAGGAACGATGTAAAATTGACACCCTAACATCACAGTTAAAAGAACTAGAGAAGCAAGAACAAACAAATTCAAAAGCTAGCAGAAGACAAGAAATAACTCAGTGCAGAACTGAAGGAGATAAATGAAAAACCTTTAAAATATATATATAACTATATATATAACTATATATATAACTATATATAACTATATATAGCTATATATATAACTATATATATAACTATATATATAACTATATATAACTATATATATAACTATATATAACTATATATATAACTACATATAACTATATATAACTATATATAACTACATATGACTATATATAACTATATATAACTATATATAACTATATATAACTATATATATAACTCTATATATAACTATATAAATATAACTATATATATAACTCTTTATATATATAGTTGTATCACTGTAACATGATATCAGAGTTCTTTATTGCACAACACAGTTCACTAGAACGTTCTGCAATGATGGACATCATCTGTGCTGCCTAATATGGTGACCACTAAGTGTACGTGTCCACTGAACACTTGAAATGAAGCTAGTGTAACTGAGGAATTGAATTTTTAATTTTACTTAATTTCAATTAAAATTAAGATTTAAACAGCCGTATGTGACTATGGTTACTGTATTGGATGGCACATGTCTAGCAGGTACTTTTACTGTCATCAATTCTTTATTGACATTATGAGGCAACTATTCGTTCAAGTTTCTATCCACTTTTTAGGTGTTGAAACTAAGTATTATTTAAGAGACACTCCCTAAATAGCAGCAAAATCCTTTAGACTCCCCTCTGACCCAACCTCATATTACTACTGTTTGTGGATCCGCTGTTTTGACTAGTTAAAAAAAAAAAGCTAACTCACTATAAAGTACTAAATTTTATATACACACACACATATGTATGTATATATGCCTATGTAAATACGTATACTTGCATTCATCACAAAGAAAAAAGATAAAGCAACATAGAAGGACTTGGGGGAAGGATACATATATTTTTGGTACAAATCTTAACAAATAAGAACTTAGAAAAAGAATCTGGAAACATCTTAATGTAAAAAATACATACATAATTTGATCAAGCAATTCTACTACTGAGAACATATCCTCTAGAAATATCAGCATGAATATGTAAGTATATACATACGGGATTTTCTGTTCCAGCATGGTTTTTAGAAGCCAAAACTAGAAGCAACAATCAAAACATAAGGGGAATGCCCGATATATGGAAGTCATAAACAAAAAGATTGAGTGTGCTAGCTTCAGCAGCACATATACTAAAAATGAAAGAATATACTAAAAATGAAAGAATGATAACCTATGCTAATTGACATAGAGAACTGTCCATGAGATACTATTGAATGAAAAAAATCAAAATGCAGCAAATATATACAAACATGTGTGTATATACGTGTGTGTATACATGTGTGTGTATGTATGTATAGGAAAGCTTATATACTAGATTAATAACTACAGTTATCAGAGATAGAGTAGAATGAGGGCAGTAAGGAAATGATGCAGTTTGGGGAAGGACAGTCATATCAAATCACTTTTCTGCTTAAGAAAACCTTTAATGATTATTCATTTAACTTGCACACAAACAGAAACCTCTTACCATGGCCTACAAAGTCTGGCATAATTTTCTCTCCAGGTAGCTCTTTAACCTCGCCCCGTCCATTCTTTTTTCTCACTGTACCCTAAGCACCCCGATCTTCTGAAAGGTCCTAGAAGTGCAAAGTTCTTTCCCAGCTCAGGCTTTTGTACCTGCCCTTCCTTATTCCTGGGAAGTTCTTCCAGGATCCCTGGCTTCTTGAGCTCTAGGTCTCACCATCCAGAGATACTAACCTTAACTGTCCTATTTAAAGAGGTACTCTCACCCTGTTCTTCATTACATACAGTACACTGTATATTTCCTTCATGGCATGTTATCACAATTGATGATTTAAAAATTTTATTTTATTTTTTTTTTGCTTATGCAGGGTAAGTTTCCCTCTTTGGAATATAAGCTTCATGAAAGCAAAGAATATGCTTCTTTTCTCACCACTCTGTTCCTAGCACTTAATGCAGTTATTAAATAATGAATGATCCATCCTCTTCTTTACAGACAAGCTGGAATCCATCACGCAAAACCCGATAACTTTCTGTTCACTGTTGAGCAACAAGTATTAAGAATATTGACACTCATCCTTTCTCTTCTAACAAAGGCATCTTTGCTTTTTTTTTTTTTTTCTTTTTGAGATGATGTTTCCCTCTTGTCACCCAGGCTGGAGAGCAATGGCCCGATCTCGGCTCACTGCCACCTCCGCCTCCCGGATTCAAGTGATTCTCCTGCCTCAGCCTCTCGAGTAGCTGGGATTACAGGCGCCCACCACCATGCCTGGCTAATTTTTGCATTTTTAGTAGAGACAGAGTTTCACCATATTGGCCAGGCTGGTCTCAAACTCCTGACCTCAGGTGATCCACCCGCCTCGGCCTCCCCGAAATGCTGGGATTACAGGCGTGAGCCACCGCGCCCAGCTGGCATCTTTGCTTCCTACCTGAGCTCTGGGCCCTATATTTTGCCTCTTCCTCAAGAACCTCATTTCATCAATTATTAACTTCTTTTCTATATCTTCAACATCTCTGATCCTTTCTCCAGCATATATGCACATATGCTCAGTCCTTTCCACTCTAGAAAGAAGAGGAAGAAAGAAGGAATAAAAAACTCTCCACTTCTCTATAATAAAATGCACTTTTGGTTGAAGAATCCCCAGGAACAAAGATATCTTTAAAAAGCAGCCACCGTACGAGGAGGAAGGGGCAGGACAGGTCACCTATAAAGAAGCAACAATTGGGCAGGGCGTGGTGGCTCACGCCTGTAATCTCAGCACTTTGGGAGGCCGAGGCGAGCGGATCATGAGGTCAGGAGATGGAGACCATCCTGGCTAACACGGTGAAACCCCGTCTCTACTAAAAATACAAAGAATTAGCCGGGCGTGGTAGCGGGCGCCTGTAGTCCCAGCTACTCGGGAGGCTGAGGCAGGAGAATGGCGTGAACCTGGGAGGTGTAGCTTGCAGTGAGCCAAGATCGCGCCACTGCACTCCAGCCTGGGTGACAGGGCGAGACTCCGCCTCAAAAAAAAAAAAAAAAAAAAAAAAAAGCAACAATTAGACTCACTGCTTTTTTTTTTTTTTTCAATAGCAACAGTAGAAACCAAAATACATTGGAATGATGTCCTAAGCGAAAATAATTGCCATCTTAGAATTTCATATCTGGGGAAAATATCTTGTAAGAATGGGGATAAACACGTTTTTGGACAAACAAAAGCTAACATTGTTTTCCATCAACAGAAATTATAAAAAATTTACTTCAGGCAGAAAGATAGGGACAGATGATAGGTCTGAGATGCAAGAGGAATGAAGAACACAAAAGTGTGACTTAAATACGAACATCATGCATGACAAATTGAAAAGAATCAGCAAAGAAAAGATGATCTTTTCAATAAATGGACCTGGGAAAATTGGGTTATGAAGAAAAATGAAATTGGACCTCTGCCAAATAACATACAGGAAAATTGATTCTACGTAGATTAAAATCCTAAATGTGAAAGGCAAAACAATAAGCTTTTAGAATATATTATAGGAATATAGTTTCATGACTTCAGGGTTAGAAAGTATTTTTTAAACAAGAACCCATAAAAGACAATGGCTAAATTTGAGTACATTAAAATTAAGACGTTCTATTCATCACAGATACCATAAAGAGGGTGAAAAGAGAATCACAGCTTGGGAGATGTTTGCAACACATGTAATAAACAAAAGACTAAAATCCACAAATATAAAGAACACTTACACAGTAAGTAAAAAGAGACATAATACACCTTAAAAATGGGTAAGTGACTTAAATAAACGTTTTATTCATACATTGGAGTCTGTGGTCAAAAATCGATGGGAAAAGTACTGCTTCATAGCAATTTCCCAAGGAATGAGTATTTTAATGAATAAGATTAGAAAATGGTGCATGAGCACTCGCAGGCTCTGTCTCCAAGCTTAGGAAGTGGTTCCTGCATTTCAAGGCTGGATCTTTCACCTCCAAAATGTGCTTGGGGTATTATGTTTGGAAAATGAGCTTCAGAGAGGGCCCTTATTCAATACAGAGAACTATTATGAGATTTTGCAAGCAGGTTGCAATTCAGCATTTCTAAAATTTCTTAGCAGATTAATGTCATTTTGTACTTAGTGAAAATGTGTATTTAACTTTATTCTAAATTAAATTTGCAGGTGCCAAGCGCAAGAACTCATTAATAATAAACATTTCTTTTAATGAACGTAAATATTTTTGACTTAACAATTTCACGAAGGCATTATTTCCCTGTCTTCTGCCCCTTTACCTCTTTCTCTGTCTCTCCCATCTCCCTGTCTTAGCTCCTGTTCATCCAAACCACTCCCATCTCCCACCAAGCCTGATCTTTCTACATCTCTACATTTTACAACATTTCTCACAATTTTCCAATGGAATTTTCTTCAATACGTAATTAATTACTGGAAGGAAAAATCAACACAAAATAAAACTGACAGTAGTTAAAACCACATATTGTAAAATTTATGACTAAATAGTGCTAAAAATCTTACTTTTGTCAAAGTTTATATCTTGTCCAATTTAAGCCAGGTGGATTGGCCAATAAATAACGGCCTCAAAAGGAAATGTATGGCAATAATTATGAAGAGTAAAATTTGATAGGAACACAAACTCAATCATTGAATCACATTTGTGCTCTGAAAGTTTCTCTTTAGAAAGGAACTGATCACATTGAAAATGTGTTTAGGAAAAAAAAAGAGAGAAAAATGTAAATTGTATATCTCTTTTATATAGAAAAACTGATAAAAAATAATTAGCTCAATGTAGTTGACTCTGGAAGATACTACATCATTCTGATTAAAACACTTTTTCCAAATTATTCTAGAGGTTAAGAAGTTTAGTAAAATATATTTTCCATGAAATCCTGCAATTCATTTTTGTCTATAAATATAATTTTTATGTTATATAAATTAGAAAAATGGTAAATGTTTACCAATAACCTGGTATCAATTACTAATACTGATTGATATGCCACACAGTTTTGCAATGAACATTTGTTGAGTGGCAGCTGTGTGCCTTCACTGTCTAGGTACTGGGAAAACAGAGATGCATTAGACAGATTTCTGCCCTCAAGGAATTTACATATGCACTAAAATTGCAAACACGAGTCTGAAATTGATTCATTTTGCTTTACCATATTTGATTATATTAATAAATCTGTGAATTTTAAACATGGGCATGGTTGAAATTCCACTTATAAATTATTTATTCATCACTCTGCTGTGATGTTGTCTCTTCAAGACAGTGTCCTCTCCTGAATTTTCATTTATTTAAACATATCTGCAAGGTTTAGAAATCAATATCAAAAGCCTCTAAAGCATTACATTCAAAATATGAAGTTGGCATTTTACATTCTGTTACAGCCTTGCGTTAATTTAGCCTGTCAGAGTCAGTTTATCCTGTCAGTCCTCCATAAAGTCAAACCATTAATTTCCTCAACTGTCAGTGTACATATCACTTTTAGGATAAATCCATCGAATAAAATCTGACATCTCCCAGGCTTTGCCATCATTAGATGGTGATTAATGTTAAAAACTTCCATTCATCTTTAACACCCCCATTTCTAATTCAGTAATTGGATCAAAGAAAGAGATGCTGTGTTAACGGGCAGTACAGCCTATTTTCCAGGTGGCTCCTTCAGCTCCTGAGATACAAGTTCTGGGCCTTCCCTAAACCATTCCTAGCTTGAAGCTTCAATGACAGACCACCCCTGGACTTCAGCTTCAGCAACTGTAACCCCAGGACTTCAGTGTTCTGGTGATTCTTCATGAATCTTAAAGCCCAGGATGAATGCATTTCAAACTCTGTCCTGCAACAATAAATTAAGCTCCCAGAAATCGGTCTTTGAGACTTTCTTGCACTGTGTTACTTAAAGCATAAAGCCTTAGATTGAATTCCCATTGCTCCACTGCTCATAGGAAAAAATCCCTTAATAATCTGTCCCCTACCCAGTTCTGCAGCCTCTTTAACCTTTCTCTGTCTCTCTGTTTCTTCTCTCTAGCTTCATGGGCTTCCTTGCAGTCCTTCAAATGCCCTGCTCCTTTTCCCTCTGTGGGTCTTTGCCTTTTCTCTGTTTGGATTGCTCTTCCCCCCATCCTCATCCAGTTTCTCTTCTCTAACTTCTGATTAGAGGTCACTTCCTCAAGGACTCTTCCCCCAAATACCCACAGTAGTGTTATATGTTGTCAAGTACCTTTCCCTCATCACACATAACACAATTCTCATCACTTATTCACCTGATGATCTGCTTAATGTCTGTCTCCTCTCATTCAACAGTAGACATGAGAACAGGGAAATTTTCTGGCTTTTCACCATTTCATCACCATAGCGTAGTACACACAACAGCCCAGCTTACAGAAAAATGTTTTTAAAATATCTGTTAAATTACAGTAGGGTTGTATTCAGGTCCCAGTCTGGGAGGGCTCCATTTTTTTCTTGTATAAACAGGAATGGAGCTTAGGCACAGTGGAGTCCTTTGTGAGCACCTGCTAATGACCAGGACTAGCAAGGACCTCTACCCAACAAACACATCTACAGCTGTCCACACTGGTGGGTCCATTTCCCACTCACTTGCCTTCCTGAAAGCACGATGAAGACAAAATGGGCAGCCGGATTCAGCACAAATAATTAAGGGAAGGGTACCCACTGAAATGTTCTGCCACAAACATATACGCCAATAGCCGGACAAGCAAGAGTTCAAATGTTCTCGAAAGCACCAAGCTTAAAAATATAATCTTGACTCTGTGTTCATATTCAATAAATTCTTTCCTATGAGGGTTTGACAATCTTATCATCAGCAAATGTATCCACTCCACTCCTGATCTGCCTCAAACTGGATTGCTTTTTACTTACTAACCTAGGGTAAATGGGAATATGTTAGACTTTGGGTTTGCAGAGTAACTATAGCTTGTTTGTTTGTTGGTTGGTTGGTTGGTTGGTTGGTTGGTTGGTTTGTTCTTGGAGGCAAGGTCTTGCTCTGTCACCGAGGCTGGAGTATCATGGTACAATCATGCCTCACTGCAGCCTCGAACACCTGGACTCAAGTGATTCTCCTGCCTCAGCCTCAAGTAGCTGGGACTACCCACCCCCACACCTGGCTAATACAGCTAGTTGTTTATTCTAGCTTTACTTACTGCATGAGAAGTAGAGTCAAAGATTGAGCAAGTATATGCCTAGAAGGCTCTTATACTTGGCTGGTTGTGGATATCTCAAGAGGGGATATTCAAATCTGTCCATTTTCCCCAGAGCCATCACTGCCACCTTAGTTCAGGCCAGTAACATTCTTGCTTGGTCTACTGTATTAACCTCTTAACTTTTTCCTGGTTTTCTGTACAATCCATTTTCCACTTTGAAGACAGAGCAGTCTTTATAAATCAAATAAGATTGTGCTTGCCTTGGCCTAAAACCTGCCAATGGCTTCTCATCATACATATCTACTTGTTCTATCAATTACTAGAAAGGGATCTTAAAAATCTTCTGTTATGATTGTAGATTTATTTCTCCCTTTATTTCTGTCAGTTTTTGCTTCATGTATTTTGAAACTCTGTTATTAGTTGCATACATGTTTAGGATTATTATGTCTTCTTAATGGGTTGATTCTTTTATCATTATGAGATATCTCCTTTATCCCTAATGATACTTTTTGCTTTAAAGTCTCTTTGTCTGATATTAATATAGCTATTTCTGCTTCCTTACAACTAGTTTTATGTTTCTTAAGTTCTTATATATTTAACTTACTTGTGTCTTTTTATTTAAAGCATACGTGTTGTAAATAGCCTATGTCTGGCTCTTGCCCTTTTATCTAGTCTGAAGATATCTGCCTTCATGTAATTAGTAATACAATTGAATTAAGACTACCTTCTTTTATTTTTTCTCCATTTATGATATCTGGGTTTTGTCCCTTTTATCCTTTTTTACTGCCTTTTTCTGTGTTAATTATTTTTATTGTTTTACTTTATTTCCTCTATTAACATTTTAGTTGTGCTTCATTTAAAGTTTTTTTTATTGGGTCCTCTGAGATTACAATAAGCTCTACTAACTTAATGCAGTCTACCTTGAAAAAATATTAGACTACTTCATGTATAAGAAACCTACAACAGTATGCTTTCACTTGCCCTCTTCTGTCCCTGGTACAGTTATTGACATACATTTTACTCCTACATTTTACAAACTCCATGATACATTTTTATCATTTTGCTTTAAACAAGTATTTCTTAAAGAGATTAAGAAGTGAGGGAGAGAAGTCTTTTCTTTTCCCTTTTTTGAGAAAGGATCTGGCTCTGTCACCCACGCTAGGGTACGGTAGTGCAATCTCAGCTCACTGAAACCTCCACCTCCCAGGTTCAAGCCATCCTTCCACCCAGCCTCCAGAATAACAGGGACTACAGGTACATGCCGCCACACCCAGCTAATTTTTGTATTTTTTGTAGAGATAGGGTTTTGCCAGGTTGCCCAGGCTGGTCTCGAACTCCTGAGCCCAAGCAATCCACCCACCTTGGCCTCCCCAAGTGTTGGGATTACAGGCATGAGCCACTGCACCTGGCCAGAGAGAAGTCTTTTATATTTATTCACATATTAACAATTAAAAGTACTCTTCATTTCTCTGTATAGGTATGAGTGTCCATCTGGTATCATTTTCCTTTGTTTTCCTGAAGGACATTTTGATTTAGCAATCTAATGAAGGCATTACAGATGAAGGCATTACAATTATAAGTCAAACAATTTACAATGGTTCGACTTATAATTTTTTTGACTTAATGCTGGTGCAAAAGCAATATGTTGAACAGAAGCCATATTCAAATTTTGAATTTTGAACTTTTCCTGGGATAGCAATATGCAGTAGAATATTCTCTCTGGTTGCTGGGCAGTGGCAGTGAGCTGCAGCTCCCAGTCAACCACGCAATCACAAAGCTCAACAACCAATATTTCACAGTGTGCTGTGTTGCAGATGATGTTGCCCAATTGTAGGTTAATGTTATTTTCTGAGCATGTTTAAGATAGATTAGGCTAAGCTATCATGTTCAGCAGGTTAGATGTATTAAATGCATTTAGTTTTTCAATATTTCCAACTTAGGATGGGTTTATTAGGATGCAACCCCATGATAAGTTTCAGACCATCTACATTGTGATTCCCTTTTCTTCCTCCTATCTCCTGTCTCACCTCATATCCATTGAGCTCCCTCCCACCTCCTCCAGTCCTCCATCTTTCCAAGTTCTTTAACATTTCTCATAGTACAATTCCCAGAGTGACAAATTCTCTCAGCTTTTATTTATCAGAAAATAGCTTTATTTTTGCCTTAATTTTTTGGTGGATACATTTGCTGGATCTAAAACTTAGGTTGACTTTTTTTTTTTTGGCAGTATTTCAAAGATGTTGTTCCATCTTCTAACTTGCCTTGTTTCTTATAAGAAGACATGTTAATCTTATCATTGTTCCTTCAAATGCAATGTGTCTTTTTTTGGTGCTTTTACTATTTTCTCTTTTTTATTTATGGCAATTTGACTGTAATGTGCTTAGGTATGATTTTCTTTGTATTTATCTTGCTTGCGGTTTGTTTGAGCTGTTTGAATGTAAATTAATATTTTTCTTTAAATTTGGAAAGTTTTAGAGCATCATTTATCCAAATATCTCTCTTCTCCTTCTGGATTCCAATTACACATGTGAGACTGCTTGACAATGTCCTACAAGTCAGTAAGTTTCTCTTCCATTTTTTCAGGGTTATCTCTCTCTGTGTGTTTTAGTTTAGCCAGTTTCTATTGTTTTTCTCTTGTGCAGTGTTCAATCTGTCCTTAAGAGCACTGTTTGACCTTTGAAATCTCTGTTCAGCTTACAGCTCCCCAGAAGCTACTCTCAGCCCAGCCATCAGCCTTACCCTTTGCATGTGTACCTTAATATTTGGCCGAAGACTGAAGAGAACTCCTATGCAGATTTTTGGAGTTTCTTCTGGGTATAATTCCTTCCTTTCTGGCATTCTGCCCTGTGAAATTGCAGCTGCTTTAGCACCCCCAAACATGGATCTCTGCCTACTCATCTCAGTGAGACTGCTATGCTGTGCCTGTGCCCTACTTCCCTACACTGTGTTCCAGAAAGTGCATCCACACAGAAGCCAAGGTGCTTCTCTTCTTTCAAGGATCAGTTTTGCTCTGCCTTTTATCCAATGTCTGAAAGCCATTGTTTCATACATTTTTGCAGTTATACAGTTGTTTACTGTAAGAGAACTAATCCAGTACCAACGACTCTGGTTGCCCCAGAATAAATTCCAAACTCCTTGCCCTTGTTTATAAGGCCCTATACAATCTGGCCTGCCTACTTCTCTGAGTTCACCCTGGCCTCCTTTCCCCTCCCGAGACAACCAAAATACTTCCCACTTTAGAGCTTTTGCACTCCTATGCCTTGTGTCGGGCATGCTGTGTCTCTGACCTTCACATGATGGCCTCTTGCTTACCATTCGAGACCATCCGAATTAAAGTATCCACTCAGTCATTGTCTCAGAAATCTGTTTTAATTATTTGCAGAATGCATATCACATTCTAATATTTTTGGTTTTGTTTGTATATTTAATTTATTTTCTCTTGGCTTATTTTCTGTCTTCCTTCATTAGAACAAAGTGTCCATGAGGGACCTCTTCTGTTTGGTTTACTGTGGTATCTTTAATGCTGGGACTATGTCCAGCACATGGGAGCACTTGATAAATATTTCTTGGGTAAATGGATAAATGAATAAAACCTATTTTGCTTTTATGTTGCTTCATATGTTTCCTTTAAAATACCACACTTCAGTGGGCATGTTCAACTTTACATAACATACAGATAATGGTGAGAAAGAAGATAATAATAATTCCTAATATTTATTGAGCTCTTTTACCATGTGTTAGTCACTGAACTAGAAGATTTCCTTCTATTATCTCAATTAATCCTCATTACAATGCTATGAGGTACCTGCTAGGATTTTCAGCATTGCAGATAAGAAAACTAGGGCACAGAAATTCAGTGACTTTCTGAGTTTCTCACATCTAAAGTAATGGTTTTACCCACACCCCAGAGCTGATTTTTCAGCCAGATTTTCCAGAGTTGCTTTTGTCCAGGCTCTGCTGTTCATTTCCACATGACAGGAGATGGGTATATCCTGCCTTTGAGACATGCTCAGGTCATGCTGGTCTCTAGCTCGGAAACATCATGTACCACATCTGTCACCCATTACTCTTCCTTGCCAAAATAGTCCATATTGTGCTGTTGTATCCAACCCCCATGTTTCTACTGTAGCAAAAATATGCTTAACCAGCTGCTGCTAACACTTCATAATGCTCGTGACAACTCTACTGAGAAGCCCCTCTTCATGGAGCAGATGGTGTGAAATCAAGCAGGCAAGCGGAAATGTAGCGGAAGAGCCTGGGGAGGAGGTTCTGGTCAGGGGAGGCACTGCCTCTTTTGTTTTGTTTTTTTTTTAGACTTGAATCTAAAGTAGGTCCTATTCACATCCCTATGAACATGTCCCAAAGTCAGTGTAAGAGCTGGGATACGGTGTTAAAGGAGAGACATTTGGAGAGCGGGAAAATAGAAACATTGTACAGAAGTGACTGATGAAACCACAGGAATGAATATGTTTCTCCAAAAAGCAAATGTAGGTGGAGCACAACAGAAGGCACTGAGCAGAGTTAGGGATTCGGGGGAAAACCCGAAGGGAGGATAATTGTCCCAGAAGAGTAAATGGCATATGTTAATAATCACACTATTAAGAGATGTCATTTTGAATAATGTAAAGAGAAAAACTTCGAAGTCAAACAGACGGGGATTCAACCCCAGATCCACTGCTTGCAAGCTGTAAGGCCCCAGGCAAGTTCCTTACCCTCTCTGGGTTTAAATTATTATCCTTTGGATAATAAATCCTACCATAAGATTTATAAGAGGGAGGTTTGGGATAGAGGCTGGTTGCCTAGGGGGACAACATGTACAACAAAGCCAGTGAAAAGTCCTCCCACAAACCCCAAACTATGAGTGGGTAAAGACCAACCTCCAACACTCACAAACCCTGCAGCGTGTTGGAGGTGGTGCAGAGGCCATGGGGAGGAGGGAAAGAAGGAAATATCAGTGTGTCTGACAGACTTCAGAATAGGAGACACCCCAAAGAAGCAAAAAGTATTCCACTGGAAGGCACAGCAGACCAACTGGAGAAGAGCAGCTACAATTGCTACAATTGGGAGTGACTGCAGTAAGGGTGAGTGCAAGGGATCCAGGGTAAGAAGTTCTGCAGGATTCGAGCAAGGGATGCCCTCTTTTTCTCCTTGGTTGGCAGGACATTTAGAGTCTCAGGGAATCTAATATGCTAAGGGTTATATGAAATGCATGTTGCAAGAAACATTCCAAATTTCTCAGTTAAATTCATAAAAAAATTTGGATGTTTATGAAATCAGGGTGTAAAAATATTGATTTAATTTCCTTTGAGACCAAGTATCAAGTCTCCTGGCTACAAAACTATCCACACTGAAAATGTCCGGGATTCCATGAATGTGGAATGAGTTTGCAAAGCCATCTACATTGCCCTTGACCAAGAGTTGTAATCTCTTGCAACACTGGCCACTGCCAACTCATGGTCACTCATTCTGGCAGTTTCGAGCTTGCTTACTCCAGAAGGAAGAAAAATTATGACATTAAAAAATTTATCTGATCCAAGTGCCTACTTGCCTCTGGTAGTTTGTAGACAAACTAGGTTGGTGCTATTTGGGAATAATTTACATTATTAATGACACTTGAAAGCAAGATATCTTAGGCACAAACTTTCTTTGCCTCACTTTTGCCACAAGCTCCATAAAAAAATGGGAAGGGTTGCAACTTTATTTAGGGTGTTTTGGGAAAGCTTCACTGAAAGGGGACATTTGGGAAGACATAGGAAGGAGGTGAAGGAGTGAGCCATGAGGAAGAAACATTCCAGACAGGAGGATTCCTGATGCGTTCAAGGAACAGCCAGGTGATCAATGTGACTGGAGCAGAGCGATCAAAGGTCACAGAGACCACAGGGAGCTGGGCAGTGGGGCCTTATAAGGATTCAGGCTCTTACTTTAAGTGGCTGTGACACCATTTGGAGGGTTTTGAGAAAAATGACATAATCTGACTAATGTTTTAAATAAATCACTCTTGCTACTGTATTTGTGAGAGTTACTGATTAGACTGTGGGTGGCAAGATTAGAAGCAAGGAAATCAGGCCAAATTTTTGTATTTTTCTGTAGAGACAGGGTTTCACCATGTTGCCCAGGCTGTTCTTGAATTCCTGGGCTCCAGGGACCCTCCTGCCTCAGCCTCCCAAAGTGCCGGGATTATAGGCAGAAGCCACTGCACCCAGCATCCCCTTATTCCTATGGAAGCAAAGAAATCAGTAGAAAACTGCTGCAGCTATGAAGAAGAGAGACAAGGGCTGCCCATGGCCAACACTCCACTTGTGCCCTCCTTCCCAATCCCTCTCTTCTATTCAAGCACATCACCTCAGCAATTCTTTCTTCTTTTACTTGCATTATGACTTTCCTTTTCTATTCTAGATTATTTCCCTTCACATATAGGATTGTTGCTCCATGGCATTAGGCTCTTCTTGTATTGCTATAAAGAAATACCTGACACTGGTTATAAGAAAAAGAGGATTAGTTGGCTCAGAGTTCTGCAATCTTTATAGGAAGTATGGTGCGGGCATCTGCTTGGCTTCTAGGGAGGCCTCAGGAAGCTTATGATCATGGCAGAGGTAAAGGGGGAGCAGGCATGTCATATGGCAGAAGCAGGAACAAGAGAGAGAGAGTGGGGTAGGGAAGTGACACATACTTTTAAATGACCAGATCTCATGAGAACTCATTATCACAAGGACAGCACCACACCATGAAGGATCCACACCCGTGACCCAAACACCTCCCACCAGGCCCACATCCAACATCAGGGATTGCAATTCAACATGAGATTTGGGAGAAGAAAACTATCCAAACTATATCACCCATATTAAACATATGTACACACATACACGCATACATACACATTCCCACTCAACCCACTTATGCCTCCAGCTACTGCTCAATTTCTTTGCTTTTTGTTTGCTTGATTTTTTTTTTTTTTTTTTGAGATAATGTCTCACCCTGTTGCCTATGCTTAGTGTAGTGGTGTGACTGTGGCTCACTGCAGCTTCAGCCTCCCAGGCTCAAGCAATCCTCTCACCTCAGCCTCCTGAGTAGCTGGTACCACACGCACAGACAACCATGCCTGGCTAATTCCTTTGTACTTTTTGTAGAAGGTGTTTCTGGATGAGATTAACATTTGAATCCATAGACTGAGAAAGGCAGATCACCCTCCCTAATGTGGGTGGGCCTCATCCAATCAACCGAAGGCCTGAATAGAGCAAAAACTCTTAGTAAGAAGGAATTCCACCTGCCTGACTTTTGAGCTGAGACATTGGTGTTCTTCTGCTCTCCGCCTGGAACTTATGCAGTCAGCTCTCCTGGGTCTTCGGCTTGCCAACAGCAGATCTTGGAACTTCTCAGCTTCCATAATTGTGTGAGCCAGTCCTTAAAATAAATCTCTCCTTTCTCTCTCTCTCTCCCTCTCTCAATAAATAAATAAATATATATATACATATATAATTATATATATATAATTTTGTATATATATTAATTTTTTTGTTAGGCAGGTAGATGTGGTTCTGGGAACGTTTACAAGTTCTTTCAGAATGCTTCCATTTTCTCAGTGGAATACGAAGCAATGTCATTCACTAGCTGAGAGAGAGAAGTAGGGATATATATATATATATTTAGAGAGAGAGAGATCTTTATATATATATACACACACACACAGATCTATATACACACACACACACACATACTGATACACACACACATACAGGAGTATGTATTATATATCACCTATTGGTTCTGTTTCTCTGGAGAACCCTGACTAATACAGAGAACCCTCACATGGCTCATCGTGTCTCTGCTGCCTCGCAGGGGATACCCTGTGGGTGGACTCCTAAAGGGCAGGAAACAGAAGAACTCGGAACACTCTCCACCCCCTAATAGAGTGTGTTCCTCTGTGCTGCCGCCTTTAGTGGGGAATTAATGAGCTGGAGGAGGTGGGTGCTGCTTTCACTTCATGGATTATGCGCCCCTATAGGATGTGTCATCTCACCTCCCTCACCCTGAAGACCACAGGTGGACCCTTCCCCAGTCATACCATGGGCAGTCCTCCTGATTTTGTGTGTCCTTGAACTAAGAATGCCTTGTATATTTTTAAACAATTGGGAAAAAATGAAAAGACATAAAATATGTTGTGACATGGGAAAACTGTATGCAATTCGAAATTGTGTCCACAGAGTTTTATTGGAACACAGCCACAGCTATTTGCTTAGGTAGTCTCTGTTGCTGCTTTCATGGGCAGAATGGAGTAGTTGCAACAGGGACCATCTAAAATAGTTACTAGCTGGCTCTTCACAGAAAAATTTTTCTAACTTTTACCCTCTGTCATGGGGCTCCATCTCAGCCCAGAAGTACTGTCAGGAGCCAAAGTCTCTGGGCCCAGTTGGGTCAGGCCTGGAAGCTATAGCCGCTTTGACTCCTGTCCAAAGGCCAAATCAGAGCCCAATGTCTGGGGCTCTTCACTGAGTGGGTTCTGGAGGAGGGTTATTGGGTAGGGCAAAACAAATGTGGGTGCTTCATACACTGAGTTCAATACAACATCTATAAAGTTATGGAGAGTTAGCTCCAGAAAGGACTTTAAAGATCTCATAGTTCATTTTACTTATGAGGAAAACCAAGGTCGATAGAGAAAAAGTCATTTTAAAAAGTCATTTCCCAAGGCCACACAGCTGACACTGGATTAGAACCCACATTTTTCTTACTTCCTGTTAATACTCCCATGCTCTTCCCACAGCCCCTGCTCCATCATCTTTCTGATACTTCTGGAATCAGAGCCTATTCCTTCAAACCTTTCAGTGAGCAATGTCCCTTCTTGCAAAGTTCGCTATCAGTTGTGATATGGGAATCCAGGGCCTATGAAGCACATGTGTCTCTAAATTGGGAATTTCTCGTATCTGACATTAGGATGTTGTCTCATCAGTAAGACCAGGAAATGTCTAAAGGCACCATCCTGCAATTGTCTGGAACTCCTTGCTAGGCATAAGGGCATAGAGTAGCTTTTGCCATTCAGAAGTTGTTCTCTGCCTTCAGATTCCAAGACCATTCTAGCGACAGCCTTTCAAACATGACCATGTATCTAATTAATAATATGGATTTTCTGTTGTAAGTTAAAGCCCAAATATAGCTTCAAAATTTGCTTGGCCAGGCACATTTAATAATACCTAAATGCCCCCATGTGTTAAATATTCATCCATTTTTTTCCATAACTGCTTACAATAAATATTGATGATCGTCTAACTTTGAAAATGGCTATGTACATGGAAGAATATTCATGTGTGTCTCACTGATTTTCCTGACAGCGCCAAATGGAGCAGGTAAGCCAATTTAACACAACCAATTTCCACTTTTGCGCAGACCAAATAGGAGAAGTTCTGTGGAAATGAATAATCAATCTCATACCATTATTAATAATAATATTTAGCTTACATACAGCTCTTTCCATCTTCTAAGCACTTCGGCAACATTAACAAATTTATTGTTAATACTCAAGGGAGGCCTTTTTGTAATGGGAATGAGAAACCAAAAGGGATGTAAATGGCCACTTAGGGCTGAGGGACAAGTGCAAAGCAGGAGAAACTGGTGAGTCCCTGTTCCCATGGGATTCCCTAAGCTCTTCAATATTGCGGAAGTGTTGCAAGCCTAGGAGGCAAGTCTAATTTTTAAATCTTAGTTTTAAAAGGTGTGTGCTGACCATAATAGAACTACATTTATTACTATTTTTTGAACACCCACTTTAGGCCAAACACTGCTAAGTGTTGGGAACATTAAAAGAAAACAGCTTCTATCCTGAAGAAACTTACAGAATAGTGAGGGAGAGGGAGACCTGAATCCCCCAACAGCCTGCAGTGGGATGAAGGCCCATCTGAGAGACACACAGAGAGGCACAGCTGCACCGAGGAGCACCCAGCACCCCATGAACACCTTCCCTGAGAAGGTGTTGCTCCAGCCGAGCCCTACAAGGCAGCTGAATTAGGAAGGGGGATTTGAGCAGGAGAGACATTCTAGAGAAAAGGAAAAACATGAAGCAAAGGCAGTATGGAAGAGAATTGTGTCTTCTGGGAACTATAAACACTTTAGCTGGACTGGAGTGAAGAATAAGACAATGAGATGCAGCCATTACAGCTGAGCAAAATCCTAAAGATGTCTCCAGTAATATCTCCCATCCCACATGCTCTTCTACAATGGGAGCTTGCCACCCTCCCCCATCTAGAGGCGGGGTTACATCCCCTCCACTTGAATCTGAGCAGGTTTATGACTGCTTTACAAATGCAGCAGAAGGAAGCGATGCTATGTGACTGCTGAAGCTAGGTCAAACGAAGCACTTTTCTGACTCTTGGAACACTGAACCGCCAGCTGAGAAGTCCAGCTGGCCTGAGGCCACCGTGCTGGTACTCAGGCCACCAGGCTACAAGGAGAGGTCGCAGGTGGGTGCTCAGGTCAACAGCCCCAGCTGAGATCCCAGCCGACAGCCAGCATCAACTCCAGATGTGAGTGATGACACTTCCAGATCATTCCAGCTCCCAGCTATTAAGCCGCCCCCAGCTTGGGAGTTTCCAGCAGAGACTCCAGACTCTGTGGAGCACAGGCAAGCCGTCCTCATTGTGTCCTGTCTGCATCCCGACTCACAGAATCCATGAGCATGATAAAATGGCTGACATTTGGGAGTGGTTTGTTACCTAGTAATAGTAACCACAACGCCAACACCGCAGATTTTTTTACTTTATTTTCAGTTAGTAGAGAAGCATTGAAGGATTTTCAGGCGGAGTGTGGTGTCATCAGGTTTTGTGTTCAGACGGAGGGGCAGGAACAGGTGGGTCCTGTGTGAAATGAGAAGACCATCTGGCCAGTGGTTTCTGTATCTCAGGCCTATGGATACTCTCAGATGAATCCAGGGCATCACCTTCCTGTCACTGCTGGCCAGTTTCCCTCTAGCTCAGTGATTTGTATTTCCGGTTCCACGGTAGGATCACTCCGGAGAAGCAAAAATATCCCATTTCTTGGGTCCCACCCTAGATCAATCAAGTATGAATGTCCGAGGAGGGGGATCTGACGTTGGATTTTTTTTTTTTTTTCAGAGTCTTGCTCTATCACCCAGGCCTGTAGTGCAGTGGCGCGATCTCAGCTCGGCTCACTGCAACTTCTGCCTCCCAGATTCAAGCAATTCTCCTGCCTCAGCCTCCTGAGCAGCTGGGACTACAGGAGCCTGCCACCACACCCGGCTAATTTTTGTATTTTTAGTAGAGACAGGGTTTCACCTTTTCGGTCAGGCTGGTCTCAAACTCCTGACCTCAGGTGATCCACCTGTCACGGCCTCCCAAAGTGCTGGGATTACAGGCATGAGCCAGCATGCCCGGCCTGGCATTGGATTTTTAAAGGGTCCCTAGATAATTCTAATGTGCATCCAAGGTCGAGGATCACTGAGAAAGTTGCTCGCTGACCATACAACTCAAACTGGAGAAAGTTGTTCATACTGCAGATCTGAAACTCTGTTGAAAACTAAACTTACAAACTGCAAAAATCAATATACCCTCCTACCTTCGTAGAAAAAGAAATGTCTAGACACTGGGGGCTGGTTACTGTAACAGAACCAAAGGAAATATATCAGACCTGAGGCCATATTATGAAAAAGATGTAAGGTCTTGAGGGTAAATTGATCAAAAAGGGAACACTGAGACTCTCTCATCAGAAGGATTGTCTGTTTATGAATAGAATAGAGAGCTCCTTTCTTTCAAGCAGAGCTTGGTTTGATGCAGACCTCTTCCAATAAACCACTTTCTTTTGCTCTGACGCTGCCCCAAACCAAAATGGGCCAATTACATAATCACTGCTCACGTCTAGGAAACTGGATAAAAAAGAGAAATCCTCCCCCGTGTGCCTGTAATTGGAGGGATGTGGGAGAGACAGGACCAGGGTCATAACATTGGAAAGTAGTGGGCAAATCAGGATGGTGTAGAAAGGGACTGGACAGAGGAGAAAGAAGTCATGATGCTTGGTGACCTTGGGCAGGCCTCATGGCCTCTCTGAGCTCCAATTTCCTCATTCATATAAGAAGGTAGGATGATTTGGAGGTCTCTTCTTCAGCTTGAAACTATGATGCTGTGGTTAGGTTCCAGAAACCTGTATATTTTTCTTTCTAAGTACAGTTCTGCCCCAGACTAGCCCTGAGTCCTAATGCACAGCACCTCATTCCTCTGTTTATTAACAATGTGTTTCTGATGCTTTGACACCTGGGGCCTTGCTGACCCTGGAGAAACTGCCCTTCCCGGAGACAGCCAATTTCTAGAGATAATAAAGAACTTATCTGCAAGCACACTTTTGATATGCAAACAAAACATTCCAGAGCTCACACCCCAACCACCTGCTTTATCAGGCTCTCGCCTTCTGGGCCATCATCCACCTGCTCTCATCACCCAGGGTCAGGTACCAGATGGCTGGGGACAACCTGTGTGACCCAGAGCCTGCTGAAATGCTGAAATGGTCAATCCTCAGCCTGCTTACCCTGCCTCACCCATTCCTTTTCCAGGGAAATCATGATAAAGCCTGTTGCCCAAGTCTTCCCCTAACCCCCTCTGCCTCCTGATCCACCCTGGTGCTTCCCCATGGGACCCTGTGTGGTGCAGCGTGCCTCCTTTTGGGAACTGTAACAATTATCTTCTCAATAGTGGTTGTCTTCTGATCTGTTGGCCGTAACATACCCGAAAAATTAAACCTATATTTAAAACACTGTGAACACAGCATTCTCACTTGTAAATCAAAGATGGGAATAGCAACCTCCCTTCCAGTGATTATGAGAGCAATCAGTGATCACGGTAACATAAATACAGTCCACTAAAGCACATGTGCTTGGAAATCACAGAGACATTTCAGATCAATACATAAAAGCACCTTTAGAAGTCCATGTATTGTGATGGGTTGATCCAGGCCCCCGTTCCCTTGACCTTAGAGCTCTGCAGATCACAAAAGAAATTGTCTGCAGTGTCACAGCTGATTGGGATAGAAATTGGGAAAGCAAATACAAAGTCCTCTGGCATGACCCAGCAATCATGGCAGTGTTGAATTGAAGAAATTGACATTAACCCCTCCAAACAAACACTCCATGCCCAATGCTACATATTCCCATCAACACAACAGTCCATTTTCCCTGAATTTGTATCATAATGGTGCACTGATATTATATAAAAGGGACCTACAGTCTCATTTCAGTCTCCCCATTTTCGTAACTTGCACAGCACGTTTAATTTCACAGCTTTTAGTTTCATGACATTCAAATACCAACAATTGATTGGGGGGAAGGGAAAGACCCATGTTTATTGGAAATATCAGTCACTGTAAAAAATCCTGAAGGAAAACTTGCCACATTGTAAAAGGTCACCAGATAAATAACTGCCTTCTGAATTGGGATGATTCCTGTTGTCATTAAGCCCCAGCAGCGATCTAATACACTTTAATACTTCCACTAAATTCTGGGAGACAACTTTGCAATCACAGTCACATAGACAATTAAAGCTAAGCAATTGGTGCCTGAGTCAGAAGGCTTTTTCTTTTTTCCCCCCATTTTTAATGCATAAGATGAAACGATACCCACTTCTCAACTCTTATCCTCCCTTTTTGGAATGATAATCATTTTACCCCTGTGAACACAATTGATTTAGGGCTTAGTTTCTCAAGCCTAACACAAGACTGGCTGGCATTAGCTTTATAGCAGATGTTTCCCATTCCAGCTCTCACATCTCCCCGCCTCCACCAACAGGGAGAACCATTGTATTCACCAAACAGTGGGATCTTCCTAAACCATCCTTCTGGTAAGTGGCTGCTGTGGACTAAATTGTGTCCCCCAAAACCCTTATGTTGAAGCCCTAACCCCTGATGTGACTGTATTGGAGACAGTGCCTATAAGGAGGTAATTAAGATTAAACGAGGTCGTAAGAGTGGGGCTGTGATTTAATAGGATGAGTGTTCTTATAAGGAGAGGCACCAGAAAACTCCTCTCTCTCTGCCATGTGTCTGCCATGCCATAGAAAGAAGGCAGCCCCTGCAAACCCAAAAGAGTGCCTTCACCAGAAACTGAACCCTACCAGACCTCAGTCCTGGACTTTCCAGCCTCCACCACAGGGAGAAAATAACTTTCTGGTGTTTAAGCCAAGCAATCTGAGATATTTTGTTGTGGCAGCCTGAGTAAGCTAATACAGTGGCCTTCTAGAGATAGCAAGAAAGAGATCTCCTCACTTCTTCACTGAGTGGGTCCTCACAGCCACAACAGACTGTGGACACATTTTGGCCAGCAGAGATGCAGGACATTTCCTGCTACAGAGAGGGAGGTAGTCATGTTAGCCTGCAGCCACATGGGCAAAGGGAATGGATGAGGAGAGTCAAGGGCATCAGACCTCATCTAAGGACAGGGTTATGCACAAAAGCTCTTATAATTAGGCATCCTGTGCCCATGTATAAATGTCTGTCTTTTTGCAAGAGGTCTTTATATTAGAATGAGGAAGAGGGCATGTCAGCATGGTGTACGTCTAGGTTATAACAGGGGCTAACTGAAGTGGTGACAGTATTCACTTTCCCCTTGAAAGCTGGTCCTAGAATTATCTGAAAAAATGGTCAGTCAAGCTCACTGACCCATGACCCCCATGGCTGCTGCAGGTTGTTTTTCTGCTCTGCTAAGTAAAGTTAATATAGCCCAGGACTCCCTGGTAAATCCTTCCTTAAGCCATGGTGCTCAAGAAGCTCCTGAGCTAATCTGAGCCTGTAACCAAGTAGTGTACATTTACATGTTCCAGAACTGAAACCTCAGCATCACAGACATGTCTCCTGGACTTGGAGTTGAATGTTTACAAATCACAAGTGAGTTCATCGAGAAGGTTTAACTTTGTTTAGGAGAAACTCCTGGTTCTACCACACAAAGCAAAATAACTCAGGCTGTGTGTGTGTGTGTGTGTGTGTGTGTGTGTGTGTGTCCTCTTAATTGATCTCTTCCCCAGGAAAGATCCAAGATGTAGAAACCATCTTGTAGTGACCCAGCATTTTCTGAGCACCCAATCTGAGCTAGGTGTTTTATGTAATAGTTGCCAGTGTTTATTGATTATTTTGTTAAGGTAGTGAACACATTATTTAAGCCTAGCAAGAAATATATTATTATTATCCCCCATTTATAGACAAAGAAACTGGCCTTGGGGGTTTGGCAACTTATCCAGCCATAAAAAGTTAGCCAGATTAGCCTTCAACCTAGGTTCCTTTTGCTCCAAAGTCTACTTGTGGCTCTATATCTCACAGTAACCCTATGCAGTAGGGATTATAAATCTACTTCACCAACTAAATAAAGTTATTTGTTCAACATCACACAATTACTAGTAACAGAACCAAGCCTTACTCAGACCTGGACAAGCCCATGAGCACTCCATTACCCAAGGGGTTATCACATTCTGGCACACACAGAAAAGGTCTGGAACAGTGCTTCTCAAGTCTTAGTGTGCAGTACCATTTGACCCAGTGAGTCTACTCTCATCTACCCAAGTGAAATAAAAATATATGCCACAAAAAGACTTGTACACAAATGTTCTTTTACGTATTACTCATAATGGTCCTAAAATTGGGAAAAAAACCCCACAAATGCCCATCAACTAATGAACACATAAACAGAATTGATAGGGACAGAAGGCAGGGAAATTCTGGGCAGAAGAGGGCGGTCCCCAGCTAGAGTGCCATCCTCTAACCTGGAGCCACGGCCCAAAGTGGGAGCATACATTCCCACTTTTTTCCCCACTCGAATGTTGCCTTTTCCAAAACCATCCATGGCCAACCTGCTCCCCATCCTGTGCCCATAAGAACCCCAGGCTCCACTGGCAGAGGAAAAGAAGAGAAGAGGAGAAGCAGCAGAACATCAGAGACTACGGTTGGATGTCAAAGAGCAGCAGCTTGATTTAGAGGGACAGCTTGATGGCGTTGCTTAGGAGTCTGGGGACAGCCGAACTCCAGGGGAAGATTATCTTCTCACTCCATCCCTTTTTCAGCTCCCCTTCCATCTGAGAGCCACTTTGGTCAGCAATAAAATCCTTGGCATTTACCATCTCCAATTTGTTCATGCAACTTCATTCCTCCTGGATGCCAGAAAAGAACTGGGGTGCAGGTGCAAAAGGCTGCCAGACTAACCCTCCACTGAGCTGTTAACACTTAAGCCATCCGTGGACAGCAAAGCTAAAAGAGCACTGACTGTAACACTCTTTCTGGGTCTTCAGGGTTGTGGGCACCCCCCTAGGTGTTACTGGGGTGGGGAGGGCTGCACACAGTTTTGTTCCTGCCGGTGCCCAAAAGTGCTCACCCTGGCTCCTGCACCCACTCACCAGCATTCCCCTTCCTGTGAGGAGTAGAACACAGCAGGACCAAGCAAGTGGAGTCCGCCCCTGTTGGCACCTAAGCAGCGGCTAGTTCTAGCACCTGTGCACTCCAGTTCCCACCACAAAGGAGTCAGGGAGATTTCCTGCTTCGGAATGCGATATAATCATAACAATGGAATGTTATTTGGCAATAGAAAGAAATGAAGTACTGGTATCTGTACAGCATGGACAAACCACAAAAAGCATAACATTAAAGAGGCAAGACACAAGGGATCACATATTGTATAGCTCCACTTATCTGATAAATTTATAAGAGACAGTGGATCAGGGGTTGCCTGGGAAAGAGATGGGAAGGAACCAGATTGACAGTAAAGGGAATGAGGGATCTTATTGGGGTAATATTATAGAAGTGTTTTAAAACTGATTTATAGTGATGGTTGTACAACTTGGTAATTTCACTAAAAATTATTGAATTGTACACTTGAAATGGGTAAGTTACATATGTAAAATATGCCCAAATAAAGTTGTAAAACAATTTTTAAGGTGCAATTGAATCATCTTAGCGTCTTGTTAAAATGCAAACTGAGTAGTAGGTACTATGGTTTGAATATGGGATTTTTTGGCCCCACCAGGTCTCATGTTGAAATTCTATCCCCATTGTTGGAGCCTTATGGCAGATCCTTTATGAATGGCTTGGTGCCATTCATAAAGGGATTGAGTTTTCACCTTTGGTTCCTGAGAGAATTGGTGTTGAAAAGAGCCTGGCACCTCCTCCTCTTTTCTTGGTCTACTCTCCACGTGCTGTCTGCACGCAGCCCCCCTTCACCTTCTGCCATGAGTGGAAGCAGCCCAAGGCCCCACCAGAAGCCAAGCAGGTGCCAGTGCCATGCTTCTTATACAGCCTGCAAAACTGTGAGCCGAATACACCTCTTTTCTTTACAAATTGCCCAGCATCAGGTATTCTTTTCTAACAACGCAAATGGACTAAGACGGTAGGTTTGGGGCAAGGCCTAAGATTTGCATTTCCAGTAAACTCAAAGGTGAAGTTGATGCTGTTGATCCAGAGACTACATTCTGAGTAGCGAGGAGACAGATGTCCCAAATTCCTACTTCTCCAATTCAACTAACCCCAGACAAGTCACTCCCTCACTTGGGCTTCATTTATGAAGATGTAGCATCCTCAATCATCTCATTCTGAATACTTCATTGGCCTTGAACCATGTCATGAATGCAGCAAATCCTAAATGAAAAATTTGTATTTCTCCCCTCCTTTTCTTTGTTTGCCTAAGCCAGCATGTGAAACTTTAGCACGTCAAGCTCACCCAAGAAGCTGTTTAATATGCAGATTCCCTGACCCCCCGCCGCCCCCCACCCCCAAGACATTCTGAATCTGTAAGCCATCACTACGAAAACTGCCTTTTTAACAAGCACTTCAGGTAACTCTTATGCAGGTGATTTAAAAATTGTCTTTTGTGCACTGTTAATCTAAATGAGCACAGATCAATAGAAATATGATGGAAGCTCATATGTTATTTTAAATATTCCAGTAGCCACATTTTAAAAAGTAAAAAGAAACAGGTGAAATGAGCTTTTATAATATATCTTATTTAACCCATTAAAACCAATATGTTATCATTTTAACATGTAATCAATATAAAAATATCGAGATAATTTATGTATTTTTTTGGTAGTAAGTCTTTGAAATCTGGTGTGTATTTCAAATTTATCACACATCTCAATTCAGACTAACCATATTTCAAGCACTCAGTTTTGGTCACCGACCCAAGACCTGTTGGATCATAAACTCTGGGTATGGCCCAGTAAGCTGTATTCGAGTAAGCTCTCCAGGTGATTCTCGTATTCACTTGAGCTTGAGAACCACTGATCTATGCTATTGTTTCTTGAACTTGACTGCACGTTGGAATCACCTGGGAAACTTAAAAAAAAAATGCTTATGCATGAGTCCGAGTCCCAGAAATCAAGATTTCTTTAAAAAGGCCTTCCAGATGATTCTAATATGCACCAAAGTTCAAAAGCTGCTGCTCACTGTCTCTTAAAGATGCCTACCTTATTATCTTCAGCTCCGAGAAGTTACTGGGCTCCTTTCATCATTTTCTGTGATGTATCATGCTCTGCTCACCAGTCCCCCCAAGTCCACATTTCTTGTTTATTCCACTTTGAGTTTTTAGAAAAAAAGTAATCATCTAAACCACTACTGCAATTCCCTTCCTAAAAGGGAAATCTCTGAAAAATCTGCATCCTTCAGCTTCTCCCCGATGATTGCTAGTCCCCACCTGCTTGACCCACTCAGCAATTCTCACCCCTTACTCCATCTCCCCATAGCCCCCACGGACCCTGATTCATCTTCCGGGAGCATCAACCCAATAACAGCTCCATCCCACTGCCTATGTGGCTCCCAAATTTTGGACACTTATCGGTGACTTTTAATTGAGCTGTGGCCCTCTCCTGTATTTCAAAGGAATCCCTGAAGGCCCAAATCATCCCTAAAAGTCTCCTCCAGAGAAAAAGAGCAAAAACAGAAATCAACCCATGAGCCTCCTTTCCTACCACTGCTAAGAGTTTCCATTCAGTAGATCTCCATTTCCCACTACCTTGGGTTCCAGCAGCTCACTGGGAGAGGAGGGATCTTTGAGAAGGTCATCTGATCATGTGTGGAAGGAGTCGAGGGAATTAAAAATCAGATTGCATGCCCATGTCATAGACTGTTCGGGAAAAAGCAGCTGCTTGGCATGTGTGTGTGCAGCCCACACAAACAACATAGGTCATGTTTACGTCTATGTAAATATGTATAGTTGAAGCACCCTCTAGTGGAACACCTAGAGAAGGTCACACTCTCTGGAGAAACTCACCCTTGGAGAAAAAAAAACAAAAAACAAAAAAACAAGGTATTTGGAAATCTTATCTGCCCAGAGCATCCATGGTGAGATATAAGAGCACAAGTCTATAGTGTATTCATGTACAGGGGCACAGGCCAGCCCGGTGTCCACCTGGTCTGCTGGGTGAGGAGGGGGCATGAGCTGAACTGGCCTTTCTTGAGGCCTCACATGGAGGCTTTGATTCCCCTGTTGCCTGAGGTGTAAGAAAGCAGTGTTGGGATGTATTTTACAGATTACCACGGGTTCCTTTCAGGCTAAGAAGCTGTCCGTCTCCATTTCAAATCAAGGAGTGGGGAGAGAAGATAGATTATTCACTATTGGGACAACTGGATTGCTATCGGGAAGAGGATAACTTTGAAGCATGAATCAACTTTCATACACTAAATAAATTCCAAATTGAAACATAAAGAATTTGAGAAAAGGAGTGAAGATTATGTTGAAGTAGGAAATACCTTGCCAAATGTAACCCCAAATCGTAAGTCATTTTAAAAACCATTGAGAAAGTTTAACACATAAAAACAAAACATTTCTACATGGCCAAAAACAATGCCATGAACAAGGTCAAAAGACAAATAGCACACAAGGGGAAAAATGCAACGGATAGTACAAAGGGATAAAGTCCTTAATCTAGATGGTGTTCCTACAATTAATAAGCCACACACTCGGAGTTCAATAGAAAAAAAAATGAACAAGGGATATGAACAGACAGGTCACAGAAAAGGAAAGAAAAAATTATGCTCTTAAACATATAGAACAATGTTCATTCTCATTCGTAAGAGTTGTTTTTCAACATCACAGAGTAGGATCATATGCTAAGCAGGGCAAGTACAAGGAAGCAGGCACAGTCACATGTGGGAGTGTGGAATAGAAACTGGCACACTGTTCATGAAGGGCAATTTTTTAATAGCCTTGGTCAAAATAAACATTAGCCATACACATTGACCCAGCAAGTCCACTTGTAGGAATTTACCTTACAAATATGCTTACAGATGTGTGAAATGATGCATGCATGAGGAAATTCATGGAAGCATGGTTTGCAAGAGCAAAATCCTAGAAACACTGTAAATGCCCATCCAGAAGGGACTGGGGAAATAAATTATGGTACATCCATACAATGGAATACTATGCAGCCATGGGCTCCACGTTTCCAACATAAGTCATCTCTATCTGTGGAGATGTGGATTAATTTTCTACATACATAAAGTGAAAATAACAAGATGAGGTGAGGATGTGAAGATTTTCATTAAAAAAATGAGGCTCCCTGGGGGGAAAAAAAAAATGTTTCTCAGGTTGTAGAACCAGCTGGTGATATTTTTATGATTTTGGTATAAATGTTGCTTGTTTTGTTTTTAATTCAATAGTTTAAAATTATCACAGAGGGAATACATAAATGTAAGAAAAGAATGGTTAGTTTTTATGTTATGGGCACGACAGTCATATAACTGCTTGTATTTTCCTCTGCATTTGCTGCTAGAAAGCTCAGAGCCACATTAGTAGCCCACCTCTTGTTGTACAGTGTTTCAGGGCATGTGTATTTTGTACTAAACTCTCTGCTGACTTAGTTTTATTTTTTTACAACTCTTTACTTTCCTAAACAATTATTTTACATAGATTATAATAAACTGCTTCAAATGCATCTTGTAATGAGACAGTGCTGTATACCGACTGTTTGTGTCACCCCCACCCCAAGAAAATTCATGTGTTGAAATCCTAACCCGCAGTGTGGTGGTATTAGGGAGGTCGGGCCTTTGGGAGGTGATTAGGCCATGACGGTGGAGCCCTTGTGAATGGGATTAATGCCTTTATAAAACAGGCTCCAGAGAGTTCCCTCACCCCTTCCACCTTGTGAGGACACAGCAAAAAGATGGCTGTCTATGAATCAGGAAGCAGGCCCTCACCAGACACTGAATCTGCTAGTGCCTTTATCTTGACTTCTCAAAATATAAGAACTATTTTTTTGTTGTTTATAAGCCACCCAGTCTATGGTATTCTGTTATAGCAGCCCAAATGGACTAAGACCGATAAGCATATCTTTTTTAAAAACACTAGAAAAAGAAAGCAAAGTGAAGAAAGTAGTATACGCTTCTGTTTGCATTAAAAAGAATACATGCATATGCACATTTGCATAAAAATATCTCTGGAAGGTTAGTAACTCTAGTTTCCTGCAAGGGCTAGGGAACAGAAGACAAAGGGAATCTTATTAATTACTAATAACTAGTTAATAAAATACAAAATAATTTTTAAAAGTTGTTTTATGCCATATACATCTTTAATAAATATTTTTTAAAGTTATCCTTCCCTTTGCTCTAAAGAGCCACTTGATTGCTTTGAGCACCGCTCTCCTGGTTGCTACTGTTCCGCCAACAGGAAGCAGTGTAATAGAGGAGAAATTGACTTACTGTCACCCACTGACTTTCTGCTGTAATGTGGACTCACTGGTTCTGTGTATTGTGCCAGAGCTGCTGAAATATCTATAAATATTTTTACTGTATTATGAAAAATGAAAACTTGGCCCATCTCCCATAGTTTGCATTTTTTTTAAAAAAACGCAATTGGAGATAAATATGATTTTTTAAAATGTATTGAAAGTGAGGTCCTTAGTAGGGGAAAGACAAGGGCATGATGAGTTTTCTAAAGAGTGAGGCTTTCACTTTCATTCTCTACTAAGGCTCACATCTATGTAAGTCCCCAACAATGATGCACTGTGTATTTTTTAAAGTCAGGTTTATTGAGGTATAATTTATACACTGTTTTATATATATACAATTGACCCTTAAACAACATGGGTTTGAACAGCATGGGTCTGTTTATATGCAGAGTCTCATCTGCTCTTGACACTCCTGAGATAACAAGACCAACCCCTCCTCTTCCTCCTCCTCTTCAGCCTACCCATCGTGAAGATGAATGAAGACCTTTATGATGATCCACTTCCACTTAATAAATAGTAAATACATTGACTCTTATGACTTTAATGACATTTTCTTTTTCTAGCTCACTTTTATTATATCAATACACTGTGTAATATATAAAATATGTATATACGTATAACATACAAAACATGTATAAATTGACTGTGTTATCAGTAAAGCTTCCAGTCAACAGTAGGCTATTAGTAGCTACATTTTGGAGGAGTCAAAAGTTATATGCAGATTTTCAACTGCAGGGGTGTTGGAACCCTTAAGCCCTGCATTGTTCGAGGGTCAACTGTATGTATAACTGTTATATATAAAAAATTCACCCTTTTTAGGATATAGTTCAGTGAGTTTTATTTATATATATATATATATATGACAAACATATATAGTTCATATATAGAACATTTCCATCACCTCAAAAATTTCCCTCCTTCCCCTTTATCATCAAACCTTCCCTTATCCCCAGTTCCTTAACATTTTTTTTTTTTTTTTTTGAGACAGTGCCTCACTCTGTTGACCAGGCTAGACTCGACCTCCTGGCCTCAAGCGATTCTCTGGCCTTAGCCTCTCAAGTAGCTGAAACTATCAGCGAGTTTTAAGTTTTTATTTGGGAGCAATTTTACAGTTACAGAAAATTTGTAAAGATAGTTCACAGTTCTCATATATCCTTCATCCAACTCTCCCTAATGTTATTATAACATCTTACATAACAGTGGTTATACGTATCAAAACTAAGAAATTAACACCGGTAAATTACTATGAAGCAAGCTTTTATTTTATTCAGATGTAACCAGTTTTTCTATTAATGTCATTTTTTGGTTTCAGATCCTATCCTGGATCCCACCTTGTGTTTAATCATCATGTCTCCTGAATCTCTTGTGACCTGTGACAGCTTCTCAATCTTCCTTTGTTTTTCATGACCCTTTTTAACTTGTTTATGCCTAGTGTTCCATTATTGGAATGCTAAGTGTGTGGGAGTTATTTATATCCTACTGCTCAAGGTCATTGTCAAGGTCTGATTTTTCACTCATGCAAAAATTCAAAAAATTGTTAAGAATACTGGTCAGATAGTATGTAGTACGTCTCTCAGTTTGGGTTTGTCTTCTGTTTTCTCACAACTAGACTGGGCTTATGGATTTGGGGTAAAAATGCCAGAGAGATGAGGTGTCCTTCTCAAGGCATCATGGCAGGGCACATACCATGGTTATATAAGATGTTAACTTTAGGGAGAGTTGGATGAAGGATAAACGAGAACTCTGAACTACCTTTGCAAATTTTGTGTAAAGCGTAAAATTGCTCCCAAATAAAAAGCCATAACTGACCTATAATTCCAGCTATCTGGGAGGCTGAGGTGGAAGAATCACGTGAGGCCCATGAGTTCCACTTGATTTATCATTGGTGATGGTGACCTGGATCACCTAACAGTTTTCTCCACAATAAAGTTACTTTTTCACTTTCCAAACTCCATTCATCAGAAGCACTAAGTCTGGCTCACTCTTGAGGAGAAGGCAACTAAACTCCACCTCCTAGAGGGGAGCTCTCTCCACATATTATGTGGCCACCCCCCTCCTCCAGGCGGTCTTCTCCCTGTGCCATCTTTCTCAGGGAGCACCTGCAAAGGCCTGTGGAGAAGAATCTGCATGTGTCCCTGTGACTTCCCCTTGTGACTGCAGCTCCTCACAACTCTCTACTCTCACCCTGGTCCACCCTTGCGATTTACCACCATCTACAGTTTTAGCTGAATCCTTCATATTCACTTCTTAATCCTTGTGTAGCCTGGGCATCTCTCCTATGCTCTGTTCTGCTGAGCTGGTGGTTCCCTCCCATCTCTCCTTGGAAGTCCCCGTCTTTTCTTGGATTTCAGGCTATTTGATGGCCTAAACCTCATCTTTCTAATGGTTTCAAGAAGAACTGTCACTATTGTTTATCAAGCTTTTTACTTGTTAAGGTGAGAGTGACACTATCTTCAGCTTCCTACATGCTGGGTGGAAGCGGAACTTGTACTGAACTTGAAATCCACTCTCCTCTGAGGGGAAAGTGAGAGCCAAGGGATGCACAACTGTGAGAACATCAGAGAACATGCTCAATTCCATGACTCCCAATTAGGCCCACTACTGGCTGCTATACCCTGGCATACCAGGTCCTATGACTATCCTGAGAATGGTTGGAGCCATTCTGAGAAAGAATGATCAGACTAACTCTAAGCAAAAGCTGCTGCAGTTTCTCCCTCCGATCATAACCCTCACTCAGTCCTCACTCGCCTAAGGCGCCCCTCCAGGTAGCCCATGTCTTGGGTCTGCCATAGCACCCACCAACTGGGGTCATCTACTCTCATCACAGCACTTGGTGCTCCCCCAAGCCCTCCTGAACCAGTGAGTGATGTGAGCACGTGCCAGTGTTTGATGGTGGCTGCAGTGACAGCTCAGCTAAACCCACACACTTATGTCTCTGACAATTTCATTCCATCACACACTCTTTCATTCCTTTATTCATTCACTCAACGAGTAGCAAATATGGCAGGAATTATGCTGTGGAAATTATGCTGGGCTTTGGATATCCATCTAGTGAACCCCATAAAAACAACTTAACATTTTTTTCTACAAGGAGAGGCCAAACAACAATGATCTTTGAGTGTGTTTCGAGTATACACAATTGTCTTCATAATAAGCTTTGTATCTGAGTAGCTATTATAAAGTTCCATTTGAGCCTCACAACAGCTCTGTGAGGTAGATGAAAGATTGAAAGTGAGAGATATTAGGTGCTTGCCCTGTGATTGCACTGTTCATGTCTGAGCCAGGTCTTGAGGCTTTCTGACTTCAAATATAGTGTTCTCACTGCTCCAATGCTTGCATCTGTGAGAAGTAGTAAAATAATCAAAACTCAATGTGCCCTATGTAAACCAAGGACCACTCTCACCAAAATATAAAAGAATAGGTGTCCAAGGTGATTGGGTTTCCGTGACTAGGATTCAGGCCTAAATTTATATATTATTTCATCCCTGGTCCTTTTACCAGCTCTATCCCAATCACAGCACTCCAACTGAGGTCCAGAGAATGACCCTGGAACCCAGTGACCCAAACTATCTGCTATAGTGATGGGCACTGGCAAATAAACCTCATTATTACCAGCTTATTAGCAGTAGAGAAAAGCCACATGCAGATTTACAAAAAGAATGTTTTGAACCTTCTCAGGGAGCCCTAATCAAAAAACAGCAGTGCACAACAGGTCCAGACCTCTGTACAGGCACTCATAAACTGTCTGTGACCTTCCTGGGTGCCACTCTGCACAGGCAGCCCTGTAGACCTCAGATGCTATCTGCATGGAAATCTCTGGACCAGGTGCTGCTCTGGGCATGTTTGAACTTCAGAGGAAAACTGGGTGAACCAATGTCATTATTCCCAAGCAAATTTACCCAAATGCCAGATAAGCAAAGCCTTTTTTTTTTTTTTTTTATTCACTACATTGGTCACTGGAGCAAGAAAGCTATTGCTTGCTCATTTCATCTGGTGGGACACTTTGGAATTTGTTTTTAAAAGAAGAGGCAAGATCACCTTCTCAGAGGAAGATAAATACAGACAAGAACAATTTCTTGACCTTCACATAGAAGAGTAACCATAAAACTAAGCTTTTCTCTATGATTTAAAACAAAGAAAAATTCTCAGTGGTCAGGCTTCATCTTTGGGGATGAATAGTGCATAATCTAAGAGGCTTTTTAGCAAAATGGATTTGCCAGCTTTTGGTGTTTGTCCTGAAGGAAACATTTACATTGTATAGTAAGGAGAATGTGTCAGCCTACCCTGAGGTAATGTCACAACATCTTGATGAAACATATGCCACAATAAAATTATATCAGTGCAAAAAAAATCAATGGTTATATTCGCCTATGTGTTATACACCTCCGCCTAAACTTGTTCGTTTACTGGAATAAAAACTTAGCAAATAAAATAGGAGAAATAAATTGTTCCCAATAAAAGTGGAATTCCCGAGAAGTTTATTTTAAATAGACCCCCAATCCGTTATTTTGTGGATTTAGATGGGTTTTGACTTAAACTCTACGCCCTTATAATTGTCCTGCATAATGAAACCCCATACAGTAAACTGATTGTATTTGTAAGGAACATGTTTGGAATTCTCTTTGAATCCTAACTTCATAAGCAAGGAAAGGTCTGTGAGAGTTGGATGTGTCCTATGTGTATTGCACACAACAAGTGAAAAGCCCAAATTTAAACAATTAAATATAGAGCTTCTTGGGTTGTGTGGGACATAGAGCAGAGAACATAGAACCCCTTCACTTGCTTCTCTTTTTCCTCTAGACAACTCCCTTCCACACTCCCTCCCGCCATTCCCTTCCCCCTTCTCCCAACACAATTGGCAGTTTCTCAAGCACCTCTTGGAAATATTGAGTACTGTTTGCTATATGGAGCAGTTGCTTGAATGCAGCTGCACTAACTGATATCTATGAAAGAGATCTTGTATTTATCTGCCAGCAAAGATAAATGACCTCCCCATACTGTCTAGGAAGCAGTTAGGTGGGCTGTGGTTCTATGTCCAGATTTGTGGTTCTATGTCATATTTGATATACTGTTGCCTTTAAAGACTGTAATAAAATTGTCACACTCATCTACACACCTTCAGGTCACTCCTCCTTATCCCGAGAGAATTTTAGCACCTGATTCACTCCCTTCCCCTCAACACTATCCCTGATATAGTTCTTGGTGATTTCAGAATCCACATAGATGATTCTTCCAAAACTCTGACTTCTCGTTCTTGACCTCTGCTCATCCGATGACCCTCCACACTCCCATTCCCACCCCTACCAGCCACAAATCCACTCCCATGACCATGCCCTACATTGAGTCATTGTCAAAAAGTACACCCTCCCCATAATCTCAATTTCAATCCTCCCACTCTCTGACCCCATCTCTTATTTTTCTGTCTCTCTCCCAGTACACTAATTTCAACAGGTCCTCAACCCCACTGAACCACTAATCCACTGGCCCTACTACTTTTTACTGTTCCTCTAACCCCTATGGCTTCAATTTCCTCTTTTCCCAACTTAGACCCTTGGTCCATCTTTGTACTTGCTCTCCCACCCTCAGCAAAACACAGCCCTGGTTAAATCCAGTCCTCTGCTCACTTCTCTCCAGCTCCAAGGCAGCTGACTGTGACTGAAGGAGAACACACAACTGTGCTGATTGACCTTGCTGTAAGTGCAAAATCACAAAACTCTAATGTTATTGAGAGGTCTTGTTGTCCACCTATAATGACCTACTTAACTCACAGTTCCAGTCTCTTGGGTGACTCTTACATAGCTCTCTTCTTCTCAAACATCCAACAGCTTCTTCCCCACTTTCTCTCTACGATTAGAGGCAAATTTCCACCCATTCCCCCTGCCAGAACCAGCAGTCTGCCTCTCTGACCCGCCTAATGGGCCTTCTCCCTTGTTACAGCGGTGAGCAGCCCATGCACTTTCAGAATCAACCCTTTAGCTTCAGCATCAGCTCCCTCCCTCTTCCCACCCTGAATGCAGCTCTTTCAGGTTTCCTCTCTCTGTCCCACATCAACAATTGCACCCTCTCTTCTTGATCATTTACATCAGGACACAAAGAGATAATCACCTATTTGTAAAAGAAAAAAAAATCTTGACTCTACAGATACTGCCTCATTGCTTTCTTCATTTTACAGTGAAACTCTTCTAAAGGGTTTTCTGTCTCCACTCCCTCTGCTCCCACTCTTTCTGAATCTGCTTCAACAAGGCTGTTGTTCCCCTCACTCCACTAAAACTGCTTTTGACGAGGTTGCCAATGACTTCCATCTTGTCAAGTCCAGTGGTAGTTTCTCACTAACCATTTAATTTAACGTATCAGCATTATTTGATGGTAGATCACACCCTCCTCCTTTCTTAACTTAGCCTCCAGGAAAACATTCTCTCTTGGTTCTCTTCCTACCTTATCAGCCACTCCTTCTGAGGCCTTTTTTGCTAGTTCTTTCTGTCTTTCCCATCTAAACACTGAAGTGTCCCAGGCTGAGTCCTCAGACCTCTTTTCTTCTCTATCTTCACTCTTTCTCTAGGTGATCACATGATCTCATGGTTTTAAATTCCATCTACATACAGATACATGCAAAATACATATCTCCAGTCCAACTCCAGACTTGTATATGCAATTGGCAATTGGGCATCTCTGCTAGGATATGTAATAGGCATCTCAAATTCGACATGTTCCAAAACAAATATGTATTTTTCCTTACTGCTCCTACCATTTTCCACACCTTAGTTGTTGAAAATTCCAAGCTTCTAGTTGCTCAGACCCAAATCTTGGAGCCATCCAGGATTCTTCTTTCTCTTACATAGCATATCTAGACCATAGGCAAAACCTGCCAGCTCTCCTTTTGAAATGTCTGTTGAATCTGATCACTTTTCACCCTCTGTCCTGGTCCATGCCACCATAATCTCTTCATCTCTTATCTCTCACTTGAGTTATTGGACTGACTAGCTACCTTTTTCCACTTTTGCTTTATTTATTTATTTATTTTATGAGACGGAGTATTGCTCTGTCACCCAGGCTGGAGTGCAGTGGCACCATCTCAGCTCACTGCAACCTCTGCCTCCCAGGTTCAAGCTATTCTCCTGTCTCAGCCATCTGAATAGCTGGGACTACAGGCATGCACCACCACACCCGGCTAATTTTTGTATTTTTAGTAGAGACGGGATTTTGCCATGTTGGCCAGGCTGGTCTTGAACTCCTGACCTAAAATGATCCACCCATCTCGGCCTCCCAAAGTGCTGGGATTACAGGCATGAGCCACCACACCCGGACTCTACTTTTACTTTAGACTGTGGCCAGAATTGTAGCACCATCACACCTCCACCTCCACCCCCACTGCCAAACCCAGCTACATCCCACTTCTACCTCTAGTCTTGGCTTTGTCCGCAGCAGGGAATGTAACCTTTGACAATGTCCCACCCCCTCAATGGGTCTGTCTCCTCATTTGTAAATATGGTAGTTGTATTAGGTTACTTAGGTTTCTTGCAGCTTGAATATTTTAGGGTCATCTGTTTAAAACACCCTCCTTCTCCAGAAGTCTGATGTAATACTCCCACCTGACTGACTGGCCCTTCCCTGGGGCTCTCAGAGTCTTAGTGTGTGTCTTAGTGCTTTTCACATGGTCCCATAATCCTTGATTCACTTGAGTCTCCCTCATCTTGAGACTACAAAGCCCTTTAATGCAAGGAGCTATGTGTTAGTTGCCTTTGTGTCCCCAGCACCTAGCATAGTTCCTGGTACATAGTAGTGCTCAGTAAATGTGTGTGATATGAATGAAGATAAAGCAGGTCACCTTCATGCCGGGAAAGAGATTGAAAAGAGAAAATCACAGAGACAGACCCTGAGAAGTTGGAGGCAAGATGAGGATGCTGAGGCAAAAAGACCAAGTCTAGAGTGATGGGTTTGAAGGAAAAAAGGGGAGAGGGGGAGCCGAGCGCAGTGGCTCACACCTGTAATCCCAGCACTTCAGGAGGCTGAGGTGGGTGGATCACGAGGTCAGGAGTTCAAGACCAGCCTGGCCAACATGGTGAAACCCCATTTCTACTAAAAATACAAAGGTTAGCCAAGCGTGATGGCGGGCTCCTGTAATCCCAGCTACTCGGGAGGCTGAGGCAGGAGAATCACTTGAACTCAGGAGGTGGAGATCACACCACTGCTTTCCAGCTTGGGCAACAGAACAAGATTCTGTCTCAAAAAAAAAAAAAAGAAAAAAAAAAGAAAAAAAAAGGAAAGAAAGGAGAAGAGAAAAAAAAAAAGCAAAGAAAAGAGAAACGAAAGGGGAGGGGCACCTTAGGGACACTGGAGACACTGGGGCCTGCCCAGGTATCAGCTTACATTTACATTCACAGAGGGCCCCCTGAGCTCAGCCCCAAGGAAAGGCTTATAAGAAAGGTAACACAGACTTCTAGGAAGAGTAACTCTCTGCCTTCAAGAAGCTAACTAGCCTGCTGGGCAGAAAATCCATGGATGGACTAGAAGCCACTTTAAATTGTACCAGACAGTGCATGGGCAGGAACCAAGTGCTAAGTACTGTGGTGCAGATTACTAAAACCATAGGCAGGGAAAGGTCAGCGTGAGCTGGAACCTGTCCCTGCTCAGCTGAAGGCAAATCTGTGCCTCCTTCCTAGTTTTTTCCAGTTTTAAAAAACCTGCCTATAATTTCTTTGTTTATGCCCCCATATACGGCTTTCACTCAAGAATCATGACAGCAAGACCTTGGTGGACCTAGTTCCAAAGATTCCCGGTTTCCCTTCAAATAAATGTGTCAGGTCTAGGAGTTAAAAGGTTTCAACCACATGATCAAAGACCACAAGTGCTTACTTCCATAATAGAGTCTTTGAATGGGAGTCTCCATTCCATCACACCTCACTTGGCTATGCACTCCATGAAAACAGAGACTGTGTCTGTCTGCTCAGTGCTGGCTGCCGTACGCTTGGTATTTGCATGGGAGACTGTAGAGGACCAGTGAATATTTCTTGAAAGAATGAATAAGCCTCAGGAGTGTATGTTAGAGGTGGGAAGATTTATAACTAATTGGCTTATATCTAAAATGTGTTAAGTATTCAGGGAGACATTTTATTTAATTGTAAGAAAATAAGTTATTGATAGTTGAGAATTGTTCAGGACTACCTCATTTCTAGAAGTGTGATTTCATCTTGTAGCTTTGGTAGGTGAATGGATAAACAAACTTTGGTATATCTACACAATGCATATGGTTCAGGTCTAAAAAGAAATGAGCTATCAAGCTATGAGAAGGCATGGAGGAAACTTAAATGCATATTATTAAGTGAAAGAAGCCAATCTAAAAAGGCTACAAACTGTATGATTTCAACAGCATTTCATTCTGGAAAAGGCAAAACTGTGGAGAAAGTGAAAGATCAGTGGCTGCCAGGGATCAGGAGACGGGGAGGAGTAAACAGGCAGAGCACAGAGGATTTTTAGGGCAATGGAACTATTTACCATTGTTACTCCAAAACGTAGTGGAGCTTATTATTTATTTTAAGCCCCTGTGCTTTGGAGTAACAATGGTGAATTGTGAATTTGTCAACCCATAAAATGGGTTAGGTACAGTGGCTCATGCCTGTAATCCTAGCCCTTTGGGAGACCAAGGCTGGAGCGTCACTCGATCCCAGGAGTTCAAAACCAGCCTGGGCAACATGGCAAAACCCTGTCTATACAAAAAAATTAAAAAGTAGCCAGGCATGGTGGTGTGTGCCTGTGGTCCCAGCTACTTGGGAAGCTGAGCTGGGAGGATCACCTGAGCCCAGAAAGTCAAGGCTGCAGCGAGCTGTAATTGCACCACTGCACTCCGGCCTGGGTGGCAGAGTGAGACCCTGTCTCAAAAAAAAAAAAAAAAAAAAATCCCATAAAAAGTACAATACCAAAAGTGAACCCTAATGTAAACGATGGCCTCTGGGTGATGTTCCAACACATGTTCATCAATTGTAAGAAATGTACCAATGTGGTGCAAGATGCCAATAGTGGGGGAGGTTATACATGTGTGTGGAACAGGGGCTATATGGGAACTATCTGAACACTCAGTTTTGTCATACTTAAAATTGCTCCTAAAAATGAAGTTTATTAATCTAGAAAAAAAAAGGTAGAGCTTATTCTCCTCCTCTTGAATATGAGCGGAACTCAGTGATTTGATTCTAATGAATAGAATGTGGTAGAAATGATGCTATGATAACATCTGAAGCTGGGTCATAGTGACAGTAGCTTCCACCTGGCTCTTACTTTCTTGGGTGGATCACTAACTTTAGGGGTCATGGGAATTGACTATGGGAAGCCATGTAGATGTCACATCCTAAGGGCCTTCAAACAGCTTATGGACAGGCTCATGAGGGAAGGAACTGAGGCCTCCCACCAACATCCAGCACCAACTTGCCAGTCGTATCTGTGAGCCATCTTGGAAGCAGATCCTCGAACCCCAGTCAAGCCTTCACATGCCTACAGCCCCAGCCAACATCTTGACTGCAACCACCAAGCCAAGCTGCTCCCAAATCCCTGACTCACAGAAACTCTGAGAGCTAATAAATGTTTACTATTATTTTAAGTCACTATGTTTTGGGGTAACTTGTTCTGCAATAATACATAACAAATACAATCTTCATTAACAATTGTATATTGTGTTTTTTGTGTGAATTGGCATGGAAGTGGATGTAAAACTGGGTTATATGTTATTGGGTTTTCAATATAAGAAGGTTGTTTAATTAACTATGACAAGAGTTGTAAGGTTGGAGATAATTTTGTCAACAAGTAATACAAATCCCAAATAAAACTGACAAACAATACTCTACATATGGGTTCCCATGCCTAAAGGCCCAGCAGCAGGTTGGGTTTCCAATCAATTTGTCTAGGGGCTTCTGCTGCATCGCCCTGTGACCTTCTTGCCTCAAACCTCCCACACAGTGTCAGTCTTACCCTCACATTGGGTAACACGATGGCTGCAGCAGTTCCAGGCCTCACATCAGTACATGTCAGTATCTAAAAGAAAAGTGTCACTTCTGGAACTTTGCCCAGAAGACTGAGAACTTTGATGCTTCTCATTGGCCAGAATTGGGTCACAAGCCTATTATTGAGCCTTCACTGGGAAGGAGGATGGGATTACCCACAGGTCACCCAGGGCCACCCCTGCAGCTGGGAGTGGTATCGGCTTTCCTTCAGGCCTGTGGGTTGAGTAGGAAAGCAAAGGGAACCCAAACAACAAGAGAGTTGTGTTAGGGAAGAGAAACAGGGGATCTCTGCTGGACAGGCCACCAACAGCAGTGTCTATGTGATGTGCTTTACACAGACACAAAACAGCCATGTTAACTTCTAGTTCCGAGAAAAAGCAAAAAAATAGCTAATAAACTTTGCAAAATCTTGACAATAACACATTTCATGATGTTCCCATGGGCTTTATGCTTTCGAGCTGCAGTTTTCTTTCATCTCAGGTGGGGTATTTTTGTTTATATGTAGTGTTCTTTTTTTGGTTGTTGTTACAGAATTTAGGATTTAATAAATACTTAAGATTACTAAAGGAATTTAAAGCTTTAATAAAGCTCTAAGTTAATTTATAGGTCACTTTGAGGAGGGGGTAAAAAGCTTGGAAGAGGTCTCTTTGTCAGGCCTCTGAGCCCAAGCCAAGCCATCGCATCCCCTGTGACTTGCACGTATATACGCCCAGATGGCCTGAAGTAACTGAAGAATCACAAAAGAAGTGAATATGCCCTGCCCCACCTTAACTGATGACATTCCACCACAAAAGAAGTGTAAATGGCCGGTCCTTGCCTTAAGTGATGACATTACCTTGTGAAAGTCCTTTTCCCGGCTCATCCTGGCTCAAAAAGCACCCCCACTGAGCACCTTGTGACCCCCACTCCTGCCCACCAGAGAACAAACCCCCTTTGACTGTAATTTTCCTTTACGTACCCAAATCCTATAAAACGGCCCCACCTTTATCTGCCTTCCCTGACTGTCTTTTCGGACTCAGCCCGCCTGCACCCAGGTGAAATAAACAGCCACGTTGCTCACACAAAGCCTGTTTGGTGGTCTCTTCACACGGACGCGCATGAAATTTGGTGCCGTGACTCGGATCGGGGGACCTCCCTTGGGAGATCAATCCCCTGTCCTCCTGCTCTTTGCTCTGTGAGAAAGATCCACCTATGACCTCAGGTCCTCAGACCGACCAGCCCAAGAAACATCGCACCAATTTCAAATCCGGTAAGCGGCCTCTTTTTCCTCTCTTCTCCAACTTCCCTCACTATCCCTCAACCTCTTTCTCCTTTCAATCTTGGCGCTACACTTCAATCTCTCCCTTCTCTTAATTTCAATTCCTTTCATTTTCTGGTAGAGACAAAGGAGACACGTTTTATCCGTGGACCCAAAACTCCGGCGCGGGTCACGGACTGGGAAGGCAGCCTTCCCTTGGTGTTTAATCATTGCAGGGACGCTCTCTGATTATACACCCACGTTTCAAGGGTGTCAGACCACGCAGGGACGCCTGCCTTGGTCCTTCACCATTAGCGGCAAGTCCCGCTTTTCTGGGGAAGGGGCAAGTACCCCAACCCCTTCTCTCCTTGTCTCTACCCCTTCTCTGCTTTTCTGGGAGAGGGGCAAGTACCCCTCAACCCCTTCTCCTTCACCCTTAGCAGCAAGTCCCGCTTTTCTACGGGGCAAGAACCCCCAATCCCTTATTTCCGCACCCCAACCTCTTATCTCTGCACCCCAATCCCTTCCGAGCCCCAACCTCGTATCTCTGCACCCCAATCCCTTATTTCCACGCCCCGACCTCTTATCTCTGTGCCCCAACCCCTTTGCCCACTTTTCTAGAAGGTAAGAACCCCCGAACCCCTTCCCTCCGTTTCTCTACTTTCTCTTTTCTCTAGGCTTGCTTCCTTCACTGTGGGCAAACTTCCACCCTCCATTCCTCCTTCGACTCCCTTGGCCTGTGTTCTCAAAAACTTAAAACCTCTTCAACTCACACCTGACCTAAAACCTAAATGCCTTATTTTCTTCTGCATTGCCGCTTGACCCCAATACAAACTCGACAGTAGTTCCAAATAGCCAGAAAATGGCACTTTGAATTTTTCCATCCTGCAAGATCTAAATAATTCTTGTCGTAAAATAGGCAAACGGTCTGAGGTGCCTGACGTCCAGGCATTCTTTTACACATCAGTCCCTTCCTAGTCTCTGTGCCCAGTGCAACTCATCCCAAATCTTCCTTCTTTCCCTCCCGCCTGTCCCCTTAGTACCAACCCCAAGTGTCACTGAGTCTTTCTAATCTTCCTTTTCTACAGACCCATCTGACCTCTCCCTTCCTCCCCAGGCTGCTCCTCGCCAGGCCGAGCTAGGTCCCAATTCTTCCTCAGCCTCCGCTCCTCCACCCTGTAATCTTTTTATCACCTCCCCTCCTCACACCTGGTCCGGTTTACAGTTTCGTTCTGTGACTAGCCCTCCCCCACCTGCCCAGCAATTTACTCTTAAAAAGGTGGCTGGAGCTAAAGGCATAGTCAAGGTTCATGCTCCTTTTTCTTTATCCCAAATCAGATAGCGTTTAGGCTCTTTTTTATCAAATATAAAAATCCAGCCCAGTTCATGACTTGTTTGGCAGCAACCCTGAGACACTTTACAGCCCTAGACCCTGAAAGGTCAAAAGGCCGTGTTATTCTCAAAATACATTTTATTACCCAATCTGCTCCCGACATTAAATAAAACTCCAAAAATTGGAATCTGGCCCTCAAGCCCCACAACAGGACTTAATTAACCTCACCTTTAAGGTGTACAATAATATAAAAAAGTTGCAATTCCTTGCCTCCACTGTGAGACAAACCCCAGCCACATCTCCAGCACACAAGAACTTCCAAATACCTGAACCACAGCAGCCAGGCGTTCCTCCAGAACCTCTTCCCCCAGGAGCTTGCTACAAGTGCTGGAAATCTGGCCACTGCGCCAAGGAATGCCTGCAGCCCAGGATTCCTCCTAAGCCATGTCCCATCTGTGCGGGACCCCACTGGAAATTGGACTGTTCAACTCACCTGGCAGCCACTCCCAGAGCCCCTGGAACTCTGGCCCAAGGCTCTCTGACTGACTCCTTCTCGGCTTAGCGGCTGAAGACTGATGCTGCCCGATCGCCTCAGAAGGCCCGTAGACCATCACGGACGCCCAACTTCGAGTAACTCTCACAGTGGAGGGTAAGTCCATCCCCTTCTTAATCAATATGGAGGCTACCCACTCCACATTACCTTCTTTTCAAGGGCCTGTTTCCCTTGCCTCCATAACTGTTGTAGGTATTGACAGCCAGGCTTCTAAACCTCTTAAAACTCCCCAACTCTGGTGCCAACTTAGACAATACTCTTTTAAGCACTCCTTTTTAGTTATCCCCACCTGCCCAGTTCCCTTATTAGGCTGAGATACTTTAACTAAATTATCTGCTTCCCTGACTATTCCTGGATTACAGCTATATCTCATTGCCGCCCTTCTTCCCAATCCAAAGCTTCCTTTGCTTCCTCCTCTTGTATCCCTCCACCTTGACCCACAAGTATAAGATACCTCTACTCCCTCCTTGGCGACCGATCATGCACCCCTTACCATCTCATTAAAACCTAATCACCCTTACTCCACTCAACACCAATATCCCATCCCGCAGCACGCTTTAAAAAGATTAAAGCCTGTTATCACTCACCTGTTACAGCATGGCCTTTTAAAGCCTATAAACTCTCCTTACAATTCCCTCATTTTACCTGTCCTAAAACCAGACAAGCCTTATAAGTTAGTTTAGTTCAGGATCTGTGCCTTATCAATCAACCAACTTGTTTTGCCTATCCACCCCGTGGTGCCAAACCCATATACTCTCCTATTCTCAATACCTGCCTCTACAACCCATTATTCTGTTCTAGATCTCAAACGTGCTTTCTTTACTATTCCTTTGCACCCTTAATCCCAGCCTCTCTTCGCTTTCACTTGGACTGACCCTGACACCCATCAAGCTCAGCAAATTACCTGGGCTGTACTGCCGCAAGGCTTCACAGACAGCCCCCATTACTTCAGTCAAGCCCAAATTTCTTCCTCATCTGTTACCTATCTCTGCATAATTCTCATAAAAACACACGTGCTCTCCCTGCCAATTGTGTCCAACTGATCTCTCAAACCCCAGCACCTTCTACAAAACAACTCCTTTCCTTCCTAGGCATGATTAGCGCAGTCAGAATTCTTACACAAGAGCCAGGACCACACCCTGTAGCCTTTCTGTCCAAACAACTTGACCTTACTGTTTTAGCCTAGCCATCATGTCTGCGTGCAGTGGCTGCCGCTGCTTTAATACTTTTAGAGGCCCTCAAAATCACAAACTATGCTCAACTCACTCTCTACAGCTCTCATAACTTCCAAATTCTATTTTCTTCCTCACACCTGACGCATATACTTTCTGCTTCCCGGCTCCTTCAGCTGTACTCACTCTTTAAGTCCCACAATTACCATTGTTTCTGGCCCAGACTTCAATCCGGCCTCCCACATTATTCCTGATACCACACCTGACCCCCATGACTGTATCTCTCTGATCCACCTGACATTCACCCCATTTCCCCACATTTCCTTCTTTCCTGTTCCTCACCCTGATCACTCTTGATTTATTGATGGCAGTTCCACCAGGCCTAATCGCCACACACCAGCAAAGGCAGGTTATGCTATAGTACAAGCCACTAGCCCGCCTCTTAGAACCTCTCATTTCCTTTCCATCGTGGAAATCTATCCTCAAGGAAATAACTTCTCAGTGTTCCATCTGCTATTCTACTACTCCTCAGGGATTATTCAGGCCCCCTCCCTTCCCTACACATCAAGCTGGAGGATTTGCCCCACCCAGGACTGGCAAATTAGTTTTACTCAACATGCCCTGAGTCAGATAACTAAAATACCTCTTAGTCTAGGTAGATACTTTCACTGGATAGGTAGAGGCCTTTCCTACAGGGTCTGAGAAGGCCACCGCAGTCATTTCTTCCCTTCTGTCAGACATAATTCCTACAGTCTGATAACAGATGAGCCTTTATTAGTCAAATCAGCCAAGCAGTTTTTCAGGCTCTTAGTATTCAGTGAAACCTTTATATCCCTTACGGTCCTCCATCTTCAAGAAAAGTAGAACGGACTAAAGGTCTTTTAAAAACACACCTCACCAAGCTCACCCAGCAACTTAAAAAGGACTGGACAATACTTTTACCACTTTCCCTTCTCAGAATTCAGGCCTGTCCTCGGAATGCTACAGGGTACAGCCCATTTAAGCTTCTGTATAGACGCTCGTTTTTATTAGGCCCCAGTCTCATTCCAGACACCAGACCAACTTAGACTGTGCCCCCAAAAAACTTGTCATCCCTACTATCTTCTGTCTAGTCATACTCCTATTCGTTCTCAACTACTCATACATGCCCTGCTCTTGTTTACACTGCCGGTTTACACTGTTTTTCCAAGCCATCACAGCTGATAATCTCCTGGTGCTATCCCCAAACTGCCACTCTTAACTCTTGAAGTAAATAAATAATCTTTGCGGGCAGGACTATGCTGAATCTCCTTAGGCACTCTCTAATCAGATATCCTGAGTCGTCCCAATTCTTAGACCTTTTATACCTGTTTTTCTCCTTCTGTTATTCCATTTAGTTTCTCAATTCATCCAAAACTGTATACAGGCCATCACCAATCATTCTATACGACAAATGTTTCTTCTAACATCCCCACAATATCACCCCTTACCACAAGACCTCCCTTCAGCTTAATCTCTCCCACTCTAGGTTCCCACGCCACCCCTAATCCCGCTTGAAGCAGCCCTGAGAAACATCACCCATTCTCTCTCCATACCACCCCCCAAAAATTTTCGCCGCCCCAACACTTCAACACTATTTTGTTTTATTTTGCTTATTAACATAAGAAAGCAGGAATGTCAGGCCTCTGAGCCCAAGCCAAGCCATCGCATCCCCTGTGACTTGCATGTATACGCCCAGATGGCCTGAAGTAACTGAAGAATCACAAAAGAAGTGAATATGCCCTGCCCCACCTTAACTGATGACATTCCACCACAAAAGAAGTGTAAATGGCCGGTCCTTGCCTTAAGTGATGACATTACCTTGTGAAAGTCCTTTTCCCGGCTCATCCTGGCTCAAAAAGCACCCCCACTGAGCACCTTGCGACCCCCACTCCTGCCCACCAGAGAACAAACCCCCTTGACTGTAATTTTCCTTTACGTACCCAAATCCTATAAAACGCCCCCCCGACACTTATCTGCCTTTTCGGACTCAGCCTGCCTGCACCCAGGTGAAATAAACAGCCATGTTGCTCACACAAAGCCTGTTTGGTGGTCTGTTCACACAGACGCGCATGAAACTCTTCATAACACAGGTTAAAATATGCGTTCTTTTCTTAGCCAGGGTGACTTCATGCAGGGCTGTTCTTCATGTTATTAGGTGGCCTTTAATATCTTTGAAATATGGCACAATTAGAAGCCTGAACCTTACTCTAATGTTTATAGCAGCACTTTATCAAACTTGGTTTCGGATCATATACAAATTCTGACACTAGAGGGAGTGCATAATGTATTACAGAAAGGGAAAGCATACACCTAATAAATTCAAGGTAAAAATGCAGAGTAGCAAGACAAGACTTTCATTATCTTCCGTTCAGTAAGCCCCATGCCTTTCCCCCACAACCCCGAAATTACTAGAGGCCTCTTTCCCCCTTAGAACTGTAGTTTGAATTGGTAGGAGGTTGGTAGGTTGCTTGAAGAACTGTGAAAAGAGTGTTTTATTTTAGAGCCTTTCTAGTGTTTTGTTTTCATTTTTAAAAAATTGAGACATAGTATTTCCTACCTCTCATACATTAGATGGCAAAATTAAAATTACTCCTGGCCGTTTTGTTCTGTTTCTGACTTGGTTAAGATGCTTAACTATATAGTAATGTCACCTATAGAATGAAAAGACTCGGGCTTTATCCTTTGCTTAAAAAATGTAGTCTAGTCTTATGAAAGGGTAAGCATTGTTTTTAGCATTCAGCTTCATAATTTATTCCCTTACTATAGGTGCTGCTCTGATAATTTAACAGCCAATGTCAAACAATTAACAAATAATATTTAAGGCATTTTTATTTCCTAATGTCAAAAATTTCTCATGCTCTAACCAAATGGAATGCCTAATGCCTGAAAACATGTAAATGACTACAAATATGACTGAGCTATTAACACAGCAACAAGAGATTCGACTGGCTGAAAAAGTGAATGATCATTGCCACCAGTAAGACTCAACAACTGTTCTCGAAAAATGTGATCACTGCTGTGTGCTTTCCTAAAACCTTTTTGTGTATTCATTATACATTCCACAATTATCGTAAATCCATCTTGTACTCACACAAATCTTTGAACTACCGGTAAACTGTCTCTTTAATGGAAATGAAAATTAGAAAAATTAAAAAGCAGGCTCATTATGAAAAATCCTGTACTTTATCCAGATGAATGAAATGACCCACACAAATGAAACATCCAGACTCACATTACCTTTTCCTAAAATACCGAAACCATGTCTCTGACTAGGGCATATTTGTACAGACTTACCTGACAGAGAGCCTTTTGGTTAATGATATTTCACCATAATGACTTCTGGAAAGTTAAACCAGATTTCAGGCAATAGACTATGCAGGGTGTATGTGTGTGTGTGTGTGTGTGTGTGTGTGTGTGTGTGTGTCCATCTGCATATATGTATGTGTCTATGTGTGTGTGCTGTGTCTGTCTATGTCCATCTGTCTGTGTGTATGTGTCTGTATGTATGTCTACATGTATATGTGTATGTGTGTCTGTATATGTATATATGTGTGTCTGTGTGTATGTTTCTGTCTGTGTGTGTCATGATTTTTTATTCAAAAGCACACAAGTAAACACATCATGAGAAGTACTATTTCAACATTACAGTTCCAGTTAAAACACATATGAATCAATTTACACAATATCACAGTTTCTAGATAGCAAATATCATATGGAGCAAGTTTGAATCCTGCCCCATGTTTGGATGAATGCCAGATATTTTACTCTTGCACACACCAAATAATGGGGGTGAGGATGCAGCAGATTCTACGGCTCTTCAGTCTGTGGTGCCCATGCACGATTTCTACCTGTTTTCAAAGGTTCTCACCTTTGTGTTGCCCTAATGATGTTTGCCTGTGCTTTAATCTTATTAAGTGCAGTTTGAGTGTGCTGATGAGCCCAGACACTCTGCCTAAATTGGTCACTTGATTTTTCCCCACCTCTTACACCTGACACTCTCTCTATCCACCACCACCTGTGATCAAGCTTCTCTTCCCCCCTTGGTGAGTATCATAAACCTTTCTCACTTTTCATCCACACATTACATTTACTTATTTTCAAACTGTTGTACATTGCTCATATATATTTATCTTTATCATTCAATTGAAATGTTTTCTTTTCACCTGTAAAAATTGGTTAGATATATTGGATTGGGATGAAATTAATCATAATTTTCCCCATTAAAAATAATTTTTCATGTAACAGCTTTCACTTAGTGGCAGAATTTTCAGGAATTAATTCAAAATGGTAAGAAAGGGATACACAAATATTGAAACACAGAGCACCCCACCGGACAAGTCTGGTAAGTCCACTCACATTCTCCAGGGGAACAAAGGGCAAGCCTGGGAGAGAAGAGATGAAGTACCCACCCTCTGCATTAGTGTTTATGGTATTTTATTTTTTTTCTTTGAGATGGAGTCTCCCTCCAGCGCCCAGGCTGGAGTGCAGTGGCATGATCTCGGCTCACTGCAGCCCCTGCCTCCCAGGTTCAAGTGATTCTCTTGCCTCAGCCTCCTAGTAGCTGGGATTACAGGTGTGCGCCACCACACCTGGCTAAAGTGCCATGTTGGCCAGGCTGGTCTCGAACTCCTGACCGCAAGTGATCTGTCTGCCTCGGCCTCCTAAAGTCCTGGGATTACAGGTGTGAGTCACAAGTGTTTAGTATTAGTGACAGTGCCTCAGTGTTGCAGATGGTTTCCAGAGTTCCCAGAATTTTTGTTTTGGGGATGGGGTGGGGAGTTGCATGGGAGAAAGAAAAGTGTCTCAACTCAGAATCTTGGGGAGATTCAGGAGATAATTGGATAACCAGACAATCCCCACAGATATCTTTAGTGATTTTTTAAAAATTACTTTATTTTCTTAATTTTTTTACTCTTTACAACTATGTTGGTATTCTGTTTCTAGACTGTGATTTAGGTTAAACACAAAGTTTATTTAGTATTTGTTTACCCAATTATATCATCTTTACACATAAAATAATTTTATAAAAACATTAAAATTACTACCATTTGTAACCTGAGTATCATGATTTTATCTATCCTATGTACAGGATTCAAAACATAAAAAGTTTCCCAAAAAAACTTTCTGTCAAACAGTAGGCTGGTTAGCATCAATACTACCATAGAAATCCAGTCTGGCCTGATCTTTTATCCTCAGATCTCTAGTTGTATCTGAAATGGAATAGATACCCCAAAAGTAGAAAATACTCCTTATTAGATGCATTGTGTGAGAAATGATTGTTTGAGATGTTAAGGAAAACAACACTATTTCTGCAGCAAATCTAAATTCTAAACATGCATAAGAGGATGCCCTATGTTGGTCTGCAAAGAAACAGGTTGAAAGAAGCACCACACTATTGTTCTGTCCATTAAAAATTAATCAACAGTGGTGAAGAAATGCTTTTACTAACATAGAAAGATGTTTACAATACACTGCTGAGTGGGAAAAAAGTAAGTTACAAGACAGAATCTGTGTTTTTCTTAGAGAAAAAAATGTATATGTAGCAAAATGTAAAAAGGAGCTCTCTATAGTATAATTATAGATATTTTTATCACTTTCTTCTGCTTATATGTATTTTTCTAAGTTTTTTTATATAATGAGCATGAATTACTTGTTTGATGCTTTATGTATGAAGTTTGAAAACTCTACTAGCTAGTAATAGCTTGATACTGACTTTGAGTAAGGTTTAGACCAGTGATCTTCATCCCTGGCTGCACACAGAATCACTTGGGAAGAGGGGGTTAATTATGACCCCATGTTGTAGAAAAGGGTGGGAACAGTAACCAATTAAGTCAGAATCTTGCTGGAGGGGGCAGGGAAGGAGCACTGTTTTTATTTATTTCTTGTTAAGTTCCTTAGACAATTCTAATATGTAGTCAAGGATAAGAATAATTAGTTTCAACAGTATCGGTCACAGTTTATGATCAGATTCACCAGCGAATGTTATCTGAACATTCCCATTTTACTTCTCCCTGAATACTGCCTAACTTAGAATCACTGGCTTTTCTAACTTGAAGACAGCTTAGTTCAATTCTGATGATCAAATGTGTTGATTTCCTATTGTGTGCCATTACTTGCTAGGTTCTGGCAGTTGAAGGTGAATAGCACCCAGACCCTCCCCTTACTGAGTTTGCATTCCCCTTATGGAGCTTGCATTCCAGTAAGGGAAACACACTGGGGGAAAAAACTGCTGCAATACAATGCCGTTGGTTGTATGATAGAAGCATGCACATGGAGAACTGGGGGGATATGGTGAGAGGCACCCACTTAGGGGGGTTTGGGGAGATCTGCCTGGAGGAGAGGATCATGTGTTCCCCTTGGAAGGTACATGACTGGTTCAAGATCACACAGACAAGTGTGAGGGGCCAAATCAGGAACAGAACCTTGCTATTCAACACCTACTCCTGTACCATTTGATGACTCCGACAAGCTGAGACAAAAGGCCTGACTCAAGGGTACAGAGAACACCCTCCCTTCTAGAATATCCCCTTCCTGTACACGCCCACACATGTGAAATAAACCACAGAAGTATCAGCTGTAAGATGTTATTAATGAAGGCAGGCCTCTCAGGCATTCTGACCTGGCACAAAAGTTGTCAGATTAATGGTATTAGAAAATTTGCAAATCAAATGGCTCATTATGTATGATACTGTACTTGCAAATAGGATTAGGTTGATTATGCACTATAAATAGCATTTTTAAAAGACTCCCTCAAGGCCGATTGGGCTGATATCTTGCTAGTCAGATTTTTTTTGAATAAATAATATTTGTACATATTTATGGGGAACATGTGATATTTTGATACATGCATAAGATGTGTAATAATTTAACCAGGCTCTCAAAGTAAAGGGTTACTGAACTGCTAAACAGATGACACCTTGTAGTCAGAGCTTAGCTGCCCAGTGTAGTGCTGGAGAGCTAGGGTTTGGTTCGTGATTGCCTTTAGAGACATCTTTTCACTAAGCCTCTGGTGACAGAGCCTTGATCGTTTTAGCACCTGGACAAAGTGATCACAGGGGGCTTCTGTCATGCACAATAGAGCCAGTGCTGCAGCCTGAGACAGGCTTGGCCACAGGAGGCCACTGCCCAGGCCAGGAGAGCAACTGCATTCCTAGAGGAATGAAGGCAAGGTAAGGGTGAGCTTTGAAAAGCACCTGAAGGTTCTGACAGCAAATGTCACTTCTGTCAGCTTCACTATGCATCCTCCTGCATAAACCTGTTTTATTGCATACTCTTCTGCCCTCCTGTCTCAGGAAACCTAGCCAGTCTTTAAGAGACTACATAGACATCGTCCCTTTTCCAGAATGTGGAGACCATGTGGTAAATACTCAAGGAAGATGGTATTCATTCACATAAATCAAAATTGGTTCTACATAAAAATTTCCCAGCTTGCTGCATGTGTTTGCTCATTCTATTCTTCCTGACGGTCAGCTGGGAAACTATTCTCTATTAATGAGATTATATTTCCCAAAGTGTTTTTTTACCCCACTGTCCCCAAGTATTTCTTTCTGTAGCAGCAACATAGTAAAGCCTGAGGAAATGAAGCAATTGGAAAAGGCTACATTGAATTAGAATCTGAATTAGAATATTTTATTACTTTCAAGCATAGAATTATTATGTGCATCATCAACAATGTTTCCTCATGTAAAGCTCCCAGCAAAATTGCTTCAAGAAATAAAGAAGGATCATTTGAGATTTGCATGTCAAATGTGAAGAGCCAGGGCTGCTTATTTTCTTAAGCAGGTTAAACATGTTCTCTAAAATTCTCTATGTCCTATTAATGTGCTTCAAAATGACTTCCCCCTTTTTTAATATAAGTAATCAAAGGTAAATGTAATCCCCTGTCCAAATTCTCATTAATTCTGAGTCGATACAATTCTATTTCACTGCAAGTTTTTCTCTATTTCATAAATATGCTTACCTCCAAATCCACCTAACAGAGATGGAAAAATGTATACTATTGCTAATAAATGTTTACATCATCTTAGATTCCTTTTTCTCAATTGTCACCATCTCCTTGGGAACTCATTTGGTAGAAAGATAGACTTTTGATACAGACAAAACTTCACGTGCCTTCCACTTGCTAAATGTGTGTTGAGCAGCTTCCTTAAGACTGCCAGATATTATACTAAGGTGTGGCTATCAAGTTAAGTTAAATCTCATACCTGCAGTTTCTAAGGCCACCTGTGTGACAAACTGAAGACAAGTTAATTAAAGACACCTAAGGAGTCTACACTCAGCTGAAAGTGTGTTTGTTTCACTTGAACTTGAGAAGGCTGACCCTCTTCATCTCTTCAGTGGACAGTTACAAGACAGTAACCAGCTCTTCTCCCATGCTGCTGAAAACAAGGCTAAGAAAGTAAACTGCCATGTGAGGAATTGCAGGTAATTATATGGGAGAATGTCTCATGAGAAAAACCTACTGGAATGGTCTAACCAAGGAAAAATTGGGATCTTCATTACTAGAAAGCGTTCTAAAATATCACCAAAACCTATTCATCAAGACAGTTCAGTTGTAAACCAATCTGGCAACAGGAAGAACAAGAAGGACTTCGAGTTTTCTCCACTTCCTTTTAGAGAATTATAATTAAGGTATGTTTGTGTTACTATATACGCTTCAAGAACTTGCATTGAATAAATATCCTGTGTACAAAAACAGGAATGAACCATCCTTATTTGCAGAACTCTGAACCAAACCCATATACTATTTTTTCTTCACTAAACCAAAAGCTTTAACGAAAACATCCGAAACAAACTGATCTAGAACTATGCTCATTTAAAATGTTTGAACTAGAATAGCTACGTCTTCTGAGTTAAACCTAAAGTGAACTAATATTATATTTAAGTACGTTTGAAGCTCTCCCATAGGCCCTATATAGATTATTTGTATTATGTATGATGTCTTTAGCTGGATATTGTCTCAAGAAACTATATACCCACAATGACTGCAGATAAAATCTGTTTTATAAACACAAAAGACTATCATAAACACATCATAATCCATGTTAAACTACGCATCATGATCTAATGAGCCAGGAAGTCTGAAGATTACAGGTTAGCTGGTATACAGAAATAAGGGTTACCCCAAAACTCAGCATATACCTTCTTCACTGTGGCTTAAGTTACCATATTAGAAATGCTAACCGCTCCAACGACATTTTCACCTAAGAGAACCTGTCTCGCACCCCCAACCTCAGCAATGGGATTTGCATCTTGTAAATTCATCTTGAACCACAGCTGATTAGATCAGACCTGAGCACACCCTCCGCCCCTCAATGCACAGAGAAGCATTCCATAGGCCAGACCGAACCAAATTCTCTGTCTGACTCCATTTGATCTAAGAGACACAGCAGCAGAGTCAGGTGGTAGCTAAAGCTCACGGATGATGCAGCACTGGTGTCAGTGTCTGTAAATCACTGCCGCTGAGGGCTCAGGGGCAGCCCTGCTCCCTGAGTTCTGGGACCACAGCTTTTCTTTTGGGTTCCAAAAATATTTTAGTTTTCTTGTAGCATATTTTTACCTGAGATACTTCAAAAAAATTTCTGTTCCTCACCTTTCTGACATTCTCTCAACTCCCTTGCTTTCTCACCTCTACCCATGCTCACCTCGGTGGTAAACCCAGGGGAAGAATTACCATCCTGTTAATGGAGGGAAGAATAGGCCAAAACCATCAGAACAGTGCCAGATGCTAGATATCAGCAGTGAAGCCACATAAAGAAAGACAACCCATGGGGTCAGAAATCAAGGGGATGTGGACAGGCTTCAGAGCCAAGCCTGTGAACATATGGCGACCTCGGAGGCCTGTTATTCAGCTATGCCATCCGCTTGGTACAGGGCAGACCTGGTGGGCCAAAGCAGGGCTTTTCCCACTTTAATGTGCACATGAATCACCCGAGATGCTAGTGGAATGCAAGTTCTGATGCACTAGGTCAGGGGAGGGACCTGAACATCCGTTTCTAACAAGCTCCCAAGTGATGCCAAACATGTGGCTTTGGACCACACTTGAGTAGCAAAGGTGTAAAAAGCTTTGCAGGATTGAATTGTGCAGCAACAATAAAATACATGATGGATAACAATAAGCAATAAAATAATAATAACATAAATAATTAACATATAAATAAAATAATTAACAATAAACAACAATAAAAGAACCTCCATCTTCAGGTGGTGATGGAAAATTATGAAATCTCCAGGTGATGGAATTACTGGACCCCAAGTCTCTCTAAGTGCTGTACACAGCATCAGTGATTTATGTTATAGTTGATCGCTTCTTCAAGCTGAGAGTAGAGACACTAGAAGCTCATGGTGAGGCAGATATGGATGGAAACTGGAGCCTCCATATTCCATCAAATAGGTAGGCAAAGCTTAGAATGCCATACTTGGCACTGTGACCAGCCCCCAGATATTAGCCTTTCTGAATACATAACTGCTATATGAAAACTAAACTTGGGTCAGACCAAGTCTATGCCATATATTTCAGGAACAATTTGCAAAGTATCTTTTACTGTCTTTTCTTGCTGACTAAATATAACCTGCCTATACGGGTTGAGCATCTCAAAATCCAAAAATCCAAAATCTGAAATGCTCCAAAATCCAAAACATTTGAGTGCCAACATCACATCCAAAGGAAATGCTCATTGGAGCATGTTGGATCTCAGATTTTTAGTTTTGACGAGTGGATAAAGAAACTGTGGTATGTATATATGATGGAATACTACTCAGCCATAATAAGGAATGAATTAATGGCGTTCACAGCAACCTGGATGAGATTGGAGACTATTATTCTAAGTGAAGTAACTCAGGAATGGAAAACCAAACATCGTGTGTTCTCACTCATAAGTGCGAGCTAAGCTATAAGGATGCAAAGGCATAAGAATGATACAGTTGGCTTCGGAGACTCGGGGGAAAGGGTGGGACAGGGGTGAGGGATAAAAGACTACAAATTGGGTTCTGTGTATACTCCTCAGGTGATGAGTGCAACAAAATCTCACAAATCACCACTAAAGAACTTACTCATGTAACCAAATACCACCTCTTCCCCAAATGGAAATAAAAATTTAAAAAAAAAGATTTTTAGGTTTGGGATACTCAACAAATATAATGCAAATATTCCAAAATAGAAACACTCTGGTCCCAAGCACTTCAGCTAAGGAAAACTCAGCCTGTATGCCTAACTTAACTGCAACAGAGATCCTTCTTTCTTTGATTAGACCACCTGGCTACATTCTTAGACGAGAGAACTCACTGGTGCTGGTAGGTGGAGCTCCAAGATGGAAATTCATGCCTAAAGAGTTTGGTTTGGGCTACTGAAAGCCTTTTTGCTGTGTGTAACTGAGGAGGAAGTAGAGATTAATTTGGCTCATTTTCAGCCCAACTTATTTCCAGACCGTGGAATCTATCAGTGTAAATTTTAAGTCTGGGAAGGCTGCTTTTTATTTAAAAGACAACACTGGAGGTGACGGTGCTTTTAACTATGCAAATATAATGAAGCTCCCAACTTAGTAATGGTTCACTTAACCTAAAGTAAACTGAAAAGCCAGGCAGTGAGCCCTGTGCTTTATTGACTGAAGGCCATATAATGAATTTCCTTTTAAAAAGTGCATTTCATGTTGCCTTTATTTACTGATTTCTCACGAATAATCAACTTTAACCATTTTTAACTACTATTTTAACCATTTTAAACATAGTTGCAGAAACTTCTGATTCAAGGTGATAGACTGACTTCATATTTTCATATCCTCTCTCTCCATAGGCCTCCAGGGGAAGGTAAATGAGGTCATTCATTTATTCACTGCTACAGCATCAGGCACAGTTCTGGGTAAAAGTATCATGGTAATAGGCAAGACAGATAAAGACTATTCTCACAACACTTGAACATCCTAGATGAGTAGAGGTAGATGATAAACAGAATATGAACCTGAAATTACTGAGACTGAGATAGGTATTATGACCAAAGTGAAACAGGATGATTTTATAGAAAGTAAATTGGCAGCCATATCGTCAGGGACATTTAAGCTAAGACCTCAATGACAAGAAAGAATTAGCCCTGTAAAAATAGGAGGCAACAGCTATGGTAAAATCATTAAAATGAGAATGTGCTTGACCTTTTTAAGAAATCAAAAGTAGGCCCGTGTGATTGAGCATACTGAGAGAGGGGAAGAATAAATGGAGTTGAGAAGAAAGATCAGGGCAGATCATATGTGGCCTGTAGGAAGCCTGGAGTAAGAAGTAGGAGCACATTGTATAGGACCATGGCCCATGGAGACCACAGAAAGTGGGGACCAGATGGCATAGGCCCATGGCCCAGGGTAAAGTGTTTGGATTTTATGTTAAGAAAGCAGAGAAGTCCTTAGAGCATTTTAATCAAGGCTCAAAATACCCTTATTTGTGCTTTTAAAAGGGCATTCTGTGCAGAAGAATTCCAAGTTATTTATGTGGATACTTTGCCCTCAACGTAGTGGAACACAACTCCCTACTCCTTAAGTGTGTACTGGACATAATTACATTCTTCTTAAGAGTACTATATGGAAAGGATGGGAAAAGTAACTTTACAGTGGAGAAACCTGAAAACACTACCTTAGCCAGATGGTCAAAGTCAACATCAATGGTGATAAGTCATGTTGATAGTATATACCTTTGATATGATGTAATAAGAATGATACTTTACCTCGTCGTCTCCCACTCCAAAATTCATAACTTCAGTCTAAACATGAAAAAAAATCGGACAAATCCCAGTGATGGACATTCTACAAAATACCTGACCAGTACTCCTCGAAGTCATCAAAATAAGAAAAGTCTGAGAAAAAAATCCAGCCAAGAGGAGCCTAAGGAGAATGATGACTAAATCTAACGTGGGATCTTGGGTCAGAAAAAGGACGTTAGGTAAACACTAAGGGAGTCTGAGCAAAGTATAAGTATGAGCTTTAGTTAATAATAATGTACCAGTATTTATTCATTAATTATGACAAATACACCATACTACTATGTTAGTAACAGAGGAAATTGGGGGTAGGATATATGGGAACTTTCTGTACTATCTTCACAATTTTTCTGTAAATCTAAAACTGTTCTACAATTAAAAGTTTATTTTAAAAAAGTCTATTCTAGCTGCCATGTGCAAACTGAACTCTGGAGCACAAAAACAGCACTTTCTCATTCTAGTATCCCCTGGGTCCCTGAAAACCAGATTCTTTGTATTTTAAAAAGGAATTACAGATATAAGATAGAAGAGTTCATACTAATACTTGCCATTTAAATCCAAGACTACAGAGCTTTTACATAATCTGCTCTACCTCAGGCTAATTGGAGGATTGTTCTCTACAGAAATAAATGATTACAGGGCAAAGGTCTCTGAATTCAAGCATTTTTGGAACTCTCAGAATAAGAGCCAGTTTCATGCCTGATGACCCTAAAAAGAAGCCTGCCAATCAGTAACCTGCCTCATATCAGGTTCTTAATAAGTTTCAAGGCCTTACCCTTAAAATGTGTGGATAGCCAAGAAAGATGAGACATCCAAGGAAAGCCTTGGACACGGAAGAAAGAACCAAGAAAAACACAGGGAAAAAGCATAACACCAGAAGGAACATATAATTCAAGAAACAAAAGAAAACTTAAAGGAAAATAAATTAATGATTATCTTCGGGGATATTTGAGAAGATATTGCATGATGAAAACATAACAGAATGCTATGAAAAAAATGGAGGAAATAACCCTTAGATATAAAAGATATATTTAATAATAACTGAAATAAAGAGTTAAGTTCAAATAGTAAAGAGTTAAGTTCAAAGACAAATTTAGAATTATCTTTCAGAAAGAAGTATCCCAAAAAAGAGATGGAAAATATAACAAAAATAATTAAAGGTTATGGATTATCATTCTAGAAGATCTGACATCAGACTAATAAGAGACCGAAAAGAAAAGAAAACAAGGAAAAAAATGATCAAATGAAAAATATGAGAGAATTTCCAAGATCTAAAGTACAGGGGTGCTCATACTTAGAAAATCCAGCAAGTGCCCAGCCTAGTAAAATAAAAACATTCACAGCAGGTTGTGAAATGTCAGAATATTAATTTTTAAAAAAATATCTGAAAATCTTCCCACCAGAGAAGCTTCCCTGGTCCTGTACAAGAAACAAAATACCACACTAGCCTCAAGGTTTCTCATGAAGTTAGAAGACACTGAAGAAGGGACTCAACATTTCTGACAGAAAACCATTTTCACTTATCATTCTATACCTAGCCAAACTGTCAATCAAGTGGGAAACTAGAATAAATACATGTTTAAATCTACACAGGCTTGGAAATTCATAGCCCACACCAGTTACCATAGGAGATGACTTGATGTGACCCAGAACAAAAAGTAAAGGAAATCAAAGAAAGAGGAGGCTGCCCTGAAGCCTCAAGTACTCAATGGTGCAGTAAGAAACAAAATACAAGAGTTGGGATTTGTAATTATAGAGTAGCAAGATATTTGGATCCTAGAACTCAACATCAAGGCCAGATGGCATGGCTTGGAACACCCTGGTTCCCTCCTTTGAAAGGGGAAAAAGGCAGAAAGCCTGCCGTTCTAGGGTTCCCTGACCAGTCAGGTCACTTACCCTCCTGGCTGCTGGGACCCCTAGATTTTTACGAGAAACAAGGGAAGCTGTGAGGTGGGAGATGGAGGAGGTGAAGCTCACTGATACCATTATATATCATTAATCTCATGGGCAGCCTTTGAAATAACACTAAACTGAAGTCAATGTAATCGTGCCCAATTCTAGGTTGTCCTCTTTCCTTGCCTTGCCTGGACTGGCCTTTGTGGTCTGTCCTAGCTCACATGGGATTCAGACAACAGTAGATCCAACCCAGAGGCGTAATGAAGGAGGATCCTAATGAGGTAACTGTGTGGCAGGCCTAAGAACAAGCAGTCCAATTTGCTTCAGGAGGATAAAGAACTCCAGGAGGGAGGGAATTCGGGGGCAATTAGTATCCAAGGGATTTAATAGTATTCCTGAGAATGTCGAATTATTTAAGAAGATGACAAAGAAGACGTCCTGAAAAACAAGGAGGAGTCAGAGGAAGAAAAGTGAAAAAAAAAATGCATTCATAATAGGTAACATTTATGTAGCACAAACTACAGACAAGGAGCCACTCTAAGCACTTGATGTTTATTAGCTCCCTAATCCTCATAACAATTCAGAGACAGGCACTATTATTATACCCATTTTATAGATAACGGAACTGGGGCACAGAGAGGATTAGGAAGAACTTGCCAAAGGCCTAAACTTAGTGAGTGGCAGAGCCAGGATCAAATCCTGGCAGTCTGGCTCCAGCACCTGAGTGCCACGAACCACTACCTGAGACCGGAAGCACAATACCCTACCTCGCTGTGCTGGGGACAATATTTGAACACAACAATAAGTCCAGGCGTGGTGGCTCACGCCTGTAATCCCAACGCTTTGGGAGGCCGAGGTGGATGGATGACTTGAGGCCAGGAGTTCCAGACCAGGCTGGCCAGTATGGTGAAACCCCGTCTCTACTATAAATACAAAAATTAGCCAGGAAAGGTGGTGCATGCCTGTAGTCCCAGCTACTTGGGAGGCTGAGGCAGGAGAATCACTTGTACCAGGAGGCAGAGGCTGCAGTGAGCTGAGATCACACCACTGCACTACAGCCTGGGCAATAGAGTGAGACTCTGTCTTGGAAAAAAAAAAAACAAAAACAAAACACAACAATGAAAGCACTGTTTATTGATTTTCATCTTTTAGAATAAACATAACCCCCAAATCATTGTGTTTTCAAAACACAATGTTCTGGCAATGTAAAATTAAAGGACAAGTGGCAAAGTTGGGAACAGGAAAAATAGAAAAAGTGAGGAAAAAGGTAAGGGTGCTGGCATCTTAATCGTACAAAATAAGGAATTGAGAGATACTGTCTCTAATTTGTTTGCACACTTATTTCCCGTCTCCCTACAACCCTGATGTCAGCCCCACAGGAGCAGAGACCTTGTTCATCTTGTTTGCTGTTATATTTCCAGCCCCCTACAGGAATACAAGGCATGTACCTGAAGGCACTCAATAGATATTTGTGGAACGATGAATGAATGAATGAATGAATGAATGAATGAATGAATGAATGAATGAATGGAATAATAAGATTCTGAGAATAGCATTTAAATTTATAAAAGTAACAAAGAGGAAATAAAAATACTGAAAGAATTTTATTAAGAAGGAGCTATGGGAGGTGTGAACAATGGAAGTCATCTAAATCGTCACCTATCATAGCAGAAAGTCAAACAGAATCTATATTTGATAAATTAGGAAATGGATATAGGCATATCATCGTCCCTCAGGATCCTTCAGGGACTGGTTCCAGGACCACTGTGGCTACCAAAATCCTCGGATGCTCAAGCCCCTTATGTAAAATGTATGTAAAGTATAAAAAATGTATATAAAATATTGTATAAAGTGTACTTCCATATAACCTACACACATCTTCCTGTATACTTTAAATCATCTTTAGATTGCTTATAATAACCAATATAATATAAATGCTCTGTAAATAGTTGTGATTCTGTATTTTTATCTGTATTATTTTTATTGCTATATTGGTTTTTTAAAAAAATTGGATTCTTTTCTGAATACTTTTGATCCACAGTTAGTTGAATCTATAGATGCGAAACTGCAGATAAGCAGGGGAACTATATTCTTCAGGAAAAAACACAGATAAATAAAAAAGAATTAAAAAGAAGAACATTAAAATTCTTAATAGTGACAGTGTTTGGATGTGGGATATGGATGGAGACAGGTGGGGCAGGAACTGCTTGCTTTTATTATAAGCTCATCGAGATTCTTTTTTCTCTATGTGCATGTATTACTCTGATTTAAAATACAACTTAAAAACAAATATAACCACAACATTCAGGACTTCTCCAGCACTTTTCCACGTTAACTTGACTTTAATCAATCAATTCTGTAAAACCTGCCAGGTAATTTAAAATAGATGCAGCCTTCTTTCTGTCCAAAATCAATCCTATAACCCCCTAGTCAGAAATATCTCCATCAGTTAACTGCTCTGTCTCATCTTCAACCAATTATTTTCTAGTGACTCTCCTCAGCTTATAAAACATGCTCAAAACTCTACTACAAACAAAATGGGAAACCCTTCTGCCTGCACCCCTTTCCATCTACCTCCTGCCCATGGCTCTCTTTCCCTTCAGAGCTGAGCTTGAAAACTAGTTGCCCTCCTTGTCTCGATGTCCTCACCTCCCACGATGCTCTCATCAACACTTTGCTTTCTACGTCGGGCCCATTTTCCCCTGATTTGCTCCCACAAAAATGGCTGGACCTTTATTGCCAAATCCAGAGGGCAGTTCTGAGTCCCCCTCCTGGTTTTTTTTAACCTCTCTGGAACATGTGCTACTGTGAGCCCTCAGGCTGCTCAGTGGGACCCTTTTCCTCCAGTCACTGCAGTTCTGCAGGTCACATGTTCTTTATGTTCTTCCTCTGAGCAGTGTCATCTTCTCTTATGGGGTCCATGGTCCTGCCTATCTAGTGGTGGCAGCCAACTCTGTCTAGCTCCCTGGCCTGTTCCCATAAACAGGTTAACATAGTTTTTTATTTACTCACACATCTAAATTTCTTTCTCACATTTTAGTTTTAGAAGATAGGTTTTGAGGTGATTGTGTCCTTAAAGCTCTCTTTCTTTGGAAGTACTCCCACTCCCAGCCTCCACCGGTAGGTTCCGTCTGGGAAGTCATGTTGGATCAGGTGACCCAGCCCTGTGGCCACAGCTGATAGGACCAAGGACAGACGTCAGACGGAATATGGGCTAATCAAATTCCTCGCCTGAGATTGGTGCCATAATAAGGCGAAGCCTGTGGCTGCGACAAGTTTAAATTATGAGTACATTGTGAAGTGACATCCAGAAGCTGTTTAAGAGTTAAGAGCTGCAATTCTAAAAACAAACTGCCAAGGTTCTCATGTCAACTTTACACACTGTGTGACCTTGGGAGAGTTACATCAACTCTCTCTTACTTTATTTGAGCTAACTTAGTTGTCTTTCTCTTCCAGGCTCTTAACAAATACTTATTGATAATAAGGTTTATAGTTAGTATTTTAGGGGGTACAGTAAAGTTCTCCTTGGTGATTCAAAGACACTTTTTAACATAGAACCTGGGGGAAAAAAATCAACTTCCATAAATTATTCATTTATGGAAATCATAAGCCATGGATCTTCTAAGAAGTTAATGTGGGTTTTCATAGTCATTTTCTTCATCTATTGAATGGGTATATTACCAACCCTGGCTGCTTTCAGACAACTCTGGAAATGGCAAAATGTTAAAAATAATAACAGCAACAACAATGATAACAAAAGCGATCACAACAAGCACTTCTTTTACGCATATTATGTGCCAGGTGCTGTCCTGGGTGCCTTACATATATTACTTTAAGTTATTCCCACCACAACTAGAAGGTAGGCACTATTATTATCCCCCTTTTACAGACGGTGAAACTGAAGCACAGGGAAGTAACTTTTCCTCAGCCACAAAGTTAGTAAGAGCTGGACCTGAGATAAGAACACAGGCAGTTTGGTTCTGGAATCTTTGCCCTTAACTCTTAGATACCCCCAAGTCACTTGACAATTTGTGATGCATTCCCTCAAGGATTGCACCACATAGCCAAGGGGTGCTGTTTGGGAGATACAGGTCTTACTCTTAATCTGAAACAGTCTTTATGAAAAACAGAAAGTGATAAAAATTTGTTAAAAGCTTAAATGTGTTGATGACCATGAGGAAGATCTCACAAAAATGTCAATAAACCCATTCTTATATCAGCAGTATATATAATACGCTATGTTATGTACATGCTATATATCAATCTCTACATCTGGGATAATATGTATCCATCCCTACATTGAAATAATACAGCATATCAATACATACTATATGTGTGTGTGTATCCACAAATACATACATACATACACACACTGTTAATAATCAGTGGTATTTTTAATTCTAAGATCAGGTAATGTATTAGAGCACTGGCTAAGCTGATATAACAAGGAAACCTCAAAATATACTTATTTAGGAGAGAACTTCCCTCTCACATAAAGATCCAGATATATGTGGTGCAGATCTGGTAGAAATGCTCTGGTTGTCTGGGATCTGCTCTGCCTGCCACCTTCCCAATATGTGGCTTCCATTGCTGGGTGGAAGTGGATGTTACTCCCACCTTCGCCCTCTCCCAGGTGGCAGGAATTAGGAAAGGAAATGGGAATGCATGGCCAGCTCTTTAAAGGCCAAGATTCACCCATTAGTGGTGTACTTCAATTCTGTTCATAGCCTATTGGTCCAAATAGTCACATGGCCACACCTAGTGGCAAAGGGGGCTGGGAAATGTAGTTTTTAGCTAGATGGATGGTCACATGCCAAACTAAAAAGATTTGAGCAAACACTCAGGAATCCACTACAGCACAATTATTACAATTATTTTATTTTCTCATCTCCTAACGATAATAGCAAAACTCATTTCTCTTATTTAATTCCTTTAAGAATAAATTCAGATGAGGGAAGAAAACATTGATTTTAAAGGAGTTCAGAGACATGAAAATGGGATAGTGAAATATAAGGCTTAGAGTTTTTATCTTTATTGGAGGACCTCTAAATGAAGATTATGTTTGGCCACATCTCTGCAATTCAGTGATTTGTGTCTCTCCCTGGCTGCTGTCCCTCTCTGCTTCTAGAATTCCTGGCCCTTCTCTGCTTCTAGAATTCCTGGCCCTTCTCTTCTCCAGGGCTATCCAGCCACATCTGGTTGGAGAGAAAAGCAGCAGACACCCCCAAGAGAAAACTACAGAACTTTCCATAAGGTTTTGATTAGATTGGAAAGTATCCATTCCTTCTCTTCATTTCTTCACAGCAGATCTCTTTTTTCCCATTATGCTAATCAACTTAGTTTTATTTTCATCTTTAGAGCTGTCTATTTTTTCTCTGTCTCCACTTTCATGATTTCAATCACTCAGCCTTCTTTTTTTTTTTCATTTTCTCATTCCCTCATCCATTCTTTCTGCTCACTCATTCATTCATTATCCATTTTTCCACAGCTTTGGTTGCCATGATTAATTTTATTAATATTCATTTCCATTTTCTCATTTCCTTGCCCATAAAATGAACATCTCTAATTTACTGTGTAATCTTTTCTCTCATTCACTACTTTATTCCTGATCTCATTTGTTAGATTTCCTCATGCCTGGTCCATTCTTCAACTTATTTTACCCATTACCTCATTCATTCTATGTCACCTTTCTTCTACTTTCTTATCCCTGCAATTGATCCTCATGTGCTTTTTGCTATTTTCTCATTTTATGCATTCTTTCCCCATAATCCTGAGGTTACATTTCTTTTACATCTATATTTGGCATTCTATTATCTACTGTCTTAGCTTTTTTTCATTTACCCTATCTCAAGTATAACCATAAAGCATAAGTTACTCTTTTTTAAAAAACTGGGTCAAAATTTATTTATCTTTATCCAAAGTAGTAAGACAGACGGCTTAAAAGCTAAAGCTAAGCCCTCTTTCACAAAGATTGCCCAAAATATTTGGAGACCTTCATAAGGAAACATTGTCAGAGATCTTTACAAGCCACCTTCACAACCAGTTTCAAACCTTTATGGTCCTATCTCATTTTTGTTTCCAAATAATATTCATCAGCTTGATAATCCACCCATATACCAAAATGTATTTTTTAAATTACTATGGAATGTTTATAAAAATTTATGTCTATACTCAAACATTGACAATGGGCTACCAGAAAAGAATATAAAGATGATACATATGAAGGAAAGCCTGAAAGTGAACTACCAAGAAGTATTTGAGCACTGGCGACATGATTGGAATAAAACTACAGCATCTTGAGATGACTGCTCTGAAGAAACCGGCACTCTTTGGTTGGCATATAAAACAACACAATAGATGCCTAATACATGTTCCTTTCTTTTTTCTTTCTAGTGATTGTTACAAAAATCAATCAGTCTCACTGCTTTTACTCAAAACTTAAATTTGGCGAAGCACAGTGACTCACACCTGTAATCTAAGCACTTTGGGAGGCTGAGGCCAGTGGGTCACTTGAGGTCAAGAGTTCAAGACCAGCCTGGCCAACATGGTGAAACCCCGTCTCTACTCAAAAAATACAAAAATTAGCAGGGCATGGTTGGGCGTGCCTGTAGTCCTAACTACTCGGGAGGTTGAGGTGGGAGAACCACTTGAACCTGGGAGGCAGAGGTTGCAGTGAGTAGAGATCACACCACTATACTCCAGCCTGGGCAACAGAGTGAGGCCCTTTCTCAAAAAACAAAAAAAAAAACAAAACCAAAAAACCCTTAAATTTGCTTTTCCTATTTTTTTATTGCTTTTGGTTTTCAATGCAGATTCATTGGTGTTTTTTTTCTTTTTTTTCTTAAGGGAATGGGAGAAATCCAAGAATTTTAAAACACATGATAAAATGAAGAAATAAGACAATGAAAAAAGACATCAATTTCTTTTTTTTCTTTCTATTAATTCTACAGTTTCATGAGCCAGGTATTTAATATTTTTCTTGATCACTTCATTTTCATTTGTTAATCTCATGGTTTTTAAATCTGTACCTTCAGCCCAGATGTATCCCTTGAACTCCTGACCTATACAAGTTGACCCTGATATTCTCACATCATGCTTCCCAAAGACTTTCACAAATTGCCAAGTGTGTAGAATGTTACTGCAGGGCCTTATTTTCCCTTCCCACAGTAAGTATAGAGCTACAAAGCAAGTTGAAGTATAGGTTCCAGGAAGTAGACCACAAACTTGATCACTGGTAAAGTGGCCCATTCTTATATTAATATATTGGCCTAATCACATAAGATAAACTCTTCCCATGTCAATTATGAAGAATGAAAATCCCTTGCAGCTTTTTCTCACAATGGGAACTAAATTCTGGGTTGTTATCACACAGAAAAAAGAGAAGAGGTGTATTCTAGGGTCAAAGAAGCTTAGAGAATTAAATATTTTTCTGGAGGACTTTTTAGAGCTTTTAATATGCAAATATACATTGCAACTATTCAAGAGGGCTATAATATTTATTCTTTCTATTATAACGAATATATATCACATAGACATGAATTCTCCATCTCATTTTCCATTTGCAATGCCTTTTATAAATCTCCTCTTTTGTCCAATTATGTATCTCCTCATCTATTCTAAACCTGTGTTTCATTTTCTGCCTGTTTCTCACCCCTCACTTTATTTTACTGCTATTATATCACTCTTATTTGTTACCTCGTCTTCATTTTCTGTCTATGTGTGGCTTTGTTTCTCAGTTTCCTGATTTCTTTCTTTCTATTTTGAATCAATTCTCCCTGCTATTGTCTGGGCTCTGCATGTCCCTCTGCTCCCATGCAGAATTTGAGAACAGAGAGGCAGCCTCTGGGGTGACCCACCCTGTCAGGGCACCCTGTCTCAGTCAGATCTCATTTTCTCTCTCCTCCCAGATCTGCACCTGCAGCAGTCCAGGAAAACATAAAGCCAGTTATGAGCCAGAGGCCCAAGGACAGCTGTTGATCCTGAAAATGGTTTTAATTTGTCTCTGTCTCATTAGCTTAATGCTGATGCTGGTGGCCCCCAGGCTGCTGACCAAGCTCAGTGACTTTCTTTTCAACTTGGCCTGCAGCTTATTATCAGGGCCATAGATGAAGCTGACAGCTCAGGCAACCTTCCCTTTGTGACCCTGGCCCTGTGTGTCTACTCCCCAAGGACTTTCATTCATTTCTGGGCCCACAGTAATTAAAAGCTGGAGGGGAGACCGTCCTCATTGGCATGACAGGCAAAATCACATAAATAAATGCTTACAGTGCAGAAACCACCTTGTAAATGTAGGGCTCGCTTTGATGACCACCTGGGAGAATTATCCACCTGACACATGCTGCAGTGAATAGGAGTCCAGAGGCTGAATCGTCATAAATTGCTTTCAAAATCGACCCCAGAAGACCATCCATAACTAAGAAAGACACAAAGCTTGAAGAAATGTTTTTCTTTTCAGTAAATGATTTAAGTTGCCACATTTGAAAAACAGAGGGTTAGGTTTGAAATTGATCCAGTTAAGAATCTATTCAGGCAGAGTGCAGCAGGTAAATCTCTAAGACAAATAACAGTGCTGTCTCCTGGCCTGAATATCAATTTCTTGATAATTTTACCATGCAACATGAACTTCACCTCATTTGTATTTATTACGATTGATGCCCTCTGTGTCTTGAGACGGTGAGTGGCAGTGACCTAGGAGAACTTGCTGAGTTGGGAGATACATGAGTTGTTTTGCCTAGACCCCATATGCATGCTATTCTACACTCAATGTCTGATCAGTTCTGAGCTGATATGTTCGTCTGGGTTTCATGAAGGGATCCAGTTCCTGGGCAGAGGTTGATGAGGGTAACAAACCCATTCCAGCCCATGTGATAGTTAATTTTAGGTATCAACTTGACTGGATTAAGGAATACCTAGAAACCTCATAAAGCATCACTTTGGGTGTGTCTGTGTTTACAGCGAGGGTGTTTACAGAGAACATTGTCACGTGAGTCGGAGTGGACTAGGTGGGGAAAATCGGCCTTTAATGTGTGTAGGCAACATCCAATCCACTGGGGTGCACAGAAAACAAAAACAGAAAAAAGGCAAATGTGGGCGTGGCATGGTGGCTCATGCCTGTAATCCCAGCACTTCGGAAGGCAGAGGCAGGTGGATCACTGGAGGTCAGGAGTTTGAGAGCAGCCTGGCCAACATGGTGAAACCCCGTTCCTACTAAAAGTACAAAAAATTATCTGGGCATGGTGGCGGGCACCTGTAATCCCAGCTACTCAGGAGGCTGAGGCAGGAGAATCACTTGAACCCGGGAGGCAGATGTTGCAGTGAGCTGAGGTCATGCCATTGCACTCCAGCCTGGGCAACAAGAGCGAAACTCCGTCTCAAAAAAAAAAGGCAAATGTGTCCATGTGTCTATTAGAGCTGGGATAAGCCCTTCCTCGCCTGTCCTTGGACAACAACTCCAGACTTTCTCGCCTCTGGACTCCAGGACTTATACTAGCATGCCCCACAATGGGCCCCTGCCCTGCCCAGTTCTCAGACCATTGGCTTTCCTGTTTCTGAGGCCTTTAGACTTAGACCAAGCCATGCTGCCAGCATTCTGGAGTCTCCAGTCTGCAGAGGGCCTCTTGCAGGATGTCTTAGCCTCCATAATCGCATGAGCCAATTCCCCTAATAAATCCTCTCTCATGTATCTCTATATGCATCCTATTGATTCTGCCTCTCTGGAGAGCCCTAACCAATACAACCTAATTAAGATGAAACAAGCCTAGAACTTCACCTTCCCCTCCCTGTTCCAGAGCCTCTAGTGGTCACTTTCCTTTACCAGGATCCCTTCTCCTGCCCCTGCTGCCCCCAGGCTGCCCACCCTGGAAAGCATCTCATCCATTCATTCACTCAAACAGTATTCGGTAGGTGCAGGCTGTGTCAAGAACTAGGCTACGAGGCCTAGAGATGTATAAGTAAGGGCTTCCACCTTACAGGAACTCATGGGTCAGAAGAGAAGGACCTGAGAAACATGTGGTGATCATGGAAGAGGAGGGAGCCATAGTGTTTGGGAGCCCGGAGGACAGTGTTACCAGGGCAAGGGAAGACACGGGTGGGAGGTCCAAGGAAGCTCTTGGAGTCTTCCCCTTCTACAGCAATCTGTCTGCCTTAAGTTGCCCTGCCCCCAGACAAGCTGTCAACCTCCTGAAAGCAGAGCTAGGTGTACCCTGCCCATGGGGCATCCCCAGGGCCTGGCAGGGGCCTGGCAGGTACCTGGCATAATACCACACTTGCAGTGGGTTTTCAGGCTTATTGATGAATTAATCTATGTAGGACTTATGTGGTCCTTCAAAGACAAAACACACTGAATTCAGGAGATGGAAAAAGGGAATGGGCTATTATTATTTTGCCTTATTTAAATCATTTATGTATTTGAGTAGCTAATATAGTCACAGAGTTCAAAAATCAAAACAATATAACAAGAAATACATTAAGAGGTCTTACCTCTACCCTGATTCCCACCTATTCCTTTTCCCACCCCATCATACTCACCTCAGCCTCCTATGAGTTATAATTTTAGTTTTTGGTATATTACTCCAGTGTACCCTTATGCAAATAAAATCACACACATAGTTTTTCTTATTTTTACTCCTTTCCACACAAATGGTGGTAACTGAATAAATTTGCTTTTTTCTTTTACTCAACAATATATCCAGGAGCTCTTTCCCTAATAGTACATTGAGAATGACTCATTCTTTTTTACAGTTGCATAGTACTCCATGGTACCTTATCTGAAACTCATTTTAAGCACCTGTATTTGACTAGCCCTTTTCTCCTCCCCCATCACACCAAAACTTGCCCTCAAGACACTAATCTTCTTTAAGTGTCTAATTTAATAAAACAATCATGACAGTGCATTCAAAAAATGGCAGGGTGTGTTTATATGTATACTTTGTAAAACAGGCCATGAGGGCAAATGTCTCATTTCAGAGGAGTCAACTCCAAAGGAAGCAAGTGGAGAAGCATCTTGGTGCAGGGACTGTGTCTCCAGGCTATTCATATTCTTAAAAGGATCCCCCCATGCTTAAGACACTGAGGGGCTGAGCTCATTCTGGTTGAGGAAAATCGATCCTGTGGTGATTGTTGCAGGTTCTGCAGGCTGCTGATAAAGGAACTATTCGAAGTAGGTGCCCTGCACACTTTCTCAGCAATCTGGCACTCTGTCAACAGATGCAATCCTGGCTGGTGGTGACCCAGGATTTTTCTTGGCCACTTTGCTAACCTGGGACCTCCATGGCTGTGGGAGGTGCCCTGCCCACTCGGCCTGCTGGGCCATGCCTGGCTTGTGCATCAGCTCAGCCCACAGCTGGGCCAGGCGTGCCTCAGCTCACCTGTGTTATAGCTTGTACCTATGTTTGGCGGTTCCCAAATTCTTGTCCCGCAACCAAGAAGAATGAGGTTATGCTGATAATTGAAGGGTGAGGAGGGCAGAGAAGAATTTTATTCAGTGGCAGAACAGCTCTCAGCAGAGAGGGGATGCAAGGGTGGTCCCCCACCTGAAGCTGGGTGGTCTATCTGTGTGCCTGGGTCTGGGGCTTTTATGTGCTCAGAATGGGAAGTATGTGCTGATTGCTTTGCAAAACAAGGGTAAGACAAAGGCACCACTCTAAGGTGGGCACAACAGTGTAAAAAACCAATTAGAGAAAGGTACATATATGTAAAATAGATGAAGAGTTGGGATCAATCAGAGGAAAGCATGCCAAACAGGAAGACAGGTTTCTCAACCTTGTCTGTGGATTTAGACAGGACTTGTAGCTAGGCTTTACAAGCTGTCTTTGGTTTGAAGGTGGGGTTTCACCAGGGACCCGCCCCTGTCTGCCTAGGATCTGTCTGCCTCTTGCCACTATCAGTAGGAGGGTAGGGGATGGGTGCTTTCTGGTCCAGTCTACCCTCACTGTTCCAGAATGTAATAAGATTGTACCAATACTCCCTTAACCTTGTTTTCTCCCTTAACTAAAAACTTTCTTAAAATTAAACCAGATGAGATTATAGGTAATAGCATATTCGATTTTGCCTAATTCCTTCCAGCCAAACTGCAAGTGTGCAGCATATAAGATCTGAAACCTGAGCTGAGAATAAAGCCAACATTTTTATGTTAGTAATTATTGCTGACTTGTTTTTTAGCTTTTAGTATTCTAGGCAGCTCTGCTGCTTTGTGTGGCTGCTATTTTTAGTCATCTTTTATCTACGATTTCTCCCATCTTAACACGTCGGTTTTTCATTTCCACAGTTGAGGAGCTCAGGTATGTCATTCTTCCTGCAGAAGGACATGGGCTGTATTTGTATGTGTGAAAAGACCAGCGATGCCACCCGCCCTCTTGTTTTGGTTGCCTTAATGATGATTGTGGATTGTTATAGAACTGATGGGTCTGCAGACTCTGGATCAATAAGAGAGATGGTCAAAATGACCAAACTGGCCAGGTTGTCTTGCTGCTCATTCACCCTATTCCAAAATGGCCAAAAACTCGATGATGGCTGGGGCAAAAGGACACTTTGAAGGTTGTAAACTGTAAAAATTCCCTGCCCCAAATCAGCATGGGTCTTGGGCCATTCATTCTCACTGGAGGATTGAAGTACTTGAGAAAAACAATTGTGATTTCAAATGCTGAGGCTAGAAACCCTCCTAAAGAGGGCCTTTGTTGTTGTTGATCACCCAATTAGACATGAAAAACCAGGCTGCAGGGCAGAACACTTCAAAGAAGAAAGCAGAACAAAGAAAAGGCTACATTGCTCTGCACAGAGAAAAGAAAAAGAAGATTCGGCCACCCAGAGGAGTCTGAGCTTCCTGGCAGGAGGCTGGAGGAAGGAGAGAAAGCAATGGCTGGCCAGGTGTTCCTGGGGGCAGGAATATTTGGGAAATATCTAATGTTCAATTGTAGGTTGTTTTCTGGGCTGCAACTCTTTTCTGTTGCCCCTCGCAAATCTTCAATAAAATCTGCTATGAACATTGCCTGTGTCAATGATATTATGGGGAGAGGTGGGAAATGGAGTGGCCTGTGACACAAGGTGATGGGGTAGGAAGTAGAAGCCTCCTCCCACAGCCGTGGAAAAACAGACCTTAGGCTGAGGGTGCAGTGGAAGGAGAAGGTCTGAGCCATTGTGCAACTGATATACATAAGCCCTTTGAGGATTCCCAGAGGTGTCTGCCAGGACCCTGGATTTCTCCCTTTATATGGGCTGGTGGCTCAAGCCATTGTAGTTCAGTATTATAGAAAAAGGTAGCACCATAAATATGAAAGAATGCCAAACCCCAGGTTGCCAACTTCTCACTCAGTAATAAGTATAATTGAGGTTAATTTATACAAATTTTTAAAGAAAAGAATAGCAAGATGTTCTAAGTCCAAGTAATAACATTTTTTCCTTAGTATAGGTCAACAGGAAAAATGTAGCAGAATCAGGGTGCCACAATCTTGGGAGGGCAAGGAATACACACTCACACACACACACACACACACACACATGTATATTTTTATATATGTATGTACATAAATACAGCTAAACTTAATTTGTTTCCATTGAGAGTTCCCATTCATCTTAGTCAATCAGTGTATACAAGGTTGCATCTGAGCTGGGAGACAGAGGGTGAGAAGGGAAAGGACAGATATGCCAACCAGGTCGCACTGTGGCCACTCTACATTCTGACCTGGGAGAGACGCTGGGTTTCCCTCGAATCTTTGATCATTCATTGGTCCATGTGATTGGCAGCTTCCTTCATGCTCAGGCACAAGGCCCTTGCAGGTGCAGCTTTTCCTGAGCTCCTCTGTGTCCTCACAGGCTCTCAAGAACCTTTGCTGTTTGGGGGCCACATTCCCAGGGAGGGTGGGGAACACCATGGATCTGCCTAAGACCATTCATCACCTCTGGACCCCTCTTTGGTGTATGCAAAACATTCCATTATTTCCTTGTCACGTGGAGGCACAGGGGCTCAGATCCAACTCTTTAGGTAGTTGCACGTGGGAATGAGGCTGCAGATCTGCCCTGCCAGCAGCTCCTTCAGACCATCTGGTGGTTTTGGTTTATTTCCCCCACCCCAGTGGGGATAGAAGCAGGCCCTGAGTTTCCTATCTCAGATACCCCCTACTTATAAGCATTCCTCTCTTCCCCTTCAATGGTGCAACTCTGTGCACTGGGGGCTCTTCAGGCTTCCTTGCAGGAAGCCACATTCTCATGTTGTCAGATATTCTCCCAGATCTGCAGAAATAAAACGTCTGAAACTCAAAAAAGCTGCTGTTACCCTGCAAGGCACCTCTTCCCTAAGACAAAGGTCAAAGAGACTGTCACTGTTTCGCCATCAGTGCCTATCATTGGGAGTTAACTGCCAGTCATCAGGTGGAGGATTTCTCAGATCACCTCCATTCAAGGACAAAAAGCTCAGTGCTCCAGGACGCCATGAACCCAAGGGTTTATTAAATGGTGGAATGAAGAGAAAGCACTTGCAATTCTCTGCTACTGAGAATGAGGATGATTTCTTTTTTATTCTTGAACTAGAAAGAATCTAGCTCCTTCTAAACTGTTTCCTTTCATTATTATTATTATTATTATTATTATTATTATTATTATAAGTTTTAGGGTACATGTGCACAATGTGCAGGTTTGTTACATATGTATACACGTGCCATGTTGGTGTGCTGCACCCATAAACTTGTCATTTAGCATTAGGTATATGTTTCCTTTCTTAAGACTGGGTTTTTTTTTTAGTATTCAAGTGCCTTCTACCTTAAGACCTTTTATTCATATCAGACATTCTGAACCTGAAATTTGTGAGCTCCCTGAAATAATGGAAAATTGTCTAGATGACTTTCTCTGAGATAAGCGGCCATGATTTTTTATCTGCTTGTTTGTTTCATTCTTAAAAATCAGTTTCTTCAAAGAATTTGTGATCCAGATAAGGGTAAGAACTATTCCTCCAAGCCAAGGTCATAAACCTATTTTCTCTTGACTTTTGTGCTTCCCCTTGACCATGCTTTGAAGCTCAGAAAATACTTAAGATCTGTTTAAATGAAAATTGTCATTCTGTGCACTGAATTAAAGCCTTAAAATATGCAAACTTTAGCCTGTTATCCCTTCCCACAGGTTCAACTTATGACAGCACCTTATGGTTTTGAGGTAAAGCTGGATGTGACATCTGTCACCTCTTGATCACAAGGTCTTGGCACAGGTCTGCATCTCCTGACTGTTCTAGATGATTGCTTCCCGAGACTGGACATTTCATCTTCAATCACAGGGTGCAAGGAGCTCAGCTCCTCCCCTGTTCAAACCTCCAGAAGCTTACCTTCACATAGCTATTTGCACAGGATAAGGCTCTTTTGTATGCATTTTATCATTTGATCCTCACCATAACTCCAGGCAGATATTCCTGGCCCCATTTTATAGATGCAGAACTGAAGCTTAGAGAAGATAATGACCACTCCACGGTCCTGCCAGAGCTCATGCACAGCAGGGGGCTGCCTACAACTCTTTCCAAGATTGTTTTTAATTAAAAGTAATATAAGGCCGGGCGCACTGGCTCACACCTGTAATCCCAGCACTTTGGGAGGCCGAGGTGGGCAGATCACGAGGTCAGGAGATCGAGACCATCCTGGCTAACACAGTGAAACCCCGTCTCTACTAAAAATACAAAAAATTAGCTGGGCGTGGTGGCGGGCGCCTGTAGTCCCAGCTGCTTGGGAGGCTGAGGCAGGAGAATGGCGTGAACCTGGGAGGCGGAGCTTGCAGTGAGCTGAGATCGTGCCACTGCACTCCAGCCTGGGCGACAGAGCGAGACTCTGTCTCAAAAAAAGAAAGAAAAAGAAAAAGAAATTAAAGTCTCCGAATAGGCCGGGCATGGTGGCTCATGCCTGTAATTCCAACACTTTGGGAGACTGGGGCAGAAGGATGGCTTTTGGCCAGGAGTTCAAGGCTGCAGTGAGCTATAATAGTGCCATAACACACCAGCCTGGGCAACAGAATGAGACCCTGTCTCTTAAAATATACATATATAAAATTATATAAATATTTATAAATATTAAATATTTATATATTTAATATTTATATATTATATATGTATAAATATTTATATATTAAATATATAAATATATAAATGTATATATAAATATATACATAAATGTATATATAAATGTATATATAAATATATATAAATGTATATATAAATATATATAAATGTATATATAAATGTATATATAAATATATATATAAATATATATAAATGTATATATAAATATATATATAAATGTATATATAAATATATATATATATATATATGGCTGGGCACCGTGGCTCATGCCTGTAATACCAACACTCTGGGAGGCTGAGGCAGTTGGATCACCCGAGGTCAGGAGTTCCAGACCAGCCTGGCCAACATGGTGAAACTCCATTTCTACTAAAAATACAAAAAATTAGCTGGGCATGCTGTCAGACATCTGTAATCCCCAGCTACTCAGGAGGCTGAGGCAGGAGAATCATTTGAACCAGGGAGGCAGAGGTTGCAGTGAGCTGAGATCATGCCAGTGCACTCTAGACTGGGTGATGGAGCAAGACTCTGTCTCAAAATAAATAAATAAATAAATAAGGGCTGGGCACGGTGACTCACGCTTTTAATCCTCATACTTTGGGAGACCCAGGCAGGAGGATCACTTGAGGCCAGAAGTTCGAGACCAGCCTGGACAATATGGTGAAATCTCATCTCTACTAAAAATACCAAAATTAGGCCAGGCACAGTGGCTCAAGCCTGTAATCCCAGCACTTTGAGAAGCTGAGGTGGGTGGATCACGAAGCCAGGAGTTCAAGACCAGCCTGGCCAAGATAGTGAAACCCCATCTCTACTAAAAATACAAAAAAAAAAAAAAAATAGCCAGGAGTGGTGGTGGGTGCCTGTAATCCCAGCTACTCAGGAGGCTGAGGCAGAGAATTGCTTGAACCCAGGAGGCAGAGATTGCAGTGAGCCAAGATGGCGTCACTGCACTCCAGCCTGGAAGACAGAGTGAGACTCCATCTCAAAAAAAAAAAAATACAAAAATTAGTTGTTAGTTTAGTTGCTGCCTAAAAGCAAGACTAGGCTCTCATGGAGGTACAATGGGGCCGGACGCGGTGGCTCACGCCTGTAATCCCAGCACTTTGGGAGGCCGAGGCGGGCAAATCACGAGGTCAGGAGATTGAGACCAGCCTGGCCAACATGGTGAAACCCTGTCTCTACTAAAAAAAAAAAAATAGCCGGGTGTGGTGGCTCATGCCTGTAATCCCAGCTACTCAGGAGGCTGAGGCAGGAGAATTGCTTGAACCTAGAAGGCAGAGGTTGCAGTGAGTCGAGATTCAGCCACTGCACTCCAGCTTTGGCGACAGAGCAAGACTACATCTAGGCGGTGTCGGGGGGAAGAAGTAAAATGGACAGCAGCAAACCACAGGTGTGATAGGAGAGAATACTGAGCTGAGATCAGTCTCCTAAAATTTGAATCGGATTTCAGGATCATTCATTTATCTGACTGTCAAGAATGCCTCTGAACAGGAGGAAGAATTTGGGGAGAGGGTGGGGTTTGTTGAAAGGGCACCGAGAAGGGAAGGGGGTGGTACCCAAACAATTTGTTTACATAATGTTTTTTGGACCTAAAATATGTAGAAAAGTACTTTGAAACTAAAGTACTGTACTGAAGTTTAATATTTTTCTTATTGCTTGCCTATTCTCCCTCCCAGATAATTTACAGAGGGCACTAAAGCTGATCCCCTGGGAGCTTCAGAGTTTAATGACTTCGCCTGACGATTTCCTATTCTTTTCCACAAGGTGCTAAGTCAAATTATGGCCAAATTACCAATCGCATGGTAATTCAGCTTCTAAATATATTTTGTAGAGTGTTTCCAAAAGTTAAAAAAAAAAAAAACTTTACCTAAATTGTTTTTACTTGCTTCACCTTAAATCAGTTATTCGGTTCCTTTGAAGAACATGTTGCTTTAGCAACCCCCAAAGTGAACCCAGATACCCAGGACTACTGATTGTTACATCAGAGTTTTTGAAAACGCCAACACTGGAAACAGGCCGACAGTTAAGGAGAGGCAGGCCTCAAACTAAAGCAGAACCTTCTCAAAACTACTTATATTTCAAGAGATGGATTAAGCGAAAAGAGCTGTACAAAGAAGCCATTGTCTATGCGCCTGTTATATGCAAGGCACTGCACTCCCTTGTCACTTGTTAATTTACAAGAAGACTCGCGGGTCCAAGGAAAGGGAGAGGGGAACAGGTGCAAGGTTTGTGGAGGGCGGCAAACTGCACTCCACGTGCCGCGGGGCTGCGCTTGCGAAGACCAGGGTTCTGATGCCTGGCGCCGGCTGCCAGGTAGGGGCGCGCATCCTGCGCAGTTGCCGCGCGCGGCCTCCTCCAGCTTCAGGCCGGGCCAATCAGGAGGCGGGCGGGAGGGGGCACGGCGCCGCGAGGGGGCGGGGCCGTTCGGGCTTTGCTGTCTGCTGGCCAGCTGGAGTCCAAGGTGGGCGGGTCACAAGGTCAGGAGATCGAGACCATCCTGGCTAACACGGTGAAACCCCGTCTCTACTAAAAATACAAAAAATTAGCTGGGCGTGGTGGCGGGCGCCTGTAGTCCCAGCTACTCGGGAGGCTGAGGCAGGAGAATGACGTGAACCTGGGAGGCGGAGCTTGCAGTGAGCCAAGATCGTGCCACTGCACTCCAGCCTGGGCGACAGAGCGAGACTCCATGTCAACAACAACAACAAAAAAAAGTAATATAAGGCATTCATTTTTGTTTCACTGCTCTAGCATGAGTTGAATTGTGTCCCCTCAAATAATCCATATGTTGAAGTCCTAACCCTCAATACCACAGAATGTGACCCTATTTGGAAACAGGACTGTTGCAGATATAATTGGTGATAATGAGGTCAGGCTAGAGTAGGGTTGACCCCTAATAAAATATGACTGGTTTCCTCATAAGAAGGGAAACTTTAGACACAGACACATACAGGGAGAATGCCATGTGAAGAGACAGGCAGAAATCAGAGTGACGCTTCTATAAGCCAAATACTGTGCTGGACCCATATTAACCTCAACAGGGATGGCACCAGGTTCAAGAAGTTGAAGAAGAGACCCAGAGCCAGCAAACGAGACCCCGTGAGACACAGAGTTTTATCAGCTGGAAACTTACATACAGAGCGGTTCCATGGTGGTGAGCTGGGCGGGAGAACTGCCACTGCTTGTAAGAAGCATGCAGTTTACATAGCATTTTACCTTAGCACCCTCCCCCTAACTACCTGTACCTGGCAACCTTCATTTAACTCAAAACAAAGAGCCTCAATCCCCTGCATAGCCTACATTTCATGGGACAGGCTTGGGGGACAGTCCAATGTTCCTCACGGATAAGGAATAAGTCTCTGGTTTGGCCGCTCCTTAGATTCCTTAGATTTTGTAACTCCAAACACACATTCAGGCGCATCTGCCATGTAGGCTCATTCTCAATGTAAGCTTAAGTCAAGTTATCATTGTCAGGTGCATCTACCATACTCTAAGGAATGCCAAAATTGCTAGCAAATCATCAGAAGCTAGACAAGAGGCTTGAAACAGATTCTCAAAGCCCTCACAAGGAACCAAGCCTGGACACTTCTAGCCTCTAGAACTGTAAGACACTATATATCTGTTGTTTAAGCCACCCAGTTTGTGGCACTTTGCTATGGCAACCCTAGAAATTAATACATTCCCTCTTTCACAATTTTTAAAAAGTAAAGAAATAGATGCATCTTTGCTTTGGCATGAAATATTAGAACAACACAAAAATATGTAGAATAAAAAGTGAAATGCCCCCCCCTTCACCATCCTAATACCATTCCTCTCCAACATAACCACAATTATACTGGGTAGCTACTCCTCCAGAACTTTTTCTGTGCATTTACACACAGATTTGTAGAGATGCTCATATGTGTTTATGAACCCAGTTTTTCTGACTCTGGGTTTTCCCTTACATGTTATTATTCACTCGGATACCTAAGATAATGTTTACTCGTCTATTGATTGTTAATTCAAAGTGTTTCTTCTTTTTAACAACCCATTGAAGTTGTGTGCACGTGTATGTGTGTGTGTGAGTGTATTTTCATAATCATTTCAGGAAGAAAGAAAAATTCAAACAAAGAGACCTCTCTGAGGTAAAATGTGCACATTGGAAAAGCTTTTAGATATTGCAGACATAGATATACTTGCTTTGCATTCATCCTACAGCTAGAGACCAGGTGAAAAGTGTGAAATACAAGTTTTGTGATATGTTTTCCCTCAAGCTCAGAGGGTAATTCATGCTTCCACGTAAATACAGGTGGTAGTTATCTACCCACAGATGTGACTGCCCCCCTCCAAGTTTTACCTGTTAAAAATGCATCTTTTCCCACTGCCTGGACAAGGTGCTACTCTCTCCTATCAACTCAGAAATTTCTGCTTTTTAAAAACAAAGCCAAATAAAAAAACAACACTGTCTCCATATGGCCACTGTTGCAGAGCGCATATGGTGCCTGGAAGGAAAGAGAAAGCCTTGCACTCCTGTGGTCCTCTCCAGTTGATACATAGACTAAAGTTCAAGAATGCTCAATCTGCATATGAATGGAGGGAAGCGTGGGGTCTGAAAGGGGAAGTCAGCAGGTACCTCCTGCAGCCCTGGGTGGCCTGTTTCCAAGTCCGGTGTCCTTCCTGCCTCACTCACCACCGTTCTTAGAGTACTTCATTCCCTGGGTGCCACACAAATGAGGCATCCCACCAGCCAAGATGGAAAATATTTCATTAACTGTGCTGCCCATGGAAAATAAAAGTAGAAGGGAGAGCCCAGAACAGAGGCTGAGGCAGAAAAGAGAATGGTGGAGGTGAAAGCCTGAAGCCCAAAAGGAAAAAAAGAAGCAAAATGAAGATGTGGAGTGGCAGCCGTGGGAGGAGAGGGGTGATCACAAGGGGGTGGACAGAAAAGGCCTTGGCCTAATATAGCAGTTTGGCCCCTGTCATGGTTAATTTTGTGTCAATATTTGGCTAAACATTTTTCTGGATGTTTCTGTGAGGGTGTTTTCTGCGAATGAGATTAACATTTAAATTGCTGGACTTTTAGTAGCATGCCCCTTCATAACACAGCTGTGACTTATCCAATCCATTGAAGGCCTTAACAGAAAAAGACTGACCTCCCCAAGAAAGAAGAAAATATGCCAGAAGATTGCCTACAGGCTTGAACTGCAACTCTTCCCTGGGTTTCCAGCCTGCTGGTCTATTCTGCAAATTTTGGACTTAGCCTCCCCACAATTGTGTAAGCCAATTACTTAAATACAATGCTCTCTCTCTTCTTCCCATATTGGTTTTGTTTCTCTGGAGCACTGGAAACTTATCCTATTGGTTCTGTTTCTCTGGAAAAATTACTAATATAGCCCACAACAATCTCGCCCCTCCCTGTATGCCCATGCCACTCCTCATGTCAAAAGATAGGGCTTATTTCTGCTCCCCTTGAAGCAGAAATAAGGGGATCGCTTTGACCAACAACATGTGTCAGGTGTGAAATTCTAAGACTTCTAAGTGCAGGCTATAAGAGAACTGGGAACTTCTACTTCCTTCCTCTTGCAACCCAGCTGCCATGCTTTCAGAGACCCTAGCTACATGGAGAGACTGTGTTGAAGAGAATCTAGGTGCTCTGATCAACAACCCCCATGGAGACTTCAGCACCACCAGCATTTTCCAAAACCAGATGATCCTCAGATGACTGTGGCTTCAGATGATATCACATGGGGCAGAAGAACCACCCAGCTGAGCTCCATCAGCTATGGCCTCATGAGAGATAATAAAATTGGTGTTGTTTTAAGCCACTAAGTTTGGGACTGGTTTATTACACAACGATAAATAACCTGCCTTGAAATTTGGCTCAAGGTAGACCCTTTGTCCATTAAGACCTCTGTCTTCCTGGATGGCTTTTCCTATGCCTAGCAAGAACCCATTTGACTCCCTAGAGAAGGGTTGCCCTTATTTTCAAATCCAGGATACCCCTTCCCTAGGTCTTTAAGCAGTTCCTGCCAACCATGCCAGAGACAAATCACACTGCTACAGCTATGTTTGAAGTCACCAGCTAAAAACTACTCCTCCAACAGTGTTTCCCAACCGCCAGAATTAGTTCATTTGCAAATAAGTGCCCTGAACCCTTTATCATGTTAAGCAAAGTGATAGTGGTGTTTGGTGGAGGCAGACACTTTGCTAGGGAGTCATTTGAATTAACTCCACTGTTATTTGCTTGGTAGGAACCTGGCCTTAGTGGCTTCTTTCAACATTATATTACACTGCATTGCCCAAGGTCATTATCAATCCAAACCCCAGTGGAACTAGGCCAAGCTGCTCATAAACTTCTCTTTGCGATCTACCACAGGAATGTCCTCCATCTCTCAAAAAGGGAGTTCATTCTGTACCAATGATGTTAAGACCTTTACAATGTAGATTTAACTTGAAAGAATATAGAATATAGGAAACTCATATAATCTTATGGTAACAGGGTCTAAAATTTATATTCATCACTCAGGTATGTAAAACAAACATAGTTTATCTATTCCCTATAAATAATCTGACATTCTTCAGGCCTACCTTATTGACTAGTTGGGAGAAGGTATTCAGATACAAAATTTGAATTCGCCACAATTTATGGCAATGCAGTCTCTTTCAGTGTAAGCTGTCTTTCTTAGATGACTCAACTTTCTCCTCCACATGCTCTTCTTGGTGAGGGTAGGCAAGTGTAATGAAGTGTGTGCAAGGGCCTGTATCCCTTCGGGGAGCTTCAGACTCTTATTGTTCTGTTGGTGAGTGAGACCTCTGGTCTAGTCTCTGAACTGATGACCACAGGGGTCTGTCTGGTTGCAGACATTTGCCCCAGTCATAAACTTTCCAAGCTTGCTCCCAAGGACTGTTCACCTCTGTGCTGTTTGCCAAAGTTTGTGGGGCCTTCTGACCCCCACATAAGAACTGCTGCCCCAGCTCACCTGTTGCAGTATTGTGCCCTGCCACATTGGCAGTGCCTGAGCACAGGACTTCTCCTAAAAGCTCCTTCACCATCTCCAGGACAGCCAGAAGAGCATGCCACTAGCCCTGTACCTTTAGTGACCTCAGATTCCTGAACAGCTGAATTTTTTCACTATGGACCCCCTGGAGGACCCTGCTCGTACAAGGCACAAGCAAGTACACATGTCTGAGCTTCTCCTCTCTCTGCTTGCAGTTTACCAGGGCTGGAAAGGGTGTGTAAGGGTGTGTTTTCTTTTCTTTTTTTTTTTTTTTTTTTTGAGACAGAGTCTCACTCTGTTGCCCAGGGTGGAGTACAGTGGCATGATCTCGGCTCACTGTAACCTCCATCTCCCCAGTTCAAGCAATTCTCCCTGCCTTAGCCTCCTGAGTAGCTGAGATTACAGGCACCCCACACCATGCCTGGCTAATTTTCGTGTCTTTTAGTAGAGATGGGGTTTTGCCATGTTGGCCAGGCTGGTCTTGAACTCCTGACCTCAGGTGATCCGCCTACCTCAGCCTCCAAAAGTACTGGGATTACAGGCTTGAGCCACCACTCCTAGCCAGAAAGGGTATGTTTTCTACTGTCTTTGTCATAACCTGGGTTCTCTGTGTGCTGTAGAACAGGGTTTGGCAAACTTTTTTTATGAGGGGCCAGATAGTAAATATTTCAGTCTTTGTGGTCCACATGGTCTCTGTAGCAGCTACTCAACTCTGCTGTTGCAGTGTGAAAACAGCCATAGACAATACATGAATGAATAAGTGTAATAGGGTTCCAATAAAGCTTTGTTTGCAAAAACAGGTGGAAGGCTAGATTTGTGCTGTGGGCCAGTTTGCCAGCCCCTGCTATGGAAGAAACCACATGAGCTTAGTCTTCCAGGTGTAGATCTTGATAAGGCAGTATAGTGGGTAAGAGATAACCACAATTTCTTTTTTACACTCTTGACTTCAAATGGTAGCTCTCTGCATCTTTACCTTAAACCTGGTTGAGTTAATGGCTGCTTTAACCAATAGAATATACTAGAAATAACAATGTGCCCATTTCTGGTTCAGAGAATGGCAGATTTTTTTTTTTTTTTTTTTTTTTGGTCTTTTGGAACATTCACTCTTAAAACCCTGAACCCTGCCACGTAAGAGGTCCAATTACCCTGGAAAGACTATATGGAAAGGCCCTGAAATTATGTGGAGACAAGCAGGGTGCGGTGGAGCTCAGCCTTCCAGCCATCCCCACCACAGCACAAGACCTGTGAGCGAAATTATCATAGATTGTCTAAGGAAGCCCAGAAGCCAGTGGAATTCCACTGACATCCCCCAGACCAAGCTATGCATGGCAGAAGAATCACTCAGCTAAGCCCTGTCCAAATTTGTGGCCCACAGGAATCATGGTTCTTTGAAGTCACTAAATTTAGGTGGATTGCCAGAACAGGTTATGGCTGAAAACTCCCTGGATTACTTCAAAAATATTATTCTCATTCCAATTAAAATCTAGCAAAGTCACTGAATCTCACTGTTTCCACCTCTTGGTAAGCACAAGGTGAAGCTTCAACCAACTGACTACCTGTCTTACATTTTGGAGCATAAGATTAACTTTTCCTGCCAAAAAATTTCAGCAAAAATGTTCTTGAAAGAAGCATGTGCAAATCAAATGGAAGAATACGTGGTTTGGGAAATGAGAAGACTTTAGCATTGTGTTTGATGAGCATTACATTTTTACGGCCTGTAGGGGCTTGTAGCTTCCTTGTCCTGATTATGCAATCCCACAGCATGGCACACAGGAAAAGATGTGCCTAGTGCCTGTTGAAGCAGAGCAAGGATAAGAAGGATAAATGAATATGAAGTCTTTCTATCTTCTTTCTGCCTTTCAGGAAGGGTTTTTGCTTTGTGGCTGTCAGCACCTGAACTTTCGTTTTTGGTGCAGAATCTGGGAAATGGACAAATTTTTTCCCAAGAAAAATAATTGGAGTAAGAGGCCAGACTATACTTTCCAAAGTTTTTTGTAGGGAGCACAAATGGAGGCTCTAGAGTGGGAGTGAGGGTGAAGGGGAAATAGAGGAGACATGTGGAAGTAAAGGAAACGCAGGAATGGGAGAGGAAGAACCAGATTGTCAGGCACTGTTGAGTGGAAGACATTGTGCTGGGTGCATGTGGGGGGAATATTCTATAGTGGGGAACTGGGAATGGGGAATTGATTTACAAAGTAGCAACTTCTGCCTATGTGGAAAATAGTGGAAGATTAGAGAAGATGATTAAGATATTTTGTTAGACATTAAGAACAGCAACCCCACTTCCATGCCTTTGGTCTTTTCTAAAACACTGAATACCATTGAAATAGTTGATTATCATATGTGCCTATTGTAAACTGCAATGTTTTCTTTTTTTCAAAAGTATCCTTTAAAAGAGAGGAATCATAATCAAATCCCTCCAAAGTTTCTCATATTATAGGCTTTCTATCATTGACTGTACTTTATTTTGAACAGCTGGTGCTGTTGGGAAAGGGACATTGGCCTGAACTGATCTCAATCAATGCCAGTTTTGGGTGATTCTGGAATCAGCTGATGGGGTCAGTTAGAAAAGAGCAAAACTATTTAATACAGATTTACTTGTCTGTTTGTGGGATATCATCTCACAGTTGTAATTGGTGATATTATCGATAGAATTATTTTAAAGATCTTTCAAAAGCAAAACAGTACGTGCTTCTGTTGTAGAGATCAAGTGTAAACACAAACAAGATAAACAAAAATAAAAACAAGTGATCTAATATTTCACAAATGGGTACTTAATCCTTGGGATGACATTCCCAGTGATGACATAACACATGCTGTCAATGCTATTTCTCTACAAAGAAAGATGATATGCTCTGCAACACTGTGGAGAATGATTCAAAAGTGACTAGTCATGTTTTCAGTGATTTTTCTGATTAGAGAAAATAGGAAATTTATTGATACATATAGTTGTTTGCATGAAATCATATAGACAAATATTCATTTCTGCTTTTCTGCTGTTTCTTTCCATTGACATGGCACAAAAGTGAAGCCACATTGAGTCCCAGCTACATTCAGGTCTCACAATATATTATTTAGAGCCCACATGGGTAATACAAGAAAAAGTAACCCTTTGGTCTAAATTTTATATATGTTTCAAGAGAGAGTATGGGGTTTAGGATCTTTGTTATCCCCAAATACTAGTTTTGCATTTCTTAATACATGTAGACAATTCCAGAAAACACTCAAGGTGAAATCTCAGAGGTGATAATCACATATACACGTGCTTCTTGAGATTGGCACATAATTTTGTAATATTATTTTAACTTTCTAAAGGAGAGGGTACAAAATAAATTAGAAGAAAAATTAATTTCATCCTTGTGCTAATTTGGTACAAGAGGAGTTATGATTAAAGGCATGTAGTTTTCTATTGATCTAACGTTGATCTACCATAAAGGCCATGAATTGACTCAGTCAGGTCAGATCTGACTCAGAGACTTGCTTTTTTTGGATTGCACAGTGTTTTTGTTTAAGTTTTCATCAGTTCCTTTTAAATGAGGATTCTATAATTCCCCCAATCACCTCTACCCACTTACACCTTGCCTTCTTAGCCAAGTATATTATCTCGCTGGTTCCTGCAGACATTTTTTACCGTCCCTGATGAAAGTTTATAGAAATTAGTTTTGTAAGTTGGCCATAAAACCTATAAAACAATTCAATTATGAGTCAGTTGCCATATCATTCCCAGATTTACTATAAGTGAGCTCAGAAGAGGAGAGGAAGCATTTGGTTGGCCCTGCCCTTGGCTTTCTACATGTTACACTTTAAATTTATTCATAACTTTTCACCTAAGAATAATATTGTGGCACTGAAATTAGCACTGATGGTGTTGGATAATTCCCTCTGAACAAAGGATGTTAGTGTTACGGAAGTCTGGCATGGAGATTCTCATAATTATGAATGTCCAAACTGTACTCCCTGAGGGAAAAGTCTATGTGAATGAAGCCTGGCTCTGACAATCCACACATTTCTTGAGGGCCTATTAGGAATCTCTAGCATTTTCCACATTTCATTCAGCATTTTGTGTTTCTTTTTCCCACTTTATAGACTAAACGAATAGATTATAAAGACGAGTTTATTCTGAAAAGACCACGTCAATCTCATTAGCACCTACTTGAAATGGTATCCCTGTGTGTTAGAATTCCTTAGTAAGTCTCCTTCCATTTTTCTAGAAAAAATCTGCGTAGCAATAATATGTGTTTAAAAATAAAAGCCAGCTGCTCCTCACACATTCACAGCTTCTCCGCCCGCCCTTCTTTGCAGGGCATACAGGAAGTCAAATTTTCAGTTTTGTTTTGCTTTTTAAAAATCATCAACTACAAGACTATTTTCTATTTAGATGGATCTGGTGCCTGGAAGTGGGTATTTTTGTGCCCTGCCTCCCTAAATAAAAAAGGTATTTATCCATTTAACATGTTGTCCATTTCAGCCCTTTTTAGACCAGAGGGACTAGACAACATATACATTTTGGAAGACTCATGTGCTATTGCACTAATTAATAAAACCACATTTTAAGCAAACATGCTGTTCTCTTACCTATTTTTAGGGGAAAAATACCTAAGGTGTTAGATGCAGTAGGTTGATTACTGAAATGACCCCATTTTCTACCCCTCCTTGTATCCAAACCCATTGCAAAGTGACCTTTCAGCTCCTCCCATCAAGATGTGGATTCTATTTCCCCACTCTTGAGTCTGGGCTGGTCTTATGACTGTCTTTGGCCAATGTGGCAAAAGTTGTGGTGTGCCAGTTCTATGCCTAGTCCTCAAGAGGCTTAGTGTGCGCCCACTCTCTTGAAACTTTGCCACTGCCATGAGAAAAAGCCGGGCTAGCCTGCTGGAGGATGAGAGACCACATGGAGAAGAGCCAGGCCACCCCAGCTGAGGCCATCCCGGACTGGGCAGCCCCCCGCCAACCTGTTAGCTGATTGTAGGGGTGTGAGAGATACTTGCCAAAATCAACTAAACCCAGCCCACATCAGCAGAATTGTTCAGCCATCCCACAGACTTGTGAAAAATAATGAAGAGCTGTTTTTAAGTTGCTATATTTAGCAGCAGTTTGTTATGCAACAATAGCTACTTGATACACTCTGTCACAAAATATAAATTTAAAAATGTATTCACATATATAATAGAGAGTATGAATATAGATGTGACTGCACTGTGGCTTGGGATCTAGTGTCAGATTCACCACGTTCAAATCCAGCTTTTTCACTCACAAAAATGATAACAAGTTAATCTCTTTAAACTTTAGTTTCTTCCTGGAAACTAAGGAAAATTAGTACATTGTAGCACTGTTGTAAAAATTAGAGAATATATATATATATTCTCTAATATTGAGCACAGTTAGTGCTTAATCAATGAAAGACACTAGCATGTCTATGCATATGGTTATGTTTGCTCTTATGTGACTTGTAACTAATAAATTCACCTTTCTATGGCCCAGAGATTACAGCCAATAAGTAGTTACCTATGAGAGTTGTCTGTGTGTCTGGCCCTCACAAGGAGACCTGCCTAATCCCCAGGCCCTCTAACGACTTCCTTTTCCTAGAAACATCTCAAGGTACTTCTCCATGGAGGCCTATGGGCTCAGACCTTCACTCCAAAGCACAGCCTTCACTTCTGCTGGCCTTCTGCTATGCTTCAGTGTGACTGCCCTCACCTTGATCTGTCTCCTTGATTTACTGCTATTGTTTGATTGCTTCTCCCTTGGTCTTCATGATTGCTGCCACATTGACATTATCACTCCAGCTCGGCTTCTCCAGCCATTAGCCCAACCTTTTTACTCTCCTCACTGGTACATTTATCAGGTTCTCACCATGTCATGACACCATGGTAGAAACTCACCAAATTCCTTTTTCTCTCTCAGTACATAGCTAGACTACATTTTCCAGCCCCCTCATATCTAGTTCTCAATAATGGAACTCTCACGCTGGAGCGATATATAACTTCTAAGAAGAAACATATAAAAGTGGGTATGCCTTCTCCACATTTTCTTTTCACTTCCTGGTTGGCTGTTTGGAAAGCATAGAGTGGAGGACAATTGTGGCACAGGGGATGACAAAGGTACTAGTTGGAAACAACCTGGATCCCTGTGTCACCACCTGGAAGAGAACAACCCGAGAGGACATGACCAGAAACATCTACATTGAACTTTCCACGAGTTAGAAACGAATTTTTATTATGTTAAGTCTCTAATATTTTAGTGGTTTTTTGTTACCACAGTATTGCTTAATGTATCCTGACTAGCACAACTCCCAAATTCTGTAGCCCTACTTTCTGTTTCTTAACATGCTTCTAGCATAACAGCTATAATTTGCTTCTCACAGATCCTTTGCATCTTTAAAGTTGGGCAAGTTACCTAGAAGTTTGGTAAAAAGAAAATATAAAGTAACTCAAAAAATATTTTTGAATGCCTATTAGTTGCTGGGTAGTGGGCTAGGCACTGAGATTATGTAGATGAAACACAAAAGTGATAACATAGTGCTTCACTCAATATTACACCTCTGGGGGCTGAGTTATCTCTGCTCCCAAGATATCTTCACTCTGCTCCCAAGAATAAATTCCCTGTCCATACTGGATCTTGTAGGAAGGGTAAAAGATAGTCTTTTTCCCTGTGCTTCTTATTGACAAGTCTCAGTCCTAAGGCTACAAGGCAGCTCCCATATATCTTGTTTTTTTTTTTTTCCTTCTGAAGATCCACTGGAGCCTCTTATGAAGATCCCTCACTGGCTGCCCTAACATGCCAGGACTTCACAGGTGACTAGGAAAATAGGTAACCCCCCACAACACCCTCCCTGTAGTCATACAATTTTAATGTCACAGTATGTTTTTATATGTTGTTGGTTGTTTATTTTTTCTCCCTAGATGCCCAGAAGGGTGGATCACAAGATTGTGAATTTGACTTTCACTCTAGCACTCTGTACAAGAAAAACTGTATCTGGTAGAGACATGAAGTTATTTTAAATGGGAAAATAAATGATTAGTAAAATGATAGTTATTTTAATTTTCACTAGAAAAGATAAGACACTTAAATAAAGAGGGAGACTTTCCATCTTTTTGGGAGAGCAAATATGAGGTTGATTTAAAATTTTTTTTAAAAGCCCCAGCCATGAAACTTACTCTAAACATAACAAATTTGCATTTCCATTTCCAATTTAGCCTTATAGTCCTGAAAACATTTCTCCTTCCAAAGATTTTTGGTATTTCATCTGCTACTAAACAACATGCTGCCGGATAATTAAAGAGCCACATTTGGGGTGTTTTCAAGAATCTCCGTGTGTTCCTGGGATGGTTCCACAGAACTTCAGATTACATCGTCTGTTATACATTGTTAAAGGGAATTGTTGAAATCAGAGACGTCCATTGAGCCCAGAAAGAACCAGAGGAGCAACAATAATAGCTGGATGCTATAAATGCCTCAGTATTTGAACTCATCTTTCAATCATTGCACTCACCGTAGGTAGAATATTCAGCAAAAGGACGTTTGCCACAGAACCATCATCTGTTTCTCACTCTGCAGTGTCTGACAGTGAGTGAGATCGGCTCACTTTGATACTGAATGTGTTGGTTGGAGATAATTAATTCCCAGCCTGTGTGAGTTAATCATTGTTTCCCCACTTTTCTCAGCTTTAATCAGACTCCCATGAGCCTTCCACTGAGCATGCTCACAAGAGCATTCACGTGCCCCTTGTTATTGCTGTCAAATCCCGTATGCGAAAGGAATCTACTTTACAGAACGACAGCACAGCATTCTTCACTTAACAGCAACTAGATTCTACTATTCAATTTATGGACTAAAGTTGACAGATATAGCCAATTGGCCATTGATAATAGTACAACATACAATAAAATTATATTTTAAGACAGTGCCAACTTGAGTACCTTTCTTCCATATAAACAATTCACAAGGTCCCTCATGGAGGAGGAACACTGTTTTCTGATTATCCTGTAATTGGTACAAAATATTTCACTAGGCCAGGTGCGGTGGCTCACACCTGCAGTCCCAGCACTTTGGGAGGCCAAGGCAGGTGGATCACTTGAGGTCAGGAGTTCGAGACCAGCCTGCCCATCATGGCAAAACTCCGTCTCTACTAAAAATACAAAAAAAAAAAAAAATCAGCTGGGTGTGGTGGCACGTGCCTGTAATCCTGGCTACTCAGGAGGCTGAAGCAGGAGAAGCGGCTTGAAACCAGGAGGTGGAGGTTGCAGTGAGCTAAGATTGTGCTACTGCACTCCAGCCTGGGTGACAGAGTGAGACTCTGTCTCAAAAACAAAACAGCAAAAAAAACAAAACAAAAAAAAATTCACTACTGAATTGGAAGTATTGCATTTTCTTTTCTCTCCGTATTCATTTTTTGGTTGTTGTTGTTTGAGACGGAGTCTCGCTCTGTCACCCAGGCTGGAGTGCAGTGGCACAATCTTGGCTCACTGCAACCTCTGCCTCCTGAGTTCCAGTGATTCTCCTGCCTCAACCTCCCAAGTAGCTGGGATTACAGGTGTGCACCACCATGCCCAGCTAATTTTGTATTTTAGTAGAGACGGGGTTTTGCCATGTTGGCCAGGCTGATCTCGATCTCCTGACCTCAGGTGATCCACCCGCCTCAGCCTCCCGAAGTGCTGGGATTACAGGTGTGAGCCACTGCACCTGGCCTAAAATATTAAAAAAAAAAAAAAAAAAAAAAAAGAAGCCTAAGTATTTCTGACTCTTCAATACTAGAACCTAGCAGCTAACCCAGGGAAGGCTACTCAACAAACAGCTATTGAACTAAAATCTTTCCACGTTTGTTCAATTGAAATGGTTGTTTTATCTTTACCCTGACTTTTATCTGCTTGGAATATCCCTCTGGCAATAATGCTGTATTCTGACACACAGTTCTTTTTAAGTACTAAGTTACATTGCTGTTGGAGTTTTAGATTTTGAATATTCCCCGTGTGGGCATTTCAAATGATAGATGGAACACCTATGCCACTAAAAATTTTTAACTACGTGAAAGAAAAATTTCTCTACTTGTTTCTCTTCAACCATAATATTTTTAATCAGTACTGAGATGATAAATTAAACTAAATAGATTGCTCAGTTGATTTTTTGTGTGTTACTGCCGACTTTATTTTTCTTACGATCATTCTGACATTCTTCTTTGGTTAAAAAGAAAGAAAACTCAAAAAGATGTACCCTTTGAATTAAAATTTTGATAAAGATATAGAAAGAAAGAAAAAGAGAAAAGGGGAAATGAAGAGAAGGGAAGGAATTCAAAGATGCTTTGATATAGATATGAAAGATCTTGGCTTGAGCCTTCTGTTCTCTGTAGGGTCCAGACCCTTCCAGACACATTCATTGATCTAGGGGGATAGGGAAGCCTCACAGGCCTGTTGATGTGGCTGCTAAGGAGCCTCCGGAGAACACACTAGTTCTGTTTATTGCTGGCATGCAGAAACATCTGGCACTTCTCAAGGCCAGGTGAAGGGGATAATGGGATCCTGGGGTAAGGAGAGGTGTGAAGAGCCTATTTAGAGAAAACTCAACCTAGGAAAGAAGACACTAGGTACTTTGACCTTTAAGTAGCCACTGAAGTGGGGTGGGGACTCCTAATAACAAGACAATAACTATACCAGATCTACCCAGCCTCACCTTCAGACCCATGTCTGCATCTGCAGAGAAGAAAGCTGTGAGTAGAAACAAAAAGAGCTGCTTCTCTAAACTGTCAGGGGCATTAGGCACAGATGCCCCATTGTCAGGGGGTCCCCCACATTCCTGAAGGTCGCTGTGTGACCTTGGCACTTGGCCACTGTCAGAGTGGACACTTGTGTTCAGCAAAGCAATCCAAAGCAATGGCACATTCACTGTGGCTGGTGGGACACTGTGGAGTGACCAGCCAAGTATAGTGGCAACAGGCAGAGAGGACGGCCATGCCTGGGGGATGGGAAGAAGAGTAGTGAGGTTCAGCAGCATCACATGGTCACCAGCGCAATAGTACACATGAGGAACACCTTCTGGGAACACCCAGTTGTTGTCAGGTGGACTGGAGATGCTGTGAGAGCAAGCAGAGGCACTGGGCCAGCAAAAGGTCGGTCTGAGTGTGTACTGGTCTGTCCCATTTATCCTCCAGGGGTGACTGAGGCCTGGAGACACTTGGGATAGACAGAGAAAAAGGAATCCTGAGGAGATGTCCTTATCAAATGAAGTAGGTAAAGAAATTTTTGTTTAAAACATCAGGAAAACTGGCCAGGTGCACTGGCTCATGCCTGTAATCCCAGCCCTTTGGGAAACCAAGAGGAGCAGATTGCCTGAGCTCAAGAGTTTGAGACCAGTCTGAGCAACATGGAGAAAGCCCGTTTCTACCAAAAAATACAAAACATAGCCAGGTTTAGTGGTGCATGCCTGTGATCCGAACCACATAGGAGGCTGAGGTGCAAGGATTACCTGAGCGGGAGAAGTCAGGGCTGTAGTGAGCTGTGATTGTACCACTGCACTCCAGCCTGGGAGACTAAGTGAGGCCTTGTCTTAAAAAAAAAAAAAAAAAAAAAGAAGTCGGGAAAATCAGTGTAAAGCATTGAAAATCACACATGTATGAGGCACCCACGTGTGCCAGTCTCTCTGCTGGGTGCCTTCCGGGCCTGCCTTATGTGCTCTCAGCCAGCTCTGTGAAAGGGCATCACGTGATTAAACAAAAGCTCAAGGTGTTTGAAAATAACATTTCTAAAATCACAAAACCAGTGATAGTGGATATTCAATTCATGTCTTTCTGACTCAATGCCTTTATCCTTTCCATGGTTTCTGAACAGAAAACCATGCAAAATAATAACAGTTGATAAATCTTTGTGAAGGGTAGGCAGGAGTCCAATGTGCTATTCTTACAACTCTTAAGTAAATATGATTTTTTTTTTCTGAAATAAAAAAGAAGAGGCCGGGTGTGGTGGCTCACACCTGTAATCCCAGCACTTTGGGAGGCTGAGGCAGGTGGATCACCTGAGGTAAGGAGTTTGAGACCAGCCTGGCCAACATGGTGAAACCCCATCTTTACTAAAAATACCAAAAAAAATTTAGCCCGGCACGGTGGGGCATGCCTGTATTCCCAAGTACTTGGTACACTGAGGGTTAATAATTGCTTGAACCCACAAGGCGGAGGTTGCAGTGAGCGGAGATCATGCCACTGCACTCTAGCCTGGGCAATAGAGCGAGACTCTGTCTCAAGAAAAAAAGAAAAGAAGAAAAGGAAGAGGAAGAAAAATTAAAATCATGCAAACCAAAATTTGAAAAGTGGTAGGGATCTACCGTATGATCTGTCGAGATCACCAAGAGATTGTCTGCCCTGGGCCTCCCTTTCAGAGGAATCGCTGCTTCCGTGCCCCTTGGCTTCATTCTCATAAATCACCTGGATTGGGTGGAATTCTAGGTGGGCCCTGTTTTCCTGTCCTAGGGCTGCTGTAACAACATATCACAAACTGAGCGGCTTCAACAACAGAAATTTCTTCTCTCACAGTTCTGGAGGCTAGAAATCTGAAATCAAGACATCAGTGGGGCTGTGCTCCCTCCAGATGCTCTAAGGAGAATCCCACCTTGCTTCTTTTAGTTTCCAGGGGTTGCCAGCATTCTTGGTGTTCCATGGCTCATGGCAGCAGCCCATCTCTGCCTCCGTCTTCACACGGCCTTCTTCCCTGCGTCTCTCTCTGCCCAAATTTCCCCTTCTTGTAAAGACACCCCCAATCCAGTATGACCTCATCTTAACTCAATCACATCCACAAAAATCCTATTCCCAAACAAAGTCACTTTCACACGTCCCACGTGGACATGAATTTAGGGGTGACACTATTCAACTCAGTACTGTCCTCCAAGATCCCCACCTTCTGGTGTACATGTCCCAAATAATCCCCTCTCCTCAAGTGTAAGCAGCACCTGCAAATATGACGGGTTAGTCACTTCTTTTTTCTTCTTTCTCTCCTTTTTTTTTTCTTTTGAGAGGGAGTCTTGCTCTGTCACCCAGGCTGGAGTGCAGTTGGCGCCACCTGGCTCCACCTCCCAGGTTCAAGCGATTCTCGTGCCTCAGCCTCATGAGTGACTGGGATTACAGGCACACCACCAAACCCAGCTACATTTTTTTTGTATTTTTAGTAGAGATGGGGTTTCACCATGTTGGCCAGGCTGGTCTCAAACTCCTGACCTTAAGTGATCCGCCTGCCTTGGCCTCCCAAAGAGGGTTAGTCACTTCTGGGATTCCATGATATTACAGAAGACTCCATCGCAGCAGGCTGGAGAGAGCTTTAAGTGATGGTTTTGAGGAAGGGCCTGATTAAGAGCTTTTTCCTGATGGCTTTGAGGAAGCACATGGCCATGCTGTGGGAGAGCCACATGGTTAGGACCTGAGAGTGGTCTCAAAGAGCTCAGAGCAACCCCCAGCTAACAGTCAGCAAGAAAATGGGACCTCTGTCCTATAACCACAAGGAGTTGAATGACCTCTGCTGACAACCAGAGTTCTGAATGGGCTTGAAAATGGATTGAGCACCTCCAGACAAGAAGTCAGCCTGCTGAGACCTGAGTGGGGAACCCAGTGAAGCCATACCCAGATTCCCCACCCATAGGATGAGCTGATAATAAATGCGTATCTTTTCACTGCTAAATTTGTGGTAATTTGTCATGTAGCAATAGAAAACTAATGCGTCATCCAGTGTCTTTTTCCCTTTAGATTGGTCTGCAGATGGCTCAAACAAATTATAAAGATGTGAAATTTGGAGGAGAGACAATAGGGCTAGAAAACTTTGCATCTGATTTAGATTTGTCTTCCCATTTGGAGCGGCTCTGAATGGTTCCTGGCTTTATCATGACTTGGTAGTTATTGTGTCCCATATATCTTCCCCAACCATTTGCCCCACCCCACTTAAGGAAATCAAAACTGGTTTCTGTTGTTTGCAATCAAAAGCACCTAATTAATTCAAAACTATAGAGTGTAAATGTTGTGGAAGTGTATATTAAGTTACCTATATGATAGTGTGAGACTAAAAAAAATGAAAATCATAAACTTTAAAGAAAGATTTCAGCTAAGAAAATTAGTACTATTATGTGGAGGTGATAAATGAGTATTGTATTATATTATATTATATTATAGTTACCAGGCTGTGTACTTTACATATATAAGCTCATTTAATCCTTACAAAGACCTCATCGGATAGGCAGTTGCTACCTTTAATCTCGTTTCTCATTTACAGATTTAACAAGTGATCAAGCTGGGATCTTAACCCAGGTCTGTCTGACTCTAGGGCCTGCCTTTTAAATCACTAAGCAATATTGCTTCCAGCAAAATAATTAGTGCCATATATTGTCCTCAAGCCGTAACCTTGGGTTTAAGAGTCTCTTAGTCTACCAAATGAAAGAAGAATAAAAATCGTCTTGTAAATAATGAAATAAAATCCAGGTAAAATTAAACAAATATATTTTCTAACGACGTCAAAAAAAATGAAAGCCATTTGTTTTGGAATAGGATTTATCAGACTCTGCCTGGTTTCCAGGTACCCCTCAGTGTCCCTCCCCACCACGAGTGACACTACTGACCCCTCCACCTGTGTTTCAGTTCGGCTCCGGTTTCTAGGGCCAAGGCTCTCAGCCTGGGCTGTACATTAGACCCACCTGGGGGCTTTTAAAATCCTGGAAGCCACCCAGTTTGTGATACTTACATCAGAATCCCCAGGTGTGGGGCTCAGGCTTTGGTATGTTCTTCTGGTTCTCCGGGTGTTCCCATTTTGCTGTCACAGCTTCGAGAACACTGCTCCAGGATTCACGCAGACCTCGGGCAGAAAGACAGAAAGGCTTCTAACCTAGCCTTTGCTTCTAGTCATATATGCTGTCTGCAATGCAGCTTGACTGGGGACCCCAGGGCACAAGGCTGGACTTCCACTTTTACCTCCAGACCCAGGCTCCGTCTTGTGCATCAGTTCTAGTTACAGAGACCTCCTTCTCATTGAGTCTGAGTTCCCGTTTTAATAACCTGTGCCTCACTCCACTTCCTACAAGTTTGGGGGTTCATCTGTCTTGCTTTGTCTTGTTCTCCCTGAACCAGAGTTCTACCTACAACCTACTAAATGGCCTAGACCCTGCCATTCATGGACAGCTGTTCCTGAAACCACCACCCATTCCTGCATCAACCTTTGCTGGGCTTTGCACACTAAGCACACCTGACCGTTGGTGGTCATTAGCTGCCTGACTACGTCATTGTCCTCCTTGTTCTGGACTTTTCCTAGTCCCCTCCCTGGGCTTGCCCCCAGCTCCCATCCTGTCCCCCACTGTCAGTTTCTCTGCACCTGTCACCACATTGCACTTTGTGGAATCCTCTCACAATCAAGGCGGAGCACTTGCTGAAAGTAAGCAGTCACTCGCTTGTAGAAATTAATACATTTCATCCCAAAACAATTTAGTAGTGTTTGAAAATGCATTGAAGAATATGTGTCATTTACACTGCCTATTACACAACAGATCAATAAGAGAATACCTGTATTTTATATAATTAAATATATGTTCATTCATTCACCTGAAAACAGATTATAAGAAGCAGGAGTGAATGCAAGAAGAACTGTTGGAAGGAAAACTGTATCAGTCCAGATGCATTTGGCATGGACTAATGGGGTTACAGCACAGACAAAAAGAAGTGGGTGGATTCAGAACAAATTCGAGAAGCATAGCTGATACGAGGAAGGGTCAGAGGTATAAGAAAGCTGTTATGGACTGAATGTTTGTATCTCCTCAAAATCTGTATATTGAAATCCTAACCCCCAATGTGATGGTATTAGAAGGTGGAGCCTTTGAGAGGTAATTAGGTCAGGAGAGTAGAGACCTCAGGAATGGAATTAGTGCCCTCATAAAAGGGACCCCAGAAATCCCAGTTCTCTTCCCACCACATAAGGATACAAGAAGAAGACTCTCACTGGAAGTGACCACACTGACACGGTGATCTTGGACTTCCAGCTTCCAAAACTGTGAGAAATAAATTTTTGTTGTTTCTTAGCCACTCAGCCTATTGTATTTAGTTATAGTCTAAAACTGAAGTGAAGATGCCAGAACCACTTTATAGATGGGAAGTTAAGCGAATGGTTAAAGGTAACGCCTTCTACTGAGTTAGTGAAGATGGGGGAAGGACAGATTCAGCAGAAGATACCAGGTGATCTGTGGATAAGTTTAAAGTGCCTATTAGGCACCCAATCACTAAATAACCTGTTACACATTCAATATCCTGGGCAATTTACGCGGCAAATAAAAAAGACATAGCATCCCCACACGTTCTCCCCATGTCTGTGTGGGTTTTCTCCAGGTGCTCCAGTTTTCTACTATATGTGCGTGTTAGGTTCATTGACATGTATACATGGTACCAACATGAGAGAGTAAGCGTGTGAGTGGCCCTGCTATGGGTTGGTATCTAGTCCAGGATTGGTTCCCACCGTCAGCTACCCAGATAAGCTCTGGCATCCCGCAATCCTGAACTGGAATAAGCAGGTTGGAAAAGGAATGAGTGAATGAATATAAACTATGGTCAAATAAAAATTAATAAAGGAGATGACAATCATACAGATGCCCAACAATAAATGATGTGTACAAAAGTGCTCAAAAAGGACAACCGATTGGTGATTTTTTTTGAACTTTGTGGTGGCAGGAGGTACTCTTACGATTTTTGCTTTGCAAATATTTATTTCCTGATTTAACTCACCACCACTATGACCACCATCACTTACTAATTCAACAAAAATGGGCAAATAATTTTTACCTTTAAAAACTAATCTTTCTTAAATGTATGTATAGCTCACATGGATTATGTTAGAAGTGTTGGCGTCTTTAGAAGTTTGGTGATGTTTTTAATTCTCGTTTTTATCAATTAACCTATGGTAAAACTGGTTTTGCTATATGCCGTTTCATTTGAAGTCACAGTTTGTAAGAATCTATGTTGTGCAGAACCCCTATCAGCTCCCATGGGGATGGCACCAGGTTCAAGAGGCCAAAGAAGAGACCCAGAGCCAGCAAACAAGACATGGCGTTTCACCGAGGCTTACATACAGAAGACAGAGCCCATTGGCAGCAGGATGGACAGACGTGCCCTATATACAGTCCAGTGGTGAAGGGCTGAGCAGGAGAACTGCAACCACTTGCAAAAGGCATGCAGTTTATGGAACATTTTCACTTAATATCCTCCCCCTGACAACCTCCCTCTGGCAACCTTCATTCAACCCGAAACTCGGAGGCTCGATTCCCCTATATGGCCTATGTTCCATGGGACAGGAAGGGGGCTCAGATGTTCCTCATAAACAAGGAACAAATCTCCAGCTGGCCATTCCCAGTTTCCCTAGCTCAGAACACACATTCAGGTGCATCTGTCATACAGGGTCATCCTCAGGGTACGCTAAAGTTATTGCTCTCAGGTGCATTTACCATACAATCTATAGACAATGTTAAGTGAAAACTTACTGTACTCTGGCTGTGAAACAGTGTTGTCAATACTATTCTATTGTTACTACTTTCAACAACTTGGCAAAAAAACCTTTGATAGTTATTTGGTATTGAACACACACGTCTAACTTGTTGTCCGTGTAATTGCAGGGTCTGTCAGTGGTAACGTGAACAGGAGCTGGGGAGGCATATTTGTGAGAAGCCAAATCTGAGTGCTGTCACATTTCATCCTGTCTGCTGACTAATATCCACGTTTGGGAGGGAAGTTCTCCGAATGTCTTGCTTCTTTTTTCATCCTCAACCGTGACTGTGTTACCCCGCTCTGACCGTGGCATAGCATCCTGACATGAGAGTACTTCCAGCTCTTCAGGGTATTCATATTGCAGAAGTTTTGAGTTTAAACAACTGTGGAAAGTATATTATTGCTAATTTTTGTTGAATTATTATTTTATTTTTAGAGACAGGTTCTTGCTCTGTCACCCAGGCTGGAGTGCAGTGGCACAATCATAGCTCACTGTTAACTTGAACTCCTGGGCCCGAGTGATCCTCCCACCTCAGCCTCTTGAGTAACTAGGACTATGGGTACGCACCACCATGCCCACCTAATTTTGTTTGTTTGTGGAGATGGGGTTTCACTACCCTGTCCAGACTGATCTCAAACTCCTGGCCTCAAGGGACCCTCCTGCCTCGACCTACCAAACTGCTGGGTTAACAGGCATGATCCACCATGACTGGCCTTGAATGATTATTGTAGAAAATTGGGAAATAATTATAATAAAGGAAAAAAAGCATCATTTGTGATACCATCAGGCCAGAGGTAGACACCCTTGATGCTTTGATGCATTTTCCTCAACTCTTTTACATGTGTGCATATATATTTTTTGCTTTTATAAAATTGGGGGTTTCCTGCTTTTTTCACTTAAAGGTGTATCATATGCATTTTCCTGTATCATTACTTTTCTAAAACATGATTGTTATTGACTGCAATTATATGCATATCTCATAATTGTTTAGCTATTGTAGATTATAAGCCTCAAGACAAATTTTAAAAAATAATTTTCTGTTTTTGTTTTGAGATGGAGTCTCGCTCTGTCACCCAGGCAGGAGTGCAGTGGCATGATCTTGGCTCACTGCAACCTCCGCTTCCCAGGTTCAAGTGATTCTTCTGCCTCAGCCTCCTGGGTAGCTGGGACTACAGGCGCACACCACCATGCCTGGCTAATTTTTTGTATTTTTAGTAGAGACAGGGTTTCATCGTATTGTCCAGGCTGGTCTTGAACTCCTGACCTTGTGATCTGCCCACCTCAGACTCCCAAAGTGCTGGGATTACAGGCGTGAGCCACTGCTCCCAGCCAAAATAATGTATTTATAATGATTGTTTATGGGATGGAGTTTACTGCTTTGGAATTAGAGGGACTGAGGTTTAAGTCCCCTCTTATGAGATATTTGACCTAGGCAGAGGACCAATCCTCCCAGCCTCACCTGTAAAATGGAGCTAATTTAAATAACTAGGTTATTGTAAGAATTACATGATATAATCTCTGCACCCAGAAAAAGTACATAGAAAGCTATTACAATTGATTTGTTTTCAGAAAGCTTGGAGCTAGAAACTCGCATACCTATACATAATATAAAAAAAGAATTTTGGAGAGGTCCTACAGTGAAAAACCAAGGATATTTGTTGTGAACCTAGAAAAATGTCCTGGCACAGGGGCATAAAAAGGTTAACTTTTTGCATTTTAGAGTGTCCACAATGCGGTGATGTTTGGCCCTTTCACAAGTTAAAAGGATTGAGTTAAAGGGAGCAATGATCTCTAGAAATAGGGTTTGGTGGAGTCTCTAAAGGGGTGTGTGTGTGTGTGTTCTGTTTTTAAAAACTGGAAACTTCTCTGCTAAATGTTCTGTAAACAAGCTCTGTTGGATTAGCAGAACTTGCAAAAATTATGGTGACTGAAACCAGAACCATTGGTATGCTCTAGCATGCTGTGGTTTTCAACCCTTTCTAAAAGTCTCTTATGCAAAGCAGATTTCAGCAAAGCTGCTCTGGTGGAAGAGGGAGACATGCCCCATGCCCACTCTGCTTTTCCTCAAAATGCCATCCTCTCCCCTCCACGCGGTGACAGGGAACTGAGAGACCTAAGCTCCCAACCCAACGATCCCACTAACTGGCTGCGTGTGATTTTGAATAAGTACTGACCTCCATATTTTCATTTCCCTTGCCCATGAATGAGATGACTAGGCACTAAGGTCCCTTCCACTCTAATAGCCATGATTTTCTGAGTCTTCATATTCGCTTTTCCTGGAGTCCCTCCAGCCTCCCTGAGCTATGAGAACTCCACATTTGGCCTCCAACATTGGCAGAGATTATGCCTTTTCCCTTATCCAAGAGGAGTCAGAATTTTCGTGGTAACTAAATGATACTGTATCTGGTGCTGTAAAAGAGATTATAGGCTGTGACTGTCCAGATTTGCAATGTGGTTTGGGGGAAACTTTAGGAGAAATAAACATTGGGAGCTACAGATAAGGAACCAGTGCTAAGAAGGGAAGGGGCAGGATTTCTGTGAATAATCACAATGTCAATGACATTAAACAAACAACACGCATATATAGTTAACAATCAGAATTAATTATATTTATATCTATGTCTCAGACACTTTTTGCAGTAGCATGAGAACAGTGATCCTCCCTCAATTCTGAGTCAGGATTTAAAATTCCAGAAATCCTTCCACCCCCACCCCACATACACACAGAAATTTCAAATTCAATTGATGTGGGTAGAGCCTAGCTTCCAGTATTTTGGGGATTCTGAAGTCAGCCAAGGTTGAGAATGGATGTATTTAGAGAACTAATGTGCCTGTCTGTTTCTTCATGGAGGCAGACATTTCCACGTGCCCATCAAAAGCAAATAACAAAACTGAAATCCTTTTATCATTTACCTGACTAAATCTCACTTTCAGAGGCTGTCATTACTGTTGCAGTATTACCTAACTCAGGCTTGGCACACAAGAGACAGTTAATATTTATACTGTTTACAAAACCGTTCAATAAGTACTGGGACCGTGGCACACAGAGAAGAATTTGCTGCATCATGATCTCATTTCAATTCCCTGATGGCAGTTCAGCCATCTGTGTGACAAAGTTCAGGGACTTTGGACTATCAAACCTTCAGACTTTGTGAGTCCCAGATCATAGCCCCTTATCTTCAAGAATGTAACTTAAAAAAAAGTTTGGAGGAGCAGGATAATAATGCTCCAGCTGAACTTATTCCCTGGCACCTGGTGACCTTGTTTATTCCAGAAGGATTGGCATCCCCCATTAAACCACTGTGCTTCCAGCAGCTGTCCTTAAATGATTAATGTAAGCAGGCAGATAAACCTTAGGTCATTCCTAAACCAGAGAAGTATCTGCAAATTAATACACAAGCTTAACCTCGTTTTACTGGGGTTGAAGATTTTCTTGAACTGATGTCCATCTGACATCACTGCGGGGCTAAGACTATACTTACTCTAAATCATACTCTGCCAGGGCAGATTCAATCACTCGTTTGCTTAACTCAGTTAACAAGCCCTTATTCCCACAATAGCCCACTTGCCACACAAGTAATACTCCTCAAAAGACTCTTTAAAGTTGACTGGGAAGCAACCTTCTGCTTTCTTCCATGCCACTAAGACCAAAAAAAAAAAACCAAGTGTCACAAATAAAGAATTTCAATGAAGAGACCTAGTAATTGGATTCTGTCTGTCCTGAGTTTTCAATCATACTCCAAAATCTGACTTTTCTAAAATACATAATACCTTCCAATTTTGAAAGAGAGCTCAATAAATAATTTCTTAAAAATATTATCTTTGCCTCAATAATTCCATTCCCAGCGCTTTATAATCTGCCTTCTTTCCTCTCTTCCATAAGGGAAGGAGGAAGGAAGGAAGGAAGGAAGGAAGGAAGGAAGGAAGGAAGGAAGGAAGGAAGGAAAGAAGGAAAGAAGGAAAGAAGGAAACGTGTTACACATATAGATGGGCTTCAAACAATAAAGAGATTGGTTAAGTCAAGTGTACTATACCAACCTGATGAACAGTTATAAAATAATTGTGAACACTATAGAATGACATGAAAATGCTAATGTTTACCAAAAAAGCAAAATACAACACTACATAACAATACATCTTTCTTTCTTTCTTTTGAGACAGAGTCTTGCTCTGTTTCCCAGGCTGGAGTGCAGTGGTGTAATCTTGGCTCACTGCAACCTTCACTTCCTGGGTTCAAACGATTCTCCTTCCTCAACCTCCTGAGTAGCTAGGACTACAGGCGCGCACCACCATGCCCAGCTAATTTTTTTTTTTTTGTATTTTTAGTAGAGACGGAGTTTTACTATGTTGGCCAGGCTGGTCTCGAACTCCTGACCTCGTGATCCACCCACCTCAGCCTCCCAAAGTGCTGTGATTACAGGCGTGAGCCACCATGCTCGGCCCCAACAATACATCTATACTATGCATTGTGGATGTATTTATATGTATATGAACTAGCAAGAAATAGGAAGAATAAAAAGTCGATATTTGGTAGCTGTGGAATTCTGAGAGCTCACTTCCATTTTCAAAATTTCTATTAATGCTGTTACAATAGAGTTAGTGCAATTTTTAAAATCATCTCTTTTTCTGCAACAGTTTAAATGTTTTCATATAAGTATAATCTAACACTAAAGTGTCCTCTAAAGGGTAAAAACTCATTCTATTCTGTGAAGACTTGAAGATTTTTGAAGATTTAATATATATGTATTTAACATTTAATATTTATAACAAGGGTGGAATGTATATATCATTATCCCTTGTTTGATAAATGAAGTCTCAGAGGTGTTGCGACATGAATGGTTTGACCAAGGTTGTATCATTTATCAATGACAAGCAGGAGTGGAAGGAAGAACACCATAAATCCAAGTCTTGAAACTAAATCCAACTCACAATCTCTACTTTGTATTTTTCAAAGAGCCCAGTAAAGTACAACATACTCAGTGAGAACTTGGTGAACACTGATTTTCTTAAGTGCCAGGATTAGTAAAATTATAGAGACTGTTAGCCAGTCTTCTTGACGCCAGCCTCACCTTTTGTCTTGTTCATCATCTACATACAACTGTGAGGTGAATCTTGAAATAGAGCTTTCATCCTCTCACACTCCCATACTCAAGAACCAATAATGGCTGCAAGTTCATTTTTCAGACTCTAGATCCTGGCTTTCAGGGCCATCTATAATACGACTCTATTCCACTTCAGCCAAACTTTTTGGTTAGACCTACCTGGAGGGTACCACCCTCCCTTCCAGTAGAGCCTAGCTCTCTAATACCTCCTGTGTGATGAATAACCTCCTACGAGAATGTTTAAGTTTTACATTTCATTTTCGCATTAATCTAAAAAGAAATAAATGTTTTTTTTAAACCTGGGCTCTTTGGATAACCAGTTAATATTGGGTGTTGACTCTCAATATCAGTGCCTGGATTTATGTCTGCACAGAGGATCACATTGGCATCAGGAAGATACCTTTAGTTGCTACGGGCTGATGTGAAAAGAAAACAGGCAGGAACAGAACACAGTGATGATATGCTAGTGCTTTATGGAGGCCAGATGCCACTGTGCAATGTCTAAGCAATGGGTTCATGGTAGTTGAAATGGAGCAGGGTGGTGGGAGAATTGAGTCATCACACAGCGCTCGCATATCAATCTGCCAAAAGCTTGTGCTGTAGCATTCACCTTTTAATGACATAAACATCAATCTGGTGACTGAAAAACATCATTTGTCAACATAAATTAACCTATTTCAACTGAATATTACTGGTTTTGTAGTTTTACGATTTAATTTGTAAATTTGCTTTGGTTTATAAATTGTGTTAGGCTGTTTTTGTGTCACATAAAGAAATATCTGAGGCTGGGTAATTTATTTAAAAAGAGATTTAATTGGTGCACAGTTCCGCAGGCTGTATAAAAAGCACGGACTGACATCTCCTCAGCCTCTGGTGAGGGCCCCAGGAAGCTTACAGTCACGGCTGAAGGTGAAGAGGAATGAGCATGTCACATGGAGAGAGCCAGAGCAAGAGAGGTGCGAGAGGGGAGAGGTCCCAGACTTTTAAACTTGAAGTTTAAACTTGAAGATCTCACATGAACTTAGGGAGAACTTACTTATCACCAAGGGGATGGTACTAAACCATTCGTGAGGGATCTGCCCCCATGATCCAACCCCCTCCTACCAGATCCCACTTCCAACACTGGGAATCACATTTCAACCTGAGATTTTGAGGCGACACACTTTCAAACCACATCATAAAGGTTTGAATGTCTTTGGTTGTTGTTATTATGGCTGAATAACAAATTTCTCCCAAATTTAGTGGCTTAAAACAACATTTTATTATTATCTCTCAGGGTTCTAGTGGTTAACTGGACTCAGCTTGGCAGTTCTCACCCAGAGTCTCTCCCACAATTACTGTGGCTGGGAGAGGAGGCTTTCTCACATATCTGATGCCAGATCTGGGAAGACTCAAACAGTCAGGACTGGAGCAGCTGTGGCTCCTTGGGCATGTAGTCTTCCGACATGGTTCCATGGTGGCTTTAGGGTAGCCTAAATTCATACAAAGTGGCTCAGGTCTCTAAAGTCAGAGAGAAAGAGGGAGAGAGATCTGGGTAGGTAGGTAGATTAATTGATTAAATCAATCAATAGACTTACGTAGGTGGATGGATGGATGGATGGATGGATGGATGGATGGATGGATGGATGACAAAGTGACAGACACACTGTATCACATCTTCTAATATAGTATCAGAAGTCACCCAATCTCACTTCCACCATATTCTACTCATTAGAAGAAAGGTACCAAGGACAGCTTACAGTCAAACAGAGGGAAAGTAGACTCTACTTTTATGGAAATGTGTCAAAGAATTTGCAAAAGTGTAAAACCACCACAATTATACAGTTCCTTCCCCTTCTTGTTTGCTAATCTAAATCTTGTCATCTTTTGCAGCTGGCTTAAGTGTCCCCAGCCCCTAGAAGACACCCCAGGTTTCTCCAGACCTCAGTCTCCTTTGATAAAACGAGTCTCCTTTGATAAAACGAGTCTCCTTTGATAAAAGGAGACTATATTACAGCCTATAGTCTGTAATATAGAGGTAAACCTTTCATTGTATTCTGCCTCATATTGCTTTGTTTCTGATGATGGTAACAAAAGTTATGACCGATATTATGTATCTACATAATCTAATTACATTAAAATCCTTATTTTATATGTATGATCTAATTAAATTAAAATCCTTGTAACAATTCTGTCTTCTTAGCCCAATTTTACAGAAGAGATTCAGAGAAGTTGAGAGAATTGCCCAAGATCACTTCTACTGAGCTAAAGTCTGTTTGACTCCAAAGCCTCTTCTTAAGCACTATGCTATATACTGTTTCCTATAATTTAAGTCGTATATGTGGAGTATGATTGAGAAGCATAAAGGGTGGAAAATAGAAGAGGAAAAGGCGGAAGGAACAAGAGATACATGAGGACAGTGATGTCAGAGCCTGACCATATTGGCTGCTTCAAGGAAGCCCAGCACCCTGGTTACCGACCCTCCCCCTGCCACCATTATCTTCTCCAACACGCTCCATCTTCTTCCTGCATTCCCCGTCTGGAATTGTTGGGTCAGTCATTAATTCAACTCTCCGTAGCCCTGTCAGTCTCTCCATCTTTGAGGCAGCAATCATAAAATGCACCTGCATCCACAGTGACATTTGGAGGACAAAGGTACTTTGCACATATAAGTGCCAAATATGCAAGATCACCACTCAGAGATGAAAGGTGATCAGGGAAACTGAACTCTTCAGCTGAAGTTCCTAACACTGATTTATCATTAAGTTTAGGCACACCATAAAGTCAACACCCATTTGAGTGCAAACACAATATGCCCTATCACTCACTGCATTTAGTACAATCAATTTAATGTCCTCATTTAAATATCTCTCTGAAAGATGATCTCTGGAAATGGGGTGGATTTTCGGTGTTATCCTCAGCAAGTGAATTTTCATAATATGAAAGGCCATTTCTGAGGGTTTGCAACTACTTAAATAAGAAGTGATAAATAAGGGTCATACAAATTTATTGCTGCTAGAATGCTTTACATTAGTAGGGGTACTGCAAATTTGCTTTTCATTAACCTAACAAGCAGAATTTAATAGTTGAACAGGACTTGGAAAGTGCCTGCCCATCAGGCGAGGCACCACAACTTTTCCACTTGGAACAAGAGGCCAATCCATTAGTGAGATTGCACAATGATGAAAACGTATCTAAGTATTCAGTTATGTCTTCAGTTATATTTATGCCCTGCAAATGGGGTTGCCCTGCCAGAAATTTGAGCACTGGCCAGTTCATGACTGCCAGGGGGTTAAATTTAAAAGCTATTTTTTAACCAAAATTATTAGGAAGACAGAAAGGGTAAAGTAAAATGAATCTGAGCACTGAAGGGGATGCAGTATGCTGGATAAGAGGGCAGTGTTGGGGCATTTTTCTCTGCCACGGACTAGGCACATAACTTGGAACAGGTTACAGTATTTATCTTTAAACTTGAATCTCCTCATTTGTGAATTGAAGATCATAATAGAGTTGATTCAAAAATTATAAGAATATCAATAGAAGTGTTCAAAACAGTGAAAAGCATAAAATAAAAGTTCAATACATTATTGTTATTACTATCATTGGGGAATACAAAAAAATGTCATTTCTTCTGTCTTCTCTCTCTCTGTTATAATGGATTTATTTAATCTTTTGTGATTTATAAACCCCTTTAAGAATCTGATGCAAAACTATAATCTGTTTCTCCAGAAAAGTGCACATATGCACACACTCAATATTTTGCAATTTCAGAGTTTCGAGGACTCCCTGGATACCTAAAAGCTCTGCTCTCACTTATCTTTCTATTCTCCCTTACTGTCATTTTGAAGTTCTGTGGCTATCTATATTTTACAACTACTTAATTAGTCTTAATCGTAGCTTCCGAAAATAAAAAAGCCAACTCTGTAAAACTATCAGCATTTATATTTCAGATTTGATAAAATTTAAGATCAAGGTAATCAGTCAATCAAAACATTACAGTCTGTTTTAAGCTTATTAGCCCCTTTCCAAAAGAGTGATTCTAAGTTGATAGTAGAGTTCTCAGAACACATTAGCTCTTAGTAACTGTATTAAAAATGACAGCTCCATTACCAGGACACTGTTCAGAACATATTTAGCCCATGAGGTTAACACTGAACTAATTATCTTCTCCAACAAACTCAATCTTCTTCCTGCATTCTCCATTTTGAATTATTGAGTCAATCATTAATTCATTTACCCATTCAGCAACTATACTAAGTGCTGGCAAGGTATAACAGAAGAAATCAGGCCCTACCTTTCAGGAGGAGAAATGTAGGTAAGCAAATCAAGGATTCTGGGGACTAGAATGAAATATGAGCCGGGTGTTGGGCAGTGGAGTACATTGTATGATTTTTTCCCCAGGTATTCATTCTGCCCTTCTCTAGAGGTAAACCTCCCAACCTCACTGATGTTGGTCTTGGCCATGGGACTTGCTGTGGCCAATGAAATATGAGCAGGCAAGTTGTACATCACAAGTGAACAGAAGCTTTAAATATAACCATGTGTTTTGACTAGGACTTTTACTTGCACTTCTGATATCTGCCACAAGAAAGAGCATATCCCAGGGAACAGCTGTTCCTTCAGCCTGGGTCCTGGGATGGAGAGGCAGGTGGAGCAAATCTGTAGCCAATCTGCAGCCCAGAGCAGAGCTGCACCCCTCAGCCTTCATATAATGAGCATGAGATAAGTGTCTTTTATTCTAATCTGGAGTTGTTAGTGCAGCAAAACCTAACCAATACAGATGAGCTTAAAGAAGAGCATATTCATTTCTACCTGAGGAGACAGTGCAGCCAAAAAGATTTTGAGAAGCTAATGATGCTGGTAGGGTTGGTATGGAGGTTGCATGGGTATCGTAGTAACCTGAAGCTGCAATAACAAAATACCATTGACTAGGGTGGCTTAAACCACAGAAATTTACTTCTCTCGCAGTTCTGGAGGCTGGGAAGTGATTTGGGTGCCAGGTGATTCAGTTCCTAGTGAGAGCTCTCTTTCTGGGTTGCAGACAGCCGCCTTCTTGTGTTCTTACATGGCAGAGAGAGAGAAGGCTCTCTCCTGTTTCTTCTTATAAAGGTATTAATCGCATTCATGAGGGCTCCATCCTCATGACCTAATTACCTCCCAAAGGCTCCATCTCCAAGTACCATCATACTGGGGGCTGAGATGTCAACTTATGAATGCTGGGGGGAAACCCAACTCTGTCCATAGCAGCAGGTTTTGAAGTAAGGTACAGAGATTGAGGCATCTGAATTGATCATTGTTTTAGCCTACTTTGTGCTGCTATAACAGAATACCACAGACTAGGTAATTTATAGCGAATACAAATTCATTTGACTGAAAGTTCTGGGAAGTCAAAGATTGAGGGGCCACATCTGGTGAAGGCCTTCTTGCTCTGTCATAACATAGAGAAAGGCATCACATGGGTGAGAGAGCAAGGCAGGGCAAGACAGTGTTGAATTTGCTTTTATAACAAACCCACTCCTGCCGTAACAACTCAAATCCATTTATGAGGGCAGAGCTCTTATGACCTAAACAGCTCCCAATAGGCCCCACATGACATTGTTGTATTGAGAATTAACTTTCCAAGACATGATCTTTGGGGAACACATTCAATCCACAGAAGTTATGAAGGGCCTAGTACAGCAAACTAAGGAATTTTATCATATCTTTAACACGTGACCTTTAACATCATTTTAAAAAATGGAGCAAAAGGGGCCTAATTTGCATTTCAAAAAGTTATTTAATCATAGTGTGGTTGTGTGGAGGATTCACACAGATATAAGGCCAGTACCAAAGATATTAGATGATTACAATAGTCCAGGTGAGATCCTTGAAGCTTTGCAGCCAGGCTGGCCACGTGACGTGATTCAGCAGCCCTGATTAGCACCAGAGAGGGTAAGGGGGTGATGTGAGGCATGATAAGGAGTACAATTTCAAGGACTAGAATGCTGATAAGATACAGGAAGTGAGATAAAGAGAGGAACAAAGAATCACTCCCAGATTTCTGCCTCAGATAACAGGATCGATGGCAGTGCCACTAACAAATATAAGAGAATAACAGGAAGGGGCAAAGGAAAATAAGTCATTTAGTCTTGAATATTCTGTGCTGAGGTTCCTTTGGGACACTGAGGTCCACGTGCCAACAAAGAGGTTCGAATTGGAAATTCTGCTGTGGAGTGAAGGGGATCATCCTAGGAATGTGCAGGTAAAGGGAACTAACAGGCCCTGAGAGCAACTAATAGCTGAAGCAATGAGAAGCTGAGGAAGAGAAGCCCACAGAGGAGACAGAGATGAAATGATCAGGGAAGTAGGAGAAAAGTGAAGAGATGGTAGTGTCACGGAAAAGAGTGCGAGTACTTATGTACTGAATCTTCTCTCCACTGAAACCCAAGGTGAAAAAGGGATGCCTCCAAACTGAGATGTAAAGTAGCCCCCAAAGAGAAGGGAACCCTTCACCAGCCATAGCTACTAAAAGCCACAGAGAGAAGGTGACCCATTGCCATGACAGGAAAACGCTCCCTTGGCAATCACAAGTAAAAATGAAGTGGACAACACAATGCAATAGGAAGAGCAAGCGCCCACTGCCATGACCAAAGAACCTCTGGCTCTGTTGTGGCCATATTTGTATTTAAAATGCAGTTTGGAAGTGGGGGTTTCTACATGCTAGTGACTTCCGTTTTGCACAGCACTATATGGGAAACTTGGGACTGCTGAGTAATGACTAGGAGTTGGGGTGCCATTGATTCTCAGTGTGTCAGAGGGAGCAAGCCAGCCTGAAGTCGACATCCATCAGTTCAGTTATTTAAAAAATGGATTGTAACCAAAGGGAGATTCAGTTGATTGCCACTTGCAAAACCGAATAACAAGGATGAATTGTGATAGAAAGTCAGTGACTTTATTTTTCCATAGCTAGCAGTGAAGAAACTGTCCAGTCTCCTGTCTTAACGAAACCGTATCAAATTTTCAAGCAAAATGCAAAGGAGTTAAAAAGAGGAGTTTGGGGTGAAGGGCATGCAAGACGGGCAAGGCTGTGCAGGTCTACATGACTTGTTCTGATGACTTAAGTTACTGCTCCATCTGGTGAATAGGCTGGTGCCATCTTGGGCTCAACCAGGTTATAAATTAACTGTGTCCTTGAAGCAACCTCCTGGTAGGGGAGAATTCCGTAGGCACCTGGATTGTCTCAAGATTCAGTCTTTGGAACTTCTAAGCAAACATAGAATTAGATAAGCTACCAGTGCAAGGGAGGGCCTGGTGGAAAGGAGAGTAAAGGTTATTATTTCATTACTAAGAAATTAACACAAAGGGCAACAGAAAGAAAGCTTAAAAACAGGGTACCTGGTTACAATATGACCTTGGCCAAGTTTGTTCATTCATGTGTCTATTTGTTAATAGTTTATCAGTGCTTACTTTGTGCCAGATGCTATGCCAACAGTTGGAGATACAGTAGTGAACAAGATTGATAAGTCTGCCCTCGTGGAATACTGATTTCTGGAAGGAGATGCAGGCATTAATCATGTAAATAAATAAAAAGATAATATCTACCTGTGATAGTAACATTAAGGAAGTAAACAGGCAGATGAGATAAACTGATGGCCCTCAAACTCAAGCGGCACGTATTGGAGTCATAGCAGTAGGGCTCCTTGAAACAGACTGCTGGACTCCATCCTCAGAGTTTCCGTGGGTCTGGGGTATGGCCTGAAAGTGTGCATATTTCACAAATTCTCAGGTAATGGGGATACTGCTGGTCCAGGGATCAAACCTTGAGAACCAAAGAGATAGAGAGTAACTACAGGAGGTTTTTAAAATAATAATAAATAACACTTATGTAGGCTTTATGGCATTTCAGGTGCTAGTTTAAATGACTATGTTAACCCATTTAATCCTTTTTTTTTTTTTTTTGAGGCAGAGTTTCACTCTTGTTGCCCAGGCTGGAGTGCAATGGCGTGACCTCGGCTCACGGCAACCTCTGCCTCCCGGTTTCAAGTGATTTTCCTGCCTTAGCCTCTTGAGTAGCTAGGATTACAGGCATGCACCACCAGGCCCAGCTAATTTGTGTATTTCTAGTAGAGACGGGATTTCTCCATGTTGGTCAGACTGGTCTCGAACTCCCAAACTCAGGTGATCCGCCCACCTCAGCCTCCCAAAGTGCTGGGATTACAGGCATGAGCCACCACGCCTGGCCCCCCTTTAATTCTTACAGCAATTTTGTGAAGGAGAAACTAACAGGGTGCCCATTTTAGAGATGGGAACACAGACACAGAGCTGGTGTTAAGTCTGATGGCCTAGGCCTTTAGGCTATTGGATGGAGGTATTGCAATTCAGCCCCCAGGCAGTGGGCTGCAGGGCTTAGTTGCTCTCCTTTCCCATGATTTGCAAGTAAAGGCTGGCTTCTCTGAGCAGGCGGTGTTTGAGTTGAGACCTGCAGGCTCTGAATGAGAAACCATGTAAAGAGCTGGGGAGAGAGCATTCCCAAGCAGAGGAAACAGCAAATGCAAAGAACCAGGAGTAGAAGAGAGCTCAATGTCATTAAAGTAAAGCGACAATGTGGCTGGAGTTAGAAACGTGGTACAATAAGAGGTTGCGGTGTTAGGCAGAGGATAGGATCAGTGGACACCTGTGGGCCACATTTTGTTTGCATTTTATTTTAAAAGCAACTGGAAGTAAAAAAAAATAATGTTTTAAATTAAATGTTTCATTTTAAGAGATAAATGTAAATTCCCATGCGGTTGTCAGAAATAATACAGAGAGAATGGGTGTTCTCTTTACCCAGTTTCCCCCCAGTGGCTGCATCTTGTAAATCCATAGTGATATCACAAAGAAGATATTATCATTGATAGAGTCAAGATTCAGAACATTTCCATCACCACAAGGACTCCCCATCTTATCCTTTGATAGCCACTTTCACTTTCCAGTCACCTTCTTCCCTTCCTCCATCCTTAACTTCTGTTAACCACACATCTGTAATAGACTTTTATAATTTTGTCATTTCAAGAATGTTATATAAATTGAATTGTATAGTATAACCTTTTGGGATTTACTTTTTTCACTAAGTAATTCACTGGAGAGTCCATTGTCCACTTTGTTGTATATGTCAGTAGTTCATTCCTTTTTATTGATGAGTAATATTCCATGGTGGGATGGACCACAGTTTAACCATTCACCTGTCGAAGGACAACTGGGTTATTTCCAATTTAGGGCTATTACAAACAAAGCTTCTATAAACATGCATGTATAGGTTTTGCATGCATTATTTCTCTGGAATAAATGCACAGGAGTACAATTGATGGGTCATAAGGTAGTTGCATGTTTAGTTTTTCAAGAAACTGCCAAACTGTTTTCCAGAGTGGCTATGCCATTTTACATTCCCACCAGCAATGTATGAGTGATTCCATTTCTCTGCATCCTCACCAAAATGTGGTGTTGCTACTATTTTTGATTTTACCCATTCTGACCCATATGTGGTAATATCTCGTTATAGTTTTAATTTACATTTCCCAATGGCTAATGATGGTGAACATCTTTTCATGTGCTTATTAGCCATCTGTTTATGTTCTTCAGAGAAATGTCTCTTCATTTCTTTTGCCCATGTTCTAATTGGATTGTTCAATTTTTTATTCTTGAGTTTTGAAAGTATTTTGTAAATGCTACATTCTAATCCTTTGTCAGATATGTGGTTTACGAATACGACCCCCTACTCTGTAGCTCATCTTTTCAACTCTTCACAGGGTTTTTTGCAAAGCAAAACTTTTTAGTCTTGATAAAATACAGTTTATCAATTTTTCCTTTCATGAATTGTACATTTGGTGTCAAGTCTAAGACTCTTAGTCCAGCTCAAGGTCCTAAAGATTTTCTCCCATTTTAAAAAACGTGATAAGTTTATGTTTTACATTTAAGTCTGTGATTAATTTTGAGTTAATGTTTATATAATGGGTGAGGTTTATGGTGAGGCTTCATTTTTTTGTTTGTGAATGTCCAACTGCTTCAGCATCATTTCTTGGAAAACTTATCGTTCCTCTGATGAACTGTTTTGCACCTTTGTCAAAAATCAGTTGGGCATATTTGTATGAGTCTATTGCTGGGTTTTCTGTTGTGTTCTATTGATCTATATGTCTATCCCTTCACCAGTACCTCATAGTCTTGATTACGTAATAGGTCAAAACTGGGTAGATTGTTTCCTCTTCCTTAACTTTTTTGAAATATTTTAGCTATACTACTTCCTTATTTTATATAAATTGTATAACAATCTTGACTATATCCACAAAAAAATCCTATTGGAATTTTAGTAGAAATTGTGTTAAACCTGTATATCAATTTGGGGAGCATTGACATCTGTAATATGTTGAGTCTTCCAATCCATGAACACTGTATATCTCTTCATTTTTTTAAATTTCTTTCATCAGTGTTTTGTAGTTTTCATCATACCAGTACTATTCATGTTTTTATAGATTTACATCTAAGTATTTCGTTTTTGTTCTTGAATAATTATAAATAATGTTAGTATTTTTATTTCAGTCTTCAGGGTTTCATTGATAATATATGAAATACAATCAATTTTTGGATGTTTATCTTGTATTTTGCTGAACTTACTCATTAGCCCTAAGAATTTTTTTTTTTTTTTTGGTGAATTCTTGGGGATTTTCTAAGTGGGTTATTATGTCATCTTCAAATAGGGATAGTTTTATTTGTTTCTTTCCAAACTGTATGTCTTTTATTTTTTTTTCTTGCCTTATTGTACCAGTTAGGACATCCAGCACTATGCTGAATAAGACTAGTAAGAGTAAACAGTCTTGCTTAAGTCCTGATAAAACGGAGAAAACATTCAGTCTTTCACTATTGAATTTAACATTGGCTATAGATTTTTTTGTAGGTGCTCTTTACAATGTTGACAAAGTTCTCCCTATTCCATTTTCTGAGAGTTTTTTTATCATGAATTATTGAATTTTGTCAAATGTTTTTTCTACCATGATTGATATGATCATGAAATTTTACTTCTTTAGCCTGATAATATGGTGGCTTCCATTGGCTTATTATCAAATATTAAATCAACTTTGTTTCCTGTAATAAGCCTCACATTGTCATGGTATATAATTTATTTTATACGTTGCTGAATTCTATTTGCTAATAGTTTATTAAGGATTCTTGTGTCTATACTCATAAGGAATATTGGTCTGTAATTTTCCTTTTTTGTGCTGTTTTTGTCGAGTTTTGATATCAGGGCAATACTAGCTTTTAAAAAAATGAATAGAGAAGTTTTTCTTTCTTTCTATTTTCTGAAAGAGATTGTGTAGAACTGGTTGTTAACTCTTCTTTAAACATATGGTAGAATTCTCTGATGAAACCATCTGGGCCTGAAGATGTTCTGGGGAATTTTTAAATTACAAATTTGATTTCCTTAGTAGTTATAAAACTATTCAATCTACTTCATGTTGGGTAAGTTGTGGTCGTTTTTGGTTTTCCAGGAATTGGTTTATTTTGTCTACATTTTCAGGTATATGTGTGTAGAGTTACTCATAGTATTCCTTTATTATTCTTTTGACATGTTCAGGGTCAATAAAGATAGCCTGTTTCCTGCCTAATGTTGGTAATTTGTGTCTTTTCTTTTTGTCTTTGTCAGTTTTGCAAGATGTTTCTCAATTTTATTGATCTTTTCAAAGAGCCAGTTCTCTGTTTCACTGATTTTTTACTATTTTCTGTTTTCAATTTTATTGATTTGTATTCTAATCTTCTCATTTTATTCCTTCTGCTTGTTTTTGGCTTATTTTGCAATTTTTTTTAGGTTCTTGAGATAGGAGCTTAGATTATGGATTTAAGAGTTTTCCTTTTTTTAATGTACACATTTAGTGTTACAAATTTCCCTCTCATTGCTGCATTAGCTGTGTCCCACAAATTTTGATACATTGTAATTTGACTTACATTTAGTTAGTTTTCTTTATTTCCCTTGAGACTTCCTGTTTGACCCATAGATTATTTAGAAGTGTATTGTTAATTTCTATGTGTTTAGAGATTTTCCTCCTGTAAGTGTATTGTTAATTTCTATGTGTTTAGAGATTTTCCTCCTATCTTTTTTATAGATTTCTATTTTTATTTCAATGTAGTTGAAAAACACACTGTATCCTTTTCGTTCTTTTAAATTCATTAAGGTTTGTTTTACGGCCCAAGATACAGTCTATTTCACATATATTCTATGGACACTGCTATTATTGGGTGAAGCGTTCCATAAATGTTGATTCCATCCTGGTGCTCAGCAGTGTTGAGTTTTCCATGTCCTTGCTGATTTCTGTCTGGGTATTCTGCTAATGGTTGAGAAAGGAGTATCAAAGTTTTCAACCATGACTGTGGGTTTGTCTGTTCCTCCTTTCAGTCCTATCAATTTTTGCTTCACATATTTTGCAGTTTTTGCTTCACATATTTTGCAGCTCCACCTATTGAAGGAAATAGTGTCAAAGTATTATGGGCAAGTTTTTTTTTTTTTAACTTTTATTTTAGGCTTGTGGGTGGACATGTGTTAAAACCACATGATATAAAGCAAATCCCTTCACTTATACCAAAGGACATCACTCTAACAAGTGTCCCCTTTCTCCTACATCATCCATTTTTACATCTCTACTTGATCATTCTCATCATTTAACAAACTTGTCATTTTCCCAGCTTTTAAAAGAAACTCCCCCAGATACACTCAAATATTTTTCTCGCCTTTGCAGTAAAACTCTTCAAAGGAACTGCCATTAGTGTCTTCCCACTCTCTCTTAAACCCATTCCAATCAGGCTTTCATTACAATTGGTGAAAACTCTTCTTGTCAGGTCACCAATGACCCAATGCTGCTAAACCCAATGATCAATTCTGAGTCCTCATATTATTCGATAATCAGTAGCAGTGATCACTCTCTCTTCCTTAAAACACTTTCTTCATTTGGCTTCTAGGTCACCTCAGTCTCTTGGTTTTCCTCCTATTTCAGTGGTTGCTTCTTTTCAGTCTCCTCCACTGGGTTCTCTTCTCTGCAACTTATTAATGTTATAATGCATCAGTTCTGGGACACTGGTTCTTTGTTTATCTCAAACTACACTCACTGTCTTAGTAATTTCATACAATCTCATGGCTTTAAATGTCATATAGGCCATGACTCACAACTTTATACCTGCAGTGCAGTCCTGTTAGCTGAACTCTTGACTCACATATTCAACTGCTTATTCAACATCATCTCTCCTCAAATGTTTGGTAGATGTCTAAAAATCAACATGCCTAAAACTGAGATGTCTATGTCATACCACAAATTTGCTATGCACTTAGCCTTCCTCGCCTCAGCAGTGGCAACTCCATCTTTCCAATTGTGCAAACTAAAATCTGGAAGTTATGTTTGACTTGTCTCTATGTCTTATAGCACACATCTAATCCATCAGTAAATCCTTTTGATTCTTCTTTTCAAAACGTATCTGGAATACAACCTCTTTTTACTATCTCCATGATCACCTAGGCCTTTCATGTCTTTTCTCAGATGTCACCTTCTCATTGAAGCCTATCCTGACCACATTGTTTAAAATTGCATCCCTCACTTCTGCCCAACTTTACACTGCTTTATTTTTCTTTTTCCCCACATATAGCACATAACATCTTCTAACATACTATGTAATTTGTTTATTTATCATATTGATTCTCTCCACAAAGGCAAGGGTCTTTGTTTTGCTCACTGGAGGGGTCCCAATTTTGTTTGCTTCACTGCTGTGACTATAAGGTACATCTATAGAGGCATTCATAGCACATAGTATTTGCTCAGTAAATATTTGGTTCTGAACAAACCTTGCTTATGTTTTTTTAAAAAATACGCCTATGGCTGCTGTGTGGATATAGATTGATGGGAGTGGAGGGAAAATATATATCCCTTAGAAATGTTTTCACCTGCTAGTAATAGACAAAAATCAGACCACTTTGGATGAAACAAGAGTTATTTTTCCCTTAGAATATGATGTGAGAGATGTAACTTTTGGACTTAGTATATCAGGGCTAATGTCTCTGTGACTATAGTCCCTTTTTTCTCATTCTCACAACTGGTTACAGCAGCTCCAGCCATCAAATTTACATTCTAGATGAGGAGATGGAGGAAGGTAAATAGGGAGTTTCCAAGAGTCAGGGATATTTTGCATTAGCTTATACAAAGGTGGAGATGAAGAAATGCAAAGAGATTTTGCAATATATGTTTGTTATAAACTGGGGGAATAGTAATGAGAAAGGTGACTCCTAGGTTATTTATATGAGTGATTGGGTAAATGGTGGAGTCATTTATTTAAGTAGTTCAAATGCAAGGAGAAAGAGATATGAAGAGAAAAACTCAAGATCTCCAAACTGGACATACTAAATCAGAGATGCTCACTCATTATCCAAATGTAAATTTCAAGTATGCAGTTGGATATACAAGTCTGATGGTAATGGGAGAGGTTTGAGCTGGAGAGACACACTGGAGAGTCATGAGCACATGGGTGGTATTTAAAGCCATTGTACCAGGTAAGATCACCAGCAAATGTAGATAGTATTCAAAATTGAGTCACAGTTAAAGGGGAGGAGGAGAAAAAGCTAAAAGACTGAGAAGAAGAAAGGGGAAAATCAGGAAAATGTCGTGTCACTGAAATCAGAGTTTAAGAACAGAATTACTTAGCCTTCTGGAATCCCAGTTTTCTCCTCTGTGAAATGAGGTGAGAATAGCTATCTCTTAGGGTGTTTATGAAGACAAAATGCTATCATGTGTGTAAATGTCGGGATAGTGGCTCACCATGATAGGCACGCAATCAATGTCTGCTCCCCTCCCTTTGGGAGTAGCCTCCTAGGCTATGTTCCCAGACCCACGGAGGAAAAAACACTTTCCAGATAACCTTTTTACATTCCAGCAGGCTACGTTGATTCAATATGGTAAATAGCCATTTGTCTGGAAAACTATTTATGCAGGATGACTAGAACAAATATTGATTTTGTTTTATCCTGATATCCATATAACTCAAGGACAAGGGAAATTCAGTACACGAATTTTAGAAACAGTAAATGTGTTGCTCATATTTTCAAGTCTGTATTAGTAATGAATAAATTAACACTTGTTTGATGAATAAACAAATGAATGAATCAAGTGAAAGGGAATGAGGTAATGTCTATTCTAGGGCAGCATTAAGCTGTTTGTAAGTGTATGTGTTAATTATCTTAAGGTGGTTGGCTTAGTTGGTTCCAAAATGGTGTTATCAAGTTAATATTGCAGGACTACTCCTTGCTCCAATACCACATATTGAACTATTGACTACCCAACAATGGACCAGTGACAAGCCCATTGCTACTGTAGGAAACAGTAAAAACTCAACGCAAAGAAGATAAACTCTACCTTAGGTCAAGAATTTAGAAGATGTCCTCTACTTTCTAGGGAGTGAATGTAGAATTTGCATCCTCTTTATATATTAAGGCCAGATTTAGCTTCTGGGGACCACTTCATGCAGTTTCTGCAAGTATATTTGTGGATATGTCTACATGTCTGTGCAGGCAAGGTAAATTCACGTCTTCGGACAAAGGAGTACCAGCCTACACTGATCCCGGAAAGATTTACTCACTTACAGTCAAGTGAATGAAAATTAGAGTGGAAAAATCAAGGGATGTAATTTGAAGTGAGAACAGCATTGGAGTTTGTTTTATTTATACTGATAATGAGTTCTTGGAGCCAAACATTTTTTTTCTCCTCGGTTGGTGGCTCTCTGTTGCTTTTTGCTCTTTTTTTTTTTTTTTTTTTTTTTTTAGCTTGCTTTGAAGCCACCCTGAACAAATCCATAGCAATAATCAAATGGAGGATTTAAATATGACCCACATGGAACTGTTCTGACAGTTGGGGTACCTGAGAACTGTTCAGCAAAACTTAATTTACCAACTTCCTTTTCCCTCACTAGTGAGGGACGTATGTACAGACTTGAGGGGACATGATTGAATAATGGTTACCGGATCTAATTTAAACTTGTTTTTAAATAGCAATAAAATGTATACTGGGTTGAAGAATCTATCTCACAGCTGCCTACAGCCGTTTTTTAAAATCACTCTTTTATGCAGCATCCCTGGAAAGTCATCCATTAACCCAAGAGAGGGAGCATGGACTCCCACAAAGGAAGCATTTTGTTGCCCACTGAACACATATTGAAAGCACTTTTCTGTAGTTTGAAAATCTTCAATCTGCTGCACCCTTTAAATCTTGGCTGGCGAAGACAGGACCTAACAGATCACATTCCCAGAGTTTTGCTGGCAGTACTGATAAAATGAAGAAGCCAGTAAAATAAAGGCCACATTGCTAGTGTGTGAAGTTCAAGGAAGCCTGGTCAAAAATCTAATGTTTGTTAAATGGAAAGGGAAACAGCCTATCCTCCAGCACCTGCTAAAAATGTAATGATTTTCCTGGCATGCTTTAAGGGAAGGGCAAATCATAGTTCTGAGTTCAATATCATGTGGCCCCTTGAGAAAGGAAACTGAAAGCAGCAAAGAAAAACTCTAATCAGGAGCAAGATATTTGCTGCTGGTTTTCCCTCACAACCCATGCCAACCAGTGGAACAACAGCTAAAATTAACGGTTTTTTTCCTGAGTGCCTTTGGGAGGCACTGTGAGCCCAGGTGAGTCTAAGCTAAGCACTGGCCAGGTGCAGAGAAAAGAGACTGGCAGGAGCTAGGGTCCGTAACGTCAGGCAGCCCACGTCGGAGCTTAGATTAGGAGAGAGTAGGTGACGGGCCTGTGGACCAGGGATAGCTTTGGAAGGGGGTGGGGAGGGGACTGTGGTTATAATAATACAATAAGAGCTAATTCTGATTAGGTACTAGCTGTATACCAGGCACTGTACCAGGTATATTACACAGATTATCTTTTTATTTCATAGAAGTTAGTTACTATTATTACTCCTGGGTTCACGGATGAAGAAACAGGCTCCGGTAGATTAAGGGTGTTGCCCAGGGTTCCCCCTGCAGTGAGTAGGGGAGCCAGGGCTTACAACCAAAAGCTATGACTCCAGGATTTAGCCTTTTAACACACGGTGCTAGATCAGGCCTCAGGGACTCAGTGGCTGAGTCTCTGTGTTGGGGCATGACTGTGACATCCTCTTCTGTTTTCTTCCTTCTGCTGCTCTTCTGCAGACCTGGCCATCACCCAGGCTCAAACACAGATAATGGGAGAACAGAGACAAGTGAGACAGCCAAGGAGAGGAGGTAGGCAGTGCAGGGCCCAGGGATAGGAAGAACTAGGCCACTGGGAACTCGACAGCTGATGGGAAGGACCAAAACACAGCTCATGTTGGCGCTTCAGAAATCCGCTGGCGTTAACTTCCAGAGAACTTCTTGACAGTTGTCCCCAATTACTTCATCAAGGAGTCAAAACAATAAAACCGGGATAGGATAATGGCCAAATAGTGGATTAAAACCCACACTACGAAGTAGTGTGTCCAAGAGTTTCATTTTCATTGGTATTTTTGGCCATAGTAAGGAAATAGTTTAGTATGTTGCAAATTGTTTACTACTGCCTTCAGATCTTCAAAGAGCTTCAGTGAGGGAGGGAGCTGATTGGTTCTATGCGGCTTCCAGAGAAGCATTAATTCCTATTAGTTCTATTCGGAAGGACTGTCTATCAGTGTGCAACCAACCCCACAAAGCAGGACTTCACCACAGAGCACAGCCGAGCAGAAGCGAGGTCACTGGTCAGGACTTGGCTGCTCATTATAATCCCCTGGGAAGTTTTAAGAAAGTCTGATGCCTTGGTCTCACCCCCAGAAATTCTTACTTAGATGATCTGAGGTGGAGCCCTGGCGTTAAGATCTTTAAAACCTCCCCTACGTGATTCCAATATTCAGCAAAGTTTGAGAACCACAGAGTTAGATATCTCATCAGGGAGGCTGCAGCACAAATTGAGTAGGAGGTTGGTCCAGGTTATTTCTAAAGTCCCTTTCAGTTCTAAGATCCTAAACTGCTAACCAAGTACATTCACTGTGAGTTTGCTGTTTATGATGGCTATGGATAATTTTATGATTAATTATTAGTGACAGTGGACTACAATTTTTTACATGTAGAAAAGTGACACGCTGTAAGCAACAAAAGACCACATCCACTATTTTGGATTTCTGTCTCTTTGAAATTATGTTTAAGGAAAAGAAGCTAAGAAAACGTACGATAAATTTAGAATGCTATTAATCCGAAACCACCCTTCCTCCCTGGCTCTGTATCCTGGCACACTGGAACATGGAGAGTTTCTGGAGATTAATAATAACAGTGCACATGGATCTACTTGCATCTTAGATATCCAATCTCATTGTTTCAAGGGAAAAATGATATTGGACTTAGACAAATTTTCCAGAGGGAAAAAAGACTGTGCAGTATGACTGCCAGTTGGAAAGCACAGGCACAGAGCAGACCTATTTCAGCCTCCACTTTATATCCCTGCCATCTTGCATCGTTTTTCTCACTCCTAGATCTAAGTATTGTATTTGGCAGAAACTGTCAGAATCCCTTCAAACCGCAGTCTGAACTTCATACAAGGGCCTGAACTAATTCCACACAGGGACTTAGAATCACAGTTGCCAGTGGACTATTTAAAGACAGAAGTGCAGGACTTGTATCAACATAACTGCTTCCAGTAGATGCGGCAGGGTTCAAGGAGTCCTGCCTAGTGGAAACAAGTTCTTGGTCTGATTTTAACCTGCCATGATCCCTGCAGCGTGACTTTGGACCAACTATGTCCCCCTCAGTGCTTCAGTAACCTTAGAAGTTAAGCAAACACAGAAATGCTGACTCACTTCAGAGGGGGGCATTGTGAAGCCCAGAAAGAGGCCCTGCATTAGTAACACAAAAGGAAGCTAAACTGTGTTTTCATGATCCCAGACTAGAGTCTCCAGAACTTTTAACTTGATATAGCTTTATGGTTCCCACTGTGGGGCGGGCTGTGACTGACAGTGGAGCTAAAGTAGTTATTCAGCACTTGTCCACAGGAATATCCTAAAGCTTGATGTTCTGAATATTACCACCTCTAAAAAATATATTGTGGAAAACTGCACTGTTGCTCTGTCAGTTAAGAGTTTAATACGTTATATTGATGACAAATCAATTTCAAGCTGTCCATGTTGAACTTGTCAAGCAGCTTTGGCAAAACAGAATGGGTTGGCAAACAAATAACTTCCTGGAGTGTGGGGGCAGAATGATTTAGAAACCTCGGAATTCAGGGAGGTGAAGGATGCTGGGAAAAGAGCAACAGAATCTGGGGTCTGAAATGTCCACTCATCTAGGGAAGGAAATTTCTATGACTATTGAAATCAGCTACTTGGGCAGGTAAATGATTGGCAAGAACAGAAGGCAGTTAATGAACCATCCAACAGCTTTGGAAGGCAGCAAATGATGGAGAAACCAGAGGGAGGCTGAGACAGAGAGGAAGGCAAGCAATAGCCCGCCTTATCAAAGAAGAATCTTCCCAAATCCTACTGCAAGGAAGGGAAAGGAAATCAATACCACAGTAGGAGATGATGGCACATGAAACCAATTGGCTGAAGATTATGCCCAAAGAGAAACTGAACTTTACGAGTATATTTTTCTAAGGGACATTTTGGCACCTGACTCATAATCTCTACCTACTCTAACTCTCCTGCTGTCCCAAGCAAGGAAGCAGTTTGTGGAATACCCATCTCTCACTCTTGCTTGAAAGTTTCTTAATCTACTCTGCTCCATTCACCTTCATCTAGGCCCCACTTGAGCAATCCACTCTTCTGGCCACACTGGGATCTTGTTTATGACCCCAAACCAACTCCATCATTGAGACCTTGAACTCTGATCGGCCATACCCCAATCTTATCCCCTTAAGTGGTTAACACCCTGTCTCTATTTGCTCTCATTGCACTTGCCTGTGGAGCCCATGAGACCTCATAAGATCAGTCTTCTTTTTTTTTTTTTTTGAGACAGAGTCTTGCTCTGCCACCAGGCTGGAGTACAGTGGCGCGATCTCGGCTCACTGCAACCTCCACCTCCCAGGTTCATGCTATTTTCCTGCCTTAGCCTCCCGAGTAGCTGGGACTACAGGCACCCGCCACCACGCCCAGCTAATTTTTTGTATTTTTAGTAAAGACAGGGTTTCACCATGCTGGCCAGGATGGTCTCGATCTCTTGACCTCGTGATCCACCCACCTCAGCCTCCCAAAGTGCTGGGATTACAGGCATGAACCACCGTGCCTGGCCTTTTTTTTTTTCGAGGCAGAATCTCACTCTGCTACCCAGGCTAGAGAGCAGTGGTGTGATCTCAGCTCACTGCAACTTCCGCCTCCTGGGTTCAGGTGATCCTCCCGCCTCAGCCTCCCGAGTAGCTGGGACTACAGGCACACACCACGCCCGGCTAATTTTTGTATTTTTTGTACAGACAGGGTTTCACCATGTTGCCCAGGCTGGCCTTGAACTCCTGGACTCAAGAGATCTGCCCGTCTTGGCCTCCCAAAGTGCTGGGATTACAGGTGTGAACCACTGAGCCCAGCGGTTCATCTCTGTCTCATGTATCCTGAACCCATCCATCACTCCCAGGCCAATCAGTTCTCTGGTGGGGGGGTTCCACTGCCTCTCCTACATACCCAGAATCATACCATGATGGCTTGTCTATTTAACCATTCCCTCTCAGTAACCCTAACTCTCACTACACCCACCACCTCAAGAGACCCTTCCCCAAATTCGCCCTTCTAATCTCCTGCATCCATGCTGCCGAACACTGCTTGGAAAAAAATAATACAAACATCTAATTACAGTCCCCACAGTTTGTGGTTTCCAGCTTCTGCTGAGCTTGCAGTGCTGCTTAGCAAATCTTGCCTTGCTCTGGTCACCTCTCAGCAGCCAACCCACATCCCCAGTGCTCCCGGGAAGCTGCCCTATTCCACCCTCAACCCAACCTATCTATTCTCCACCTTGCCTCCCATCCCACAGAAAAGATGAAGTCAAGACATGTTAAATCTTTCTCTTCTCAGCCTCACCATCAAACTTATCTAGAGCTGCATCCAGGCCTGCCTATTTCCCCCTGCTCTGGAAGAAGGAACCTCGCTGGGCGTTTGAAATCATTGCCTCCTTCCCTCTCTGTGCCCCCTAGCCTGGTCCCTCCCTTTACCCTGGCTTCTCTCCCTCAACTTCACACTTGCTCAAGACTCTCTACTCCTCCAAAACAAACAAAAAGGACAACCGTGTCTCCCTTCTATTCTGCAACTCCCTCTAACCATCCCACCTCTCCTCTTTCCTTTCCAGCTAACCTTCTTTAAAATTACTTCCATATTCATTGCTGGCAGCTCCTTACCTCCCATTTGTTCTTTGACCCACAGAAATCTGACTTCTGTCCTTTCCACCAGAACTGCTCTTGCTCTCACCAATGAGCAACTTCCAGATCCCAGGGATAGTGTTGAGTTTTTATCTCGCTGAACTTATTTCAGTTTCTTGAAGCCACTTTCTCCCTGGACTCTCTTCAGTTCTTCTTCTGCCTCCCAAACTGCTCTTGTCCCTTAAACTTCGCTGCTTGCCAGGATTCTCTCCTCTTCACTGCTCCCCAGCTCCTGCCCTTGCCTCTGCTGGCACCTGCTTTTGGTCCTTCCTCCGTAAAACCACCACTATGGACTTTCTTTTCCAAAATGCAAATCTGATCATGTCGCCACTCTACCTAGTGCCTCCCCAGCACCCACTGAATGGAGACCCTTCTCCTCGTTGCTGAACACAGGGTTTTTCTCAACCTGGCTGCCAGCAATGTGTCCAGCCTCATCTCTTTTTCCTGCTGAAAAGCATTCTGTGCTACAGCCATTCAGAAAAACTTGCACAAGCCCTGTTAAGCATGGACAACCTATGATAAATACTAATGAAGTAATATTAAATAAAGGGACATTCTAATAGGAATTACTTACAGAGGGTTCAATTAATGTCTCCTCATCTTAATATTATTTAATATTTAAATGATTTTTTTCCTCCGGAAAGGTTTTTTCATACTTCTTTGTCTTTGCACAGCTGTTTCCTCTGTTTAGAATGGTCCTTCCCACTTAGTAAATTACTCAACCTTCAAAATCCAGCCTAAATGAATATCCCAATCTCTACAAAGCCACCCTTTGCTTGCCTCTTTCTGGCCTTGCTCTTCTGGTCCAGGAGAATAGCGGCTTCCTTTTTTATCCACAGCATCTTGTGTCCCCTCGACTGTGGCCCTTGTCCAACTGCACTGCAGTGTTTTCCTCAAGTGCCTGTTTCCCTCACTGGTCTGTGAGCTCCCTGAAGGCAGGTATCATGTCTTAATCATCTTCAAATCCCCAAACCAGCCCATCCCTGTCACATAGCAGGCTCGATGAATGATGAATTTTATTAGGTTAGACCATTTGAAATTGCCATTTTTATAGGTCACAAATAATCAAATACCAGCAATTTCATATGATTTGACCTATTACTGTAAGTATTTTTGATGTCTTACTCTATGAAGCTCAAAGTACCTTATAAGCATTGTGTAATTAATCCTAGGGAAATTCCTGCAGGATACCATGAGAAATCATGATAATCACTTTAAGGGTGGTTCAGTAGGTCAGTGACAGGAGTGGAGCTGGAACTAGACATTCTTCTGGTCATATCCCTCATCTTAGGGTCCGCAGTACTAGACTCATGGAATTCTAGAGTGAGAAATAAATTCAAAGGGTCACCTGCCTGGCAGCTCCAGGCAGTGGGACACATAAATCATCTTTAAATGGTTCTCTGTCTTTCCTGTCATTTGTGCAAAGTTGAAGATTATATGATCTCTTGCAATAATAATTTAACATTTCCCTCTCACACCCTCACCAGGCAGTCCATTTCTAACCCATCTTTCTCTTGCTGCAATATATCAATTTCTGACTTTATAGAGATAAAAGCAGCTGCAATGTACCCAGCTTATAATAACCCTCCTACTACTTATTACAGCCACTTGTCCTCCCCTCAGTTTCATTTTACTCCTGAAAAAAGTCCCTTCTCTTCTAAACTCTATTCATAGGATCTTCGCATCATTTTAATCAAAAGATTTCAGGATCTTCTAAAACAATATTTCCCAGTTTCATTAGACCATGTTAAAAATGGAATATCCATTAACATCCTCCTGACCTAATGTTTGGTGGAGTAAAATTTGGGAAACAGGGCTCTGTGATGTTCACACATTCCTTTTTAAATGTTAAGATTAAAAATTAGATGTGATTTCCTAGTAAAGGTGTCACTTGTATCACCTACAGTACAAAGATGATTTCCCAGCCTTTGCAAAGTCATAATTCTGTTTACATACTTATTATTGCAATAGTCTTTTAAACTGCAGGCTCATAATGTCACCTCATACTTAGAACATACTTGTGCTTTTATAGTCTTGAATAATAATTGAGCTTTCATTTCCTGTCTTGCATAATGACTAAGTTTGGATTTTATTTATTGCATATGCTATCTTGATTGGGTTCTATCATCTATTTCTTTCTCTAAATTGTTCTCATCATTTAAAAATTCCATCCATCTGAAGTCTTAGCAACCACCCCTGTCTTGTCACCTGCACTCCCCCAACCCTCAGAATTGAAATGTTTGTACCTTTTTGTCTTTGCACAGCTGTTTCCTCTGTCTAAAGTGGTCCTTTTCGCCGTGCAAATTGTATTAGGTTGCTTTCAAATATACCACCTTTGAAGTTTTTTATTTTATTTAAATATATTAGATAGCTTGGGAGGGAAGTTTCCTGATAAATTTCAGCAGGCATTTAATCGTACTTGCTACCTGTTTAACCCTGTGCTAGGTACTGTGACAGCTTTCAAAGCTCACGGTTATCTCATCTTGGTGAAGTGGTAGTTCATACTTATAAGTAGTTCACTAACATTGGAAGGTATTATACAATCAAACACCTAGAGGAATAATAAAAAAGCAAGTGTCATGCAGATCTAAGAAGAAACCTATCAAGTTTAGACTTGATCTATGATGTGAAAGATTAGGAGGATTTAGGCATTCAAAAAGAATGAAGAGGTGATGAGATGAAGTGCAGAAGTAACAGCAGGTGCAAATATGATCTATCTCTATTGTCCATATGGATGGGTAAACAATTAGCACATAGGTCAGTTACAGCCCCTATTACTCTATACTAGTACTAGCTGTATGTAAGTCTGCCATCCTCACTGCTTTGTGACTGCAATGATGGCAGAGACCATAATGTCCTTATCTACCTAGTGATTTTAAGTGTGCCTGGCCTATAGTACATGCTCAGTAAACATATGTTTAAATTTTTAAAGGAAAATTGGTTTGAATGAAAAAGCAAGTTAATATGCGGAACAGTGAGTGAATTCAGATTATTGAGGCCTCTGAAAGGCACCTGGGCAATTCCAGCTTCCTTGGATGGGAGCCGCTGGAGTCCTGCATGGGAGTGACAAGATAATGGGATATTTGGGGAATTTATCTGGCCATAGTGTTCAGAATGAATTAAAAGAGGAGAAAGGGAGAAATGAAGGAATAAAGGCATTGTCTAATCCTCCACCTATCTCTCTATCTCTCACCCTCCCATCTCATGCTTCTAGAAAGATCTTTGGCATTTTGTTATCTTCATATCCCATTCACTCCTCAGCTCCTTCAAACTTCTCTTCTGTTCCCACTTCACAGCATTTAACTACTCAATCTCTCTGCAGTATTTAACATCATTAACATTTATCCTTTAAAAATAGCTCTTTTTTATTACATAATTATTGTAACAAATTTAAACAATACTTAAAATGCAAAGAAGCAAGTAAAACGTACCCAAATCTCCTCTTCCAAAGATAATCACCGTTAACACTTTGGTGAACATTCTTCCAAACATCTTTCTAGTCTATGCATACATGCACAAGCAGATGGCTCTGTGCATAGAGATTTACATAAATTGCATCATATAATACTCATTTCTTGCAGTGACTTGCATTGCTTTTCCTAAACAATAAATATAAATGCCAATAAGCATAAGCATAAGCCTGTGTAACTTTTGATAGGGGCATTGTCCTCTAATGAGTCCATAGCATTATTTATATTACAAGTTCTCCAGAGGATGAATGTTAAAAGTTTGTTTCCAGTTTTTACTATTCTAAACAATATTTCAGTAAACACTTTTATGCATTTATCCTTTTGCCATCTGTATTGTATTATTATTATTATTATTTTTGAGACAGAGTCTTGCTCTGTGGCCCAAGCTAGAATGCAATGGCACGATCTTGGCTCACTGAGACCTCTAACTCCCGGGTTCAAGTGATTCTCCTGCCTCAGCCTCCTGAGTAGCTGGGATTACAGGCGTGCACCACCATGCCTGGCTAATTTTTGAATTTTTAGTAAAGGCAGGGTTTCACCATGTTGGCTAGGCTGGTCTCGAACTCCTGACCTTGTGATCCACCCGCCTCAACCTCCCAAAGTGCTGGGATTACAGGCATGAGCCACTGCGCTCGGCTGTATTGTATTATTTTTAATAAACCCACTTCTTCTTTAAATTCTATTATACATTACACATTCTTATAACCTGTCTCTGTTTTGTCCATTGGCTCTAATTTTTCCTGGTCCTCCCACCTCTCTGAGGTTTCTTCACAGATTTCTTCATGGGTTCTTTCCCTGGCCCTGGCTTACCCTTTAAATATTCGTATATAATTGATTATCCTTTGCACATTCTTGCCCTTGTTCTATGTCCTTTTTCCAACCAATCTCATTTATTCTCATAGTTTAACAACCGCATCTAGATGGATAACTACAATTTGCATTTCAAGAAAGATGTCAGGATCTTCATTGCTGACAGCTTTCCTGAAATTCAGATAGGTATCTGCTAGCTGCTGCACCCAGATATCCCAGGCAAATCAGTGTATTTGGTAGATTTACTCTTCTCTCAAACCTACTCCAATTCCTGTGCACTCAGCCATTTAGATGTCTCATACAAAAGCTTGGGGTTCATTTCTTATTCCTTCTTCTCTCATTGCTCTATGTCCAATCAATCATCAAGTTTGTGAATTCTCTGTCCTAAAAATATTATGAAATGCCTTAAGATTTTCTCAGGAAGCTACTGGAAGATGTGCTATACCAAAACAAGGGGGTAAACCAAAGAAAGGAAGACATGGTAACCCGGATACAGGGACACCCAAGACAGAAAGCAGAAGAAAGAAATACCCAAGATAATGGGGAAGAAAGTTCCAAGGCAACAGGTGTTCAGCCAGCCCAGGCAGGAACCTGTCTAAGTGGAGCAGGATGATAGAGGACTCTTGGAGGGATGTTGTCAAAAAGAAAGGGAAACTGCTAGAAGGTGTAAGGTGTTTGAATGTACCAGGAGATGTTATTACAGTTTGGTAAAATTTTGGGGGTTAATTAAGTGGCTGCTTTACAGAAAAAAAATACATATATATACATGGCTCAACTCTGACTAATAATTCCATAATCATAATTATGATACTGTCAACATGGAATATTGACTTAATTGAAAACATGGATATAACTATACTGGAATGATGGAATTTTTAAAAAGTGTTTTGTGTATGTGGGGGTAGGGGGGAGAAAAGGTATCTAAGGGAGGCTAATTCCCATCTTCTATTTTAGGATATGACCTTTTGTACGTTTCATTTTCTAAAAATGAAAAATAAAGAAACGGGACTTAAAGAAAATAATCAAAAGAGTAGGCAGGCGTTGCATCAAAGAAGAGGGTAACAGGGGTGAGAAGAAATGGGAGGGGCAACTCCTGTTTCTCATTGTAAGCCCAGTAGTACTATTTTATTTGCCTTCTTAAAGTATATACAGTTGGCCCTCCATATCAGCACGTTCCACATTCGTGAATTCAACCAACTGCAGACCGCAAATATTTGGGAAAAAGATTATACTGAACATACACAGATTTTTCCTTTTCATTGTTTTCTAAACAATATAGCATAACAAGTATTTACATAGCATTTCCATTATATTGGGTATCATAAGTAATCTAGAGATGATTTAAAATATATGGGGGGATGTGCATAGGTTATATGCAAATACTATGCCATTTATATCAGGGATTTGAGCATCTGTAAATTTTCATATTTAAGTGAGTTCCTGGAACCACTTCTCCACAGATACCTAGGGACAACTGTATATACATTACTTTGATTTAAAAAAATAAAAAGAAAGAAAAGTTGAGGCTGGGCACAGTGGCTCACACCTGTAATCCCAGCACTTTGGGAGGCCAGGGCGGGTGGATCACTTGAGGTCAGGAATTCGAGACCAGCCTGACCAACATGGTGAAACCCCATCTCTCCTAAAAATACAAATATTAGCCAGGCGTAGTGGCACGCACCTGTAATCCCAGCTACTTAGGAGGCTGAGGCAGGAGAATCCCTTGAATCTGGGAGGTGGAGGTTGCAGTGAGCTGAGATCACACCATTGCACTCCAGCCTGGGCCACAAGAACAAAATTCCATCTCAAAAAAGAGAAAAGAAAAGAAAAGTTGAGAATATCCAGCAATAGACAAATAGACAAAAAATATGTCCTTCAAATAATGGAATATAGGTCACTGTTGAAAAAACAAGGTAGATATATGGAAAAAAAAATAAAATTGTCCAAAACATATTAAAAAATTAAAAAAAACACAAAGTTCCAAAAGGTAATAATGTTACTTTCAGAATGAATCAAATTAGAATAGTAACAAAACCATTAATGATTTATGCAGTGAAATTTCACGTTTCATGTTACATAGTTTAGTAATGTTTGAATTTTGTATAAAGAAAAGGTTTTTTTTTCTGGTTACAAAATTATAATAAACAGATATTTCTCATATGTACCATGTCCCCTTCATTCCTAATACTTCTGCCTTTTTTAAAGCCCTTACTTAAGTGGCTTATTGACAGCCCCAGAATAAAGTCCAAGCGCATTAGGATGGTATTTAAGACTTTCCAGGAAGGGCTCCTTACTGTCGTGTCTGGTCTGGGCCTTGGCCACTTTCTACCTCACCCTCAGGAGCTTCTTGCACATTTACTGCGTGTCACTCTTGTGCTCTCCCTACCCTGCCCAGGTGACCCATTTCTGCACCATGGTCCCTCCACAGACTCCTCCCTCCACCCTCAGCCTCCACCAGAGTCTAAGTATCAGCTGGAGGAAGTCTAGGCATCCTCTGCTTCAGGAAGCCTCCCCTTCCCCCTGAGCTGGGTTGGAGTCCCACCTCCAAACTCCCCAGAGCAGTTTGTGAATGACCTATCATAGGACTTACTACATTGTTCAGATGTGATTATTGTTTGCACTAGCCTCCTATCACTAAACTATTAACTCCAAAAGCATGGAGGCTGTGATTTACTCACTGCTACATCATCAGAGCCTAGCATAGAGTCTAGCACTAATGAACATTCAATATACGCTTAAGTTAATTGAATGATTCAGGCACAAGTTGATGAGAATTTGTTCTATACCCACTAGGGCTAAACATTACTATCAACCTCTACTTTAAGGGACATGACACTTTGAAAAATGTCAGTGCACTGGCCATCTCTAATCTAGGATATGGAAGAATGGAAAAAGAGCAGGTACCACTGTCTTCCTGCCCACCTTCGTGTGAATGTAGCAGCAATCACGCACAAAATGGCGGAGAGTGTGTGAGCAGACCACTTGTGACAGCAAGAGACAATGCTCCCTGCTCATTGCCTGTCACTTTCCTGAGTCTGAGACCCTCTCCTCATGTAATCTTTGCCACACAGGCATGCTTCAGAAGGCTGACTTTACCTGTCTGTCGAGCTGATCTGAATCAACTCCATGGCATTCAGATTCAGCACTGATAGACTTAACATGCGGTAGAGCCAACATCCTTGCTGAAGTCCAAGCAGATTCCATCTGTAATCATAGTTCTTCAAACCCCACAAGTTTGTGGATTCATGTGGGGTTTCATTAATAGTAATGATCCCAGTTTTACTAGGCAAAATCTGAGTTCCTCTTATGATCTGCCCCCACCAACCTCATCTCATACAGGTCTCTCCCTTTCTCACTCTTCTGCATCCGTATCAGCCTCTCTCCTTGTTTCACATCGATTGCTAGAACCACATCTTAGAGCTTAGCAATGCCAAAGGTATAAATATCAAACATCCTACATTTGAGAATATTTCTCATGTTGTAGCTTCTTGATAGAAATTGAATGTAGTCAATCAGTAAAATAAATAAGCACTAGGTTTAAAGTAAACCATTAATAAAAATGAATACCTGTAAGTCACTCCAAAATAATGTGGATAGAAGTTAGACTTTAAAAAATAGACCCTGCTTTGTTGATTTGATTTTTGGACTATGTAAATATTTTAGGTAATTACAAAACAAATTTTAAAAACCCAATTCCCATAAATAAAAGTAAACCACACAGAGAGGAAATTTTCCAAGTAGTTTTAAACACAGTAACTTTAATTGTATACATCCTTAGCGAAATATACCCTACTGACAAAAATAATTGCAAAAATAAAATATGAAACTGTTTCCAGTATTCTTATTATTGGTGCTAGTGTTAGTATTCCTATTCTGAAACTGTTATATGTGTATTGTGGAGTGTTTTTTTTTTAAGAGTAATTATACTAGTATAATTGAGAACAAAAATTTTTTTTTCTGGTAAAGGAAATACAGATATAAGATTCATGAGGTGGCTCACACCTGTAATCCCAGCACTTTGGGAGGCCGAGGCAGGCAGATCACTTGAGGTCAGGAGTTCGAGACCAGCCTGGCTAACATAGTGAAACCGCTTCTCTACTAAAAATACAAAATTTAGCCAGGTGTAGTGGTGGGCGCCTGTAATCCCAGCTAATCGGGAGGCTGAGGCAGGAGAATCACTTGAACCTGGGAGGTGGAGGTGGCAGTGAGCCGGGATTGCACCACTGCACTCTAGCCTGAGTGACAGAGTGAGACTCCATCTCAAAAAAAAAAAAAAAAAAAAAAAAAAAAATATTCATGAGGTTAAGTGAAAACACTATAGCTCTACATTGAATTGCAAGTACCAATACAAATTCATGATATATTTTGTCTTTAAAATGAAAAACACGTTTCCTAGCCCTGTCACACTAAAAAGACCTAGAAACTACAGTAATCCAGTGGCAATGAGCTCCCTGAGTAATCAGACTGTGATCTTTAAATGCCATCTCCCAATAAGGGAATCAAGGTTCTTTGCAGATATGACTGTAACCAAGCCTGGGATTGAAAAGTACAGGATGAGTCTAAAGTATTTTGTCAGAACAGATAGCTCAGAATCTATCAATGGCTATCAGGGTCATGTCAAAGCAGCCAACCTCAATAAAAAAATAAGTGCAATGAATTCAAATACATCACATACATTTTAAATCACTGAGTTCATATTATACTGAAAGAAGAAAAATCTTATTGTTCACTTTTGGAGGATGCTCAGGAGCCAATTCATTCCTTTGAAAACTGGTAGGTAAATGAAAATAATTAAGCATTGATCCTACTTTTCTATAAGAACTATACCTCAGGAAAATTAAATAATTGAGAAGGCATTATTGTTATGGAACTATTTTAGCTAATAATGAAGAAGAAGAAATGTTAGAATTAGAATATTCCCATTTTGCAACATCTAATGAATTGATCTAGTTTATAATTATCATAAAAAAGAAGCAACCAGATATTATATATCATCCTATGGAAAAACACAACATAAGTTAGTCCTGCCAAAAAAACAAAAAAAAAAAAAGAATCTAAATCTGATCAAGTATCTAAATTTAACTACCAATTGATAAGAATTTAGGGAGCAGAAGTCAATGTTAAATAAACCACAGAGAAACAATAAGCAAAATCCAAAGTTTGGGAAACTCTACAAAAAATTATTTTACATCTTATTTAAGGAAATTTCCAGGAAAAGGAAAAGGAGTTAGAGGAGAAACCTATAGATTAAAGAAGACCCAAGAGACATATAAACTAATCTGTACACTTATAATAACAACGCATGGATTTTATTTAGATTCCAATCCAAACAAATTAACTATTTAAAAATTCTTAAGACAATTGGGATACTCTGCAACTATGTAGGTATTGATAATGAGGAACTATTGTTAAATTTTTAAATGTGGAAATAGTATTATCCTTTCTCTTTTAAAATTATTATCCTTTATCTCTTTTAGAGATACATTGTAAAATATTAGCAGATGAAATTATATGATGTGTAGAGCTTGCTTCAAAATAACCCAGAGTAGACATTATGGTTAGGGATGTAGGTGCAATATGACCATAAGCTCCAAGTTGATAATTGTTGAAGCTGAGTGACAGGTATTCTGAAGTTCATTATTCTATTCTCTCTACTTTTTCACACATTTGAAATTTTCCATGACGAAAGCTTTTTTAAAAATAGATAAGTATGTGTCATCAAAAAGAATGAGTCTGGTCTGGAAAAGAGATTTTACACCCATGTTCAGAACAGCGTTTTCTTCACAACAGCCAAAGAACGGAAGCAACCCAAATGTCCATCAACAGATGAATAGGTAAACAAAATATGATATATCCATACAGTGAAATATTAGTCTTAAAAGGAAGCAAGTTCTGCCACATGCCTAAACATGGATGAAGCCACAGGACGTTATGCTAAGTGAAATAAGCCAGACACGGAAGGACAAATATTGTATGATTCCACTCATATGAGGTATCTAAAAGAGTCAAACTTATAGAAACAGAAAGTAGAATGTTGGTTGTCAGAAACCAGGAGGAGGAGTGGGCTGGGAGTTGTTGTTTAATGGGTGTAGGATTTTGGTTTTGCAAGATAAAAACAGTTCTGGAGATTGGTTGCACAGCAGTGTGAATGTACTTAATACTACTGAACTGTACACTTAAAAGTGGTTAGAATGCTAAATATTATGTTATGTGTATTTTACGATTTAAAATCTCTAATTTTTTAAGTACGTCTGGATCAGCAAGATTCTGGGAGAACAGGCATGATCAAAGGAAGACATTATACAAATAAGACAGTCTTGGTATAAAACAGAGAAATAAACTTAGATGGAGTTGGATGTTAAAGGAGAGGATAAACATTGGAAACCCATGGAAATGCAGTTAAGGGGGGAAAAAGGATGATAAGGAGCTACTGGTCTTCAGAAGAGCGGGATCCTATAAACGCCTGTGCTGATGTGTATGAATACCAGAGTACATGAGCCATTCATATCCCAGGCTCCACATTGCCTCCCTATATTGATAGTGTAATGCCTGGACAGAGCTCATTCTCCTAAGGACCTTTGTAGGTTGATGTGAACTTGTGGTCACTGAGGCAGCATGATACCTTGATTCTTGTCCCAGTCTCTCACTCTCATTCCCAATTGTCCAGACTCCCCACAAATAGTAGACTAGGAAAGATAAGACGTTAAAAATTGCCTTTAAAGCTGATGGGTTAATTTTGACATCTTCACTTGGAGAGGTACATGAACTTTAAGACTGAAATTTACCCCAGAAACTGATAAATAAACCTTTATACATAAATATTTAAGTACTTTTTCAAAACATCAAGCATTCTGCTAAAATATAATAAAGTATTAAGGCCAAGAAAGGGGTACTTTATATAATTGGAAAAAGCAGACTATTATGAAACACCCATTAACATTTTTAAGACTAATGCATAGTAAATTTTTATACAATGTAATTAAACAGAAAAAATAATGCAGATTAAGCATTAGTACTAAAAAGGATGTCAGTACTTTTTGCAAAAACATTATGGTGTACTCTCTGTTCAGAACAAGTATTTAAAACTAATGAAAAAATAAGCATTCAAAAAGATTTGGTAGCAGAGAAAATTAAAAATGGATTCCGAATTATTTCTATTCTAGATCTTCTGTTCCAGCACCCTAATGAAGTTAAATAGTGCAACTAAAATTGTAATTCTAGTTAGATCACTGAATTTTTTTTTTAAGTATACCTATGCTGCCATAGTAGTTAATTGGGCTGAAAAAGACGGGGTTGACTAAGGAAAGTTAAGAAATGAACAGAATTATAAAAAATAATAGATACTGTCTTACATAGCCTTTTTCAGGCTATGTCTGCATATTCTTAATATGTTTTTAACGAAATATCTTTATTATCATTAGGTCATCTTTAGCCCAAATCTCTACATCTAAGGTGTTTTATTGTCAGTTCCAGGACTATGAGAGGCTACAGAATGGTAAAGACCATTCAAGGGGCTGGCTAGAGGTGGGGCAGGGGGCACAGGATGGGCCCAGGATAGGGACAGATTCTACTATCAAAGCAGAGTCAAGGGTATGAATATATTCTATCAATGCAAGTGAGAGCAGAGGATCAGGAACCACTTTCAGTGTCCCTCCTTTGTATTCCCCTGGCATCTTTAACAAACCTCAAACATTGCCCAAGTAGATGCTTTATCACAATTATTAATTTATTTCTCTATTGTCTCCCAAATGCTTCTTTAAAATTGCCCCCCCTTGACTTATTTGACTTTGTGATTCAAGCCCCGGATGGTGTCTGATATGAAGTAGGTATTTAATAATAGCTCTTGGGTATCTAGTTAAAAGATGGAATGAATAGTATGTAGTTATCTTCCAAGTCTATTGTCTTAGTCTTGATTTTTATCGTGAGCTCAAGATCCATATTTCCAGTTGGCTGTTGGACAGCCCTGCCTGCATGCCCCAAAGACATTTTAAACAGATCCAAAGTCACTCACCAACCTCTCTCCCCACCCCCAACACTTGGCAAACCTGTTCTTTCTCCCATTCTTCATATTCCTTTCCTCAACTAAGTCTTAAATATTTAAGCGAGGCAGAGAATTTTACAGCAGATAGCAAATGCTCATGAAAGAAATGTATTTTTCTAGCCTTCAATCTGAACACTTTTAATACTGAAGTGATGGAGACCTCAACAATAATCTCAAACATTGCTCAGTATGTGAGATGGGTATGTGTGGATTTGCTCCCTTGGCATTCCTTTCCATAGGGACCTGCCCTATCCAAGCCCTCTGAGGTTCTACAGAGGCTGCCAATTACAGGTCTTCACTCCTCTTGACCACACTGCCCAATCAGAGTCTCGCTTCATGGAACCAGCACACTGAGCAGAGACAGTAGGCAGTTGGAGCCAAGTCACTCAATAACCAAGTATTTCTTTAAAATTCCAAGAGCTGGTCTGAGTACTGCTCTTCTCAAGGTCGGGGGTATCCTTCCTCCTTAAATCTGTGAACCCTCAGGGATTCTTTCAGGCAACATTTTTTTCTTGTGTCAGAGTCTGTTTCTATAACCTAAAATCAGAGAACCCTGATACAAAGGAAAACATACTCAAATATGCACACTGATATTTTAAATTGTTTTCCAAATGGCTAAAGAAAAGATAGATGTGGAAGTTTTATAATGAAACCCAGGATTTGAGACTCTAAAAGGAAATAACAGGTCTCAGAAAGAGAGGGGGATTTGAGGGAGTAAAATCCTGCCTTCATTCTCATTCTTTCTCTCTCTCTCTCTCTTTCAGGCACACATGCACACACTCTAGATGAGAAAGAAAGGGGGAAATATCTATGGAAACCACTGTGGATATCCAAGAGTTTGGAAGTAGTCCTTATTTTTAAAAGACATGCAAAAACTAGAAGAAGGGGCTCAGAATCAAGGCTAAACAGAAAAGATCCTGTGTGAATAGAATTTCAGAGCTCAGATCAAGGTGAAGCTTGTGAAAAATGCTGATATTTGTAGTTGTACATGGAAGATGGGAACAAAAGAAAGTTAAAGGGGAAAAAAACTAATGTTTTTGAGCACTTACTGTATGTCAGGTATTTTACATAGATGACTCAATTGTGAAAAAAAGAAAAAAAGAAGGGTAAGGATACAGATGGTCAAGTCCTTTGTTTGAGGTCATTAATATAACCTTAATAGAGGGAATCTTCTTCCTGTAAACTAGAGAAATTGTAATGTTTTATCTGACACTTACAGGCTGAGTAGAATATAAATGGAGGCCACTTAATCGTATGTCTAAATATTTAGAAGTTATAAGTCGAGCTTGGCTCATGCCCAGCTCATGTTTCCACCCAAGGCCCCACAGCCATCCCAGAGAATCACCCTTGAAATGCAAAGGCTAAAAAAGCCATCCTCTTTCCTGGATGGGAGCACTGATATGCTGGGATAGGGGCAAGATGGAAACTGCTCCTGGGCCCAGGAGCCCAGGGCGGGCACTAGGATAGGGACAAGCCTGGTCATCTGGTCATTATCACCATAGAGAGCCCCAGGCTAATTCCCTTGGCTGCCTTGCTTTTCCAACAGAAGCAGTTCAAAAGGCTTCCCAAAATTACTCCTCAAAAAAGTGCAGTCAGCTGAGAAACCCAGCCTGCCCAGACACCTACTCTGGGGTATTTGGGGTGGTCAACATTAAACACAGCAGCCCAGCTCTTTGCCAGATTTCTAGACAGAGGCTATGATTTTCTTCTAACTACTACCCCGTCGTACTGAGATGGGGGCGTTTCCTTATCTCTCTCACAGGGCATGTGACAGGGGTGTGGCTAGCTTCCCACCTGGCTGCTCAAACCCTAGGGGGAGCATGCAGATGGGCAGGTGCAGAGGCCATGGAGAGTGCTTTTGGGCTCTGGCCCCACAGCAGCATCTAGGACTCCTGAAGCCCAAGTGGGCACGTGTTACAGTATGCTCTTTCAGCTATACCATCTGCAGATGGCTTGTGTTAGTCAGCTTAATAGACCCTCTGCCTTATCACAAGGACAGGTGGCCAGTGTGACAGCCTGAGTTCTTGCCCAGTGTACCAGAAGAATCAGATCACATGTGGGCTGAAAGGCTGAGTGCAAGGTTTTATTGTGTGGTGGAGGTGGCAGATAGATGGGGAGATATATGGGGAGCTGGAAGGGGTATGGAGTGGGAAGGTGGTGTTCCCCTGGAGTTTGGCCACCCAGTGGCCAGACTCTTCTCCAACCATCCCCGGCCTAACTTTCTTGGGCGTCTGTGTCGTTCCACTGTTGCTGGTCTGCCAGTGTCTGCCGGTGTCTGCTGGTGTCTGCTGATGTGTTCCTCTGCTCTTCTCAATGTTCAGCCACTTGTGTCTGTGCCTGCTTAAGGTCTCAGGTTTATATGAGCACAGGATGGAGGGCATGGTGGGCCAAAAAGCAACTTTTTGAGCACAAAAACAGGAATGCTTGTCCCCACTTAGGTCCGTGGGCACAGGCCCACGGGTGGAGCCCTTACCAGGGCTCTCTACCCAGCACTTCCCTGCCACCCCCCATATCGTTACCCACTAAGTACCCCATCATGTGCTCATCCCAGCATCCTCCATCCTCCTGTGAGGCTGGAGTAGGGTCCAGTTCCCACATGTGTCCCTTTACCAAAATTTCCATTTGATCAGTTATCCAATTTTCAAAAAAATCTATAAAACATAAAGAAAAAAAGTATTTCTCTATCAATGTTTGTCATACGTAGAGCCCTCTAAAACCTGTGACCAGGGCAGATGCCCTTATTGCTAGATGTAATAGTGGTAGCATTTGTATCTATACACCTCTTAAAATGTAGCATGCAAAGTTGAAAACAGCATATAAATATAATTTGACCAAGGCAGAATATATTGGGGCTATTACTTTCCATGATCTTGGCACTGTTCTAGCTGTGCAGCCCAAGATTATTAGCTTTTTAAACAGTCACATCATATTGTTGGCTCATATTAAATTAAGAATTAATTTGAACTCTTAGGTTGCTTTCACAGGCGCTTCTACCAAGCCAATTCTCTCCCATTCTATAATTGATGGTTTTGAATCTAAATGCAGGATTTTACATATATTACTATTACATCTTCACTTATTAGTTTTGAATTTTTTTAAGTCATTTGTAGTGTTTGCCATCACTCCTATGCTTCTATCATGGGAAAAATCAGTAAGCTATTCTGTATCTTCATTCAGGTATTTGATTAAAGTGGTAAGTAGGGAAAACAGCAGGTATAGAATCAATGACGGAAGCTTAGAGACAGCAGGTTTCAACCGAGCTGTTTTGAAATGTTATTTCTAACAATTAGTTTTCTATCAATGGAATGGACTTCTTGGGAAGATGTGAGAAGAATTCAAGCAAAAGCCAAATGAGGCTCAGCAGAGGCCATAGAAAGAATTTTTGGATATGTAGACGTCTAAGGACACTTCCAATTCTAAGATTCCATAACTTGATGATTCTAAATTCCAGAGTTATGAGAGAATAGCTTGGCATTCCTCAAGCCCATGTTGGATTGCTATAGGAAACCTTTCAGTGCCCACAGACTAATGCAATGATTATTTTTTAAGATCCCTGCTCCACTCTGTCCCTTTCATTGTTCTTACCATAGCCCACCTTTTTCTATACAGTAGCTGTTGGCCTAAGGGCCTCATTTCATCATAAGCTCCTTGCATTCAAGAACTACATTTTATTTATCTTTATTTCTCTTGTACCTGTAGAACCCAATTTGTACTTAGTGGGTATAATACTAAATTGCAGGTAGGAAACAAGGGAGTGGTTTGGAGTTTGAATCCAGGAGACAGATAGAGCTCCAGGTGCAAAGGGATCTTAGCACTCCCTGAGTAGGTGCTCCATGAAGGCAGAGGCCATGCCCATCTTGTCCTACTCCTCAGCAACCAGCAGAGTGTTTCACATGGTACACACTCTGTGAAATGTTTGTAGAATGAAGGTTGAGTCGACAAGTTTTCTGAGAAGTAATTAACTTTAATTCATTTTCTGAGTAAGTGCTATAGGAGTTAAGAAGAAATTATTTAGGCAGATAGTAAGGGTAAGGAAGTCCTTAGTAAGGTTTTCCTTTTAATGAAAAGCAGCCCCAAAATCATTTTGTTTTCTAACAAAGAGCAGCTTGTAAAATCGAGCTGCACTTGCATGGGTGAATGCCAGCAGCTGTGCTAACAGGAAAGGGCTACCTGGGGGCCACGCATGTCCAATATGGAGGCTCCATCTTCCCCTTTCCTTGTCAACCGCATGCACAGTAAGGAGCAGGCTACATAGCACCGGCCAAGCAGAGACTCCACTTGCATAATAAAAGATTAGGGTGGGGTGGCCGGCTTCCTTGTGCACTATGTAAATGTCATACCTGGCCCAGTCAATCTTTGGGCCCTACGTAAATCAGACACTGCCTCCTCAAGCCTGTCTATAAAACCCTGTGCACTCGCCATGGGCCAGAAGTCCCACTCAGGCGCCCCTCTCTCTCAAGGAGAGAGAGCTGTTCTCCTTTCTCTTTCTTTTGCCTATTAAACCTCTGCTCTTAACCTCACTCCACATGTGTCCGTGTCCTTGATTTCCTTGGCATGAGGCAACAAACCTCGGGTATTTACCCCGGACAACGAGGCCACTTCAGTAGGGCAGGAAGAGGCGAGAGAACATGAGAAGAACTGAATCTGACTCGGTTTAAAAGCACAAACTGGACAGCAAGGCCTCAGTTGTCCTAATTGTTCTAGGAACTCACCCCCAAACCAGTCTCAAGACTTTCCACCTGAGAATAATTCTCTGACCTGAGAGCCTCCTGGTGTCTAACATCTTCCACCTATCACCTTTTGAGTCATACTTCTGTTTTAGAGTAGGCTTGCCAGATTTAGCCAACAAGCAAATATCCAGGATACCCAGTTAAATTTGTATTCTAGGTAAACAAAAATATTTTTTCAAGGTAACTGTGTTTTACGCCATCTCTGAGGCATGCTTATCTTATACTAAAAATAAAAAACTGTTATTATGTGAAATTCAAATTTAACTCGGTGACCTGTATTTTATCTGGCAATCCTATTTGGGAGGCACACTTCGCACTTGCTTTTCATAGAAATTGCCTTTTCTTAAACTGTCACTGGGCCCATGTCCTCAGTCTCATCCCCTTGCACAGCGTTAAATGCAGGCTGGGGATTATTATGGAAGTAACATCAAATGTCGAAATGCTATTTATTAGCCATCACACTGTAGGTCATAAAACTTGTCATCCAATTTAGTACTTGCCCCCATGTTAGAGGGCTAACAGAAAGAAATTGAGTTCCTTTCCTCGGTTTTCACAACAAGTCATTGTCAGAGCCAGAATTATAATCTAAGATTCTGAATTTGGAGGTTCTCTAAATTATATTGCCTCTCTGTGGGAGACTATATTCTCTTTTGCAGTTCTTCCTCTCTTAAAAGTCTTAAAATTGGGCCAGGCATGGTGGCTCACACCTGTAACCCCAGCACTTTGGGAGGCTGAGGCGGGTGGATCACCTGAGGACAGGAGTTCCAGACCAGCCTGACCAACATGGTGAAACCCTATCTCTACTGAAAATACAAAAATTAGCCAGACATGGTGGCACACACCTGTAATCCCAGCTACTCAAGAAGCTGAGGTGGGAGAATCACTTGAACCTGGGAGGCAGAAGTTGCAGTGAGCCCAGATAGTGCCACTGCACTCCAGCCTGGGCAACAGAGAGAGACTCCATCTCAAAAAAAAAAAAAGTATTGAAATTACTTGACAATCCCCTGGGTATATAGCTGAGGGGTTGGGGGAGGGAAGAGCAATGGCATTTGAAAAAGGAAAGCATCTGTTACACATGAGCTTTCCAGAAGGCCACTGCTGTGACCTAAGGCACCTAAATCCGGTTGGAGTCCACTTTGGCATCAGAAGGCTAACTCCAAAATGCTCCTTTAAACAGCACCTGAGGCAAGAGAACAAATACAAGTGACTTCCTCGTGGCCTGTTTGTGCATATCTCTGTGTTGTTCAAGGCCTGAGAAGATTACAAAGGGGGAAAAAAGAAAAGAAGGAACAACAAGCTGGCTGGCTGATTTTTTTTAACCTCTAAGTCCCTTACACACTTTAAGTGACATTCACAAATGGCATAATTTTTGAAAGTTGTTTTTGTGCTGAAAGATTGGATGTTTGATGCCTCAACCCTGTGGTTCTCCCTCCAGCCCAGCCAGGATTCAAAACATCTTTCAGTAAAACCATCTGTTATTTAAAACATTCTTGTGTCTTAAAATATACAAAACTCAAGACCTAACTGCTCATCGAAACCCCAAACACACTCTTTTGGGGCTGGGTTCCTCACAGAGAGCGATTCATAAAACCTTGCTTATTATTTGGAAACAGGTCTGAAGTTTGTCCAATTTTATCCTTTTTGTGGTTCATCATTCTAAAATATTTTGGTGTGGCAACAGGTTATTAGCTTCTTAAACTTCTAGCTGTAATATTGTGCAGAATCCATTTCATTTCATAGCAAAGCAGGAGAGACATAACTTCCAGATGAAGGTAATAGCCGTGCGCATATAGAATTGAACCAGTTTTTCTTTGTCAAAAACTGTGCCACAATTGTCTGAATTACAATCCTGCTTGAAACCTGTTGGAGACCCAGGACATGAAAAATGTCTAGGAATTTTACCGAAAGATCAAGCCATGAGCACACATCTTCTGTGTTATTAAGTATTTGACAACAGGTACCAACCATAGTGACAAGCCCCAAAAGTGTATTTTTTAGGGTGAAATATTTTAATGACTTTGGAATAGACTGGTCTGGAAATATCTTCTTCCTATAACTGCCAAGGTACACGGACAAACTCAATATTATGGTATAACGATGACAGCAGCATTTTAAAGCCTTGGCTGACATCTTTGCTTTTCCACCAGGCAGGCAGCCCAGGTGACAGAAGCTTCACATCTCAGCTGAGAGCCCCTCTGTGAACAGGGACACTTTGGGTCAAGGTCCTGCCAGTGTTTGTGTCTCTAAGCTCAAGAACTAAATAACCATTTCTAAACAGCCTTAGATCTTATTCTATTTTGGAAATAAATTAGCAATGTTTAATATTAATGAGGAAAAATTAAGACATTCTTAATATAGGAGGTACATGTAGACTTGGATGCAAACAATGTAGTTTCTAAAAAGTTCTGATGAAAACAAGATGGTATGCAGAGAATAACATGATGTTTGCAAATGAGCCCAGCTAGATGAAGAATTCCCGTTCAACAGCCTGCCGGGGCTGTGGTGCAAGAGAAACAGCATGATAAGCTCCAAATTGCTTTTCTGCATTCTCAGGAGGTAGAAGACTGCAAGATGGGGCTGCTGAGAGGCTGCCATGGTTTTCAAAGAATGAGCTCAAGCTGGACTGGACCCTCTGGTGACAGCTCTGTCAAAGAAGAAGGATCAGATACACTCAAAAATGAACATCAGCATTTACATTCTTGTGGCTGTGGCCAAATCTGTCCTCTTTCTTTTTTTTTTCTTTCTTTCTTTCTTTTTTTTTTTTTTTTGAGACAGTCTTGCTCTGTCTCCTAGGCTGGAGTGCAGTGGCGCGATCTCGGCTCACTGCAAACTCCGCCTCCCGGCTTGTATGCCATTCTCCTGCCTCAGCCTCCCAAGTAGCTGGGACTACAGGCATGCACCACCTACACCCAGCTAATTTTTTTGTATTTTTAGTAGAGACAGGGTTTCACCGTGTTAGCCAGGATGGCCTTGATCTCCTGACCTCGTGATCTGCCCACCTCGGCCTCCTAAAGTGCTGGGATTACAGGCGTGAGCCGCCGCGCCCGGCTATCTGTCCTGTTTCTGTCTATGGATCAGCATACTGAGGGAGGGCCCTCAGGATCACAAGCAATTTTGTTTTTGAAAAGCCCCAGCCCAGTGGAGGTGGATTTGCATGTGCCTGCAAGTGCCATCTAATAAACGCTACTCACCAGCCGGGATCGTGAGAACTGAACACAGAATAATACAGCTGAGGAGTGGCTGGGTAGAGCCTGACTGTGGCATCACCTCTAGGAAGGACAATGTGGGCAGCATTCCTCATGGCTTTATGCTTATACAACTCAGCTAGGGGATATTGATTTTTTGGTAGTTACACCAAGCACTTCAGGGAACTAAAAATCCACATGGCACAAAAATCCCTTTCTAGGTAGGATGTTTTAATTTGCAAATCACTGTGAGACAAGCTCAAGTAGAACAGAATCTTATGTTATAGGGGTTTCCAAACCACTCTGCCTCTTTCTCCTAAATATCAGCTCCAGAGAAAGCTGGAGAAATGTCTGCCTGCCGAGGCACTGCAGCCTGGCAGGAGGTGGTCTCAAGCAGGATCAACATCTGTGGACAGCACTTTCTGTATCTGTTTGTGTGAGATGCTCGCGTTCAGCTTGGGGTCTGTTCTAAATGGAAGGCGACTTCCCTCACACTGCTATCCTGTCTTCGCCAAGACAAATGCTGAATTGTTTGTTCTCGCAGAATGATAGCCCGAGTGCCAAAAACTCCAAGATGAAAATGAATCCCCCCCATTATGGATTCAGTTCCAACATAGCAAGTTGCACAATCTCTTGGGACCACTACCCTTGCCAACCAAAAATTAAAACCAATTTGGCTACATAATAAGAAGCTACAAACATAATTCTTTTTTCTTCATTGGCCAAGAATTTGATGTTCCTGCAAGGATGAAAGTGAGGCATTCAGAGCTGTTTTAAGAGAAAAGAAATTGAGGCTGAAAACATGTTATTCCATTTTCTTTTTTTGCTGAAGAATCAAAACACTTGATTCAGACCCACAGCAGAAAAGATTCATGGAGTGAGAAGGTATACAAGTTGTACTTTATGCTACCAAAAGCACACACCCATGCTGTTGAATTAGGAAAAGAAAACATTTCTGTGGAGCTGAGTAGACATAGAAGCCCTACATCAGAGTCTGTCAAAAATATTGAGTTTATAAACTGACTTTTGTTGCTGCATGCTTTTAAAAAGCCCTCAGAGGGACAAAAAAGAAAAGAAAAAAGAAAGAAAAACAAAAGTCCACAATAAAGATGACTAAAAATGAATGTCAAATGATAGAGACTTAGGTAGTTATTTTTTATGTGTACTGAATGCCTGCTACATGCTACATCTGTTCTAGGTACTTTGCATGTATTGGTATATTCTTAATCCCATTTTACAGATACAGAAACTAAGAAACAGAGAGGCTGTGTAACTTGCCCAAGGTCACACAGCCAGCAAGTGGCAAAGCCAAATTTTAATGCAGTCTAGCACCAAAACCTGTGTTTTTCTTTCTTTTATTTATTTATTTTTTTACTTTAAGTTCTGGGATACATGTGCAGAACGTGCAGGCTTGTTACATAGGTATACAGGTGCCATGGTGGTTTGCTGCACCCATCAACCCGTCATCTACATTAGGTAGTTCTCCTAATGCTATCCCTCTCCTAGCCCCCGACACCCCAGCAGGCCCCGGTGTGTGATGTCCCCCTCCTGTGTCCATGTGTTGTTCTTCAACTCCCACTTATGAGTAAGAACATGCAGTTCTTGGTTTTCTGTTCCTGTCCTTGTGTTTTTAATTAGCAGACTTTGCTGCCCCTTGGGATCCTTTAATCCTTTGTTTCCCACTCTGATAGATATGATGTGATGAGCTAAGCATAATAAACACAGCATTTGGGATATCCCCAATTTTTGACACAATTTTATGATAAAGCAAATAGGGCCACACATTTTTATTTTGAACATGGCATCTATTAATATGCTTTTATATGAGTAATAAAATCAGTCATCTAAAGGCATCCAATAATACAGACGGCTAATCTAACTGTTTAACTGAACATTTTTAAAGACAATTTTTTTCTAGACCTCCACTCCAAAGTTAATATTGATAAAGTCAGTGAATATCACTAAAGAACAAATATAAAGAAATTTTGTATTTCTGTTGTTAAAAATAGAAAATAAAATATAAATTTTAATCTTATTAATATGAATAATATTGCAATTTTTACTTGTACCATGCAAGTAAAATCTCTTTTGATTCTATGACCATAACTGTTGTGTTATTATTAACAGATAAGTGCAGAGCATCATTCTTACTCTCATGCAATGCAAATATAGATGTATTTTACATATGCCCTTTATCTACCCTTGCCTTAAAAATGTATTCATGGGTAAAATTAAAAAATAAACAGAAGTTGCTGTGATCACGAGTTGCACATTTTTAATCACAACTATAACAGACATCAGTAACTATCAAAAGAAATCATATCAGAATGGAAAAACGTGAAGCAACGTCACTATAAATATAAACTTGAATCAGTTCTGATTTCTTTAAAAAAAAAAGAAAAAGAATTTCAGAACCCTGTTTTATAATTATTAACCAACTAGTTGCTATATATTTTATAACTCATCATAACACATCACTGTGTCTTGATATTATGGTTAAGAGCAGGTGAACTGGATGGATTTTGCCACAGCCCAGTTCAGCTACTCATTCATTTATCCATTTATTCAGCAAATAGCGAATACTTCCCATGTGTCAGGGTCTGTTTGCCCCTGGGTGGCATATCCATCAGAGATGGAGTTCTCTATACCTCATGCCCAATAAGAATATTCAGTGTATCGAATAATATAATATTTATTAAATACTCTGGGCTTTTCTGCCTTTTTTCAGTTCTTTTTCCTGGCAGCCTCTCATCCAAATGAGTGGCCCTGCTTCCTCTAGAAGAGCACAGTGGAAGTTAAAGACCTTTCATCCTATTCCAAAGCACCCTCTACAAATTTCATTTCACTCCTGAGTAAATTGGAGCTTAATAATTCCAAACTCTCAGTGACAAACTACCCCAAGACTGGTGCTCATTGTCACCTGTCTCTGGCTGTTTGTCATCAGCATGTCTGAAAGCCCCTGCAATCTCGTCTGTCATTGTTGGGAGGCAGATGGAACAAAAATGAGCTGGGATGGTCGCAGTTGGTGAAAGAAATCAACATTCCTCCTGAAAGGCAGACTACTTAAGGAATGATTCATGGGCTTTCACTAAAAAAAATAAACAAATAAATAGTAAATGGCTGTTGACTCCTGACTCTAAAGTTGATTTGGGCTATAGGGAAGTCAAAGTCAATAGCAGAGAGAAAAGTCAAGGTGGTAAACCTTGAAGGAAAAAAAAAAAACATGACTGTATTCTAAGTGCCATAATTAGAAACCTCTGAAAACCTCTTTCTCTTTCTCTCAGCTATGAATTTCAAAAATATGATGGATTTTTCTGCTTGAAAATAACAGTCTTAAGGATAAAAGACCCTTGGGAAATCCAAGAGGAGGCAATTACCCAACCTCTACAAGGCAATTAGCAGTCAATCAAAGTATTGTTTATTTGCTTTTTATTTAAAAAAAAAAAAACTTCATTGTTTACACGACTGCATTGAATTTTTATGAAGCCCATAATAGAAACTTACTGACTCATCCACAGAGCTTGAGTTGATTCAGAAAATGCTGCGATAAAAATCCCAACTTGGTATTTCGGGCCTTCTTATAAAGGAGAGGGTTTTAGCAGCTCTTTAAACCAAATCCTGGCCTGGCACGGTGGCTCACGCCTGTAATACCAGCACTTTGGGAGGCCAAGGCGGCCAGATCACAAAGCCAGGAGATCAAGACCATCCTGGCCAACATGGTGAAACCCCGCCTCTACTAAAAATACAAAAATTAGCCGGGTGTGGTGGCACGTGCCTGTAGTCCCAGCTACTCGGGAGGCCGAGGCAGGACAATCTCTTGAACCCAGGTGGCGGAGGTTGCAGTGAGCCGAGATCACGCCACTGCACTCCATCCAGCCTGGTGATAGAGTGAGACTCCGTGTCAAAAAAAAAAAAAAAAAAAAATCCTGAAAACATAGTTCTTAATCGCTCGAGACATTTTTCAAGTTGTCATGTGCGTGCGTGTGTGTGTGTGTGTGTGTGTGTGTGTGTTTAGCGATCCTGTATGTAGGTTTCTTTTCTTGTATTTAATAATACAATGGCATTCTTTGTTTTACCTTGAAATTACAAACAAACAATACACATCACAACTGCAAAATTCATTTAACAACACAGTGGAGCAAATGAATCACAGGACTGTTGGGAGATGGATTTTTAACTTGCTATGGAAGCACAAAACAAGACGTGTCTAAGTCAGCAGGCTTTTTGCTTTCTGAGCAGATGTGAAGTGTGTTCTCTTCCACTGGTGATGAGCCTCAAGAGGTTGGAGGAACTGGTCTGGTTTAATTCAAAGTCACCTGAAGCCTTGTTTGAAGTTCATTAAGGCAATTCAATTCAATTCAATACACATTTGCAGAGCTACCTCATGCAAGGAGGTAAGCGTACTAAGGGCTACAGAAGCCACAGAGATACTTGAGAAAAGCCAGCCCCCCAGAGCTCAGAAGACTGACATCCCCAGCAGCATCATTTTACAACCTTCTTCATAATTGCTGTTAGTGATCCTACAAAATGCACTAGGCACAGAGCTACCTTGAAAATGAAAGCAAGCCTAAACAGCCTATTTCCTGGAACTTTTGGAACCTACAGGTTCTAGATCAAAAGCAAGAAAGGAGAAGCCAAATATTTAATGCACCATTCACTTTGGAAACCCTTTTTTTTTCCACATAATTGGTTTTTATAGCTATGTGATTTTTATGCTCATGTATTTTCTCTGTGATAATAACTTACTAAGTTTTATTAAACTTATTTAGACTTAAAGTATAATTTCATTTTTTATCCTAAGAGTTCTAATTTTTAATTTAATTTTTAATTATTAAGCTTTGAGAGAAATGATAAGGCAGATAGAGAATTAAATATTAAAACTTTCAAGTTTGATTCTCTATCTCCCCTATCATTTCTTTTAAAGCCTAATAATAGTAGCTAACATTTATTACACTTGCTCAAAACCAATAACCATATGAAGCACCTGAATATATTACCTCATCTAATCCTTGCTCTATTTCTACGAAGTGGATATAATTACTATTCCACTTTTACAGATGAAGAAATTGAGATTTCATGAAATTAAGTAACTTGTCCCAACCACACTGAGGTTTGAACGCTGGCTTATTTTCTTCCTCTCTGACCCACTCCTTCTTTCATATTACTCAGCTATCACATTCTCCAGGCTTTCTATTTATTTGCTTCCTTTATACTCTTGGCTTCCCATGAACCAGACAGCAGAGCCATTCTCTGGACTTTGTGAGTCTCAAGCTTCTGCCCCAACTCTGAGGTCTCCATCCATGCTCCAGGCCACAGATTATCAGTGTCTACCTTAGGGGTTCTCAACTAGGGGTGAATGTGCTGCCCAGGGGACATTTGGCAGTGTCTGGAGACATTTTGGCATTACAGCTGGAGGTGGCTGGGGGTAGGGATGCTCCTGGCACCTGGTGGGTAAAGGCCAGGGATGCTGCTGAGCAGCTTAACAATGCACAGGAAATACCATTCCAAAATGTCAGTAGTGGTTAAGGCTGGGAAATCCTGACCTACATTATCTACTTGATCTTTAACAGAGGCTCTGTGACCTTGTGAATTGTATGTTTCTCTGACTCGGTTATCCATGGGACCCTAATCTAACACTTCCATATCCCCAGTGGCCTAGCACAACACCTTATCCAGAACAGGTTCTTAATAAATATATCAGTAATCATGAGTCATTCTTCTCTTCTTCAACACTCCCTTTGCTGTTCCACAGATAATTACTGAATATCTTTTTGAGGTGGTACCAAGTTGGACCCTGAGGATAACATGTAAGTGATAGAGACATGCCCCTGCCTTCAAGAAGCTTATAGTCTAGAGGAGAACAAGTGATGAGTGCCAGGGAGGAGATCTGGGGGATCTATGGGTCTATGGGCAAGGAAAAGCATAGCAGGGATAAATAATAGGGGGCAGCGGGGTTGGGGGGGACAGGATGGTGAGAGAGGCTTCCTGGAGGAAGAGACCATTAAGAGACAGGCACCTGAAAGATGACAAACAGCTAAACAAAGGAAGAAAAAGAAGTATTTGGCCTGGCACGGTGGTTCACGCCTATAATCCCAGCACTTTGGGAGGCCGAGGTGGGCAGATCACCTGAGGTCAGGAGTTCAAGATCAGCCTGGCCAACATGGCGAAACCCCATCTCTACTAAAAATAGAAAATTAGCTGGGTGTGGTGGTGGGAGCCTGTCATCCCAGCTACTCAGGAGGCTGAGGCAGGGGAATCACTTGAACCAGGGATGCAGAGGTTGCAGTGAGCTGAGATCATGCCACTGCACTCCAGCGTAAGTGACAGAGTGAGACTCTGCCTAAAAAAAAAAAAAAAAAAAAAAAAAAAAAAGAAGCATTCTAGGCATGAAAATATTATGTACAAAGGCCAAGAGATAAGAAAGTAACACAAATATGAGGCCTATGGTCAGGCCGTGAGGGCCAAGTTAAAGGAAATGAAGGGCCTGTAGGTCACATGCAAGTGTTTGAATTGTATACCAAGGATAACAGGAGGCCATTGAAAGGCTTTAAAGAAAAGAGTGACAGAATCTGATTTTGTTTTTAAAAAATGACTCTGGACAGGGAAATGTAAATCAAAACTACAATATCATGTCATAGATGTTGGGATGACTATTACCAAAAAAACAAAAGATAAGAGTTGGCGAGGCTGTAGAGGAATTGGAACCTTTGTACACTGTTGGCGGAAATGTAAAATGCTGCAGTCACTGTGAAAAACAATATAGAGGTTTCACAAAAAATTAAAAATAGAGTTATCATACGACCCAGCAATCTCACCTCTGGGTATATACCCAAAAGAACTGAAGTCACTAAGAACTAAGATCTTGAAGAGATTTATGCACTTCCATGTTTAACGCAGCATTATTCACAATAGCCGAAAGATGGAAGCATCCTAAATGTCCATTGAAGGGTGGATGGATAAGAAAATGTGGTATATACATACAATAGAATATTATTTAGCCTTAAAAAAGAAGGAAATCCTGCCATATGAAACACCACGGATGAACTTGGATGATGGTATGCCAAGTAAATACCAGCCACAGTAGGACAGATACTGCATGATTCTACTTATATAAGGTATCTAAAATAATCAAACACATAGAAGCAGAAAGTAGAATGATTGTTGCCAGGAACTGGTGGGGGTTGCAGGGAGATTAGGAGCTTTTCAATGGGGATAAAGTTTCAGTTATGCAAGATCAATGAGTTCTAGAGATCTCCTGTATAACATAAGTGTCTGTAGTTAACAGTACTGTATTATGCACTTAAAATTTTTGTTAAAAGGGGTCCATCCCTTAAATTTTTGTTAAAGGGTTAAGTGTTTGGTTGCCAAACTAAACTTGGGTCTGCCCACCTGGTGCAGCAAAGCCAAACTTTGTAGAGAATAGTAGAATTTGCAGTGAGAGAAAGTGAGACATTTATTGCAGGGCACTAAGCAAGGAGGATTGGGCAGAACTTTCTAGTGGCTTAGGGGTAAGGGTTTTTAAATGTGGGGAGACAGAGGTTACAGGCAAAGTCATAAATCAATACATGGAGGCCATACATTCATTTGGCCTGAAAACGCAGGACATCTCAAAGCAGGGACCCACAGGTCAAAGGTGGATTCAAAGATTTTCTGATTTGCCATTGGTTACGGAAACAAAGCTTTGTGTAAAAACACGGGTCAGCAGAAAGAAATGTTGAGCTCTGGCTGGTGGACATGAATTCCTCCAGGCCCCTGGGGAATAAATTCTGATCAAAGAGGCAGTCAGAGTTCAGTCTTCAGCTCCCTCTTATCTGAGGTCTATGTGCCAGCAGAAGGCATCTTCCATTAGGTAAGAGTTCGGGTTTCTAAAGAACAACTCAGGGACAGATGTTCTAAAGAACAACTCAGGGAACAACTCAGATAACATCAGAAAGATGTTATCTTTCTCTAGGGGACCAAATATTTTATGGCTCTAACTTCTTTGACTATTGTTTTAAGGTATTACTGCCGTCTTGCCTATTGGGTTACTCATTTACTTCTCAAGGCTAGTTAAATGCCTGCAATTTTCCTTAACGAAACTCAAGGTTTTTCTCTATTTCTGTGCTTGGGGGGCCCAGCAGGCCCCTATAAAAAGTTCCTATTCCTGGCTCACGCCTGTAATCCCAGCACTTTGGGAGGCCGAGGCGGGTGGATCATGAGGTCAGGAGATCGAGACCATCCTGGCTAACAAGGTGAAACCCTGTCTCTACTAAAAAAAAACAAAAAATTAGCCGGGCGCGGTGGCGGGCGCCTGTAGTCCCAGCTACTCGGGAGGCTGAGGCAGGAGAATGGCGTGAACCCGGGAAGCGGAGCTTGCAGTGAGCCGAGATTGCGCCACTGCAGTCCGCAGTCCGGCCTGGGCGACAGAGCGAGACTCCGTCTCAAAAAAAAAAAAAAAAAGTTCCTATTCCATCTCGGTTCTTACCACAAAGTGGGGTGAGGCACAAAGAAACTTTTGGAGGTGATGGATATGCTTATTACCTTGATTATGGTGATAATTTCATGGGTATATGCATATATTCAAACTCATCAAATTGTATGCATTAAATACTATATGTGCAGTCTTTGGAATATCAATTATACCTCAATAAAGCTGTTTTTTTTTTTAAATTTTTTTTAAGAGTTTTGGCTTAAAAGACAAGAAAGTCACCCTGGGCGCTGTGTGTAGTCTGGGCTGGGAAGTTGATGGTTGTAACAATCACAGAGAGGAATTTCTTCAGGGCAACAAAGTACCCCTACAATTTGATATTATGGTTTTGAAATGTGTAAGGGATGGCTGAGTCCTTCAAATTCTAATCAAGGAAGGTAATTGCAAAACACAAAAGTTTAAATCTTTTCCATTTTATTACACTCAGTCTGAAGAAAGACTGCACTGCTATAAGGTCTTGGCAGCCTAGGGCCAAACGCTAGGAACAGAAAGTGAACATTTTAGCAGTGTGTCTTCAGCACCAGTGTCCAGACTTGTAGGTGCAGCCTAATGGTATAAATAAGCATATTAGTCTACTGCAACTTGATGGCACCAGCTGTTAATTTCATCCTGCCTAGTAGACATTCAATTAATATTTGTTTGCTGTAAATTGTATTAAATTGGATTCCATGCTCACCAAACAACTTTCTGATCACAATTTGGCTTCCTGTGAATCTTGTCTATGAACATAAAATGTACTGATTAGCTGACACAAACTTTTGAGTCTGGTTGACATTTGTATTTTTTCCATGATTAAGTTGGCACTATCACTGACAAATCCATATCCATTGTGTTTGGTCAGGATAGCCAACACTTGTGGTTGTTTATCTAACATCCATCTCCCATGTCCCCCTCCAGTCAGTAAAACTTTTCCAATCAGTTACCTGTCCTTGTGCTTTTTGGCTAACTGACCCGACTTCCAGCTCCAGGCAGCCCCTGATTGTTTTTAGCCAATAATCACATTACACCACAGCCACATGGATGGTTTCAGATTTTGGCACATGACCTAACCCAATCTAATCTGAGTGAAACTCAAAAGTCTTGCCTAGAAAACTGGAACAGAAATGATTTCTATTCCTGAGGATGAAGGAGGAAGCATGTTGCTCCTGGACATCACGGGAAGCCGGTTAGCTATTTTGATGCTTAACTTTAAGTGCCAACGTCACTAGGCTATAATGCTCCAATGCTTGGTCAAATATCAGTCTAGATGCTGCTGAAGGGATTTTAAATATTTGATTTACTTTGAGTGAAGTAGATTACTCTCCATAATATGGGTGGACCTCATCCAATCAGTTGAAGGCCATAAGAGAAAAAGAGTGGGGTTCCCTGAGGAAGAGGGATGCCGGCTTGCAGGCGGCCTCCAGACAAGACTGCAGCATGAACTCTTTACTGGATCCTCAGCCTACTGGCCTGCCCTGCAGATTTTCGACTTGCTAGCCCCTATGATTTCATAAGCCAATTCCTTAAAATAAATATATCTCTCTCTTTCTCTCTTGCTCTCTCTAACCCTTTCTCTCTACTCTTGGTTCTGTTTCTCTGGAGAACCTTGACTAATATAGCTAACACTCATACAGCTACTTTGGTCTGAGAATAAAGCTGACACACAGAGTAGAGCAGAGTGAGACAATGATTTATGGGTCACAAGCCAGAACCTGGACCAAACCCAGTCCGAAGCCCACATGTATCAGCCAGGATGATCTCAGCAGCAGGGGACAGAAAACCTAACTACCTTCAGTAGTGTGTAAACGTTTGCATTGCAAAGTAGAAATTCCAGTGGTAGAACAGGCTTCAGGTCAATTGATTCAGCAGCTCAGTGATGTCATCAGAAGGCAGGTTCTTTGCTTTGCTCTACTATCCAGAGTGCCTCATCTCAACTCTCTCATCCTTGTACTTATTAGCTAACATTGACAACATTCAGGGCTACTCACTTCCTCCATCACATCCAGTGGAAGGGATTGGATTTCCATGGTTCTGATTCTCAAAAATGAGTGTGATCCTTCATATCACATTAGCCCAAATTGACATGGGTTCACCCATCCCTTAAACAATCACTCTCAAAGGGGAGGGAAAAGCAGGGAGATTATCATGATTGACTTAAATTAGTCAAGACTGACCCTCAGAGCCTGGCCAGTTCCTTAACCTGCACTGCAGCTACACAATGAGGATAGATGGACTGGACAGTAGGCAGGCAACAATAAGGTCCCCTGCAGACACCAACTGCTACATTTTCAGATGTATCAGCTAATAACATTGCCTGTTCAAACAATTTTAAATTGGGCTTTTAGTGATTTACTATCAACTGCTATAGCAGCCAATGAACCCATCCTCAAGGTCTGATGGCCGCTGGGTACCTTCACAAAATCAAGTTCCCGGACCTTCAGGACTGAAGACAAGACCCAGACCCTATTTATTTTTTATTTTATTTTTTTGAGGCAGGGTCACGCTCTGTCACTCAGGCTGGAGTGCAGCGGCATGAACATGACTCACTGCAGCCTCAATCTCTCAGACCAGCCCCTAAATCATGATGAGCTCCTGGGCTGCATTGCCCTCTGAGGTCTTGTTTCCCTAGTCCATGTGTGTGCGTTACCTCCACCCTCCTTTTACCCATACCACCTGTAAAACTCTCTGGATCTGTCACTCACCTAGCTCATTAGCACCCTCTGAGCCCCAGACTCCATAATTAACCACCACAGGGCATCCCCTTCTCCCTGACCCATGGCCCCTGACTTTCTGTCATGTCTTGGGCATGGGTCATCAACCCAGGATTACACCCATTGCATGCTTGCCTTGCTGCTACTACTGGGCTCCCAGAGGGGGAAAAAATCACTAATATTTTTCTATTAACTTACTCAGCACCAGGTGAGATGGTTTCCAATTTAAGTCTCGTAATAACTTTAAGGAAAGGGTATCAGAATCCTTATTTAACAAATGAGGAAACTGTGGCCCAGGAAGGTTAAACAACTTGACCAGTGTCATGCTGCTAGGAAGGGACTTAAGTGTTGGTTGATCTCCTCCCAAGCCTGCACTATTTCTGTTGCACCATGAAAAATCATGCTAGCCTAGTCCACTATAGAATCTTGTGGCCCAGTTTCCATTTGAAAGTTATGTGTACACTATACTATAGTCTATTGCGTGCAAGAGCATCACGTCTTTTAAAAAGAATGTACAAAAAGCAGTATCATACTATGCATGTTATCCAGCAAATTGTTCTCACTTGACAATAATGTCCTTCAATGATGTACCTGATTCTTTTTTAATACTTGCATAACTGTCCTTTCTAATTCAATCGTGCCCTATAGATAATTGCTTATTCCTCCTGTTTTTCTCTATGCTTCAATGAGCATTCTTTCAGACATTTGCAGTGGTGTGATGGCAAATGTTTAACAGCTGACAGTTTAAATAAAAAAAAAAGAAAAAAAGGGCAGCCTAGGCACAGCTGCTCATGCCTCATGCCTGTAATCCCAGCACTTTGGGAGGCTGAGATGGGAGGATTGCTTGAGCCCAGGAGGTAGAGGCTGCAGTGAGCTGTAATCATGCCACTGCACTCCAGCCTGAGCAGCAAAGCAAGACCCTGTCTCAGAAAAAAAAAAAAAAAAAAAAAAAAAGCAGCTCTGATGTGTAACATTTGCTGATTTCCATGGTGTAAATACTCCCGTTATTGGAGATTTCGAGCTACCCATATGACACCATAGGAGGCAGAGATAGAAAAAGATGTACACAATCAGTTCACCCTAGCCCGTCAAGGCAGCTCCAGCACGCTGAAGTTGTTATCATGTATATTCTTTTGAGTGTTTTACAACACAGGGAAAAAAAATATTAAAAGGCAATTATCCCTTGCCAGACAGGGGAAACATAACTAGCTTATTAGCTATAATAAAGCCGAGCTATTAATTAAATGCATTCCTTTTGGATTCTAAAGGATGTTCTCTGTCTGCTCCCTTAAATAGATTCTGTTTAAAAGCCAAGAAATTTCAAAGCCTTTCTTTTCATTTTTCCACCTGAGAAAATTATTTAGACTTGATGTGTGACTAAAATATGTTTTAAAGATTCTAGAGATTTGCTATGAAATTCACAAATTAGTATATTTAGACACAGACACCGCATGATGAAAGAATGCCAACCTTTACTCTTTGGGATACTCATATCACCCAGGCTGAATTACCCGTAGGTGCACAAAAGAACCACCTTAAACTTGTGGATACATCAGAATCACCTGGAGGGCTCATTAAACAACTTATTGCTGGGTCCTACCCACACAGTTTCTGATTCCAAAGGCCTAGGGTGAGGCCAAGAATGTGCATTTCTCTCAAGTTCCCAGGTAATGCTGATGCTGCTAGCCTGGGGAACCACCACTCTTCATAAACTCTGAACCCAAACCTCAGAGAATCTTCTTCCAGACTCTTCTATTATGTAAAATTCTATCGCAGATCAGTTTCTCTCAGCTAGAGACTTTCCTTCTGTTGAACCTCAGAGAAATTTAGAAATACGGCAAATTCTTACTAATCAAAGTATTTGAGGACAGGTGTGATAGGGAAGTGGCTCCAATATGTTGTTATAGAGGAAAGCATACTGAGGTTTGTTCTCTGAAAAGGAAGGGGATGGCTTACGATTGCTATTAATGCTCACAGAAAGGGTAAAGTTTTAAAGTAGTATCAGTTAAGGAGCTCAAATTTCTCATTTACAGTGTTGGTGGGCACACCAACAACATCTGGGTCTGAATCCTGTCCCTGCCAATTAACTGTGCGACCTTAAGCAACTTACTTAACCTGTCAGTGCCTCAGTGCCCTCATCTGTAAAATGAAGATGATAATAGTAATAGTTACCTTATAGAGTTATTAAGAGGATGTGCTAGGTATAGAATCCGACGTGTGGGAAGGACTTCGTGAGTGCCTGCATTATCAGTTAGAACTCCAGTTCTGTATTAAGAAGAAAGCATTTGGCTGGGAGCGGTGGCTCACACCTGTAAACCCAGCATTTTGGGAAGCTGAGGTGGGTGGATCACTTGAGGTCAGGAGTTCAAGACCAGCCTGGCCAACACTGGTGAAACCCAATCTCTACTAAAAATACAAAAATTAGCAGGGTATGGTGGCATGCATCTGTAGTCCCAGCTACTCAAGATTGCGCCACTGCAAAAAAAAAAAAAAAAAAAAAAAAAAAAGCATTCTTTATGTAAGTGAATTTGAGAAACATTGAGTTAAACAATGTAAAGTGTCTTTTTTTGCAGGACTTCTCAGTACTCTCAGTACTTTTTATGTGCCCATGTACACCGTGAATCCTCTAAAGGAGGATATAAAACTTACTGTTCCCAGGGATTATTGATTTAGCCACAGAACTTTGTTGCAAGTAGCACTTTGAGGATAACAATTTTTAGAATATTGTTACAATTACGGTAAAAGACTGGTATTTCTTGACTTAAATATACACTTGACAGAAATCAGCATATGACTCCAAACTAAGACATGGGGACAGGATTGGGGTAAATTAAAAACGTTCTCATTACCCATAAGAATTTCCTACAGTCCTTCCGAAGTGGTAACATTTCCCTCATTCATTTCTTCATTCTTGCCCGCATTCAGTATTACCAACAAATATTTTCTGAGTGCGTTTAAATAACAGGCACTGTAGGTACTAGGGATTCTAAGATATACAAAGTTCCTGTTCTCATGGAATTTGTCTTGTAGAAAACAGATGATATACAAATAAGCAAGTAAATGTATAGCATGTCAGATGGTGACAAGTACTAGGGAAAAAATGAGGTGAGACAAAGGGCTGAAGAAGACAGGTGTAGGGCAGTGAGCCATTTAAGCAGAGACCTGGGGGAAATGACGGGGCAAGCTGCAGGGACACCCAAGGAGGAATTCAGAGCAGGAAAAGGGAAGTAAGTACAAACAAATATCTTAAAGTGGGAGAAAGCCTGATGGCAGAAGCCAAGAAAGTAAATGAGGGAAAGAGAGAAAAAAGAGAAAGTTGGAGCCCAGAGAGAACCCTACTATGGGGAAGATGATGCTAGCTGTCCCACTGCAGAGCAAATCACCCCAAACTTTGTGGCTTAGAAGAACAATAACTATTTATTTCCTCCCCCAGCAGTTTCTGTATGGAGGAATTTGGGAGTGGTCTAGCTGGGCAATTCTGACTTGGAGTTCTTCATGAGATTCAGTCAGGTGTCGGGTGTTAGTCCCTTGGAGGTACTGGAAGAAAACTCATCATCAGTGGAATAGAAAGAACCAAGGAAGGCCGGGAGCAGTGGTTCATGCCTGTAATCCCAGCACTTTGGGAGGCCAAGGCAGGAGGATTGCTTGAAGTCAGGAGTCCAAGACTAGCGTAGGCAACATAGAGAGATCTTGTCTCTACTAAAAAACAAAAAAACTTAGCTGGGTGTGGTGGTGTGCACCTATAGTCCCAACTACTCGGGAAGCTTAGGAGATGCAAACATCTGGAAGCTTCAGATGCAAACATCTGAAGCCTGGATAAGGCTGGAAGAGGTTCATCACACAGCCAAAGAGTTGGTGTCAGCTGGTGCTCAGGACACTCCATTCCTCTCTGTGTGGTCTCTCCACAGAGCTGTCTGAGGGCTCTGCTGTATAGGCCCAATGGGTTCTTCTTGCTTGCTACACAGACAAAACTGTTGTTACTCAAATCAGTCTCCCCAAGAACTCAGAGGCTAGGTTTTTTTTGCGGGGGTAAGCAGGGGCTAGGGAATGGGGGCTGCTGATTGGTTGGGGATGAACTCATAGGGGCATGCAGAAGCATCCTCATGAGCTGAGTCTGCCTCTGGGTCTGGAGGCCACAGGACCAGCTGAGTCATGAATCACAGGTCTGGGTGGAATAGGTTGGTTGCAAGAATGCAAAAGTCTGAAAAGCATCTCAAAAGAGCAATCTTAGGTTTTACAATAGTGATGCTATCTACAGGTGCAACTGGGAAAGTCACATATGTTATGACCTCAGGCCACATGACTTCTGATCAGCAAGAGATTATAGAAAAGCAAGCTAGGAGACAATAGCTGGTTATCGTTTCGCTACACCTACATCTTAGCAGAATTCAGGCCCCTCCCACAATCCTAATCTCACGGCCCTACACTCATCTTACAAAGGCAGTTTGGGACCCCAGACAAGGAGGGGACCAGTTTCAGGGAGAGACTATTATTAACCTCACTTTAAAATTGAGCTGTAAACTAAATTCTTCCCATGGTTAACTTGGCCTATGCCCAGTAATGAGCAAGGACAGCCAGCCTGTGAGGCTAGAAGCAAGATGGAGTCAGCCATGCTGGACTTCTCTTGTGGTCATAATCTTTGCAAAGGTGATTTCCCTGCATGGTCTTTGGCTTCCCTCAGAGAAAATAATTCAAGAGACTGACACAGAAGCTGCAATGCCTTTTGTGACCTAACTGGAAGTCACACACTGATTCCTGATTCCGCATAGAAGGGATTCTCCGGGTAGGAACATCAGGATGTGAGGATCACTGAAAGCCATTTTAGAGTTGGGTTACCACACCATTGCAAGGTCGTTAGCTTTTACTCTGAATAAGAGGGGAGGTTTGGGATAGAAGAGTAATTCAATCTGCCTTATGTTTCAGAAGGACTCATCTGAGTGCTGCATTAAGAATAGACCATGAAGGGGTGGGTTGAAAGAGTGGGAACGAGGAGAACAGCAGTGCAGCAATCTCAAGAATCCAGGTGAGAGGTTCTGGTGGCTTGGACTTAATGGTAGTGGTAAAGGTGGTAAGAAGTAGATGGATCCTTCTGGCTATTCTTTGAAGTTAGAGGCAACAGAATTCCTGATGGATTAAATGCATGGGCTGTGGAAAAAGAAGAGTAAAAAATGACGCCAAGGCTCTTGACCTTGGAGTAGCCTGGTTGAATAGCCATTGCCCTCTTCTATATCCTAGCACCAGGCCCATCCTTTGCCATGGAAACTCATGGAATTAGGAGGAGAGCTGCCAGGGTATTGATAGAGTATTACCCACAGTCTGTCTAAATGGCACTAATTTAACACCCTGGCATTTTGCACAAAAGAATCCAAGTGTCATTTCAAATAAAATATAGAAACCAAAATTGTTGTAAGTCATTAAGAAGTTTTAAGGCACAGACATTCCCAAAACTATGGCTAGGTTAATTATAATCTCTCTGCCCCAATTCCCCTTACCTGGCAGTTTTTAGATCACAAAATATTGCTTTTCATTTTTCTTGTTTTAATTCCACATTAACAGAAAGAATCCTGGAATCTGTCAGCTGTAGAACATGTTCAACCGTTACACAATTTTAAATAATCTTTCTTTCCTTTATAATAAAAGCAATATTTATTTAAAACTTTTAACTTTTCCAAGCATTAAAAAATTGCTCCTCTGATCTGATGTCAGAAACTTTATGCTGAATATTCCAAATCATTTTGGAGATCAGTATTCTACAGAACAATGTCAGAGTACACTTACAGCTTAATTGCCTGGGAACTAATCTCTAAAATAAATTTGTGTTTTCTTAGGTCCTGAGTTTTGAGACCCTTGCAAATTGGCAAAACAATTTTATTCCAATCTTCTGAGACTCCACATTTAATTCTAAGACTGGGTCTTTGAAAGGATTGTCATTGATTCACTCACTTATTCAATATTGACTCCACAATTACATTTGAGTCTTGTTCTCTGTGCTGGTGATTCGCAAGTGGACAAATCCTTGACCTCAAGGAGCTTACACTATATTGGGAAAGACAGATGAGAAAACTGATGAGGTGCTACTATAGAGTAAAAGCAGGGGACTATAGGAACACATAAGAAGGACCACTAGCCCAGTCATGAAGAGTCAAAGAAGTGAGGTTATCAAGCCAAGACCTGAAACACAGGGAAGAGTGCAAGGGTGCTCCAAGAAAGAGGGAACTTGGCACAAGAAAGTGTGAGGGATACTCAATGAACAGCAAGCCAATTCAATAAGGTTGAAGTTTAAGGTGGATGGTGGAAACTGAAAAGACATCTGGAGAGGTAAGCTGGTGCCAATCCAGGAAAAGCTTAACTTAAATTTCAAGGTGTTTAGCCAGATGGCAATGGGGAATCACTGAACAGTTTCCAGCAGGGCATCATTAGAATTAGTTGGTGTTTTGGAAAGATCACTCTGGCTATAGTTCAGAGCAAGGACTTGAGGGAATCCAACCTTTGCTCCACCTCTTCATCCTACCATTACATTCAAGTAACCATCATTTCTTTCTGATACCAGCGTATCAGTCTCTCAAAGAGTCCCTCAATCCATTCTCATTAAGTCAACTAAAAATCCAAATCAGATCAGGTTACTCCATTGCTCAAACAATGATTTGGAATCCCATTGTCCTTACAAAGAAGCAAAAAATCTTAATAGGGTTCACAAATTTTTGCTCAGTCTGGTCCAAGGAACCCATCCAATCAACCCCATCTCTACTTCTTTGGGTTTTTTTTTTTTTTTTTTTTGAGATAGGGTCTCACTCTGTTGCCCAGGCTGGAGTGCAGTGGCACAATCACAGCTCACTGCAGCCTCAACCTCCTATGTTCAATCAAGCATCCCACCTCAGCCTCCTCAGTAGCTGGGACTACAGGTGCACACAACCATGTCCGGCTAATTTTTTGTATTCTTTGTAGAGACAGGGTTTTGCTATATTGCCCAGGCCGGTCTCGAACTCCTGGGCTCAAGTGATCCTGTCTCCTAAGCTTCCCGAGTAGTTGGGAACATAGGTGCGCACCACCACACCCAGCTAATTTTTTTTTTTTTTAGTAGAGACAAGATCTCTCTATGTTGCCTACACTAGTCTTTGACTCCTGAATTCAAGCAATCCTCCTGCCTTGGCCTCCCAAAGTGCTGGGATTATAGCCATGAGTCACTGCTCCTGGCCTTCCTTGGTTCTTTCTATTCCACTGATGATGAGTTTTCTTCCAGTACCTCCAAGGGACTAAGCTCTCATTTCCACTTCTCAGGGACCCCAAATGGGTTGTTTTCTCTGCCTAGAATACTGGACTCATCTGTCTGTGACTTTTAATGCCTTTCATTCAGATCTCAGCCTAACCTTTACTTTCTCAGAGATGGGATCTCTTGATTAAATGATGCCTCTCACCCCTACCCACTACACTCTAGACCCTCTTATTACACCAGTGTCCCCATCACCTAGCACAATACTGGTCAGTGTATTACTCAATCATTATATATTGAATAAATGAATGAAGGTAAGGAGAGAGTCAGGAGGCGTTGCCTAAACTGAAGGATTAGAGGGAAAGGATTTGAGTTTTGAGTGGTAAGAGTGACTAGACTTGAAAATTAACTGGAAATGGGAAAAATAATTGGGAAAAAACATAGGCACTTGTATTAGTCCATTCTCATGCTGCTATAAAGAACTGCCTAAGACTGGATAATTTATAAAGGAAAGAGGTTTAATTGACTCACAGTTCCACATTGCTGGGGAAGCCTCAGGAAACTTACAATCATAGCAGAAGGGGAAGCAAACATGTCTTTCATCACAAGGCAATAGGAGAGAGAAATGCCAAGCAAGGGGGAAAGCCCCCCATAAAACCAACAGATCTCGTGAGAACTTACTCACTATCTCGAGAACAGCAACAATGGGGTAACTGCCCCCATGGTTCAATTAATTCCCGCCAGGCCCCTCCCATGACACATGGGGATTATGAGAACTGCAGTTCGATATGAGATTTGGGCGGGGACACAGCCAAACCATATCAGCTCTTATGTGACAGGTTCACCCACTGTATTGTATGAGCCTTGAGCAGTACCTGGGACATGGTAGAATACTCAACAAATATTTGTGTCAAATGCATGAGTCTGGATAAGTGGAGGCCATCACCCGGGCTTCTGGTGTGGGTTAGTGAGCAGCTCCATTCCCCAAAAGAGGGAAAACGTGAGCAGAAGTGCTTGTAGAGAAAGTGCCTCAAACAGTACTACTCAGCTATTTGCTCTAGAAAAGATGATACAAGTATTCAAAATGACATTCTATTAATAGAAAGGAAAACAAATCATGACTATGTGTGAAGCATTATTAGGTTGTATTCAATATTTTGTGTTTATATTAGTATTATAATACTTGGAATTTTAACCAGATATTTTTGTTAGAATAATTTTATCTAGCTGACTTCAATTTCTGGCAAAGACAAACAAGTTGTGATTTCAGATGGGCTGCTCCTGAAACTTGTGACTGACAATTGCAAAAAATTACTTCCTTCCTCTTAGAGGGGAAAAATTACAGAGATTCTCTAAAAACATCTCCACTCTGACCAGCTATACATCTTTGAACTTCAAAAAATGAAACACACAGCATTTCCATTTGGAATAATGAAAAATTTCTGGAACTAGATAGTGGTGATGGTTGCACAACATTTTGAATGTACTAAATACCACTGAAACATATACCTTAACATGTTTACTATGGCAAATTTTATGTTATGCGTACTTTACTGTAAAAAATTTTACACAAAACGTGTTCAGCAAAATTAAAAGTTTGACCACCTTAGGCAACTTAGTTAGATATTTTAGAAATGTGAGAAGCTTCACTCTGTTTGTGAGATTCTTTTGAAAATCACAGCAGCACAATGCTGTGGAGGTTTTTTCCGGCAACAACATTTGGAGCCCAACATCTGAGAAGGGAATGGAATTCAGGTTGTGTGTGACATGACTTTGAAAGTAAGAAAAAGACGGTCTAAGTAATAACAGAAAACAATCACTTCCCAAGCCTAAAGAAAAGGGCTGTCCTTGGTTCTCTCTCCATCTAATTCTATTTGCTTCTAGAGTTGTATTCTTAGAGAATTTGGATTCCCAATGCAATTCTGTATTTAAGAAAAGATATGGTCTATACAGTAGTTTTCAGCTTTGACCAACAAGAACACGTTTATTTATTATTTTCCTTCAGGGATTGCATGTGTTTGTAAGGTAATGTCTATTAAACAATATCAAAGTATACTTATTAAATAAAAATTAACTCATTTTCTATTTTTGACTTCTTAGTTATATTATACACATATACCCACTTATCTGGGTCACTGATTAACATTCTGCAGCCAGTAATACCACACTCAGTTGCTATAACTTCAGGTAAAAGCAAATAATTTACTTTCTGGTTATCTGTCAGTTTTTTCATCTATAAGTGCCTTTAGACATTTCAATGAAAATTTATTAGGTTTCTAAAATACTGAAAGTAGCCTTGGGCACCTCCATTGCTACCTTTCAGAATCCCTAAATAAAGATTCACCAGTCTAATGATTAGTGTTTATATCAGTTTATCTCAATGGAGAAGAAGCATCTACCTTTAAAGGACTTATCAAAATCACCTCAGGGACTTTTGCAAGCTACAGCGTATATTTCCTTGAGCTCCTGCAGAGAAACTGATATACCCTCCATAGAAACAGGGAAGATGGAATCTTTTTCTTTTTCTTTCTTGAGAATTACTGCTATAACGAGCCTCTCTTACTGAAGAGAGTGTATTGTACCTTTCAAGGGTATTAGGACCAAGTAAAGTGTGAGAATCACATTGATTTATATAACTGTTTATGTGAGGCTTTCAGGACAAAACAAATTTCTAATAGCAAGTCATTGTCTCACAGCCTATACTGGATAACATGGGCCAAGAAACAACACATAAAGTGCTCCAATAAATTGATGAGAAAAGTATTTAATGTCCATGAAAAAAAAAAAAAGCAACAAAAATAGAGGGGAAACTAAAGTTACTGACACATATGGGGGGAAATGTTTTGACCTCACCAAAAACTGAAAAAGGTAAAATGTAAACTGCACCATGAGTTTGGTTTGCTCTGGCTAAGATGAATAACAATGATAAGATTTACCCTCCCTGCCTGAAGCAAATGAAAAATGGACAAACTATAGGAAACAATGATTTGCATGACACTGGATATCAGTCAGTGAAGGACAGTGATCCCTGAGAGATGGAAGCAAACAAGGCAAGCTCACTGCATTGAGAAAATTTCCAGGTCACAACTCCTGCAGAGAGATTCAGGCAGAGTCTAGCAGACTCCTGAGTTGAAAGATGGAGCAGAAAGTCCAGGAAGACCAAGGCATCCAGAACCTGCAGGATGGAGTAATGAGATGGAGAAAGCTGAACAGAGAGAGAATTCCAGAAATCTGCAGGAGGCTGGCTCTCTGTCAGTCTTTAGCTGAGCACTAATCAGCAAATGCACAGGAGGAGACCGCCAGAGGCCAGGGGAAGAATCTCCTGAAAGGATTGAGGTGAACAGTGCCTGGAGCTCAAGTAGCACAGGACTCACTGGCCAGACTGGAGAAGCTCATGATTCATGGGACATTACATAATGTATTCAGAAGGACTTAACTCGGTGGTGGAAAATTAGTCCTCAGCTGAAACAATGCTCCAGTCCTGTCTAACAAACCTTAAAAGCAAGACCCCAAAGCATCAAACTATTTCCAAGTAATCTAACTGAATCCTGGAATAAAGCTCAAGACCATCACGTGAATACAAAAATATTCAGTACCCAACAAGGTAAAATTCACAATGTCTAGAATGCAACCAAAAATTAAACAAGTGTGCAAGGAAGAAAGAAAAATACTCACAATGAGGAGATAACTTCTTTCAGCTTTTTTTACCTCTTGCCTGTCTAAAATAGTCTTTAATTGGCTTTCAATTTTGAAAGATATTTTCTCTGGGTACAGAATTCCATGTTAATAGTGTTTTTCTTTCAGTATTTTAAATATCTTGCTCTTTTCTCACTTGAATTTGTTCCTAGTGACATAGCTGCTGTCATCCTTATTTTTTTTTCTTCTACATGTAGCATATCTTTTTTCTTCTGGCTGATTTTAAGATTTTTTTTTCTTTATCACTGGTTTTGAACAATTCCATTATAATATGCCTCGCTGTCATTTTTCTCATGTTTCCTGTACTCAGGGTTAATTGGGATTAATACAGGTGATTAATCTAACACAAATGTTAGAATTAGGAACTAAAAGCAATAAAACAATTATTATAACAATATTCCATATATTTAAAAAGTTAGAGACATAGAGGACATAAAAAAAGATACAATATCAAACTTGTAGAGATGATACTACAATGTGTGAGATGAAAAACACACTGGATGGGATTAACAGCAGGGCATGCATTACAGTAGAATGGTATTAGTGAATTTGAAGACACAGCAATAGAAACTTCACAATACAATGAGAGAAAGAGAGTCAGAAAAATAAAGAGTATCAGGGATCTGTGGGACAACCTCAAGCAGCTGAATGTACCTGAAATGGGAGTCACCATGTGTGCAGAGTCAGGGGGAAAACAGAAGAAATATTATTTTTATGTGGAACAATGGTTCAAACTTTTTCAAATTTGATGAAAACTATAAACCTACATATCTAAGAATCCTAACTAACCCTGAGCACAGGAAACATGAGAAAAATGACAGCAAGACATATTATAATAGAATTGTTCAAAACCAGTGATAAAGAAAAAAAAATCTTAAAATTAGCCAGAGGAAAAAAAGATATGCTACGTGTAGAAAAAAATAATAAGGATGACAGCAGCTATGTCACCGGGAAAAAATTCAAGTGAGAAGAGAAAAGAACAAGATATTGAAAGAAAAGCACTATTAAACTGGAATTCTATACCCAGAGAAAATATCTTTCAAAATTGAAAGCCTATTAAAGACTTTTAGACAGGCAACAGATTAAAAAGCTGAAGGAATTGATTACCACCAGGTCCACACTACAAGAAATGCTAAGAAAGTCTTCAGACACAAAAGAAATGATATAAGATTGAAATACAAAGAAATGATGAGATTAAAAATGGAACTCTGTGGGTAAATGAATTTTTTTCATCACTTAAATCTCTTTAAAAGATGTAGGCTGTTTAAGTAAAAATAATGGCAATGGACAGTGGGCTTTCTGCCATTTGTACCAGTGAAGTGTATGGCAATAATAGCACAAAAGTCAAATAAAAAGAAATTGAAGTTGTTTCTTACCCTATATCTAAAGTAGTAAAATATCACTTGAATGTTGACTGATATATTTTTTAAAATCAGTAAGAATATGGAAGATTTGAACAATACTATTAGCCAACTTGACCTTGTTGACATTTACAGAATACTCCATGCAACAAGAGCAGAATACACATTCTTCTCAAGTACACACAATATTTACTGCGGTAGGCTATTTTCTGGGTATAAAGCAAATCTCAATAAATTCAAAAGGATTCGAGTCATACTGAGTATGTTCTCTGACCACAGTGGAAATGAGTAAGAAGACATAAACATCTTTAGAAAAGTCTTAAAATATATGGAAACTAAATATTCCACTTCTAAACAACCCATGGATGAAAAAAGAAATCAAAAAAAATTAGAACATGTATTCAACCAAATGACAATGAAAATGCAAAATGCTAGAATTTGTGTGCTACTGTTAAAGTAGTATTTAGAGAGGAATTTACAACAATTATTGCAGTTTTTAGGGGATAGTTTAGGTCTATATTAGAAAAGAATAAATATCTCAAATCAGTGATCTCAGCTTCAACCTTAAGTGACAAGAAAAAGAAGAGCAAGTTAAACCCAAAATAAAAGAAAATAAATAATAAAGATCAGAGCAAGAATTAATGAAATAGAAAATGAAAAAACAATAAAGTCAATAAAATTAAAAAGCCTAGTTTTTTGATATCAATCAAATTGATTAACCACTAGCCAGATTGATTAGTCAAAAAAGAAAGAAGTTACAAATTACCCGTATCTGGAATGTGGGAGGTGGCATCACTGCAAATTCTACAAATACTAAAGGATAACAGTTGAATATTAGGAACAATTTTAAGCCAATAAATTCAACAACTTAGATTAAATAGACAAATTCCTCAATAGACACAAATTATCAAAGCTCACTCAGGAAGAAATACATACCTGAATTGCCCTATAACTATTAAAGAATTGAAATTGTAGTTGAAAAATATTTTGACAAAGAAAACTCTAGGCCCACATGGCTTCTTTGGTGAAATCCACCAAACAAGTAAGGAAGAAATAATATTAATTCCATACCAACTTTTCCAGAAAACATTACATTAATACCAAAACCAAAGACATTAGAAACTTATACATCTGTCAAGTGCGGTGACTCACACCTGTAATCCTAGCACTTTGGGAGGCTGAGGTGGGCGGGTGGCTTGAGCCCAGGAGTTTGAGACCAGCCTGAGCAACTTAGTGAAACCGTGTCTCTACAAAAAATACAAAAATTAGCCAGGCACAGTGGTGCACACCTGTGGTCCTGATCGCTTGAACCTGGGAGGTGGAGGGTGCAGGGAGCTGAGATCATGCCACTGCATTCCAGCCTGGGTGACAGAGCGAGACCCTGCCTCAAAAACAAAAAACAAAAAAACTATAGACCAATATCCCTCATAAACATAAAGGCAAAAGTTCAGCAAATTGAACACAACAATATTTTTTAAAACGATAATACATCATAGCCAACTGAGATCTATCCCAGTATGCACATTTGGCTGAATATTAAAAAATTTTTAATGTAATTGACTGTATTAGCAAACTTTGAAAAAGAAAAAACCTTTGATTATCTCAAAAGATGCAGAGCAAACATATAGACAAAATTCAATACCCATTTCCAATAAAAACGCTCAGCAAATTGGGAGTAGAAGAGGACTTCTTCAGCGTGATAAAGAGCATCTAGAAAAACCTATAGATAAATATCATACTTAATGGTAAAGTATGAATCTTTCCCACTAAGATCAGGAAAAAGACAAGGATGTCTATTCTCACCTCTTCTACACAATATTTTACTAGAGGTTCCAGCCAGTACATTACGGCAAGAAAAAGAAATAAAGTAACCATATTTGAAAGGAAGAAGCAAAACTGTCTATATTTGCAGACAACATGATTATCTATGGGGAAAATCTGGTGGAATCTACAAAAAATTTTAAAAACTAGTAGAACTAAAAAGTGAGTTCAGTAAGGTTACAGGACTCCAGGTCAATATACAAAGTCTAGTATATTTCTATATACCAGCAACAAACAATCAGAAATTGAAATTTTAAAAAATATTTACAGTAGCATCAAAAAGTATTAAATACTTAAGAGTAAATATGGCAAAAGATATGCAAGTCTTGTACACTGAAAACTACAAAACATTTCTGTGGGAAATTAAAGAAGACCTCAGTAAATGTAAAAATATATCTAGTGCTTGGGTCAGAAGACTCAATATTGGTAATACGTCAACTCTTCCCAAATTAAACCATAAATTCAACATGATCCAGGCAAAAATCTCAGTAGGTTTTTTTTTTTTCTTAAATTGAAAAAAAACAGACTCTAAAATCACCTGGAAATGCAAAGGGCTCACAATAGTCAAAACCACTTGGAGAAAAACAAAATTGGAGGACCAACAGTACCTTATTTCAAGATCTATGTTAAAGCCGCACTAATCAAGACAATCTGATATTGCTGTAAAAACAAAGATAGATGAGAGAGAGAGAGAAACATAGAGAGTCCACAAATAGAACTACATATAGCAGCAACTAATTTTTAACAAAGTGCAAAAGCAATTCAGCAGAAAAATGATACTTTTTTGACAAAATATGACAATTTTAAAAACTAATAAAAATATAAAACTTCATGAAGAAAACATAGATGCAAACTTATCTGACTTTGGATTATGCAACAATTTTTAAAACATGACTTCAAAAGCATAATCTATAAATGAACAAATTTAACAATTGGACTTCTTCAACCTATAAATGAACAAATAAAAAAATTACACTTGTTCCTCAAAAGATACTGTTAGGGAATAAATAGACAAGCCATATACTGGGAAATGTCTTTGCAAAGCAGACAGTCCTATATTTGATATACGACTTGTATATTGAATATAAATAGAATTCTCAAAATATAATACTAAAAAGAAATAATCCGATGAAAACTAGGTAAAAGACTTTGACAGACACTTCACCAAAGAAAACATACAAATGGCAAGTAAGCACATGACAAGATGTTCAATATCATTCGTCTTCAGGAAAATAAAATTAGAACTACAATGAGATACCACTACACACCTATTAGACTGTCTAAAACTAAGTACTGGTAAGGATAACAAATTAAATATTGGTATGAATGTGGAGGAACTAAAGTCTCACGTGCTAGAAAGAATATAAAATGACCCAACTATCTTAGAAAAACAATTTAACAGTTTCTTAAAAACTTAAACTAACACCTATCCTATGATCCAGCCATTTTACTCCTAGGTATTTGACAAAGAAAAATGAAAATATACATATGCATGTTTTCATATATATGTGCGTGTATATACATATGTACATGTATATATACAAATATGTATTAGTCCGTTTTTATGCTGCTGATGAAGATATACTCGAAAATGGGAAGAAAAAGAGGTTTAATTGGACTTAGAGTTCCACATGGCTGGAGAGGCTTCAGAATCATGGCAGGAGGCAAAAGGCACTTCTTACATGGCGGCAGCAAGAAAAAAAATGAGGAGGAAGCAAACGCTGAAACCCCTGATAAACCCATCAGATCTCATCAGACTTATTCACTATCACGAGAATAGCACAGGAAAGGCCGGCCCCAATAATTCAATTACCTCCCCCTGGGTCCCTCTCACAACACGTGGGAATTCTGGGAGATACAATTCAAGCTGAGATTTGGGTAGCAACACAGCCAAACTATATCAACATATATATGCATATGAACATATGTATATATACACAAAAACTTGTATACAAATAAAATTTATAGCAGATTTATTTGTAATAATCAAAATCTAGGAAAAAAACAAATGTCCACCAACAGATGGTATATCCACACAATGGACTACCCACTCATCAACAGAAAGGAAAGAATTATTGACACATGCTACAACACAGAAGTATCTCAATATAATAATGCTTAATGAAATAAGCAAGATTAAAAAGTGCATACTTTATGATTTCATCCATATAGACTCCTAGGAAATGTGAAGTAAGGAATAATGACAGAAGCAGATCAGTGGTTGCCTGGGAATGGTATAGGGAGTACAAAGCAAGGACCAGCAGGAGGGAGAAAGGAGTGTGAGGAAACCTGGGTATGATGGATATACTTATTATCTTGATTATGGTGATGGTTTCACAGGTGATACAGATCTTTAACGCACAGAATCGTATGTGTTTAATTTTAAATTTATACAGTTTATTGTATGTCAATTATAGCTCAATAAAGGTATCAAAAGCTGCACTGTGATATTTTTGTTTATGGAAAGAGCAATTATTATTAAAATGATTGTACTCAGTGCAGGTAAGCATGGAATGTGAAGGACACGCCTATATACAACTGTTTTGAGCAACATTGGTATAACTTTTCTGCAGGGAATTTGGCAAATATAAAAGCAAGTGTAAATAAGTTCATATTCTATATCTCAGTAACATCATTTTCTAAGTGTTCATATCTGAAAATATGAACAAAAATAACTAAAAACCTGTTAGTCATGATGTTATTTATAATTTTAAATTTTTAAAATAAGGAAGTCACAAATAAATCATCACAAAGTCATTCAAGAGAATGTTACTCAACCATTAAAATTATGCTAAGAAAGAGTTTAATAATATGGGAAACTAAAATAAATTTCAAAACTAGGATATAAAACTACATATAAAGTTTAATGTTACACATACACACACACAAATATACGCATATGTATATTTTTTAATGTGAGTAAGAAATGTTTCCTAGTATGGAAAGAAATATACCAAAAGGTAAATAGTGATTGTTTCTGAACGGTGACTTCAAATTCTTTTTTCATACATTTCCATATTTTCTATAGTAAGCATGTATTACTTTTATAAATTCAAACATTCTTCTTTAAAAGAGGTAAGAAGGTAGTTTTTTAAATAATGGCAGAATAGGCATCTGATATTCATCTTACCATTATCTTTGCTGCTAATGCTGCCATTTGTAAAACAACTATTCCCTAAAATGACGGAAGCTTTAACTATTATAAATAAAATGTATTAAATTTTGATTGGATCATTAAGCATTCATTCCTGATTGATATAATCTCCTGTTTCAGAACATTCAAACAACTACTTTCATTTTCAAGCTTTTTTTTTTTTTTTTTTTTTTGAGACAGAATCTTGCTCTGTCACCCAGGCTGGAGTGCAGTGGCACCATCTCCGCTAACTGCAACTTCCACCTCCCCGGTTCAAGCGATTCTCCTGCCTCAGCCTCCGGAGTAGCTGGGACTACAGGCGTGTGCCAGCACACCCGGCTAATTTTTGTATTTTTAGTAGAGACGGGGTTTCGCCAAGCTTTTATTAAAATCCCATCTTTTAGTTCCAGTAAATCTTCTCCAAGGTGGAGGATAGAATATAGAAACATAAAGAATAAAACTAGGGGAAATGTTTGTACTAAAAATTAATATATACACAACTAATCATCACTAAATAATGAGAAACGTTGGCTCTATCAAAGAAAGTGAGCAAAGGAATAAAATAGGTCTACAGAACTATAGTCAACAAATATATTAAAGGAGTCTATCTTAATTAATAATCAAACAAAAGCAAATTTAAACATCAGTGAGTGCCATTTTTCAATCCATCAAGTTGGCAAAGTTTTAAAAATCCAATCCTCAAAATTGGCAAATGTGCAGGGAGGTAAGCACTCACCAATGCTATCTTTGTCCATCCAGGCTGCTATTACAGAATACTATAAACAATAAAAATTCATCTCCCCACAGTTGTTGTAGGGAGAGAAGTTCAAGATCAAGGAGCCTGCAAATTTGGTGTTTGGTGAGGGACAACTTTTCTGGTTCATAGACGGTGCCTACTTTCTGTGTCCTCACATGATAAAAGGAGTGAAGGGTTCTCTCTGCAGGCCACTTTTATGAGGGCACTAATGTGTTTCATGAGGACTCCACCCCATGCCTAATCACCTCCCAAAGGCCCACCTCCTAATATCATCACCTTGGGGGTTAGGATTTCAACATGTGAATTTCAAGGGGAACACAAACATTCAGACCATAGCAAATACCATTGGAGAGTGCATTAAAACAGTATACATTTTCTTGAAAACAATGACTCAAAGATTTGTGCAAGGAAATATGTTTATCAAAGCATCATTTGTAACAAAAAGATCAGAAACAACCCAAATACCCAATAATAGGGATAATTAAAATAATTATGGTGCATTCATGCCATAGAACATTTTAAGGCTGTTAAAAATCAGGTATTTAAAGAATAATTAGAAACAAGGAAAATTGCTTATGAAACAGTGCTGAATTTAAAAAGAACTAAGTAAGTACATGACCCAATTATGTTCAATATGGAGACAAAGAGAGAAAGAGAGAGAAACTGGGGAGCAGAAGGGAATAAAACCAGAAGGAAATATCCACATGTATTATCAATGATTAATCTCTGCTGAGGGGAGGGAGAATATTATTAGTAATTTATTTCTATAAGTATATATATACACTTATCTGTGTCTCCAAATTTTCTTTCTTTTATTATTAGAAAGGTTAATGTTACTGAATTTTAAGAAAAAAATAAAAAATTGGGGAGTGAAAAAAGAAAAGTAGAGAAGCTTAATGACTGCCAATGTGTATCTTCAGTCTTACTTATCCCTCAAACCCTGCCAGTATTCACAACTGAGCATACCCTCTCAGATGTCCACAGATATTTAAATTAAGAAGCACACAATTAAGCTCCTCATCTTTTCCCACAAATTTGTACTTCTTGTTAATCTTATTTAATAAGATCCCCCATTCATTAATTTATTTATTTAACAAATATATATTGAATGTGCACTATGTGGCAGGCACAGTAACAGGGAGTGTGGGGGGCAGTGCAACAATGAATAATGAATAAGATGTGGACCCTTCCTTCAAGAATCTTCTGGTGTTGTGATTAAGATAGACAATCATGCTATGTCATACAATATAACGTAAGTGTTATGTAATGGGAATTTGAAGAAGATGCCACAAAAGTACAGAGGAAAGACAACTAAACTAGCCTCAGATGCTTATAAAAGTCTTTCTACAGCAAATAAGATATAAACTGAGTCCCAAAGATAGAGAAGAGTCATTTAAGAAGGGGCCTGATCATAAAAATCCTTGAAAACCATTAAGGAATTGGGATTTTATTCTGTATCCGTGAGATACTGTTAAAGGGTTTTCACTAGCACTAAGTACTCCTATATCCATGCAGTTACAGATTCTGAGAAACAGAGCTTCCTCTCCCCCAGATGCCCAAGTCTACTCAGTGGACTCAGAGTCATGGCTGAGCCACATGGCTTCTAAATGAGAACGGATATCACTTGCTCTTGTGACCATTACTGGCCTCTGCCATATTGCAGCTTCACCACGGTGGCTGGTAACTGTGCCAAAGATCTGTGAATGTCGCCATCTGAGTTGGGGCACACATTCCTCTTTGCAATCACACTAGCCTCTGATGCATTCAACCCTTATAATGCCTCTCCTGCTGGTCAGTCTATTGTGAAATAAAAGTGAAAAGTTCTCCTTTCTGTGGTTATGCTTTGTGGGGAGGGGGTCGGAAGGAGGGGATGGTGTCCCACAGCAGGGTGGCCCAGGAAGAGATATCACAGAGTTTAGTATCACTGTTCTATTGTTTGCACACCTAGCCATTTTGTCCTTGGGGAGCACGCCCACCAGAGTGATTGGATCAGAAGTTTCAAGTAATGACCACCATGACTCATTGCTGCCCTCCAACACTTAGAACCTGTTGCATAGTCTGGATATTTATGCCAAATTCTTTCTTCCATCAGGTGGCTTGCTCTCAGGAGAACTTCAGTCACTCATTTTGATGTGGCTTGTTTAAGATATCCCAGAGTCTGCCACATGACATGTATCTGAATGCCACTTATAGAAACCCTTTGAGTCCTTTTCCTAGCAATTTTCTAAAGCCCCCTTGCATCAACAGGGCTAAATGGATACCAGAAATTTGTGGTGAAGTGGAATCTGCTGGTTCCATTTACCAGCTATATCTCAGTTATGGACCAAACAAGACACAAATTGATCCTTACACAGTGAAAAGTTTGAAGGCTACAGACCAGATGGGAAGTGGAATTTAAGATGCTTTTTCCCTCTAGTTTCTTATTTTCATTTTCTAAGTTTTTTCTCAGAAACCATAGTAACTTGTACAAAATGTTCATAAAAATAAATAAGCACTACTATGATTAAAAAAACAAAAAGAATAGGGTGGGTGTTGTAAGGGATTTGGGAAACAAGCATTCTCATATAACTTGGAAGGGAGTGAATTGCCTTTGAAGGTCATTTGGCAATATCCATCAAAACTTTGCTATATTCTATGCCCATCAATCTATCCCACAGGTATATTCTCTTAAAGCTACGCAAGGCAGCATAAGTTGTAGTAGCAAAAACCACAAATATCCTAAAAGTTCATCACCAGGGGAACGACTAAGTACATTCTGGTATATTCATGTCAAGGATGTGGCGCTAAATATGAGAAACAGATTTCTGTCTTAGTCCATTTTCTGTTGCTTATAACAGAATATCGGAAACTGGGTAATTTACAAGGAAAAGGAATTTAATTCTTATGGAGGCTGAGAAGACCATGATTAGAGGGACACTTCTGGTGAGGAACTTCTTGCTGATGGGGACTCTACAGAATCCGGAGGTAGCGCTACCTCAGGTCTCTCCTCCTCTTCTCTTCTCTAACCAACCCCACCCACTGTCTTATGGTGCTGATGTTCCTCTTCTTATAAAGCCACCAGTCCCACTCTCTTGATAACCCATTAACCCATTAATCCATGCATGGATTAATTCATTCATGAGGGCTCCACCCACTGCTAGACTTACTCTCTGCCTTTTACTTCAAAACACCCTTTACTTCCCCTTTCCTAAAATTCATTAGAATTATCACTACTTGACAGTTGTCTCTCTGCTACTGCACTATAAGTTCAATGATAAAAGGGGTCTTTTGCAAATATAGCCCTGCCCGACATAAAGACATTTTTGTCAATGACAGACTGCATATATGACAGTCTGTAAGATTATAATGGAACGTTTCTATCATATTTCTACTGTACTTTTTCTATGTTTAGAGAGGTTTATTTTTTTCCAAATTTTATTTTAGGCTCAGGAGGTACACATGCAAGTTTTCTTACACAGGTAAATTGTGTGTCATGGGAGTTTGGTATACAAATGATTTCATCACCCAGGTAATGAGCATAGCCCCAATAGGTAGATTTTTTAATTCTCCCCCTCCTCCCACCCTTCACCCTCAAGTAGGCCCTCGTGTCTATTGTTTCCATCTTTATGTTCATGTATACTCAATGTTTAGCTCCCACTTATGAGAGAGAACATGCAGTATTTGTTTTTTTATCCTGCATTAATTCACTTATGATCTAGGTATAGAATCATATCATCTGCAAAGAAAGACAGTTTGACTTCCTCTCCTCATATTTGGATGCCTTTTCTTTCTTTCTTTCTTTTGCTTGATTGCTTTGGCCAGGACTTCCAGTGCTATGTTGAACAGGAACAGTGAAAGTGAGCACTCTTGTCTTATTCCAGTTCTTAAGGGGAATGCTTCCAGATTTTGCTTTGAGTATGATGTTGGTTGTGTGTTTGTCATAGATGGCCTTATTTTCAGATATGTTCCTTCAATGCATAGTTTGTTGAGGGTTTTTAACATGAAGTCGTGTTGAATTTTATCAAAAGCCTTTTCTGTGTCTATTGAGATGATCATGAGGTTTTTTATTTTAGTTCTGTTTATGTGATGAATCACATTTATGGACTTGTGTATGTTGAACCAACCTTGCATCCCAGGAATAAAGCCTATTTGATTAACTTTTTGATGTGCTGCTGGATCTGGTTTGCCAGTATTTTGTTGAGGATTTTTGGATCTACGTTCATCAAGGATATTGGCCTGAAGTTTTTTTGTTTTTGTTGTGTCTCTGCCAGTATCGGAATGATGCTGGCCTCATTGAATGAGTTGAGGAGGAGTCCTTCCTTGTCAATTTTTTGGAACCATTTCAGTAGGATTGGTACTCACCCTTCTTTATACATCTGGTACAATTCAGCTGTGAATCTGTCTGGTCCAGGGCTTTTTCTAGTTGGTAGATATTTTATTGCTGATTTAATTTTGTAACTTGATATTGTTCTGCTCAGGGTTTCAATTTCTTCCTGGTTCAATCTTGGGAGGTTGTATGTTTTCAGGAATTTATCAATTTCTCCTAGAATTTCTAGTTTTTGTGCATGGAGGTGTTTGTAGTAGTCTCTGAGGGTTTTTTTGTATTTCTGTGGGGTTTGTGGAAATGTCCCCTTTGTCATTTCTGATTGTGTTTATTTGCATCGTCTATCTTTTTTTCTTTATTAGTTTAGCCAGCAATCTATCAATCTTATTTATTCTTTTAAAAAGCCAGCTTTTAGTTTTGTTGACCTTTTGTATGGTTTTTTGTGTCTCAATTTCATTCATTGCAGTTCTGATTTTGGTTCCTTTTCTTTTGCTAGCTTTGAGATTCATTTGCTCTTGTTTTTCTAGTTCTTGTAGGTGTGATGTTAGGTTATTAATTTGAGATCTTTCAAACTTTTTGATGTGGGTGTTTAGCACCATAAACTTTCCTCTTAACACTGCTTTAGCTGTGTCTCAGAGATTCTAGTATACTGTATCTTCTTTTCTATTAGTTTCAAAGAATTTCTTGATTTCTGCCTTAATTTCATTGTTGACCCAAAATTCATTCAGGAGCAGATTGTTTAATTTTCATGTAACTGTATGGTTTTGAGAGATCTTCCTGGTATTGATTTCTATTTTTATTATGCTGTGGTCCAAGAGTGTGGTTGGTATGATTTTGGTTTTTTTGAATTGTTGAAAATTGCCTTAAGGCTGAGTGTATGGTCAATTTTAGAGTATATGCCAGGTGCAGATGAGAAGAATGTACAGTCTGTTGTTGGGTGGAGTGTGCTGAAGATATCTGCTAGGTCTATCTGGTCAAGTGTTGGGATTAAGTCCCAAATATCTTTGTTAGTTTTCTGCCTTGATGATCTGTCTAATACTGTGAGTGGGATGTTGAAGTCTCCCTCTATTATTTCGTGGTTATCTAAGTCTCTCCACCGGTCTCTAAGAACTTGTTTTATGAACCTGGGTGCTCCAGTGTTGGGTGCATATATATTTAGGATGGTTAAGACTTCTAATTGAATTGAACCTTTTATCATTATGTAATGCCCTTCTTTGTCCTTTTTGATTGATGTTGGTTTAAACTCTGTTTTGTCTGATATAAGAATAGCAACCCCTGCTCTTTGTTGTTTTCCATTTGCTTGTCTATGATTTGTATTGTATTCAAGATGTATTAAGAAAAAGCAGTTTGCAAAATACAAAACATTTCTGTGGGAAATTAAAGTGTGATACCATTAGAGGAGAAAGATAGATGGATGGTTATACAGATTGATAGATGATTAGCTAGCTACCTAGAAGATTAGATAGATAGATAGATAGATAGATAGATAGATAGATAGATAGACAGACAGATAGATAGATAGATATAGATAGATGGATGATAGGAGAGAGAGAGTCAGATAGATAGATATGAATATGCATAGCAAATATCTGGAAAAATTTGGTGTTCTACTGTGACATTTCACTTATCATTATGTAATATTATATTTTTCACTATAAACTCATTTGCACTCATCCCATGCTTCCTGTGCTCAGGCCGATAGTCCCCAAAATACCAAGCCCCTTTAGGAACTCTGACACTTGTATTTTTTTCTCCCTTCCTCTTCCTCCTTCATCTCACAAACTCCTTTTTTTCTAGGAAAGTTTCCAGTTCAGTGATACTTCCTCAGTGATGCTGCCTTCAGGGCTCATGTTCTGTTTTCATTATCTGTTAGCACTTTCCACGTGTTATTGTCAGATTGATAGATAGGTATGTAGATTTTTTTTTTTAACACGCATACTTTCCTCACTAAAAGGTAAGCTTCTCCAAATGGGAAAATCATGACTTGAAGTCTTTGTAGGTCAGAATCTAAAGCCATGCCAGGTACCTAATGAATACCTCCTAAATGTTTGCTATTGAAAAAATAAGTGACCTTTTTAAATATGAAAGTCTAACCTCCTAGAATTAAGGAATTAGCATCACACCTAATCTATTTATAAATCTGGAGTTTCTTTTTAAATAAATGCCCATTGAAAACAAAAACCTGCAGGGCAGGAAGATATTGAGGCCCTGTATGATTAAAATAAGGTTGCAAGCTAAATGGATGCTTTGAAATGTGAATACCTTGAGTAGATGATCAGTCTTAGTCATGACTTTAAAGAATTATTCTGCATTAAACCTTAAAAATCATTTTCCATTTCAACTAATTTTCCAACTTTTCTTTATATGAGGAAAAGATACAAATGACTGGATTTTATTGGCATTTTTCAGTTCTAATTATATATCTTATTTTAAAAAGAAGCAAATGATCACAGCGTTGGTTAAAGGTCATATATTCTGTGATCTTTTTTTAATATTAGGACTTCTATTCTTGTCTTGTTCTTTTACTGTAGTTCAGATATGAAAAAAGGGTAAGTAAGGAAAGAAGCAAAATCTGATTGACAGCAAACGCTAATGGTAACCAACTCTTCCCAAAGAGACTACAGTGGAGTGTGAATAATGATATAAATCATAATAGAAAGCAAAAATCAGTTTGTTTCCACATATAGCATGTGCTGCATGATTTTATGAATGCAGGAGGCATATGGATGATTGATGGATATCGTGTTGTATGGATAAAAGTGGTGTGTCTCAGAGTCACTTCTGCTTTTAGTGAATGACAATGGAGCTTTTGTAATACTAATAATGTTGAAACCTGGTGAATGCAATGATACAGATAAATGACAATATATTCCTAAAATTTCCATGGACAGTTGTGAGTTCAAATATTTTATTCTATTGTCCCATGAATCTATTTTTATGCCATATGCCCCAAGATTTCTTTCTAAAAACATTTACTACTGGAATTGCAGTCTGTTAGGAAGAATATTGTTTTGTTTGGGAAGATAAGATTAGATCTGTCTATTAAGTCTTCAAAATAAGCTGTAAATGAATTTTTCTGTAATAAAGACTTACTTCCATCGACAAAATGGGCCATCTACAAATGATTGTTGCTCCTTATCAAGATGGATAGATAAAGAGATATAGATAGATATGTGCTCGCTTCGGCAGCACATATAGTAAAATTGGAACTATACAGAAAAGATTAGCATGGCCCCTGCACAAGGATGACACACAGATTTGTGAAGCATTGCATATTTTTCAAAACAGCATGGTACTGGTACCAAAACAGAGATATAGACCAATGGAACAGAACAGAGGCCCTCAGAAATAATACCACACATCTACAACCATCTGATCTTTGACAAACCTGACAAAAACAAGAAATGGGGAAAGGATTCCCTATTTAATAAATGGTGCTGGGAAAACTGGCTAGTCATATGTAGAAAGCTGAAACTGGATCCCTTCCTTATACCTTTTACAAAAATTAATTCAAGATGGATTAAAGACTTAAATGTTAGACCTAAAACCATAAAAACCCTAGAAGAAACCTAGGCAATACCATTCAGGACACAGGCATGGGCAAGGACTTCATGACTAAAACACCAAAAGCAATGGCAACAAAAGCCAAAGTTGACAAATGAGATCTAATTAAACTAAAGAGCTTCTGCACAGCAAAAGAAACTACCATCAGAGTGAACAGGCAACCTACAGAATGGGAGAAAATTTTTACAATCTACTCATCTGACAAAGGGCTAATATCCAGAATCTACAAAGAACTTAAACAAATTTACAAGAAAAAATCAAACAATCCCATCAAGAAGTGGGCAAAGGATATGAACAGACATTTCTCAAAAGAAGACATTTATGCAGCCAGCAGACACATGAAAAAATGCTCATTATCACTGGCCATCAGAGAAATGCAAATCAAAACCACAATGAGATCCCATCTCACACCAGTTAGAATGGTGATCATTAAAAAGTCAGGAAACAACAGGTGCTGGAAAGGATGTGGAGAAATAGGAACACTTTTACACTGTTGGTGGGACTGTAAACTAGTTCAACCATTGTGGAAGACAGTGTGGTGTTTCCTCAAGGATCTAGAACTAGAAATACCACTTGACCCAGCCATCCCATTACTGGGTATATACCCAAAGGATTATAAATCATGCTGCTATAAAGACACATGTACATGTATGTTTATTGTGGCACTATCCACAATAGCAAAGACTTGGAACCAGCCCAAATGTCCATCAATGATAGACTGGATTAAGAAAATGTGGCACATAAACACCATGGAATACTATGCAGCCATAAAAAATGATGAGTTCATGTCCTTTGTAGGGACATGGATGAAGCTGGAAACCATCATTCTGAGCAAACTATCACAAGGACAGCAAACCAAACACCACATGTTCTCACTCATAGGTGGGAATTGAACAATGAGAACACTTGGACACAGGGTGGGGAACATCGCACACCACGACCTGTCGTGGGGTGGGGGTAGGGGGTAGGGATGGGGGTAGCTAGGGATAGCATTAGGAGATATACCTAATGTAAATGACGAGTTAATGGGTGCAGCAAACCAACATGGCACATGTATACATATGTAACAAACCTGCACGTTGTGCACATGTACCCTAGAACTTCAAGTATAATAAAAAAATTTTTTTAAAAGATATGGATAGATAGATAGGTAGAAACATATAAAGATCTCAGTACTTAGTACCAGTCCTTACACAAAATAGAATGCCAATAAATACTTGTTGAGCTAATTAAAGACTGGAATTAAGAAAAAATGTATTTAGGCCACTCAGAGAAATTAGTCATCTCTTTTTCTAATACTAACCTAATTTTACATTTGCCTAGGGTTGGTCATTCTTGGGAATGTTGTCACACATTCTCTAGGACTTAGCACTGGGGTCCTGTTCAACTTCTTTAGAAGTCAACAGAGAAGCCCCAGAATTTTCAGCATACCAACACCCACAAACTCTGCCATCCACTGCCCACCCTACTCACTGAGCCTCAGAAAATTTATTTGGTACTCCATTTGTTTGCTTTTGTGACATTTGTCCTAGAAACTTAAAAAGTATCTTTGTTCATGTTTTTATTGAATTTCAAATTTCAAATGTTTGGAATGAGGAAAAATATCACTGAAAAACAAACTCTCTATGCTTTGTCCCTGAATGATCCAGTGATTAAATAGGATCAGTTGAATATGGCATTTTACTTGTCATTTCTAATAAAGAAGTTGTAAGCTTCATCTGAGTTTTCAAAATTAAGAAAATTTTGAAGTGAAAACATGTAATTGAACTTCTTTTTAAAAAATATTTCTGTTATGACATGCATATTTGAAAAGTTTTTCACAAAACAGCCCCGGGGATCTCTTTAAATATCTGATTACTGCGCTCCACACTTAAAACTTTCAATGGTTTCCCACTGACCCTACAACAAGATCTGAACTTCTCACCCCAGCCTTTAAGGCCTTGCCTGTCCCATCCACATCTAATTCACCAGTCTTATCTCATACCCTTTCTCCTCAATCCTCACACTCAGCTGCATGAGCTTCTTTCTGCTAGATTTCCCTCTGCTGGGACCTTCTCCCATGCTCTTCCCCAGCCTGCCATACTCTTCTCTATAGGCACTGCCATCTTGACCACACCTGTAACCACCTTCACACCTTTACCTGGGTTTCAGCATAAAATTTACCTCCTCACATTAATGCTTTGGTTTCCACAGGTTAGCAGTTCCCACAGCATCTAACATTTTTCCTTCACAATTATTTCTATAATGTCTGTCGTCCACGCTGAGTTGGATATTCTCTGATAACCTTGGCACTAGTGTATCTTTAGCTCAAGCACCATATGGTACATAACAATGAGTGACATGATATTGTTGAATATGAAATATTAGAAATTACCAGGGTTCAAATGTAATACATTCATTTTTAATCTAGATCTAAATGATGGACAAACGCTAAATGTTTTCTACTGCCCAAAATTCCATGCCTAGAGTGATACTGGACTGGAAACGGCTGAAGGCCTTCAGCTGTGAAGAAAACAAGCCAGAATAAAATTCTTCTTTTTCAAATATTTTATCCATTGTCCTCCTGCTGAGAACCATGGCTTTTTAGGTGGTTTTTTTTTTTAGGTTTATTATGAGTTTAGGCACCTTAAATATTTCAACATTTTAGGGACGAAAGAGAGAAGCAGGGAAGTAAGACACCTCAAAGAGAATGTTGAATCTGACTCACTTTTAACTGGAGACCTTTAGCTGAGGTCTGTTGGGGAACACTAGCCACTGGTCTCTGTCGGAGATAGCTTGACTCATAGCTCCTACAGAGACGCATGAAGCTACCCATCAACATGCGAACTCCTAGGGTAGAAAGAGTCAGGAACTTTTGGTCTTTATATCCAAGTGCCTGCACAGCAAGCACGCTGGAAATGTTTGGGGTACATTTTTACTATATTTACTGTATATCAGTTTTTTCAATATAAAAAGTATGTATATACATGTGTATATACTTTATGTAAGTAGTAAAGCATATATAGCATACACATATATTTATGTAAGTATGCGTACCTTATATAACTAGTAGCTTTGAAATATAATTCACATACAATTCATTCATTTAATGTGTTCAATTCAAAGGTTATTAGCATATTAACAGAGTTGTGCAACCCTAACCACAATCACTTTTTTTTTTTTTTTTTTTTTTTTTTGAGACAGAGTCTCACTCTGTTGCCCAGGCTGGAGAGCAGTGGCACGATCTCTGCTCACTGCAGCCTCAACCTCCTGGGCTCAAGTGATCCTCATAACTCAGCCCCCTAAGTGGCTGGGACTACAGGTGTGTACCATCATACCCGGCTAATTTTTGTATTTTTTTGTAGAGACAGCGTTTTGCCATGTTGCCCAGGCTGGTCTCAAACTTCTGGGCTGAAGCCAACCACCTGTCTCAGCCTCCCAAAGTGCTAGGATTACAAAGACGAGCCTTCGCGCCCAGCCACAATCAATTTTAGAACATTTTCATCACCCTATAAAGAAATTCCGTACAGATTACTGGTCACTTTCCATTAACCTCCAATCCCCCAGTGCTAGCCAATTATTAATCGACTTTCTGTCTCTATAGATTTGTCTTTTCTGGACATTTTGTATCAATGGAATAATATAATATGTGGGGTGGAGTTTTTTTGGCGACTGGCTTCTTTTTTTATCTTAATATTTCAAGATTTATCCATGTGGTAGCATCTCTCAGTACTTTTTTTTATAACAAAATAATGCTACATTATGTTTATCTATTCATCAGTTTACAGATGTTTAGATTGTCCCACTCGTTAGCTATTATGAATAATGTTGCTATGAACATTCATATACAACTTCTTGTGTGGATATATTCCTTAATGTCTTGGATATATACCTAGGAGTAGAACTGCTGAATGATACAGTGATTCTATGCTTAATCATTCCTAACAGCAGTGAATCAGGGTTCCAAATTTTCTGGATCCTCAGCACCACTTGTTACTTCCTATGTAATCATCCTAGACAATGTGAAGTGGTATATCATTGTGATTTTGGTTACTTTTTTTCCTGATGGCTAATGATATTGGGCATCCTTTGATGTGCCTACTGAACATTTATATATCTTCTTTGGAGAAATGTCTATTAAGATTCATTGCTTTTTTTTAAGTAGGGTAATCTTTCTACTACTGACATGTATGTATTCTGGATACAAGTTCCTTATCAGCTATATCATTTACAAGTATTTTCACTCATTCTTTTCCCTTTCTTGGTGGTATTCTTTGAAATGCAAAAGTTTTTGTTTTTGGTTTTGGTTTTTTTGAGACAGGGTCTCACTCTGTCATCCAGGCTGGAGTACAGTGGTACAAGCACGGCTCACTACAGCCCCAAACTCCCAGGCTTAAGTGATCCTCCCACCACAGCCTCTCAAGTAGTTGGAACTATGGACACACATCACCATGCCTGGCTAATTTTTTATTTTTATTTTTGTAGAGATGAATTTTTGTCTCACTATGCTGCCCAAGTTGGTCTCAAACTCCTGGGCTCAAGTGATCCTTGCACTGGGATTACAGGTGTGACCCACCATGTCTGATTAAGTTTTTTAAATTTGAAGAAGTCCAGCTTATCTACTTTTTCTTTTGTCACTTGTGCTTTTAGCAGTATCATATCTAAGAAAACTTTGCCTGACCCAACGTCACAAAGTTTTACCCCTAGATTTTATTCTAAGAGTTTTATAGTTTTACCTTTGAATTTACTTATTTGACCCATTTGAGTTAATTTTTGTGTATGGTGTAAGGAAGGGGTACAATTTTATTATTTTATATGTGGATATTCAGTTTTTCCAGTATCCTTTGTTGAAAAGTTTGTTTTTCTCATTGAGTTGTCTTGGCATTTTGTTGAAAATGAACTGTCCATAAATGTGAGATTTATTTCTGGTCTCTCAATTCTAGTCTATTGGTCTATGTCTTTCCTTATGCCAGTACCAAAGTGTCTTGATTACTGTAGCTTTATAGCATGTTTTGAAATCAGGAATTATGAGTCTTTCTATTTTATTCTCCTCTTTCAAGATTGTTTTGGCTATTTTGAGTCCCTTGCATTTGCGTGTGAATTTTAGGATCAGCTTGTCAATTTCTGCAAGAAGTTTCTCCAGGATTTTAAGAGGAGTTATATTTAATCTGTAGATCAGTTAGGGAATATTTCTATCTTAACAACATTAAGTCTTCTGGTCTGTGAACACGAAATGCCTTTCTATTTATTTAGACCTTCTTTAATTGCTTTCAACAATGTTTTATAGTTTTCAAGATGTAAGTTGTATACTTCTTTTATTAAGTTTATTTCTAAGTATTTTATTCTTTTTGATGCTGTTGTAAAGGGGATAAATGAATCTCCTAAGCAAATTAGCAAATATTTATATTATATAATATAATTTGGATGACAGTAGGAATATGGAGCTCTTTCCTTGGGCATTAGAAATTATATTGTATTATTTAGGCAGTAGTGTACCTTGCCTTCTCCAAAGCATGTTCTTTGTTTTTTGTAAGCATATTTCTATTATTATTGTTATACATATAAAATGTCTAACTCAGTGCTTGAATGATTATTGCTTTCCAATAAATAATTTACTTTAATATTGTTATTATCATCATTAACATTAATTCAAAATCCTCAGATCCAAACAGCTCCAAAATCTTTTTTTTTTTTTTGATAACACACATGCAGTGATCTGAAGTCTTTTAACTTTTATTTTAAGTTCAAGGACACATGTGCAGGTTTGTTACACAGGTAACTTGTGTCATGGGGGTTTGTTGTACAGATTATTTCATCACCCAGGTATTAAACCTAGTACCCATTAGTTATTTTTCCTGATCTTCTCCCTCCTCCTACCCTCCACCCTCCACTAGGCCCCAGTGTGTGTTGTTGCCCTCTATGTGTCCATGTGTTCTCATCATTTAGCTCCCACTTATAAGTGAGAACATGTGGTATTTGGTTTTCTGCTCCCGTGTTAGTTTGCTAAGCATAATGGCCTCTGCAAAGGACATGATCTCATTCTTTTTATGGCTTTATAGTATTCCATGGTGTATATGTACCATGTTTTGTTTATCCTTTCCATCACTGATGGGCATTTATGTTGATTCCATGTCTTTGCTATTGTGAATAGTGCTGCAATGAATATATTCGTGCATGTGACTTTACAACAAACAATTTATATTCCTTGGGGTATATACCCTGTAATGAGATTGCTGCATCGAATGGTATTTGTGTACTTAGGTCTTTTGGTAGCAAAATCTTATCTGAACTGACTGAGAAGTTATTCGTGTCTTTATTTACTGTATAAATAACCATATGTTTTGCTCTCTAAATATTAATGTATTTATAGTGAGAAAAGATATTTGGTTCAACTTCCTGAACTAGGTTTGCCTATTTCTTGGTCTGAACTCCAAAGGATGTTCTGAATAGAAATACAGTCAGGTGTCAAGCTAGACACCACAGATATTTAAATGCTAAAATAGGCAATAAGGAAGGAGATTATACATACAGACACACACAATTGTATATAAGGAATATATTACACACACATATACATATGTATATCACACAAAACACATAAGTATCTTCCATTATTCATGAAAATAATATTTATGGAGTGTCTACTATATACCAGGCACTATTCCCAACCCTGAGGGTATAGCAGTAAACAAAACAGAGATGTTTGGCCAGGCACGGTGGCTCACGCCTATAATCCCAAAACTTTGGGATGCCAAGATAGGAGGATCTCTTGAGGCCAGGAGTTCAAGACAAAAAAGAGATGTTCCATTTTCATGGGACTGCTATGTTAGATTACTTTGTATTGGCCACAGCAACTAACACAATAAGAAGCACACAGGATATGCTTAAATCTCCTGATTATCCTGGGAACACTATCTGCATCAGTCAGGGCTTGGTCAGAGGGGCACAGTTCCCTGAGAGTTATGGAAGAAGGGGCTTCTGTGTGAAATTGACCTCAGAGAGCTGCAGGAGAACCTGGAGAAAGATCTAGGGAAGGAGTCACTAGCCTATCAATCTGAGAAACCGAGATGTCCAGCCGCAGCAGAGGGGCTGAGGGGAGGGTGATGGGAGCCACTGCTTTCATGTTGCTGTTGCCTCTGAAGGTCTTCAGTCAGTCTCTGGGGTAGGCTGGGGCAGCTGTTGGCCAACAGTTGAGAAGAGAAGCTGGATAGGAAACACAGGAGAGCAGGACCCGCTGACACTGGCTGGGCATTTCTGCAACTGTCCATCACTGCTCTGACTGTGACAACCATCAGAGATTAATGGCCACTCCACCTGCCATCCAATCTCATAGATGTTCTACAGGGACAAGATTTTCCCAGCGTAACAAGGTTGATACAGTACAAAACACCACACCTGCCATCAAGACAATAATATGTTGTGTGGACAGACCCTAGGGTAGTCCTCATATTTCCTGCCTCCTGATGTCAGTGTCTTTGATTAATTCCCTCCACTTGAGAGCAGGTGGGACCTGTGGCTTTCTTCTAATCAATAGAATGCAACAAAGGTAATGGAAGTCATTCCTGTGATTATGTTGCATTATAGAAGACATTCTTAGCAGATTGGGCAAGCAAGACTCTCCTGCTGGCTTAAAGAAGCAAACAACCATGTTGTGAACTGCTAGAAAGAAGGTCACAGACAACTCTGTGATCTGTGAAGGAGCAGCATACTGAGAAACACAAATCAATCACAGAAATCACACATTCTCACTTCCAGCTTCTAAATATACTATTTCTTTTTCCATCCTAGTACAGAGTTTCATTAACATTTTGGGCCAGATAATTTTTTGTAGGGGACTTTCTTGTGCATTGTAGGAGATGTAGCATCATCCCTGGTGTCTTCCCTCTAAATGCTCACCACCCTCCCTTCATTGTGACAACCAAAGATGTCTCCAGACATTGCTAAATGTACACTAAGAGGTAAAAATGCTCTGGTTGAAAACCACTATTCTCATATATAAGAGCTACTGCAGCCGGGCGCGGTGGCTCACGCCTGTAATCCCAGCACTTTGGGAGGCCGAGGCGGGTGGATCATGAGGTCAGGAGATCGAGACCATCCTGGCTAACAAGGTGAAACCCCGTCTCTACTAAAAATACAAAAAATTAGCCGGGCGCGGTGGCGGGCGCCTGTAGTCCCAGCTACTCGGGAGGCTGAGGCAGGAGAATGGCGTGAACCCGGGAAGCGGAGCTTGCAGTGAGCCGAGATTGCGCCACTGCAGTCCGCAGTCCGACCTGGGCGACAGAGCGAGACTCCGTCTCAAAAAAAAAAAAAAAAAAAGAGCTATTGCAGCAATATGTTCTTTGTAGCCAAAGGGAAATCTTAAAAAAGAGAAAGATAAGCCTTGGGCACAGTTAATTTGCACAATAGAAAATCTATTTTCTGGCCGGGCGTGGTGGCTCACACCTGTAATCCCAGCACTTTGGGAGGCCAAGGCGGGTGGATCATGAGGTCTGGAGTTCAAGACCAGCCTGGCCAGGTTGGTGAAACCCCGTCTCTACTAAAAATACAAAGAAAATTAGCCAGGCGCAGTGGCGGGCGCCTATAGTCCCAGCTACTCGGGAGGCTGAGGCAGGAGAATTGCTCCGAGAGGCAGAGGTTCCAGTGAGCCAAGACTGCGCCATTGCACTCCAGCCTGGCAACAGAGCTAGACTCTGTCTCAAAAAAAAAAAAAAAAAAAAAAAATCTATTTTCTGAAATTACATCCCCAATTTCAGAGCTGGTGTTTGCAGCCCTAGGTCCAGTGGTTTTTTCACTTTGCTCACCAGTTGATAATGAACAAAGTGCTCAGGTGAACACAGTATAGGTACAAATTGTTTGAAAAAGAAAACTATATTTTTAACAATACATGTGGAAGCATTTGACTTAAACCATTGAATAACACAGTGTAGATGTAAGTCCTGTTCAAACAGCTCCCGTTCTGTAGGAGAATGCATGAAAAGACAGACCTTGGGAGCTTCTGTACAAACAACTAAGTATACAGAGGGTCTTTCTGAAATATTTGCTTGGGATTTCAGAATATTTTCTCATCATATTTCAGCATACGCTGCTGTGCTGTATAAAGTGTTGTGACCCAGGTGATATTTTGGGATACTAATGCTGATATGAAATCCTATAAGTAGCACCAATTAGGCACAGAATTATTTTGAAACAGATGCCCTATATATAGTTCTGCTAGCAAAACCAGTCCTTTAGTAACAGAGCTCTTTTAAAATAAAGTCAGCCAAAGTAAGAACTAATGGGTGGATAAATTCATTCTTGCAACCAGTCTTTATTAAGAAATGACTACACATCAGGCTCTCTTGTTGTTGTCAGAGACACACTAGGTAAAGGCAAAGATTTAATGGCTAGGGCTATGAACATGACAGGCTCATTGTGTAATGGGAGAGACAGAAGAGTAAATGGGTAAATAGGTGAAGTAAGTACTATGATAGGCCACGCACAAGGCACTGTAGGAGCTGATAGAGAAAGCACCTAACTCAGCATGGAGACCAGTGGCACTTCCCATAAAAAAGTGAAAGATTTGTTTGTTATCAGTCAAATGAAGAAGCTGGAGATGTTGTGTGGCAAATGGAAAGACTGATAGAAACCTGATTCAGGTAAGACTGAAGAAGAGACCAGGTGTATCCAAGTGGAAGGAAATGAGGCTGGGTGGGCAGGAGGGGCCAAGAGATAATGATGATGCCTTTTATGACATTCTCAAAATGTTTAAGTGCATCCTGAAGGTGACGGGAACCACTTTGTATTTCACGCAGGGCTGTGACATGACTGAATTTGCATTTCTGGAAGAGCTGACCTCTATATGGAGCATGGACTGTGCCCAGGCAAATCCTGAGGCAGGAAGGCTTTTAGGAGAGTGAGGCTCGAGTAGCGCAGAAGATACTCATCAAAGCAGGAATGGAGAGGAGAGGACCAAAAGTTTCAGCAAGCTCTCACCTCCTCAGTGCTGGTCTGTAGAAGCAACAAAGAGGAATGAGTTCCTTTTCAGAGACCTTTATTTTTTGGGAAAAGAACAGGGTGGGTCAGTGCTTCACTGGCAGGACTCTGCGCCCCATAAAAAGAACCATTCAGATGTGGACAAGCCACTGACACAGACCTTCAGAGCCTGCCTCTCTTGAAAAGAGAAGAAAGGAAGAAAGAATTAGCCTACTTGGGTTCTGGATGGAGGAAATACAACTTCCTAAATGTCTTATATAATTACTTTTATTATAGAGAAAATACATTTACTCCCTCTATAAGAAAAGATGTTGTTTGGAACACATATTCATTAAAAAGGAATTATCATATTGTACTTTACAAAGTCAATCTGTCTACCATTGTCAAATAATGCCCTTAGTATCTCTGAGGAAAATCACCAACGTAGATATGCATGTAAACCACATGTCATTTTTCTCCCTTACGCCTAGTCTGTAGACATCACTCAGTGTAGCAAACAATAAGTGATCTATTTTATACATTTGTGCTGAAGAAAAACTGCTGGATTCAATTATATTTCAAGTGGCAGAGCAATAACCCATAAACACGGAAAGTAGCAAGATGTTCAAACTAGGTACTTAAACAGTTTTGGGGCATATATTTATTGTGGATGTCAAGGTGCTTTTCTGCTATAATAAGAATTTTTAGGTGTATCATGTTGCTGACTTGACACCAGTTTGTAATTTTAAGCAAAGACTTATTCTTCACCCATTCCAGGCCCAACAAATGGGCTAATCTTAAAATGATGGGAAGCAGAGACAGAATGTGATAAACTTACTTATATAAATATAGCCCTGAAAGACAAGGATTTACAGTTGATTTGTCCAGAAACCACTAGACCTATACTTATCATTGCCTACATCTTTCAAAATGGAGTGCACTCTAGATCAAGCCTGAACTGGCAGAACTGCTCCAATTGTTTCTATTTTCAAGTTATCTAGGCTGATCTAAAGTTTAAATACATTTTTAAGCTTAATTAAATGAAACACTTAAATTATACAAGCATTTAATACTTAGTTGGAAATTGAAAAACAGATACCATGCAATCCCTAGGTAAAAAGAAAAATCCAGCAACATCTGCTAGTTCCATTTCTCTATCACATGGGATGGATGTGTTTATAAAGACTCAAATCTTTAAATAACCAAATGCCTCTGAAATGATTTAAAAAAAACAAAAAACCTTTTTGCTCAGTAGTGCTGGTCGATGGAAAGGCCTGGAGATCCTTACAGAGCTGTTCTCCGGGGATGTTTTAGAAAGCATCAGGATGAGACAGCACTCACCACAGGTGTTCTGATCGTCACTTCTTGAAACTTAGAAACTCTGGAAAAGGCGGATCACGAGGTCAGGAGATCCAGACCATCCTGGCTAACATGGTGAAACCCCGTCTCTACTAAAAATACAAAAATTAACTGGGCGTGGTGGCGCGCGCCTGTAGTCTCAGCTACTCCGGAGGCTGAGGCAGGAAAATGGCGTGAACCCGGGAGGCGGGGCCTGCGGTGAGCCAAGATCGCGCCACTGCACTCCAGCCTGGGCGACAGAGCGAGACTCCCTCTCAAAAAAAAGAAAGAAACTCTGGAAAAGGTAGGAGAGAACCTAACTCCTGGTCAAGGCAGTACCAGAAATCAAAGAGTGCTTACAATTTTGGTATAAATTGTATAGTGATCCATTTATGGAGGTTTTTCTCCCTGACATTTAGCAGTGCTTTTTTATAGTGGTGAAAAGGGAAAGTGATTTAATAAGTTATGGGGCAATTACAGGACAGTGCCATACACGTACTCAATAAGTATTGCTTTAATGAATTAATAAACAATCAGCAAGAGCACCGCTTCTTACAAAATAAAGCATGAGAAACAGAATTTGAAAACTGTCAGAAGCTTTGGCATCTATCTTGGCATCTTGTGGCACCACACACATCCAATTTTAGAGACGCATAAACCAAGACCCAGGGAGGTTAAATAATTTGCCCAAGATCCTTCAGTTAGTAGTGAGAACTAGACATGCGACACAAAGGAGAGGAAATAATTCATTTATTTGCTCACTCCCTAGTGAATCAGCTGACTTATTTATATACACTAGGACCTCCCCTTAAAAGCCTGTACATTCTATGTATCCAATAAATGTGAGTGAAATTAATTATCTGGCATGTTATTTATTTACTCATTTATTCACTCATTCATTCATTCATTCAAATCATCTGTATCTAAATACCTTGCCTTTGCCAGGTATCAATTATATCATCATTTGGATCTTTTTCTCCTTCCAAATAAAATATACTAAACCAAATACATATGTTCATTTCTTGAGAAAGAATTAAAATTCCTATTTGAAATCATATCATTAGCCTGTCTAGTACTATACTCTGCCTCCAACACAATTCTCTAGCTGGGATCTTGTGGGAAAGTTGAATCTCCCCATCCCAAAGCCCACGTAGCCCATTATGCAATGCTTTGCATCACCACGGGGTCCTCAACTGACTGACTACCTCAAGCTGTCAGTTAATGCTCTGCTTCATGATATTTGACTACCCTTCTTAATGGTAGTTTACATAACGGCAAATGTTCCCTGGTAACTGCAAAAGAATTCAGCTATTTTAAAATAGCTCTGTCAACCCCATGAACAACTCGCTGAATTCCATGGTAAGCATATAATAGAATGCTTCTGTTTACCTTTATGTTATTTATAGCATGTGTCCTTTATTACTTTTTTAAAAAAATCTACCTTAACTTTTTAACCTGTTAGTTTTCAGCCCAGTCTAGTTTTGACCTTTCAAAAATCAGATTAGCCTATCTTAGCACATTATCATACATATTCTTGCTTAATTGAACAGTTTTTATTTCAAACATTACTAAATTTTTTTTGTCATTGTAGTATTCCATTCTACATCCTTGTGTGCTTACTATAAGCAAAAAGGTATTATATTTCATCCTGGGTCATATGCATTATATAGAATAGCTTGCTGTATCAAACATAATTTAACACATTCTGAAAAGAATTCTAGATTGGTCAAGATGACAATCCCTACACTTTTATTTTCAATTAACCAGGAGTTCTCAAACTTAAGTGTATATGAGGATCACCTGAAGGATTTGTTAAACCACAGATTGGCAGGTGGAAGCAATCCAGTATCCACTGATGGATGAATGGATAAACAAAATGTGGTGTATATAGACAATGGAATATTCATCAGCCTTAAAAATGAAGGAAATTTGGCCGGGTGCGGTGGCTCACGCCTGTAATCCCAGCACTTTGGGAGGCCAAGACGGGCGGATCACCTGAGGTCGGGAGTTTGAGACCAGCCTGACTAACAGGGAGAAACCCCGTCTCTACTAAAAACACAAAATTATCTGGGTGTGGTGGTGCATGCCTGTAATCCCAGCTACTCTGGAGGCTGAGGCGAGAGAATTGCCTGAACCCAGGAGGCAGAGGTGGCGGTGAGCTGAGATTGTGCCATTGCACTCCAGCCTGGGCAACAAGAGCGAAACTCCATCTCAAAAAAAAAAAAAAAAAAGAAGGAAATTCAACACATGCTAAATGGATAAACCTTGAGTACATTATATTAAGTGAAATAAACCAGCCACAAAAAGACAAATGTTATATGATTCCACTTACATGAGGTACCTTGAGCAGTCAAATTCATGGAAACATACAATAGAATGGTGGCTGCCAGGCACTGGGGGATGTAGAGAATGGGAAATTGCTGTTTAATAGGTACAGAGTTTCAGTTTTGCAAGACAAGAAGAATTCTAGAGATTGGTTGTGCAGCAATGTGAATGTACCTAACACTACTGAACTGTACACCTAGAAACAGTTAAGATTCTCACCATTAAAAAAAAAAGAAAATTAAAAGTGGCTGGGTGCAGTGGCTCATGGCTGTAATCCCAGCACTTTGGGAGGTCAAGGCAGGTGGATCGCTTGGGTCCAGGAGTTTGAGAGCAGCCCGGGCAACATGGTAAAACCCCATCTCTACAAAAAAGTACAAAAATTAGCCAGGTGTGGTGGTGCATGCCTGTAGTCCCAGCTACTGGAGAGGCTGAGGTGCAAGAATCGCTTGAGCCTGGGAGGCAGAGATTGCAGTGAGCTGAGATGGCGCCACTGCACTCCAGCTTGGGTGACAGAGTGAGACCTCATCTCAAACTTAAAAAAAAAAAAAAAGTATGTGAGGTGAATGTGAGGTGATACCTATGTTAATTAGCTTGATTTAGCCATTCCACAATGCATATACTATTTCAAAACAACATGTTGTACATGATAAATATAATTTTACTTGCCAATTAAAAATAAATTTTAAAGTGATTAAGATGGAAAATGTTATGTTCTGAGTATTTTACCACAATTACACCCACATACGCAGATTGCCAGAGTTATTGATATAGTAGGTCTGCGGTAGGGCCTGAGAATTTGCATTCTGGGCCCATAGTCTGAGAACCACTGTGATACGGTTTGGCTGATAAAATCTTGAATTGCAGCTCCCATAATTCTCATGTGTTGTGAGAGGGACCCGGTGGGAGATAATTGAATCATGGGGGCGATTTCCCCATACTGTTCTCATGGTAGTGAATAAGTCTCATGAGATCTCATGTTTTTATAAGGGGTTTCCCCTTTTGCTTGGCTCTCATTCTGTCTTGCCTGCTGCCGTGTAAGACATGCCTTTTGCCCTCCACCGTGATTGTGAGGCCTCCCCAGCCATGTGAAACTGTGAGTCCATTAAGCCTTTTTGTATTTATAAATTTTTCAGTCTCGGGTGTGTCTTTATTAGCAGTGCAAGAACAGACTAATACACGCTGCAGTGAACAAAGTTAGTGATGACTCCAGAATTTCTGTCTAAAAGGAGTTTATGAGTAACAACCTGGTTGGAAGAAGGATGAGGGGATTTGCCTTGCCAGTTAGCATAGCAAGCACAGTGTCTTCAGATTGTATGTTTGTTTGCAGAAGCTTTCATGGGAGACCTGAAGAAATGATGACCAGCTGCACACACCCACAAGTCACTTCTTGATGACACAGCTGTACCTTGCTACTTGCTCAAGGCATCTCATAAATCTTAAGTATAGTGGGGAAAATATGAGAACTTGACATTTTTGCACTTAAGAGATATATTCTCCTTTCTTTTATTTCACAGTTTTTCTTTTAAATTGGAAGAAGAGTAAGTAGGCATTGGGAAAAGAAGATAGGAAAATCTGAAACATAAATAAAATGAAGAGCTAAGTATCGAATACCTACTATAAACAGAACAGATATTTATTGTTTTGTGAAAATCAAGCATGAAGCAATGTGATAACCCCTATCAAATTAAAATTCCTAATGCTCCCCTGGGAGTGGTAGAAGAGCAGTCTCATCAATGCTGCTGAGAGTATATATTACTACAAGCACCCTGGAAGGATTTGGCCATATATGTGAAATATCCATATCCTCTCACTTAGTAATTCCATTTATAGAGATCTATCTTAAAGAAATAAAGTGTAGAATATAAGAATATTTAGATGATATAATGTATACTAGCAAAACATGGAAACACCCTAAATGTTAAGGTGGGCACCAGAGAGAGGCTAGATTAATTTCAGTGTATCCAGACAACAGAATTCGCAGCTATAAAAGACATCTGTTGTTTTAGAGTAGCCCACAACCTTTTGGCAGGGAAAGTGGACCTCAGCTTCCTTTATTCTGCTTGTTTCAGTCGAGAGAACTCCCTATCACCTTCTCTGACACAGAGGAGGTGTTCACAGCTCAGTGAAAGTCAGAGTCCTTTTGTAGGGACAGATGTGGATGCTTGACAAGAGAAGACCTCTTGCCTTGTGAGACTGCAAGCAGGAAGGGCAATGAAAACCTGGCTAACACTGAGGAAAGCAGAGGCCATAGATGGGGAGAAAGAAAGTTTCCTATCAATATTGTTTGAGTCCCTGGATCTCATTATACCTGACTAGCAAGTCTGCCTTTGACTTCCCAGTTATATGAATCAATGAATGCCTCACTTTTTTCCCTCTTAAACTCACAACTAAAACATTCTTAGCTAATACATTGTTATTAAAAACCACATTTTATATGAATGCATATGAATACACATTACATTACTAACTCAATTTTTATATATACACATCTTAAAATGTGTACATATAAAATTTAAGGAACATTAAAATGCTTTATGAGGTTGTAGTTTTATAGATAATCAAATATTTTTACTTTTAAGGATTATTCACTTAGGCCAGGAATGGTGGCTCATGCCTGTAATCCCAGCACTCTGGGAGGCTGAGGCAGGCGGATCACGAGGTCAGGAGTTCGAGAACAGCCTGACCAACATGGTGAAACCCTGTCTCTACTAAAAATACAAAAATTAGCCAAGAGTGATGGTGCACACCTGTAATCCCAGCTACTCAGGAGGCTGAGGCAGAAGAATCGCTTGAACTCAGGAGGCAGAGGTTGCAGTGAGCCAAGATCACACCACTGCACTCCAGTCTGGGCAACAGAGCGAGACTCTGTCTCAAAAAAAAAAAAAAAAGATTATTCACTTAAAAGGTTTGCCAACGTCTTAATTCCCTGGCTATTGAGCATTCTAAGAGAAGAGGGTTATTGCATAAAATATAACCACATATCTTACTGGTCACTTGTAAAAAATAAAAAATGGTACAATGCCTATGGAGGGAAATCTGGCAACACCTAACAAAATTACATATGCATTTGTCTTTGACCCAGCAATGCCAGTTCTAAGGATCTCTCCCACAGATACAGTAGCAAAAATATGAAAAGATGTGTGCATAAGCCTATTAATTGCAGCACATTTATAATAGAAAATGTTTGGAAACAGCCTAAATTTTCATTGATAGGGAACTGATTGAATAAACTCAGGCACATCTATGCAATTGAATACTATGTAGCTGTAGAAAAAAATAAAATCTTACTACACTGTATTATACAGAGATCTCTAGGATATACTAAGTGAAAAAAAATCAGTGTGCATAACAGAAAACAGTATATGGAGAGAATTACCTTTTGTCTAATAAAAGGGCAAAACTAAATAGTAGAAGAATAAATTAAAAACTAGTATACATGATTAGTATAAGGGAAAAACAAAATGAAAGCACGGTGAGATACCTACCAGAAGGGCTAAAATTAGTAAGACATAAATTATCAAGTGTTGTCAAATATGAGGAACAAATGGAACTCTTATACACTGCTGAAAGAAGTGTGCATTGGAACATTCACTTTTGGAAACTCTTTGGCAGTATCTACTAAAGCCTGAACATACACGTACCCCATGACCCAGCAATTCTACTTCTGGGAGTATACCTACGAGAAATGTATACCTTGTGTATCAGAAGACATGTACAAGAAGGTATTAAGAAGCACTATTGATTAAGCCAAAAATGAGAAACTCATTTCTCCATCAACAGCAAAAGTCATAAACAAATTATGATATACTGTATGTTCAATATGATAGATTATGGTAACAGGAATAAAAAAGACAGAACATTTCTACTACACACAACATGGATGGATGTCATAAATATATTGTCAAGTGAAAGAAACCAAGCACAAAAGAACATATACTGTATTATTCCACTTACAGTTCAACATCTGGCAAAGCTAATTCATAGTGTTTCAGGAGAGCAGTTGTCTCTGGGGAGAATGGGGAGCAGCAAGCAAGAAGGGCACAAGAGCAGTTTCTAGGTTGCTGGTAATATTCTGTTTCTGCACCTTGCTGGTGGTTACACAGGTATGCTCAGCCTATGAGAATTCATCAAACTCCACATTTATGATGTGATTCCATCATTGTATGTATATTATACTTTTAAGATGTTTAAAAACATCAAAGAAGTCTTATTTCCCAGCCCATCCCCTCCACCCTTCTCCTCCTTCCCTTCAGATGGGCTGGGAAACAAGATTTCTTTGATTCTGTCTTGTTACATAGTTTTGGCTTCGGAATAATGTGCATGTTTTACATATGCAAAGAAATAAATTATGTAAAAAGAAGAAAAATTTATAGATGCATGTATTAAGTGGCGGTAATTAAAACTATGTTTGGCCAGGTGTTAAATTACAAAAGGTGTGTGTGTGTGTGTATTTTAGGGTTTAAGTAAGTTCGAAAATGGATGAGGCCAAGTCATATGAAATTTAGAATGATAATTCTGGATTTGGCCTAACAGCTTGAAAATAAATCATGGATGCTAAAAGCTCAAGCCCTAGGGAAACAAAGAAGGAAGGTAGAAAAATAAACAGCTGGAAAAGCGCTCGTTGTTATCCAAAATAGACAGATGTACTGTGGTTAGGCACGTACTAACCTAATGGCCTTTTTGGAACTGACAAAAAGTGTGTTTGAGAAGCCATAACATCAAGCCAGGCAGCTCTATGAGCTGAGCATTAAACTCAATGCCCAGACAGAGCCCGTCCCCACTTGTTTGGCTTTGGCCTGAGTCAGTTATTGAGTATGCTTAATAATACTGACTGCTGCAGAACTGTGCAAAATGGTGAATGAAAAAGATAGTCAAATGGTTCACAATTCTTTTTTAATCAGGAACTCTGGCTTCTTCTGCCAACTACTTGACGCCCAAGAGTTTCCCAGATGGTCCTAACTAATACAGAGTGGAGGATAATGGGAAGAAGGCTAGAATTTTCATCTTTGGGAGAGTCCAGGAATGTGATTATACAGGTGTATCAGATGAGCAATTGGAATCTAATCTATAGAGAATTCTGACCCCCAGTGGATCCTATACCACAAATGGGGTCAGAAGTTTGAACAGTCTTCTAGTTTGAGGGTTCAGTTCAAATCTAGCTCTGTAAATTCAAATTTTGTGACTTTGGCCATGTATCTTTATCTCCTTGGGCCTCAGCTTTCATCATCTGTAAAATGATAAGGAACACTATTGAGCTGTTCTAGGATTAGATCAGTTAAGGCACATGAATAACTTAGTACTGTCTAAGCGTTTAAGACATCTAACACTATCCCTCTACCACACTGTGTCTTATCTTTATGCATTACTAACTAGAAAAAGGTGAATGGAATGAATGAACATTTATTCTCCACCATTATTCACCCATTATTATGTGCTGGGTGTTTTATTAAGCATTTAAATAGTATAAATTTTATTTATTTTCTTTAATCTTTACAGAACCCTTATGAGGTAACAAGTGAAAAAGTGATGCTCAATGTCACACAGCAGATAAGTGGCAGAACAAGGATTTGAGCCCAGAAAAAAATATTTTTCTTTGTCTGTAAGACAGCAATCATCAGGAGGAAAAAAGAACCATATCAGGATGGTAGCCCATGACTGCCAAAAAAGCATTCATTGGCCATTCATAAATTAGTTCCTACACGTATATCAAGAACTAAGGAAAAGGACTTTCTCCTTCTAAGAGTGGACAGAGACAGTTCTATTTGGAAGATGGAGGCGGCTGGAATGAACAAAGTGTGGGTAAGCTAGAATTGGGCCTGGAGAACAGAGTGCCTGACACAATAAGTGTCTGTTCAATGAATGAAGATATTTAATATAGAAAAAAATGAGGTCCGCAGTCACTATCAGTTCCTGGGTTAAGCTGAGGTCAGAATTTAGTGGACCAGGACAAACAGAGGACTTAGGCCAAAAGAACATACACTCTATACCAAAGCCAGGAATCATACAATGTAAAATTAAAATTGCCCTGAAAAATCCAGGAAAGATGAATGGCTGCTGTAGATATAACCAACATGTGGGCTCATGTTGATATTCGGAGCTCAAGTTTAGCCAGGGGTCATAAGTAGAGCAGAATATGTGTACAAGGCATGAACCAATGCAGTTCAGGCTGGTCAGTAAAATAAACAGAAAGGGAAGAAAATATAGACTAAGCAGGAAGGCATAACCAGTTTTCATCTGTGGATCCCAGGACAGTAATGTTTGTCCACTGTTCTGGTTTTAGATAATAGTAGTAAGAGTAAGTACCGCTTCATGAAACTTCCAAAGTGTGTTCTAGATCACACTGTAGAATGTATTTTTTTTATTTATTTATTTTACTATGGACTATGGCCAAAATATTTGGAAATCTTCTGCTTTAGGGACTATGCTACCTACTAGAAAATTACATCCTTGTCATTGGTAGTTAGGCAAATTAGCTACAGTAGTTGATTAGGAAAGAGTTATGGTCTAGATATGCCTCAAGAGACAGTGTTACTTTGATAAAATCACCATGTTCCAAGGTCTATTTTCACAGCTCCATGGGTAGGGAAATTTGACTATGCAGCCCATGAAGAGATGATCAGTATTTTAGGACTGACTCATTTATTAATTTCCAAAGAGAAATATGGATACATGAAGCCATTTTGATAATTTGCTCCCTGTGGGAAAAATCTGCCTGAGATGTCATATAAGAATGTGGCTTGGTGCACATTGAATCAGAGTAACAGTAAATAGTTTAATATTGTAAGTAGTGGTGACATTTGGGTAGGAAGCCTCTCTATAGTAATAATAACAGCTAACATTTGCTGACCACTTACTGCAGGTCAGGCATTGTACTCATTTTATACCTCATTTCATCCTCATCCTATGAGATTTTTCACTGCAGAGATATACCCGCCAAGCAGGTGACGTATTGATATCAATTAGTCAATCTACCCCTCTTCTGAACACATGCTAACAAACTCTCTTTGACTCTATTTTCCCGAACTCTGTTAATCCTGTTTGCTAATACTGCATTCCCACCCTCGCCTAAGCATACTCCTAAAGGTACCCAAGGAGTGCCAGCAGGCACACCAACCACAGAATAGCATGGAAAATATTCAGAGGATCAATCTTACTTGATGGTAAACAATATAAAATATTTTTACATGAAATAAATTGGTTGCATTAGAAAGTATAATGCAAAATTTTCCAGGCGTGGTGGCTCATGCTTGTAATCCCAGCACTTTGGGTGACTGAGGCGGGCAGATCATCTGAGGTCAGGAGTTCAAGACCAGCCTAGCGAACATGGTGAAACCCCGTCTCTACTAAAAATACAAAAATTAGCTGGGCATGGTGCCACACACCTGTAATCTCAACTACTCAGGAGGTTGAGGCAGGAGAATCATTTGAACCCAGGAGGCGGAGGTTGTAGTGAGCCATGCCGTTACACTCCAGCCTGGGTCACTGAGTGAGACTCTGTCTCAAAAAAAACCCCAAAAAAGCACAATGCAAAATTTGAATGAATGTTTAAGGATAAGTCTAGAAGAAATTTTACACTTGAAATTAAAATCTTGAGCTCTCTCTTTTTTGGTATTTAGTGCAAAATTTTGAAAATCATTATACTACACACAAGGGCAACACAAAACAGCTGAATAGGCTTAAGTTTCTAAATTATAATCACATATTTGTCAATCTCCCTATAACACTGCCCAGTTCTCTCTGATTGAATAGGGTGTTTTAAATTTCATGAGTCTTGTATTGACAATTAGCTCTTAGGTTCTATCTATAACTAGTTTTATCCATTAACATTTTTTCAAAATTAGAATTTATTATCTTTCTCTGACTAAAAAAAGGAGTACAAACTTATTGTGGAAAGTTTAAAAAATCTAGAGAAACATAAATTTAAAAATTGGAAGTGCCTTAAATTCATCAATTAGAAATAAGATTATTAACCTGCTATGTGCCTGGGCTACTTTATGAACTAGATAGTCAAAATCCTTGCCTTAAAGATATTCTTTTTCTTTATTCTTGTAGATATGAGTATTAACATAGACATAGATATACAAATACACACACACATTTTTATAAGATTGGGATACTACTAAACGTATTCTTTTATTAGGTGAATTTATTTAATAGTATGTTATAACTGTTATTGTGTTTTATTTTATTATATTTTTATCTACACCATAGTTGTTAAAAACTGCATGGTAATTTATTTTGGGGACATGATATATTATCTAATAAACCTCCAACTTATTGTTCGTTGTTTTCAATTTTTTATTCTTATAAACATACAGTGAATTTTTATAGACAAATTTTTCTGCATATCTATAATTATTCTTTTTGGATGAACTCTTTTCAGAGCAACATGATCCTCGTTTGGAGTCAAAGATTAAGGATATTCTCAAGGCTTTTGACCCATTGCTAAGTTGTATCCCAGAAAGATTTATACCAGCTTATATTTCCAAATGCAGTTTATGATGTGTATTTTCCCTTACCCTCAACAACATTAGGTATTTATTAAAAATTTTAAACCAATTTGTAGGTGAAAATTGGTTTCTTGTTTTAATATGCTTTTTTGATCTCTTATGAGGTCAAACATTTATTGGCCTCTGTAGTTCATCTTTTGTGAATTCCTTTTCTTGTCTGTCCCTTGGCCATATTTCTGTTGGGATGGTTAGCTTTTTCTTTTCTATTTGTACGGGTCTTTTTTTTTAAAGTATATAATGACTTTTTGCCTGACACTTATGATACAGCTATTTTTCCTAGTTTCTAACTTGCTTTTTCATTTACTTACTGAGGGTTTTCTTCTTTGAATTTTTGAATTGTATGTAGACACATTTATCAATAATTTTATAACTTCGGTTTCATAGCTTAGAAATTCCTCTACTACCTCTGCATCTATTATCTTTTTATTTCTTTCTAACTGAAGAATAACATCACCAAATGTGTTGGACACATTCTGAGTATCTTCCAGGTTTGAGAGAAGCCACATGATCCTTTAGTTTTCAGAAGAAGGAATTAAGGGGTCTTGGGGAGGTGATGTGCAGGCCTAGAGACAGAGATAGAGAGACAAATGGTAGATAGTGCTTTGAGGCATGCATATTTACTGGCTTTTCTTCCTAGAAAGGGGCAAGGCTCTAATCCAGTGGTTTTAGATTGGGCCCAAGAACTTGCATTTCTGACAAGTTCTGAATTGAGGCTTGAGGCTTCTCTAAGTGAGAACACTGGAATTAATGTAACAACCAATTTGAATTCATTTATTTCTTCCTTTTCTAATCTAATGACTTTCTCTACTTTGATATATTAAAATAAGCTTACATGACCTGAGCAAATATTTTCTGATCTCTGACCCCACTTGGCGACCACTCAAGGCTCGGCCAAGTAAGAAAAACCTTGTCGAGACACTAAGTTTCCAGCAGGGCTCCGTGGCTCCCTGAACACCTGTGATGTTCCTGAGTTGTCAGTGGCCTTGTCTACTTCTGGCTGAGTACTGGAAGAGGGTAATCTTAGTTTCCTGCCTTAGCAATCATTGTGTAGATAACCTTTGTGGTGAATGTTGATTTACAGTTTCCTCTGAGCTAGAAAGCGGTTCTTTTCTTTTGAAGTAGCAAACCAAATTTCCACTTCTGAGATTTGTATTTCTTTTTTAAAAAATAGAAGATGATGGCAAGTCCAACCTCAAAGCCGGTTAATACCAACCTGCCTATCATCCCCATCCTCCTTGTCTAAAAGGCAAGCCCCTCGGCCTTAATCTTCAATTCATGCTGTTCTATGTGTCCTCCTCAAAGACTGCTTTGCTTTGCTTGCACTGTGCCTTCTGAAATCCCTTGTTCTACTTCACATGAGTCCCTCTATATTTTCTCCTACTTTCCTCCCATCTGGGAGTCATTCCAGACCCCTTCCTCATTCCTCACATCCAGACATCAAATCTGGGAGACTATGTCATCTCAGTGTCTCTCAAACTGGTCCAGGCTTTGGTTTATCATCATTATTGCCTTAATCTTAGCCCTCACAGTCTGTCCCCTGGAAAGCCAGTATGGTGCAGAAATAAACCCACACATGATTTGGTATCACAGAGACCTGTGTTTGGATCTCACATCCATTCTTATTAACTGTCTGATACTGGGAACAGTAACTTGACTTTTTTGAGGTGGCCTCCTGTTTAAAATGGGAGTCATATCTATTTCATGAGCATGCTGTGAGGGTTAATAAGATACCACGAGTGAAAGCACTTCATATACTGCCTCCACAGAGTGCATTTTCAACAAATATTGGTTTCCTTCCCCCACCCATTTGTTTGTTCTTTGGTTTCCATCAATGTTTCCTAACAGGTCCTCTCATCTCCAAACAAAAATCCACACTATGACCAGAGCAGCCTTTCTAAATCAGATATCTAATTTTTTTAAAAAGTAATTCGATCTTACCATTGCGCATAGGACAAAGCCACTCCACAAGGTGCTCCCTCCACTCACTGTCTTTCATCTGCATTTCATCTTCTATGCCTCCCTACTAGATGCTTCCCGAACTGCACACATCAAGTTGTTTCATAACTTCCTGATTTCCCAGTTCTCACCACTGTCTCAAATATCTTTCCCTTTTCCCAACCTTATTTAACAACTCCTTGCTACTCATTCCTTAAGTACCACCTTGGCTGGGCACAGTGGCTCACACCTGTAATCCCAGCACTTTGGGAGGCCAAGGCAGAAGGATCGCTGGAGGCCAGGAGTTCTAGACCAGCCTGAGCAACATGGTGAGTCTCTGTCTCTACGAAAAATTTAAAAACTAGCTGGGTTTGGTGTGTGGTGGTGCATGAACCTGGTAGGGGGCAGGTGGGTATTGCGGGGAGATCACTTAAGCCCAGAAGTTTGAGGTTACAATGAGCTATGATCATGCCACTGCACCCTAGCCTGGGTGATAGAGTGAGGCCCTGTTTGTTTAAAAAAAAAAAAAAAAAGTCCCACCTTAAGCATCTCCACCTATAAGAAATTTTCTCTGAATTATTTACATAATTCATCTTACCTCCTTTTTTGTTTCTATTATACTTTGTATAAAACATAAGTACATCCTTTAAAACACTGTAGTGTAATAATTATTCGTGTGTCCATTTATGTATTGGACTGCATTCCTTGAGGATTAAGAGCATATGTTAAATAACTTTAAATAGCCAACACCTAATAAAGAGGAATATTTTAACTCGAACCCATCTAGACTGCATCACAGTTTATACAAAATTAAAATGAACTCCCATTTCCCAAGTAATATAACTCTTGCTACATTTTGAAAAAATTTTATAATTGTGCTTTGAAAATTATTTAGCTATAAGCAACTGGTTTAATTCTAAGGGCTAGCTATGATTTCAAGGCAGTTTTTAAGCAGACCCAAAATTATTGTTAAATATAATGAAATAGTAACTTAACAATAACATTTCTGTAGATATTTGACAAAATACTTCTTCTCTTAAAGTTGCCATTTTTTTTTTCATTTGTTTTGGAACCGATAAAGAGGTTTTTCAAGTCTCAAATATTTTCATACCCTCGAAAAGCTCATGAACCATAGGACTGTTCTTATGGTGTATAATTGACAACAACAATCGTTCTACTGATACATATTAGGTACTAAATAAATAAGTGTTTTCATGAAATTAACAAATAGCTATGGCCCTTATATACTTTTAATATTTTGCTACCATTTATTTTGCCTTTGCCAGCTGCCTTGTACTGTACTAAGCGGTTTTTATATGTTTTAACTTAATGCTCACTATTATCTCCATCCTTACAGATGGAAAAACTAGATGCTCCGGAATATCAGGAAACTTGTTCACTCAGTTAATTGATGGCAGGGCCAAAATTCACCAGGCTGCCTGACTCTCAGGCCAGGTCTTAACCACTATATAATCTTTAGTAGGCCCATCAAACAATCTGACTTATAGCTTCCTCACTTATAAACTGGAAATAATTACATATTTCTCAAAATATGTATATTTTGAACAAGAAGTGAAAAGAGTCTAGCACAGTACATAGAACATAGTTGTTATTCAATAAGTAATTTTAGTTTGTTGGGGATTGAAAATAATTCCCCTGTGCTGGGATAGTAAGTGAGTTTGGCATTCCTATTATTTGCTCCCACAGCAGCCTGAACTTTCCCTATTAGAGCACCAGTATTGAATCTAATATACTTGTGTCATTGTCTCCCCATCTAGACTCTGAGCTCTGTGAGGACAAGAATCATGTCTGTCTCTGTCATCTTTGTAACCTAGTTCCCAGCCCGTTATCTGCCATAGGTATTAGGTGCTTGAAATCAATATTAGTTGAATTGTTAATTTAGAAAGCACCTACCTAGTGGTAGGATTCCTTTCCTTTCGAAGAAAGGAATTGAAGTCAGGTCTTATGCTCATAAGTAGCCCACACCCTAGTTGGGATGAAAAAGTCATGGGATGGTATTTCTAAAGCAATACATAGTCAAATCAGTTATACAGTAACATCTCACAAAACCTTACCACTTTTTCTCTCTGTAGAATCCCATTAAGAATATAATATGAAAAAACATTGCCACAATTTTACTAATATTCTTTAAGCATACTAAGATATGCTTAAGATGTAAGAAGAAAATGAAAAACATCAAACCCATAATGATATGCAAATGATATTGATCTAATCAGTCATGTTTGCTATCATAAAGAAGTCCACATGATTACAAAATATTTCACATATTGTGTGAGCATTATTATAGTGTACATCATCATCATTAAACACCCATCTGTGTAAGGCACCCTGGTAAGTACCATGAAAAAGACTTTAATTAAAACAAGTTAAATCCCTACACTTTAGGAATCAAATTTACTCAAATAATCCTCTCTGCTCAAAAAAAGAAGTTCCCTAATACTTTAAGTTTTAAATTTAAAGAAGAATAATTTGAGCGGCTGGATCCTATCCCAGTGACACTTTCATTAACCTTCATAAATCATCGAGTGTAAAAAGATGAATCCTAAAGAACACTGATTCAACCAAGCTTACATTTGTCATTTATTAATTTAAACTGGATTTAGTTACTTATGTTTATACTAACTTTTAGGTATTCTTTGTATATGAAGACTCTGAACACTTTGCCATGACTCAACTTTATTTCTAAACTTATTATTTAATTTTCAATTTTAATTATGGTATCTCTTTTCCAAAAAAATTCATCTAGTCACAGTTTTTAGTCCTTCAATTATAGTTTCTATCTTGATATAATGGTGTATTTCTCTTTTAGATTTAAATCTTTAGTTCAACTGGAATTTATTTTCTGAATGGTAATTTTAACACGTTTTGCTAATTATCTTCACACTATTTATTTAGTGATCCAAACTTTTTCTACCAATTAAAAATAATCACTTTTGCATTCCTAAATTTCCATATACACATGGGTCTATTTCATGACTACTTTATTTCATTAATCTATTCTTTCTCTAGTACTCTACATTTAAATTGCTTTGGCCTTATATTCCAATTTTTGGTATGGTACATTTTTGTTTCAATTGTGAATGTGATATTTTCTTTTTCAGTCTAGTTTTCTATCTAGCTATCATATATACAAAAAAACCAACTGCATTTTATAAATTTTGATTAGATCTACCAAATCTTTCTTTTTATTATTTATTATTTATTTTAGTTGATTATCTTGGGTCTTCTAGAGAGACAATTTCATCATCAGTAAATAATGATAACTTTATCTCTCCCTTCCAATATTAATACCATATCTCTTACTTATCTCTTTTCTTTCTTATCTTATTGTACTGGCTAGACCTTCCAGATCAAGGCTTAGCAATAGTAGATAAAATGGAAACTTTGTCCTTTTTGGGAGGAAAGATAATTTAATTAAGAGCATTCTTAGCTTATAATTATGCACCAAAGTAAATTAGCAAATGACTATTTGCTGTCCTACAACTACACTTTTGTGAAAATAATAATAGTAATTACACTCTTCTCTGAAAAAGCAACTATATCAGGCATTTGATAGGTTTAATTAATAATTCTTAAAACACCCTGCAAGGTAGGCCTATTATACTCATTTTGCATTTGAGAAAAGAAAGATTCTTATATACTGAAAAACATTCCTAAGGTTACTCAGCTCATACGTGGTAAATCTAGTAGAACTTAGAGTTATCTGATTCTAAACTCTTCTTTTGTACCGTATTACTTGCACTATATAAATACTATTATGATTTAATTCTGATACATACAAATGGATCTGTCTCATTGGTCAATTGGTATAGGGTTGCAATGATATACTTAATATATCTTAGGTATTCAACTTGTGAGAATTATAATACTGACTTTGAATGACAGAAATTATAATTATTACTCTTAATTTAAAAATAGAATTAATCAAATAAATATTAAGTACCTACAATATGTCAGTGTCTTCATAATTATTTACCTAACTATATCATTTAATAATATACAGGTTGAGCATCCCTAATCTGAAAATCTGAAACTTCCTCAATGCCAACATGATGCTACAAGTGAAAAATTCCACATATAAGTACTTAACACAAATGTTATTTTATGCATAAAATTATTTTAAATATCATATAAAATTACCTCAGACTATGTGTATAAGGTGTATGTGAAACATAAATAAATTTCATGTTCAGACTTGGGTCCCATCCCCAAGATATCTCATTACGTATTTGCAAATATTCCCAAATCCCAAAAAATCTGAAATCTGAAACACTTTTGGTCCCAAGCATTTCAGATAATGGATCGTCAACTTGTATTGATTAGACTGTGACTTAGCATTTCATAAAGGTATAGCTTCTGCCCCAAATAAATCATCTATAAGTCAGAACTCTATTGGTGACAAGTGATGGAAACTCAACTCAAATTATCTTAAATTTAAAAAGGTCTCATGAATTTATGTAACCAGAAAAGTCTAGAATTAAGGCTGGCCTCAGGCATGACTAAATCTTCCCTTTTTTGAGATTCTCAAAGTGTTGATTTGAAAAGAGAAAAAAAAAACAAATTATCTTTCTTCCTACTGCAGTACAGAAAAATCCAAAATTTTCTTTATTTAGGTAACATGTCTACTTCTTGCACTAATCCCTATGGCTGAAGGGATGGGGCACTCTTATTGGCCAGGCCTGGGTCACATGGCCACTCTTGTAATTTAAGAATATGGGGAGGATATGGTGATTAGTAGTCCCACCAGAATCTAATGCAAAATAGATAGCCTTTCCACAAATGCTACATTGTTAAAATACACACATACAGTAAGTCTGTAGATCGTGGTGGTGAATCTGAGTTAAATAACATGCTACAGAGAACCTCTAATTGTAGTAACTCGTACTATAATTCATTCCAGTTGAATTGACCTGAAAGTTACAAAGCACTCTGTGTATGAAGTGTGGGAATGAGCAGGAGTTTTGCAGCAGAGCTTCTTTAAACACTTCCTGGTTCTGAAGCCTGAGCCATTAACTCCTCTTCACTTGTTTTCTCATCTGAAAAATGGGAGTAATAGTAATGATCCCCATGGGATGCTCCATATGAAGGTTATACACCAGTGTCTGCCACACAGGCATGAGCTCAATAGATAGTTGTCATTCGCTATTATTACCAAAGCAGGATTTTTTAAAAAGACTTGGTCTTTCATATTTATAAACAGCTGATATTTTAAGGAAAAACTAAATGCCCTGTACTTCCTAGCATGAAGATGGCATTGCTTTAAAATGGGCCATTAACTTCCCAGATTGTTAACAGCCAAAACAGCTTGCCATGGCTGCCCCGACTCATACACATACACCCCGACTTCCATCATTGCTTCCACGTCCCTTATCCTATCCATCTTTCATTCATTTATTTACCAAAAATGTCTTAAGAGCCTACTATGCATCTTAATGACTTGCTCTTACCCTCACGACTTCTCCTCAGTCCTTTGGAGGAGCATCGGCCTCACAGTTTGACCCTTTGTTTTTATGTTTAATCACCATTGACACCCTTTTTGCCTGTCATGCCAGAAGATTCTTCCAGAAGACCTCCACTGCCCTCCAGGACTTCGTGCCTGTCTGTGTTTTCAATGGGGAAAGGTACACACTATACTGACACTATATATTTTTACAAATTTTTAAGAAAGGTTTTTCCTGTTTTCCTATGTCTTTTTAATCTTCTTTTTGATACTTGAGTAGAAGGATTTTTTTTTCAGTTCATATATATAATGGGAGAGGTAGAATTTAGAGGCCGATTTTAAATGAGTATCTAAAAGGGTTAATTACATATAGATGCTGGCTCCTGGTGAGATAAAGTCAAGCTCAATTAAGGTCACTGCTTGAAATCTGATTGTCTTTCTAAGAGCTTTTCATCTGTAACTTGCATATTCTGGAACAAGTGTTCAATTGTAATTAGCAACATTTTTCACTTAATTTTATTTAATTTTAGAAGTCTACCAACTAACAGGTTTATCTGTTTCAATAAATGAGCAGCTACTATGTGCAGTACTATGCCAAGTGCTACAGGCATTCCTGTACACATCACCCTGGATTTTACCTGCAAGAAAGAAGGGGATGGGGCTGAGTGGCGGTAAAAAGAATGCAAAGATAAATATTTGAAAACATAAATGATGCTTTTATGAAGCAGAATAGGAAAGGAGCCATAAGATGCAATTAAAGTGCTACAGGAGTTCAAAGGAGAGCAATTACACTAGTCCCTTCTTATCCAAGAGGGCATCCATTCCAAGCCCCCCAGTGAATACCTGAAACCATGGATAGTACTGCACTGTACATATTTTATATATATATATATATATATATATATATGTACTATGGTTTGTAGACATACATACCTATGATAAAGTTTTTAATTTATACATTAGGCACGTTAAGAGATTAACAATAACTAATAATAAAATAGAACAATTATAACAATATACCTTCATAAAAGTTACGTGAACATAGTGTCTCTCTTTCTCAAAATATCTTATCATACTGTACTGAGGAAAACTGAAACCTTGGAAAGTGAAACCATGAATAAGGGGGGACTGGGGGACTACTGTACCTCTGTTTGAGGTGAGGCAGAAAGGGTTTCATGGAAAAGGAGGGTGTGAGATGAGCACACATGCTTGGATTTTGGCCAGCAGAGATGGCAGAAGGCAAAAACAGGGGTAGAAACATAAAGATACAAGATATGACTAACTAGAATATCCAAACAGGGAAGCTTTGACTGTCATTGTGAATGACCTTGTAAATGGGGTCCCGTAGGCAGTAAGGAGACAGGGATAAAATGACTGGCACCTGGCAGTCAGGGCAAGGAGGCCCTGAGGCAGGGAGATGAGTTAGGAGACTCTGTAGGACTAAAGCAAATAAACAAGAGAATCCATTCCTATAATTTTGAGAAAGTGGGCTGCAAGGGATTTGAGTATGTGTTTGTTCAGGAGATGGTAAAAGGAGGTAAAGGAAAGGAAGGTGCCAGAAAAACCAGCAGGAGCAACCCCGTGAATAGCTTATCTAGATGGAAATTTTCAACAGCGAGTTGAAAATATGCCTCAAGGGAGAATAGATACAGATGTGGAAGCATTGGTGCTAGAGTCCTAAGGATCCCTGGGATTCTCAAGATAAACAGTACTATCTGCTCTTTTTAAGTTTCTCCTCAAAAATTTATTTCATTCTTAGTGGAACATTTTTCTTTAGGAAGTAGGAGGAGATAACACAGCAAAGTAAGGGTCAGAGATGGAACAGTCAGAGAGGTCGAAAGAGCTCCCAGGTGGTATGGTATCAGAGAAGTTAAAGGAAAAGAGAGGTTTAGAGAGTGAGAGTACGAGAGATTAACCTCCTCAAACACTGCAGAGAAGTTCAATGGCATGAACACTAAGCAAAGACCTTCCCCACTAATTCTGTCATATACTATTAAGACACCTGGCATAGCACTTATTATGTAATATTTTGCTTATTATTCTTCGCCATTAGGTAGGGACTACTTGATATTGTTAATTTTTTTATTTTCATTATGCTTCACTAGTAAATGAGTGACTGAATGGATGAACACATGAATGAAAATGTTAATTGTGATGGAAATAGTAGTTTCAGCAGAGAAGTGGGTGTGGAAGCCCAATTCCAATGCCTAAAATAAACAAATAATGGTAAGAAAAGTCAAGGAGATATGCTGAGATATATAGTTTTCTTTTTTAAGGAAAAACCAAACAACCCCAAAACTCAAGTTCTTATAATGTTTGGCTTTAATTGTGATGATTAAAAAAAAAAAAAGAACTGCCATCGTATCAGGAAATGTTTTTTCAGACAGCTAGTTTAGAGGAGAAAGTTCTGCTAAGACATTTCTGTTTGAGACAGTTGACCCAGTGGGACTTTTGGAAAGATTTAGATTATAAGAAAAGCCTCTGACAAATATCTATGAAAGCAAGATTAAAACAATAATGTACACAATCAACTGAGGTCCAGCGGTTTGTAAACCAGTGCCAGTCGGGATGCTCAGAGCTGGGAACGGTGATCTTCAGGCAGCCAGGTGAGACTAATCTGGAGAAGCTTTAGGAAGGAGATAAATTTAAGCTGTTTTGAAAGGGGACTATTCTAGTCAATTGGCAAAGAGTCTTAAAGCACAGGATTAGGAATTTTAATTTGATTACTCGAGGTAATTTGGAGCTACCCCACTGTTGTGAAGATTTGGTATAAATGTTGTTTGGAAGATGATTCATTTCCATAGTTCTTAACTCTGGCTGCGTATTAGAGTTATCTGGAGAGCTCTGAAAAAATCCTGGCACCCAGGCTGTGCTCCAGAGCAATTAAGTCTGGGATGGCATCAAAGCATCAGTGCTTTGTTTTGTTTCTTAAAGTTCTCTGGGTGATTTCAATAAAGAGCCAAAAATTAAGAAGCACTGCTCTGAGTATAGGATAAATTGCAAGGAAGCAAGAGAGAGGCTAGAATTAGAAAGGTTAGCAAGGAGGCTGGAAATTGGAATCTGACCTAGCTTTGTGAGCAGAGATAAAAGGAGTGAAGCTAAATAAAGTATTCTGAAGGAAAACTTGGTTGGACTTTGTGATGCATGCCAGTTGCATTTTTAAATAAAGCTATCCTCCAGGAGTGTCACTGCTTTTACTATGATGGATTAGTTGAAAAACAAGTACACAGGATTTGCTTTTGCTAAAATTCGGGGCTATTAGCAAAATTCTCAATTTCTGTAGGAGCAAAGCAGGTCAGAAGAGAAAAGAAAATGTAATCACATTAAAAGTGTATGTTGTTTACATTTGAAGGAGGAAACAAAATTGAGTGATGGATGCTCCTGAATTAAGAATCAAAATTCAAATTTTAAATTGAATTACCGTTGGGAGATACTGGGCTGTGGTAAAATTATGATCCCTTTAGAGTAACCTTGAAGGAAATGAAAAGTCAGACTATTAAGGACACTGAAGAGAAAGATCCACCATCATTCTCAATCATATCATTCCCCTTTCTTGGAATGAAGAATTTGTAACCGGTATGGGAAATGGATGGTGGTGTCTCAGTATGATGACCTCTCAGAAAGCTGAGTTGGGAACCAATGATGGGAGTTCCAATGTTTAACTGAGAACACTTTAAATTTATCCTGGCATGTCCCACCTTTAAAGTTTAGAGGAAGGGCAGAATGTTATAAAATGGGAATATCATTTATAAAAGGAAATAGTGTTTCCTTTTATAACTGTATATGAGTATTTGATACAATACTCATCTGACACTGAGAGAGGAACTTCACCGGCAAGAGCTTTCTGAAGGGGAGCAATCAAAGACAGTTATTGGAGCAAAATCATTTTTCTGACTCTAAGAATGAAGCTGAGTCTTACGGCAGTGATAAGCCTCCATCTGATAGCTGCTGTCATTACTTAGAGCACAGACTTGGAACTGCAAATGAAAGATAATTGTTCCTGTATTCCTGCTCCCAAATGCTGGGTCTCTGGTAGATGCAGAGATAAAGCAGTTGGCCAGGAGTGGTGCCAGCTTTAAGTCAGGTAGGTCTGCATGTAATTTGAGGGGCAGAGCCTACCCCAAACCCTCCCTCCCTAAAACTTCCTCAGTTAACATCATTCTACTTGCAGGGAGCAGGGGTAGAGTAGGTTAGGACATTGTTTCCAGAAGACCCTTGAGGAAATAAAAGTGCACTATTAAGGATCACTAACATATCTGGAAATGACATTCATACCCTACCTCCCACCCCAACCCCAGAGAAGCTCAGGGCAAGTAACTAAGTGGCTGGGTCCAAGGGGATGTGTTAAGGTTAAGAGTCAGAAGGGAAAAGAGTTCACAAGCCTGGGTAGGGTACAGCAGGGAGGACCCATGGGTGTCCTGTGAGAAGCAAGTGGGCCTGGGGCAGCAAGAAGGACCTGAAAGGTCTTGCTGACACCCCGAGAAGACAAACCCCATCCTTCCGCTTTGTCTCTGCCTTGGGCTCCGAGCCCACTCCACTTCATTTCATCCAGCCATCCTGACTACAGGGGGCCCAAAGCTACTCTGTGCCCTGGGCACGTTTGAGTCTCCTTAAATGCTTCCAATTACCTTTGCCTGGGTTTGTGGTTCCAGGAAAGAAGGTTCTAAATTAACACTGTACAAGGCCCCCCTGCATGTTGGTTTGCAAAATTAATGATCCTAATGGAAAAGTAAATTAATCTTTGATGCTTGGTTGAGGATAAACACAAAAATCACTGTTTTGGACACTGGACCTTCTTAATACATCTCATCAATAGTATTTTCTCTCTCCCTTCCATGCCTGCCACATTCACAAAGAGAGGAGACAATACAACTTATAACTTCATCTCTGAATCCAAAGGGCCATGATGCACGCATTTATTCTGCAAACACTTATTAATGGTCTGGTTTGTGCAAGGTGCCCAAGAGAAGCCAGGAAAGGCTGCACAGAGGAGGCCACCTCATAACACTCCTCACACGTAAAGTTTGACTTGCACTTTCTACGTTCATGGTTTGAAAAGATTGCAGTAAGCATTTTGTAAAATGTAAATTACATTCTTCAATTTTAGGAAGAACACAATAGTTTTTCCAAAAGCCGCCTGTCACAGGTCTGAGGGTTCACAGAGCTCTTTTAAGGGGATCGGAAGTTCTCTGGCTGCCTTGCTATGTTTTTCTAGCCAGAAGTCTCTGCTGCAGTGCATTGCTCAGTTCCTTTCAACTGAAAAATTAAATCTGCACTTCTGTCAAAATGTGTCATCTACACATCCGGACACTCATCACAGTTCACCAAGCTCTACGCAGAGTCCAGGCTGAAAGGATGGCATGCCCTCCCCAACCCCACCCTTTTGAGGTCTGGGAAGCCCAGGTGCTGGGGAGGAGCTGAACAACTGTGTCCAGGGAGTGTCTGGCAAAGCCGACCCAGGGAGTTCCACGGGAGCCTCGGTGCTATGAAAAGAGCCAGTGTCCATGCATTTCCTCGGGTGTGAATCACACTGCCCGGTCGGGCCTTTGGGAAAAAATTAATGAAGGACACAGTCAGCGCCGTAGAACCTGCCAAATACACATCAGATCCAGTGGAGTCTGTGAAGGGGGAGGGGGAGATTTTTCCAGAGGCTTTTCTTCTCGTTCCATTTCTCTTTTGTGCCCCACGACTGGGTTCTTGAATGTAAAACTCTCAGAAAGGTCAGGGCGGAGCCTGTTTTATGCCCCGAGGAGTATCTTGCCCACCCGTAAATGCTGACAGACAGCTGCGACTTCGGCCCAGGAGACCCGGCGGGGACTGGGTCCGACCAGCCCTCTCTCGCGGGCGCAGGTCCGGGACCCCTGAAGCGAGCCGGCCGGGCGCAGAGCGCAGTCAGTCTGGGCGCTCAGAAGCTGGGAGGGGGCTCCACCTGGGCGCCCAGCCGCGGCGGGAGGGGCGGGGCCCGGCTTTCCGGAGGCGGTGGCACCTCCTCGCGCCCGAGCGCGCGCTCCCCGACGTCCGGCGCACGCGCGAGGCCGGCTGGGAGCGCGCCCAAGCGGCGGCGGCGGCGGCGGCTGGAGGAGGAGGAGGAGGAGGAGGAGGAGGAGGAGGGCGGCTGAGGCGCGGCTGGCTGCGCGCGCGGAGGCAGCGGCGGGGGCGACCGGAGCTGGGGCAGAGTGGGGAGCGAGGGAGGGGGAGGAGAGAGAGGGAGGCGGAGGGCAGTGAGAGACGCATTTCCAGTTCTCAACTACGAGCCACGAGTTTGCAGATGGGGCTGCTCGGCGGCGCCTGTGGCTGAGGGAGAGCAGCGGCGGCGGGGAGCGACCGGGAGCGGCGGCAGCGGCGGCGCGGAGGCGGCTGAGGTGCGAGCCGGTGAGTTAACTGGACCCCCACGCCGCTCGGGTAACGGTCGCGCCGCGCGCCGGGCCGGCCGGGGGCGCCCTGTTGCTCGGCGCGGCGCGCCACGCGGGGACCCTGGCCCGCCCCGCCCCCCTCGGCACCTGGGCTTCGGCGGGCGCGGGGAAGAGGGACCGGCAGGCGGCGGCGGCGGCGCCGCGGTCGGGGAGGCTGCTGGCCGCCCCCAGCCCGGCCCGCGCGGAAGGGGCGCTCGGCCGGGCTCCTGCCTCTCTGGCTGCGGGCGGCTGGGCGGGCCGGAGCTCGGCAACGTGTCTGGCCCATGCTGCTTGCCGCCGCTCCCCACGCGCTCCCCGGCGCGGCCCCGACTGGGGCTAGGGCCGCAGACGCGCGGGGCCCCTTCGGGCGCGGGGCTTGGGTGCCTACACCTCTGCGGCGGGAGTCGCGGTGGAGCCTGAATGGAGAGCCGGCCTGGGGGCGGCGTTGCTGTGACTGACACCTCCGGGGTCTGTCCCGAGAGGGGGTGATTCCGCCGGCTCCCGGTTCTCTCCCGAGCTCGGAGTTGGTAGGGGAGGAGGCTTTCTCCAACTACCGCCGCTACTTCCGAGGTACGAGACTCCAGTTGTTTGGCCAAAGTGGCTGTGGGCCGAGCACAGGCTGCCGCGGGGGCGTTCGCTGCTGAGATCGTGCTCGCGGATTCTCGGTACGTTTGTCTGAAACCAAATAGGTGCTGGGGCTTTTTTATTTTGGCTGGGTGGAGGGTCAGCAGGGGAGTCGATTGAGGTATCCGACCGTGTGGTGACAGGATGTGGATTGGTTGGTAGATGTTTTTTTGCAGAAGGACTTTTTAACACTTTACTGGGAGTTTATTCTCAATCCTACCAGTTTCTGGGATTGCAGCTCGAGATTACATTTGTTAAACTTCCATCAGTTGGGTGTGCATCTGTGTAGGGGGTGGGGGTGAAGCGAGGGAGAGAATTGAAGACTGCCGGGGAAGCTCAGAAAATTCTCCGCATTACTTATAAACAGCCGGGTAAGGTCAGGCTAGCCACGTTTTATTCTTTCCTACGCCTTTGGAGAGTGTTGGAATTTTACTTTGTGCTTCAAGTATATTACAAGTGGTCTTGTAGTGTAGCTGAGAACGTTTGGGGTGCGTTAAAATGCGTTTCAATTGGAGTATGATTTAGCAGCCATTTCTTCCCGTGAAATTTTGCAAATCATTTGTAAACTTATGTTGGTCGAATATACCAGGCGAAGTAACATTTTTAGTAATGCGGTATATAGTTTCCGTATATAGGTATAGCAACGGACCTCAAGTAATATTGCTTATTGTAGGCATCTACTGTGCAATGATAGGGTAGTGGGTAGTAGGCCTGATTATAGTTATGTCTTCTGAGGCCTTGTTAACAGTAAACAAAGAACTTTTGTGGGTTGTGTCATTTTGAGGTCATTTGTACCTTAAATCTATCATATATTTAAATAGGTGTTTAAATGCGTGTTTGCACGATGTGTTACTCTTTAAGGTCCATGTTTCCTTCATTCTGGACTACGGTTACATAATACACAAATGGTAACACTTTTAATTGCTCAATTTTGTCCTATGGAGACTGCACACCATCTTTATGAAAGAGGTGTGTATGTGTCCTTACTGATGCCACCGAATTCTTGACATCTGGAATGTCAAAATGAATTATTTTGCATTCTAGGTTAAATCAACACTGGAAAAATTAAGGTGTTTAAGCAAGTCTAGTAGCTCTATATAAGACAGAATCTTTTTTTTTCTTTAGGCCAACTGTTGGATTTTTAAAAATGAATCATATTTTTAAACATTTGAGGGAGCAGTTTGCTTCTGAGTCTCATTTTAGGCTGAAATTGTTCCAGAGCACTACATAGCCTGCTTCTCTCTTTCTCTCCCCACTCCCCCTCTTTTTAGCTTGAGATAACCAAGAAGACATAACTGTGACTCTATGTGTTATCTTTTTAAAAAGTTGTTTTAAAATTGAAGTTGCTTGTTTGAATATTTACTATCCCTTTACATGCTTTACTACTTAATAATGGATTAGCAGAATAAAACAGATATTTTAATTAAATGTCTTTCATATTTTTGACATCTGAGCTTTGTAAAAATGGAGTAGCATCATATTATTGCTGAGAGAGTTACAAATAATACAGGATTAGTGCTAGTCAAAGGCTAATTGTAAAAAAACAGCCAGAAAATAAAATTAAAAGAGGTAAGAGGACGCATTTATACTTTTGACATCACTCTAATATAAATTACCTATTGCTAGGTGACTTTTGAAAAAGAGTATCTTGTAAAATTCACATTAGGTATATAATAGTTAATAATTTTTCCTTCCAGAGTGATTCACTTGATGAGTGACTAGATTTTTTTTTTTTAAATCAGAACTCTACTTCAGGTAAGTATAGTTAACCATGTAAGTGATGTGCTGATGTTTATTTCAGGAAGAATGAACACTTACCCATTTGATAAATACTGAACTGTTTGGGAATATGTCAGTTATTCCTTAAAACTTAGGCGGAGAAAAATTATGCTAGTTTTGTTTTAACTGTAGGTTCTTTAGAAAAGTAGTCTTCACATTTATAAATATAAGAGCAGATAAGCACAAGAGATCTCTTTCCTGATATGGTGCTAGTATTGAATTAAAGATTTTATTTTTTTGTTGTAGGGACCAGTTTTGTTTAGTCTTCCTGTTCAGTCTCACAGAAGCTGCAATGATTTTCCTCCTTTTCTGTTACTTGTATCTGACCACTGGGGGGAGACTTTACAATTGGGCTTGACCATATTCCTTCTTTACATACATTGGCTGCTAATCCTGGGCACTTTGTCAAACTGCTGGGTAGTGTGCTGAGGAGGATGCACTCTGAAGCAAGTCTCAATCAAGGTGTTTAATGACTTTTCTTTCTTTAACTCACAGCATGCTTACAAAGTATCATTCTTTATAGACTGTGTTATTAACAGTCTACTGTTAAGTGGTCTAAGTATGCCTCTAACATAATGAAAGATAAGATTCCTGAATACATTATAGCTTTCAAAGATCCGACTTTACTTGCATTAATCTTAGAAGCAGTGTAGGTTTAATTGCTTGCTTAGAGTACACAGATATTAGTTGTCTGGAAGGATCTGGAAAGATCATCACTCTTCTGTGAAGTGTATCTATATCCAAACCCTTTAAACAAATTGGTCTCCTCTTATAAAAAGCTTTTGGAGGAGAAGATATTGAAGCATCCCATGTAGCTAATTTTAGTGTTCATTTCACCGCAGAGGGGAAGTTCTTCCTTTATCATAGTCATATAGATAAGATTAAAGCCCACAACTTTGTTAACCATTAAGCTGTGACCATTATTACCAGGTGTAATAAAGTCAAAAGCCTGGTTTCTACTTTTTCTTTTCTGACAGTATTTAACCTTGTTAATGTCCAATTCAATAATAATGAACTCAGTAAACAGAGGCTGCTACGTTTATAGTAGTTTAGAAAGAACTTAAGTTTTATGACCTTCCTTAATTATGATAGACTAATTCAAAGACCTTTCTATAATCTTTATCATAGTAAGTATATTCACAGAGTAATGAACAGAACAAAATTAGTTTCTATTTTTCCTTCATCCTAGGTTATTTTCCTTCTTTCCTTTAAGATGACTTTGCTTTCATCCGAAAATTCTTTTTTCCTTTTTTCCTTTTTTTTTTTTTTTAATATAGTGTACTAGAAGAGATACTTTCTGCTTAGGAATATATTCATCTCTGGCTAACTTTAGGATTGTGTTAAGTACTTGGGAATGGAAGTTTCTAAAAGCCTATCTGTCAGAGTTATCACTGATACAAGGCAAAATGAGAATTAAAGACAATATAATGAATATTTCATAAAGCTCAAGTTATTTTCAGATCCTTTCTACTGCTTGCTAGTTTTGTACATGATTTAATCCCTCCTTCACCAATTTACATCTTTTCCTCTTAAATCTATCATTTCTTTACCCTCTTCCTCCACTTTTTGCTATATTTCATCTACATTGCCCTTCATTTTGTTCCTCATCAATGCCATGGCTTGCTCCTAACTTAGGGCTTTTGCACTATGTTCACTCTGTTGGGAACTCTTCCTAAATCATTACATGAGTGACTACTTTTCATCATTTCATGTTGTAGTTCAAATATCATCTTTTCAGACAAGCATTGCTACCTAACCATCCTTCCAGAATGACACTAGCCTCATCCCCCTCAATCCCATTACCTTTTTTACTTAAAAATTTCTTCAAACCATTTATCAGTATCTGAAATTATGTTTTTATATTATTTTATAATCTCCATACTCACTAGAATATAAGCCCCGTGATATCAATGATCTTGTCTCTTTTTGTTTTTGTTTTTGAGATAGAATCTCACTCGGTCACCCCAGGCTGGAGTGCAGTGGTGTGTGTGATCACGGCTCACTGCAGCCTGGAACTCCTAGGCTCAAGTGATCCTCCCACCTCAGCCTCCTGGTAGCTAGGACTATAGGCAACAACTACCATGCCGAGCTAATTAAAAAAAAAAAATTCTGTAGAAATGGAGTCTTGCTGTGTGTGTTGCCCAGGCTGCTCTCAAACTCCTGATCTCAAGGGATTCTCTCGCCTCAGTGCCTCAAAGCACTGGGATCATAAGCATGAACCACCACACCCTGCTGATCTTGTCTCTTTTGATTAACACTATATTTCAAGGACTTAGACCTGTTCCTGGCACATAGCTGTCATTAAATAAATCATCCTTTTAAAAAATCTGAGGTCATGTTCTTTCTGAGGTTTCGGTGTTCAAATGCTCCTTTATAAAATGATAGTAGTATGGTAAACAGGCCTCTTTTGGCCATAAGTAATAGAAATCCATTCTAGTTGTTATAAAGGGAATTTATCGTTCAAATGCAGCCAATGTCCAGTGGAATGCAAGGACTGGGACTCCAGTGCCTGCAGGGCACATCATATCGTTTCTCTCTTCTTCTCTGTGCGTTTGCTTCATTCCTTCTCTTGCTGCAGAGGACCACTTCTAGTCCTCTTAGTGGAAAATATGGCCACCAGTAGCTTCTGAGTTTTCATGATACCAGCCTGGGAAACTGGAGAAAGGTTCATCTAGTTCTTCCCTGTTCAATAAACTATATCTCATTATTAGAACTTGGTTGTACTTGCTGTAACCACATGTAATGGGATTAAACAGACAATCCAAGTAGGTGCCCCTGTGATAATTAATGTTCATACTTATTCATCTGCTGCAAAACACTCGTCTCTCCTCTTTTTAAATTTGATCTTGAAATCTGAAGTATCTGAAAAGCACTCTTCCTGGAGATATAGAAAAGAAATGTGATATCTTTCATGGGCATGATTTGCAGTTTGATTGAGGAAGATAAAATATATACAAAAAGGAAGTAAAATAAAAATAGCATGATAATGGAGGAACTGGTAGAAATATTTGCAATTTGTATGATAAATAAGAGTCTAACTTCCTTTATATAAAGTACCTACTAACCAATTAGGAAAAGACCAACCATCAAGTGGGCAAAGATCATGAACAGAGTAATTCTCAGAAAAGGAAATGCAAGTGTTTTGTAAGCATCTGTAAAGGTATTCAACCTCACACATAATACAAATATTATAAATAAAAACTATGAGATACTGTTTCACCTACTGACAGATGGAAAATGTTTGATAATACTTTTGAAGAGGCTATTAGTTAACAGGGGCTTTCACATTGTTGGTGGAAACACAAATCAAAATCTGATGTGGTTGAAATTTCTGAAGAGCATTAAGGTAAATAGAAAAGGCTGGAAATATGCCTTAATTGATACAGATGTTTGTGAAAGGGTAAAAAGTTAATGCACAACTTATTTGAACACTAACTTGCATTGCTTTGTTTTTGGCTAAAGTCATAAACAAACTGAAACAGCAGGCTTCCTCCCCCAAAAAGAGATACCTTTTGAGTGGTATTTAGTTACCCCTTTCCATCTTCTCCATTCCCCTTTCTTCTACCCCAGTACTGGTAAAGTTGTTTATAAATCACCGAGATTTTCCGATACTTTGTATCCTTCACACAGCCCAGCACTTTGTTACCTACTTAGTAGCACTAAGTAAAGATTTAATTGAAGGAGCTTAGCTTATCACCTTTTTATAGACCCAGTTCATAATTCTTATGTTTTTGGAAGAAATCTTTTATAAAAAGTGATTTTCAATTTCATTTGATAAATCTACTTAGAATATTTATTAGAATAGGCAATAGAGCAATTTTTTATAAATCTTGGTTTATTGTATAGCATATTAATGGAACTTTTTCATAGTTGCTTTGTTCTGTAGGATATTATTAGATATTAGTTGGGTAGGATTAATATTTTTAAAAGATAGAATAGGGCAGCTGGAGATATGTGGGACTTTTAAAGAAAAATGTATGAGAAAGTGTGGGGAAAATGATTCTCTGAGCAGACTGGGGGCCATATGCTTAGGAAAGGAAAAGTGAAAGGTGAGGGATTCGTTTAGAGAAATTCTGTGGTGGAACTCAGAGGGGTACATGTTGGGAGAAGTTTTAACTTAGGAAAATACTAAGCTGATTTACTTAAATGCATATTTCAAGGATAAATACTTTATATTTTGTTCTGTAGGTCATTTTTACCATGAAGTGACTCTGGCAGGGATTCTTTACCTAAGTGGGCATCAGAATCCTTTGGAGCTATCCTACGCTAAAGGATTCTAATTTAGTAGGTCTGGTATGGGGCAGGAGCATGTTTATATTGTTAAAATCCCCAGGAGCCACCATTTGAGTGTAAAATAATACATCCTGTGGAATATTCCATTTTAATAATGAAATCATTCAACAAAGCTTTTGAGGTTGTATATAATTTAGGTAACTCTAATGCTGGAACTTGGTCTCTCACCAGGTCAATACTTCTGCACATACCTCATTGATCCCCATTGCTTTACTCTCTTGCATACTCTTCCCTCCTCTGCCTTCTTGTTTCTTTTCTACTAATGAATATTCAGGCATGGTTCTCCAAGGAAGCCATCATTAGGTGGCCTCATCCATAATTTATCTTTTCAGTACAGAACAAATTATAACACAGTGCTTATACAACTGGCAAGTACACTCATCACATGAGTAGATGATTTATGTGTTTTCGTTCACATGAGCCTTGAACAAATATACCCAGTTTTACTAGTTGAGCTTCCTTGTTTTTTCTTCTTGCTATCAAGAGGTTGGCGTTTAGTCATAGTTAATGCTGATGTAAACATTTGATAATATTATAGATACCACCATGTTTCAAGGTCTATGTTAAATGCTCTCCACACATTATCTCATCTGCTTGTTGCAGATTTTAAAATTATGTTTTTTAAGTCACTAAAATCTTTTTATGATTGTATTAGTTTTCTGTGACTGCTGTGACAAATTGCCACAGACTTAGTGGCTTATAAATAAATGTATTCTCTTACGATTCTGAAGGCCAGACATTTGAAATCAGTATAATTGGGCCAAAATCAAGGTGTCAACAGGGACATTTTTCCTCCAAAGAATCTAAGGGAGAACTTACTTGTTGCCTTTTCCAGTTTCTGGTGGCTTCTGGCATTCCTTGGCTTGCGGCTACACACTGCAGTCTTCAAGGCTGGCATTTGAAATCTTTCAGCTCTGTGTCTTTCATTTCCCCACGTGTGTGTGTGTGTGTGTGTGTGTGTGTGTGTGTGTGTGTGTGTGTCAGAGAGAAAGGGAAATCTCCCTCTGTGAAGGACACTTGTGAAGGCATTTAGTGCTCTCTGGAATAACCTCCCCATCACAAGATCTTTAATCACACCTGTGAAACTTTCCAAATGCGGTGACATTCATAGGTGTCAGGAATTAAGACATAGATATCTTGTGGAGGGGGAGACTATTATTCAGCCTACCATAATGGTAATTTAAATAGTTCAGAAAAGGGAGGAGGAGTTGATAAGTCTTTTTGTCCCATCTTCATCACTTTCTAAGTCAGTATTTCTCAATCAGGGATGATTTTGCTGAACAATCTCCAGGAATATTTGGCTGTCACAACTGGGAAGGTGTTGCTACTACTATGTATAAGGTATAGGTCAGGGATGCTGCAAACAGTGCACAGGGCAGCCCCCCTCAACAAGGAGTCATCCAGCCCAAAATGTCAGTAGTGATGAAGCCGAGAAACGTTATTCTAAAGGCAACTATTGCCAATAGCTTTTTTGGGGTATCCAGAAAAAATTTTGATGCCTCTATTACGAGTAAAAGCCTTTAATCTGATTTGATCAGAACGGGTGGTAGTTTTGGCTGACTGAAAGTGATTTAAGTGAAGAGTCATAAACGATTGACACATATCTTAAATAATATATTACTTAAAAATCTACATTCATGTGTCAGTCTTTTCTTTAAGTATGTGTCTTTTGCCAGGAACTCTGGGTCATCATTCTTATATAAGCCAATGCATTATCACTGATTACCAGCTTTGGAGTGAGAACTTAAAAGTTTGTGAAGCAGTCTGCATATAAGATCTAGATTTCTAATGTTTTATGACTCCTCAATTGTTTATACTTGTTTTACCCTTAATTTTACAGCAGTTTATCATTTTGTTTTGTTGTTTTGTCACTTGCTTTTTTGGGGTCTTCCCAAAGCATCAACTGATTTTCATATAAAGAATATAACTCCCATCATCTTGTATCAAATACAGCATATGATGCATATAAAGAAAATGAAATCCTATTTTGTAATAATGGCTTGCTAAGGAATTGGGAATACTAATTCTAGTCGCAGCTCATTTGAACAGCATCCAATCTGGTGATATGGTGAGGGCTAATGTCAGTTGTTTACAAATTCTTGAATGTTTCAGAACATTTTGTTTTAGTTCTGTAATGGCAGAGTTTATAAATAATCTATAGAATATTACTATAAATACTTTATTGGTATTACCAGCTTAGTGCTTGCGTTACTTTTCTAAAAGAAACATTGATTTTTTTTTCATTAACTGTAATAAATATTATTTGAAGTTTGAATGTGGCTATCTTTGAGTGGATTTGTCTTCTTTTTATTTACTAGAATATGTATGTCTATATGCACATAATAAAATGTTATATGGAAAACCTAACTTTAGTTACATAAATAAAAAATTATTTGCTTTTTTTATTCCTCTTTTAATATCCTTCTATCTTCTATCCTTGTATAAGGAGCTAGAAGGTATAAGAAACTCCAATAATTGGGTTTCTTATAAAGAGCTTTGATATAAGAAACTCAGATAATTGAGTAAAGAAGTTTAATTTATTAAAGTTGCTTATTTTTGAAATGATAGTCATGCTTTTTTTTTTTTTTTTTTTTTTTTTTGAGACAGAGTCTTGCTCTGTCACCCAGGCTGCTAGAGTGCAGTGGCGTGATCTCGGCTCACTGCAACCTCTGCCTCCCGGATTCAAGTGATTCTCCTGCCTCAGCTTCCTGAGTGGCTGGGATTACAGATGTGTGCCACCACGCCCAGCTAATTTTTGTATTTTTAGTAGAGAGGGTTTCACCATGTTGGCCAGGATGGTCCTGAACTCCTGACCTCGTGATCTGCCTGCCTTGGCCTCCCAAAGTGCTGGGATTACAAGCGTGAGCCACCGTGCCTGGAAATCATTCATATTTTTATACAAATCAATTTAAATGTTTTTTATTTTTTAGCTAGTAATCTTTTGGAATGGAGGTCAGTAAAAAAAAATGTAAGCCCTATTTTTAAAAGGTTGGACTATCTTGTGAGACAAAGTAGTCTCAGTTTGCCATCACCAACCAATCCTTAGCATTAAGCTCTTGAAAACAACTAGGTAGAGAAATTTTCCGTGAAGGAATTTAATGATCTTTATAAAGTTTTACTATTCACCCAATTAAAATGTTAGATTATCATTTTATGCTATTCAATTTGGAAATACCAGATACTATACAATTAGTTTCCATTCACCATTACTTTCTTGAAAGAAACTTTTCACGACTTTCAATAAGGTCCCCTGCCCCCAAATAAAGTGGTTATAAATCCTAGGAGGCATTTTTGAGGATATCTTATTCAGATCCTTTCTTTTTTTTTTTTTCCCATGCTAAATATTTATTTAATTTTTTTTTTTATTATACTTTAAGTTTTAGGGTACATGTGCACATTGTGCAGGTTAGTTACATATGTATACATGTGCCATGCTGGTGTGCTGCACCCACTAACTTGTCATCTAGCATTAGGTATATCTCCCAATGCTATCCCTCCCCTCTCCCCCGACCCCACCACAGTCCCCAGAGTGTGATATTCCCCTTCCTGTGTCCATGTGATCTCATTGTTCAGTTCCCACCTATGAGTGAGAATATGCGGTGTTTGGTTTTTTGTTCTCACGATAGTTTACTGAGAATGATGATTTCCAATTTCATCCATGTCCCTACAAAGGACATGAACTCATCATTTTTTATGGCTGCATAGTATTCCATGGTGTATATGTGCCACATTTTCTTAATCCAGTCTATCATTGTTGGACATTTGGGTTGGTTCCAAGTCTTTGCTATTATGAATAATGCCGCAATAAACATACGTGTGCATGTGTCTTTATAGCAGCATGATTTATAGTCCTTTGGGTATATACCCAGTAATGGGATGGCTGGGTCAAATGGTATTTCTAGTTCTAGATCCCTGAGGAATCGCCACACTGACTTCCACAATGGTTGAACTAGTTTACAGTCCCACCAACAGTGTAAAAGTGTTCCTATTTCTCCACATCCTCTCCAGCACCTGTTGTTTCCTGACTTTTTAATGATTGCCATTCTAACTGGTGTGAGATGGTATCTCATTGTGGTTTTGATTTGCCTTTCTCTGATGGCCAGTGATGATGAGCATTTTTTCATGTGTTTTTTGGCTGCATAAATGTCTTCTTTTGAGAAGTGTCTGTTCATGTCCTTCGCCCACTTTTTGATGGGGTTGTTTGTTTTTTTCTTGTAAATTTGTTTGAGTTCATTGTAGATTCTGGATATTAGCCCTTTGTCAGATGAGTAGGTTGGGAAAATTTTCTCCCATTTTGTAGGTTGCCTGTTCACTCTGATGGTAGTTTATTTTGCTGTGCAGAAGCTCTTTAGTTTAATTAGATCCCATTTGTCAATTTTGTCTTTTGTTGCCATTGCTTTTGGTGTTTTAGACATGAAGTGCTTGCCCATGCCTATGTCCTGAATGGTAATGCCTAGGTTTTCTTCTGGGGTTTTTATAGTTTTAGGTCTAACGTTTAAGTCTTTAATCCATCTTGAATTAATTTTTGTATAAGGTGTAAGGAAGGGATCCAGTTTCAGCTTTCTACGTATGGCTAGCCAGTGGTCCCAGCACCATTTATTAAATAGGGAATCCTTTCCCCATTGCTTGTTTTTCTCAGGTTTGTCAAAGATCAGATAGTTGTAGATATGTGGCATTATTTCTGAGGGCTCTGTTCTGTTCCATTGATCTATATCTCTGTTTTGGTACCAGTCCCATGCTGTTTTGGTTACTGTAGCCTTGTAGTATAGTTTGAAGTCAGGTAGTGTGATGCCTCCAGCTTTGTTCTTTTGGCTTAGGATTACCTTGGCAATGTGGGCTCTTTTTTGGTTCCATATGAACTTTAAAGTAGTTTTTTCCAATTCTGTGAAGAAAGTCATTGGTAGCTTGATGGGGATGGCATTGAATCTGTAAATTACCTTGGGCAGTATGGCCATTTTGACGATATTGATTCTTCCTACCTATGAGCGTGGAATGTTCTTGCATTTGTTTGTATCCTCTTTTATTTCGTTGAGCAGTGGTTTGTAGTTCTCCTTGAAGAGGTCCTTCACATCCCTTGTAAGTTGGATTCCTAGGTATATTCAGATCCTTTCTTATGTTCACTTAAAAGTTATTGATTCCAACTTCTGTCCTAGAGATAGCATAACTTGGATGTTTGAGATTAAAAAAAAATGCTTTTAGTAACCTTTATTTAACTCGCTCAGCTTGCTATATAGCCAAGTCGGTATTTATAGTTTGTTTCCACCCTTGATAATTTCATGCCAGTACTCATCAGAATGGAACACTGACTTGGCTCTGTCTGTCCTTATTCTCATCTCCATCCCCTCCTTTCCAACACACTGCAATTCTAGATTGAAGACTGCACATTTATTTATTTATTTATTTTTTTGAGACGGAGTCTCACACTGTTTCCCAGGCTGGACTGCAGTGCCGAGATCTCGGCTCACTACAAGCTCCGCCTCCTGGGTTCATGCCATTCTCCTGCCTCAGCCTCCCAAGTAGCTGGGACTCCAGGCGCCCGCCACCTGCCTCTGTTATCTCTTCTAAGAGTGTGCACCACTAATATCTTCTACTCCTACTCTGCCATCTATCTAGTTCCCTTCTCTTTTATCATCCAAACTTGGAGTTCCCTCTTTTGCAAATTATCTCCAAAAAGAGCAACTTAGAATTTGTTACTCTCCAGGGAAATTTTCACTGAAAGCAAGTCTGTTTATATATGTATATACTGGTATTACACAAATAAAAAGATTATATAGTTTATTTGAGGGAAGAAGCAGTTTCTTTGTATTCCCCCAGTCAGGCATCATCCATGAACATAGGCTTTGCTATTTTTTTTTTTAATTGAAGATGTTAGGGGAAAACAAAGTTTAGCCATATTTAATTTTATTTAGCCATATATTTTATTTAGCCATAAAATAAAATACTGCTTTATTTTATCATGTGTGGCAGACTGTAAGTTCTGAGAGAATTCAGAAGAAGAAATGTTCACCTGTGGGGAGAGACTTGCTACTTATTTGCTACTTGATTGAGTTAATTTTGAGATGAGTTCAGGGACTCATTTTAGCTCTAAAATTTTGATTCTGCGTAAGCAAGAAATAGGTCATAAGCTGGGTAAGTATGGAATAACCAAGGAAAAAAAGTAGTCCTTAGATGGGATGAGTAACAAGAGTGAAGGCATTTAGGTGAGAATTAGATATGTGGTTGTGCATATAGGAAGTAAAATGATCAATGTGGTTAGAACAGAGAGTTTATATTAAGGAATAAGAGTGCATTAGGTTGAATAGATGGAAAGCTAGATATTAAGAAGAGAAATTTAAACATACCCAGATGATAGAAAATCATGTTTTTCTAATGCAATCTGGTCATTAAAATGATTTTTTAACATGATTGGTGTGATAGTCTTACGCCTAGTAGATTACAGTGAAGAAGAGAATGGTAGAAGAGGCTTGTGGTAATAATTTAAAAGTGAATTAAGGAGAGCCTGAAAGACAGTGGTGGCAGAGGGAAGGGAGAGTAAAAGATAAATATAAGGACATTGCAAATTCACCATGACAAACCAAATGACATAGGGCGTCTTGAGGTTTTCAAGGAATTCCGAGGCAAAGGCAGTCTCTGGATTTTCAGAGTTTGGAAATTCCCCGCCCGCCCTGCCCCCCAAATTCTAGTATTTTCCCCAAAATAAACCCTGGTCTTGTTTAAAGGATTTTTTTTTTGTTTTTTGTTTTTTGGTTATTTTTATTTTTAAATAAGTTGTTATGGCCCCTAGATTTGAGCAAGTTGTTCTCATATTTGACTAAGTTAATACTAAAGGATGGAAAAGTTCTTTAGAGACTACCTACTTCGCTATTAATTTGTCATTTATCCCTGCATTATATACTGTTAAAAACATTGGAAGGACGAAGGACGTTAACTGGAATGACGATGGATGAGTGTGGGTACTGTCATATAGGGGAGGGGAAAGAGCAGAGGAACTTTTAAATTATTAAATTATTATTATTAAATTAGAGGAACTGAGAAAATAAAGATACTAATAGTAAGGAATATGTTATTTTTAATTTAAAAAATTTTTTTAGACAGCATATCCCTCTGTCACCCAGTCGAGTACAGTGGCCTGATTGTAGCTCACTGCAACCTTAAATTTCTGGGCTCTAGTGATCCTCCCAAGTAGGTGAGACTACAGGTCCACACCACTATGCCCAGCTAATTTTTTTTTTTTTTTTTTAATGTTTTTAGAGTCCAGGTCTCACTGTGTTGCCCAGCCTGGTCTCAGAACTCCTGGTCTCAAGCCATCCTCCCTTCTTGGCCTCCCATAGTGCTGGGATTACAGGCATGAGCCACCATGCTAAGTTTTGTGGGGAAGTGTGGAAAGTACGTGGCTTGATTCTTATCAGAAAGTTTCACTTTACTTTTGTCTGAGTCTTCCTCTCTGACATCTTCTTTTCAATTTCATAAAAGAACACTATAGCAAATACATCTTACAACCATGACCATACTGTCTCTAGAAAGCCAGAATATTATGAAACATTTAGTAGGTGAGCAAGAAAAGTGGAGTGATTCTGATGCCAGAAATAGCACCGAGCTAATACAGTTTGATCTATTTGTTATTTAGAATACACCAGTGATTCTCTAAGGGTGCAGTTTTGCCCCCTAAGGGACATTTGGTAATATTTGAAGCCATCTTTGGTTGTCACACCTGGGGTGGGGTGCTACTGACATCTAGTGGGTAGAGGCCAGGGTTGTTACTAAGCAATTCATTGGGACAGACCCCACAACAAAGAATTATCTGGCGCCAACTGACAGCAGTGCGAAGATTGAAAAACCCTGGAATGTAGAGTAGGCAGGTTCTTCCCTGGACATGTTTGGAGACATAGGTCAATTTTTTTTACTTCCTTTTCTTCTAGGCTTGACCAGATATCATCCTACCAACAGCTTACAATACCATATAGATTCTTACTCTTTGTTTCATTGTGTTCTTATCTTAAGGGTATATCTTAGACATTTCAATTAGACAAATATTTCTAAATATTTCTACCCATCTTCATTTAGGGTTGCTTTTTTCTGCTAAGTTTATTTTTCTGTTTTACCAGTTTATCTCTTGAGGCATCACTCTATTTTTAAATAATTGAGGGCCTCTGATGATGTATTTAGGTATTCTCTTTTACAGCATTTTCATGTGCTTCAAGTCCCAGGTCTGGGTTGAGCTAGTTCTTGAGTCCAGATTTTTTTCATATACTGTTTGAACCTCTTCTGATTTTTTAGTATATAAAAAGTTTGAACAACAAGACCCTTAAGGGAAAAACTATCTTGGAGTTCTTTTAGAATGATTTTATTCTTGCTTACAGATAAAGATTGCCATACGTATAACAGCTACATACAAAAAGACTTTATAATGGTTTATAGCACTAAATGGAAAACACTGAAATTCTAGAATGAAACAAGGTTTGCAAGAACTTCTATTTGGCTTTATTGTTTTGGTTAAGCAGAGCAAAATAATTCATCATAATATGAAGATAAAAGTTGAATGAATGTATCATAATTGAGAAAGGGGTGTGTTTTTAGAAAAACAGTTTATTTTGTCCTTATCCCACCTCCATTTGATGTTGATGTAAACATATTGGCCATTTAATATAAAATATAATTCCAGTCTGCCTATGTATAACAACTACACTGTACAATAAAAAGAGATGGAAAGCAAAAGTATTTCTTTACTGTAGTGGTCAGGATATGATTTGTAGATCCAAATTTTGTGTGTGTGTGTGTGTTTGGAAAATTTGGGAGGCAAAGTTCTCAAGTAAGTGCAGATCTTCTTTTAGTAGATACTTCCTGTCTGCTTTGTATACACATCAATTATATCTTCATCTTCCATTTTCACCTGTACAGGTGTTTCATTAATTGGCCTCCCATCACATCCAAAACCAAGTTGCCTCATTGATAGATCAGTTGTTAACAATAGGCTCTCATTAGTTTGCTAAGTGATATACTCTGGAGCTGTACCACTGAACCATTCCACCCCACCACTGCAACTCTATATGGTTATTTTTTTGGGTCTTGACTCCTTTCTTGGGCTTTTTGTCAGCCATGGAAAGCATTACTGTTGCAGCTGCTGCTTCTCGAAAGAAGTTTCAGGTACCTCATGTATGTGCACACAACCAGCATTAGTAAGTAAGCCTGTTTTAATTCTGGAGATATTTTACCTAAGAAATATTTAAGTGTGTGAAGAGACTACTTTTCTGAGTGTAGAAATTTCAGGGCAGTCAAATGCATTTCTGTATTGTTAATGCTCTGAACAAGCTAGTGTACCTGGAGGGAGGAATTTATGTTGGTTAATGAGTAACATAGTTCTCTCATCCCATTACTTATTTATGATCAATTTATTTTTAATTAAGCTTTTAAAATTATTAATGCTACATGACATGCAAAGTTAAAATCAGCATGGAAGAATGAATGTACCATGAAAGTTAAAGGTTTCTATCCCTACTCTTACTTCATAGAGTTAATCATGGTTAGTAGTTTCAGATTTAGTTATATTAGTAAAGTGGTTCTCAATTCATGACTGGCATTTTTGGCAGTACTATACTTTGCAATGCAGGATTGTCCTGACCTGAACACTACTCAGTGTTTAGTGTCCCTTAATATTTGGTTTTCTACCACAGTTACTGAGACAATCAAAAATGGCCTAGTACATTTCCAAATGCTCACTGGGGAGAGGTGGTATGCTAATTTTAAAAAACATACATCTTAGAAAGCATATGTTTATGTTTTCAATTTCACACAGTAAGTATTGACTCTAGTATAAAAGAATATTTAAGTGCGCACAGACTTCTTGAGGGAGGCCCAGAGAAAGTCCACTTGGGAGGAACTGTGCTTACTTCTAAAGTCTTAGATGATAAGATTTTTCAATCTTACCTGCTTTCTTTCCTGATAGTCTTACTTTCTTGTGTTTTCAGCTACCTGTCTTTTTGTTACTGTTTGATGATTTTTGAATTGTGTGCTCTTGCTTCGCTGGGTTTTATTGGAGGAAATTCTGTGCAGCCCAGTTAGAGGACACATTCTTTCCAAGGTTTGCCAAGGCTTTTCTTTGGCACCTGTGGAAGCCACTGACCCAAGACCACTTCGTAGTTTCTCTGCTTGGGGTGTTCTGAACTAGGCAGGTAGGTATATTTGGAACCCTGAATCCTTGAGAGTAGGCTGTGATTACTAATTCTCAGGTGATATTTTTTTCTGCTAATATGGAGTCCAATCTGAGACAGGCCAACTTCCTTATTGTCTTCCTTGGCCAACAGGCATGTTTTTATTAGACTACTCTTACAAAGTAGGGGTTAGTCCTATAAGGTCTCAGCTTCATGTGGGAAGGTCTAAGTTGCATTTTTCATCTTGAACAGGCCAGGGCCTAAATGGCAGCTTCTGAACTCCTGGTTACTGAAATCCTAAACACCCCAGGGCAGTCATAACTTCAGTACCTACTTACTAGTTTGTTTTTTCCCCTTCATATTGGCTCACAGGGATATTCTTGGGGACTTTTTTTTTTTTTTTGAGGGGATGTTTTCAGTATTTTATTTTGCATTTTTAGATGTTTTGTGAGAGAATTATTTTCAGATTTTCAAGGGTACCTTCTTTGCCAAACCAGCAAGCCTTTCTTATCTGTTTTCTAACTTCTAAGCAGTTCCTAAACTTCTGGTTTGCTAATCTCTTTCTCTTTTATTTTTGTCTCACCTCCCCTCCAGTATTAGTGCTGTTTTATTCTTTTTTAAAATTACATACCTGTTTTGTCATTTCAGTGGGACCTCAGGAGGGAGGGAACATAGGCATGTGTGTTCAGTCTTCCACTTTAACTGGAAGTGTGTCTAATAGTTTTGAGGTATACTATGTCTATTAGGACCAACTGACCTTAGGAAAAATCAATGTAAATACCTTTCCATTTAACTGTCATTTTAAGTTTGAATTTAAAAAGCATAGTCTTTGGCTGTAAAAGAGGGACAGGGTCAGGAATGGAGGATGACATTCAGACCATTATGCAGTTGAGCAAGGCCTCACTGAGATAGGGGGCAGTGTGTAGCTTGACATACGTGGGCTCTTACCATAAAGTCTAGCTATATAAAGCAAATCACATTACAATGATGAGAAGCCAGAATTTTAAAATTTCATCCAATGAGTATTTATTAAATGTGATGTGTCTGGAGTAATACTAAGAATTAGAGTACAAAAATAAATAAAATGCCATATCCTCAGTGAACCCACTAATTTTGTGTTAGAGATAGACATGTAAATTAAAATAGTTCTCATTATTCAAGATAGTTATGGTGTATAAAGTCTCTGCAAATGCAGAATTATCAAATGCTGAGCCGTGTTGCTTCTAGGGGAAATGCAGGGTTAGGTTCCTGCAAGCCTTTAGTCACAGTATGTTCATCAACTGGTCAATATATAGCCTTTTTTATCTGTATTTCTCTTTAAAGATACTTTATTATATATTATTGATTCATTAACATTGTACTCATAGCCAAGCTTACCATATCTTATGCCTGAACAAAGCTTGTCTAATATGTACATTTTTCTGTAAAGCACACCAGAGCCTTTTCATGATAAAGAAACACTAGATAGCACTTCAGTGCTATGATTGGGGACCATTTTGTGAAATCACAAACAACAGAAAAATGCAAAAAAAAAAGTGGCACAAAATAAACTATGAAAAGGATACTTGTTTTTAGTATGAGAGCCGAAACAAGAAAGCAGAGTGTTGCTTTCTTCCACCTCAGCTGGGACTGTGCAATGTTGGGTGACTCAAATTTTTCACCACTCTGCATATCCACTAATGACCACAAAAGCTCTGTAAGTATCGATTATTGGATTAAAAGTAAATTTTAGCAAGTAGGCAAATTCGCAAACACAGAATAATGAGAATCAACTGTACTGTATAATGTGGTAAGTGCTGTATATTGTAAATCTGCTAGGTTGGGTCAGGGAAGGCTTCATTTGAGACAATTAAGATGAATTTACAGCAGTATGAAGCAATGAATCTATGGAATGGCAAATGGTCCAGAGTGGTTGGAATAAAAGGGCCCCTGTAAGGAGAGGCAAGTGGGGACGTTTGGACTGGCCAGCTAACAGAGGAGGATGTGAAGGCCCTTATGCTGTATTAAGGAATTTTGATTCTGTAGGTGATGGGAAACTATTGGATGATTTTAGCCAGGGGAGAAACATGGTCATATTTGTATTTTGGAAAGCTCACACTGCTTTGGTATTGGGTATAGATGAAGTAAGGAAAATAAATACAGGCATACCTCAGAGATATCACGGGTTCAGTTCTGGACCGCTACAATAAAACACATATCACAATGAAGCAAATCACACAAATTTTTTTATTTCCCAGTGCATGTAAAAGTATGATTACACTACACTGTAGATTATTAAGTATACAATAGCATTATGACTAAAAAATGTACATACCTTGATTTAAAAATACTTTAAAGCTTAAAAATGCTAGTAATCATCAGAGCCTTCAGAGAGTTGAAGTCTTTTGCTGGTGGAGGGTCTTACCTTGATGCTGATGGCTGCTGACTGATCAGGGTGGTGGTTGTTGAAGGTTGGAGTGGCTGTGGTAATTTCTTAAAATAAGACAGATATAAAGTTTGCCACATTGGTAGACTCTTTTTTCATGAAAGATTTATTGGTAATATGTGCTGCTGTTTGAGAACATTTTATCTATAGTAGAACTTCATTCAAAATTGGAGTTAATCCTTTCAAACCCTGCTACTTTACCAGCTAAACTTATGTAATATTCTAAATTCTTTGTTGTCATTTCAGCAATATTTACAGCATCTTCACCAGGAGTAGATTCCATCTCAAGAAACCACTTTTTTTGCCCACTTGTAAAAACCAACTCCTCTTCTGTTAAAGTTTTATCATGAGATTGTAGCCTACATCTTCAGGCTTCACTTCTAATTCTCATTCCCTTACTTTTTCCACCACATCTGCAGTGACTTACCCACTGAAGTCTTGAATCCCTCAAAGTCATTGATGAGAGTTGGACTCAGCTTCTTCCAGACTCCTGTGAATCAACATTTTGAAGGATATTTTGACCTTCTCCCATGAATCACAAGTGTTCTTAATGACATAAATGGTGAATCCTTTCCAAAAGGTTTTCAATTTGCCCACATCCATCAGAGGAATCACTATCTATGGCAGCTATCGTCTTATGAGATGTATTTCTTAAATAAGATTTGAAAGTCAGAATTACTCCTTAATCCATGGGCTGCAAAACAGATGTTGTATTAGCAGGCATGAAAATAACATTCATCTGCTGTGCATGTCTATCAGAGCTCTTGGGTGACAAGGTGAGTTGTCAATGAGCAGTAATATTTTGAAAGGAATCTTTTTTTCTGAGCAGTATGTCTCAACAGTGGACTTAATAAATTCAGTAAACCTTGTTGTAAACCGAAGTGCTGTCATCAAGGTTTTGTTCCATTTATAGTGCACAGTTAGAGTAGATTTAGCATAATTTTTATGGGACAGGATTTTTCAGAATGGTAAATGAGGATTGGCTTCAGCTTAAAAGTCACCACCTGTGTTTGCCTCTAACTAAAGAGTCAGACTGTCCTTTCAAGGTTTGAGGCCAAGCATTGACTTTTCACTAGCTATGAAATCCTATGTGGCTAATAAAAGGCTATTTTGTCTGCACTGAAAATCTATCTGTTGTGTAGCATAGTCACCACCTTCATCAATGATCTTAGCTAGATCTTTTGGGTAACTTCTTGCAGCTTCTACATTGGCACTTGCTGCTTCACCTTACACTTTTATGTTATGAGATGACGTCTTTCCATAGACCTCATGAACAACCTGTGCAAGTTTCAGACTTTTTTCCAGTAGCTCTTCACCTCTCTCAGCCTTCATAGAATTGAAGGGAGTTAGGGCCTTACTCTGGATTAGGCTTTGGTTTAAGAGAATGCTGTGACTGGTTTGATCTCCAGACCACTCAAACTTTCCCCATATCATCAATAATGCTGTTTTGCTTTCTTATTCCTGTATTCACTGGAATGGCACTTTTAATTTCCCTCAAGAACTTTTCCTTTGCATTCACAACTTGGCTGTTTAGCTCAAGAGGCCTTTCAGCCTCTTTGCTTTCAACTTCCCTTCCTTATTAAATGTAATCATTTCTAGCTTTTGATTTAAAGTGAGAGACTTGCTCCTCTTCCTTTCACTTGAACTCTTAGAGATTATTGTAGAATTATTAATTAGCCTCATTTCAATATCGTTATGTCTCAGGGATTAAGGAGGTCTGAGGAGAGGGAGACGAGGAATGGCCAGTTGGTAGACGAGTCAGAACACATACATTTATCAGCTGTCTTATATGGGGGTGATTCATGGTGCCCCAAAACAGTAAACAGTAGTAACATCAAAGAGCACAGATGTGATGGATATGGTAATTACCTTGACCCTATCACCATACATTATATGTATCGAAATACTACCCCATGAATGTGTGTATTTATTGTGAAGTTTAAAAAGATTACTGATCATAGATCATCATAACTGGCATAATAGTAATGAAAAAGTTTGAAATATTGTGAAAATTACAAAAATGTGACACAAAGACATGAAGTGAGCATATGCTGTTGGAAAAATGGCTTCAATAGACTTGATCAATGTGGGGTTGCCACAAACATTCAATTTTTTTAAAAACAGTATCTGTGAAGCACAATAAAATGAAGTGCAGTAAAATGAGGTATGCCTGTAGAAGGTTTTAGATATTCAGGTGAGAGATGATGAGAGAGTGAACTAAGGCAGTGACAGTGGAGATAGAGAAAATGGGATAGTATTTGAGAAATATGCCAAGATTTAAATCAAAAGTTCTTCGTGACAGATTAGATAGAATAAAGGAGATCAAACAGCTATTCATTGTTGCTATTAAGATAGGCAATACGGGAGGAAGACCAGATTTAGGAAGTAACATGATAATTTCTGGATATGCTCATTTTTATGGTGCCCATGGGAGATTTTCTGTGGAGATGTAGGCAAGGAAATACAAATCTGAAGCTTGGGTGATATAGCTTTGAGAGACATCAACTATTTATATATATATAAAAAATATATATAAATATATAAAAAATATATAAAATACATAATATATAATATATATAAATATATATAAATATGTAAATATATATTATATATTTTTAATATATATAATATATAATATATATAATATATAATATATAATATATAAATATATATTAACTATATATAAATATATATAAATATATATAAATATATATATATTTGAATGTCTACTGTGTGTCAAGCACTGTCCTAGTGCCAGAGGAGACAGAACAATGAGTGAATTTTTAGTGAGGGGAAACATAAGCAAAAAATAATTTCAGATGAGTACTGTGATGAAAATGAAACTAAAAGGATGGAGAGTGACAAGACTGTATGTAAGGGTGGTAGCGTAGTTTAGATTGAATGCTTGGGTTTACTTTCTGGGGAGGTAATAGTTACACTGTGACAAAATGAAGAGAATATTGGTATGTGTGTGGATCTCTGGGAAGAGCATTTCAAGGAGAGAGAACAGAAGATGGTAAAGATGGGAAATGAGAGATGGGAGATGAACTGGTCTAGTTTGAAAACAGAAAGGAGCCCAGTGTGACTGGAGACAAGCAGACAAAGGGAAAGAGTTGGAGAAGTTGAACGCAGAGAGGTACAGTGGGTGACAAATCATGAAGGCGCTAAGCGGCCATGGTCAAGAGTGTGGCTAGTTTTCTAAGTACAGTGGGAAGCCTTTGGGTAGTTTTAGCAGGAGAGTAACAAAATCTGTTTTGTGTTTTAAAATGATGGCTCTAGCCACTCTGGGGAGAATATTGTTGAGAACGAGAGTGAAGGTAAGGGAACTGGTCAAGTGACTACTGCAGCAGACAGGCAAGAATTGATGGTGGCTTAGCGTAGGGGGATAGCAGTGAATGGGCAAGGGAGTCAGATGGCTTTTCTTCAGTCACCTCCATTGTGACCGAATTGAAGAACCAGTTTATCATTGGATCTGTTATGAATTCTAGGTATTTTTGTAAGTATATATATAAAGTATTATTTTGAAAACAGACCCTATCAATGAAATTTATTCTAAAATTACATAGTTTTGGGATTCAAATTAGAACATTTGATAAAATATCTCAGTGATTCTATAATATTTCACATTTATGAATGTTTATTAGGTGTGTAAAACATTTTCAAACAATTTTGATTCATTATACTACATATTTTCTTGTAAAATAATGAAGTTTTGACTTGCTTTGTTAATTAGTGGTTGGGTGAATAAAAATTTACTCAAAGCAGGACTACTACATTGTGAGAGTAAATTGGCAACAGTGCTATTTATTTGAGCTCTGTTTAAAAAGGAAAAAAAGGACTCTCCGTATATCTAGCTTTCTCCTGTGTGAGCACTACACTTTAACAAGGATATTTCTGGACATAGTAGGAAGCATGGACTGTGGTGGGGAGAGATTGGGGATTAGTATACCAGTTAAGAGGCTTTTAAAGTAGTCTAGGCAAGAGAATATTAGAAACTCTAAACCAGACAGTGAAATTTTTAGAGTGGAATTGTGGTGAAGATTACTTTGAGACTTTTATGAAGTAGAATGAAAAGATTTGAAGAAGAATTAGATGTCTGGAGGTTAGGGAGAAGAAAAAAATTGGATGATTCTGAGATTATAAGCATCAGAGAATGGGTAGTTGGTGATGTCGTAATATAAATGAGAGGTAGAATCTGTAGTCGCAGTAGGCTTGGTTAGAGTCAGTGAGTAGTTTTCAAAATGGTAAATTAAAGGCACCATCTTTGGGACTCCCTGGGGAAAAACGTAAAGAAGGCAGTTGAAGAAAGGTGAGTGCTGTAACTAATACTTGGAAATTATCATCATATAGAAACTAGATGAAGCCTCAGAAATAAATGAGATCACTCAAGAAAAGAATGAAAACCTGAGAGATAGCATCAGCAGTGATAGTCTGTCCTTAAATAGAATGAAGACAGTATGTGACTGGTTTGTCAGTTGTCATTCCTGATCTTTTCCAAGAAGTTTGAGGAGAGCTGTGGCTGAGATGGCACGGGTGGAGAACTGGAAAGATAACGCATAATACAGACTACTCTTTGAAAAGTGTGGTGGGGAAAAGGAGAGAGATAAGGCTGTGACTTAAAAGAGAAATGAGGTTCCATATAGGGATTTTTAAAAGTTACTATTTAAGGATGGAGAAGATGTTAGCACATTTATAGATGCAGAAATAGCAAATGAAAAAATATTGAAGTTTTAGAGGAATAACCCATGGATCATGGTCCCACAGTGGGTGGGAAGTAGTTGATTCATTGACAGGTAGTAGCCTTGTAGAGGAGGAAGGGCATACTTTCTCCTGAGATACAAGGAATAAAGAATGATGGTAATGTATTTGATTCTGCAAGTGAAAGGGAATTTCAGTAAATCATAGGTGATAAGCTCTTTTTTTCCTTTTTCTTCTGACAAAGTAGTCTTTTGACAATTTAGTGTGGTAAATGTTTGAAATAGAGAATATGAGAGAACTTGAGAAGGGGCAAGTAATAGGATTGTGCAGCAGTATTTGGGAGCTTGTTTCTTTTTGTAGGACCAGGGCAATTTGAGAATATTGCAATACTTGGGGATAAGAATAGGAAGGAAGGCCCTGGAATGGAGAAAAGAGCTGTGGAAAATAAGAGGTGAGGGGAGATGATTACTTCATGATTTGCCTAGGGCTGCCTATATTGAAATGTGTGCAGGCAAGCTATTGCTAGGCCACTGGGGAGATCTTTTCACTGAGTCCAAATGTGAACTACATCATTAATGCTGTTTTATCAAACCAAAGTATATAAAGGAAGTTCTGTTAAAGCAGAAAATTATCATTATAGAAAAGGACTTGTGAAAAGTTCTACAACATTTGAAACAGGTATTTTCATGTAACTTAAATTTATGAAGGACAAGTTATTGTCTTTTTAGTTCATATTTTTAGTTCATTTTATTACCAGTATTTTCAAAACGTACCCAGCTCAGTCTTTAGTTGTTAGAAGTGAAGGGCTAACAAGGATATCCAGTTGTCTATAGTGTTGATGCTTGCTATAGGGAAATTTGCAGTGAGGAAAACATATTAAAATAGTACTGTTGTTCAGTTGTAATTTCATCTATTTAAAGTGTTCTTTCACTACATTGAACAAATTATCAGATTGCCTAAGTTTCTTATAACCAGAAGTCTTTCATATAAGAAATGTGAGGTTAAAACTTAAAATAACCTGTTCATTATAGATTGGATAATCTGCTGTTTCACTGAGTTAGGACCTCTTTGGAATTCGCAAATTTCTGAAACTGTGCTAAATAAATAAGGCTATTATGAGCAAGGTTTTATGTGTACACACACAATCAAAGTTTTCTAATATTTGGACTATGTTTTAATATTCCATGCAAGGATTCTGTGTATGGTGTGTCTGTGTTTCTCTGTCTTGTTAATGTGAGCATTCATGCCCAGAAGGGATGACTGGGAGACATTATGCCTTTGAAGAAGATAATTTGTTTCCAACTTATTTTTACTGTCAAAAATGTTTTTTGTGCTTATTTTTAATGCAGTGCTTTGTATATACTTTTGTGAAATATTTCGCCCAGTACTTTAAAGGATGATACATAATCAAAAGTAAAAAACACACCGAGTGTTGAATGAGGCAGGAATAAAATACAGTCGTGCATCACTTAACAAAGGGGATACATTCTGAGAAATGCATCATTGGGCGATTTCATGATCGTGCAAACATAGAGAGTACTAACACAAACATAGATTGTACTAACACACACATAGATGGTATAGTCTGTTATACATGTGGGCTATTTGGCCTATTGTTCCTAGGCTACAAACCTGTATAACATTTTACACTTGTGGCTTACCATGAATGGAGCTTGCAGAACTGGCAGTTGCTCTGGGTGAGTGAGTGGTGAGTGAATGTGAAGGCCTAGGACATTATTGTACACTACTGTAGACTATAAGAAATTTATTTTTTAAATTTTTTCTTCAGTATTAAATTAACCTTATCTTACTATAACTTTTTTACTTTCTAAACTCCAGCTCTTTTGTAATAACACTTAGCTTAAAATACAAATGCATTGTACAGCTGTACAAAAATATTTTCTTTTTTAATATCTTCTATAAGCTTTTTTTTTTTTTTTTTTTTATGGAGTCTTGCCCTGTCACCCAGGCTGGAGTGGAGTGGTGTGATCTGGGCTCACTACAACTTCTGCCTCCTGGGTTCCAGTGATTTTCCCGTCCCAGCCTCCCAAGTAGCTGGGATTACAGGTGTGCACCACCGCACCTGGCTGTTTTTTGTATTTTTAGTAGAGTCGAGGTTTCATCATGTTGGCCAGGCTGGTCTTGAACTCCTGACCTCAAGTGGTCCACCTGCCTCAGCCTCCCAAAGTGCCGGGATTACAGGTGTGAGCCACTGCACCCAGCCCTATAAGCTTTTTTCTATTAATTTTTTTTAACCTTTTAATCTTTTTTATTAAAAACTAAGATGCAAACACATTAGCCTTGGCCTACACAGGGTCAGGATCATCAATATCAGTGTCTTCTACCTTCACATCATGTCCCACTGGAAAGTCTTCAGGGGGCAGTAACACCCATGGAGCTATCATTTCCTATGATAACAGTGCCTTCTTCTGGAATCTCCTGAAGAACCTGCCTGAGGATCTTCTTGCGGGGGTGTCACTCTTTTCAGAAATCTGTTCATGGTGGTTTCCTTGGGTTTGTTTCTGTTTTTCATCATAGATTTGCTTGTAAGCAGATCTATGAACATTCCTCTCTAGTAATGAAAACCTTTCATTGTTGGGGTTCATGTTTTCAAACTTGTTAAGCAGCTTGTTGAAGTCTGCAAAAACTTCTGCTAAACCCTTCACTGTACATTTTCTTGAGAGAATTATTCAGCTGCATTATAATCTTTTGGAACCACTGTTGTATATGTAGTCTTTGGTCGACTGAAATAATGTTATGTGGTACATGACTGTATCCAAATTGATGAGGTAATTCTAGTAGCTTATAAAATATCTTACATAACAAGATCCATGTCATTTCCCCCTGAATCAAGGACAAAGAAGAAAAAAGGTTTGTTATTTTAAGTATAACATATAATATTCAAATGTGAATTATGTTTGATTGTAGGTCAATAATTTTTGAGCCCCAGTTTCTTATGAGAATGGAATTGGTAGTGTGCCAGTTAAGGAAAATTTATGGTGACACTAGATAAACATGGCAGTAAGTAGAAGCAGTTCATTTTGTATAAGTTAAATCGTTACATTTATAAATATAAAGAATAGCCATTTAACTATTTTTTATAGGTTTTTAAATTATAGTTTTTACATCTTACGTTTTAGTTGAATGTTTTACTGAAATATATTTCATGTCATAGTATAGATAAAAAAGAATTTAAGAAACCATGTCATCTAAGGATGACTTTGTCTTCTCCAGGTTTCTGTCCTCAAGCGAAAAAATCTTGCCTGTTTTTAACTCTAGAAAAGTGGTTATAATTATTTGATTTTTCAGCATGCAAACTAGTAACTATTTACACATGATAGATATACTTTTTTTTTAGGTTTTTATTTTTTATTAAAACTATTAATGCACATATGGATGAAAGACTAGAGGTGCTCCCCAACTCTATTTCTGTTTCTTCCTCCCAGGAGGCTACTACATCGAACATTTTTAGCTGACTGTTTTGGTATCATGTCAGTAAATGGTGTGCTTATGTTGCTAATTCTTATTTTTTTGGTTTTAACCATTATGGAGGATGAGGATTTAGCTCTTTACATTTTCCTTCACCACGTATGCATATCATATACTCTTCCAATCCCTCAGTTCTTTCACCCTAATTATATTAGTAATTTTGATTAGATTAGTATTTGTTAGCAGATCCACTAGTAAATTGTAGTTGCTATTCTCTATTCCTGTATTTTCATTTTCTCAGACTTCATTTATTTGCTTCATTTTTTTGTATATGCCACTTGGCTATAATTCAACCCCGAAATCTGTGCTTGTTTTCAAAATCAACTTTCAGTGCATTCATTCTGATTTGTCAACTTCATTTTCTTGAAGATGTCACTCCTGGAGCCTTCTAAGCTGAATACGGACTCATTTTCTGAAGCTGGTGTACACGTGTCACCGATCTTCTTAGAAATTATCTTTGCCTTTTTCCTGAGTTGGGCCTTCTAGATCCTGTATTCTCTGTCTCCCTCTTTATGTTTTGCTTGTTTCATGCTTTGAGAGCAGCATGTCTTTTTTTTTGTTTTTGTTTTTAATCTTTCTGAGGAAAAGTGTTTGTGGTAGGTTAATTTTGTGAAACCTTATGAGCAAGTCTGAAAATTATTTTTAACTATCCTCACACTTGATTGATGGTTTGGCAGGGTAAAGAATTCCTGGGGGAAATGTTTTTAAAGGCATCATTGCATCATCTTCTACCTTTAGATGTCATCATTGAGCCATTCAGAATCATTCCTGATTCTTGACACGTGATTTTTTTCTTTTTTCTCAGTATTCTGATATTTCACAACAAAATATCTTAATATGAGTCCATTTTCATCTGTTTTGCTGGGTGCTCAGTGTACTCCAGCAACTTACATCTTTCATTTCTGGAAAATGTTAAATATTTCATTATTGTTTTTCTCCCCTCCATTTTGTCTCTCCTTTCTTTCCAAAACCCATCTGGTTTAGATGCCCTCTAATCAGGTTCTCTAATTTTCTTCTGTTTTTCTACTCCTGTGCTTTTCTACTTTTTGTGGTATTTCCTCACATTTACCTTCCATGATTTCCATTGAATTTTTTCTTTCTGCTTTTGTATTTTTATTTTCTAAGAGCTCTTTTGTTTCCTCTGTAACTATCTTATTCTAGTTTCATGAGTATGATATTCTTCTTTTTCTTTGATAATTTTTATAACTGTTTCTTTTTTCAACCTGAGTAGTTTTTACCTATTTGTTTATTTTAATCTCTTTCATTTACTAGGCTTTTCTCAGCTATCCAGTATCCCAAGATTCTTAGCTCATTAAGAGTGGGGGACTAAAAACCTGATGCTCTGATTTCATGTTGAATGTCACTGTAGCTAGTTTGTAGCTGGGTTATTTGGGGGTAATACCTGATCTTCATGTCTGTGTCTTTCTTGTTGACTGGTCATATTCTGTAGACTATGAAGAAGACTTCACATCTGCCTGGAAAGTAAAGACCAAGCTGAAGGCTTCAGATAGTCAGGAGGGAGAATCAGGTGGAGGGGTTTGTATCAGCATTTAATAATCCTGTCTTCTATATTATTTCATTGTCTTTGGTCGAGAGGTACCTCTTATCTTACTCTCTCCAGAAAATAAGCCCCTAGTTTTCAGTTCTGTGTAGTGGAGGAAGGTGGGTGATATGGTTTGGCTTTCTGTCCCCACCCAAATCTCATCTTGAATTGTAATCCCATAATTCCCACATGTCATGGGAGGGACCTGGTGGGAGGTAATTGAATCATGAGGGTGGTTTCCTGTTCTCTTGATAGTAAATGAGTTCTCACAAGATCTGATGGTTATATAAGCATCTGGTATTTTCCCTGCTGCCACTCATTCTCTTTCCTGCTGCCCTGTGAAGAGGTGCCTTCCACCATGATTGTAAGTTTCCTGAGGCTGGGGAGCCATGTGGAACTGTGAGTCAATTAAACCTCTTTTCTTCATAAATTACCCAGTCTTGGGTCATACCAGCATGGGAACAGACTAATACAGTAAGAAGGCATCCCTCTGTAAACCAGGAAGTGAGCCAGCACCTTGATCTTGGACTTCCCAGCCTTCAGACCTGTGAGAAATAAATTTCTGTCATTTAAGCTACCCAGGCTATATTTTTGTCATAGCAGCCTGAATTAACTGAGACAGTGAGCTTAGGACTAGCTGAGAAAACCAGCAGCTTTGCTGCCCAAAAGTTGTGGAGTGACTTGATTCAGGCTAGGGAAGAAAGAGAAGACACACAAACTAAACCTGTGACTTTGCTGGTGAAAAGTGGTGGATTTGGTTGGAAACAAATAGAGAAAACCTGCTGCTGTGCTAATTTGACATTGTGGACCAGCAGAAATTTAATAGGGAAATCCTAGAAATGAGAGAGCCATGGAAGGGTTAAGATGAGCTCTCCACATAGAGACCCAGGAGAGCCTGGAAAAAAGTGAAAGCTGATGGGGACTTGACAACTGGCTGCAACTTTGAATGCATTTCCCAGTCCATCACAGCTCAACTCACTGAGAGTGAAGTCTTAAAAGCTTGAGGTTTTTGAACACAGCCGTTGCTGATTTGTCCACAACATTGGCTCAAATGGCTGTTGGAGCACAATATTGGTCCATCATTAAGCTTTACAGACATAGGTACAACCCCAAGAGAGTCAGACTAAAATGTAAAAATAAGAATTAAAATATTAAACGGATGTCCTGACAGCATACCTTGGAGGGAAACAGATTCTGCAGTTTAAGTCTAGACCAATTATTTAAAAACTCAAACTCTGAAAAAAAAATAATAAATCTAGAGTTACTGTTAAGGGTTCCATATTCAACCCCAAACTGCTAGACATGGCAAAGAAAAGAAATACCAGGAAAATGTGAGTCATCATCGGGAAAAATAGTCAATAAAACGGACTCTGACTGGGCTCAGTGTTGGATTTAATGAAGACTTCAAATTGGCTATTTAGAATATATTGAAAGAATTAAAGGAAAATACAGTCTGGGCATTGTGACATGTGCCTGTAGTCCCAGCTACACAGGAGGCTGAGGTGGGAGGATTACTTGAGCCCGGTAGTTCAAGACTATGATCACACCTGTGAATACCCACATCAGTCTAGCCTGGGCAGTAAAGACCCTGTTTCTTTCAAGAAAAGAAAAAAAAAAAAAAAAAAGGAAAAAAGAAAAATATGTGAACAAGATGCTAACAGGACACAATAAATAGAGAACCTCAGTAAAGAAGCAAACTCAAAAAGAACCAAGTAGAGATTTTAGATTTGAAAAGCACAGTATTTGAAATGAAAATTTCATTGGATAGGCTCAACAGATTTAAGATGGCAGAGAAAATGTGAAGATCAATAAAAAGTATTCCAACAAGAGAAAGAAAAGAGATTTGTAAGAATAGGGAACAAAGCCTTGGAGACATGTGGGACAATGTCAAACATTCCAACACACATGTAATGGGAGTTTCAGACAGAAAGGAAAGAGAGAGACAGAAAAAAATATTTGAAGTAATAGTGGCCCCAAACCATCTCAAAGTTTTACTAAATTCTGGTAGAAAATAAAACTTAAAAAGAATTTCAGTAAGATGAAATAAGCACACTATACCCTAACTTGGCAGAGACAGTGAGCTCTGGTCCTTTCAGCTTCTGATAAGGGCATTCCTGCCAAGATGGGGGCTCCACCCTCATGACCTAGTCTAACCCTAATCACCTCCCCAAAGACTCCACCTCCAAATACCATCCCACTGGGAATTAGGGTTTTAGCATATGAATCTGGGAGGGACACAAACGCCTAGGCCATAGCACTGATCAAGCTTCGGTTATCACCAACTGAGCTGGGGCCCTGGGGAGGTACATGGGGACAGCCCCAGGCAAGAAGGCCACAGAGTCACACTGTTCTTACCTCAAGCTCTAGCAGTTTTGCCAGAATAAATGTGCCTCATTTTTATAACGGCCTTTGGGCAATTTTCAGCACCCTTAAAAGACTGCCTTTGATGATGCTGTCCAGTTTTATATTTGCTTTTTTGCAGAGGGGAACTGCCAATCTCTTCATGCCAATATTATCAGAAATTGAGTAATGTTTGTAATAAAAGATTTTCAACATTTTACTATTACTAAACTTTCATAGTCACAACTTTGTTATCAAGTGAAAGAAATCATTGTGATATGGGCAATATTGTTTCTAATGATGAAATTCATTAGGATGTTCACTGCAGCATTTCTTGAAGACATGGGAAAAATAGAAACAACTGCCATGTTCCTCAGACGCTAAATAAACTACACTCATCCTATGAATCTGCAACAACTAAAAGAATAACATGGTTTCATATGTACTAATGTGAAATGTTCTCCAAAATACATTTTTCTGTGGGAAAATAAGTTTCATATATCACTGATATAGTAAGATATTACTTATATAAATACAGTAACACATTATGTTTTAGATATTTATATAAGTATAGAAATGAAGCATATATCTTCATATTTTCTACAGATACAAATATGTAAATATGTAAGAATAGGTCTATAAAGACATAAAGAATAGGTCTATAAAGACATAAAGAATAGGTCTATAAACACATAAAAACAAAGTATAACATGCATTACCCCTAGGGAAAGAGCAGAGATGGAAAGCTGGCCAAGTTAAAAAGGCTCTTGTCTCTATCCAGTAATACCTGAAATTTTTTACAAAATTAATTTATGTATACCTGTGTAATAAAACAATAATTTAACAAATGGATTGCCCAAGCTATCAGCTATGTATATGGAAAGTCAACATCATGAGGATTCCTAGAAGTTTCTATACAAATTCACAGAGATTAAAGAAAACCATTTGATGAAATAAAATTAAGCACCCTTATATAAAAGATTTTATTAGGTGAAACATGCTTGGCATCATTTCTCAAGTCATGGATTTGTCAACCCAAAGATGATCTCCTTATATAGAACATTTCATCTTTTAAAATCCCATGACTTATATGTTAGTTTGTGCTTTTTATCATGGATTTCTTTCCTAGTAGTAAGCCATTTCAGTATGTGTCACATTCAATAATATCTTTTAATAACTTTAACAGGTGCATTTCAAGTTACAAGATTTCTTTATGCCTACAGTTAAGAATTACTATGAATGAAACTTATTAACAATTACTCTTAATTCTTTAAATCGTCATCTTATGAATCAAGTATTTTCTGCTAGAAATACTTTACCCTAATTACAACCTTCATAGATTGTAAAAAGGAAACAGACTCCAAGACACTGTGGCAATAAATGGAAATAATTTGTCTTCCACAGTTCTTTTAAGAAGAAAATGATTTTATAGGTGATAGGAGAGGGCCTTGAGATACTATGTCAAAGTGAATTTAAGTACTATCTTTATATTTTGAGCTCTGGCTTTTCATATTCTAGCATTTGTTGTTGAGATTAGTTTTTCACTGACACTTTGAAAAATTAGTCAGAAAGAGATGGTTGATGAGTTGCAGAATATAGATAAAATAGAATAGCATTTATGTTTTTAGTAAAGTAGGCATTTAATTAGGTTTTTTTTTGTTTCATTTTGTTTTTTTGAGATGGGGTCTTGCTATGTTGCCCAGACTGGTTTTGAATTTGGGCTTAAGCAATCCTCCTGCCTCAGCCTCCCAAAGTTCTAGGATTATAGGAATGAGCCACTGCTCCTGGCCTATTTACTTTTATTATACAGGTTGAGTATCCCTAATCTGAAATGCTTGGAACCAGAAGTGTTTCAGATTTGGGATTTTTCTGGATTTTGGAATATTTGCAAATACATAATAAGTTGTCTGGGGAGAGGACCCAAGTCTAAACATAAAATTCATTTATGCTTCATGTACACTTTGTGTACATAGCATGAAAGTACTTTTATATAGTGCTTTTAATTTTGTGCATGAAACAAAGTTTTGACTATGACCTGTCACGTGAGGTCAGGTGTGGAATTTTCCACTTGTGGTGTCCTGTTGGTGCGCAAGAAATTTTGGAGTTGGGAGCATTTCAGATTTTTGGATTAGAGATGTTCAACCTGTATAACCTTATGAGTTGTATCAATGTCATTTATATTTTTCAGGTAAGAAGATAGATGTGTGGTTAGATTTTTTAAAAATACTACATTGGGGAAAATGAGATTATAATTCAGAATTTAGTTTTTACTCTATTTAATCACTCCTTTTGCCACACATGTCCTCAGCATTTATACTGGAGTGTTTTATGAAGCAATTCATTATTATTATTCTAACATATAATGAAATGAAGCCCTCTTAATGAAAATGTCATTGCTACAACCTGTTTAAAGGACAGTATGACAGTATCTGACAATTGAAAAATCATGTATCCTTTGATCTAGGAATTCTACTTTTAGCTCTTAGTGTTTACTTGCTAATGTATGTGTATCTCTCTCTCTCTCTCTCTGAACACACACATGATATATATGTGTATATATATGTGTATATATGTGTGTGTATATATACACGTGTATATATGTATGTGTATATATACATATATGTGTGTATATATACATATATGTGTGTGTATATATACATATATATGTGTGTATATATACATATATGTATGTATATGTATGCGTATGTATACACACACATATACATATGTGTGTGTATGTGTATTTGTTTTTGGATGCTGATTGCCACACTAATTACAACTGCAGAAATGGAAGCAGCCTGTATGTCTTTCAGTAGAGGACAGACGAGATAAATTTTGATGCATGCATACAATGAAGTACTAGGTATCTCTAAAAGAATGAGCTTCAATATGGAAAAATCACTAAGATTTTATTAAACAATTGCATTCATGTAAATAAAAATTGATGTATTCAATTTTGTCTGAAAGTTTTGTGTAAATTTGTCTAAAAGGCTAGAAAGAGACTTCTTTAGGGGAGAAGATCAGTTTTTGTTTTTTGATTTTTAAATATTTCAATGTAATTAGACTACATCTTTTACCACATACATGTGTGTTTATATACACATACATACACATATTTATATACATATGTGTGAACCTGTAATGGATTTTTTTAAATGTTATATGTAAAGGTTTTTTTACTCACTGTTCATCACAACTTTGGAGTCTACTCCATTATCTCCTGTTGTTCAGTACTATCAGTAATAAATGTCATGCAGGTTTGATTATTGTTCCTTTTACATTAACATTTTTCTTTCTGGAAATCCCCATTTTTTTATGTTTTAAACATTCTGAGGTTTCACTTAGTGTTTCTAGATTTGGGCCATTTTCATTCCATCTGCTCTGCACATGGTAGACCCCTTCATTCTAAAGTTTTCTGTGTCATTTAAACTCAAATACATTTTCTTCTATTACTTCTTCAACTATTTCCTCTCACACTTATTCTATTCTTGTCTTATGAAACTCTTAATAGGTAGTGTTGGATTTGCTTCTGGGTTCTAACTTTACTCATATTTGTCATCTTTGTTCTGCATTTGGAAGATTAACTTGACTTGATTTTCTGGATTAGCAGTTTCAACTTTATTCTGTCATTTAGTCTGCTGTTACATTTTAATTTTAATTTTAATTTTTGTTTTTATTTTAGAAACAGTGTCTTGCTGTTACCTAGTAGCACAGTCACAGCTCACTATAACCTTGAACTCTTTGGCTCAAGTGATTCTGCTGTCTCAGCCTCCCAAGTATCTGGGACTACAGGCACATTGCCACCATGCCCAGCTAACTAATTTATTTATATTTTCTTTTTGTAGAGATGAGGTCTTTCTCTATTGCCCAGGCTGGTCTCAAATTCCTGGCCTTAAGCCATCCTCCCACCTCAGCCTCCTGAAATGCTGGCATTACAGGTGTGAGGCAGCATGGCCAACCTTAGATTTAAATTTGACAATAATGTTTTTAAGTGCCAGGAACTTTCTTATTTTTTGGTTGCTCCTTTGCTTCCTTTTAGTGACTTGTTCTTTTATGAACACAGTAGCTTCTCACATATCTCTCAGAATGCTAACAAAAATAAAATGTTAAAATTCTCTTCTATTCTCAGCACCATCTGTTTTTCCCCCAGTTTAGTTTGCTTAGTTTACCCGCTGTCACTGATGTTTTCTTCAAATGCCTGGTGATATAATTGCTGAGTTTTATTTATAAATGAAGGACTAGGGTGATGATTCAGGATTATATCTGATGAGGATTTCCTCTGTATTTGTGTAGGCTGCTCCTCCCCTCCTCCCACCAGCCTTCTACCTGGAATGGGACGTCATGGTCAGGCACTGAGTAAGTGGTGGGTTTGTCCTCAGGCAGACTGCTGCTTCAGATTTATAGGCAGAGAGCAGGTGGGAGCCCTTAAAATAACTAAATTAAGAAGGAAGAGTACTCTGGATATGGGACATATTAGGGTAAGGCTTTGAGTGGAAGAACAGAAGGGAAGAAAATGGCACCACCCCTAGAGTTACTGGGAAATGTATTAAGGGGAACTTTTGGTTGTTATAACACCTGTGGAAGACAACAGCCGTTTGATGAAAAAAGGAATTTTTTTCTCCCTAAGTGCCAGTGGTTTCCTGTTTGAAAAACCCTGCTTTAGTGCATTCACTCCTAGGCAATCTCCCTTCCTCCATCCCTCCTCCTCTAGTGTCCTTTGCAAAGAACGAGATCTACCTCAGCCTCTACTCTCTTTTTTTTCAGGCTCCCACATCCCCATTCAGAGCCCTCCCCAAAGAGAACAAACCCCCACTGTCTTTGGAAAGAAGTTTGTGGTATTTAGTCAGGCCAAAATGTGGGCTCTTCTATATGCGATTCCTTAATGGCCTGGAATGACTGCCCCTCCACTGTGCCTGCACTTTGTTGTTGTTGTTGACTCCAAGCTTGAATTTTCTCTAGGAATGGTTTAGGAAATTCAGCTCTACATTTGTTTTAAGGCTTTAAATACTGATCATAAATTCAGTGTTTTTAAGATGAATTCAGTTTAGTTTTTTCCACTAGGATACTTCCAGTGGTGTGTCCCCGTGTGTCTCATGTTCTTAACACCCCACCAAACCCATCAAATAAAGAGTTAACTGCTTTCCCTTATTTCCACAATACTAATAATGCAGTAGGAAGTATTGTTCTAGGAGTTTTCCATGTATTATTTAGCAATAACAAACCTGTGAGTTAGATACCATTGTCATTCCCCCATTTAACAGGTGAAAGAAACCCACTTTAGGAGGGTAAGTAATTTACCCGGGTTTTCAGGACTAGTTAAGTGGTAGAATGCAGGTTCTTTACCACTGTGCTGTATCACCTTTTTCTGTGATTACTTTATGATGATCTTATCACCAGTTTCATACATGTGTTTATACATTTTGGTCTACTCTAATAAATTTGAGTTTTTGGGGAACAGATGGTTTGTCCATATATTTTCTTCAACATCTAACCACGTGCATAGCGTCTAGCTGTGAGTAAATACCTATGGAATTAGCTGTGCGCAAAGTCCTACTTTTCTTTGATTCAATGAAATATTACTAAATTACAGTTTCAAGATAGTAGTTTGAGAGGGAAGATATGGATAGCATATTGTCAGTTTATAGAAAATTATTTTTATTGATTTAATGTTTTAAGTGAACTCTGGTTATGGTCAAATCAGTATGTGAAAATAGTTGCATCAAAATTTAATCTTAAGAAAATGAAATTTCAGTCAGTTCTTTTTTCTTTATCATCTCTTGGAAATGTACTTTACAAAATAATGTTGCTGCTGTATTGCAAAAACCTTAGAAATAGTGCAGATGACTTTTAAGTGCTTCCTTTAAGAAAATACTTAAAAATAATGCATAGAATGAGATTTTGTTTTTCATTTCATGGATACTGTAAGTTATGCAACATGGATCTGGTGAAATAATTATTTTATCTGTAAAATATAAGAGCAGAAGTAATTTTTAACATCTTATGAATGCTTAATTTAGCTGTCATATTTTCAATGGAAATTCAGTTTGTTGAATTAAATGGGTGTGAACCTATCACCTAATGTAGTTACAAAAGGATTTTTAATATTAAAATAGGCACGGCCTAGTATATTAAGAATAGCTCATTTACTTACAGTTCTAAACCTGGGTAGAAATGCTTTTGTAAAACAATTGTTACAGAAAACTTCTGGGGCAGAATATAGGCGAATAAATAACACTTTTATTACATTTCCTTAACATAATAAACTGTATTGTAGACAGCTAGAAATACATTTATAGGCAGGAAGTATTACCGTAAAAGCTTGCCATTTTAGTAGACTAAAGATGCCACTTCTATCTTTATGCCTTGTTATGCAATTCACGGGAAGTTGATAGCTTTAAGAGTACTACTCTATAAACAATATCACCTTTTGCTGCTTCCAAGTATTACACAATTTTATTTATAAATAGTAATATGTACATTTAAAACTATTCTTGATTTTGGTAACAGAAAAATGTAACATTTTTGTGACTGTGAAACTATGCCACCAAGAAGTAATGATGTCCCAGATGTGGCCTAGTTGTTGGGGATGCAAAGATGATTTCTGCACTCATAAAACTTAGAGTTTAGAAAGGAAGTTGCACATTAAATACCAAAAAATTTAATTATATAGGTTTATCAGAATTATGAAGTATAGAGTACTATGAAAGTATGTCTTAGGAGAAGTTATCCTAATTAGGGCAGTTAGGGACATTGATATTTTGCCCTTAAAGAATGAGTGTGAATTAGGTATGCAAAGATGGTTGTGTATAGGTGGTGGTAAGTGCAGGGAGGGTTTTGCATCAGGGCTGGGGTAATACTGGTATGTTTAAAGCTGTGGGAGTGGTGCAAATTGAATCTAGCAATATATTAAAATGCTTATAAGCCATAAAATCACATTTTAATTCCTCATAAGTTATATGTAGATACCAGGCTGTTGGGGTAGTCTGGGTACGATATGATAATGGCAAGGACTCATTAGGGGGTGATGGAAAGAAACTGATAGATTCTAGATTCTAGAAATATTTACGAGGTAGAATTTACTGCTTCTTTGCTGTGTCTGTTTCTACTCCTACCACTTTTAAGCTTTGAAATACTTTTGAATATTTTTGTACAGTGTTTCTCTTTAGCTATTCCCTTTGTTCATGTGGTTTTTTGCCTTAATACTTTGCTGCTGTTTTAATAGAGATTGTGAAGAAAAAGAATATAAACTCAGGTAGTCAATCTAACATATTTTACTGAACCCTAGGCCCACTGATTTGAAATGTCACCTTTATTGTATATTGTTTCATTTAACTACTCTGAAGATTTGTCTGTTCCTATGATAATACTGCACTATTTGAATATACAGTGTTTTTACAGTTGATAGCAGGTACCTCCTTGACATTTATGCTTTCCTAAAAAATCATGTTGGCTAGTTTTACGTACTTTCTTTTTCAGGTAAATTTTAGGATAAATTTACCCAAAATGCTTTTGGGATTTCTATTAGGATTTATTCATTTTTTTTTAAAGAATAATTTGGAGAGAATTGGCATTTTTACGTTATTGGATCTTCTTACCTCAGAACACGGCTTCTCCATTTAATCAATTTATTTTAAATGTCTCAGCATAATTTTAATAATTTTCATATCTGTCTGAACATTTTAGTCTTATTTGGTTATTACGATTATTTAGGAAAACTGTTGATTTTTCTGTGTTGCTCTTATTTATAGTCAGCCAAACTCTCATAAATAACTTTACTAATTTTTTCACTGATTTCTTCAGACCTTTCTGCAGTTCTTGAGAATGCACTTATATCATCTGCATTTCTTAAAATGCTATGTCTTACTACATTACTTAAAACTTAAACTACAAGTTTGAAAAGTAGTCATCGTAGTGGGCATTCTTGTCTAGTCCCTGACTTAATAGTAAAGCTTCTGACATTTCTCCATTAAATGTGATGCTTCCTATAGAACCTGGTATAAAATGACTCTTATTTCCTTCTGTTTTTACTAAGGTAAGGTTTTTTCCATCAGAATTGGGATTTGAATTCTATCTGATATATCTTAAGCATTGAGATGAGTTTGGGTTTTTTCCTTATTCTATGATATTATATTAAATTACATTATAATTTTTTAACTAAGTTTTGAAGTCTATGTAGAAATTGGAAAGCTTTCAGTCTTTTCTGTTTTGTTTTAAAAATGAATTATCTCCATCTTAAAGGTTTGATAGACTTTATTCTTAAATCTCTCCAGATCTCATGCCTTTTTTTAAAGAGAGGACCCTTGGAAATCTTTCAGTTTCTTCTATTTGATCTATTTCATTTTTTACTTCTTTCTTTGATAATTGACATTTTCTTAGAAAATCACCTACTTGACTAGATTTTTAAAATAAAGTTGTTCATTGTATTCTTAAAAGAGATTTAAAAATCTCTATACCTACAGTTATTTTCTCATCTCGTTTCTAATGTTATTTGTGTCTTGCCTTTTTTTAATTAATTGACACATTAATAATTGTACATATTTATGGGGTACTTAGTGATGTTTTAGTACATACAATGTTTAGTGATCAGATCAGGATAATTAGCATATCCATTGTCTCAAACATTTTTCATTTATTTGTGTTGGGAGCATTCGAATATCCTCTCTTCAGCCGCTTGAAAATGTATACTGTTGTCAACTATGGTCACCTTATGGTGCTATAAAACACTAGAACTTATTCCTCATATCTAGCTGTAATTTTGTGTCCTTTATCACATCTCTTCCTACCCCTTCTTTCCCCCTATTCTTCCCTGCCTCTAGTAACCTCTGTTCTACTTTCTACTTCTGTAAGATCAACTTTTTTAGCTTCCATGTAAGAGTGAGAACTTGTGATGTTTAACTTTCTGTTCCTGATTTATTTCACTTGATATCCTCCAGTTCCATCCAGGTTGCTGCACATGACAGGATTTTATTCCTTTTTATGGCTGAATAGTATTCCATTATGTATATATACCACATTTGCTTTATTCATTTATCTGTTATTGGACACTTTGATTGATTCTGTATGATGACTATTATGAATAGTGCTGCAGTAAACATGGGGGTGGCACAGATATCTCATTAATACACTGATTTCCTGTACTTTGAATAAATTCCCAGTAGTGGCATTGCTGGATGATGTGGTAGTTCTATTTGTAGATTTTAAGGAATCTCCCTACTGTCCTCCATTGTGGCTGTACTAGTTTACATTTCCACCAATAGTGTAAAAGAGTTCCTTTTTCTCCAAATCCTTGGTTAAATTTATTCTTAGGGTTTTTTTTCAGTTATTATAAATATAATAGCTTTCTTGATTTTTAATGTGTGTTGTTTGTGTATAGATATACTACTGATTTTTGTGTATTTGTGTTCTGAAACCTGACTAAATTTATCAGTTCCAAGAGTTTTTTTGGTAGTCTTTTAGGCTTTTCTTTATTGTAAGATCATGTCATATGTAAATAGTAACAATTTGACTTCTCCCTTTCCAATTTGGATGCCCTTTATTTCTTATTTGAAGAGAGACAAGGACATTGTAGTAAAAGGGTAAATTAAGCAACAGGCTAAATCAATTATAAATGCACACAACCCTGGAGCACCAGATATAAAAGGAAGTATTATTACATCTAAAAGGATAGACCCTGATACAATAATAGTTGGAAACTTCAGCATCCCATTCTCAGCATTGGACAGATCACCTAGTCAGAAAATCAACGAGATACCAGATTTAAACTGCACCATAGGCCAAATAGACCTAACAGACATTTACAGAACATTTCACCCAACAGCTGCAGAATACACATTTTTTTCGTCAGCACATGAAACATTTTCTAGGAAAAATAAAGGCAAACATACAATGTCAAAGGAAAGAAAAGTAATGAGAAGTACTGCCAACCACATTTATGACCATATGTTAGGGCATACAAGTCACAAAAATTTTTAAAAATCAAAATAATATCAAGTATCTTATCTGACCACAATGAAATAAAACTAGAAACCAGTAACAAGAGAAACATAAAACTGTACAAAAACATGGAATTTCAACCACATGATCCTGAATGACCAATGAATGAAGAAATTTAAAAGGAAATTTAAAAATTCCTTGAAACAAATAAAAATAGAAACACAATATATCAAAACCTGTGAGATACAGCAAAAGCAGTAGTAAGATACTAGTTTATAGCAGTAAATGCCTGCATCAAAAAAGGAGAAAGATTTCAAATAACCTAATGATGCATCTGAAGGAACTAGAAAAACAAGAACAAACCAAACTCAAAGGTAGTGAAAGGAAGAAAATAATAAGGATCAGAGCAGAAAGTAAAGACTAAAATAATACAAAGTCAACAAAAGAAGTTGGTTTTTTAAAAAGATAAAATCAACAAGAAAAAAAGAGCAAATCCAAATAAAATCAGAAACAAAACATGTCATAACTGATATTACAGAAACACAAGGATCATTGAAGACTATTAGGAACAACTATATGTCAATACATTTGAAAATCTAGAGAAAATAGATAATAAATTCCTGGACATATAAAACCTACCAAGATTGAGTCCAGATGAGATAGAAGACCTGAACAGACCAACAATGTATGATACGACTGAATCAGTAATAAAAAAAAAGACTCCCAACAAAGGAAAGTCCAGGACTGGATGGCTTCACCACTAAATTATCTTCTCAAACTATTCCAAAAATTGGAGGGGAGGGAATTCTTCTAAACTCATTCTACAAGGCCAAAATAACCCTGATACCAAAACCAGACAAGGACATCACACAAAAAGAAAACTACAGACCAATATCCCTACTGAACATAAATGCAAAAATCCTCAACAATATTATCAAACCAAATCCAACAACACATCAAAAAGATCATACAACATGATCAAGTGGGATTACAGGGATGCAGCAATGGTTCAATATACACAAATCAATAAATGTGACTCATGAACAGAATGAAAAATAAAAACCACATAATCATCTCAATAGATGCAGAAAAAGCGTTTTGTAAAATTCAACATTCCTTCCTGATAAAAACTCAATAAATTAGGTAGAGAAGAAATGTACCTTAACAAAATAATGGCCATATATGGCAAACCCACAGCTAATATCCCATTGAAAGCTGAAAAGCTTTGAGCTTTTCCTGTAAGGACTGGAACAAGACAAGAGCATCCACTCTCACCAGTCTTATTCAGCACAGTACTGGAAATTCCAGCAAGAGTGACAGAAAGGAGAAAGAAATAAAAGCCATCCAAATTGGAAAGGGAGAAATCAAATTGTTACTGTTTACATATGGCATGATCTTACAATAAAGAAAAGCCTAAAAGACTCTACAAAAAAAACTCTTAGAAATGGTAAATTCAGTAAGGTTTCAGAATACAAAATAAATACACAAAAATCAGTAGTATTTCTATATACAAACAACACACATTAAAAATCAAGAAAGCCATTATATTTACAATAACTGAAAAAACTTTTAAAGTCTGTTTTATCTGAAATGAAATAAGTGTAGCTTTTGGTTTTCATTTACATGGAATATCTTTTTTCATCTCTTTGCTTTCCCTCTGTGTGTCTTCACAGTTGAAATGAGTTTCTTGTAGGCAACATGTAATTGACTCTTGTTTTTTAAATCCATTCATCCAGTTTATATTTTTTAATTGGGGAATCCAATCCGTTTACAGCCAAGGGTGTTGTTGATATGTGAGGACTTACTCCTGTCATTTTGTTGTTTTATTTTCTCTTTAAAAAATATCCCTTGTTTCTTACATTCTCTTATTGTTTATTTTTGTGGATGAGTGGTTCTCTGTAGTGATGTTTTGATTTCTTCGTCTATGACTTGATGCTTTTCTTTTGCTGTTTTTAGAACTCTTTGTCTTTGACTTTTGACAGTTTGAGTATAATGTGCCCCAGAGAGGACTGTTTGGATTTTATCAATTCGAGGACTTTTGTGCTTCCTGGATCTGAATGTCCATTATCTCCCAAGACTTGGGAAGTTTTTTACAACTAGCTCATTAAATATTTCCTATGATATTTCCCTTCTCTTCTTCTTCTGGAACTCTCATAATGTGAATATTTGTTCACTTAATAGTATTCTTTAAATTATTCTTTTTTTCTTTTTGTCTGCCTTAGTTATTTCAGAAGACCTGTCCTAAGTTCAGAAATTCTTTCTTCTGCCTGGTCTAGTCCTTTGTTGAAGCTCTTCATTGTATTTTCTTCTAATTTCATTCATTGAATTCTTCAGCTCTAAGATTTCTGTTTTCTAATATCTCTCTCTTTTTGAATTTCTCATTCAAACAATGAATCATTTTTCCTAATTTTGTTGAATCATGTATCTATTATTTTGTATCTCACTGTTTCCTTACGATTATTATTTTGAATTCTCTTTGTGATATTTTGTATATTTCCTAATAATTGGGATCTGTTATTGGAGAATTACTGTATTCCTTTGGAAGTGTCACGTTTCTTTGTATTTTCATGTTTGATGTAGCTCTACATTGATTTATTTCTACACATATGGTAGAAAAGTTGCCTTTTCCAGTTTTATGGAGTTGTTGAAAAAACTTAGAGTATTGGTTGCGTGGGGTGCATTCACTTTGTTTTTAGGTAGACCCACTTGTGTAGTCTCTTTGCAGATTCTTCAGCAGTAATCAATTTTAGTGATGTTTGTAAGTGTTTCAGTGGCCTAAGCTGCAAGAGTTTGTGGCTGCGATGGTGCAGCTTTGCCAGGGGTGGGCTCACTGGGCTGTTTCTCAGGTCAGGGGTGCATGAGTGAACGCTGTGATGAGGCAACCAACTTGGTGTCTGGCTTGCTGGGATTATGGCCATGGGGCTGTTACTCTGGCTGGTGGCATGGGCACATGCCTGCTTGGCTGGCTTGGAGACACAATGCCTGGGTTGGGGCCACTGGGCTATTTCTCAAGTTCTCAGGGGTGGTGTGCAGCCACTCGGCCAGTCTAGGGGCATGTCTGCCAGAGGAGAACCTACTAGTCTGTTTTTTAGGTTCTGGGCTGGGTGCACAACTGCTTAGCCAGTCTGTGGGCATGTTTGTTGAGTTCAGGCCTCCTGGAGTATCTTAGGGTGTAGGTGCCAATGTGGAGCCAGTTCAAGGACATCTTCACCAGAGGCTAGCCTGCCAGGCTGTTTTTCAGGCTCAGGACATGGGTGTGCAACTACCCGGCCACCATGGGGACATGTCAGCTGCTCAGTTGCTCAGGGACCTCTGCTGCTCAGGGGAGGGCATACAGTGGTGTGACTGGCTCAAGGGTGGGTTCTCCCTGGATGTGTCCACCAGACTGTTTGACCAGAAGTGCTGGCAGCAGGGATTGGTTTCCTTGCTCTGCAGGACCAGAGCCACAGCAGATCCTGTGCTCAGGCTCTGTGCAGCTGGGGTTGTGGCATTCAGACACCTGTGTGGACTTAGTGGAATGAAAACAACTCCTAGGCTGGAAAAGTGCAGGGTGTACTTCAGAAATGGTTCTGGTCTCAAGGTGATCGGTGACATGCTGCAGCAGCTTGGCTCACAAGGGAGTAAGTGCAGATCTTGTGCTCCCAGTCTGGGGGAATACAGCTGTGTGAATTCACAGCAGCTCCCCAAACTGGGCTCAGGGCTTGCAAGGACTGTGGATTCTCCTGTAGTAAGGATTGCATGTGTTTGCAGTGGGAGTGGAGGCTGCTGAGGTTCCTCTGATTACCTTCCTCCCCTACCAAGCCTCCGCTCCCACAAGGAGAAGTCCCTTCTGACTCTGGGCCATTCCAGGCTCGGAGGATGGGATGGCAGAGGCAGGATGCCTCCACGCTGGCCTTGTGGGCTCCCAGTCATCACAGGTACCTCTCCACTTCCCTGCTGTACTTCGGCACTCTCCCTTCAACACTCCAGTCAAATCTTAGCTGTTTATTTATTGCCGTGGTCCTTTCTTGAAGCGGAGGAATGTGCACCAGACACTTACCGTCAGCCATCTTACTGACATCACTCTTCGTGTCTTGTCTTTTTTTGATTAGACTAGCCAAGTATTTGTCTATTTAATTGGTCACTTGAAAAAGCCAGCTATTTACTGACTTACTGATTGAATCTATCTCTTTTGATTGGATGACTTTTGCTTTTCCTTTTATTCGTTTCTGGATTTAATTACCTTGTAAATTTTGGTCTTTCGTGATCCATAATAGTTTACTCATACTTTCCTGCTCTTTGCCCTTTTTTAATGGGAGTATTCTTCCGCTTGATCTTTCTGTGTATCACAATTTAATCTTTGTTTTTGTTTTTGTTTTCCTCTCTTTTTATTTGGTAGTAATTCTGTTTCTCTGGAGGCTCATGCTTTTGTTTGTTGAATTTGGTTAGTCTAATGCATGCTGCTAGTTTTCATAAGTGATTGGTGATTCATGGTTTATTCATATTTGTAACTGAAGAGTCTAGATTAAATCTATTAATTTTTCTCTAGCCCATGTAAGAATCCCATTTATGGCTGGGCGCGGTAGCTCACGCCTGTAATCCCAGCACTTTGGGAGGCCGAGGTGGGCGGATCAGGAGGTCAGGGGATGGAGACCATCCTGGCTAACACGGTGAAACCCCGTCTCTACTAAAAAATACAAAAAATTAGCTGGCCGTGGTGGTGGGTGCCTGTAGTCCCAGCTACTCGGGAGGCTGAGGCAGGAGAATGGCGTGAACCTGGGAGGCGGAGCTTGCAGTGAGCCGAGATCCCGCCACTGCACTCCAGCCTGGGCAACAGAGCGAGACTCTGTCTCAAAAAAAAAAAAAAAAAAGAAAGAAAAAAGAATCCCATTTATGTGTTATTGAATCTAGGGTCTGATTAAAATGTTTATCTCCTCTAGTGATTATTGAGAAGGAGTGGAACTTGTAGGTAACTTACTTTTTGAGTTTAGACTCTCCTTTCTTCCCGAAATCTCTAAGTAAATGGGAAAAACTTCCCTGTTTTTCTGGCTCCTATCTTAACTTTGTAAGGCTCCCATTCCAGAGAGCCTCTTATTTTATATATTAAGTTTTTACATATACTAGAGTTGTCTTGTGTTTATCGATATCTGAATAATTATTATAGATTTATGTTTTAATATTTTATAGGACTAAATCATTTTGCTACTTTAAAAAAATCACGAAAGTACATTATTTGAAGTTTGGAGAAGAAAGGGATTTGGTAACAAAGGACAGCCATTTCCATTTTAAGCAGCTAAACAGCAGGAGAGATTTCTGTAAGAAGGTACCAGCTCAGATTCCATTGTTCATCATTTTGGTGAGAGACTGCAGAATCACTTGTACTAAGTTGGGATTAGGCCCATCTCTCATTATTTGTTATAATTTTGTCACATGGTTTTTCTTTATCGTTTCATATGCTTTTAGGATAATATAGTTTAAAAGAACTATGTATTGTATTTTGACTATAAATCCACCAAATATACAAACTAATTTGAGAATGATTGACAGCATTATAATATTTGAGATTTCTTTGCCAGGACAAGGGATGTTGTCAAGTTTATCCATTTCTAGATTAAATTCCATATGATTAAGAGTCAGTAACAACTTATGAAGATCTTTAAAATAACCAAAGATCTATTTCACAATTTCTTTCACTTTTCTACTGACTTAAACACCAATTTGAAAAAAAAACAAGCACTTCAAGAATCAATACAGAAGGTACATTTTTTAAAAATCTTCAGTACAACTGGCGTTATGAACACTGACTAAACATTTGATAACATTAAGGAATTACTGTTAATTTGCTAGGTATTGCTAATTTGTTACTATTGCTAACAGTATTTTGGTTATGTTGTTTAAAAGGAGTGCTGATCTTTGAGACATATACATTGAAATAGGATTTCTGGAATTTGCTTCAAAGTTATATAAGGTAGAAAGTATATAGGAGTGTGAAACAAGATTGGCCATGAGTTGCTAATTGTTGGAGCTGATCATTGTGTGGTTTATTATATTATTCTGTTTTCTTCACATATGTTTGAAGTTTTCCATAATAAAAGCTAAAAATAAAAACAAATGTACAATGTCAAAAGAAAGAAAAATAAATAATGGGAAGTACTGCTAACCACATTTATAGCCACAGGACAAAAGTACTTTTAAAAATTGATTCTATTGTTCCCTGCCCACTTAAAGGTAACTTGTTGACCTTAAGCAAAATTACTAAGTAGCTTAGTTTATATTCTTTACTTCTTATGTCATCTTTCTTCATGTTAATCCAATACTTGTTTTCCTTCTCCTTTGTCAAGTGCACATTGTCCTCTTGTTCGCTTCTTTACCTTCAAAAATTGTCAGTCATCCATGAAACCCCCATGGATGAACCTGTCCAAGTTAACATACAAGAGAATGCTTTGTGAGGGAGATCAGGGATAGAAGACAGGAAATAGGTCTGATAGAGTATTAGAAAAATATTTGAATATTTAGAAAAATACTGGTAAAAATGTGAGAAGCTTGTTGGAACATTTGGAAAAAACTTAAGAGTTCCATATGAAAAACACTATTGATTTTGTTTTTAAAAATTGAGAGTCTGAAGATAGGGAAAGTAAAAGCTGAAACCTCTAGTATTCTAACAGAAAATAGATAATGTCCAAAATGGGTCAGTCACAAAGTAGCAATATTAGCATATTATCCAGAAAGAAGAGAAACTACGAACAGATCTGATTAGAAGAAACAATTAAATTCCTAGTAATTACTTCTGGGAGTAGGATAAGTTGGGAGAAGGGTAAGCAGCATGGAACAGAAAACTGTATTTTATAAGCCATTTAGTACTACAATCTGACTTTTAACAGTGTTTATATTTTACTTTAATAAAAATAAAAGTTAATATTAAAAACGACTTCTGTATTTACTGTTGATTTATTCTATGAGCTAAGAGATAAAACTAATAAAATTAAGATTATAATATTGAGTGAGGGGAGGGGTCTAGCGTCACTCTCTAACATGTACATATGTTGTCCCAGCACCAGCTGTTGAAAAAACTATTTTTTTCTTTATTGAATTGTCTTGGCACATTGTCAGAATCAATTGACCATAAATGTATGGATTTGTTTCTAGCCTGTTGTTTAGTTGTATGTATGTATATATGCTAGTTCCACACAGTCTTGATTACTGTAGCTTTTTAGTAAGTTTTGAAATTGAGAAGTGTGAGGTCTCCAACTTTGTTGTTCTTTTTGAAGACTCTTTTGGCTATTCTGGTTTTTTTGAGTTTCCATATGAATGGAATGAGCTTGTCAATTTCTACAAAAAAAGAAAAGGCAGTTCAGATTTTGATAGGGAGTGTATTAAACCTGTAGGTTAATTTGGGAATTGTTGCCATTTTAATAATAAGTCCTCTGATCCATGAACATGGGATGTCATTCCCTTTATTTAGATCTTCTTTCATTCTTTCAATGATGTTTTATAGTTTCATTGTACAAATTTTGTACTACTTCTGTTACATCTATTTCTCAGTATTTTATTGTCTTTGATGCTACTGTAAAAGGAATGGTTTTCTTAATTTCATTTTTGGATTGTTTGTCACCAGTGTATAGAAATACACTATGTGTAACAACATATTGGTTGTTTTGTATTAATCTTGTATACTGAAACCTTGGTGAACTCACATATTAATGATAATAAATTTTTGTATATTAGGATTTTCCATATACAGAATCATATGATCTGCAAATATAAATTGTTTTACTTATTGCTTTCTAGTCTGGATGCCTTTTCTTTATTTTCTTTTTTCTTTTTTTTTTTTTTGCTTAACAGCCCTGTCTAGAACCTCTAATCCAAAGTTGAATAAAAATGCCAAAAGTGTACAGCCTTATTTTTTTCCTTATTAGGAGTAAAAGCACCATTAAGTATGATATTAGCTGTGGGTTTTTCATAGAAGCCTTTTATCAGAGAGAAGAATTTCCCTTCTATTTTTAGTTTGGTGAATGTTTTTATTATGAAAGAGTTTTGGGTTTTGTCTAATGATTTTCTTTGTCTGAAGTGTCATTTGGTTTTGTTCTTGGTTTTATTAATAGAGTCTGTTGAGTTTTTATCTGTTGAACCACTCGTTCATTCCTGGGATAAAGTGAACTTGGCCATTATGTACAATTGTTTGTATATGTCACTGGATTCAGTATTTTGTTTAAGATTTTTGCATTTGTATTTCTAGGAGAGATTGGTGGTAATTTTTTTGTGTGTGATGTTGTTGGGTTTAGTATCAGGGTAATTGGTCTCATAGAATGAGTTGGAAGGTGTTTCCTTCTCTTCCGTTTTTTTTTTTTTTTTGAAGGAGTTTGTGAAGTATTGGTTTTAATTCTTTTTTAACTGTTTGATAGAATTCAGCAGTGAAGGCTGGTTCTGAGCTTGTGGGAAGTTTCTGATTCCTAAATTAGACTTTTTCCTTCTTATAAGTCTGTTTGAATTTTCTGTTTTTTCTTGAGTAATGTTTTTAAATTTGAAAAATACAGAGCAAGTGCAAGGTTGTAAGTATGTGTAAGGTAGTCTGATAAAGTCCAAATTACATATAAAAATCTATCCTGCTATTAATTCCTGGGAAGTCAATTTGAAACTCATACTGTTTAACAATTTCATTTTTTAAAATGTTATTTTTCCAAAGAGTATTCTTAATGTCTAGTTGCATTATTAAAATAATCTTACTCCATAACGGCTTGAAATTTAAGGGTTTTTGTTTGTTTGTTTGTTTGTTTGTTTTTATGTTGCTTTTATCTCAGCAGCAATGCAGCAAGTCTTGGAAAACCTTACGGAGCTGCCCTCGTCTACTGGAGCAGAAGAAATAGACCTAATTTTCCTCAAGGGAATTATGGAGAATCCTATTGTAAAATCACTTGCTAAGGTATATAGATTTATTCATAAGATTACTGAATTATTTTGGACTTAGTTTTTATAGAGATATTTTCAGATATTACTATTTTAGAATTTGGTTGATATACATTAGGTTTAGTTAGCAAATAAAAACATTCAGCACATAATGAAATCTTAACATATGCAAAAATTAGACCATTTTTCTCTTTTCTACTCTGACTTTAAATACAGGATGAAATGACTCTTAGTTTTGGCGTAATGCCTTTAAGGTTTAGAGAAATCATACCTGCACAGTTGTGTTTTAACAGGGCCTGTGAAAAAGATCCTGATCCTATTTCCATTTTCAACAATGGCAAAGTACTGATTTTCTTCTTTTGCATTAGACTGTGTACCTACTTTTCATGTAAGTTCTTGACTTCCTTTATCTAGTGCTTTTTTGAAATTTTGTTATTTGTTGCATAAGCCTGGTATTTTAAGTCTGTTTCCCTAGTCAACTCTGGAGTAATCTCTTTAACTCATTGATAAGTATACTTTACAACCATTTTTATTAAATAATTATTATATGCTAAAGCTTAATGTATTACCTATTTTACAAACCTGCTATACCATTCTTTAGAGTTCCCCCAAATGACTCTTGCTTTCAAGAATCTATGCCACATGCCTTCTTTGATCTTTTCTTCATAGAGCCATCTTGTTCCTTTTGGTTTTTGCTCTATGAGAATGTTGATTTCACTCTCTTCTGTGATTTTTTTCTTAGCCAAAGTCTGTTACTTGTTTTCTTCCAAGACCTCTGAAAAATACCTTTTACAAGGTTTTCTATTAGTGAGAGTGAATTAATGATGCAGATTCTTCTTTTTTTTTTTTTTTTTTTGAGAGGAAGTCTCACTTTGTCTCCCAGGCTGGAGTGCACTGGCACGATCTCAGCTCACTGCAACCTCTGCCTGCTGGGTTCAAGTGATTCTCCTGCCTCAGCCTCCCGAGTAGCTGGGACTACAGGCGTGTGCCACCACCCCTGGCTAATTTTTGTATTTTTAGTAGAGGAGGGGTTTCACCATGTTGGCGCAGGCTGGTCTCGAACTCCTGACCTCACATGATCCACCCACCTTGGCCTCCTGGGATTACAGGCATAAGCCACCAGGCCCGGCCAATGATACAGAGTCTTCATTTTATTTACGTGTTTACTTATGCTAAAATCACATGGTATAAAGGCCCTTAAGTAGAAACGAATCCATTTGCAGATCATCCAACTGGAATTTTTATTTTAGTCATTTTTTACTATAGCCTTTCCAATGTTCATTAGATATTTTTATATTTTAATAATAATGTGCAGGGTATTGTTTCAGATTCAAACTTGTCATAAACATTAATTCCTACTGTTTTAAAGTAATAGCTCCAGGGTCTGTTGAAATTAGTAGGAACTATTTAAATTTCTGTTAAATAGTTTACCTGGGTTCTTATTGTACTTTTAAAATGGTTTTTTACTCTTTTCTTGATGTTTTTCTGTTGATTGTCAGTTATTGTCCATGTAGCTGTTACACTGTTATCTCCATGTTTATTTAATTTATAGCTTTTGATCTATAGATTTTAAAACTATATAATGCACTAACAAATGTTTATAGTTTGCAAAGGTCTTTAAAATACACTGTTTTGTCTTCACAACAACTTTATGAATTTAAAATATACTGTTTTATCTTTCAACAACTTTTGAATTGAAAAGTAAGACTCAGTCAATAAGTGTTGTGTCTAAGGTCTCTCTGCTAGCAAAAGACAGATGAGGTTTAGGCCATGTGTTCTATCATCAAATTCTGTGTTCTACCTACTCCAACACCGGGTGATGGGGTATGTGTATGTTTGTGTATGCTTATTCTTAAAAACTGGTGGGAGTAAAAATTTACTGATTTTATGCCATTGATGTTGGTCTTTCAGAGGATTATCTTGTTCATTATTCTTAACAGTTGCAATGGTTGGATGACTTTTGAGCAGGTAAGGTGCTACTGTACTCTTTTGATGATAAAAATGAAATAAAGCAAAGAGTTATCCAATAATATGCAACATTCAGGCAGATTCTTAATAAGGAAAAACAATGGTAGTTCAGTATTCCTATAATATAGGTTAAAAAAAATCCCAGGAATAGGGGAGGAATTCCGCTTCCAAGAAAGAAATAGTAAGTCACAGCAGCCTAGCACTCTCAGTATAACAAATAGAAGGAAAAAAGAGGCACACATTGCTAGATATGCAGAGAGGCAGAAATATCTGGCCACTAATCATGAGAAAAACAACAGAGGCAGTCCCATAAATGGTTCTTTTATTAGCATTTATACACAAGGATTTGAAAATAACTTATTAATGTACTTTTAGTAGAAGAAAAGGGAAAAAAACATGTAAAATATTTTTAGAAAATCAGAATAAAAAATAATCAAATGAACATTTTAGGATCAAAAATACAGTATCTGAAATTAGTTCACTGATAGAAGACTAGACACAACAGAAGAGGGAATAAGTGAATTTAAAGATAGGTTATTAGAAAATACTCAAGCAAAAACTAATAGAGAAGAAAGAATGAAAAAAAGATAACAATATGTGAAACATACTCAAAATATCTAATATATGTAGTTTGTATTCCAGAAAGAAAGGAGAGAGGGAAGAAGAAATATAGGTAAACCCTATACTTTTGCATTTCACTTTATTCCCCTTTGCAGTTACTGCCTTTTTAATAATCAAAATGGGCAAAATAACCAGCTAGCATTATAATGACGGGATCAGATTCACACATAATATTAACCTTAGATGTAAATGGCTAAATGCCCCAATTAAAAGACATAGACCAGCAAATTGGATAAAGAATCAAGACCCACCAGTCTGCTGTATTCAGGAGACACATCTCATGTGCAGTGACACACATAGGCTCAAAATAAATGGATGGAGGCAGATTTACCATACAAATGTAAAGCAAAAAAAAAGGGATTGCGATCCTAATCTCTGATAAAACAGACGTTAAACCAACAAAGATCAAAAAAGACAAGGGCATTACATAATGGTAAAGGGATCAATGCAACAAGAAGAGCTAACTATCCTAAGTATATATGTACCCAATATAGGAGCTCCCAGATTCATAAAGCAAGTTCTTAGAGACCTACAGAGACTTAGACTCCCACACCATAATAGTCGGAGATTTTAACACCCCACCGTCAATATTAGACAGCTCAACAAGACAGAAAATTAACAAGGATATTCAGAATTTGAACTTAGCTTTGGACCAAGTGGACCTAATAGACATCTACAGAACTCTCCACCCCAAATCAACAGAATATACATTCCTCTCAGCGCCACATAGCACTTATTCTAAAATGGACCACATAATTGGAAGTCAGTCCTCAGCAAATGCAAAAGAACGGAAATCATAACAAAGAATCTCTCAGACCACAGTGCAATCAAATTAGAACTCAGGGTTAAGAAACTCAAAACCATACAACTACATGGAAACTGAACAACCTACTCTTAAATGACTACTGGGTAAATAATGAAATTAAGGCAGAAATAAATAAGTACTTTGAAACCAATGAGATCAAAGACACAATGTACCAGAATCTCTGGGACACAGCTAAAGCAGTGTTTAGAGGGAAATTTATAGCAGTAAATGCCCACAGGAGAAAGCAGGAAAGATCTAAAATCAACACCCTAACATCACAATTAAAAGAACTAGAGAAGCAAGAGCAATTAAATTCAAAAGCTAGCAGAAGACAAGAAATAACTAAGATCAGAGCAGAACTGAAGGAGATAGAGACATGAAAAACCCTTCAAAAAAACAATCATTGAATCCAGGAGCTGGTTTTTTGAAAAGATTAGCAAAATAGATAGACCGCTAGCCAGACTAGTAAAGAAGAAAAGAGGGAAGAATCAAATAGATACAATAAAAAATGGTAAAGGGGATACCATCACTGATCCCGCAGAAATATAAACTACCATCAGAAAATACTATAAACACCTCTCTGCCAATAAACTAGAAAATCTAAAAGAAATGGATAAGTAATTCGTGGACACATAACACCCTCCCAAGACTAAACCAGGAAGAAGTCAAATCCCTGAATAGACCACTAACAAGTTCTGAAATAGACAGTAATAATAGCCTACCAACCAAAAAAAGCCCAGGACCAGACAGATTCACAGCCAGATTCTACCAGAGATACAAACAGGAGCTGGTACCATTCCTTCTGAAACTATTCCAAACAACAGAAAAAGAGAGACTCCTCCCTAACTCATTTTATGAGGCCAGCATCATCCTGATAACAAAACCTGGCAGAGACACAACAAAAAAGAAAATTTCAGGCCAATATCCCTGATGAACATCGATGTGAAAATCCTCAATAAAATACTGGCAAACCGAATCCAGCAGCACATTAAAAGGCTTATCCACCACGATCAAGTTGGCTTCATCCCTGGGATGCAAGGCAGGTTCAACATGCACAAATGCATAATATAATCCATCACATAAGCAGAACCAATGATGAAAATCACATGATTATCTTAATAGATGCAGAAAAGGCCTTTGACAAAATTCAGCCCCTCTTCATGCTAAAAACACTCAATAAACTAGGTATTGATGGAACATATCTCAAAATAAGAGCTATTTATGACAAACCAACAGCCAATATCATACTGAATGGGCAAAAGCTAGAAGTATTCCCTTTGAAAACTGGCACAAGACAAGGATGCACTCTCTCACCACTCTTATTCAACGTAGTATTGGAAGTTCTGGCCCAAGAGAAGGAAATAAAGCGTATTCAAATAGGAAGAGAGGAAGTCAAATTATCTCTTTTTGCAGATGACATATTTAGAAAACCCCATTGTCTCAGCCCAAAAGCTCCTTAAGCTGATAAGCAACTTCAGCAAAGTCTCAGGATACAAAATCAGCGCGCAAAAATCCCAAGCATTCCTATACAGCAATAATAGACAAAAAGAGAGCCAAATCATGAGTAAACTTCCATTCACAATTGCTACAAAGAGAATAAAACACCTAGGAATACAACTTACAAGGGATGTGAAGGACCTCTTCAAGGAAAACTACAAACCACTGCTCAAGGAAATAAGGACACAAACAAATGGAAAAACATTCCATGCTCATGGATAGGAAGAATCAATATCATGAAAATGGTGATACTGCCCAAAGTAATATATAATCTCAATGCTATTCCCATCAAGCTACCATTGACTTTCTTCACAGAGTTAGAAAAAACTACTTTAAATTTCATATGGAACCAAAAAAGAGCCGGTATAGCCTAGACAATCCTAAGCAAAAAGAACAAAGCTGGAGGCATCACGCTACCTGACTTCAAACTATACTACAAGGCTACAGTAACTAAAACACCATGGTACTGGTACAAAAACAAATATATAGACCAATGGAACAGGACAGAGGCCTCAGAAATGACATGACACATCTACAACCATCTGGTCTTTGACAAACCAGACAAAAACAAGCAATGGGGAAAGGATTCGCTATTTAATAAATGATGTTGGGAAAACTAGCCATATGCAGAAAACTGAAACTGTACCCCTTCCTTACACCTTATTACAAAAATTAAGTCAAGATAGATTAAAGACTTAAACGTAAGACCTAAGACCATAAAAACCCTAGAAGAAAACCTAGGCAGTACCATTCAGGGCATAGGCATGAGCACAGACTTCATGATTAAAACACCAAATGCAATTGCAACAAAAGCCAAAATTGACAAATGGGATCTAACTAAAGAGCTTCTGCACAACAAAAGAAACTATCATCGGAGTGAACAGGCAGCCTACAGAATGGGAGAAAAATTTTGCAAGCTATCCGTCTGACAAAGGGCTAATATCCAGACTCTACAAGGAACTTAAAAATTTACAAGAAAAAAACAACCCCATCAAAAAGTGGGCAAAGGATATGAACAGACATTTCTCAAAAGAAGACATTTATGCAGCCAGCAGACACATGAAAAAATGCTCATCATCACTGGTCATTAGAGAAATGCAAATCAAAACTGCAATGAGATACCTTCTCACACCAGTTAGAATGGTGATCATTAAAAAGTCTGGAAACAACAGATACTGAAGAGGATGTGGAGAAATAGAAATACTTTTACACTGTTGCTGGGAGTGTAAATTAATTCAAGCATTGTGGAAGACAGTGTGGCAATTCCTCAAGGATCTAGAACTAGAAATACCATTTGACCCAGCAATCCATTATTGGGTATATACCCAAAGGAGTATAAATCATTCTACTATAAAGACACATGCACATGTATGTTTATTGCAGCACTATTCACAATAGCAAAGACTTGGAACCAACCCAAATGCCCATCAATGATAGACTGGATAAAGAAAATGTGGCACATATACACCATGGAATAGTATGCGGCCATAAAAAATGATGAGTTCACGTCCTTTGCAGGGACATTGATAGAGCTGTAAACCATCATTTTCAGCAAAATAACACAGGAGCAGAAAACCAAACACCGCATGTTTTCTTTTAAGTGGGTGTAAGTTGAACAATGAAGAACATATGGACACAGGGAGGGGAACATCACACACCGATCCCTGTCGGGGGTTTGGGAGGCAAGGGGAGGGGGGATAGCATTAGGAGAAATACCTAATGTAGATGATGGGTTGATGGGTGCAGCAAACCACCATGGCACATTTGTACTTATGTAACAAACATGCACGTTCTGTACATTATCCCAGAACTTAAAGTATAATAATAATTTTTAAAAAAAAGAAGAAGAAGCTGCAACAAGTTACCCAGAAGATCTAGCTGAGATCATTGATTCCAGTGGCTACACTTAACAACAGATTTTCGATGCAGACACAGCAGCTTTGTTTTGGAAGAACATCTAGAGCTTTCACAGCTAGAGAGAAGTCAATACCTGCCTTCAAAGGACAGGCTGACTCTTTGGTTAGGAGCTTATGCAGCTGATGACTTTAAGTGGAAGCCAATGCTCATTTACCACTCTGAAGATCCTAGAGCCCTTAAGAATTATGCGAATTCTACTCTGCCTGTGCCCTCTAACTGGAACAACAAAACCTAGCTGACAGCACATCTGTTTACAGCATGGTGTGCTACATATTTTAATCCCACTGTTGGGATTTACTGCTCAGAAAAAAAGATTTCTTTCAAAATACTACTGGTTATTGACAACACACTTGGTCACCCAAGAGCTCGGACAGAAATGTACAAAGAGAGGAATGTTGTTTTCATTCCTGCAGACACAACATCTCTTCTACTCATGGATTAAGGGGTAATTTTGACTTTCAAGTCTTAGTTAAATACATTTCATAGGACTACAGCTGCCATAGATTTCGATTCCTCTAATGGATCTGGATAAAGTAAATTGCAAGCCTTCCAGAAAGGGTTTACTATTCTAGATGCCATTAAGAACATTTGTGATGCATGGGAGAAGGTCAGAATATCAACATTCACATGAGTTGGGGAGAAGTTGAGTCCAGCTCTCATGGATGACTTTGAGGGATTCAAGACTTCAGTGGAGGAAGTCACTTTAGATGACAAGTGACTTTCACTTAGATGAAAGATGACACTTTCTTGACTTTAGAAGACAAGAAAACAAGAATTAGAAGTGGAACCTGAAGATGTGACTACATTGCTGCAATGTCATGATAAAACTTGAACAGATAAGGAGTTGCTTCTTGTGGAGGAGCAAAGAAAGTGGTCTCTTCAGATTGAATCTATTCCTGGTGAAGATGCTGTGAAAATTGTTGAAATGATAACAAAGGATTACAAATATTACATAAAGTTTAGGTGATAAAGCAGGAGCAGTTTGAAAGAATTGACTCCAATTTTGAAAGTTTTGCTTGGATAAAATGCTCTCAAACAACATTGCATGCTATGGAGAAATCTTTCATGAAAGGAGAGTCCATCAATGTGGCAAACCTTATTATTGTCTTATTTTAAGAAATTGCCACAGCCACCCAAGCCTTCAGCAACCACCGCCTTGATCAGTCAGCAGCCATCAGCATCAAGACAAGACCTTACACAGGCAAAAAGATTTTGACTCTGTGAAGGCTCTGATCCTTAGCATTTTAACCTTTAAAGTATTTTTAAATTAAGGTATGTATATTGTCTTTTAGACATATTGCAGTTGCACACTTAATAGATCACCTTGTCATGTAAACATAACTTTTATATACACAGGGAAACAAAAAAATTTGTGTGACTTACTTTGTTGCAGTATTTGCTTTATTGTGGTTATCTTGAGCAGAACCTGCAGTATCTCTGAGCTATGCCTGTACAGCTAGTAGAATGTTGAAACCTTCAACTATAATAGTAGATTAACCTATCTCTTTTTGCAGTTCTGTCAGATTTTACCTCCCATATTTTAATGCTCTTTTGTTAAACACACATTCACTAAGATTGTTATATCATCTCAGAGAATCAACTCTTATCGTTATGTAATGCCTCTCTTTGTTCCCAATAATTTTTCTTGATCTGAAGTCTGCCCTGTCTGAAATTAATATAGCTACTCCAGTTTTCTTTAGTTAATGTTAGCATGATACACCTTTCTCCATACCTTTAGTTTTAATCTCTCTATATCTTTGTATTTAAAGTAAGTTTCTGGTAGACAACATGTAATTCGATCTTTTTTAATTCACTCTGACAGTCTCTTTGTTTTTTTATTTTTAGACGGAGTCTTGCTCTGTTGCCAGGCTGGAGTGCAGTGGTGCCATCTTGGCTCACTGCAACCTCCGATTCCCTGGTTCAAGCAATTCTCCTGCCTCAGCCTCTCAAGTAGCTGGGATTACAGGCACGCCCAGCTTATTTTTGTATTTTCAGTAGTGACTGGTTTCACCACGTTGGCCAGGGTGGTCTCAATCTCCTGACCTTGTGATCTGCCCACGTCGGCCTCCCAAAATGCTAGGATTACAGGTGTGAGCCACCGCATCCAGCCAACAGTCTCTTTTAAGTGCTTTAGATCACTGATGTTTCATGTTTATTGATATAATTCGATTAACGTCTTTCATACTGTTACTGTTTTGTATTTGTTGCCTGCTTGCCTGCCTGCCTTCCTTTTTTCCTTGTGTCTCTCACTCATTTTGTTTTCTCTGCTTTAACTAAACATTGTATGTGATTTCAATTTTCTCTCTCTTAGCATGTTAGACTTTAAAAAAAAAACTTTTTAGCAGTTCTCCTTGATTTTGCAGTATACGTTTGCAATCTAATACACTTTCGAATAACATCATACCACTTACAGTGCAACTACCTTATAAAATAACACTGTTTCCTGTCCCATATAATATTGCTGCCATTCATTTATTCATAAGCTATAATAATCAAATACATTGTTGTGAATAAAACTATTATCTATTAAATCAATTAGGAATAAGAAAAATAAAAGATTTTATTTTACCTTTTTTTTCTCTAGCACTCGTCTTTATATCAACCCAAGTTTTGCACTTACACCATTTTCCTTCTTTCTGATGAATGTCTTTTAACATTTCTTGCAAGACAGGTGTAGTAGTAACAAATATTCTCAATTTTTGTTGAAAAAGTCCTTTTTTTTTTTAACTTTTTTATGATAACTTTACTGGATAGGTAATTCCAGGTTGGTGGAGTTTTTTTTTTTTTTTTTTTCTTTCAACATTTAAAGATTTCACTCTATTCTCTGCTTGCATGTTTCCTGAAGAGTTCAGTATAATTCTTATGCTTGCTCCTCTGCAGGTAAGGTTGCCCCCCCCCCACCCCGATGTTTCAGTATTTTGTTTTTTATTTTCTGCAGTTTGAATATAATATACCTAGACTTAGAATTCGGGGTTTTTAATCCTGCACAGTGTTCTATGAGTCTCGTGGATCTGTGGTTTGGTGTCCATCATTAATTTAGGAAAATTCTCAGTTTCAGATTTTGTAGCATTTTGGATTTTAGATTTTTGGATTGGGGATACTCAACCTATATTATGAATATTGCTGCCATAAACATTCTTGGACACACTTTTATGTAGACGTAGTTTTTTATTTCTCCTGTGTATATAAGTAGGTAACTGTGTTTCATTGAGGAACTGCCGGACTGTTATCCATAGTAGCTGTACCATTTTTTATTCCCACCAGTAGTGTACAAGAGTTCTAATATCTCTGTATCATCTTCAACACTTGTTATTATTTGATTTTTTGGTTCTTAACTGTCCTAGTGGGTGTGAAGTGGTATTTTATTGTGGTTTTGATTTGTGTTTCCCTGGAGACTAATGATATTGAGCATCTTTTCATGTGCTTATTGACCATTTGTACATATTTTTTGGAGAAATATCTGTTTAGATTCTTTGCCCATGTTTAAATTGAGTCATATTTATTTTTATTATGAAGTTGTGAGAGTCTTTCATGTATTCTGGGTACAAGTCTTTTATGAGATATATCATTTGCAAATATTTCTCCCATTATATAGATTATCTTTTTACTTTCTTCTTAGTGCCTTTTGAAGCACAGAAGTTTTTGTTTTTTGTTTTTTATTTTTATTTTTTTGAGATGGAGTCTTGCTCTGCCGCCCAGGCTGGAGTGCAGTGGCACGATCTCGGCCCACTGCAAGCTCTGCCTTCTGGGTTCATGCCATTCTCCTGCTTCAGCCTCCTGAGTAGCTGGGACTACAGGCGCCCGCCATCACACCCGGCTAATTTTTTGTATTTTTAGTAGAAACGGGGTTTCACCGTGTTAGCCAGTATGGTCTCGATCTCCTGACCTCGTGATCCATCCGCCTCGGCCTCCTAAAGTGCTGGGATTACAGTCGTGAGCCACCACGCCCGGCTGAAGCACAGAAGCTTTTAATTTGATGAAGTCCAAGTTGTCTTTTTGTCTTTTGTTGCCTTGTGATTTTGGTCTTATATGTAAGAATCTTTTGCTAAATCCATGGTCATGAAGATTTACCCCTGTGTTTCCGAAGAGCTTTATAGTTTTAGCTCTTACATTTAGGTGTTGGATCCATTTTAAGTTAGTTTTTTGTATACGATATTACGTTAGGCACCAACTTCTGTCTTTTACATGTGCTTCTCTAGTCCATTTGTTGGACTTTCAAATGGTGTTTCAGCACCATTTGTTGAAAGGAATATTTTTTCCCCATTGAGTGGTTTTGGGCACCTTTGTCTTAACATGCAACAGTTGGCCACTGACATGTGGTTTTATTTTTTTACTTTCAATTCTATTCCATTGATCTATAGATCTTTCCTTGTGGCAGCATCATGTTTTGATAACTCTTGTGTAGTACTTTTTGAAATGAGGAAATGTAAGTACTCCCATTTTGTTCTTTTTCAGGATAGTTTTCACTGTTCTGGATCCCTTTGCAACTCTATAAGAATTTTAGAATCAGTTTGTCAATTTCTATAAACATGTCACTTAGGATTCCAGTAGGCATTGCATTGAATCCGTAGTTCGTTCTGGGGAGTATTGCCATCTTAACAGTGATGTCTTCTAATCCATAAACATTTATTTAAATCTTTAATTTCTTTCAACAATGTTTTATAATTTTCAGAGTATAAATTTTGCACTTGTTTTGTTAGTTATACTCCTAGGTATTTTGTTCTTTTTGCTGCTGTTATGAATGGATTTGTTTTTTAAATTTCATTTTCAGATTTTTCATTGCTAGTGTATAGAAATATAATTGATTTTTGTATATTGATCTTATATATCTTGCATCCTTGCTGAACTTATTTTTTTATTCAAATAGTCTTTTAGTGAACTCCTTAGGATTTTCTAAATACAAGGTCATGTCATCTGAATATAGACAGTTTTATTTCTTTTTAACCTGAATGGCTTTTTTATTTTTCTTGCCTAATTGTCCTGGCTATAACCTCCAGTACAAATGTTAAATAGAAGTGATGAGAGTGGACATCTTTGTCTTGTTTCTGCTCTTAAGGGGAAGTATCTAATCTTTCACTAGTAAATATAATGGAAGTTGTGGGTTTATACTGCTATCCTATACCTTGATTTTTTGCATAAGATTTTATATCAGTACCTGTGTCACAACTTTATTCTTTGTAAATGTGACATAATATTTTATTTTATGGATATGTCAGGTTTTTTGAGTCAGCCTGCTGATATTTAGATGGCCTTTTTCTTACAAGTTATGCTGTAATGTGTAATCTTGCTACATGTTATTTTGTACATACACACACACACCTTTTTAGGATAGATCTGAAAAGAATCACTGTAAGGCCAGGCGCGGTGGCTCATGCCTATAATCCTAGCACTTTGGGAGGCTGAGGCGGGCGGATCACCTGAGGTCAAGAGTTCGAGTCCAGCCTGACCAACATGGAGAAACCCTGTCTCTACTAAAAATACAAAAATTAGCCAGGCATGGTGGCGCATGCCTGTAATTCCAGCTACTCAGGAGGCTGAGGCAGGAGAATCGCTTGAACCCGGGAGGTGGAGGTTGCAGTGAGCCGAGATCACATCATTGCACTCCAGCCTGGGCAACAAGAGCAAAACTCTATCTCAAAAAAAAAAAAAAAAAAAAAGTATCACTGTAATTTAGGTGGATATGGTGAATTTGCTTACCAGTGTATGTTCCCACTAGAAAAAATATGTCAAAGTGCCTGTCTTCTCCCATATTCTCATTAGCATGATGTGTTATCAGAATTTTTATCTCTGCCAATCTGATAAAGAGAAAAGGGATTTCATTATAGTTTTAGTTTGTACTTCTGAGTGAAGTTGTGTGTCTTTTCATATGTTTAAGAGATATTTGATACACAGTAGGTGACTATTGCAAATAACTATGTAATACATATTTCAAGATAGCTAGAAGAGAAGATTGTGAATGTTGGCATCCCAACGAAATAAATATTTAAAATAATGGATATGGTAATTACCCCATTTGATCATTATACTATGTATATACATGCATTGAAACGTCACATTGTACACCATAAATATGTACAATATGTATCAATTAGAAATATAAAATTAAATTTTTAAAGATAGGTTCCTAAATTTTTCTTTCTGTGAATTTCTTTGCTGAAACTCTTCACCCAGTTCTCTTAATGAGTTGTTGATCTTTTTCTTATTGATTTGTAGAAGTCCTTCGTAAGTAGGGAAATTAGCTTTCTGTCTTGAATATGATTTGTGTTTTGACCCTAGTTTGTCATTTGTATTTTGACTTTGTCGATTTTTGATGAGAAATTTAAAACGTTCATTAAGTTAATTTTATTGGGCCTTTTTTGAAATAATGTATGTATCTTTCAGATTTTGTGTTATAGTTAGAAAGATCCTTCCCACTCAAAGGTTATAAAAAGGTTATTGTGTATTTCCTCTGAATACTATTAAAGCCAAGCTTTTAAAATGTTGTTTTTTCTTTTAAAAATTTAACAGATTCCCTTTTCTGGTTTTTTGACATCTGTGTGGTTCTCCTGATTCTACAGATATATCTAAGAGAAGCTCAGCAGTGCTATTTAGAAGTTTCCTGAGTACCTTGATATGTAACTTATCTAATCTCGGAATTTGTATTTTGGTTAACTAGGCAATTTCTGATATGTTCTTTACTCACTAGAGAATTCCATTCTGATTTACTTACACTTACTCATCTTTTTTTTTTTTTTTTTTTCAGAGCAAAGCTCATCCTTTTTGATATAATGTATGCAGAAACAAAATAGAAATTGAGTTCTCCATTCTCTCTGTCTCATTTCTACTTTCTGCTCAAAAATTCTTTTTTATTTTTGAGTATTAGTGAGCCTGTGTTGATCTTGAGTTTTAGGTCTCTAGAATAAAAGAAGAGGGTGGTGCTTGATCACAGCCAAACTTATTTCCCATTTACTTAGCTTTTTCAAGAAATAATAAGTAACTACTACATACATAGCTCTTTTCTCAAAAGATAGAAACAAAATTTATGATATGGTCCTTGTGTTTTAGAAAGACCAGGTTTCTACACATAACAATAATATGATTGTTATTAGAAAATAATATTTGTCACTTTAGATATAGCCCACAACTTTTGTTTGCAAGCATGGTTGGAGTGTCCTTGAGTGAAATACCCAGAAGTTCTGAAAGAACATTTTCTTCTCTGAAGTTCATTTCTCAAAGGTGCAGTGGTGAATAAAATTCTCAGAACTGGATATTTAAGAAGGCTAGGCCATATTTGTATCAGCTGCAAATACTCAATGCCAGTCATAGAATGTTCTTCCAACCACTTGTGGCAAGTGAAATATATTTTTATTGAGTTATGCTAGTGTTGCAATAGTGCTCTTTAATTTAAAAAAAGAAAACAAGATTTATTTATTTAAATAGTATGTGGCTCACTTGCTCCTCTGGTTATTTTTTGTGTGTGTTTCCTTTGTCTTTTTTAGTTTGATTAGTTAAATTTAAGTTGGTACTTGCCTCTTGAAAGCTAATAAAAAAAATCTGACCTTAAAGTGAATTAGAGGTTCCAAGTTTTTGACAACATCTCAGAGCTTAAAAAGCTATATGTTAATAAATGTGGACCTGCATTTGCTTTCTTAGAAAAAGTAAAATTGATCCCAGTTGAATCCAAGTATGTTGGTTTTCCATGTTAATATATTTATAGCTACAGTTTCTAAAAAAACCTTTTTTTCTCCCTTCAATTTCTGTATTTTCTTTTTTTTTTTTTTTTTTTTTTTTTTGAGACGGAGTCTCGCTCTGTCGCCCAGGCTGGAGTGCAGTGGCGGGATCTCGGCTCACTGCAAGCTCCGCCTCCCGGGTTCACGCCATTCTCCTGCCTCAGCCTCCCAAGTAGCTGGGACCACAGGCGCCCGCCACTACGCCCGGCTAATTTTTTGTATTTTTTAGTAGAGACGGGGTTTCACCGTTTTAGCCGGGATGGTCTCGATCTCCTGACCTCGTGATCCGCCCGCCTCGGCCTCCCAAAGTGCTGGGATTACAGGCGTGAGCCACCGCGCCCGGCCAATTTCTGTATTTTCTAGTGAGATTCTCTTCTTCCATAGAACCAAACTGTGAGGCTGATATGAAAAAATCTTCAGATGTGCTTGGGTTCTTTTTCTAACATGATTCTGCCTTCTCACATGACTCTCCCCTGACCCCCAACCCCTTGCCATTAGTCTTTCCACATTCCTACTTCTCCTCACCCAATTTGGAAGCATTAGGTTAATACACATACTAAGGAATGGAGTTTTCAAGTCATTGATCATTTCTGTTCCTTTACTTCTCCTAAAGTCCTGAATTAAACCAAGGACTACTGTTGTCTAAAGTACTGTTGCTGATCATATAACATTTTCCTGAAGAAATAAATGGTCTTCATAGCTCTTACTTAGAGCAAAGGAGTGAAAGTCAAAGGGACGAGTGGTATTCTGAACCATAGAAGTATAAAATAACTGTGAGGATAGATACGGTGTAATGGAATTAACACATCTAGACTGGAAGAGCCATGCTAATCAGCAACAACTAAATTAGACTGACTGAGATGTATGTCATACATTTAAGTGAATGAGAATAATGCATCATTTATTGGATTGAATAATTAACTGCAATTTAATGTTAGAGTGGCTCTCTATATAAAGATGAAGTAAAGTAAGCTTTAATAGATGAGAGTTCAAGTCTTGGTGTTAGACTACTTGACTCTGCCATTCACCAGTAATGTGAACTCACGCAAATCACTTCACCTTTTTTTGCATCAGTTTCTTCGTCCATAGTGTGAGTATAATATACCTACCTTTGCTGAATACACACACACACACACACACACACACACTACTTAGAATATAGTATCCAACGCAGAAAAAAAAGCCCTTCAATAGATGTTAAGGTTCTTTCCTTCCTTTTTTTTTCCTTTGAAGCTTTCTTTTTATACTATGTTAAAAGAATTGGAGTATTACAAGGTTAAAGATGCTAAATCAGGTAGTGGCTTTTTATTCCAGCAAATATTTCTATCTAAACAATTGGCAATTCTAGCTTATTTCATAAGAGTTAACTAATTCTGTAGATTATTTTCTTTTTTTTTTTTCCAATGGTGATAGTCTTTTATGATAAATATTGAGTGTCCTCATCTTCTCATCCTTATCTGGCTTGTATTATATGTTCAGAAAATTACAAATTTACCCGTTTTCATTTTTTGTGGCATTTTCTAGTCTAATTTTTTTTTTTTTTTTTTTTTTTTGAGACGGAGTCTCTGTCACCCACGCTGGAGTGCAGTGGCATGATCTTGGCTCACTGCAGCCTCCGCCTCCTGGGTTCAAGCAATTCTCCTGCCTCAGCCTTCTGGGTAACTGGGATTACAGGCGTCCACCACCATGCCTGCCTAATTTTTGTATTCTTAGTAGAGATGGGGTTTCACCATGTTGGGCAGGCTGGTCTCGAACTCCTGAGCTCAAGTGATCTGCCCATCTTGGCCTCCCAAAGTGCTGGGATTACAGACATGAGCCACTGTAGTTTAATTTTTTTAATCTAAATCTCATAAAACTTCTTCCTCTATTTCAATTACTTTTGGTCTTTTGATATTTTTCTTTTTGTTTAGTAAGAGTTTTTTCTTCTTTCTCGGTATTTCATATGACTTTTAGAATTTCTTCTTTTAAGGTCTTTCTTTAAAATCTTGCTTAATATATAGCTTTCTTTTCCACTTAAGAACTTATTTTACTCCTGTGAATTACCTAGAAAAAATAGATTTAAGCAAGAAAAATTGTCTTTTAAAAATTAGAATGTTTTATTTGGACTCTGAAGGATCCACTCTATGGTAAAAATAACATCTAAAGTATGATAGTTTAGGTATCTGAAAAAGTTTAGTTGATACTGTTACCACTTGAAATGTGGATTTTTCTTTAGCAATCCTTGAAATGGATCTTAAAATATAAGATTTGCTATCTTACATGGTTTTGTTTATGAATTAAATTTTGATAATTACGCTTTTCCTGTCTTCAGAATTGTATAGCAACCATTTATCAGAAAAGCAAGGAATGCTTAAAAGTTGGAGCCGCTTAGTGTTCATTCTCAATTTGAACTTAACACTCGGCTTTACTCCTACTATGAAAGGATGATTAGAATTACTTTCGGCCGAGGGCGGTGGCTCATGCCTGTAATCCCAGCACTTTGGGAGGCCGAGGCGGGTGGATCACGAGGTCAGGAGATCAAGACCATCCTGGCTAACATGGTGAAACCCTGTCTCTACTAAAAATACAAAAAATTAGCCAGGCTTGGTGGCGGGTACCTGTAGTCCCAGCTACTTGGGAGGCTGAGGCAGGAGAATGGCGTGAACCCGGGAGGCGGAGCTTGCAGTGAGCTGAGGTCGCGCCACTGCACTCCAGCCTGGGCAACAGTGCGAGACTCCATCTCAAAAAAAAAAAAAAAAAAAAAAAGAATTACTTACTTTCTGTGACAGTGTGGTTGACGGTCTATTTTCTGTGGAAAAGATTGTGAGATTAAGAAAAAAACAACTTTACTTATAAAGACAGATGATCATTTCCCTGATTAAATTATATAGTCTTTTAAAATCCAGTTTAAGGGCCACTTGCTCTAAATTGACTTTTTTTTCCACTGATTTTCAACATTGGAAGATAGGAGCTTCCAGATTCTGGGGTTTCCAAAATTATTTTTATCATTTTAAAAAATATTAACATATAATTATTACATTCCTATTCCTTGTTTTTATTATGCTTAATCATTTATTTTAATAAAATGTAACAATAACATCTAGAGTTTGAGCCTTGACCCTAGGAGGTCGTTAGGAAATTCTCTTGGTGGTAAGGGACTGTAATAGGTTTTGTAAATAATTAGCTGACTTGTCCAGTTTTTTCATGGTTTAGTTATAAAAATGAGTTTTTCATGACTTTCAGGATAGAACTAGAGGCCAAGATTTATTATATTGCATGATATACTTACTGTAAAATCTATATATTGCCTCTGGTTGAAGTATTAAATTTGGTTTACATGAATTAAATCTCCAAGTAATATATTTTAAAACTTTACGAAAAAGAAATAAACCATGGTCTGGTGCAAATAACAAATAAGTATTACTACTTTAATATACTCTTATTTTTTCAGGCTCATGAGAGGCTAGAAGATTCCAAACTAGAAGCTGTCAGTGACAATAACTTGGAATTAGTCAATGAAATTCTTGAAGACATCACTCCTCTAATAAATGTGGATGAAAATGTGGCAGAATTGGTTGGTATACTCAAAGAACCTCACTTCCAGGTAACTTTCCCTATCACTCAACTCTCAAGTTCCCTGTATTCCCAAAGTATTCTCCTTTACTTTCCAGTTTAAGGTGATGTTTTCTTCAAAGATTATTTAGGGCTATAATAGGTAAGTATGTAAATTCCAACCTTGGTATTTTAATGTCCTCATATGCTGAGGATATATAAAGAGACATATGTAACAATAATGCTACATAAATGTACACTGTTACAGAAATACATCACAATGGATTTTTCTTTGTGCCATTAAAGAAAACAACCTTAATTCACCGTCAGACCACATGCTGGAGCCATTTTCCTCACTATGATAATGGATTTTTTTCTTCCTCATTCCCATTCTGTTTCTTAGTCAATACTTTTTAGTATTGCTTCTCAAGATTGTTGTGCAGTCAGTGACCATGGAACATAGAGAGCTGTGAAGTATAGAAACTATTGTATAACATAATCTCCACAGGTACAGAAATAAGTATGATTTTAGCAATGGCCTGTACCAATGAAGAGTTCATCAGTTTTACAAAGAAGAATGCATTTCAGAAGAGAAAAGACAGGAAAGATTTCTTGTAAACGTATAATAATTAAGACAGTGTGGTATTGGGGAAGGTGTTAGAAAAATTAACTCATTGAAAAGAATGGAAATCCCCGATAAATACATCCAGCCGTATATGGTAACTTGATTTATGACTGGGACACTGCATTTTCGTGGAAAAAGAATGGTGCTGGGATAGAATAAAGTAAATGTCACCTGCTTTCCCCTGCAAATCTTAGCACTGAAAATCAAATGGTAACAGCCTTTTGCTCTTTCTCAGCCAAAGATTTTATGTGACTCTTCAACAATGTTACTGCAAAATATGAAGGTTTATAGTGAGATGGTTCCGACATAAATTAGTGTCTTAGGTACAAAAGAAATATGGACACATATCTCAGAGACATATCCTGTGCAGGTCCCAGTTGATTGAGTCCTTATAAAGGCATACTGAGTTATTTGGACTTTATCGTAAGGACAATGGGAAACTTTAGGTGTGGAGGGGGAGATGAATAGGAAAGGAGGATGGGTTGGGTATTAACCAGGGAAAGGTCAGGTTTGTGAAATGAGATGGTTAAGTTCCAAGGCAAGAAATTATGATGGCAGTACGTATAGATAGAAATTTAAAGACTTTCAAGTTTTAATGAATAAAATCAACAGGATATAGTGATTGGTTGCATATGACAGTTGTAGAAGAGAGATGTGGGAAGTTGATAACACAATTTATGACTTAAACGATGGCTGTTGAATGAGGTAAGGAACACTAGAAGAAAATGTTTTGGACATACTTATGTTAAGGAAACTGGCCACCTTAGGTTTGTGATACATTGGAAGCATCTAGGTTTTCAGGAATGCTACTTATTATTAGTAAATATTTGTAATTTAATAAATATATAAGCACATACATTATATGAAGTGTAGCATATAAAAATTTTAGAATACCAGCAAATAAAAATACAAAAATGAAGACATTGCTTTTCTTCTACCCAGATCACTATTGTACTCTTAGCGCATATTCATCCATATTTTTCTATGCACAAATGTACATATATAATTTTTTTACTAATTTGAGATTTTGCACAAACTGTTTTAACTTACTCTTTTTTTAAGTTATTGATTTCTAATTTTCTGTTTCAGTGAACTTCCATCTCATATAATACACACACCATATTCAGACTTCTCCATTTGATACCACAATATTATTTACAGGTGGTTTGTACATATAAGTGTCCAGTTTAGGTCCATGTGTGGCAGCTGGTTGCACCATACCTTTTCCCCTTGATTATGACATTGACCTATTGAAAAGACCAGGCTATTGTCCTGCAGAATGTTCCACCCCCGGATTTGTTTAGTTACTTCCCTGTGGTGTTGATGTTATTTCTTCTATTTCCTATAAACAGAAGTTCTATCTAAAAAGTTGATGATTCAAGTTGATTATTTGGAGCTAGAATACATCTTAAGTGATACGATGCAACATGAATTAAACTGCATTAGAAGATGTGTAATACCTTTTGGCCCACCACAGGGCTGAGATTGGTCCTTTGATTAAAGGTGGTGATGGCCTAATCCTTTCTTTGATTACTGGGAAGTAATCAATTGTGTTTTTATCTTAACATTATACAAATTCTGTTCTCTATCAACCATGTACCTACTGATGAACACAAGTTAATAATCCTTGCCTAAATCAATATTTTCTTTTTTCTTTTTTTTTTTTTTTTACTTTTGTTTTAGGATTAGGGGTACATGTAAAGGTTTGTTACATAGGTAAACACATGTAATGGGGGTTTGTTGTACATATTATTTTACCACACGGATATTAAGCCCAGTACCCAATAGTTATCTTGTCTGTTTCTCTCCCTTCTCTCACCCTCCCCACTCAGGTAGACCCCAGTCTCTGTTTTTCCCTTCTTGTTGTTCATAAGTTCTTACCATTTAGCTCCCACTTACAAGTGAGAACATGCATTATTTGGTTTTCTGTTCCTGCGTTAGTTTGCTAAGGATAATAGCCTCCAGCTCCATTCATGTTGCCACAAAAGACATGATCTCATTTTTATGGCTGCCCAACCTCATTGATCTTTTGAAAGGTTTTTTGGTATTCCATGGTGTGTGTGTGTGTATATATATATATATCACATTTTCTTTATCCAATCTATCATTGACAGGCATTTAGGTTGATTTGTGTCTTTGCTGTTGTGAATAGTGCTGCAATGAACATTTGCATGCATGTCTTTATGGTAGGAAGATTTATATTCCTCTGGGTATATACCCAGTAATGGGATTGCTGGGTCAAATGGTAGTTCTGCTTTTAGCTCTTTGATGAATCTCCATACTGCTTTCTACAGTGGTTGAGCTAATATACATTCCCACCAAGAAGGTACGAGTGTTCCCTTTTCTCTGCAACCTTAACAGCATCTGGTATTTTTTGACCTTTTAATAATAGCCATTCTGACTGGTGTGAGATGGTGTCTCATTGTGGTTTTGATTTGCGTTTCTCTAACGATCAGTGATATTGAGCTTTTTTTCATATCCTTGTTGGCCACATGTATGTCTTCTTTTGAGAAGTGTCTGTTCATGTTCTTTGCCCACTTAAATGGGCAAAGAACTTGTATTTGTTTAAGGTCCTTATAGATGCTGGATACTAGACATTTGTCAGATGCATCATTTGCAAATGTTTTCTCACATTCTGTAGGCTCTTTACTCTGTTGATAGTTTCTTTTGCTGTGCAGAAGCTCTTCAGTTTAATTAGATCTCATTTGTCAATATTGGCTTTTGTTGTGATTGCTTTTGATGTCTTTGTTGTGAAATCTTTGACCATTCCTATGGCCAGGATGGTATTGCGCAGGTTGTCTTCTGGGGTTTTTACATTTAAATCTTTAATCCATCTCAAGTTGATTTTTGTGTACTATATAAAGAAGGGGCTGAGCTTCAATCTTCTGCATATGGCTAGCTGGTTATCCCAGCACCATTTATTGAATAGGGAGTCTTTTCCCCGTTGTTTGTTTTTGTCAGCTTTGTCAAAGATCAGATAGTCATAGATGTGCAGCCTTATTTCTAAGCTCTCTTTTCTGTTCCACTGGTCTATGTGCCTGTTTTTGTACCAGTATCATGCTGTTTTGGTTACTGTAGCCTTGTAGTATAGTTTGAAGTTGGGTAATGTGATGCCCCCAGCTTTGTTCTTTTTGCTTAAGATTGCCTTGGCTATTCGGGCCCTTTTTTGGTTCCATATGAATTTTAAAATATTTTTTTCTAGTTCTGTGAAGAATGTCATTGGTAGTTTGATAGGAATAGCATTGACTCTGTAAATTGCTTTGGGCAGTGTAGCCATTTTAATAATATTGGTTCTTCCTATCCATGAGCACGGGATGTTTCTCCATTTGTTTGTGTCTTCTCTGATTTCTTTGAGCAGTGTTTTGTAATTCTCATTGTAGAAATCTTTCACCTCCCTGGTTAGCTATGTTCCTAGGTAATTTATTCTTTTTGTGGCAATTGTGAATGGGATTGCCTTTCTGATTTGGCTCTTCCTTTGGCTGTTGTTGGTGTATATGAATGCTAGTGATTTTTGTACATTGATTTTGTATCCTGCAAAATTTGTATCATTCGGAAGGATACAAAGGACTTTGTATCCTTGGCTGAAGTTATCAGCTGGAGGAGCTTTTGGGCTGAGACTATGGGGTTTTCTATATATAGAATTACGTCATCTGCAAACAGAAATAGTTTGTCTTCCTCTCATCCTATCTGGATGCCCTGTATTTGTTTCTCTTGCCTGATTGCTCTGGCTGGGACTTCTAATACTATGTTGAATAGAAGTGGTGAGAGAAGTCATCCTTGTCTTGTGCTGGTTTTCAAGGGGAGTGCTTCCAGCTTTTGCCCATTCAGTATAATGTTGGCTGTGGGTTTGTCATAGATGGCTCTTATTATTTTGAGGTATGTTCCTTTAATACCTAGTTAATTGATAATTTTTAACATGAAGGGTTGTTGAATTTTATTGGAAGCCTTTTCTGCTCTATTGAGGTAATTATGTAGTTTTTGTCTTTAGTTCTGTTTATGTGATGAATCACATTTATTGATTTGCAAATGTTGAACAGACCTTGCATTCTGGGGATGAAGCCTACTTGATCATGGTGGATTAGCTTTTTGATGTGCCGATTGATTTGGTTTGCAAGTATTTTGTTGAGGATTTTGACATTAATGTTTGTCAAGGATATTGGCCTAAAGTTTTCTTTTTCTGTTGTGTTTCTGCCAGGTTTTGATATAAAGATGAGGCTGCCCTCATAGAATTAGTTGGGGAGGAGTTCCTCCTCAGTTTTTTGGAATAGCTTTTCTGTAGGAATGGTACCATCTCTTATTTGTACATCTGATAGCATTCAGCTGTGAATCCATCAGGTCCCAGGCTTTTTTTGGTTGATAAACTATTTATTACTGATTCAATTTCGGAGGTTGTTATTGGTCTATGCAGGGAATCAATTTATTCCTGGCTCAGTCTTCGGAGGTTGTATATGTCTAGGAATTTATCTCTCTTCTAGGTTTTCTGGTTTGTGTGCATGGAAGTGTTCATAGTAGTTTCTCATGGTTGTTTTTATTTCTGTGGGTTCAGTAGTAACATTCCCTTCATCATTTCTAATTGTGTTTATTTGGCTCTCCTCTCTTTTCTTCTTTATTAGTCTAGCTAGTGGCTTGTCTATTAATTTTTTCAAAAACCCAACTCCTGGATTCTGATTTTTTGTTGTTGTTGTTGTTGTTTTAATTTAATTTAATTAATTTTTTTTTTTTTTTGAGATGGAGTCACTGTGTTGTCCAGGCTGGAGTGCAGTGGCACGATCTCGGTTCTCTGCAGCCTCCACCTCCCAGGTTCAAGCAATTCTCCTGCCTCAGCCTCCCAAGTAGCTGGGACTAGGCAGTCACGTGCCGTGACACCCAGCTAATTTTTGTATTTTTAGTAGAGACAGTGTTTCACTATGTTGGCCAGGCTGGTCTTGAACTCCTGACCTCAGGTGATCTGCCCACCTCGGCCTCCCAAAGTGCTGGGATTACAGGCGTGAGCCATCATATCATGCCCAGCCTCATTGATCTTTTGGAAGGTTTTTTGTGTCTCAGTTTTCTTCAGCTCAGCTCTAATTTTTGTTATTTCTCATCTTATTCTAGCTTTTGGGTTGTAAATCAGAATTTTCATTAGAGGTTGCAAAATGACGTTTTTCTGTTCTACATTATTAGCTAGTATTCTTCCATAATGTAGAGCTTCTCATCAACTGGGCTGCTTAGTGCATTTCTACTGAAGAGGCAGGAATGTACTTGATCCTTCCTTTTACTAAGTTTCAAAGTGAAGAGCTGTTTAAAATTGCAGTTTCAAGTGGTAACAAATGAGTTTTTTCAGTCTTTTTTTAAATAGCATTGTGGATCTATGGATTTTTTATTCAGTGTTTTAATCTTTTACAATCCCTACTTTTGATTTTCAAATTGCCGTGACTTTGACGAGTTGTGGGCAAATTTTTACTATAAAAATCTGAAGCACATGAGATTTCTGAACTAGAGATAGAAATTTAAGAGTTGTCAATGCATAAGTAGTGGCTCAAGTCACAGGAGTAAATGAAACTGCCAAAGGAGGATATAGGGTGGAAAACTAAGCAGCGCAGGTTAGCAACTTCCAGCATTTATAGGAAGAATCCTTACATATGGATTTATGAGTTGTTTTATTGAATTTTTTTCTCCAGTGTTTCACAAATTGTTTTATGAAATGACCAGAAATTACCAATTATCCTGATTGCTTTTTTCCCGAACCTGTTAATATTTGCTTCTTTCTATTTTGATTTATTGTTTTTGAACTTGAATTCTATCCAGCCCCTCAAGAATGTTAACTTATCTTTATGTTGAATATGCACAGTTGCAGTAAAAATTATTCTTTTTTTTTTTTTTTTTTTTGAGACAGAGTTTCACTCTTGTTGCCCAGGCTGGAGTACAATGGTGCAATCTCGGCTCACTGCAACCTCTGCCTCCCGGGTTCAAGCAGTTCTCCTGCCTCAGCCTCCCGAGTAGCTGGGATTACAGGCACACACCACCACGCCCAGCTAATTTTTTGTGTTTTTAGTAGAGACAGAGTGTTGCCATGTTGGCCAGGCTAGTCTTGAACTCCTGACCTCACATGATCCACCTGCCTCGGCCTCCCAAACTGCTGGTATTACAGGCATGAGCCACCGCGCCTGCCCTAAAAATTATTCTTTTAGGATAAGAAATGAAAAAAAATTTAACATTTTAGTATTAATTAAGAAATTCCTTGGGAGGCCGAGGTGGGCGGATCATGAGGTCAGGAGATCGAGACCATCCTAGCTAACACGGTGAAACCCCGTCTCTACTAAAAATACAAAAAATTAGCTGGGCATGGTGGCATGCGCCTGTAGTCCCAGCTACTTGGGAGGCTGAGGCAGGAGAATCACTTGAACCCAGGAAGTGGGGGTTGCAGTGAGCCGAGATCACACCACTGCACTCCAGCCTAGGTGACAGAGTGAGACTCTGTCTCAAAAAAGAAAAAAAAAAAGCAATTCCTAGAAAGCTAGATCAAAACCACCCATGCTGGTAGCACATACATAGTAAGTATAGGAGGTAAAAAAAATACGTTATATTCGGGACTATTACTGACTTGTTTTTTTGCTCAAAAAATGTTCCTTTTATAAACTAAAACCTTTATTGGTAATATAAAATTTTTTGTCACTGATATAAGATGCTAATATTTATCCATTTTCTGTTGGACATCTTTTAACAGACGTTTTCTACATATAAAAAGTATATCATATTACTAACATAGCAATGTTAGGTAAAAATGTCATTTGAATTTGAATTTTTATGGTATTTTAGTAAATAGGATTGATGGTAAATATTGAATGATATGATGACAGTGGTGGCAATAAAACCCAGTACCTTCATTGCACCAGACTGGAAACCTAGGTTCAGTTTCCAGTGAACTTGCCAGTTTTTAAAAAGCATCACTAATATCTCTTCATATCTCAAAGAAGGAATATAATATTGTTTGATGATAATAAAACTATATATTTTTATATCTCTTAAAAATTATATATTTATTTGATCAACCTGATATTTGGGAATTTAATACCATGTGCCTTGGAAATTTTTAGTACTCCATTGGAATAATGAAATAACAAAGTACTTTTAGTAACAAATTTCATCCACATATCATAAATAACCACAGGCTATTTTGACTCCTTATAGTCACTGTTGGAGGCCCATGATATTGTGGCATCAAAGTGTTATGATTCACCTCCATCAAGCCCAGAAATGAATAATTCTTCTATCAATAATCAGTTATTACCAGTAGATGCCATTCGTATTCTTGGTATTCACAAAAGAGCTGGGGAACCACTGGTGAGTACAGATAAATCAGTACCCTATTAAATCTGAAATATGACATAATTTGTGGTTCAGTCACTACTCTGTTTCATTTTTTTTCCTTTTCATAATGTTATGAAAACTGTATTCTTGTTTGGCCTGTGTATAAAGACACAGCTGATGCTTTCTCAACTTGGTTTAGCCTGCAAAATTTAACTAAAATGAAAAGTTAAACTGAGCTAGAAGTAGAAATATGGCAAGGGGTAGCAAAAAATTTCAGAAGATGACTATTATGTTTCTTCCTACCCTTTGAAGACATGAACTACCCTTTGAAGAAATACTGACAGTATCAAAATATAAAAAGAAGTTGTTATTAAAAATTGAAGCCATACTAGGACTCTCTAAGTAGTGAAGTTTACTATTCCTTGGTAAAATTATTACTTCTGGATCCTGACTATAAGAACAGTGAGTGCAAAAAAGGAAAAGCCAGGAATAAGTCCATCAGAATGCACAAATACCTTTTCCTGCTCTCTCGAGTTTCCATTTAGCCTGTAAGATACATCCTATCCACTAGTGTAATAAACTATACTAGTACACAGTTTAATGGGAGTGAAATATTGAGACAGGAGAGAACATGGGAAAAGTAAGAATGATTCATTTTACCTAGTTTTAGAATTATTTTCTTACATATGCTCATGAATATTTAAGCATTTCTCCCTAATAATTAATGAGAAATCTGTTTCTTATTTTTCATAGGGTGTGACATTTAGGGTTGAAAATAATGATCTGGTAATTGCCCGAATCCTCCATGGGGGAATGATAGATCGACAAGGTCTACTTCATGTGGGAGATATAATTAAAGAAGTCAATGGCCATGAGGTTGGAAATAATCCAAAGGAATTACAAGAATTACTGAAAAATATTAGTGGAAGTGTCACCCTAAAAATCTTACCAAGTTATAGAGATACCATTACTCCTCAACAGGTTAGTAATAAAATTTTTGGTAGTATTAAAAATACTTTCATGTTTTTAATCACAGTGTTGGAAATAACTATCAGTTGCTACTATTTTGCTAAAGAAAAGAGAAAAAATTGATTTGAGTGTTCTGAAATGGCTTATTTTGTCATGGGTGAATTTTTGAATTTTTAAACAATGCTATTTTACTATTGTAAAGGAAATAGTAGATTTCTTCATTAACACCAGGAACCCTGGCATAATAGTAACCTACAGCTAGGTATCAGAAGAACCATAAAGTCTTTGAATTACTAATCTAGTAAACATTTCTGACAGCTGTTATGTTCAGGCATTGTATTAGGCCCTGGGAGAGGATAAAAATGCAGTCCAGATCACCTCCAGCTTAGTGTTTGTGTCATGGGTGAAATGACTGATGAGGCCAGAAAAGAGGATGGGTATAAAGAAAATCTTGGACCCCTGGTTTGCACACATTTGATCTGTATTTTAAAACTAATTTTAGGTAAACTAGGTAATTGAACGGGAAAATGTTTTAGTTATAGAGATTGTCTAGACTCGGTATGTTAAGTGAATTCAAAAAGAAGAGAGATGAGATTATGTAACCAGGTGGCAGATTTTTGAAGGTGTGAGGTGATTTGTGAACAACAGCTCTAATGAATGGTTAAGATGACCACTTAGGTTCAAATACCAGTGCTGCCAGTTATCAGCTTACCTTCTCTGTGCTTCATTTTTCTCATCTATATAGTTAGGGATAAAATTTGTTTTCTCAAAAGATTGTTATGAGGATTAAACGAGTTAATTCATGTAATGCTCTCACAGCAACACCTGGCACATAATGAGTGCTCAAGAAGTGGCTGCACTTGCTGTGGTGATGACGCAGTAGTGGTGAAATGGAACCGTAAAGAAAGAAAAAGAAATTGCGGAGGAAGAATTGAAAATTATGATAGGAGTGTTGGAACCAAAGAGAGGGTTTTCAAGCCTAAGTAATGTAGAAGTAGATGCCTCTAATGCTTAGGTTTATTCCAGAAATTTATTGTTTGATGTATGAATGAAATTATAAGTTTTCTTACATAAGATACTGCCAGTGTATCTTATTTCATATTGTTAAAATGAGAGTTTAAAAGTCTAGTTCTTACATTTCCATACAGTTATTTGAAATAACATTTCATTGAATGTCTATTTTAAACTGTTCTTTCAAAGGTAAGGATAGATTATTTAGTCATTAATATTAGCATGTAAATTGAACTTATGAAAATAGATAGGCTTGTAATTAACTTTGGTTGAAATGAAGGTAGTTTTGTGGTCCTCAAGGAAAAGAATTGTGAAAAATAAATGATATTAGTACTTAGACATTTCATATCACTAGTACCTCTCAGGCTACCTTTATTCCTCAGTTGGCAACTTTCAATTTGTGACAGCCTGAGGCCTTATCTTGGACCTGCGTACGCTGGAAGAGTAAAATCTAGGATTTACGTATTTTATTTATTATTATGTGTTAGTTGTAGTAGGAAGATCTTATTTTCCTTCTGTGGTCTAAACTCCAGAATTCTTCTAGCTCACCATGGCTATAAGAGACTTTTACAGGCAAAATAAAATTTTATAATATTAATAACTAGGGCTTTGGCCCAAATTCCTACATAGATTTTGCATCTGGTGAACTAACTGAATACCATGAAATGCAAGGACATTTAGCCTTGTTTAAACATAAGTTTTCCACATTCCATACCCTCTCAAACTCTGCTTTTCACTTAGCATTTAGAGCTGGGGAAATGAATTCAAGTAGGAGAGGAGGAGTCTTATAAGTCCGAGGTAGCCTGAGGCGTGTCCTCCCATAAAGAAGTAAAGAAACTATAACATGAAGGCTTCCAAAAGAACATCCAAATTGAGACTTTTTTTTTTTTAAATGAAAAGGGGAACATTACTCATATGCTGGAATAATAGGCATAAACCAGGGCATCTGCAAACCATGGGCATCCTACTGAGATGCTATAGGGAAGCAAGGGCATTTTGCGTCTTCAACTCTTTCACTAAAATCTCCACCATGTAGTGCTGTGGAGCTAGTCTCAGCTCTGGATTGCTGCAAGAGCAAATGAAAGCCAAGAACTCTTCCCTACCACGGTAATGTTTTTCAAAAGCATAGTCAGTAGATGATCTTTATCAGAATCGTTTCAGGTGCTTGGTAAAAGTCCAGAATCTGCTATGGGACATAAGTATCTATGTTTTAAATTTTGAGGGCCAGAGTGAGTTAGAAGTAGCCAATTCTGAAGTTCTTCAACTTTCTTATAGCTTAGATTTCCGGGGGCTATTCGTAATTCCATTTGTTTATTAAGGCCAACTGATAGGAATTCTCTCTTATTCTTTGGAACCAACATGACCTGGACAACTAGAAACAATATAAGAAAATATATTACAGGACTGTTTCATTCAAGGATATACATTAAAAATTCTCAACAAAATATTAGCAAATCAGATTTGATTGTGTATATAACAAAGATGATACAACATATCCAAGTTAGATTTATTATCCCAGGTATGCTAGGAGAGTTTCATATTAGAAAATCCATATGTATGTAACTAAGCACATTACCAGATGAAAAGAGAATAACCTCAATGGAGAATTTGATAAAATTCAATGATTTTTAAAAAATGATTAGTAAATTAGGAACAGAAGGGAAAAGCCTTAATTTTATTACAAAAAAAAAAAATAGAACAAACATTATTCTGAATTAACTAATGTTAGAAGCTTTCCCTTTAAAGTCAGAAACTGGCCTTGCAGCTGGTCTGCCTGAGACCTCTAGTGCCAACCCCAATACCCCACGAAGTTTAATTTCCACTCACGAAATTCCACTTTCGTTTTCATTATAAAATGAAAAAGCCCTCACAAACCATGAAAAACTTGCCAGATTTCAAGCACAATTGTGCACTGGTAAAAAGGAACTGCCCTCAGATGATACAGCAAACATTATCTGTTAAAACAGATGATAAAAAAAATCTTCAGTTTTCCTGAAAGAAAGTAGAAATAGGCAATATCTCTGATACTAAAGAGGTATGTCTGCAAACCAAGGAATGGTGATCTTCATTAACAATCCCAGTGTTCAGACATCTCTAGCAGCGAACACTTTGACCATTACCAGACATGCTGAGACAAAGCAGCTAACAGAAATGCCACCCAGTGTCTTAAACCAGCTTGGTGTCAACAAGCTTAAGGAAACTGGCAGAAGCTGGATGGAAAAGTACCACTTACTATTGGGGAAGTGGTGATCTTGTTCAGAATTTTGATGAAGCTTCCAACAGTGAGGCAAACTGAATTGATTCAGCTTCTAAAAAATAATACAATTTCAAGAATTTTAACTGCTTTTAAAATTTTTGTTTTATATATGATAAAATGTAAGTCTATAAATTCCAAGACCCTTGGACACTGCTTTTTAATTATTGATTATATACAGTTATTTATTGGCAATTAATTAGCCAGAAAATAGTTTAAAACAAAGATAAAGCCTTTGCCTAGTTAAAAAAAAAAAAAGAAACTAGAGAAGGATGCTCACTAGCACCACTTATATTTAATATTTTCTTGAAGGATCCATAAGTACAGTATGACAAAAATAAATTATACAAGCAAAATGTTTGGAAAGGAGGCAATAAAACTTATTTACAAATATGATCATGTTTTTGCATAGAAACCCCTCAAAACTACAACTTATTAGAAATAATAGAGTTTACCAAGGTACCTGAAAATAAGATGAAGACACAAAACTCAATTGCATTTCTGTATGTCATCAGCAAACGTCTAGAAATGTAACTATGACATCATTTATAGTAGAGTCAGAGAATGTCACATTTATGTCTAGGAATAAATTAACCAAAAAAATTCAAGACCTCTACACAAAGGAATTATGAAGAGGATCTAAATAAGCAGGTATATCATGTCATGGACAGGAAGACAATATTGTGAAGATGTTGATTTTTCACTCATTAACTTGTAGATTTAATGGAATTCCAGTCAAAACAGGGTTTTCCATGGAATTTGATAAGATGAATAGCCAAGACACTTTTGAATCAGAAAAGCAGGAATGGGGTCTGATTATTAATATGTAGGAATTAAGATATTGTGATGTTGGCATAGGAAGAGACAGCATGATCAATGGACTTTTAGAGAGCTCAGAAAGAGACCTACACATACATATTACTTTGATATGTGACAGAGATAATGTTTTTCAATGTGGAAAGGAGATGATGCAATGAATGGGGGGAACCTGGTTATTCTAGGGATACTGTTTGAAATTGTGTTTCACTCTACACAGAAAAATCAAGTAAAAGGGGACATGTGTTCAGTAAACATATAAAGATATATTGAAAATCATAATGTGATATACCATTAAGTTGGTAAAAATTATAGCTGTGAATCAACAGCATCTTTTCTACATTGCTGGTGGCAGTGTGTATTGGTATAAACACATTGGGGAGAAAAGTTTAATGTCTCTTAGAGTTAAATATTCACATATATCAAGCTGCAGTAATTCCCTAGAGCAATTCTTACGTATGTACAGCTGGAAACATGTTAATAAGCATATAAACCCCAAAAGATTACATGCATATAGCATGATACTATTTTTTTACGTTTAAAATAACTATATAAAGAGTACGTATAGATGCAGTAGAACTATAATCAAAATGTAAAGCAAGGAGTTTGTGAACCCAGGATTCAGGGTGAAGTGTGCCTTGGTTGGGGAAACCGAATGATGGGATGGGATGGAATGAGGGCAGGAGAATCAAGTAGGATTTTAATGTTAGTTTTAGGTGGCAAGTGCATAGCTGTCTATTATATTATTAAAACTAATTGAATCGACAAAAGCAGTCCTTGCACGAACCAGTGATATAAACTTAAGAATTATGATTAGTATAATTTTGGCCTAGGTTAGTAGTTAGTAGATTTTTTTTTTTTTTTTTTTTTTTTGAGATAGAGTCTAGCTCTGTCACCCAGGTTGGAGTGCAGTGGCGTGATCTTGGCTCACTGCAGCAGCGTGATCTTGGCTCACTGCAGCCTCCACCGCCCGGGTTCAAGTAATTTTCCTGCCTCAGCCTTCCAAGAAGCTGGGACTACAGGTGTGTGCCACCATGCCTGGCTAATTTTTATATGATTTTTAAAATAAAATTTTTTATTTGGCTGAGGCTTCAATTTGTGGCCCTCAGGTATTTATCAGAAAGGAACGTGGATTGCCCTTCAAAACTTTTTTAACCAAACATACCTTCTTGTTATCTTGCTGTTATCAAAAATGTGTGTGTACATCTGTATTTAACGAAGTAGACCAAGTTCGTACACTGAAAATTTTTAGAAAAAGAGCATCCTTCCTTGATCATCTCAGCTAGTGTCATGGAAAATCTCTTAGCAATGATAATCACTTTGTTCACCATCTTGTCACTCACTCTGAAATGCAGATTCAGATGGGCCTGGAACTATGGTTTAAGAAGTAGGTTCAATAAGCAACATTTGCACCATGTTTAGCCAACACATTCCCAAATGAATTACTAGCCACCTTCTGATTTAACATCAGGGTCAAGGTGGAGCTGTTTTTCTAGCCGTTTCATCCATTTAATTTTTCTCCCACTAATTATTGTCATTTGCATAAGCATAGTGTATTCCTGTGCAATATTTCCTCAATACTTTTACTGTTTTTATCTTTACTTTTAAAAATATCCTTGAGATAAAGTTTATATAAATAACATAAAGTGTACAATTTGATACATGTGGACATACATAATATACCCATGAAGTCAACACAATTGAGATGATGAACACTCCCAGAAATTTATTTGTGTCCATTTCTTTCTCTTTTTTTTTGAGACAGGGCCTCACTCTGTCACCCAGGCTGGAGTGCAGTGACATGATCACAGCTCACTGCAGCCTCAGCCTCCCAGGGCTCAGATAATCCTTCTACCTCAGCCTTCTGAGTAGCTGGGACCACAGGCATGCACCACCACACCCGGCTAATATTTGTATTTTTTCTTTTTTTTTGTAGAGACAGGGTTTCGCTACATTGTCTAGGCTGTCTTGAACTCCTGTGCTCAAGCGATCTGCCTGCCTCAGCCTGCTAAAGTGCTAGGATTACCGGCATAAGCCATTGCTCCCGGCCTCCCAGCTTCTTTGTGTCCACTTCTCATTCTTCCCTCCTACTCCCTTTCTCTCTACCACCCCTGACTCCAGGCAGCTACTGCTCTGCTTTTTGTCACTTTAAATTATTTTGCATTTTCCTTATTTTTATATAAATGGAATACCTGTATTCTTTTTTGGATTTTGTTTGATTCGTTTGTTTAGCTTCCCTCACTCAGCATAGTTGTTTGGAGATTCATTCATGTTATGTATATTGATAGTTCATTTCTTTTTATTGACAAGTGATATTCCATTGCATGGCTGTACCACAGTTTGTTTATCCATTACCTGGCTGATGAACATTTTTTTGTTACCAGTATGGGGCTTTTACAAATAAAGCTGCTATGGACATTTACATGTAAGTCTCTTGAGTATATACCAGGGGTTGAAGGATTGAGTCATATGGTAGGTATATGTTGTACTTTTGAAGAAATGACTAAACCGTTTTCAAAAGTTAGTATAACAACTTAAATTTCCACCAACATTATATGAAAGTTCCAATTACTCTACATTTTGGGCAACATGTGGTATGGTCAGTCTTTAAAATTTTAGCCATTCTAATAGTGTGTAGTGGTATCTCACTGTGATTTTAATTTGCATTTTCCTAATAACTAATAATATTGAACATGTTTTTATGTGTTTATTTGCCATACTTCTGTGCACTTTGGCGAAGTGTCTTCAAATATTTTGTCCATTTTTTGTTGAATTGTTTTTCTTAGTTTTGAGTATTCTTTATGTATTCATTATACAAGTGCTTCATCAGAATTGGGATTTGCCAGGACTTTCTTCCAGTCTCTATCTTGTCTTTTCATTCTCTTAACAATGTCATTCAAAGAGCAGAAGTTCTGAATTTTGATGAAATCCAATTTATGATTTTTTTTCTTTGAGTCATCCTTTTGTGGCTTTAAGAAGTCCTTGTATAACCTAAGGTCATGAAGATTTTCTCCAATTTGTTTTCTACAAGTTTTACAGTTCTATCTATGCTGTACCTCTGAGTCTATGATACGTGTACTGTATGTTAATTTTTATATAGGATGTGAGGAAAGGATCAGAGTTTATATTTTGCATATGAATATTCAATTTTTCCAGCTCAGTTTGTTGAAAAGACTATTTCTTTCATCAAATTTAGAAAAACTTTGACAATAATTTCTTCAGACATTTTTTTCTATTTTTCTGTTTCTCCTGTCCTTTGGTGACTGTAGTTACATGTATATTAGGCCCATTGAAGTTGTCCCATGGGTCACTGATTAGTTCATTTATTTCAGCCTTTTTTCTCTGTATTTTTCATGTTGGATGTTTTCTATTGTTTTGTTTTCAAGTTTACTAATCTTTTCTTTTGCAATGTCTAATCTGCTATTAATCACACCTAGTGGGTATTTTTCATCTCAGATATTTTGGCTTTCATTTCTAGAAGTTCAGATTGGGTCTTTTTTATATCTGCATGTGTTTAATAGACTTAATCCTTCCTATAGTTTCTTGAACCATGAATATAATATGTAAAGTTGAAACAATTACTGTAATGTCCTTTTCTACTAATTCTAGCACATTTGACATTTCTGGGTCATTCTTCATTGATTTTTCTCCTTGTTATAGGTTATTTCCTCCCTCTTTGCGTGCTTGGCCATTTTGATTGGCTGCCAGGCATCAAAAATTTTACCTTGTTGGGTGCTGGATATTTTTGTATTAGAAATATTCTTTTTTTTTCTTCCAACTTTTTTTTTTTTTTTGAGACAGAGTCTCGCTCTGTTGCCAGGCTGGAGTGCAGTGGCACGATCTCGGCTCACTGCAACCCCCACCTCCTGGGTTCAAGTGATTCTCCTGCCTGAGCCTCCCAAGTAGCTGGGACTACAGGCACGTGCCACCAGGCCAAGCTAATTTTTTTTTTTTTAGTAGAGACAGGGTTTCATCACGTTGGCCAGGATGGTCTCGATCTCTTGATCTCGTGATCCATCTGCGTCAGCCTCCCAAAGTGCTGGGATTGCAGGTGTGAGCCACTGCACCCGGCCCTTCCAACTTCTAGGTTCAAGGGGTATGTGTACAGGTCTGTTACATGGATAAATTGCATGTTTCTGGAGTGTAGTGCACAAATGATTTTGTCACCCAGGTAGTGAGCATGATACCTGATAGGTAGTTTTTCAGTCCTCACCCTCCTCTTATCCTCTGCCTTCAAGTAAGCCCCAGGGTCTGTTGTTCCCCTCTTTGTGTCGATATGTACTCAATGTTTAGCACCCACTTACAAGTGAGAACATGCAATAATCTGGTTTTCTGTTCCTGCATTAATTGGCTTAAGATAATGGCCTCCAGCTATGTCCATGTTGCTTAAAGGACATTTTATTCTTTTTATGGCTGCATAGTATTCCATGATGTATATGTACCAAATTTTCTTTATCCAGTCCACCATTATTGGGCGCCTAGGTTGATTTCATATCTTTGCTGTTGTGAAAAGTGCTATGATGAACATATGTGTACATGTGTCTTTATGGTAGAATGATATATATTCCTTTGGGTATGTACCCAGTAATGGGATTGCTGGGTCAAATGATAGTTCCGTTTTAAGTTCTTTGAGAAATCTCCAAAGTGCTTTCCACAGTGGCTGAACTAATTTACATGTCCACTAGCGGTTCCCTTTTCTCTGCAACTTTGCCAACATCTGTTATTTTTTGACATTTTAGTAATAACCATTCTTAACCTTTGTTCTAGGATACAGATGATTCTTTTAAATCTTGCTTTTTAAGGTTTATTAGGTATGATTGCAGGATGTAGTTTAGCTCATAACCCTTCTAAGTATTGTACCCCACCTCCTGTGAATTACGAAGGTTTTTCCACTTGGCCTGGTGAGAACAGAAACTATTCTTGACCGTATACAACTTCTATATATAGTTCCCTGTAATGCTTTCAAATGATTCTTTACCATCATTGAGGAAAGAGCTACACAGAGAGAGGATGCAGGTAGCTTCCTCATACACATGCATTGATTAAGTACTCAGTTGAAAACAGAGGGAGTCCCTCACAATTCTCTCTCTGTGCAGCCTTTCCTCACTGATACTGTATTCCATGCACTGTAACCACCTTGATCTCCCAGGTCTCCCAGTTCATCTCCTCAACTTAGAGACCATCAGGCTTCACCTTTCTCCCTTCCTGATTTGCAGCCTGGAAACCCTCTCTGCAGTTAGCTGGGGCAATTGTGCAGCTCATCTTGTTTCTTCCATCTTTTAGGATCACTATCTTCATTGCCTGATCTCGGACATCTTGAAAGACATTGTTTCACATATTTTGTCAACATAGTTTTTAGTTGTTTCATGTTGGAGGGTCCTTGTTACTTCATCTGAATCCAAATGGGAGTGATTTATCTTTATTACCTTAAAATTTTAATTTTTATATAGGTGAATCATTCCCATGGTTTGAAAATCAAAAAATGTAATATGTATTCAGTTGAGATCTCCCTCTGAATCCTTCCCACTACCAACCTAGTCCTCATCCCCCCACCAGTAACAAACTTTGCTATTAATTTATCTTTCCAGAATTTCTTCATTCATATGCAAGTAAATAAAAATTACATATCCTTTTTCACCTTTCACCTCCTTTTTCATAGAAAGGTTGCATAGTACACATGCTATTCTGAACCTTATTTTTTTTCACTTAACCATCTGTCTTGAGGATATTTCCTTATTGGTGCATACACTTCCTATTGACAAACACACACACACACACACTTTTTTAACGACTATATATAGTGCCACATCATGTAGACCTACCATCATTTGTTTCACCAGTTCCTTTTTGTTAAACAATTAGGTTGCTTCCAATCTTTTGTTATTAGGAATGATGTAGTCTTGTGCATAAGTCATTTTGGATGTATCTGCATAACATAGCTGTTGAATACATTCCCAGACATGGATTACTAGGTCAGAGGGTTTATGCGTTTGTAATCTTGACAGCTATTGCCAAATTGTCCTCCCAAGAGGTTGAACCATTCTTCCACAAGCCTATTAGGAAAATGCCTATTAACCCACAGTTCTTTTGTAGAATGTTATAAAATACAAGGATTTCTGCTAATCTGATAGGAAAAAATGTTATAAAGTAGTTTTAATTTGTATTTCTACTCTGAGTGAGGTTGTTGAACATCTCCTATGCTTAAAAGCCATTTGTACTTCCTTTTCTTTGTACTTTAAATCATTTTGGTCATTCAGTTCTTTTTAGTAATAAGAATATGAAATAGAAATATTTTAGTAGGTGGTGTTTAGTTAATGATGAATGAACAGTTAACATCCATAGCCTATAAGTGCAACACTTTAAATTGCATTTAATAAAATATAATTATACTAAATCTAGTCATATCTTTAATGGTTTTAGAGTCATTACAAAATGGTTAGATCAAAGGTTGGGTTGATTTTTCAGACAAATTTTCAAAGTTCAAAGTAAAATCAGGTTAATCTGAGTTTTTGACCATAACAGTAATGTTCTAAAACTACTTTAATTAATGAAAAAAAAAAAATAAATTGTTCTATAAATCTTTTACCTTTGAGAGATGTGGTTTGTATTCCACAGATAATGGCATTTCCATAACAATTTGACAGATGTTGGAGGAATGAATATTTGAAATTTGGACTATCTTGTAAAGTCTGAGCTTTATGGTTACAAAATATATTCTGTTCCACACATAAGAATGGTAATCACATTCATGGTTAGATGACAGGATTCTCTTGCTATTCTTCAATCACTGCATCTTTCTTGAGAAGTAAGGAGTATGCAGGTATTTTTATAACTTTGCATACCAATCCTTTTTCTCTGCCTGATCTCAAATACCTTTAACTTTTTGTTCTATCATTTATAACTTGCAGGTATTATACTTTGTGGACAATTAATTAGGGAGGTAGTTGCCTTACCAAATGAGTGAAGTAATAAAATGGTCTAGTAGTTTGTTTATATTTTCTTAATTTATTATAAATTAAAAGTCTGGCTTTATTTATGCAATTACAAATATATTTTTAGAGTTTCATCAATATGGAGAGGCATCCAGCACACATCCCATCAGGTATGCTGTCATTCCAGAACATTCTCTGGTACTTCATTTTTCTGTCTTATCCGCCAACTAAATTTCCTTTGGTTAAATTTAATTATTTTGGTTTTTTCCCGTTGTCAAAACATGGAGCTGCATGACATTATCAAGTTAGCCAATTGTCACACTTTAGCAATCTTAATGTTTGTATGCTTGCTTTTTAGATCTAAAATTATATATCAGGAAAAAAATTATTGACCTACTGATTTAAGGATTAATATTTAGCTTTTCTAGAGTAGTTGAAAATGTTCTGAATGCTTTCTATGAAAATCATCTAATTATAAATAACTAAGATTTTATTACATGTTCCCAGATTTCGTTATTTTAAAATTATTTTGTATGCATCGATCACAATACTTTTACCACACTAATAATATAATATGTCTACTTGTGTTATTTGAATTTTGTTGGTTACAGAAGTATGATAAACAAATAGAAAAAGAACATTGTTATTTTGACTAATTGTGTACTTTCTTATTAAAGTTTACATGCTGATTAATGCTAAGGCAATTCTTTAGAAGATAACATTTGAATTTCTATAAATATATATAAAACAAGTCTGTTTTAAGAAAGCAGTTGGGCTGGGCGCAGTGGCTTATGCCTGTAATCCCCATACCTTGGGAGGCTGAGGTGGGCAGATGACTTGAGATCAGGAGTTCGAGACCAGCCTGGCCAACATGGTGAAACCTGGTCTCTACTAAAAATACAAAAATTAGCCAGGTGTGGTGGCACACGCCTGTAATTTCAGCTATTTGGGAGGCTGAGGCAGGAGAATCACTTGAACCTGGGAGGCGGAGGTTGCGGTGAGCAGAGATCACGCCACTGCACTCCAGCCTGGGTGAAAGAGTGAGACTCCATCTGAAAAAAAAAAAAAAAAAAAAAAAAAAAAGAAAGAAAGAAAGACAGCAATTGGTCTGAACCTTCCATCAAATACCAAAAATGCATAATTTAATTAGAATTTAAATTAAAGCAAATAAGCAAAATAGCCCAAATTTCGGAGATCATAACTAACAGTGTTAACTGACATACTTTTATTAATAATGCAAATGTAAAAGAAATGTGTATACACAAATGAATTTAAAATGGAAAATAGTTTCGAGACTTCTTCAGTATTTGTCTTACAATGAATTTAATGTTGATCATTTAAATTTAAGATGAGCATATAAATCAGAGCAAGATGATTAAAAAAGTATTTAAGGCTACCAAATATATTTCATATCTGACTTCAACATCAACTTTTATTGTTTAATTTTGGTTTCAGGGCCTTTTCACAGAGTTCTAATACATCTGAAATATATACCTTAAATCAACTACCTATATTATATTTCAGGATGTTAATTGGATCATAGCATTTACTTGCATTAAAAATTATGCAGTGTTGGTTGGAAAATCAAGTGAAAAGATTGAAGAAAAGTGGAAGAATGGTGGGATAGAATGATTATCAAACTCTTGTTGATTTAAAGTTAGATATTAAAGTAGAGAAGAAGTTTTATTATCTTTCTGATACCAAAATCTGTTAATATTCTAATAACTTGATTTCCATTTATGAGAGACAAGTTCATTATCTGAAGTACTAAATACATTGTCAGTTACAATTAAATCAGAGTGGTTTGACAAGGATTTTTTAAATTCAGTGGCAAGTGATACAACTATAGTATTTTTAATTGTGCTATGTGTTTTAGGTATTTGTGAAGTGTCATTTTGATTATAATCCATACAATGACAACCTAATACCTTGCAAAGAAGCAGGATTGAAGTTTTCCAAAGGAGAGATTCTTCAGATTGTAAATAGAGAAGATCCAAATTGGTGGCAGGTTAGTATGCTTCTCAGAAGTTCCTCAGCTACTTTTCTAATTTTAATCTTAGATCTGATCAATATCTGAATAGTCAGGAAGAATATTAGCATTTGTTACAATGATTTTTCCCACATGAACAGCTCCTGCTTCGTGGCTACTAATTTTGTGGACATAAGATCAAATTGGGAGGGAATTTGCAACTTAATAAGTGCAGAATTAACCAGCCTGTGGCACTAACCCATTGGTTTAGGGATTAGACCAATTGGTTTTTTTCACATGGGTAATTGCATTAAAATATGCTATTGGCCAAGAAGAACTCACTTGGGTCATCCCTTTTCAAAAGATAACTTGGGTTTTGTTTATTTTAAGTAGGAGACTTTTACTGTGAAATAAGTGTGTCTCTTGTCTCCTCTCCCTCATGTTCGTTCATAGCAAGTAAAGCATCATTTCTTAAGGTCTTAATGTCTATTTGCTCCCCTCTTCTCAGATATTGGGAAATGGAGGTTCACTCTATCAGTTTTGTTTGGTTTTGGATTAAAATCTGTGTATATGGAAAGAGATGTGTATTATCACTGTATTTTTCCCTCCTTTTTTCAGAAGATCTGTTTAATGGTATTCTTTTTTCTTCTCCTAATGCAGCTTTCAGAAACCCCTAGCAGCAGTAATAAGTCTGTTTTTGTAATGGTTTATGTTAGCTAACAACCACAATATTCAGAACTGGAAAAACTGACAGGTCAGGAAGTCTGAAATGCCTTAAACTATCAAAGCAAATGAGAGTTTTACTAAAGAACAAGGAGTAAGAGGAAAGGATCCAGGACTTAGCACCAAATTCTAAAATTAACTGAGATGTTGGTAACTCACATTAGCTCTAAATTATAGATCTACTTCTAAGGAGAAACAAATCACAGAATGAGAACAATCTTACTTATGTGTCCTTAAATTTAACTTAAAACATTATGTATAAGTGCACTATGTGTTGAGACAGCTAAGAAATGGGTAAATTAAACAGAATCCATGATTTCAAGAGGTTTCCCCTGAACTTTTTTTAGATCCCTCATTTAAAAAATCTCTCTGTGGCTGTTTCCTTTATTGAATTATTCCAGTTTTCCATTTTTTTTCTTTTTCCTATGAATACGATCTCTTAGTTTTCTCTTCTAACCTGTCACCATTCTCTCAGTTTCTCCCTGCATTTTGATAGTTGGTTACTTTAATTCTGTTTTTCAGGATTTTAAGTGCTTAAAGTTATACTAGATTTTCTATGCTAGTTGTAAGGATAGAAATACTAACTTTGTGAGATAAACCACTAACAGCCAGTTCTCCAGCCACTATTTTAAAATATTTCTCTTTGGAGCTTATTTTAAGTTAGCTGTTTTACATTAGGTGAAGTTTCGCCTAGTTTAAACTTACAAACTCTTGGGATATTCAGACTCCTGGTGGCATAAATTAAAATCTACACTTTATATTCCACATAGTATCTCCTTTTCATTTGGTTTGGCCTGAAATACCAACATAGTAGGATTAAGGTTGACAGTAAATATCTTACTAAAGGGTGCTAGATAAAATGTCCTGTTAATACATCTTATTTAGAATAGCATTTTCCTTTTCTAACTTAGTATCATAAATAAGAAGTTTTAGCAATTTAATTTGTATTTTGGTCCCCACATTTCACTACCAGATGACAGATATGAAGAATTTTAGGTGCCAATTGATTCTTCAGTGCTGAATTGTTTAAATATCTTAACTGACAATGCTATGGATTTAAATCTCAAGGTTGTTTTTAAGAGCAAATGTGACTTTTTTGACTGACCACTGCTTGTCTTACTTAATAGAATATGGTCTCAAATTTTGGTCACTGAGATGTACAATTCATTAATTTGATTCTAGGCTAGCCATGTAAAAGAGGGAGGAAGCGCTGGTCTCATTCCAAGCCAGTTCCTGGAAGAGAAGAGAAAGGCATTTGTTAGAAGAGACTGGGACAATTCAGGTGATGAGCTCGACACAATAAGTAACAAGCAGTCCTTTGTGACCACCTTTCTTTGTCTCTTTTGTCTAAATAAGCAAATGCATTTATTTAAAATATGTCTAGAATGAATCCCTCCCTCTGCTTTCTCTCGCTCATAAGTAATCTTTTTTGATCCCGTTCTGCCACCTGCTGGTAGAGTATCAAAATTCAGTGGCTTAACTCACCTCCACCCTCTTTTGCTTCCTAGGATGCCACATTGGGGAGATAATTCTCCCACCCCTGTAAAATACTATAGGGCAATTTTTTCATATTCTGATATACTGCTTAAGTTATATTTGTTTTATCATCCTTCAGGACCTTTTTGTGGAACTATAAGTAGCAAAAAAAAGAAAAAGATGATGTATCTCACAACCAGAAATGCAGGTAGGTTTTAAATACTTTTTGAGAAGTCCAAGTGAAGTAGCTATATGTCATTTAGTGTGGCATAAACTCTGAATATACAGCTTTAAGTGAGTGTAATTCAGATTAGTACCTAGTTGCAAGGGGCTGACATATGAACACATGGTGCAATATAATATAAATTATTTAAAACCCACATTATATATACTACCATGTGCTTTATTTTGTGAGTATAGTTTACAACACAAAACAAATTGGTTAAGATTTTTGTTTGTCTTAATCAAGAAGCAGTATCATAATTGAAACTATTTGTCCAGAGAATTTTGAAATAGTAATTTATGTGCCATTTCTAAAGGATAGAATGCCTTTGTCAAGATGTTAAAAGAGTTATGTTTAGGGCAACTGTATCCTGCCATAACACTGACCATGATAGTTTTAGAAAAATAGCACTGGACCAAATAAATCTTAGTCTGATCTAATAGAATTCTGTCTTAAATCTTTTAGTCATACAGAAAGAAATATATTTAAAAAGAAAGAAATGGTAACTATATGAGGTGATGGATATGTTTAATAGCTTGATCGAGGTAATCATTCACATTGTACACATTCATGAAAACATCAAGTTGTACACTTTATATACAATTCCTGTTTGTCAGTTGTACCTCAGTAAAGCTGAAAAGATTTTTAAAAACAATGTAAAATAAGACCCCAGACCTGGATTGGCTACTCATTGGCTATTAAAAATAAATAAATAGGAAAGAAGGGAAAGAATGGAAACTACTATATTTATTCTTCCCAGTTGCAGAGGATGACAGAAATAAAAAACAGCTCTATGAATCAGAAATTTCTGGAGGCTTAATCAAAGGAGTTGGCAATTTTAAAAGTACTTTCTTGACTTCAGAGCTACCTCTATGCTGGTAATAAACTAAATAGCACACCATAAAAGAAAATAATATAGAAGGAAGAAGTAGGCTTGCTTTCTCTTAATATTGGTTTAATCTACTGTGGGGAAATTGTGCAAAGAAAGAGTTACTATTAGGATAATAAGCTAAGGAAGGAGTGTTATTACTACAGATTGAGAGTTACAGTAATAACAGGTAATATAATATTTCAAATCATCACTTTGGCCCTATTATTCATAAAATATATGCCCATAAGGCTTTTTTGCAAAATAGAAAATTTGTAATTTTCCCATCGACTAAGATTATAATTTTGGGTTATGTTTCTAGTGAAACAGTTGGATCTAAAATTTATTTTATATGTAAATTTCAAAATCTTAATATTTAAATGTATGTTGTCAGTAAATGTCAGTATGTTGAATTCTAATCAAACTGATAATTGTTGATTTGCCATACAATATTTATTCATTTATATAATTGGAAGGTCACTTGTTCTGTGGAACTTACTTAAGCAACCACGCTAGGTTTACTCCTGTCCTCCGTATTTGCTACATGCTTTCTATATATACTGGTTTGTAATTTGATTATTTATATTAAAGGATTTTTACTGGCAAATTGATAATAAGTTTCAGTGGATAGAATCTCTGATAAGTAAGGATAAAACATAGAATTTTTCTAGCTTGATTAGATAAATTTTTTTTTTTTTTTTTTTTTTTTTTGAGACGGAGTCTTGCTCTGTCACCAGGCTGGAGTGCAGTGGCGCAATCTCGTCTTACTGCAGTCTCTGCTTCCTGGGTTCAAGTGATTCCCCTGCCTCAGCCCCCTGAGTAGCTGGGACTACAGGCGCACACCACCACGCCTAGCTAATTTTTTGTATTTTTTTAGTAGAGACGAGGTTTCACCATGTTGGCCAGGATGGTCTCAATCTCTTGACCTCGTGATTCGCCCACCTCGGCCTGCGAAAGTGCTGGGATTACAGGCATGAGCCACCATGCCCAGCCCGATTAGACAAATTTTTAAGGGCAAATGGATGGAACCAGATGTTTAAAGCAAGATATAAAATAATTTACTGGGGCAGGCACAGTGGCTCATGCCTATAATCCCAGCACTTTGGGAGACTGAGGCAGCAGGATCATTTGAGGCCAGCAGTTTGAGACCAGCCTGGGCAACATAGCAAGATCCCATCTCTACAAAAAAAAAAATTAAAAATTAGCTGGGTATAATGGCTCATACCTGTGGTTTCATTTACTCGGGAGGCTTCATTGAGCCCAGGAGTTCAAGGGTACAGTGAGCTAAGATTGCACCACTATACTCTACCCTGGGTGACAGTGAGCCCCGGTCTTAAAAACAATAATAAAATAATTATTATTTATTGTACTTTACCAAATTTGTAAAAACAAATCTATGCTAAGTGGGTACAAGTCAAGTGATATTTAACTATCAAGACAGCTAAGCCATTACTAGACAGAATTGCAGAGATTTCTTTCATGTATATAAAAGTTGACTTTGTATTCCCATTTCCTTTTTCATTTAGAATTTGATCGTCATGAAATCCAGATATATGAGGAGGTAGCCAAAATGCCTCCCTTCCAGAGAAAAACATTAGTATTGATAGGAGCTCAAGGTGTAGGCCGAAGAAGCTTGAAAAACAGGTTCATAGTATTGAATCCCACTAGATTTGGAACTACGGTGCCATGTAAGTTTTCTGTGTTTTCCTTGCTATGCAATTGGCAGGAAAGAGTATGGGCATATGGAGGAAAGGGGGATTATTATCATTAGTTATTGTTATTCCCAAATAAGTTTTCTTTATGGCAGTGAAAGTGAACAAGTAAAAGACATTGAAAAATTTAGTAATTCTGTAGCTGTCTTGAAATAGTGCTGCAGTGCTGTTGGCTTGCTGTCTGGTGGCAAGTGCTTCTCTAAACTATTCAGTTCAGAAATGTTAGAATTAAATGCCTACATTTAAGACTCGTGGCAAGATAGGCATTTAGGATTTTCTTGTACTGATGTCTATCTAAAAAGTTGGATTTTTCAGCCATTTTAGTGTAAAGAAAAGGGGAAAGCTTCTGACCCTTGGACATACCCAGTGTGGCAACAGCTGTGTGAACTTACGTGGCCTGGCTTGTAGCTCTCAGTCATGCAAGGTCATAAACCTGATTTTTGATAGCACATAAGAGTGATTCATCTTTTACTGCAGGCAGCATTCATTAAGGTTACAGAGTCTGATGTATAGAATAAAATAGTACTGATGAGAAGTATAACCATTAAGTGAACCAAGCACTCATTTTATGGTCTTTGCATTCATTTCTCTATTTGCATATTTACATAGAAAGTTAAATAATCATGTCAGAAGTATGCTTGATGAGAATGGAATTAGATCAAGGAATTGGATGATGTTAGTGATTTACTGTAATGACTAATACACATTTGTCTCTGACTGTAGGGACTAATAAACATTTGTCTTTGTTTTTGAAATACGTGGATCTTTACTTGTGAACTTAGATGTTCTCTCCCTTGAAGAAAGCAGGAGATAAGCTAACATTGCTTTCATTCCCATTGCTGTGCTTCTATTTCTGACCAAGCCCCCTTTTAACATGGCATTCCTTTAGGTATATTAATGCCTTTAAGCTATTTTGAGTCAAATCCTAGGCTAACTTTAACCCTATCTCTTTTAATTGAATTTTAGAGTTTCCCTGGTTTTGTCCAGTATATTTTGGGTTTAATTCTCAGTGAGTACTCTTATTGCTAAAATTCTTAAAAGTTAGGGAAATAGCCTTGTCATTGCCCCCCTGTGCTACTTATAATCCCTTCAGTGTAAATCTTCTGATTCTACTGCAGGCATTGTAAATCACTAAATTTAGACAAATCCTACTAAAGTGGTTAACAGAACAAAAACTTCACTGTAATCAACGTATGTTAAAGCTGCACTTGTGAAGTAAAAAGTTTTTCGCTTTTATCAAATTCATATGTGCCCAATATTTTTAGCAAGTAGTTCTTAAAGACATATAATGGGGAAAAAAATAACCCCTTCTCTTCCCCTGCCTCACTTATGAAAAACAGTCACTTTTCATTGTTTTTGCTATTTCTTTTGGTTGTGTTCCATATTTCTTAATAATGTCTTTAGTCTGCTGTTTCCTGCTTTATGCAGTTTAGGCCTTATCTGTTGACTTCCTGACTGTCCTTCCAATATAAAGATAGCTGTATTTTCAGTTAGTTCAATTTCACTTTCTTGAACAGCCCTTTCCCCTTCTGTGACCCAGGAATCTCTGGAGTTCTGTTTTTCTTTATACTACCTGATTTTATATATATATGTGTATACAGTTTTTTGTTGTTTTTTAAACTAAAGACTTGTTTATCCAGTAAGTCAGGTTCTTTTTTTTTTTCCTGGAGACCTCTGTCTCAGAACCCTCTGTCTTTCTGCTTCAATGAGGACTACATGCTGTCTCTCTGGCTGCCCAGCTGTTAACACTGGAGTAGTTCCCTTTGTTGTTATCCTGGGTTGAAGCTGTTGTTCCTGGATCCCATTCTTTCTCTTTCTTGGTTTATCACCTTGTTTTGCTGGGGTACATCCTCTTGTATGTGGAATGTAATGTCTGCATCTTTGTGTTTTAAAATGTATATTTTCTGCCCTTTATTTGACTAATTAGCAGAGAATAGAATTCTGGATTGTAAAATTCAAAAGCTGTTACAACGTCTTCATCATCGCCAAAAGAATCTCTGTACCCATTTCCCACCAACTTCCTCACCCCCTGCTGCCAGGAGCAATCATGAATCTTTCTGTCAAAATAGATTTGCTTATTTTGGACATTTTATATACTGGAGTTATACAATATGTGGTGTTTTGTGACTGGCTTCTTAACATGTCAGATCTCATCTGCATTGTAGCATTTATCAGTACTTATTTTCTTTTCCTTGCTAAGTGATTATTATATGGCTATACCACATTTTATTTATATATTCATCAGTTGATGGACATTTGGACTGTTTTATTTTTAGCTATTGTGAATAATGCTACACTCAGCATTTGTATACAGGTATTTGTGTGGACATATGCCTGTTTCTCTTGGGTATATACCTTGGAATGGAATTTGTAGGTTATATGATGACTGTATGTTTAGCCTTTAGAAGAACTTCCACACTGTTTTCCACAGCAGCTGTGTATATACCCTTCACAATCCCAGCAGCATATGAAGTTTCCAGTTTCTCTACATCCTCACCAACATTTGTCATCTGGCTTTTTGATTGTAGTCATCCTAGTGGGTGTAAAGTTGTATCTCATTTTGGTTCTCATTTGCATTTCCCTAATGTCTGATCATGTCAAACAACTTTTCATGTACATATTTGCCATTTATATATTTTCTTTGGAGGAATGTCTGTTCAAACTGGTTGCCCATTTTTCAGTTAGGTTATTTGTCCTTTTCTTAAGCTGTAAGAGGAGGTCATATTATATTCTGGGTACAGGTTCCTTGTTAGATATGATTTGCACGTATTAATATTTTCTCTCATTCTTTGTTGACTTCTCGTGTTTTTGATGGTGTCCTTTGATATACAAAAGTTTTTCATTTTGATGAAGTCCAAATTTATATGTCTTTTGTTGCTCATGCTTTTCATATCGTATCAAGTATGGTACCATATCAAGGCTTTCCCTAACCCAAGGCCACAAAATTTTACTCCTGTATTTTATTTTAAGAGTTTATACTACTGACTCTTACATGCAGATTATATGATCAATTTTGTGTTCATTTTTGTGTCAAATGTGAGGAGGGGGTTCCAACTTTATTCTTTTGCTTGCACTTATCCAGTTGTCACAACACAATTTGTCAAAAAGAATAGTTCTTTCCTCCAGTGGATTGTCTTGCCACCCTTTTTGAAAATCAATTGATTGTAAATGTCAAGATTTATTTATAAACCCTCAGTTCTGTTCCATTAACCTAGATGTCTGTCCTTATGCCAGTCCCACATTGTCTCGATTACTGTATATTTGTATTAAGTTTCAAAACCAGGAATTGTGAACCCAACTTGTTCTTTCTTTTTCAGCTTGTTTTGGCTCTTCTGGGTTCCTGACATTTCTATATAAATTATAAGATAAGCTTCCAGTTTCTGCAGAAAAGGTAGCTAGAATTTTAAGAGGGATTATATTGAATTCTAGCTACCTTTTCTGCAGCAATTGGAAGCTTATCTTATAATTTATATAGAAATGCCAGTAACTTGGCCTTGAGGACTACTGCCATCTGTTTTGTTTTGTTTTGTTTTGTTTTGTTTTGTTTTGTTTTGTTTTGTTGAGATGGAGTCTTGCTCTGTTGCCCAGGCTGGAGTGCAATGGCATGATCTCGGCTCACTGCAGCCTCCACCTCCTGGATTCAAGCCATTCTCCTGCCTCAGCCTCCCCAGTAGCTGGGATTACAGGCACCCACCATCCTGCCTGGCTAATTTTTTTTGTATTTTTAGTAGAGACTTGCTTTCACCATGTTGGCCAGGCTGGTTTCGAACTCCTGACCTCAGGTGATCTGCCTGCCTTAGCCTCCCAAAGTGCTGGGATTACAGGTGCTATATTAACAGTATTAATTCTTCCAGTCTATGAGCATAGATGTCTCTCTGTTTATTTAGGTTTTCATTTTAATGCTGTTTATGGTTTTCATTGTACAAATATTATGCTGCTTTTGTCACATTTATTCCTGAGTATTTTTTTCTTTTTTATTCTGTAGCAAAAAGTATTTTCTTAATTTCCTTTTTGGATTGTTCCTTGCTAGTGTACAGAAATAAACTGATTTTTGTGTGTTGGCTTTGTCTTTTAGCCTTATTGACCTCATTGATTCTAATGATGATTTTTTTGTGTGGGTTCCTCAGGATTTTCTATATACAAAATCATGTCATCTGCAAATAGAGATCGTTTTACTTGTTTCTTTCCAATCTGGGTGCTGTTTATGTCGTTGTCTTGTCTACTTTCCTCAACTAGAACCTGCAGTGTAATGTGTAATAGTGTAATAGAAGTGGCAAAAGTGAACATCCTTGTCTTGTTCATGATCTTAAGGAGAAAGGAGAAAGCATTCAATCTTTCCATTTTAGCTGTGGGTTTTTCATAGATGCCTTTCATCAGATTGGAGAAGTTCCCTTCTGTTCCTGCTTTGTTGGCTTTTTACCAAGAAAGGGTACTAGATCTTGCCAAATGCTTTTTCTTTGTTAATGGTTCATATGATTTTTGTTTTTTATTGTCTTCTATTGATAGGATGTATTGCATTCATTGATTTTTATATATTGAACCAACCTTGTCTTTTTGTGGTAAATTCCATTTGGTTATGATGTGCCGTCTTTTTTTGTATACTTCTAGATTCAGTTGCTTGTAATTTGTAAGGATTTTTGCATCTATATTTATAAGGGATATTGGTCTATACATCTCATTACTTGTGATGTCATTGTCTAGCTTTGATATGGTAATTCAGGGCACATAGAATGAGTTGTGAAGTATTCTTTCCTCTTTCATTGTTTGGGAAGAGTATGTGAAGGATTAATTATAATTCTTTCAATGTTTGATGAAATTCACCCATGAAGCCATTTGACCCTGGGCTTTTCTTTGTGGGAAGTTTTGATTATTAGTTCAGTCTCTTTCCTTGTTATAGGTCAACTTGGATTTTTTTTAAAATCAGTTTCAGGATTTCTGCAGGGTTCATAGTAATGTTTTTTCTTTCATTTCTGATTTTAGAAATTTCGGTCTTCCCTCTTTTATTCTTAGTCTATGTAAAGATTTGTCAATTTGTTGATCTTTTCGGACAACCAAATTTTGCCTTTGCTGATTTTCTGTATTTTTTCTACTTTCTAATTTTTGCTATAATCTTTATTATTTTCTTTCTACTTGTACTTTGGGTTTATTTTACTCTCTGTTTTTTTAGATAGGAAATTAGATTATTGATTTGAGATCTTTTTTAACATAGGCATTCACAGCTATAAATTTCCCTCTAAGCACTTAGTTGCATCTTAAAGTTCTTGGTATGCTGTGTTTTTGTTTTCATTCATCTCAAAATACTTTTGAGTGGGTTTTTTATATATATATATAAATAGGTTCAATGATACATGTCTCTGTAGATGGCTACAGAGACTTTAAAATTGTAATCCCGAATATGCAACTATGCAACACAGACCAGTTAGCCAGATCTAAAATAATAAACTGGCTTCTTACAACAACTGTGCTGTTCCAACCCTTCTTCCCTCCACAATGACCTTAAACCTTACATGAGTACAGTTAATATGGCAGAACGGGAACCCATCTTTGTGACCAAAAGTAAAAACCGAAGAAGAAATAGCAATTCATCCATTAGTTGGGGAAAGCAAGAAATGTAGTGCCCTTCACTGTGCTGCTTACTCTTACTCATTTTGTCCCTATTCTTCAGCCCATCCATGTTAGCTCTTAATATGTTTGAATTAGCCATATGATTCAGCTCTTCAGTGCTCACCACAGTGCTGATCTTTTTCCCATCAGTAGCTTTTAAGACAATTATCAAGGGCTTAAAGCCCTCCACAGAACCTTTTCTTAGAATGAATGGGTTTAGTTCAACCATCATACATCTTCAGGGTAATGAACATGCTGCTGGACAACTGGCACTCTGGAAGAGCCTGGTCAGCTCTGTCTGTAACTGTGCTCTTCAACAGCACCATCTCCTCTCAAAGTATTTTCTTTCACTTGTGATTGCTTGTTTGATCCATTGGTTATTTGGGAGTATATTGCTTATTTTCCATATATTTTTGAATTTCTAAAATTTTCTGTTATAAAATTAAGGTGATTTAACTTTCTTTATATATTACAAAATGATCCTAAGATAAAATAGAAAAACATTGTTATTTTAGGGAGATGGGCTATGTTATGCATCCTGTTTTCAATTTAACATTGACATCTTGACATCTTGAGCTTAGTTAACAAATGAAGTATTACTTTGTTGATTGTGTCTTCATTATTTGAAGAGCAGCTAAAATTGAGAATTTTGCCTATCATAAAAAATTACTTCTAAAAAATCACATTATGTAGTTGCGCAGTATAGAAGTCTAAGGAATCAGTTGTAGTCAAACCTTCATGTTCTAATTTCTCTGTTCTAGAAATGGAAAGCAGTTTAAATATGTGGCAACGTAGATTGTTTTTTGAAGTGTTAGTAGAGAATAGGATTGTAGTTAAAATTCACTTGTAAACTAAAGAACATTTCTCTAAGAATTAAGATTCCCTCAGCATGGAGGTAGAGGTAATACATGTGCATATACATATTTATTTCAAGCAGCGCATTCCCCTATATGGTTTCACTGTAGGACTTCACCGAAAAAACATTAATTTTTAAAATTAATGTTCACAATGTTGAACCAAGTCCTATTATGCATTTATTTGGGGAGTTACAAGTTGCCTTAGAAGTTTTTTTATTTTTTTATTTTTTTAAGGTTTTTTTTTTTCCCCTCTTATTATTATACTTTTAAGTTTTAGGGTACATGTGCACAATGTGCAGGTTAGTTACATATGTATACATGTGCCATGGTGGTGTGCTGCACCCATTAACTCGTCATCTAGCATTAGGTATATCTCCCAGTGCTATCCCTCCCCCCTCCCCCCACCCCACAACAGTCCCCAGAGTGTGATGTTCCCCTTCCTGTGTCCATGTGTTCTCATTGTTCAGTTCCCACCTATGAGTGAGAATATGCGGTGTTTGGTTTTTTGTTCTTGCGATAGTTTACTGAGAATGATGATTTCCAATTTCATCCATGTCCCTACAAAGGACATGAACTCATCATTTTTTATGGCTGCATAGTATTCCATGGTGTATATGTGCCACATTTTCTTAATCCAGTCTATCATTGTTGGACATTTGGATTGGTTCCAAGTCTTTGCTATTATGAATAATGCCGCAATAAACATACGTGTGCATGTGTCTTTATAGTAGCATGATTTATAGTCCTTTGGGTATATACCCAGTAATGGGATGGCTGGGTCAAATGGTATTTCTAGTTCTAGATCCTTGAGGAATCGCCACACTGACTTCCAGAATGGTTGAACTAGTTTACAGTCCCACCAACAGTGTAAAAGTGTTCCTATTTCTCCACATCCTCTCCAGCACCTGTTGTTTCCTGACTTTTTAATGATTGCCATTCTAACTGGTGTGAGATGGTATCTCATTGTGGTTTTGATTTGCATTTCTCTGATGGCCAGTGATGGTGAGCATTTTTTCATGTGTTTTTTGGCTGCATAAGTGTCTGTCCATGTCCTTCGCCCACTTTTTGATGGGGTTGTTTGTTTTTTTCTTGTAAATTTGTTTGAGTTCATTGTAGATTCTGGATATTAGCCCTTTGTCAGATGAGTAGGTTGGGAAAATTTTCTCCCATTTTGTAGGTTGCCTGTTCACTCTGATGGTAGTTTCTTTTCCTGTGCAGAAGCTCTTTAGTTTAATTAGATCCCATTTGTCAATTTTGTCTTTTGTTGCCATTGCTTTTGGTGTTTTAGACATGAAGTGCTTGCCCATGCCTGTGTCCTGAATGGTAACGCCTAGGTTTTCTTCTAGGGTTTTTATGGTTTTAGGTCTAACGTTTAAGTCTTTAATCCATCTTGAATTGATTTTTGTATAAGGTGTAAGGAAGGGATCCAGTTTCAGCTTTCTATGTATGGCTAGCCAGTGGTCCCAGCACCATTTATTAAATAGGGAATCCTTTCCCCATTGCTTGTTTTTCTCAGGTTTGTCAAAGATCAGATAGTTGTAGATACGCGGCGTTATTTCTGAGGGCTCTGTTCTGTTCCATTGATCTGTATCTCTGTTTTGGTACCAGTCCCATGCTGTTTTGGTTACTGTAGCCTTGTAGTATAGTTTGAAGTCAGGTAGTGTGATGCCTCCAGCTTTGTTCTTTTGGCTTAGGATTGACTTGGTGATGCAGGCTCTCTTTTGGTTCCATATGAACTTTAAAGTAGTTTTTTCGAATTCTGTGAAGAAAGGCATTGGTAGCTTGATGGGGATGGCATTGAGTCTGTAAATTACCTTGGGCAGTATGGCCATTTTCACGATATTGATTCTTCCTACCCATGAGCATGGAATGTTCTTGCATTTGTTTGTATCCTCTTTTATTTCGTTGAGCAGTGGTTTGTAGTTCTCCTTGAAGAGGTCCTTCACATCCCTTGTAAGTTGGATTCCTAGGTATTTTATTCCTTTGAAGCAATTGTGAATGGGAGTTCACTCATGATTTGGCTCTCTGTCTGTTGTTGGTGTATAAGAATGCTTGTGATTTTTATGCATTGATTTTGTATCCTGAGACTTTGCTGAAGTTGCTTATCAGCTTAAGGAGATTTTGGGCTGAGACAATGGGGTTTTCTAGATATACAATCACGTCATCTGCAAACAGGGACAATTTGACTTCCTCTTTTCCTAATTGAATACCCTTTATTTCCTTCTCTTGCCTAATTGCCCTGGCCAGAACTTCCAACACTATGTTGAATAGGAGTGGTGAGAGAGGGCATCCCTGTCTTGTGCCAGTTTTCAAAGGGAATGCTTCCAGTTTTTGCCCATTCAGTATGATATTGGCTGTGGGTTTGTCATAGATAGCTCTTATTATTTTGAGATACGTCCCATCAATACCTAATTTATTGAGAGTTTTTAGCATGAAGGGCTGTTGAATTTTGTCAAAGGCCTTTTCTGCATCTATTGAGATAATCATGTGGTTTTTGTCTTTGGTTCTGTTTATATGCTGGATTACATTTATTGAGAAGTTTTATTATACACACCTTTGGTGACTAATTCCAGAAACCTTAAAGATCACACAGTTTTAAATATGAAAAGCCATCATAGCATCTTGAAGATTCTCAAAGATACTTTATAAATACTCTTCACAGTAGTCTAAGACGACCACTCTCAAGGTTGAGCCAGAAAACAAGGGGAAAACAGGAGTCCTATTATACATAATGATCTCATTTGACCCTTATTTTTGAGCATGAGTTTGAAGTTCATTTTGTTCTTATAAAAGTTTTCTATGTCTTAGGCTTATTAGAAATAGTCAAAACACTGTCATCTTTTTATTCGGATTACTTTCTTAGTTTAGTTTGGTGTAGTTAATAATTCCATCAGTTATTCTCCAACTACTTAGCTAATAGAAACAGGATACTTCTTATATCCGATCCAGCAAAGCCCAGAGTAAGGCTAAGCTTGAAATAACACGCTCAAAAATTACTTTTCTTCTTCAAAGCTGTTGTTAACAAAGTTGTCAGAGAGTACACATTTGCAACAGTTTAAAAAATGGTAATAACCGTTCCTAGCACAGACCAACTTGCAAAGGGTTGTATGTCTCTGAAAGTATTCAAAGCTGTAAAATATCAGACAAAAGGATCTCCTACTTCTAAATTTTGACTTGAGCTATTCAATCTCATTTTCCCAGAAATAATATGTCAGGTCAGAGGAGAGGAGGTTAATAGACCATAATAATAATGAGGCGTCTAGCTCTACCACTGAAGTATAAAATAGAACAGTTAACATTTGGGAATATCAATAAACAGGAAGCTAAAAGCGTTGGTTTTGAGGTAAGATAAAAGATAGATAATTTGTGGGTAAAACTGCACTTTACAAAATTGGTATCACAACTAAGAACAGGTGAACTTTGCTTGCTCACGTTTTGGGGCAGTTAGGAAGTGTTAATGTGGAAAGAAAAGATGTAATAGATTCCTAAGGAGAAGGAGAGTGCTGGTCAGTTGAAAAGATACTCACTCACAACATGCCTCAAACACTTACCATAATTAAGAACTTCATTGAAGGCTCTGCTGCTAGGTAAATATACTTTGAGTTTCAAAGTGATTTTAAGAAGCATATTTTTGGATACAAATTTTATTTGGGGGACTACCTCTTAAAATATTCCCCTAAGGTATCAAGAAACTTTTCTATTAAAGGGCCACATGGTAAAGTTTTAGGCTTCGCAGTCCATACAGTCTGTCACAATTACTACCACCATTTTAATGGGAAAGAAACCATGTATGATACATAAACAAATGAGTATGGCTGTGGTCCAATAAAACTTTATTTACAAAAATAAGAAGCAGATCAGATCTGGTCATAGCCTACAGTTTGCTGCACCCAGTGGAAAAACGTTAAGCCACCCTATGTATTTTAGTCTATTTTTTATGCCCTAAAATTTCTTTGTACAAAAATCTCAACACTATTTTATTTAGTTACTTCACGGAAACCAAGGGAAGATGAAAAAGATGGCCAGGCATATAAGTTTGTGTCACGATCTGAGATGGAAGCAGATATTAAAGCTGGAAAGTATTTGGAACATGGGGAATATGAAGGAAATCTCTATGGAACCAAAATTGATTCTATTCTTGAGGTTGTCCAAACTGGACGGACTTGCATTCTGGATGTCAACCCACAAGTAAGCTGCTTGGATTCCAAAGCTGTTTTATATTTTATTTTCTGTGGAGTTTTTTTCATGTGTGTCGGGGTTGTTGGGTTGGGGTTGTTTGTTTTGTCAGGGTGGAAAGGTGACTCCCTCCATTACCTTTGGGTGATAGAGAATGTTATTATGTATACATAGCTAGTTAAATAAATCTCTGAACAATTAGCCAACAGAGGCTTGGGTGGCAATAGAAACTGTGTGATTAGATCTACAATAGAAGTTTAGTATGTATTTATTTACCTGTTCAAGTAATGCATAAGTGCTTGTGTTAAGAAATGTTAAGTTTAAAACTCAAGTCTGCAATATAAAGAATAAAAAATTAAAGTCACTCCCCCTCCTACCTGACACACATGCACACCTCTACACTATTCATTTTGTCACTCTATATTTCTGTCACCTACCCCTTCCCACTCCGCTACACTCAGCCCAACCTCACGTCCCTACTCAGAGATAAAAATTGTTAATAGTTTCTTATGTCTCTTTCTAGTCATTTCACTATGCCTTAAATACAAATATATATAAGGTAATGGGTTTTCTGTTTTTGTTGTTTCTTTTTACATAAATGGAAAAATTCTATATAGATTCTTCAGGGGTTTTATTAAATAGAACTATTCCTTGGAGATCTTTTTGTGGTAGTTACTGTAGAGCTTTTTTTCTTTGTAATTGCTATATAGTATGAATATATATTCATTTAACCACTCTCCAATTAATCAACATTGAGGTTATTTCTACTTTTTGAGTATTAACAGAATTCTACAATTAACATAAAAAAGAGTTTACATCACTCTTGATGATTTTTGGATCATTGTTTTATACTTTGTTCAAGAGGAACAGACTGAGTTCAAAACAAAATAAATGGATCACTGTTTTAAGAAAGTACTATATGGAATGAGAAGGACAGAACAGGGATAAGTATTAAGTTATGTCCTTTAATTCATAGAACAAGTGCAAACAGCCTTTGATATATACTAAAGGGTAGCAGAATTCTAGTTCTAATATTGTATAAATTGGCTTATAATTATTCTTTTACACAGGCACTGAAAGTATTGAGGACATCAGAGTTTATGCCCTATGTGGTATTTATTGCGGCTCCGGAGCTAGAGACGTTACGTGCCATGCACAAGGCTGTGGTGGATGCAGGAATCACTACCAAGCTTCTGACCGTGAGCTAACCATACGATTTTCCTTCTAAAATCTTTCCTTTTCTTTTGAGCATGTTTAACTGTTATCTAATTTATTTTTATTTATTTATTTTTGAGGCAGAGTTTTGCTTTGTCACCCAGGCTGGAGTGCATTGATGCGATCTCAGCTCGTTGCAACCTCCCCGTCCCGGGTTCAAGCGATTCTCCTGCCTCAGCCTCCCAAGTAGCTGGGATTACAGGCATGCGCTACCAGGCCTGGCTAATTTTTGTATTTTTAGTAGAGACGGGGTTTCACCATGTTGGCCAGACTGGTCTTGAACTCCTGACCTCAGGCAATCTGCCCACCTCGGCCTCCCAAAGTGCTAGAACTACAGGCGTGAGCCACCGTGCCTGGCCAACTCTTAGCTAATTATGCTTATGAAATAAACATGCTATATAAGGTGCTACAGAATGAAAATTAATTAGATGTAGTTAGGATCTGGAACAGTATTCTTTTACTTGAAAATCATTGTACACTTTATTTTAAATCAAAAGTTTAGTTCCCCTTTGTAAAATGAAATGGACCAATATTAAAATATGCGTATTAATTGAACGCCTTCATTTTACTAGTGGGGTAACTGGGCTCCGAGATCATTAACAGGCATGTTTATTATATGGTTTATCATTGGTAAAGTGGGGTGTTCTGATGTTTAGTTTCTATTACATGTTTTTTCCTTTTTTTCCTGTCTACTTTTTTACTTAATGGAAATTCAAAAATATATACAAAAGAGGGAATAAATGAGTCCCTATGCCGATCGCCTAGCTTCAATAATCGTGGCAATTTCTTGTTTTAATTAGACCCCTCCCCACTTCCTCCTCACCTTGAATTATTTTGAAGCAAATCTTTGATATCATGTCATCTGTAAATACTTCAGTATTTATATCTAAGAGATAAAGACATTTAAAACATACCATTAATACAACAAAAATTAATAAGCAGTATCTTACTATCATCTACATGCAGTCTATATTTGAGTTTCTCCAAGATTTTTTTTTTTTTTTTTTTACTGTTGATTTGTTCAAATAAGGATTCAAACAAGATCAACACATTGAATTTACTCATTGTCACCTAAATCTTTTGCCAGCTTAATTGAGGTATAATTGACACATAATAAGCTGTGCCTACCTAACATGTACAGCTTGATCAGTTTGGCCACATATTTGTACTCATGAAAGCCATTACAACCAAAATAATGAACATGTCCATCATCTCCACACATTCGCCTGTGCTCCTTTGTAACCTGCTCCCCACACCCTTCCCCCTACCACTGTCACCTTTTCCCCTCACTGTACTTGATTATATGCCATGAAATCAGGTAGTATTAGTTTTCTTTGTTCTTTTTCAAGTTGATCCATGTCTCTACTTTCTGAACGTATGAAACATAGTGTTTAATGTCTTTGCAGGTTCTAACATTTGAGTCAGTTCTGGATTGGTTTTGATTGAATGATTTTTCTCTTTATTATGAGTATATCTTCCTGCTTCTTTGCAATCCTGGGAACTTTCTTTGGATGCCAGACATTGTGAGCTTTGTTCTAGGATGCAGTTATTTGGAAATAGTTTGTTTTTTTCAGGTCTCACTTTTTAAATGTGTTAGGTAAGACCCAAGCAGTTCTCATTTTAGGGCCAGTTAATCCCCACAAATAAGGCAAGACCCATTTGGTACTCCTACCACAGGGCTTGTGAGTCATGAGATTTTCTGTTCTGGCTAAGGGGGAATAGGTACCATTCCTGGGTACCTCTAATCCTTTCTGGTGGTTCTTTCTCAGCTTCAGGTCGTTGTACCAATGTGCAGGTTGGTACTTCAGCCGAATGCTGGAAGGAGACCTTCTACAAGTCTCCAAAGTCTGTCTGTGCTGCTCTTCCCCTCTGGCATTCCGTCCTGCAAACTCTTGCCACCTGGGTCTCCCTGGACTCAGCTCTGTCCTCAACTCAAGAGTCCTGTAGGCTCCTTTGGGCTCACTCTCCCCATCCTACTGCCCAGAAACTCTTTCAAGCCAGGAAGCTGGGGTAATCATAAGAGTCACTTCATTTGTTTTCTGTCTTTCTATGATCTGTTTTTAATACCTTGATGTATAGTGTCTTAAAAAGTGTTGTTTGATACATTTTGTCCATAAATTAATTGTTAGGTGGGAGAGTTAGTCTGGTGCCTGTTATTCCACCTTGGCTAAAAGCAGACATCCCTTTAAATCTGTAAATTCTCACTGCCACCCTCCCTTCCCTCTCTTTTCACATTGTACTTTAGTTGTTAAAATAATAATAATAATAATAAGTCACTTATCCTACAGCATGTTCCATAGTCTGGATTTTACCCATTCTGTCCCCATTGTATCATTTTCCTCTATCCCTTCTATTTCCTGTAAACTGATAGGTTGATCTAGAGGTTGGTCAGACACAGATTCAGGTTATTCAGGTTTTTGGTTGGTTGGTTTTTGCAAGAATAATTCATAGGTGGTACTTGTTTTATTAACATCATGAGGCATATGTCAGGCTTTTTGTCATAAGATTAATCAGTGGGGTCAGAAGTTGTTAGCCTGATCTATAAAGTTCCTCAGTAACTCTTTACCTACTGGTTTTAGCAAACTTTATTGATCTTTGCCTTGGATAAATTATATTTTTAGGGATGGCAAGGTGGTAGTATTCTAAATTTGTCATTCCTTCTACATTTATAAACTAGAATTCTTAAGAAGAACTTTTCCTCATCAAGTAGTTGATTATTCTGAGGTACGATTGATACAGGAAAGGCAGGATACATCTTTGATACTGTCCTTTGTAGGTCAGCTTTCAGAATAATGAGTTTATTCCCCAAGAGCCTCTAGAGGTAACAGGTGACCAGCTGAGATTGGCTTTGTTTTTTTAGTTTCATGAGCACGTATGTTCAAACTTATCTGGTGTGCTTTATTCTGTTGCAGTGATTATTTTTATTGATGCTAAGATTGTCCCATCATTGACCAATAGGAGCTTATTCTAGTTGGCCCTTGAGACCTTTTTTTTTTTTCATGACGCTGATAGTCTTGGATAGCTTCCTTGCTATCTGGTAGAACAAATGTTCCAGGCTCATCTTGTACATTTTCTGTTCTAGGCCAGGAATCAGCCATTTTTCCAAGATACTCTGGTTTCTTTTAGGGTAAATGGTGTTTTAAGACCATAATACTAACAGTGCCCATTGTCACATAGTTGATCACTGCTTCTTGCTAGACCTTTTTATGTGGACAGTGCTAGCATATATGCTTTTCTGTTTGTATATTTGAAGGAAAATATATCATGAATTTATTCTGATATTTTCCAATCAAATTCAAGATTACAGGATTTTTATTTAACTTATTTTATCTTATATGTCTAATTCCTTTCTCTTATGCTGAATATCCCTTCTCATAACACTGGAAATGTTAGAATTAGAATATCAAATAATTGCTCATTTGCTTTATTCTACAGTACAAACACAACATTCTGGGAATAAGTATATCAACATAACCACCACTAGTATCATTACTGTGAACAGTCCCCCCAACTGCCCACCTAGGTCTTTCTGTCTTTAGAGTATATCCCACTAAGTAGATACAGTCAGATCACTATGGGGTTTTTTTGTTTTTTTTTTCTGTCGCCAGGCTGGAGTGCAGTGGTGCAGTCTCGACTCACTGCAACCTCTGCCTCCCAGGTTCAAGCGATTCTCCTGCCTCAGCCTCCCAAGTAGCTGGGACTACAGGCATGCGCCACCACACCCAGCTAACTTTTGTATTTTTAGTAGAGATGGCGTTTCACCATGTTGGCCAGGGAGATCACTATGTTTTAAAGTCACTTGAAGTACCTCCTTTCTGTGTATTTAGGTCAGTTATTCTTTTTTAATGTTTAAATTGTTGTGTCTTCAGCAGTAGGAGCCTATTCAACTTGGCTTCTGAGTCTTTTTAACATGATTCTAGTAATGTCTGATAATTCCTTGCTTTCTGATATGACAAGATGTTCCAGATTATTCTACATTTCCTGGCCCAGACCTGGAACCAGCCATCCAGAAGCCCTTGTTTCTTTTAGTGGGAGATAGCATTTAAAGATAATTCAGTCAGTAAGGGTGTACATTAAACTTAGTTGGACATTGTTTTTAGACCTTTTCAGTAACCAGAAGTAGGAAATAAATTTTTTGTTTTTAGAAAACATACATCATTAGTTCAATTTGATAGCTTCAAATGAAATTTTACATTATTCTTCTTGGGCTTTATATTTGCCTTTTTTTCCTCTTATCCTGAAAACCTTGGTTCCTGATGATAACATCATTTCTTAACTTACATGTATATAAATATAAATAAACTAAGCACATATGTAATTTGAGTTATATCTGTATTAACAATATGATTATTGAAAAGTTTTAAGTTCCAGGCTTTTATTGTTCTTAGGATATATCCCACTAGATTTTTTTTTTCCTTCAACTTTTGTTTTAAGTTCCGGGGTGCATGTACAGGATGTGCGGGTTTGTTACATAGGTGAATGTGTGCCGTGGTGGTTTGCCGCACAGATCAACCCATCATCTAGGTATTTAGCCCAACATCCATTAGCTATTCTTCCTGATGCTCTCTCTTCCTCGTGCTCCCACCCTGACAGGCCCCAATGTGTGTTAATCCCACCATGTGTTCTTATTGTACACCTCCCACTTATAACCCACTAGATATTATCTTCTTTTAAAGCCACTGAAATAATTCCTTGCTGTGTGGTTAAACCACCAACTTGAAACACAGGTTTATTTGTTTTATTTTGCTTCTGATTTTTAAGAATGGCTGTAATTTGAATTTAAATTTTGTTGTATAATTCTATACAACATTTTCATTGCTCCAACATAAATCTTAAAACGAATCCAGCTTTTCTGTGCCCTCTCCACTTTGTTTCCTCCCACCCACATAGGCTGCCATTATTGGTAGCCATTTTACCATGTTAGTTTCCAGTATAAGCAAGTGTGCCTGTGTCTCCTCCTCCCCCCCATTTTATACATAAATCATACCTTATGTACAAAATGTGCCTGCATTTTTCCAATACCAGTATATCCTAGAGACCACTCTATAGCCAGAGAGAGAATCTTTATTCCTGTTCCATCTGTATGGCATACTCCGTTATTGTTAACAGGGTTTTTTTTTTTTTTTTTTTTTAACAAATCAGATTGCTAATAGGCAAGAATTGCTTTCAAGTTGAAATGTGGCCTGTTTACATATCTGTGATCAAAGATATTTTAGCTGTTTCAAACTCATTTAGAAGTCTCAGTATCAGCTGAAATGTAAGTATTAGGGTCCTTCAGGCCTGGCAGTGAATCCACTTCTCTCTCTACACTTTCTACACAAATGACATTGTTGAGTGCTTCCATCAACATCATTTACATTCATGCCATTGTTATGCTAATGATTTATATACAGCTAGCCCAGACCTCAGAGCTCTGATTTGCATAACCAGTCGCCTGCTGTACATCTCCACTTGGATGTCTCACAGACATCTTAAGCTTACCATATTACAAAGTAGCACACTTTGTTTCCCCCAGAAATTATGCTCTCCCTACCCCTCAACTCTGTATCTCCCACAGCCACCCATTTACCTAAGTTAGAAACCTAAGAGCAATTCTTGACTCATTCATTTTCCTCCCTTTTCAAATCCTGGATGATGTAAAAAGCTAATCCTGATTATTTTATCACCAAAATAAATTTACAGTCTGGTGTCATTTTCATCTCCTCTGTCACCATCATAACCTAGGCAACCCTTCTCTCTGACCTGGATTCCTGCCATCAGTCTCCCTGCTTCCACTCATGTCATGCCACATTTTCACTCAAGGCCCACAGAGGTCTTTCCATCTCGTAGGGGTCCTCCATGACTTACCTTGTTTCCCAACCCTTCACCCATTCTGGTCTTCTTTCAGTATCTTGAACGTGCCAGGGTCGTTTCCTTCCTCTGGATTTTGCCCTGCTGTTTCCTCTGCCTGAATGCTGACCTCCTTATTTTCATTTAGTTCTCAGCTTAACTGTAATTTACTACTCAGTCTTTTTCCAATCACTTTATCTAAAGTAGATCTCTTAAAATTCTTTGTGCCTGTTTTGTTTCTTTCATGGTAGTTATCACAACTTGGTATTTCTTATGTTTATTTCCACTTTATCTCCTCCACTAAAGGATAGGAACCCTCTCTCTTATTCATTGTCATACCCACTGATTCTGAAACATAGTAGACACCTTAATAGGAACTCAATAAATATTTGTAGAATATGTAGAGGTATAGTGAAATTCAAAACACCATCTTACGAAAAGCTTTACTTATGTAGAACCCATTGCTTATGTACTCCCCACATCATTCCAAAATGACTAAAATTACTTTATGAAATATAAACAGTGCCTGGACAAAAACATAAATAAAAGTATGTGAGTATGTGTTTTGGTGGAGGATGGGCAGCATGTAAGGTTAATCTTCAAAAAACACTTCTAAGATTCTCTGATCTTATAGAGAGGTAGCAAGTTTGGCTTTGAGCTTAACAGCCACTGCAAATTGGGTACCATGTTGTACATGGGCCATGAGATAAAAATCTTTCGAAAAGGATGATATAGTGGAGCTGGAAACCAGTCACCTGCAGTAATTGTTTTGTTACTGTAGATTCATTCCAAGATTATTTTCAGCAGTCTTTTAATTAGGAATTTTATCCTAATATAAGTGAGGCAAAAGATGCAGAATACTCATAAATGTAAACATGAGTGTTGTTGGAAAGAATAAGACATGAACAGATGGCAGTGTTGTCTTTAACACTATATGGATTAGATTTTGAAGATTAATACCAGAATTACCAGAAATATATCTAACCTATTTATTATATTCACTTCTAGTTGGAGTTTGAGCAAGTAAATATGCATTGTAATACAAACATTTCCTTTTAAAACTCTTCAACAGGACTCTGACTTGAAGAAAACAGTGGATGAAAGTGCACGGATTCAGAGAGCATACAACCACTATTTTGATTTGATCATCATAAATGATAATCTAGACAAAGCCTTTGAAAAACTGCAAACTGCCATAGAGAAACTGAGAATGGAACCACAGTGGGTCCCAATCAGCTGGGTTTACTGATGATTCAGTAAGGTTAACAATGAAAATTAAACTCTTAAAAAGTGACTGCAACAAATAAACCTTCTACTGAGAAAATACATCACAGATAGAAGATTATCTGCTAAGTCCAGGCATTTTTATGGTGTAGATTGAAATAATAGTACACTTCTGAATTTTTATATAAAATGTGGTTGGAAGGTGTACTAATATATAATTTATCTTAATTTTTCTAACTTTGTATGGATAATCTTTCTATTCATATCACATAAAGAAATGCGTTGAAGCATTTTGTATATGTTTTGATTTAGTACCCTTGCCTTTTTCATCAAAGGAATTTTCAAATCATTCACTCTAACATTGGTCTCATATTTTCACTGTGATAATGAATATTACTTGAAATAGTTTTGTAAAGCTGTCATTTAGTTCAGTATTCAAATAGTGAAGGGTTAGTCTTAATAGAAGAAAATATAGTTATTGACCTTCCTTCTTATAAATTTCTTACAAAAGCAGAATTTTAAGTCAGTGTTATAGCTAGTCTACTACCATCTAAATCTGACATCAAAAGTCTGATCAGTTTACGTATTTTCATTATTTCGGAGATGTATGGCTATCCATTCTAATTTATACAGCTATATTAGTTTTGTCTCTTCATTTCTATCTTTACTGAAAAATTGAAGAGCAATACCTTGCACTCTCTTTTGAGGTTATTCTTTTTATTTGTTGCAGTGATATGATGCTAACTAATTTAACATGTACACAGTAAGCTCTGGGGCTGGAAGCAAGGTCATGCAGACTGAGAGAGTGCCTTATCCTGTAAAACCTTACAGCAAAATGACACTTGAAGAAAGTTTATTTTCACATGTAAAATTTTGACTGACAAAAGGAACCTACTACTTTAAACAATGGTTTTATTAGAACATGGTCAGCAAATGTATCATGCCTCTGCAAATTTTAGTGATGTTTAGAGATGCCTCTAAGTTTGCAGTTGGAGGTTTTTGTGCTTTTAGAAATGTGATGTGATCCTTAGGGTACCTGTTTTGTCTGTTGTGTTGAGAACCAAACCCATTGAACAACTTAAAAAATTGGGAAATAATTGTCAGCTATTTTGTATACATACACACAAAATATATACATTATATAATATGTATATTATGTATTATATAATATATATAAAATGTTTTGTATATTTTTTACATATCTGTTAAAAAATGTACTTTGTTTTTTTGTTTGTTTGTTTTGAGATGGAGTCTCTCTCTGTCACCCATGCTGGAGTACAGTGGCGCGATCTCAGCCCGCTGCAACCTCTGCCTCCTGGGTTCATGCGACTCTCGTGCCTCAGCCTCCCAAGTAATTGAGATTACAGTTGGGTGCCACCATGTCCGGCTAATTTTTGTATTTTTAGTACAGATGGGGTTTCACCATGTTGGCCAGGGTGGTCTCGAGCTCCTGACCTCAAGTGATCCACCCACCTTGGCCTCCCAAAGTGCTGAGATTACAAGCATGAGCCACTGCACCTAGCCAAGAAGTGTACTTTTTGTTTAATGATTACCGAAAGAAGTTCTCCTTTAGAAGCATTGACTTATACAAATTCCCACATTCACCTCAGTTAATATCTTCCTTTAGGATTCTTGGATAATAGAAATTCTTCCTAAAACATACTCAGAGATGCAGCTCATTATTAAATTAAGGTAACCACATTCTGTATTGTTGCTAGCTTTTCATGTAAACATTATTCACACTTTAAAGGATTAGGTGTTTAAATATTGATGGTCATCTTTGTCTGGTGTTAGGTGCCAGACACCTGGCTGCTGAATTTGTTTTTTCCCTCACCAAAGTTGTCATTTGGAACGCCAGCTGGGAGGACTTTGAAGGAAAAGAAAATATATGACAATAGGCAGTATTGACACATTGTTTAAAATCTTTTTCACAATAAAACAAAACACCCAAGTTGTCATATTGTTAAAGTTGGAAATCTATAGGTTTTTCTTTTTTTTTTTTTTTTTCTTTTTTTGATTCTAGATTTCATGGCCAGAACACAAATTCACGTTTCTTGTCCTAGGACAGGGAATTGGTGACAAAATGGATTATACTATTTTAATAACAGTGGAAACTTTCAAACTACATGTGTTTACACCAAATTCTTGGCTTCTCAAAGCAACATGAATTAAAGCACAGTATCAAGGTGATGCCCTATGACAATGTTTCAACACACACTTGAAATTTTAAGAGAAATTTCAGTTCTTCACTCAGGAAATGTGCTGTATTCTCTAATGTACTTTCATGCTGCAGCATGGAGCCTCTTTAAACAGCTTTGGGATAATTATAGCAGCACAAGAAGTTTATCTGCAAAATATTTCAATCATCTTGGTACAATAGATGACTTTTACATCATGTATATTAGCCTTATGTGATATAAAATGTATTACTTAGAAAATATACTTAAAGGAATTATTTCTATTATAAATGGTATTCATGATTGACTACTTAATTAATGCACATTAGATTTCTCCTAATATAAAATGAAATGATGCAGTTTAGTTCATTTCAGTCTAGATGCCCGTACTAACAAGAATACAGTTAGATAAGTTCATTGTATCTCAATGAAGAATCATTGAACTTGAAACCCAAGTCCCAAATGAATCTGCAGGAATGAGCAGTGCTCTGCGGGGGCAAACAGCCCCAGAGGTCCCAGGGTTCTTCCTAGGTAATGAGAGTATAGCTGTGATCAAGGAAATGTGAACTTCTCTTTTGGGAAGATCTGCGATAATTAGCTTTATGGAAGCGAAAATGGTTTAGAGTGGTGTTGAGCAATTGTTAAGAGTTGAAATAGACACACACATGCATGTGCTTTTGGGAAACATGATGTGCCAACGTATTAATGTGCCTGAGGGCTCCTTGTGGATAGGTCAGTGTCCACATTTCAGCACTCAGGGCATGACTGTACACAACCTAAGACTATATATATATTTTTTCATTTTCAAATGTACAAATACCCATAGAGGTGATGTGCCTGGATAAGTCATTTAACCATAGCTTAGTGAAATAAATGTGATGGCCCTAAAAAGTAGAATTTTCACTTTCATTACAGCCATGCCTTTATTATGCAGTCTCCATTTCTGTGTGATATTTGGTAATATCACATGTCAAATACATCAGGACTTTGTTTATTTTGGCTAACTCTAACTATACAATTGCTGAACATAGCTTTCTGAAATAGAAATTATAAGAGAAACCCAGTATGCCTACAGCATTAGTAGCCTAAATCCTAGATTCTAGAATCCAATAAATTTATAGTAGTTCTTAAGAAGTTTCCTTTAAAGCAACAAATAGATTATTAAGGCAAATTTAGATAATAACCCAAGTTAGCAATAAAACCATGTGACATTATAGATTATGTCCAGATACTAACTGCTTTGACCATAATATCCCAATGACAATAAAAAATGATCCTTGGTTTAAAAATTATTAAATGGTACTTATTTTTATGTATAACAAGTGTCATGATCCCAGTGACTGGAGTTGATTTTCAAGGTGGATAGCCATAGAGTTAGGTAAAATTATTTTGAATTGGCAAACTAAAGATAACAATTTTGAAAATTGCTCAAAATAATAATCTACTTAAATTTTACTTTTGTAACTTCTGAAACAGTACTCCATTATCCAGAAATCACAGGCTAGAGAGCCAATAATTTTGTAGTAATGAACCTTAACTAAACATGAAAAAGGCAATCCTGAAGTTTTATGTACATAGATAGCAGTTCATTTTTTAAATGTTCGAGTTGCCATATATTATGTATGTGTGTGTGTGTGTGTATATATATATATATATATATATATATATATATATATATACAGCTATGTGTATAATATGTAAAATTCTCCCAAAATGTATGAATATAAAACTGAATGTATTCATTCATGTAATTATAACTAGCATTCTAAAATTTTTAATTACTCCCATTTCTTTGACATTCTGAAACTTTTTTTAGATTGTTTTAAAACGCTCTGGTTCCACCTTGAAGCTGATAATCTTTCTGAAAAATATATGAGAAACTCAGAAAGTAGTCATTATTATAATAAATTTAATTTTCTTAGGGAAAAAGGGCAGGGTTCTGGATGGAAACCCCTTTGGAAATTCTTATTTAAACTTTTGAATGAATCTTTAATATGATTCAGGCTGAGATTATGATACCTGCCCTTGTCTTATTTCAAGAGGTTTGCTGTGAGAATTCATGTAATAACATCTGTAATGTATTTGGAATTTTTGGGAGAAATTCATTCTTTTAAATAATGGGATTATTGTATATAGTACAAATGAATACTCACAAAATTTAAGAATACATTTGACTAATAATTGAGCATCTTGTCAGTTTTTATGCAAGCATATATTGTATACCTGAGGAAGATGACAGTTCTATAATTTTTTTAAGGTAAGGTTATTTTTAAATTGCATTTTTGTTCTAACGTTTTGCAATTTATATTCTTTTTAAAATATTTCCCATAATTCATCATGCTAGCTTCTGTGTTCTTGGAATAGTTTTTGAAAAATGCAGAGATTCGAACATGAGTCCTTAATATACTAAACAGTGAAAGAATGATGATATCTCATTTCTAAAGTAAGCATGGTTCACACCACTTTGGCAATACACTGCAGTACTTTTTAAAAAATATTCTCTAGTGATAAAAGTAAAGACAGGGTACTGGCCAAGATCCTAATTCTGACTTCTGACTGTGTGATCTTCGATGAAATTTATATTTCCCTTTATCATTACTATTCTACTTGTTAAGTAAGGCTAAGTTAATATTTGTCTTCGCCTTAAATTCTGATTTGTAATTTGTAACTCTGATGTGGTAGCTGTGATATGGTGAACTGAAAAATCCTTATTAGGCTACTTTATCTGTTCTCTTTTAGTTATTTTAAAGTGTACCTGTTTCTGAAGTAATGTAGTGAATGGTGAATACTTTTCAGGAATTCTTCCAGTTTTAAAATAGCCCCAAAGATACAGTTTCAGCTGGTGGAAGGTCTGTTCTGCTCTCTTAGTCCTAATCAGAAAGTCCCTTTTATCTTATAATCCCATACTAAATCCAAACCCTTAGCAAATCCTTGCTGCCAACCAGACCACTCACAAATCAAACAAAATGTAAGCAAGCAATCCAGTACTCGGTTACACCAGAAGACTCTGATCTTTGCCCCCGAAAACTGTCCTACTTTATCCTTATACCTGAAATCACTGCATACCTGAAATCACTGCAGCCCTACTGTTTTACCCATACCATTAATTTAAAAAGGCATCTATTTCTTTATAGAAAGAAACATTCACAGTGAGGTCTTAGTTTGTGAACCTCAAAATCCAGATATTAATCCACTTTAGTTATTACTTTGTAATTGCTTCTCAGTCATTGGCTGATAATGCAATGGTGTGATAAATTTGACTTATCTCCACATACAAAAGTCGATCAGAAGGGATAGTTCTCTTCCTTTTTTTCCCCTCCTACTGGCTCTTACTGTTTTCTAATCTCCAGTGTAAATGGAATGAACACATCTATAGTTAAGGTAAATGCCACCAATCAGAAGATTGAGTGATTTACTGCTTGTAAAGCAACTGTCTTTGAATCTTATGAAATAGGTGGTGTTGCTACCACAGAAGCCAAAAAGGTCTTAAAATTGGAAATAGATGTCTTTATTGTACTTCAGCCAACAGCAAGCCAGGGGAAGGAACATACATAAATATGACAGGTCATATATGAAATTTGGCTCTCCTCCTATCAAAGTAGCCTAGGAGCTTGGAGGAAGCCTAATTAACTAAAACAGGAAAAAAGCATACTCATCTGATGTAAAAACTCATCAGCTGTAAATTACCAACATTAAACCAGAAGTCATTACCAGTTAAAATGTGTGGTTTTCATCTTATTCTTAAATAGGAGAGGTGGACAGTAGTGTAAGTAACATTGCTTTAAAGACATAAAGCTTGTCCTGGTAAACATGGTCTAAATGAGAAATGCCTCCATCTTTTCAGGTAGAACCAGATTTCAGGCATAGCTCAGCTACATCTGTATTTGAAATACAATAAAAATATTTCTTATGTCTCTGTATTCTCTTTTAAAAAGAACTGCTGACTGGCTCCTGTCTCTTCAGTAACACTGATTTTTTTTTAAAGAAGTGATATGTTGGACTCTGTTGTAGAAGAATGAGCACTAGTATTCAGCAACAAGTGCAATTTCTCCATGTTATGTTGAGCTCTGTTGGAGCCTATGGTGAGTATTTGATGTGAAAACCTTGCTGTGGGAATTTTTTATTCTTCCTTTTCCCCCCACGCCAGTTCGTTTTGGTAAGTCTTTTATTTGAACACAAGACGCATGCTTTTTTAAACCTCTAGTTTTTGAAGTAACTGTAGAAGAGAATCTTTAAAAAAAAAAATGGAGGGCAGAATGCTTGTTAGCAATCTGAAAATCAAAGCTGAACAAGCTGCTTAAAGTTTCTGATTAAGAAGTTTAAAAAGAAAAATTAATTGCTACTGCTTTCCAGGTAATTGTATTATTAGTTTCTGTATAAAAGAAACATTATTGCTGTTGTATAAATAAAATTTTCCTGTGGTACAATTAAGTATTGATTTTTCAGAAACTGTCCCTATAAATCTTTTCACATATTTCCATGTGCTGTCCAAAACAAAAATTATTGAAATGTCTAATCTGTGAGATTATATACTCCTGGTAAAATATTTTTGTATATATAAAGAAATATTTACTATTGGAAAAAAGTGTTTCATTTATAGGTAGAACTAAGGTTTAGAGATAATAATGGAGGATATCTGATTAGCGTTGATAATTTTTTTTAACTGTTTGCATTTTTTAACTTTTAGGTTTGGGGGCACATGTGAAGGTTTTGTTACATAGGTAAACACGTGTCACAGGGGTTTATTGTACATATTATTTCATCATCCAGATACTGAACCTGGTACCCAATAGTTATCTCTTCTGCTCCTCCCCCTCCTCCCACCCCCCACTCCAGTAGACCCCAGTGTCTGTTGTTTCCTTCTTTGTGTTTATAAGATACTATCATTTAGCTCCCACTTAGAAGTGAGAACATGCAGTATTTGGTTTTCTGTTCCTGTGTTAATTTGTTAAGGATAATGGCCTCCATCTCCATCCATATTCCTGCAAAAGACATGATCTCATTCTTTTTTATGGCTGCATGGTATTCCATGGTGTATGTATATATCTCATATTTTCTTTATCCAATCTGTCATTGATGGGCATTTAGGTTGATTTGTGTCTGCTATTGTGAATAGTGCTGCAGTGAACATTTGCATGCATGTCTTTATGGTAGGAAGATTTATATTCCTCTGGGTATATAACCAGTAATGGGATTGCTGGGTCAAATGGTCGTTCTGCTTTTAGCTCTTTGAGGAATCTCCGTACTGCTTTCCACAATAGTTGAACTAATATACACTCCCACCAACAAGGTATGAGTGTTCCCATTTCTCTACAACCATGCCAGCATCTGATAGTTTTTGACTTTTTAATAATAGCCATTCTGACTGGTGTGAGATGGTATCTCATTGTGGTTTTGATTTGTATTCCTCTAATGATCAGCGATATTGAGCTATTCTACATGTGGTTGTTGGCCACACACACGTCTTCTTTTGAGAAGTATCTGTTCATGTCCTTTGCCCACTTTTTAAGGCGGCGGGGGTGGGGGGGGTTTCTCTTGTAAATTTAAGGTCCTTATAGATGCTAGATATTAGACTTTTGTCAGATGCATAGTTTGCAAATATTTTTTCCCATTCTGTAGGCTGTTTACTCTGTTTATAGTTTCTTTTGCTGTGGAGAAGCTCTTAAGTTTAATTAGATCTCACTTGTCAATGTTTGCTTTTGTTGCCATTGCTTTTGGTGTGTCTTTGTCATGAAATCTTTACCTGTTCCTGTGTCCCAGATGGTATTGCCAAGGTTGTCTTCCAGGGTTTTTATAGTTTTGGGTTTTACATATAAGTCTTTAATCCATCCTGAGTTGATTTTTGTATATGGTGTAAGGAAGCGGTCCAGCTTCAGTCTTCTGCAGGTAATTTCTTTTAAGTGATAACAGTCTTTGTAAAAAGCCCCTAAAGTCATTTAGTGTTTCCCACCTAAATAAATAAATTGATCACTTGCCTCTACAACAGAAGCCCTAATCATTGTTTTCTCTATCCCAGTCCGATTTGGTGGTTTTCAAAGACACACTCAAGGAAAGAATTTCAGTGTTGGGGAAGGTTAAAATATAGGACCAAGAAAACAAGGCTTCTGTGCTGAGATGGCATGGAATACTCTTGACCATTTCCCAGCTAGCCAGGAATGAAAGAAATCCTGGTGAGAAAGAGAATGAACCGACCCATTCTGGCACACAGCTCAGCACTGCAGCCTGCAGTGAGAGAGGACTTGGGCCCACCAGGCTGACGAGAGACAGAGGTGTGGCACTGGGTGCATGCAGGAAGCCTCCTTCCAGACAGGGCCCTTTGCAACTCTTGCCCAAGCTAATTTCCAGGATTGCCTACCTCATACTTAAGAAATTGCTAGTACAGTGTATCTCTGATGTCTCCAGAGGAATTAGATGTTATCTTCTTCATTCTTCCATCTTATACTACCTTAGTTTTCTATCACAACCACAAATTTACCAGCTTAAGAGAACACAAATTTATTACCTCTTCTGTAGGTCTGAAGTCCAACACAAATATCACCAAGCTAAAATCAGGGTGTCGGCCGGGGCCTGTTGGGGTTCTTACCTGGAGATCTGAGGAAGAACCCGTGTCAGGCTTGTGCAGGTTGTTGGCTGACTTCATTTCCATGCAGCTATAGGACTGTGGTCCTTGTTTCCTTGCTGGCTGTCAGAGGGACTGCTCTCTCCTCTTGCTCTAGTCCCTTCCATCTTCAGAGCCAGCAGCAGCACGTAGATTCTTTCTTTTTTTCTTTTTTTTTCGAGACGGAGTTTTGCTCTTGTTGCCCAGGCTGGAGGGCAATGGCGCGATCTCGGCTCACTGCAACCTCTGCCTCCCCGGTTCAAGTGATTCTCCTACCTTAGCCTCCTGAGTAGCTGGGATTACAGGCATGCGCCACGACACCCAGCTAATTTTTTTTTTTTTTTTTTTTTTTGTATTTTTAGTAGAGACGGTGTTTCACTGTGTTGGCCAGGATGGTCTCAATCTCTTGACCTCGTGGTCCGCCCACCTTAGCCTCCCAGAGTGCTGGGATTACAGGCGTGATTACAGGCCACCGCGCCCGGCCAGCACATAGATTCTTTCTACTGGCCTCACCTTTCCTACGTTTTCTTGAGCCAAGTCTCCTTCACTGCCTCTTCTGCCTTCTTTCCTTTAAGGGCCCACCGACATAATCCAGGATAATGTGTCCATGTCAGGTCCATAACTTTAAAAGCATTTGCCAAGTCCCTTTCTGTCATGTAAAATAACATACAGGTTCCAGGGACTAGGTCTTGGACATCTGTGAGGAGTCATTAATGGACCAACAACACTAGCTATGTCAGTGGTACTCCTTTCATCCATTTATGAAAGAGAAGTGGTCCTCTTATGAATGGAAATATCAGAATTAAGGGGGCTGTCTTGTGCTATTCTAGGAAGTATTCCTTTTATTTACTGTTTTCCAGATGACCTGAGCTAATAGACTTGTTTGCAAATCTAATTATGAAAAACAAGTATGGTTCTTGATGTCAATAGAGGCACTTTTTAAAAAAGATTTAATGAGAAAGTTGGAGATACTATCTAGTTAGAAACCTCCAAAGATGATATCTCCAACTTCCTCATTAAATCTTTTTCAAACCTTTGGAGGCCCAATTCCACCTCACTGCAAGCACACCTAGCCTTGCTGCACCCGCATCTCTACAGGTGTCTGCTAAGATGCCTGGCAGTAACCTCAGGCTGGGAACAACTGTAGTAGCATAAAGCTACCTCCTTTTTAATAGCTAGTTCTTAAAACACAATCCAGCATGTCAACTGGCTGGTCTTAGAACAATTGTGAAACAGCTAGATTCCTGACTGTTTGATGTAACCCAGACTTTCGGCGCTTGCTGGGATGGCTTCTTTCAATCTGAAGTCTTTCATTTTGTCTGTTTTTTAATTTGGAGGATAAGACATACAGAATTCTAGCAGGAATAGAAAGCTAAAAAATCTTCCTCTGCCTCTTGTCTCAACCTCTAAGTTTCTTTCTCCCCAAAGGAGCCACCATTAGATTTCGTGTGAACTCTTTAAATGAAATTTTCCATTAATATTGATAACATGTATACATCTATCTATCTTTTTACACAAGTAGATTCATATTATACCTTCTGTTTGCAGTTTGTTCTTTTTACTTATTTCAGAAAACCAGACAAAAGGCAGGTATAGTGCCACCATTTTAGCACAACTGCTTTCACTTTTGCATATTCCTTTCCAGTTTGTATGTAAGGCTTATTTCTGTATAGCTGCTGCCACCATGTGCCATTTTATAGCCTCTCCCCCAACATATAAGCATTTCCATAAAGAGTCTCATTTTTAGTAGTGATGAAAGGGTTATTTGCTTTATTCTTCCTTGTTAACCTTCATTAAAATCTGAAGGGAAGAAAGGGAATAAGTGGATGATGTTGCAGGGAAAAAAGAATAGGTGCTGTATGATATGTTTCCAACAACTGCTACCCCTCATCCCCAGTGGCTCAGATCCTGTCTATGGAATCAGGGACACAGGGAGCCAGTCCAAGCTATTTATAGAAGGACATCAAAACAGAATAAAAAGCAAAATAGACATAGTTCAAAGTTTCCTTTAATAGAATACCCAGAATACATAGGAAATCAACATGTGCTAGACATAGAATTAGTATGTTCACTGAAGCATGGCAAGGTCACATAAAATGCATATAGCTAGGGTCCCAAGCAGGGGTGTGTTACTGTTAGATTTTTTTGAAGTTTAATTTTGTTCAGCAGAGGAATATACTCTAGGAGCATTTACAGTTCATTTTCAGTCATCAAATAACATACATCACTTCCAAAACGTAGCCTCTTGTGTGCAGAGAAATTGCCTTCCCACAGCATTCACAATGTAAAAAGACCTTTTGGATTAAAGGGTCAGACTCTTTCTATGTAACAAAAAGTGGAATGCAAGTGACAGATGGACTTATTATTGTGCAGAAAAAACGTCTGAATGTATGCTAAGAATTCTCCGCCCTCCCAGCTCTTTACATGCTGGAACCTAACTCAGATGCTGGGTCACCAGCACAGGAGGGCCTCTGATAAGGAAAACTGTTTAAAGAGTACCTGGTGGCTAAAAGTCAGGTCATTCATCATGCAAAATGTCACCACTTCTTAAACTGTTCTGTAAATTCATTTCATTGGTCAACTTTTAACGTGCATATGACCTTTAACAGTTCTGAAAAATAGCCTTGGCCAGTAACACGTACTTCTAGTTCACATATGACATCATGAATGTTCTCTGCCTAAAGCACAGAGTCCATTCAGGGTTATACAAAGAAGCAGTGGGAAGACTTTAGAGTCCTTCAGAATGACAGCTTTCACAGATGACTTCAGTCTCTCCAGACTAATGTCAGCTGAGGCAAACAAGCGCTGCACAATCCCAAACCTTTCTGTATCTTTCAGGGGAGTCAAGGTTGGGTCTTCAAGATCAGATACTCCATCATCAGACAGAGCACGAAGCTGAAATGACACATTTAAACAAATTCACTTTTAAAATGTCCTAAAAAATCCACATTGGATAGTAATGCACTTGTAGGTAATTCTGGGGGAAAAAACTTTTTGAGATGGAGTCTTGCTCTGTCGTCCAGGCTGGAGTGCAGTGGCGTGATCTCGGCTCACTGCAACCTCCAGCTCCCAGGTTCAAGCGATTCTTTTGCCTCAGCCTCCCGAGTAGCTGGTACAGGTGTGCGCCACCATGCCCAGCTAATTTTTGTATTTTTAGTAGAGATGGGGTTTCACCGTGTTGGCCAGGCTGGTCTCAAATTCCTGACCTCAGGTGATCTGCCCACCTCGGCCTCCCAAAGTGCTGTGATTACAGACATGAGCCACCACGCCTGGCCAACTATGTCGTTTTTTAAATTTCCCCAAATAGAGCAGGAAAACCCTTGAGGTGTAACATGATATATTTGATCCAGGCCAGGACCTCAGGCCTGATTCTATCCAATTTGTCTAGTGTCCTCTGTCTGAATCCCTACTCTCCAAACTCTTTCTACTAGTCCCATTAACTCCAGTACATTAGAAAGGTTAGAATGTACTTTGGTCATATATGCAGTATGCTTAGTTTTTGTTTTACTGAAGATATTAGAACTTTCTTATATCTTTGCATGAACTCCTCAAAGGTAGGTACCATAGTTTAGTTTAATTATCCTTCCTGCCTCAAGAACCTTTTCCCTTGTTATTCCTTCTTCCAAATTTCCCTGTTGATCTCCCCTTCTCATCACTCAGTTGTCAGCTGAAATGCCACATTGAGGGCCTTTCCCAATCCCTTTCCATCTAGCTACCCCCAGCCCCAGAACTCAGCCTTATGTTACTCCATTATGTTGTATCCATAAACTTACTATATCTGAAGTAATCTGCTTGATAGTGTTTAGTCACCTTCCCTTATTTAACCCTAAGCTGCTCGTGAGAGCAGGGACCTTGTCTGCCGTGCCTACAACACAGACACTCAATGTGTTCTTCACCGAGGTCACTTTGGATGCTGCTCTAATTCCACTGCTCAACACATACTTGAAATATTTGATTTGCTTTTAGGGTCTTGATCTGTACCCGTAATATTTTACAAATCTTAAGCAATTACAAATTTACCAGTAGATTTCATTTTGAAACAGGCATTCAAGATCTGATTAATAATGTAAGTAGTAAAATTTTAAATTAAATTAAAAATGAAATAAGCCTAGAAAGTTTGCCTGAATTTTAAGAAATCTGAAGGGAATCCAAAAGAAAAAATTCCAGAAATTTCCTGAGCAGTGGTGACTATCTTGAAAGTCATGCAGCTTGTCCAGGTAGACTGAAGGGTAGCACTCACTGGAATGTAAAAGTACTTGTGGGTTTATTATCAAAATCAGCCTCACGAACCTTGTAGATTCGCCAAATACAACTCACACAATGTAACCACAGGCTTAACGTTACCATTAGGCTCAGACTGCAAACTATTGATTGTGCTTTAGAGAGTAGATTAGACCTGCTCTTTAAGCACAGCATCACACCCCAGTGAATTAAGGAGGAGCCCCACTGGCGCAGGCTGGAGACTGTCAACAGCATGGCAGGCTCCCTGTCCTTACCACCTGGTGGATGAGAGCTGTGCAGCATTCGGCTTTCTTTTCTAAATATCCACCACCCCCTTTGCCCACAGGCATTTCTAGGTATAAGGGGGAAACGGTGACCCAGAGGGTGGTGGAGTGAAGTTAACATTCTCTACTGATTCTAACTCACCCTTTCACCAGTTCTTGGAAATGTGTTAGTGTATCTGGCACTGTACTCCCAAAAGCCCTTCAGAAAGCCTCTCAAAGTTACCCTGGCTACTAGACAAGAAAAGACAGGGCTGCAGATGGATTTTGTGCCGTTTTAAGTAAATCCCTTAAAGAAACATGACGCTCAAATTCCTTCAGGAGGCAGACACCTCGATGTCTTAAATAGAGCTATTGCAAATCTGAGGGGAGGTATGTGAAGATACCCAGGAAGGTCTTTACAGAAAAAGGAGGTCTTTGACTATGTTGAGCAGTGCCAAAAGGCAGAATGTGCAGAAGCAGAATACCTTCCATTCTGAACTCCGAATGTGTTCTGGCTGCTGCTCTTAGAACACCAACAGAGCAGAACTTGGGGGTAATACAAATGTCCTAGAGCTGATCTGCAGGGAGGAGGACAGCTAAGTGTGAGTTTGTCACAGAAGGGGTTAGATAACAGTTAGATAACATGGGCTTGGCAGGATTTTCTTTTTATTTGCTTCAGTTGCAGTTGATGAATCTGTAAATACTTGGGAAGGACTAACTTAGTAAATGCTGAGCACTCAGTTGCTGCAAGAGGAGCTGAGATCTGAAAGCAGAGCTGTTGTTTTGCTCATCATTGCATACAATTAGAATAATGGCACGTATTGTTTCCATAACCAGACTGTGCCACCAGCCTTTACCCTCAGCTGGCCCAGGACACACATGCTGGCACATTTTCAAGTAGTTCCATTTTTGCAGTCAGTGGACAAGCATGCATGTTCCTCTGGGCCTGTGGAATCTTTCAGTTGTGATACCTGATCTGCTCCTTGGAATGATGCCATGCTGCATAGTCTTCTAATGTCTTTGCTATGCACAAAGGCACCAACCACATTACTCGGTGTTCCCAGAGTAGATGTATACCAAATGTCAGGGTCCTGTCTAGGCAGTCTGCCCCAATACCTGCTTCCCAGATCTGACAGCAGAGCTCTGAGAGATGATCCTTTGGGCCAACATAGCAGGTTGGCCTTGGACTTTAGTAATTAGGCCTTAAAATAATCAGACCGTGTGTGCTCAGCTCCTCTGCCCCAGGCTGAGCAACATCTGCAAAAGCTACACAAGACTAGCTGCCCCATCAGGGTGGCTTCAGGGCAACCTGTTGGTGGTTCTTTCTACTAATGGCTCAATCTATAATTTAAAAAGGAAAAGCTTAATCTTGACTCTCTAGGGCTAAGCTCATCATTACCTAACTCATGCTCTTAGAATGACATTTCCAGAGGGGGCACCAAGCTAACGATATTCCTGAAAGTGGATGAAAGAAGCTATGTCTCCCTGGGACAGATCAGTCCTGGATACCTCCCTGGCAAATCTGCTGCAGAGCTCAATCAAACCAGTCTTAGCACAAAACTGCCATTGCAAATAATATGGTGTCAGGCCCCTTTATTGTAATGTAACACCAAACCTTGGCCAAAATTCTCTCCAAACAATGGGAAAAGTATAAGAGTTGGAGTCGAAAGACAAGGATGAAGTCCTGGACCTGCTAACAAGTTATTTGGACAAATCATTTTCCTCTGGGTCTCAGTCTTCCCATGGGGTGGGATGTGTATAAAAGTGGGGTTAATAACAATACTTACTTAATGTGTCTTGAAGAGCTGTTGTGGTAAGTCCTAGAGGTGTTTTACCGGCTGCTGGATGTCTACCCCCTCATCATTTCCCCATTCCTATCCATTCTAAGGTCCCACCTGGGAGGTTGCTTACCAAGTGGCACAGTGTGGGAATGATCTGGAGTTTGCAGCAAGTGCCCAGCAGAGCTGCTGCGCTATCTGGCATTTCTGCAGGAGAGAAAAATCACAGTCACAGTCCAAAAAAACAAGTCCATGGGAACAGAGCCAGCCCCTGGATGGCACCTAACTTATATTTTAGTACTTTCCCGCCAGCCAGGCAGGGGAGGTACTCAGCAGTTGCTGAGTTAGTGAATGAATGGTGCTAAATGGGCAGCAAAGACCTTGTAGAAAACAGATGTAGGAACCCAGCTGCCAGCTCTGCATTCCACAGAGGATACTCCTTGACATTCAATTTACCAAATGGAAAGAACTGCCCAGACTCTGGGGGAAGGAAAGGAAACAGCATGGAAAAGCAGACCCTGCCATCTGGTGACAGAAGAGTGATGTTTGAGACCCTCCACACATTCAGGCTGCAGCCTCAGGTACACCTCTCTCAGCCTCAGTTTCCTCATTTACCATAGTTGTTTTGTTTTTGCATATGTCAGAATACTGTGTAAACTATAAAGGGCTCTACCCCATCACCAATCATTTTGGGGAGGAAAATGCAGTGTAGCTTTATCAGTGCAGCGTGGCCTGAGGCCAGGAGCAGCAACAGCAGAAAGTTGGAGCAGAGCTGTGCCAGGCTAGGGGCTGCACCAGAAGGGCCCTTGCCAAGCCCCAGGGAAGGGAATGCCAGATCAGTGTTATTCAAAGTGGATATTAAACACCTCCCAGGGAAAACACAGATACAGTTCTTAAAAGGACCATAGTCCCTTGGGGGTACAAGCTTTGAGCTGAAAAGGCAAAAAAGAATGAGTCACGTGCTGAATCAGGTAGCCGAGGGACTGGTTAGGAACTCAGTTGTTCCTGCCATGTGTTAGCAGCCTTATTTGTAAAGACAGTGTGTTGTTGAGGTGTGACCCAGAGAGTACATGGCTCGTTCTCAAGAGAGAGTGTAGGCTATTAAGGGGGTGGGGCAGCAGCCAGGGGGATGCTTCTTTCAGAGAACCTAATGTGGTATTCAAATGTGTATGCATTTGTCTGAAGAGAAGATCCACAGTTTCTCAAGTAGTCTCTTACCCCAAAGCAGGAAGGTGAAGACGGAAAGCCTATGTGGCCTAGCGTATCCAGCTGAGCCTCTGTCCCCAGCCATCTCATCTGCCATTACTGCCCTGCCTTCACTTTCCAGGGTGGCTCCTGGGACCCAGGTAACCATCATCCTCATCTCTTATTCTTGGAAATACCTGAGTCCCATATTACCCATTTAGCTGCTATCTTGAGTGTGGTACACTAGGTGCTAGGGGCACAGAAATGAAAGAACAGCATCTGCATTACCGAGCTTACCCACTAATTTTACTACTTGACTCTGATTTCCTGGAGGGCCAAGACTTGATATTTACCTAGCACTGCCTAAAACATAGTATAAGCTTGTTAAATGTTTCTTGAACTGAAATTATTTTGATTGCTCTTCCATGTACCAATTCTATTTTACAAATAGAGTCCAAGGAGTTGAGACCTTTGGAGTTGCTTAAGGTTACAAAATAGTGGAGGAAGCTTCCCAGGAGACAGGTCACATGTGGGACTGAAGTGCTGAAAACAGCTATTAGCCAGAAACTGGTGTGAGGACCTACGAAGACCCCATTTTCTATTCCAGCACTTTCCTCAGTTTTTAAGGAGAGAAGATTATATTAAGAGGAAAAAAAATGAACTCAGAAGGGCGGAGGATTAGCAAGAGCACAAATGGAAGGGCTGTATGCCAGCCTGGCCTCCACTGGGACTGACATATAAATGAGATCACAGTTCAGAAAAATAAAGGGCAGGATTGGTTGAAAAATTTAGACATTGCCAGCTGCACCTAAAGATTTCACTACCTCTGAGTTTCCAATTCAGAAACAGCAAGTCAGTCTCACATTATGTGTCAACTGCGTGGCCTGCTGCCTGCGTGCAAGCTTGCAGAGATTTTTTTTTTTTTCCAAGCTGGACTGCAATGGCGTCCATAGTTCACTGCATCCTTGAATTCCTGGGCTCAAGCAATCCTCCACAGCCCCTCAAGTAGCTGGGACTACAGAGGTACACACCACCATGCCTGGCTAATTTATTTTTTGTACAGATGAGGTCTTGCCATGTTCCCTAGGCTGGTCTTGAACTCCTGGGCTCAAGTGATCCTTCCACCTTACCCTCCCAAAACGCTAGGATTACAGATGGGGGCCACCACACCCAGCCAGTTGCAGAGAATTTGATGCTGTGTCTAGGCTCAAGTAGAAGGGGACTGTGGTGCTTTCATGATGCTGGCCCTGTGTTACCTACTTGGCATCACTGATCCAGGCTATTGATAGAAATGCTGCAATAAGTAATGGGGTATATGAAGAAAAGACCTCTCACAAGTCGGAGAACTCTGGCCTGTGTATTAGCTCCTGACAGAATGCCTGTTCTGAAAGACTCTAATACCCGGATGTTAACATTGGGAGAAAGTCTCTAGTGGAGTTCCGCAGGGCTCTGTCTTATGTCCTGTTTCAGTTTACCAGTCAAAACTATATTTATCCATGAGTTGGAACAAGACAGAGCATATATTTATCAGCACATAGAGTTGGGACAGGCATTCTCTCAGATTAATTCTTTAAAAACTGAAGATTACTGGGTCTGTTTCTGTGTGGTGCTAGGGAGGAACCCTGAATGTATCAGAAACTATGTGTCCTGACTAGTGTCACCATGAAGGGAAGCTGTGGGGACTGGTTTGCCACAACTGGCTTTTCTGAGAGGGAATAGGAAGCCCAGCTTCCTCGTGACAGGCACTGTGGCATGGCGAGTTCCGGATGGGAGGGGTACAGAGGTGGCAGAGATTGTTCCACAGTAACTGGATGGCTGCTCCCCTGGGAGGCCATTTCAGGACCAGTGCAGAAGCTGTGCATCTGGGCCCAGCCACAGCTCTGCCTCCCAGCCTAGTACATTGGATGGTTGAATGCTCTCCACAGCCCCCTTGCCCCAGACAGGAGCACGCAGGGTGGGGAATAACAAGTTTGCAAAGATCAGAAGGACTGAAATGCTGGAGGAGAGCAGTTGGCAAATGAAAGTTGCTGCCACTCAGCTCTGCTGGGACTCCGGAGTGAACCACAGCCTGTCAGGGAGATGCTTGCTTTTGTAGGCAAAGGGGCACCCACTGTGGCCTTCCCTGGGGGAGGAGGGAGAAGGGCCCTCCGGGAGAGTAGGGAGGCTTGTGCTGGATGGAAAGGCACAGACTCGAGACCGAAGGGGGGTTTCCCATCAGCCTCCCACCTCTTACCCTCCCTGTACCAGAAGGGAAGGACCTGTATGTACCATATCTTCCACAGTTACCACCTCTGTGTCCCCAGAAGCATAGATAGTAGGCAAAGCATTTTAAAGCAGCAGCAGCCATTTCTTTCATTTTCTTTTCTCCTTACCTGCGAGGGCACTGACCAAGAAGTAGGCTGTCATAAACAGCTGCTTGCTGCCTGCATCCTCGGGGCCCGGACACCCACCCTGTAAGCTGCACCCCACCAGCTGCAGGAAGGCCACAAGGTCCTGCTGCTGCCGGGGCTTCAGCTCCCCCAGCACCGCCACTGTGGGCGAGAGGCCGCTGACCAGGTCATCGCACTGTAGGGCAGGGAAGAAGAAGGGTCATGACACAGCTGGAGACCAAGCGCCACAGCTGGGGCCTCCGCTCACAGTACACACAAGCCCCAGCCCTTCCCACTCCCCCGAGGAAAGTACGACCCGCAGCTCTTCTCTACGTTCTGAAATTGCTAATCCTTGGTGGCTACATTTCACTGACGGGACAGTAAGCTGAACCTGGCCCACGAGGGTTGGGGGCGTACTTGCTGGAACTGTGGCATAGAACCTTCCAGGGCAGGGTCTGTTGGGTAGTGCCAGGGACCAGAAACAAGTGGTTACACACAGAACTGGGGAGGGCGATGTTCAAGCATCGTCTTGTCTTGGTTCTCATGCGTTAAGCTAGGCGCTCCAGCCCCCGGCCACATTCCCACCGGGCACTGGGCAGCTGCATCTGTCCCCACAGAGCCTGCTGTGGAGTGAGGCGACCCTGCTGGAGAGCCAGTTCGGACCACCCCGCCAATTCTGCACCACCCACAGCCTTGGTGTCCAGATCCGATCATCTGAAAGCTTGACCCCACCCTCGCCACCAGCCGGGCAGCTTGCTTCTCCAGCATTTGACAGGGCAGCTGAGGCTCTCTCCACAGGGTGCTGGCCTGACATTTTCCTCTTGGAAGAAGTTATTTTCGGAAGTAGAAGTCAATGGGCTTTTTAAAACACTGTTCTCCCTGGAGCTGAGCTCCCCACCCTCTAGAATGCAAATGTCCTGGGCTGTGGGACTGTTTCAATAACAGGTTCCATCACTGATACCCAGGCTCTTTCGGCACAATCTAATTTCAAGAGAGAAAAATAATATGAACACTTCCCTGGAAACCATAAAGCACTAAATCAGTTATTCAAACTCCCTGCATAATATAATAGAAAAACAAAAGAACAAAAAACAAAACTGTAGTCAAAATCAGGTTTATAAAGCCTCAGCCTTAAGAAAGGGAGGACACAGAATCTGGGTGGCTGGAGGGTTGGCAGCTTGTGTGGCTCTCACCATTTGTACAACTAAGAGTTAAGGAACTTGACCTCCCCAGGATATCCTTCTGCTGCAAAACACAACAGTGCAAAAGCCTATTTATTTCTCTGTTCTAAATGGAACAGGCTGACTTTATAGATTCCACCACACGACCCCCTTGCAGTAGTCTGAGTAGTGGCCCACCAACATATGTTACCTGGAACCTAAGAACGTGACCTTAGTCTTTGCAGATGTAATTAAAGTAAGGAAATCAAAATGAGATCATCCTAGATTGGGGTGGGCCCTAAATCCAATGATGGTGTCTTTATAACAGACAGTAAAGGAGAAGACACACACACACACACAGAGGGGAAGCCCACATGGAGACAGAGCAGAGGCTGGAGTGCTGCTGCCATGAGCCAGGAACACTAGGAGCCATCCGCAGCTGGAAGGAGACAAGGCAGCAGAATTCTCTCCTAGATCCTCTGGGGGAAGTGTGGCCCTGCAGACACCTAGACTTTGGACTTTTGGGCTCCAAAACTATGAGAGAATAAATTCCTGGTTTTTTAAGCCCTCAGGTTTGTTGAGGCAGCCCTAGGAAATTAACACCTCCCTCCACCCGATGCCAGCTACCTGTCTGCACTTAGAAAACGCAGGACCCAAGAGTCAGAAAAGAGACAGCTGTAGGGAGAAAAGGAGGCGGGGGAACCTTTAACACAATTCCATCCTGCCTCCTCCCCTGTTCCAGAAAACCCCAGTGAAAACACTGCCTTGAGATGTCTCAGGGCTCACCACTGGTTCCAGGACCATGAGTAGTTCATCATCAAATAGGACCGCCTGGAAGATGTCACTCAAAGCTGTCTGTTGTGGCTCAGGCAGCTCCGCAAATGGATGGAAATTCCTCTCCAGGAGCAGGGTCGCTGTGAAAACAAAGCACACCCAAGTCTCATGACTGCGATGCACATCTCACGACGTCGGACAGCAACTCCTGCTTTTTATACCTAATCGTCATCAGTTCTTTCATGGATATTCCCAGCTGCATAGTCAGTCATGGAACTCAGAAATAAACATCAAGTTACAAGCCACCCTGCATATTTTTCAATAACCAAAGGGAGGGAGGAGAGAGAGAGAAAGAGGGAAGCCAAGTTTTGTATTTCAAGCTTCACTCTTCTCTGATGACTCACTAAACATTAAGTCTAATCAATTATTTTCTGGAAAAGTTATTTAAATTCTTCTTTAGCATGACTTCTCTAGAAGTAAATTATCAAAGCTGAATTACTAAACAAGTCAGTGCTTTTACAATGCTTTAGAGCCATACAAATTCCAAAATACATTATTTTTCACGTCCTTTCTTGTAGTACATTGCAGATTTTCTATCCTTTAATATTTAATGCCCATTTTTAAAGGGGCTGGCACCCTATTTTCATGGCAAGCACAGCTATTCTTTCTCTATCCTTTGCTTCTTCATGAGTCCTCAAGCTGAGCACTGAGTCCCCGAAGCTATTGCCTCTGCAGGATGCTTAGGGGCCTCTCCCCTTAGAATCTCTTTTCCTTTCTTTGTTTTTTGGTTTTTTTGTTTGTTTGTTTGTTTTTAAGATACTCAGAAGCTTCTTGTAAATTAAGTCTAGTGGAGATTTTATTTTTAAAGATTTGATAAAGGTTTCGTATGCAGGGATGCACACTAATACATCAATGTACCACCCATGAGGATGGACGATTCCAACTAGCAGTTGTATAAAGCCCCACGCAGAGGAACACAGAACATCAGTAACCAACATATTTCAAAACTCTGCTATACACACAACTGTCTTTACCAGTCCCAGCCTGAAGAGAGAAGCTGTCCTGGTCGGTCCAGTCGCACACCCAGCTCCCACTGCACCCCTGCTGACCAGAATGGCCAACTCGAAGGGTGGGCCTGTGGGCAGGACAGAAGGAAGCTGCAGCACGGGACTGCCTTCTGCTACCCAGTGGCTGCAGGGCCATTTTGCTGTGGTTCTAACCCACAATGACAAAATCCTTCAAGTGGCAGCTGAAAATTGCACCCACTTATCCATCTCAAGGAAGCCAAGATAGGAAAGCCTTATATTAAAATTGGGCCTTTGTTGTCATTTCTTCAAATACGGACATTTTTGCTACAAAAGCATCCTGGTTTGGGACTCATCGAAGCTCCACAGATGTAGTCACCAGGGCTTCTGTGCTTACCCTCCAAGCCAGCGCGCACACGGAGCGGTTCCTAGCTCTTTGTGCTAAGCTCTCACCTATTTGTTTCTCCTTTTCCTTGCCCATCTCCTCCTATATGCTGCGCCCCCACATCCCCGACAAAAGAAACCAGCTTTCTAAAGCACAATACGCTGTGAGGAGCAAAAGGAATTGCTGCAGGCACATCCTGGGCATGGCCCCTCTTCCTCTTTGGCACCATGCAGTCCATGCCATGTGGATAAAGAGCCTCCAAGAGAGCATTTTGCAAGGCTGACAAAGCATTGCTTGTCTTGACAATGAAGCCCAGAATATAACAAAACAGATGCAGAACGGGTTCTCCATCCTCGCGGCTGATGAGCCATTCTTAGTAGTCAACAGGGCTTCTGTGCTTACAATGAAAGAAAAATGCCAAGCCCCTGACTGCCTCACTCTTCAGTCTCCGACCCCTACCCCATGGAGCGTCATTCTCCCCACCCTTCCTAAAATACAGCACCCACAACCTGGGGCTCCCTAAGATCCAACCGAGGTGAGTCCTGCCGAGTGGACTGGGCCTCGGCGGCATCACCTCTCTTCTCATATGTTTTCTGTGAGTCACTGAGGGGTCACTGATGCTGAAGGCCACACCACCTCTTGGGATACAGGGCTCAGTTGGCCCTCAACTGCCCACTACTCCTGCCCTGCTGGCAATACCTTGCTTTAAAACACTTAATGGTCCATCCTGGGAAGATATCCCATGCGCAGCATCTGGCATGTCTATGAATGCAAACTCTCGAAAGACCAGGGGGTCCAGGTAGACAGAGTCAATTCTCTTCTTGTTCTCGAAGCCACCTTGCTTCCCTCGGAGAAGGCAGAACTCTGTAGTGCAGGAGAAAAGGACAAGTTAGGTAAAGTTGAGTCTAAGGTGTGCCAACAAGTCTGGACAGGGTCAGCCCAGCCTTGATGGCACATCTTAGACGTAACTCAGTGGAGCAGAAGACCCATCCATCTTCCCCATAAAATTCGATCCCTACACACATTATGTTGCTTGACCAAAAGCCCAGCCACTTCCAACAAATAAGGAAATGGCTGTTCTTACATAAAGCTCCCTAATATATATTCTCTGAACAGGCTGGACACAATCTTTAAAACATTGGAAATATTATTTTATCCTGATTTGAACAAACTGATTCTAAACAGACAAATGAAACCTGACATGCACAAAACAACTAGGAAAATCTGAACACTGATAATATTTTAAAAGTATTGCCAGTATATTTAGGTGGCCAAGTAGTTATGTGATTATATTTTTAAGAAATCAATGTTTCTATAATATATAGAATAATATACAGCAATAAAAAATAAAATACTGATGTCTGCAGTTATATGAATGAATTTCACAAACATGTTGAGTGAAAAATGGCAAACACAAAAGAATACATTCTCTCTGAATCTGTTTCTACAAAGGCAAAGCTAGTCTTTTTTCAAAAGCCTTATCATTTCAAGGTACTAAAATATTTACAGATGAAACAATATAATGCCTAGGATTTGCTTCAAAATAATCCAGCAGGAGAGGAAGGAGATGGTGAAGTTATGGCTAAAACATGAATTGCCCTAGTCACTGAAGCTGGATGGTGGGCACATGGGAGCTCACTACATTATTATCTCTACTTTTTAACATGTGGGAAATGTCCATAATAAAAAGGTTTGTTTTTGGTTGTTTTGTTTTTGTTCTTTTTGAGACAGAGTCACTCTGTTGTCCAGGCTGGAGTGCAGTGGTGTAATCTCAGCTCACTACAACCTCCGTTTGCTGGAAGCGATTCTCCTGTCTCACCCTCCCGAGTAGCTGGGATTACAGGCACCTGCCACCACACCTGGCTAATTTTTGTATTTTTAGTAAAGATGGGGTTTCACCATGTTGGCCAGGCTGACCTCAAGTTGATCCACCTACCTCAGCCTCCCAAAGTGCTGGGATTACAGGTGTGAGCCACTGCTCCAGGCGATAAAAAGTTTTTTAAATAATAAAAAGGGCCGGGCATGGTGGCTCACACCTGTAATGCCAACACTTCGGGAGGCTGAGGCAGGCAGATTGCTTGAGCCCAGGAGTTTGAGAGTAGCAACATAGTGAGACCCCGTCTCTACAAAAAAATTTAAAATGAGCTGGGCATGGTCACACATGCCTGTAATCCCAGCTGCTCTGGAGGCTAAGGTAGGAGGATCCCTTAAGCCCTGGAGGCGGAGGTTGCAGTGAGCCAAGATCGCACCACTGCACTCCAGCCTGGGCAATAGAGCAAGACCTTGTCTCCAAAAAAAAAAAAAAAAAAGGCAAAGAAATGTTTTCTCAAACACTTCCATATTTGAGAACCCAGCTAAGGTATCTAAGGTGTAGATAAAAATGTAAGTTATTACGTCCTTGCTAAGCAGAAACAGTAAATGAGCTCAAGAATTAGCATTCTCTTTATGATTCTATTTACTAACTTGTGTACGTAAGCAAAGGCTATGGAATAAAAATGTGGCAGGGCCCCGTATTTGCTGAAATGTAGAAGGCATGAGTATTAGCAAATATTTTCATTTGCTTGTGGGCATTAATGATGCTCATAAAGATAGAATGGAAAAGAAAAAGAAGAATGGCTGTCTAAAGACAAAGGAAACGATCCCTGGGCTTTACCCACCTGGCCCACACCAGCATTCAGGCTGACCCTACTCCTCCACACTTTGCGCTTAGCCACAGGGGTGCAGGAGTGTGAACCAGCACCTAGGTCATAACTTTGTTCCCTGAGGACAGGAGCCTTGACCATTCACACAGCCTCAAATTCTGCCAGAAGCCCTGCCAGGTCCCCAAAATAATGTGGAACCAACTGGCATTTTAAGAATCCACAGCACCAACCACACACCACACTCTCACCTTCACCCATGCATAGCTCCCTGAGGGCGCCACCAATTAATTCCTTCATTCTTTTCATCCATCCATCCCCAGCCAGCCAGCCAGCAAATATGCAACAATGTAAATCTTTAAAATTCCCTATACCAGGCCCCGTGCTCACAGCCACAGATACAAAGGACTACAACCAGGCCTTGACGATGAGTGTGGTAAGAGTGGGGACAGCGGTTGAACAGGGCTGAGGCCAGAGTGACCAGCGGGTGGAGGGGAGGAAAAACATCTTTCCTTCTGCTCATCCTAGGTTCATGGCTGAGGCCCCTATCACAACAGACAGATTAACAAGAGAGGCCAGGCACGGTGGCTCACACCTATAATCCTAACACTTTGGGAGGTCGAGGCGGGCGGATCACCTGAGGTCAGGAGTTTGAGACCAGCCTGACCAACATGGAGAAACCTCGTCTTTACTAAAAATACAAAATTAGCCGGGCATAGTGGTGCACACCTGTAATCCCAGTTACTCAGGAGGCTGAGGCAGGAGAATCGTTTGAACCTGGGAGGCGGAGGTTGTGGTGAGCCAAGATCGCACCATTGTACTCCAGCCTGGGCAACAAGAGTGAAACTCAGTCTCAAAAAAAAAAAAAAGGGAAAAGCACGCAACTTTACCGAATAGCAGTTTTACATGACATGGAAGCCTTCATAAGAAAATGAACATGTGAAAAAATAGTTAAATTTGAGTACTTTTTTGCTAGGTTTGAGGGACAGTGGTGGAGAAATGTGGCAGGGCAGAGCATATGATGGAAAGGCCATTCATCCAGGAACTCAGCAAGGCCTGTCTCTTCACCTCTCTGTGTCCTGTGTCGGGAGACACGGCTGCTCCTTTCCTCCAGGCAGAGGGACGGCGCCTCTCCCCTGAGGGTCTGTAACCTGCATCAGGGGAAGGTTGGAAAATCCTTCAGAGGTTTTATGACCTGCTACAGGGAGAAGGGTGAGGGGAAGGTCACAGTGACCTTCCTGCTTCTGTCATCTTTTCAAATTCCTTCACTTTAAAATATCTTAGGACTGCATGTCCTGAACCCCGTCACAGGGAAGGAGAACCAGAAAAGCCATCTGATGGTTGGGCAGGAGCAAAAGAGGCAGAGAGCACGCCCAGAGAGAGGCGCAGCAGGCCTGGGGGTGGGAGAGGGTGTGCCATGCCCCAGACCTCAGTGAGATCACGGGGCAAGTGGCACTGTGACCAGAGGGAAGGCACGAGACCCATGCTGGGCTGGCCCATAAGGCGTGACATGGTGCAGACTGCATTCTTGGGACAAAGAGCCACAGAAGGGTGTCTGAGCAGGTGAGTGAAGTGGTCAATTTTAAAACAATCCCATTAGCTACACTGCTAGGATGGAACAGACAGGAAAGAATCAGAGTAGCCAGTTACGAGTCTGTGGCAGAGCCCCTGTAGTCCCAGCTGCTTGGGAGGCCAAGGTGGGAGGACTGCTTGAGCCCAGAGTTCAAGGTTGCAGTGAGCTATGATCCCGCCACTGCACTCCAGCCTAGGTCACAGAGCAAGGCCCTGTCTTTAAGGAAAGCGAGGTGGGGAAGCAGGGAGATGGTGTTAGGGCCAGTGGGGAGACGTGCACAGATTCAGGTGCAGCGTGGGAAACAGGTTCACGCCCACAAGGCATCCAACTGGAAGTTGGTGCTGAAGGACGCTAGCAAATGCCAAGATGTATAAAAGTGCAAGGCAGAAGGTCAAGAGAATGAAAGGGTGTTTCTGATTGGGCATAAGTGTCTCCTGAGAGGGGAGCTGTGGGTGAAGGAAAGGGTCTCATTGCAGCTGGCATGGCTGAAGCACCTGGCCGGGATACAGATGGAGTCTGCCTCCCTTCGAGGTTTCAAAGGACGACCAGGATCTCTGTCAAATGCAATCCCACCAGGAAGGTAGGGAGAGAGAGCAGGCATGTCTTCTCAAGGGCCCTTCCAACCACTGCAGGTTTATGTCTATGAAGCTATACCAGAACATTCTGTAGCAAGAGCAACAGAAAACGGATGGGCAAAAAAAAGAAAAGAAATAGCAGAACTGGTTTAAAATCAGGCAGTGAATCACCCAGAACGATGACCTGACCACCAAGCCACCATAGGAAGGAGCCACGGAGCTGCCTCCTAGGCCAGGATCCAGAACGAGCCAAGGGAAGGCCGAGATATCCCCAGGGTACCTCTTCTCAGCAGCACAAAGAGGAGTTTATTTTCAAAGACAGTGGAAGCTGGAAAAGATAAAAGCCTTGAAATTGAAATGCAAACAGGAGAGCCCTGCCAGAACAAGGCTGTGTGTCTTTCAAACCCCATCTGAGAAAGAGAGGCTACCTCCACAGAGCTGCGTCAGGGCAGGGTCTGGTCACCTCCTGGGACAAACAGGAGGAAGCTCGCATGGGGACCACCACCTAGAGTGGCAGCCCAGGCCTGGGTCCCCGCCACCGAAGGGTCCGCAGAGCACTCCTGGGCATCCTCAGGTGCATGCCAAGATTTCAGAAAGCGTTACAGAAGTGACGCATCCTTCACTACAGCCAAGATACGGAAATAATGTAACTGTCTGTTGATGGACAAATAGATAAAGAAAATTGATGTATTTACACAATGGAATACTTTTTGGCCATGAAGAAGAAGGAAAGTCTCCCATTTGTGCCAACCTCGATGAACCCAGAGGACAGGATGCTAAATGAAATGACCCAGGCACAAAAAGATGCATATCACATGGTCTTCCTTATACATGGAACTGAAAAAAGCTGAACTCACAGAAGCAGGGGGTAGACTGGTGGTTGCCAGGTGCTGGGAGAAATGGGGAGATGTTGTCAAAGCATGCAAACCTCCAGTTGTAAGCTGGTAAGTTCTGGGGATCTAGCATGGTGATTATAGCTAATAGTACTGCAGTGTTTACTTGAGACTTGCTGAGAGGGTGGACAGTAAGTGTCCTCACCACACACATGCAGAGGGTAACCATGCTGGGTGATGGATGTGTTCATTAGCTTGACTCAGTAGTTATCCCGTCACAATGTCTATGTCTATTGAATCATCACTTGTACATCTTGAACATACAGTTTCTGTGTGTCAATCATACCTCAGTAAGCTGCGGGGGAGTGACACATTCACCACTGGCCATCAGTAAGACTGGACAGGACCACCAAGGCAGACATAGGGGGGCTAGAAACCCAAAAGTGCAGATGGTGACCCTACTTACCACATACAGATAACAGAGACTAGAAGAACAATTTGATCCTCTTCATGATGCACTTTTTTTGGAAGACAAGTCTTTTCAAAGAGAAAGATGACAATAATAACGAAAACGCCCCAGAGGACACAAATTTGGAACTACGGGCCTCAAGGAAGCCACAACACCTGGTATTCTCAGCATTTCTTGGTCCCTGACAGACCTCTTTGACCAACTGCTTCAAACTGACACTTTCTCTTTCTGTCACCTCAGATAAATCATTTCACCGCCCTAAAATGCAGGCTTCTTCATTTGCAGAATGAGAGAGGGAGACTCTGTGCACTCCTTCTGTGCCTCGCCTGTTTCTCCTAGGGATCCTCAACACCCTTCAGCTTGTGGACAGCAGCACACGAGGACACTGAGCATTCTGTTTGAGTCCCTCTAGTGGCTGCTGAATGGCGTAGTGACTCATGTGGGCTTAGCGAGGGCAGGAGCTGTCTCACGGGAGACTGCCCCCCACCCGCCTTCCACAAATGGGGGAGAAGCAGGAGGCAGCAGCAGGCATGTGCGTGGTCTATCACGGCCCTTTTAAAAACTGCTGTTACAGAAAATGTCAAACTGCACAGGAATAGAGAGGAGGAGCGTGAACCAGCGTGTGCCCATCAGCCAGCTTCAGCCACTGTCCCCTCTCAGCCAAGCCTCCTTCCCTCGGCAGCTGCCCATGCTCACACCCTTTATGCTCCACTCATATTATTTTTGAATCAAACCACAGACATATTACCATTTCATCCGTGAATGTTTCAGTGTACATCTCTCAAAGATAGGATGACTCATTTTTATAAATATAACTATAATACCATTGTCACACCTAAAAAACTTCACAATTTATTATGTTACATTTACCCACTCATGTCCCTAAGGAGCGGTCACACAGCTTTCATGAGTGAACACAACCTCTTCTCATTGGGAACATGAGGAGGGAAGGGGCTGTGAACACCTAAAGTGAGCAGACACGCTGAACCAAAGCTTGGATTTTCTTCCGTGACAACAGCTGGGTCTCTGCGCTTTGAACACACTCGTGATCAGCAGAGGAAAGTCAAGTTCAGCATGTCTGGCTTCATACTTGTGGAGAGGAGGTGGGGTAACAATAATGATGATAATGCTATTAATAGCAAAGGTGGAGGAATTAATAAATGACCACTGTGCCAGGCGCTTCATAGGCCTCATCTCATTAAATCTTCACACAGCCCTGTGAAGAAATGCCCTTCACCTTCCAGAGACAGGGAAGCCAAGACTCAGCAAGATTCAGCAACTTGCCTGAGACCTCATAGGACATCATGGCACCGGGGTTGATGCCCAGTGTGTCTGATGCAGAGCCCAGGTTGATGCCCAGAGGACACAGCCCAGCCCTCTACTGTGCTGGTGGAACTTTGCCCCACACCAATGTTGGAGGAGAGGGTGGCATTGCTCCAGGCATCCCTCACCACACCCCTCCCCCAGTGCAGCCCATGTGTCCAGGGACCATGTCTTGGGACAATCTACGCTCTTCAGACCTCTTTCCCTCTCTTCCCACAGTCTCCAAAGCAGTCGAGTCCTCTGGAAAGCAGTCAAGTCCCTCTGCTGAGGGATCCTCTGCTGGGGATCCCTCAGCACCCATAGGAGGTGGCACTCACCGAACTGGCCGTCCAGTTTCACGTATAACTCAATGACACCGTAGGCAATGGTGGTGGCAGCTGGGATCTCCAGCACCACGTTGGAGTCCTTGGTGACATTCCCATCCTCCGTCGCTGACACCTGTGGGCAAAAGCGCACACTCCCACCTGTGCACTCGGGCTCTCCAAGCTGCTCTGTTCCCCACTGCAGCCAGCCTCGTGCCTTATACATAAGAGATGCTGAGCAATGTCCACAGAACCGAGTGGAACAGAGGAGCCAGCCAGCATGGGGGATGGGGGGATTCAATCCTTGTTGGCATCAGTACACAAATTCCCAAGTAAACGGCCAACCTGGTGGCATCAAAGCGAGATTATAGAGCGTGGGATACAGTGAAGTTAGGTCTACAGTGCTGTGCAAAGATCATACGATACGTAAGATCACCTCCCAATTCCCTCCATCACAGGTTATGGAAACAACTGAAATCCTAATGAAAACCTTAAACAGTAGCCAAGTTGGACTGGGAGAACCTAGCTGAGAGGGCCCCCTACCCCGTGCATATCACTCCAGACCCCTGTAGATGGTGCACAGTGCTGATAAAACCAGGAACAGAGAGGGAAGTGGGAAGAGGCCGGAGGGAGGAGAGGCAGGAAATGCCAAGAAGTCAGGCACCAAGCTCCTGCCTTTAAACACTCTCACAAACAGGACCCCTTCCCACGATGTCCTGGTGAGAGGAAGATGAGAATCTATTTGTTGGCCAAACACTGGCAATCAGAGAACTTTTCTTAGCAACTTGATCCTGGTCAGAGTGTGTTGCTTTGGGTTGAGAAATGGCAGCTGGCCTCCTGACTCTGAAAGGCTTCAACACTTTGGCAGGAAGTGACTGTGGCAGGAGCACCAGCAGGGCCGGCCTGAGCCATCTCCCATCGGCGCCTCCCTCGCTGCTACCCAGCCCCAACCCAGTAAGAGTGCTGGCCCCAGACCTCTACCTCCAGCTCCTTCCAAATACAACTTTCTGAGTTCCTCTAGAAAAAGCCAAAAGTCATCCCAAGAAGTAAATCTCTAAGAAAATATCAGCCACCATGGCAAGCTGGAGGAGAAAGAGTTTGGGGCTGATGGCCACCTAGTCCATTGAAGTTTAGTACTGGCTCACAGATCAGCTTGGTAAGACTGTCAATAACTTAATCTAGAAGAATCTATGTAGAGATAGCTAGATCTTACCTGCCCTAACTCAACCCACAAAGGATTTGCAGCAGCTAATTCCAAGTAATCACTGTGAGAGCCCCAGCTCTGAGAGGCTCTAGGGATTCTTTTGCATTTGGCCTGATCAGTGCCTGTGTGTTCATTTTTCTTGGGGAAACATCTGCCGCCCACAGGAAGAGCACCTGACGCCAGCCCACCTGGCCCATTCGAGTGCCTGCAACCCTGCCCTGCTTCAGGAATGAACATATCCCGGGACGGTCTGGTGAGACCCAGTCCTAGGCCCCCCTCACCCCTGGAGTTGCAGCAAATCAGGAGCAAGCCTGGAGCTGCCAGCACCATAGGGAGAGCCCATCTGAGAGGGCATCAACCCAGGGAAAGCAGCTCCCTATATATCCTCAAGGCCTGGATCCAGCAGTGACTGGAGCCAGTTTCCCCAAGTGTTTCAGCTACATGAGCCAATACACTCTTGCTCATTTAAGACAACGTGAGTTGGGTTTCTGTTAACTTGCTACGGAAAGAGTCCTGACTAATGAAGACACCACCCAAAGAGGCCCCCAACCAAGGTCTCCAGGACTGCTCAGCCATGAACGCAGGGCAGCCCGACTGCACGCACCTGCACCGTCTTGGTCTGGATGCCCACGATGCCACCACACTTCTCCTCGACCTGCATGTGCTCAGAGATCACACACTTCTGCATCGTCGTGATCTTCTGTGTCAAAACGCACAGGACCTCATTCCTTCCTTCCAGCACCTGCTGGAGCACAGGGTTTCTCAGATTTATTGTTCTGAAAAAGAAAAACGGATGTGAGTGGCTTAGTGCCTCAGGGGACATTGGTGTAGTGTGAATTTCCTCTTGCACAGCAGGCAGCTGAGGAGTGAGCAGGTGACAGCCAGGCTTTGTTGATTTCCTCATGATGAAAGGGGTGGCAGGTCACCTGGAAAGACATAAACCAAACTCTCTTGAGGCCACCTCAGAGCTGCCGGGCCTCTGGGGGCCAGGCTAGATGCCAGAGGGAAGGGGGCTTTCAGTCAAACAGCAGCGCCGGTTGTCAAGGAGAAGAAAAGAAAATCAACCAGGGCCAGGCGTGGTGGCTCACACCTGTAATCCCAGCACTTTGGGAGGCTGAGGCAGGCAGATCACTTGAGGTCAAGAGTTCGAGACCAGCCTGGCCAACATGGTGAAACCCTGTCTCCACCAAAAATACAAAAATTAGCCAGGCGTGGTGGCACACACCTGTAATCCTAGCTACTAAGGAGGCTGAGGCACGAGAATCGCTTGAACCTGGGAGGCGGAATTTGCAATGAGCTGAGATCATGCCATTGCGCTCCAGCCAGGGCAACAGAGCAAGACTCCATCTCAAAAAAAAAAAGGAAAAGAAAAGAAAACTAACCAGGAAGGAAACTGCAATCCATGTACCTTAGACCCTGGAAACTCCACTTTTTTATTTAATCAGAGCTGAAGGATGTCAGACGTCACAGCCATGGCCCAGGGAATACAGGATTATGATGGGAGGAATGGTGACCAATTGCTTCTCATTGAGAAAGGAATAGGCCTAAAGTATGAGTAGCAAGAAGGAAATTAGATTTGAACTAAGAGGAAACTTCTTAACCTGTCTAGGAAAGATGTTTCATCTCTTAGAAGGGGTTTGATGTCTTTTTACACATGGGGAAACTGAGGCTGGTTATGCATGGCCTATCCAGAGTCACTCAGCAGAGATTTGGGGCTCCCACCCAGCCACTTGAAATTCTGCAAACTTTCAAGAACAGACTAAATTTTTATTTACAGGAGATGATTTCATGCTTAGAAGCAAATGATGAAATAACTTCTCTGGAGATCTCATTCAATACTATGATTCTATGAAATGGACAGGAAAAGAACCAAACTAGAGTTGGTGACAGCACAAGAAAAATTATGGTATCCATGCTGGTCTTTTTTTAAGAGGTTAGTTACCTTGAAAAGCTCAGCACCCATCCCTGACCACACACATGCTGGGTCACCCATCCTAGACAGACTCAGGTTCTCTGGGCTTCAGAAAGTAGCCCTGGAACTGGAGTGAGTAGCTAGGAAAGTCCCATCTCAATGTAATCACCTGCCCAGAATAGAAACAACTCACGTGTCCATCAACAGATGAATGGAGAAACAAAATGTGTTATAGTCATATAATGAGATATCATACAGCCATAAAAAGAAATGAAGTTGGGCCGGGCACAGTGGCTTATGCCTGTAATCCCAGCACTTTGGGAGGCCGAGGCAGGTGGATCACCTGAGGTCGGGAGTTCGAGACCAGCCTGACCAACATGGAGAAACCCCGTCTCTACTGAAAATGCAAAATTAGCCAGGCACATGCCTGTAATCCCAGCTACTCAGCAGGCTGAGGCAGGAGAATTGCTTGAACCCGGGAGGCGGAGGTTGCGGTGAGCTGAGATTGTGCCACCGCACTCCAGCCTGGGCAACAAGAGCGAAACTCCGTCTCAAAAAAAAAAAAAAAGAAGTGAAGTTCTGACATCTGCTGCAACATGGGTGAACCTTGAAGACATTATGCCAAGTAACACACTCCAGGGACAAATGAGCAATATTGTGTGGTTCCTCATATGAAATATCTGGAACAGGCAAATTCATAATGACAGAAAGCAGATTGGAGGTTACCGGGGCTGCAGGGCTTCGCTGCCTGATGGCTGCAGAGTTCCTAGTTGAGGTGACGAAGAAGTTCTAGAAATGCAGAGTAGAGATGACGGCACAACAGGGTGAATGTATTTAATGCCACTGAATTTTACACTTAAAAATGGTTACAACAGTAAATGTTGTGTCTCATCTATTTTACCACAATAACAAATAGATAAGACATAGGAAAAACGGGTTCAATCTTAGTACTGGTTAAGGAAATTCAAATTATAAAAATGTCTCACACGTGATAAAAATACATTGATGACAACCACAAAGCTGCCGAGAGACTCCATTTCCAGGAAGGAACAGGAAACAGGGACCCTGGAGCCTGCAGGGCTGGGGTTCGGATCTCAGCTCTGCCCTCCCACTGGGCAAGCTCGAGTGAAGGGCCACCTCTGCACCTAGGTTTTCTCGTGCATGAACTGTTGGTAACAGGGCCCCCTCCTCATGGGGTTCCGTCAGGGTTTAGATGACATGCATGCAGTGAGCCATTAGGGTGTGCCGAGCACAGAGTTAAATGCCACACAAACACTAGCTGGCTCCGCCCACCTTCCCGTGTCCCTCTATGAGGCTCACAAAACAAAGCCACAGTGTGTGCCCTGCATGGGAATTATGGGGCACTGAATTGAATCAGAGGTACGTTTCCACATCACTCCCTTCTTAAAAGCCTTCAATGGCTATATCCCATGTCCAGTGCGTTCCCAGGCTGAGGCCCCATGTGATCTGCCCTGCCCCCTGTTGACTTTATCTTCCAGCCTTCTTACTACTCCTTAAAAATGCCAGGTGTGTGCCTACCCCGAGGCGTTGGCACACATTCCCTGATGGCCACATTTCACTGACTCATTGGTCACCTCCTCGGGGAAGCATTCCCTGCACCCCCATCATGCTATCACACCCTAAGATCACTTCTCTGGAGAGCACATTTCCACAGGATATTTTTCTAGCTCATTCATTTATCTGCTCATGGCCTGCCTCCTCCATCAAGAATATAAACCCCACAGAGGTGGTGAGTGTGCTCTCCTGTTGACTGCATATCTCAGGGCCAGGATCAATGCCTAGTACGTAGGAAGAGCTCAGGAAATATTTTTGGAATAAATGAGTAAATAAAACTTGTGAGGTTTTTTCCTCTATTGGTTGAATGAATGTGTACATATGTATTTGTGCATCCACGTGTGAAAGACAGAAGACACGGAAGATGGGGGAAATGGAGGATCTGCAGCTTGGATCAAAAAATGGTGCATAGCAGATGCGATCTTCCTAAGGGATTGCATGTCTTGGTCCCATAGGCAAAGACTTTAAAGATAAAAGCCATTGTAACCACCGGTCAGAACATACATTCAACTGTTCCCTTTCCAATGGTCTCTTCCTTCTATTGCTCAAAATTCTAGCAGATTCTTGAACGTCTGTCTGTGCCCTCACAACTAAGGCATGGGCTCCTCCCAGCTAGACGCACGTCAGACACATCACCGCCTGGTGACGACCCCACAACTGCCGCCTTTAGGAGTCTGATGTGACTCTGCTGGATTGGAAATCACAGCCCTCCTACCCGCCCTAAACAGAATCCACTGAACACTGGACACTGCTCCTAGCCAGTGTGAAATTGTTTGAAAAGAAAAAGCTCAGCCTAGACTACTCAAGACTCCACTGCTTAAAATGCCCACCTCCCTCCAGAACCCCCACCTCAAACACCAAAAGAGAGGGGCAGCCATCTACGCAGGTGGGCAGGCAACTGCCTGCTGTATCCGATGACAGGGCAGTCCTGAGACGCTTGCTGAGTCGCTGCCTTCAAAAGGTCTCTGTGGGGCGGACCCACCACAGCGCAGGAACAGAAGCTCGCCCAGGGACGGAGACTGTCTCCAAGGCTAGGATTCGGGTGACCAGAAACGTGTCACACAGCCACAGCTCATGCAGGCCACTGGGAATCCTTCCCTGGGCAACCAAGGCAGGGCTGCCGGAAACTGCAGGCATCATCCACCTAGCAGCAAACACTTCCACCCAAGTCACTGGGATTCTGTTTCCCAGGACAGTGCTGCCACCTTTTGGAAACCAAATGCTGGAAATATTTAATCATCTTCAGTTAGGAGAGGCCCCACAGGGACAGCGGGGAAGCTACACATCAGGGAAAATGGATTTTTCGTTTGACTCTCTGAAAAGCAATCTCGGGAGGGAATTCTTCCCCATCTCCTCCCTCAGTCAATTCCACCAAGCCCCAAGCAGCCCCAGGGGGAGAGCTGGTGTCCCCTGGGGACGGTGTTCTCAGGTGCAGACCCAGAACAGTTCAAGGTCACCAGACCCTGGCTCTGGCCCTCCTCAGAACAGAAATCACCATGCAACAGGGCTCCCCTGTGCCCGCCTAGTGCAGAAACCAGCCAAATTTCAATGCAATTTGTTTACTGTATAACCTTATATATTTTATTATAAGCATTTAAAGAGGCCCATGGGTTTCTTCAACTGCTAATAGAGTTCATGAAACAAAACATTTAAAACTCTCAGTTGAGGGTTTCAGAAGAGTTTAAAAAAAAAGAGCCTAGAGAGGTTGATGGTAGTAACCAAAGTCACACAGCTGTGAAGCCCAGGTCTTTTACAATGGCCCACATGGCCATAGCACCCATAGCTGCTGTCTCCCTCTTCTGGGTGAGGGCACCCTTGGGCTGTACTAGGAATTGAATCTTCATCTCTATTAACTCTTGTATTGCTATGTTCATTTCTATATGTAAATATCTTGCCTATGTAACCAGACCAGTAGATGGAGGCTGGAAAAGCAAGTTATACCCAAGTCCTCTGGGAATCCTTATCAGAATATCCATGCCTGCCTGTTCTCCCCAAGCCCATCTCACTCTCCTCGTGGCTGCCGCCCTGTGCCATTTGACAGTTCTTCCCCAACTTGTCCTGATTTCTTTCCTCTCGGGCCCTGTGAGAGCCACTGAGCAACACAGACAGAATGGCTTTAGAGACACAGAAAACTATTAGTAGTGGTCGCCTCTTGGGTGGGGAACCAGATGGCGGGGAGGGGCTTTTCACCTTTTCTCTTTTGACCTTTTGACATTTAAACCATGTGAATAGATTGCCCAGTTCCAAAAAAAAAAAAAAGTATTTTAAAAAAAGGCCTTCTGGACAGACTGTAAGCTCCTGGAGGACAAAGTACTTGCTCTTTTTATTGGTGCCTAGCCCTGTGCTATCCACCCAGCTGGGGGATAAAATGAATGGTTTATCACATAAACCCGGGCAGGACTGGAATGAGACCCTCTCCCCAAGTCCAGCCAGGAGCCAATGCCCAAAGACAGGGAAAATGGAGCAGAAGCTCTTCCAGGAGAAAATGAACAAGCAGAGGTTCTTCATCCGCTTCACACATCTAAGGGCAGGCTCCTTGTTCTTCCTGGCGGGGGCGGCAACGTGAAAGCAAGAACAGGAGGCCACTGAGGCAGAGGCGTATATCCTCAACAGAAAGGGCCAGCCCCAAAGGAGCAAGTCTGGAGGCAGGGGAAGGGGGTGCATACTCAGTCGAGAAGAACTCCCTCTCCTCACTCAGGGGCTTGGCTCAACTCCGCCCACCCAGTTCTACTGTGAGGTTGCCCTTCTGCGCGTACCTGGCAGGTCGATATAACACAAAGACCTGGAGTCATCCCGGAATCGGTTCCCTGCTCCAATGTGGTTTAATGTTTGTCCCTTCTAAGTTTCATGTTGAAATGTGATCCCCAGTGCTAGAGGTGGGCCCTGGTGGGAGGTGTCTGGGTCACGGGGGTGGATCCCTCATGAAAGGCTTGGTGCCCGCCTTGCAGTAATGAGTGAGTTTACACTCTGAGTTCACACTGGTTAAGAGTGTGGTACCTTCCCCCTCACTCTCTCTTGTTCCTCTTTCTTGCTCCTGTTCTTGCCATGTGACATGTTTGCTCCTCTTTCACCTTTTTCCATGACTGGAAGCTTCTGGAGGCCTCACCAAGAGCAGATGCTGGCACCATGCTTCCTGTACAGCCTGCAGAGCCATGAGCCAATTAAACCTCTCTTCTGTATAAATTACCCAGTCTCAGGTATTTCCTTATAATAATGCAAACAGACTAACTCAATCTCCTCCTAGCTGAGCTACTGCTCCAGTCCTGAAGCTTAGTTTGCACATCTGTAAACTGAGAATTTGCTATGAGGGTTACGTTCAGTGAGATCTTGCATTAAATGACCCACACTCTACCCAGCAGATGGCAGGGGCTCTGTAAATGTTTTTTTCCTTCCACTATTGGCAGGGAAGGCAAGTCAAGACCCCTTTCCAGGGTGGTCAAAGAAATGGCCAGAATTTTCAGGATGCTTTATAAGGGAGCCCTCAGCCAGGTGTAGGAGGACGAGCCGCAGACAAAACTCCTCAGATACCAAGTTAAACAAGGAAGGGGTTTATTCGGCCGGGAGCGTCGGCAAGACTCCTGTCTCAAGAGCCAAGCTCTTGAGTGAGCAATTCCTGTCCCGTTTAAGGGCTCACAACTCTAAGGGGGTGCGCATGAGAGGGTCGTGATCGATTGAGCAAGCAGTGGGTACGTGACTGGGGGCTGCATGCTCTGCTAATCAGATTGGAACAAAATAGGATGGGGATTTTCACAGTGCTTTTCTATACAGTGTCTGTAATGTATAGATAACATAACTGATTAGGTCAGGGGTCAATCTTTAACGACCAGGCCCAGGGTGTGACGCCGGGCTGTCTGCTTGTGGATTTCATTTCTGCCTTTTAGTTTTTACTTTTTCTTTCTTTGGAGGCAGAAATTGGGCATAAGACAATATGAGGGGTGGTCCCCTCCCTTAAGGAAGTGGACCCTCAAAGCAATTAAGAGCATGGCTCCATGGACACAGGACAGGAGTTGGATACAAGACGCGGATACATTCAAGACAGCAGCTACATGATACAGGACGAGAGATGGCTGGAAAAGGAGACCAGGCAGGAGCTGCTGGGAGGCGGCAGGCAGAGATGGAGGGAGGGAAGCGTGGCTCAGAGCCCAGCGTGGTTGCTGGGGACCAGAGCAGCCCAGCAGGAAGGGAGGCTCCAGCTCTTCCAGCATCCATCAGCTCCCCAGGCCCAGCCCTAATGAAGCCGCCTCCTCTCCCAGCCTGAAGCTTTAATTTCCATTTTCTCTGCTTCTAAGACTTTCAAGAGCCAAAATGCAAACTCACAGAGGAGAAACCCAGAGACAACTTTTAAAAGTCTGACAATATCCAAAAGGAGGGAAGCAGGTTTCTTTACCAAAGCATAAAGGAGGTCCCGGGGATGCCTCCTGCAGAGACACAGGAGGGCGAGCTTTGTCATGCAGACCCCACACTTCAACTCTCCTTCATTCATCTCCACAAATACCTGAGTTCTGCTATGCTCCAGGCACCAGGCCAGATGCAAGTTTCTCAGGGAAGAGGCCAAGGCAGCCACCACTAGCAGGGTCCTCTTACACAAAAACCCTTGATAGTAACAATGGTAGGCCGGGCGCGGTGGCTCACGCCTGTTATCCCAGCACTTTGGGAGGCCGAGGCGGGCGGATCACGAGGTCAGGAGATCGAGACCATCCTGGTTAATATGGTGAAACCCCGTCTCTACTAAAAATACAAAAAATCAGCCCGGCATAGTCCTGGCTACTCGGGAGGCTGAGGCAGAAGAATGGCGTTAACCCGGGAGGTGGAACTTGCAGTGAGCCGAGATCGCCCACTGCACTCCAGCCCGGGGGACAGAGCGAGACTCCGTCTCAAAAAAAAAAAAAAAAAACCAATGGCCTCGAGGAAGAGTTTCCAATGGAAACCCTGGGGAGCCTGGTAAGGCTCTCCAAACCCCAGGGGACATCATGACAGAGCAGGAGCTTTTGTTGAGTCTGCTGTGGAGAAATTATAAAACTAGAAGGGACCCAAGGGGATTATCTAGCTCTGGGCAGAAACTCAGGTTCATCTTTATTTTCACCTTGATTAATCCATCAGCTATTACTGCCTGGCTGTAGGAAAAGGATTCTAAGGCTGAGTGTGGGCTGGAAGACAGTAAGGAGGAAGAAAGCTGTGATTAAGTGGCAGTGTCTGCTTGGACATGGGAGGGGGATGGCCCTGATCACCTAGATCTAACCCAGTGTCTCTGCTCATTAGTGAAGAATGTGCCCCAGAGAGGTGACAGGCCCACCTGAACCACATGGCCTGTTAGTGGCAGTGCCAAAATCAGGAACTGCATCTTCTGACTCTGAGACCAGTGTGCTTTTCCACTACACTCTTCTAAAGAACAACAAAAAGTGAAAGGTACAAATGCAGACTGAGGAAATGGTGCAGTACTGCCAGAGCTGGTTTCAACATCTCCCCAGAAACAGAGATGGGGACATGACAGAGAGCCAAAAGGTGGTGGCCAGCCTGCTGCTCAAGGAATATTAAGCAAGAATTACTAACCCACAGAAACAGAGATATGTATTGATGATAAAGGCTTTAGTAAATCCAGAACTTCTCCCAAGGGTTTTGATTTATTGGCTAAAACTACAGTTTACAAAGGATCACACGTGTGTTCACACACCAGCTGTAGAGTAGGAAAATTAGGTCCACAGACATTGCCTGTAAACTCCTTGGCTTTGCCTTTGTGACATTTCATTAAGTGGGAAAGTCTGCTTCTCTCTTGATAACCAACCTCCTCCAGTCTACAGAGATGGCAGAGTTTTATTTCAGTAACTGCCCCCCTAAAATCCTGGAACACACACACCATTGCCTCCTTCATCTGCCGATTTCCCCTCCAAGGGAGGCTCCATTCACCCTTTTCAAAGACTGTAAGCTTTTTGACAACGAAGGCAGGAGAGCAGCGCTCAAACCACATCTGTGCTGCTTCTGCAGGAACTGTCCCCAGCATCCTGTACCGGGAAGGCTGCAAAACCCTCCCACACTACGAGTCGGGGGTGCCACTAGCTGCCGTCCCCAGCACTGTTCGGGAGCTAGGGGGGCTGTAACGGGAGGAAGAGACAGGGTGCACCCAGCCCTGCCAATGAGTCTTGATTTGTCTCTCGGCCATTCTTGGTCACTCCGTTTTTCTTATCAGGAATCGGGGGCAATTCTGGCCAATGAGACCTGAGGAAAATCTGTTAGGGGTTCTCAAGTTTTTCTCCCTCTTAAAAAGGGACACAAAGAAGAGGCCACTTTTCTGCCTCTGGACCTTTTGTCTGCAATGTGGCTGCCATTTAGGGACCAAGAGAACTTGAGCTGCCAGGACAGATGGCGGCTGCCACAGGGGCCCACAGAGCCACCGAACTGACCTTCTGCCGTTAACCATTCAGTCAACCGGGACGCACCCTCTTCGAGATGTTTTCTTATGTGAGATAATAACAAATGTTCTTTGCAACCAGACACCCTAACTGGTATATGAAGTGACCATCATCCTTATTTCAGAAAGCAACAAGAAGCACGAAGAACTCAGAAGCCAAGGGGCTGGGTGAGAATGCAGCTCAGCACCATCCACCCTCGAAGCTCTGCGCCCATCTGCCTCTCCCTCCTGAACCTTCCTGGGCCCTGCATACAGAAGGCGCTTAATGCATGCTTGATTGTTAAAGAACTGGCAGTCTTTCTGCTCCATCCCATGAGAGCTTCCCAGAGTCAGGAAGTGGATCCTCTTGGAAACGAAAGCAGCCGCCCACTGTCTCCCCCGCAGGTACTAGCAGTCCCCATTTCAACCACGTTTCATAACAGAAACTTCCCACACATCAGAGATGCTCAGCCCACAGCCGGGGGCAGGAAATCTCTAGAAACCTCAACTCCTGTGCCCTGGGCCTCCACTTCCAACACAGTGAGATAAGCCCTGCTCTTTCTCTCTCTGTCACTTGGCTGTAATGTAGATGACTTCAGGATTGTAAAATGCTGGGAAAATCAAAATTGGGGCAGAATGCTCACTGCACATTGTTGCCAAAGTGACCAAGTCACCCGCAGACTGTGGCTGCTCCGCCTCTGTCCACATTATAGTCTCTAATACCTTATCTTACTCACATACGACGACCCCTGGAAAGAGAAAGGAAAAAATGACTGAGAACCTGTAGATGTTCAGCCCTTTAGACGAGTAATTAATTAACTGCAACCAGTGGATGAAATGCAGCAAGCCTGGAAGATGATAAACCAAACGCAGCTGATGCCCAGAAGTGACTTCACGCCAAAGCCCTTGGAACATGTGTCTGTTTCCAAGCTCTGTGCATAGAAGTTGGATCGGAAAAATCATGTGTTTAGTGAACTTGGTTTTAAATCCTGAATCTAGGCAAACTAATTAATTTCCACATTCAGGCTCCTCAGTTGTAGAATAAAGATAAACCAATTATCCTTTCAAGCAAACTGGGCTCAGTGTGCCAAAGGCACTGCGCCAGACCCCACAACAAAGGAGGCAGGGCGTTCCAGGAGGGAAACGGACACAGACGCAGGCAACTTCCGACACACTTGACCCTACGGCGTGGTTAGTATGCCACCAGGGGTGATGTGGCTCCTGAAGGAAGTGGGGTCTAACCTAAGGAATACTGAGGAATTGGCTGGGTGACACAGGAGAAGTGAGTCTGTGTGTGTCCTTCATGCCTCTGTGCAGACAGGAGGAGTGAACATCAGACAAGGACTGGAGGTAGAAGGAGCCTGGAGTATTAATCCCAGGAACTGAAATTAGCTCAGCGACTGACCTGGAGGATGTGAGGGCAACTGGTGAGAGATTAGGCTAGAGATTGAAAGCATGGCTCTGTTGCACAGAGGAGCCTGTGGGCATCCTCCTAGGACAGGGGAGAGCACAGAAGGCATGGCTGGGCAGTAAGGGGATCCGACTGGCTACCCTGTGGAGAATCAACTGGAAGGGGAGAGACGAGAACAGGTAAGAGATGGTTGGTGGAGGCCTGCACCATTTCCCAGAGAAACTGTCATGAGACTGGGGGAATGGGAACAGATAAGGTTGATATTTAAGAGGCAGAATCAACTGGTAAGAGACAAGGTGTGGGAGAGAAGGTGAAGAAGGAGCTATGTCTGATATTCAGATTCCTGGCTAAACCAACTGGACTCATGCCTCACCCACCAGCTCACTGGAGGGTTCAGAGAGATGAGAAGTGCAGTGATGAGTTGAGTCTCTGTGTCAAACACTATATGAACAGCCCAAGTGGAACAAACATCTGCTCACCTGAATTCTAACTCCTGACTCATCCCAGCCATCCTGACTGTAGACACTGCAGCTCATCAGTTCTGAGACACATATTTTTTTCTTTACATTTTAACATCTCAGAAATCAGGATGTTTTAAAATTGATAGGTGGCATAGTTTAATTGGCAGTGTTCTTTCTCAATGGTACATAGAATAATGGTGCCTCTTTCAATGGATGACATCTTGGATTTGAAGAAATACAATAATGCCTATCAGTCTTAGAAGAAAATAGTACTTGAATGATTCTTCTTAGGACTTAAATCCTACCTAGTTCCAAAAAGATCTGAAGTTGCCTTTAAAAATAAAGCTCAGCTGGGCACAGTGGCTCACACCTGTAATCCCAGCACTTTGGGAGGCTGAGATGGGCAGATCACAAGGTCAGGAGTTCAAGACCAGCCTGGCCAATATGGTGAAACCCCGTCTCTACTAAAAATGCAAAAATTAGCTGGGCGTGGTGGCACGCACCTGTAGTCCCAGCTACTTGGGAGGCTGAGGCGGGAGAATTGCTTGAACCCAGGAAGCGGAGGTTGCAGTGAGCTGAGATCGCACCACTGCACTCCAGCCTGGGCAACAGCAGAGTGAGACTCCGTCTCAAAAAAAATAAAAAAATAAAAAATGAAACTCATCAGACAAGGTGATTTCTGTAAAAAGACTAAAACCACTCCCAAGAACAAGTATTGGAGGGTCCCCAGCACACCCTTCTCTACAGGAAGCCACCTTTACACTGTGAAAGGAAGCAACAGAAGTCAGACAAGCTTTCAGGGGCTCACTAAAACCAAGACCAGGAGACAGAATAATTTAGAAAAAAATTAATAAATTGGCAGAATTTCAGATAGCACAGAATTTAGTGTGGCCTGGGGGTCTCAGGAAAGACATCTTTTAAAAAGAGTGGATTTCGTGGGGCCTTGAGCTTCACAGCTTTGCTTCCCATAGAGAATATGGTGAGCAGGACAAGGCCCATGAAGGTCTTACTGACATTGCTCAAGGGCTCCATACACCTTTACTTAAGAATCAAATCAACATCTCCTGCCACAAACAAAACATGTACAAAGAACAGCCTGTGTGCTATGCAGACTTCTCCGTAGCCCAGCTACACGTCTGGATCAGCACTTATTTTGGGGAACACGGGTTGCATGCAAGAACCAGAGCCCCGCCGACTTTCACTGGAGGTGGTCAGTCGCTCCACGGTGGAGTTCAGAATGGTGACCACGCAGGTGCCTACCTCCTCCACGGGAGAGGAAAACAAGAGCTCAAACAAAACATCATGCTGCACGTGGAAACGCCAAGGACTTCGCCTCCTTCCTGCAGCTCTGTGGCTCCCTGTCTGGCTCTCAGCAAGCTGCATCACACCTTCCCTCCCCGGGAGCTCTGGCGCTTGCCAGATTTGCTAGGCAGGCTCTATACTTATTGCAAGTGGTAACACTAACAGTTACAACTAATGAGAACTTGCCACATGCCAAGCACTACTATACCTGCCCTGTTTATGTTCTCTCATTGAGTTCTCACAGTAACACCGATCCCATTTTGCTAATCAAAGAAATTCTGGGTCGTGAAGGTAGGAAAAGGTGTCCCATGTGTCTTGGTTTAAAGAAAAAGATCTTTGGGTAAGCTGGTTAGGAGGTGGCATAGTAGCATTTATTATGTTATTCCTTAAACCCTCCCTCTGTTTCCACCACAAATTGTTTTGATTTTTAAAATGAGCCTGAAGTTTACCACCCTGAATTCGGCCTAAAAATACCTCCACCTGCCAATACCAGGAGACCAGCATAAAGAGGTACTGCCAGCCCCTCCCATCCCAGACCTTGGGATGCCCCGGTTTATTGTGACCAGTTACACCTGCCCTGGAAGGAGAAACACAGCAAAAAGAGAATCAGCGACAGGACCAGAATCAGGGAACTCATGTTCTCCAAGTACACATGGACAGAAGTCTTCATTGTTAGGCACAAACTGTTTACTAAAAATAATGATTCCAGTGCTGAGTAAAGCACAAAGACAAATGGGATGATTTTCAAACCCTCTGGTAGCCATTGGGAAATTGATCAGGTAGGAAGGAAGCCCAGTTCAAACTTTGTTTTTTCCAAGAAAGACATGGCTCCTCAAATCTTTCTCCTTGAAAAACTCCTAAATGTTAAAGGACCAGGAGCAGAGCAAGATGGGTGAATGGAAGCCTCCCGTGATTGTTCTCCCCACAGGAACACCAAAGTCAACAACTATCTATATAAAAAAGCACCTTCATCAGAACCAAAAATCAGGTGAGCAATCACAGTACCTGGTTTTGACTTCATTTTGCTGAAAGAGGCACTGAAGAGGGTAGGAAAGGCAGTCTTGAATTGCCAACACCACCCCTCCCCTATCTCTGGGCAGCAGCCATGTGGCAGAGAGAGAGAAGCCGTGTGCTGTAGGAGGGAGAGCACAGCAACTGTGGGACTTTGCATGGAACTCAGTGCTGCCAACACCGGGCAGAACTCAGCCAGCGCCCACTGAGGGAGCATGTAGACCAGCCCTAGCCAGAGGAGAATCACCCATCCCAGTGGTCAGAACCTGAGTTTTGGCAAGCCTCGCCACCATGGGCTAAAGTGCTTTGGTGTTCTAAATAAACTAGAAAGGCAGTCTAGGCCACAAGGACTGCAGCTCCTAGGCAAGTCCTAGAGCTGTGCTGGGCTCAGAGCCAGTGGATTTGGGGGGTGGGTACACAACCTACTGAGACACCAGCCAGGGTGGCTAAGGGAGTACTGGATCTAACCCTCCCCCAACTCCAAGCAGCACAACATGCAGCTCCAAAAGAGATCCCTTCCTTGTGCTTGAGGAGAGGAGAGGGAAGAGGAAAAAGGACTTTGTACTGTAACCAGAATACCAGCTCAGCCACAGTAGGATAGGGCACCAGGCAGAGTTGTGAGGCCCCCACTGCAGACCCTAGCTGCCAGACATTTCTAGAAACACCCTGAGCCAGAATGTAACCTCCTGCCTTAAGGGAAGGATGCAGTTGTGACAGGATTCTTGTTCTTCTGACTAAAGAGCCCTGGGCCCTGCATGATCTGCAACAGTAACCAGGCAATACATGCCATGAGCCTTGGGTGAGACTCTGAGACATGCTGACCCAGCTGTGGTCAGGTGTGACTCGGCACTTTCACAGCTGTGCTGGCTATGAGGAGAGATTCCTTCTGCTTGAGAAAAGCAGAGAGAAAAGAGGACTTTGTCTTGCAGCTTGGGTACCAGCTAAGCACAGTGGGGTAGAGCACCAAGCAAGCCCTTCAAGTCTCTGATTCCAGGTTGTGGCTCTTGGATGGCATTTCTGGACCTACCCAGGCCCACAGGGGACCCCACTGCCCTGAAGAGTGCGTCTCAAACCTGCCAGCATTCACCACAAGCTGACTAAAGAGCCCCTGGCCTTAAGTGAATATGGGTGGTGGCCTGGCAGTGCTCCTTGTGGGCCTGTAGTGCTGGTGGACATGGGTGAGAGTCCTCTGCCTGGGGAAAGGAGAGGGAAGAGTGAAGGGACTTTGTCCTGTGATTTGAGTGCCAGTTGAGCCACAGTAGAGTAGAGCACCACATAGATTTCTAAGGTTTCCAACTCGAGGCCCTGACTCCTGGACAGCATCTCTGGACCCACCTGGGGCCCCAGGGAAATCACCTCATGTCTGAGGGGAAGGACACAAGCCTGGCTGGCTTTACCACCTGCTGATTATACAGCCCTAGGGCCTTGAGCAAACATAGGCAGTAGCCAGGTAGTGGTTACAACAGGCCTTAGGCAAGATCCAGAGCTGTGGTGGCTTCAGTTCTGACCAGTGCAGTCCCAGTGGTGGTGGCCACACAGTTGCTTGTGTCACCTCTCCCCCAGGTCCAGACAGCTTAGCATAGAGAGAGACTCTGTTTTGGAGAAAGTAAGGGAAGAGAACAAGAGTCTCTGCCTGTGATCCAGAGAATTCTTCCAGATCTTATACAAGACCACCAAGGTGGTACCTCTACAAGTCTATAAGAACCACACAGTTACTGGGCTTTGGGTGTCCTCTAATGCAGATACAGCTGCAGTGACAAAAAACTTGGATGACAACACCCAAGTACCTTTGAATACCTGGAAAGTCTTCCTAAGAAGGATGGGTATAAACAAGCCCAGATTGCAAAGGCTGCAATAAATACTTAAATCTTCAAAGCCCAGATACTGACAAACATCCACAAGCATCAAGACAATCCAGGAAAACATGACTTCACCAAACAAACTAAATTAGGCACCAGAGACCAATCCTGGAGAGACAGAAATATGTGACCTTTCAAACAGAAAATTCAAAATAGCTGTTTTGAGGAAACTCAAAGAAATTCAAGATAACACAGAGAAGGAATTTGGCATTCCTTCAGATACATTTAACAGAGATTGCAATAATTTAAAAGATTCAAACAAAAATTCCAGAGTTGAAAAACACAATTGACATACTGGAGAACACATCAGAGTCTCTTAAATAGCAGAATTGATTAAGCAGAAGAAATAATTTGTGAGCTTGAAGATAGGATTTTTGAAAATACATCAGAGGAGACAAAAGAAAAAAAGAATGAAAAAGAATGAAATACACCTAAAAGACATAGAAAATAGTTTCAAAAGAGCAAATCTAAGAGGTATTGGCCTTAAAGAGGAAGGAGAGAAAAAATAGGGGTAGAAAGTTTATTCAAAGGGTAACAGCAGACAACTTCCCAAACCTAGAACAAGATATCAATACCTAAGTACCAGAAGGTTACAGAACACCAGGCAGATTTAACTGGAAGAAGACTATCTCAAGGCATTTAATAAGCAAATTCCCAAAAATCAAGGATAAAGAAAGGATCCTAAAAGCAGCAAGAAACTAACTGCATACAATGGAGCTCCAATATGTTTGGCAGCAGACTTTTCAGCACAAGTCTTTAAAGGCCAGGAGAGAGTGGCATGACATATCTAAAGTGCTGAAGGAAAAAAACGTTTACACTAGAATAGTATATTCAGCAAAACTATCCTTCAAACATGAAGGAGAAACATAGACTTTCTCAAAGAAAAGCTGAAGGACTTCATCAATACCAGATCAGTCCTACAAGAAATGCTAAAGAGAGTATTTTAATCAGAAAGGACATTAATAAGCAATAAGAAATCATCTGAAAGTCCAAAATGTACTTGTAAGTACACAGAAAAAACACAGACTATTATAACACTGTCACTGTGGTATGTAAACTACTCATATCTTAAGCAGAAAGACAAAAAGATGAACCAATTAAAAATAGTAACTACAGGGCCGGGCACAGTGGCTCACGCCTGTAATCCCAGCAGTTTGGGAGGCCGAGGTGGGTGTATCACCTGAAGACAGGAATTCGAGACCAGACTGCCCAACATGGCGAAACCACATCTCTACTAAAAATACAAAAAAGTAGCCGGGCGTGGTGGTGGGCGCCTGTAATCCCAACTACTCAGGAGGCTGAGGCAGGAGAATCACTGGAACCTGGGAGGTAGAGGTTGCGATGAGCCGAGATTGCACCACTGCACTCCAGCCTGGGTGACAACAGCAAAACTCTATCTCAAAAATAAATAAATAAATAAATAAATAAATAAATAAATAAATAAATAAAACTACAAAAACTTTTCAAGACATAGACTGTACAATAAGATATAAATAGAAAAAAGGAAAAAGTTAAGCCGGGGGACAAAGTTAAGGCGTGGAGTTTGTATTCATTTTCTTTTTATTTGTTTATGCTAGCAGTGTTAAGTTGTTATCAGCTTAAAATAATGGGTTACAATAATGGGATGGTATTTGCAAGCCTCATGGTAACCTCAAATAAAAAACTTACAACAGATACACAAAAAATAGAAAGCAAGAAATTAAATCATACCACCATAGAAAGTCACCTTCACTAAAAGGAAGACAGGAAGAAAAGAAAGAAGGAGGAGAAGACCACAAAACAAATAATAAAATGACAGGAGTAAATCCTTACTTATCAATAATAATTGAATGTAACTAAACTCTCCAATTAAAAGACATACACTGGCTAAATGGATTAAAAACAACAAAAAAAGACCAAATGATCTGTTGCCTACAAGAAACACCCTTCACCTATAAAGACACATATAGACTGAAAATAAAGGGATGGAAAAAGCCCATGCAAATCACAGGCAAAAAAACAGCAGGAGTAACTATATTTATGTCAGACAAAATCGATTTCAAGACAAAAACTATAAGAAGAGACAAAGAAGGTTACTATATAATGATAAAGGGGTCAATTCAGCAAGAGGATATAACAATTGTAAATATTTATGTACCCAACACTGGAGCACCCAGATATATAAAGAAAATATTATTAAAGCTAAAGAGATAGGCCCCCAGTGCAGTAATACCTGGAGACATCAACACCTAGCTTTCAGCATTTGACAGATCATCCAGACAGAAAATCAACATCAGACTTAATCTGCACTACAGACCAAACAGACCCAATAGATATATACAGAACATTTCATCCAACAACTGAAGAATACACATTCTTTTCCTCAGCACATGGATCATTCGCAAGGATAGACCATATGTTAGGCCACAAAACAAGTTTCAAAACATCCAAAAAATTGAAATAATATAAAGTACCTTCTCTGACCACAGTGGAATAAAAAAACTATATAGCAATAACAAGGGGAATTTGTGAAACTATGCAAATACATGGAAATTAAACAACATGCTCCTGAATGACCAGTGAGTCAATGACGACACTAAGAAAAATTGAAATTTTATTGAAACAAATGATAACAGAAACACAACAGCAAAACCTATGGGGTACATCAAAAGCAGTACTAAGAGGAAGTTTATAGCTGTACATAAATCAAAAAAGTAGAAAAATTTCAAATAAACAATCTAACAATGCATCTTAAAGAACTAGAAAATCAAGATCAAACCAAATCCAAAGCTAGTGGAAGAAAAGAAATAATAAAGATTAGAACAGATATAAATTAAAATGAGGAAAACAATACAAAAGATTAATGAAACAAAAGTTTGTTTTTTTAAAAAGATAAATGAAGTTGACAAACCTTTAGCCAGACTAAGAAAAAAAGAGAAGACCCAAATAAATAAAATCAGAAATGAGAAAAGAGACATTACATTAATACTACAGAAATTCAAAGGATCATTAGAGGCTACTATGAGTAACTATACACCAATAAATTGGAAAACCTAGAAGAAATGAATAAATTCCTAGACACAAAACCTACCAAGATTGAACCGTGAAGAAATGGGATCAAAGCCAAAATAACAAAAAAAACAAGTAATGGGATCAAAGCCAAAATAAAGTCTCCCAGAAAAGAAAAGCCAACAAAAACCTGATGGCTTCACTGTTGAATGTTACCAAACATTTAAAAAAGAATGAATACCAATCCTACTCAAACTATTCCAAAAAACAGAGAAGGAGGGAATACTTTCAAACTCATTTTACAAGGCCAGTATTACCCTGATACCAAAACCAGACAAAGACACATCAAAAAAAAAAAGAAAACTACAAGCAGTGATGCAAAAATCCTCAACAAAATACTAACAAAATGAATTCCACAATACATTAAAAAGATAATTTATCATGACCAAGTGAGATGTATCCCAGGGATGGAAGGATGGTTCAACATATGCAAATCAATCAGTGTGACACATTATATCAACAAAATGAAGAACAAAAACCATTTGATTATTTCAACTGATGCTGAAAAAGCATCTGATAAAATTCAACATCCCTTCAAGATAAAAAACTGCACATAGAAGGAACATAGTTCCACAATAAAAGCCATATATGATAGACCAACCAGCTAGTATCATACTGAAATGGAGAAAAACTGAAAGCCTTTCCTCTAGGATCTGGAACACAACAAGGATGCCCACTTTCACCACTGTTATTCACCATAGTACTCGAAGTCCTAGCTAGGGCAATCAGACAAGAGAAAGAATAAAGGCATTCAAATTGGAAAGGAAGAAGTCAAATGATCCTTGTTTGCAGAAAACATGATCTTATATTTGGAAAAACTTAAAGACTCCACCAAAAAACTATTAAAGCCAATAAACAAATTCACTAAAGTTGTAGGATATAAAATCAACATACAAAAATCAGTAGCATGTCTATAGGGCAACAGAGAACAATCTGAAAAAGAAATCAAGGAAATAATCCCATTTACAATAGCTACAAATAAAATTAAATATCTACAAACTAACCAAAGAAGTGAAAAATTTCTACAATGAAAACTATAAAACACTGATGAAAGAAATTGAAGAGGACACAAAAAACATGGAAAGATGTTCCATATTCACAGATCAGAAGAATAAATATTGTTAAAATGTCCATACTACTCAAAGTAATCTATACTTTGTAGAGATTCAATGCAATCCCTACAAAATACCAATGATGTTCTTCACAGCAATAGAAAAAAAACTACCCTAAAATTTATGTGGAACCACAAAAGATGCAGAATAGCCAAAGCTACCTTGAGCAAAAGGAACAAGGCTGGATGAATCACATTACCTGACTTTCAAATTATACTGCAGAGCTATAGTCATTAAAACAGTATGGTAATGGCATATAAACAAAAATACAGACCAATGGAATGGGATGGAGAATCCGGAAACAAATCCATACATTTATGTTGAACTCATTTTCAATAAAGGTGCCAAGAGCATACATTGGGGAAAGGATAGCCTCTTCAATAAATGGTGCTGAGAAAACTGTATATCCCTATGCAGAAGAATGAAACTAGACCCTATCTCTCACCATATACAAAAACCAAATCAAAATGGATTAAACACTTAAATCTAAGACCTCAAACTATGAAACTACTATAAGAAAACACGAGGGAAACTCTCTAGGACATTGAACTGGGCAAAGGTTTCTTGAGTAACATCCCACAGACACGAACCACTAAAGCAAAAATGGACAAATGGAATCATATCAAGTTAAAGACTTCTGCACAGCAATGAAACAACAAAATGAAGAGACAACTCACAGAATGGGATAAAATATTTTTACACTACCCATGTGACAAGAGATTAATAACCAGAATATAAAAGGGGCTCAAACAACTGTAGGGAAAAAAATCTAATAATCCTGTTAAAAATGGGCAAAAGATCTAAATAGACATTTCTCAAAAGACGACATACAAATGTCAGACAGGCATATGAAAATGTGCTCAACATCATTGATCATCAGGGAAATGCAAATCAAAACTACAATGAGTTATCACCTCACCCTGGTTAAAATGGCTTTTATCCAAAAGACAGGCAATAAAAACTGCTGATAAGAATGTGGAAAAAAAGGGAATGCCTGTACACTGTTGGTGGGAATGTAATGCAAATTACTACACTATGAAGAACAGTTTGGAGATTCCTCAAAAAACTAAAAATAGAGCTACCATACTATCCAGCATTCCAACTGCTGGATATGTACCCAAAAGAAAGGAAATCAGTATACTGAGGAGCTATCTGCACTCCTACATTTATTGCAGCACTAGTCACAATAGTCAAAATTTGGAAACAACCTAATCCTCAATAGATGAATAAAGAAAATGTGGTAAATATACACGATAGAGTACTATTTAGTCATTAAAAAAAGAGTAAGATCCTGGGCTGGGCGCAGTGGCTCACGCCCATAATCCTAGCACTTTGGGAGGCTAAGGCAGGCGGATCACGAGGTCAGGAGTTCAAGACCAGCCTGGCCAATATGGTGAAACCCCATCTCTACTAAAAATACAAAAATTAGCCAGGTTTGGTGATGGGTGCCTGTAATCCCAGCTACTCGGGAAGCTGAGGCTGGAGAACTGCTTGACCCTGGGAGGCGGAGGTTGCAGTGAGCCAAGATTATACCACTGCACTCCAGCCTGGGTGACAGAGCAAGACTCCATCTCAAAAAAAAAAAAAGGATAAGATCCTGTCATTTGCAACAACAGGGATGGAACTGGAGGTCATTATGTTAAACAAAATAAACTAGGCACAGAAAGATAAACTTCACATGTTCTTATTTATTTCTTGAACTAAAAATTAAAACAATTGACCTCATGGAGATAGAAAGTAGAGGGATGGTTACCAGAGGCTGGGAAGGGTAGTGGGAGAGTGGTAGGGGGATGCGAGGATAGTTAATGGGTCCAATAAAAATAGAAAGAATGAATAAGATCTAGTATTTTATAACATAACTTTAGGATACCTAAAGAATGAATAAAATCTAGTATGTGATAGCATAACTTTAGGACACCTAAAGCCAATAATAATTGTACATTTTTAAAATAACTAAAACTGTATAATTGGATTGCTTGTAACACAAGGGATAAATGCCTGAGGTGATGGATACCTCATTTTACATGATGTGATTATTATACATTGTATGCCTGTATCAAAACATCTCATGAGATGTATTTTCCCATTAAAAATTCCTCATTAAAAAATGTCATATATCCCATAAATGTATGTATATATATTTACGTAAATATATGTATATATATATTCAGTGTAATTCTGAAACATTTTAATTATGAAGATTTATCATGGTCATGACATTGCTTTAATATACTGGTTTCATATAATTTATTTAATTTGGAATTCCTAATAAAGAACCAAACTTCTCATTACTGTATGTGCATAGAAAAATGTAATCTGCTTTACCAAAATTCCCTTTACAATATGATGAAGAATAAAAGTGGGATATGCCTTTATGGTAACACCCTCCTCAATCCCCAAATAGCCAGGAAAGCACAACGCAGCATGGTCTCTGGAAAACAGCCGGGACCGCGGCCCAGAACTCAGGGGAGGGAGCTGACAGGTGTGCGCGCTCCAGAGTCCACTCACTTCCAGACATTCAGCCAGGAGAAAGCCTTCAGAGATCATCTAGTCCAACTATCTCACCTACAGCTGGGGAAACTGAACCCAAGGGCAGAAACGGCTTACCAAGTCGACCTAAGTTATTGACCAGGAATAAACTTACCAGACCCTAGGAAATTAGAAGCAACAAGCTAGTGGCAGAGGTGGGGTGGGCTGTGGCTTTTATACTTATGGTAGTGACAAATGGCAGCTGACCACGGAAGACAAGGCAGACAAATGAAAAGCGTATTACAGAATAATAATGAAAGCTTATTAAACACAAAAATGAAAGAGCTTATCCGAGTCACTATGAAAAAGACTCAATAAATTTGTTATTCTCCATTTAAAAAAAAAAAAGTATGTGACATATCTTAGAATAGTTTCCATCAAGAATGCTAAGATCTGCACAGAGACTGCATTCAAAGGGGTCAGCTCCAGGTATCCGGAAGGTTAATTTCTGTGGAATGCCTTCCTGCCCAGCACAGGCTTGTTTTTTCAAGGACAAAGTTTGTTTTTGATATGTGCACACATTTCATAGACAATAAAGCTAATATTCTGATTTTTGAGGCCTAAAATAACTTGTCTGCAGATGACAACTTATCTAAATGACCTGAAATAAAAGTGACTGAAAATAAGCCCTCGGGAATGTACAGTCCTTAAGCATCACGAACTGCCACTCCCAAGGCCACGCATGTATCAACAACGCCTTATCAATCCCAATGATGTTATGGGGAGTCCAGAGACAGGCAGACAACGTGGATAAGAATTTATTACTCCAGCATGACGTAACAAGAATGTTAGCTTTACTGAGCTCCATGCCAAGAGCAGAAGTCTTCCCTTCCCGCCCCTGTCCTCCCCTCCCCTATAGTTCACCCTGTCCTCCTAGCCGCCTAACAAGGGTGAGGTGATTCTGTGATAAAACTCCTCTTTGGGTTCTAGTCCTTGTATTTATTCTTTATCATGCTTCTGGTGGCACCACTCCCCAGGGCATCCCTTCCCCCATCACCACTACAAGTAATAGGACTCCCGAGTCCAAGTGATCTCATCCCTGTGTCCAGGCACCTCCAGGAGAGCAGGCCTCGCTATGCACATGTGCCTGCTCAGGATAGTTTCTATTCCATGATTCACCCACCAAGTATCCTCCCTAGGGACGCGGGTTCATGCCTCGGCCTTAACATTCTGTGCTATCATTTTAAGACTTTTACATGATTTAGAGGAAAGAACAGGAGCTTTGGAGCCAGAAAATCCTGAGTTGAATCCCAGCACCAGCATCCAAATTGAGCTCTGTGTCTGGGAATAAGTTATTTCTCCTTCCTGAGCCTTGGTGCCATTAAGTGTAAAAGGAGATGGCTGTGCAGAGTTAAGGAGAGGCTACATATAAAGTGCCTGGCACACAGTAGGTGCTCTGCGGATGCTCCTTTCCTTTCCCTCCCCCACTCCCTCTTCCTCCACTCAGAACTGTTGGCTCTGGCTTCTTTCTCTCCGGAATGTTTTCTCCCATCTCTTCTCAGTGAGCCTCCTCATATGCTTCCTTTTAGCAAGAGCTTTTACACCTGAATCATGGTGTTTAAAAACCTATATCGAGAAATGTGATTATAGGACATTGCCAAACTGTGCTTCTTGAAATAGAAATAACGAGACTGCAAAGCGCATCTAAGCTAGAGAGGGTTGGGTGAGACTGAGGGAGCAGAGAAGACGCTCTGGACACCCCCCGCCTCCCTTTTCCCCTTCCCCAGTGCCACCAGATTTAGCAAATGAAAATGTAAGACACCCAGTTAAATTTTCATTTCAGATAAATATCAAATACATTTCTAGTGTGTCCCAACAATTGCAGTTGAGAAGGAAAATGGGACTCTAGCAAAGATAAGCTGTAGAGAAAGGAAAATAAAGATCATGACTGCCAGAGACAGAGGCAGCTGTCCCTTCTACCTGGTGCTACCAGAGAGAACTTCAAATCATCTGACCAAAAGGGAACCCCTGGTGGAGTCACAGCTTTGTGTGGTCTTGGAGTCCTAGAAAGTGCCCGTAGGCAGTAAACGCACAGCCATGGTCCTTCAGTTCCAGTAAGCATGGGCAGTTACTGAAGAGGGGCTTGGGACTTGAAGACGGCAGCTGCCCAGGCACCCTCAATGTCTGTACAAAATCCACCCACCTAATGCTATGTGAGTTTTATCGTATTTTTTATTAATTTTTAAACATAATTTTGTGGAATGAGCACTTATTTAATATTCCATATAATCTTTAAAATGTTGCAAAAGATGAAATAAGCCAGCCATACTTAAATACAAGTGAATTTTCTCTTAATTTATTTGGATTTGAATTTTTGCTTTAAAAGACTAAAGGGCAACAAAATTACACAGGAAAATGCACATGTTACTGTACAAACTGAAATATCATCCCCGCTGAATTACTGCAATAACTTCTCAACTGAACTCCCTGCTGCTGCCCATCCAGTCTCTTAACTCAGCAGCCAGAATGATCCTTCTAAAAAATACATCAGATTACGCCCCTTCCCTGCCCAAAACCCTCCACTGGCTCTCAGTAAGTGTGAGCCTTTCCAGTGGCCTTCAAGGTCCTGTGGGACTTGGCGCCCCACCCCTTTCAGCCCCTCCGACTCTCCTTTCCTGCCCTCCCCTTGCTCACTGGGCACAGGCCACTCTGGCCACTGCCCACAGCGTCCTGCCCAGATGCCCCTGTGCCTTCCCTGCCCTCCTGCAGAGCTTTGCCCTAATGCCAGCTTCTCCATAACACCTTCTCTGGCCACACTTTCTAAGTTCGTAGCCCCCATTCCTAGCACATCCTAGCCCCTCTCACTGCTGCCGATTCCCATCAACCTACTGCACATTTTACTTTAGTTGTACGTTTGGTATCTCTCCTCACTAGAATGCAAGGCAGACATTTGGGCATTTTGCTCTCTGCAGCCTCCCCAGAATGTAGAACAGTACATGGCACATAGGACGCACTCAATACAATTATTTTTTGAATGTTGAATAAATATGAGGTAAGAATAATGATGAGCTATAGTGTGGTAAGATGTATTTACCGAAAGCCAAACAATGAATAAATGTGGGGTTTTCTTCAAGACTTCAAAGACTGAAAAGAGCTCTTATTTTTGAACTTTTTTACGCGCCTCTCACTTGCTTTCTTCTTTTTTTCATCAGAAAATTATAGAGCCAGAGGGGGGTCATGACTTCCTGGCTTCTAAAGTTAATATTCAAAAATGCAGGACAGAGCATTTTTACCGTTCGCATTTTATAAATCATGTGATTGAAGGAAGTACATATTTGCCTGAAGTAACATCCTTTGAAAGTGCTTCCCAAGTCTCCCCCCACTCAGGCTAAGAACAGTCAAGCAATTCCAGACTAAAGAATGTGCTCCTCATGAAATTTCAACACAAGCGCATTCAATACATGTTTATTGATCGGCAGAGATCAAATCTGTCGCCCTTTTAACAAAGGTCCAACTGAATGACCTTTAAATGTGAGATGTGTCAAAATCCAAAATGCCAAACAAGTCTCCTTACCTCTCGGCAGAGTCTCTGATGAGCTGCTGCAAATCCACCTCCTGCTTCCTCAGGGTTCCAAATGAAGACTGGCTCTCTACGCGGCTGCTGCCCCCCAGGTTCAGCTTGACCTTCCCCAGTGCAGTCTCCAGGGTTCCACTCACGTGGTTTGCAAACTTGCCCTCGTATTTCACAAAGTCCGACTCCACGACCACTGGAATGGAGGAGACGAGCAGAGGAAGCCGATGATGATAAGGCCACCAAGATGTCTTGGGTCATTTAGCTTTCCAAGCCTGTGCAGAGCCCCGGAAAGCAGAAGGCTGGCACTCAGATGGAAAGCCGGCAGCCATGCTGTGTGTGTGGGCAAGAAAACAGGGCAGCACGTGTGTGTGTGTGTGTGTGTGTGTGTGTGGACCGCGGGCACACAGTGGACCAGTGCAGCACGTGTGTGTGTGTGTGTGTGTGTGTGTGTGTGTGTGTGTGTGTGTGTGTGTGGACCACGGGCACACAGTGGACCAGTGACCAGGGCTCCACTAGAAGCTTTTCTCTTTCATTGGTTTTCAATCCCAATACGTATAGAAAGGTGCACAGAAAGGACTAATGAATAAAGTTAGCGCCTGTTTAACCACTATCCAGGTGGATCAATAGACCATTTTAAATGTGTACTTTTCCAGGGTGAAGACTGAAAGGGACTAGACAAAGAAGACAACTAAACAGAGAGAGAACAGCAGCCCCTATTCTGGATGCACCGCGAGAGGACAGCCTTCCTTGGCCACCTAGGCCTGTCTGGGGGCATCTTGTCTACCCACCCACCAGTCTTGGAAAACAATCCCCTGGCCCTTATTACCATCTCCAGTCAAATTATTCCCTTCCCATATTTATGATTCTCTCTCTGACCTCTACCCAGTCATTCAATTCCTCATCATATAATTCCTTATCTCTGACTTCCTGATAAGGTCAGTGGACATGCCCTTTTTAAAATGATAAATGTCTGATCTCATATCTGAACTGTCAGCCTTCTCACATCTCCAGGTTTCTACTATTCTCTTTTGTAATCCAAACAAAAACCACCCTAAAAATAGTCTCTGTGTGGTGGCTCACATTTGTAATCCCAGCAATTTAGGAGGCTGAGGCAGGAGGATCCCTTGAGGTCAGAAGTTCAAGACCAACCTGGGCAACACCAGCTACCCTAGAGGCTGAGGTGAGAGGATCACCTGAACCCAGGAGTATAAGGTTACAAGTGAGCAATGATCATGCCACTGCACGCCAGCCTGGGTGACAGAGCAACACCTTATCTCTAAGAAAATATAAAAATAATAACAAATAAAAATAATGATTTTAAAAATAGTCTCTATCATCACCATTTGGTAAGGAGACATTAAGAGTCCACTAGGAACCTCACACTTGGCCTTTTCCATTGTCCTGACCCAAGGCTCTCCTGGGCTCCCGGCTGCCCTTCACAGGGGATTCAAACCCACCGGCAGTCTGAAAGGCTTCTTTCCATCCACTCACTGCCCCAACACCCATACTTCACCTACACTTCTTCCACTGCAATCAAGAAAACCCACTCCTCAACCAGGGTTAATCAGAAGTAATCACCATTCAATCACCTTTGAAATTTATAAAACAGAGAATCATCTCCTGTACCACCAGCCCAAAAATAAGAATGGTGTAAAAATTTATCCTATTCATGGACTTTTTTTGTTAATATCTCATGGAAAACAAACATTTTGGGCAATGCCTTGGGAAGAAGGGCAGAGCAGAGATAAAGAGGTTAGGATTCTATCCCTACTCTAATATTACTAACCGGGAGAATTTGGGTAACATTCATTTCCCTGAACCTCAGACTTTCATGAGCAATTTGGAGATAATTAATGATAGCTACCTGACGGGTTCTGCTGCGGGTTTATATATGGAAAGCATGTAAGGTAGAGTCTCACACATAGCAAAGGCTCAATCTCTCCACTGTGTTTAGGCCACAGAAATATCATTTTCTAATAAACAGGACAGTCCTAGGTTCTACAAAGTACAGCAAAGACAGAAATTTTATCTTCAGGACACAGGTCTGGTCTTAGGCTTATTACCACTCCTGGAAACCCTGTCCCCAAGACTTGATCCACAGCAGGAAGGAACAGTCAAGATTTGTCTGTGTGTTCTGAAAAGCCACTCTAGACACACCTCCGAAGAAGATGTCATTTGTGCACACTTCTGCATCAAGCTGTCAACTGCTGTTGGTGGAAGGGAAGAAATGAGGGGACCAACAGGCCATCACTTGGACTGCCAACACCAGTCACCACCCTACACCCTTCACAGCCCTGGGCAACACATATGCCAGTGAGGCTGCGAGTGGGAAAAAATAACAAAGGTGAAGCATCCTGACTCTACCCAGTAGACAAAGTAGAAGACGCTTCTCGTCACCGCCCTAACACCAACAGGACACAGAATCCAGGATGAGCTCTGACCCCAGATGAGCATGCTCGGGGATTCTTCACCTGCAGTGACCGCCACTGGCCTCACCAATCCAGCACAAGTCTTTGTGATCTTTCAGGACACCACAAAAGAGGCATTTCACATCACAGAACGGTAAAACTCCAATTACTCAGGAGTTCCTGGTCTATTTTGTCATTTTTTACCCTCTTATTCCTTTTCATATTTAGTTATTTCACCGTTCGATAGAAGTTCTGCCAGAAAGCACACAGATTCCTGAAGGGGAGGGTGATGTAAAATTAATATCAATTCATTTGCCTATTGTGTGACAGCTCTGATGAGCTGACTGGAGACAGCACTGGCTGGAATCGTTTCCTGGAAGAAAGTTTGAAGATTATCTGTAAACTCAAATTATCTCCTCTACCTCTTTTCCCCTTTAACAGAGACGCAATCACAAAATTAGAGAATTCTAGAGCTGAAAGAGGATTCAGACATCATTTTGTCCAATAATTAAGAGCTGAAGATATTTTCATATATCACCACATTCAAAAAAGTAATGTAGCAATGAGTAAGTACCAAGTGTTCAAAAAGTTTCCATCCTCTGCTCCAGTAATTCTCTAAGAATTTACGCTAAAGCAGTTGCCTAAAAAACTACAACAAAAATGCACATAAAAATGCTCATTGCAGCCTTACTTATTAATCATTTTTTTTTTCTTATTTTGGAGACAGGGACTCTGTTGCCCAGGCTGGAATGCAGTGGCACAATCATGGCTGACTTCAGCCTCAACCCCCTGGGTTCAAGCGATCCTCCCACCTCAACCTCTTGAGTAGCTGGGACTACACGTGTATGCCACCATGCCTGGCTAATTTTTCTATTTTTTTGTAGAGATGGGGTTTGCCACGTTGCCCAGGCTAGCCTCAAACTCCTGGGCTCAAGCGATCCGCCCACCTCGGCCTCCCAAAGTGCTGGAATTACAGGCATAAGCCACTGCACCCAGCCCCAACATTATTTATTAAGCACTAAATTGTAGTGGTTAAGCAAATTAGGGTACATACACTCAAAGGAATATTATGTGTTTGTTGAAAATTGTATTTAAAAATATTTAAACCTAATTAAATATTTATTTAAACTTAATGTTAAGTAAAAAAATAAGGAGTGTATAAAAATTATATAGAGTATATATATATATATATATATATATTTTTTTTTGAGATGGAATCTCACTCTATCACCCAGGCTGGAGTGCAGTGGTGCAATCTTGGCTCACTGCAACTTCTGCTGCCTGGGTTCAAGCGATTCTCCTGCCTCGGCCTCTTAAGTAGCTGGGATTACAGGTGCCTACCACCTTGCCCGGCTAATTTTTATATTTTTAGTAGAGATGGGGTTTCACCATGTTGGCCAGGCTGGTCTTGAACTCCTGACCTTGTAATCCACCAGCCTCGGCCTCCCAAAGTGCTGGGATTACAGGCATGAGCCACCACGCCCGGCCTACAGTATATTTTCAGTTTCGTTATTAAAAATCAGATGCAGAGAAATAAAAGGCTACAAACCAAGTGTCAACGGGAATTAACACATGATGGTAGAATTTTTTATTTTTAAATTTTCTTCTTCATCCCTTTCTATATTTTATACCGTACTGTAACAATACATCTGTCTGACCCCATTTTTTATGTCTGACTGCTCTCAGCTTCTGAGACCCCACTCCTCCTTCTCTTTCTTTTGCACATCTGGACAAGCTGATAAGAGATTCCAGGTGCTCTGTCCATGGTGTCAGTGAAAGCTCAAACCACATAAGCCCATCCCCCATGCAGGGACCAATGCCCATCTCCATTCACTAATCACAATAAAAGCTGAGCCCATCTCCTTATCCCCTTCTCTGTGGCCATTTTTGGACCAGCTTTAGAGACTGTCCTGCTTTCCCCAGAAAGCATCATTATGTGAATGACAAAAATTTTCACACCTTCTTGATGGGTATGTGGCATCATCAGTTCAACACCAAACCACATTTGGGGTAGGTGATCCACCCCACTTATGCTGAGTGGCCACAACATGTACAGTAAGCATGTCTTACTTTTATACTATACCGCAAAATTATTTTTAAAAGGTTAAGCTATAATGTGTCACGTCAGGCCTGCAGAATTTTGTTCATTTTAAGAAAGGATATGTTTTTAAGATGACAAGCAAAGAAACAGGAGAATTCATTATAAAGTATCTGGACTCAAGGCAATACTTGCATTAAAGAAGAATCATCGACCAGGCATGGTGGCTGATGTGTGTAATCTCAGCACTTTGGGAGACCGAGGTGGGTGGACCACTTGAGGTTAGGAGTCTGAGACCAGCCTGGCCAACACGGTGAAACACTGTCTCTACTAAAAATACAAAAATTAGCTGGGCGTGGTGGTGGGTGCCTGTAATCCCAGCTACTCAGGGGGCTGAGGCAGGAGAATCACCTGAACCTGGGAGGCAGAGGTTGCAATGGGCCAAGATCACGCCACTGCACTCCAGCATGGGCGACAGAGACTCTGTGTCAAAAAAAAAAAAAAAAAGGATCATCCTTTCCGAGACTAATTATAGAATATACCCAAGGAAACATACCTGGACTCGGAAATTGGTCTTCTATGAGTACATCGCCAAGGGTGAGGGATAAAAACTGGTACTTGGGTCTCTGCCAGCACCAGAATCTCTTCTTTTTTGTCACCAGACTTAGAAGCTGTAACTTATCAGAGTCATTCAGATTTGATACTGCAATCAGGTCACCATCAGCATCAACTTCTCTAAGAAAATTCCTGGTTGCTTTGGCAAACATTTTGAAAGCTCCAGATTATCTGAAAAAGTAAAGTTATCCTAAAATCAAATAAGAAGTTACTATTTTGTGGCTTTTTTCCCTAAAATTACTGTATTTCTCCCTATTCACAACAGTTCACATGAAAGAATATCTTCTTCCTAGAAGACCCTCTAGTTTGACTTTAGCTGATAATAAAGAACTCAAATAGAGATATTGAAAGAACATATATATACCAGTCTGGATATGCTAGGTTACGCTTCAGAAACAATCCCTAAGTCTTAGTGGTTTATTACAATAAGGGTTTATTTGTTGCTCATACTACATGCACAATACAGGGGTACAAGAGAGTTTTGTTTATTATGGTTATTCAGGGATCCAGACTGAAGGGAAAGCCAGCATCTTGAACACTGTCAATCATTATCCAACAGGAAAGAGTTTTGGAAGGTCTCACACCAGCAATTAAATGATCTGGCCCCAAAGTGACACAAGGCAGATCGTTTATAACTTGTCAGAACTAGTCACATGGCTTCAACCAACAATAAGGGCCAGAAAATACAATTTTATCAAGAATCCAGAAGGCAGACTGGGCATGGTGGGTGACACCTGTAATCCCAGCATTTTGGGAGGCCAAGGTGGGAGGATTGCTTGAGTCCAGGAATTGGAGACCAGCCTGGGCAACATAGCAAAACTCCAAATTAAAAATTAAAAAATTAGCTGGGTGTGGTGGCGCACAGCTGTAGTCCCAGCTACTTGGGAGGCTGAGGTGGGAGGATTGCTTGAGCCCAGGAGTTCAAAACTGCAGTGAGCCATGATCACGTCACCATACTCCAGTCTGGGTGACAGTGCAAGATTTTGTCTCAAAAAGGCAGAGAGCTGGGAATATTTGTTGAACAACAACCTACTGACTATCATAATAGATAGCTTACTTATGACTACTTATTTGAAGGGTCAAAGGTGCTTTTTCTCTACACTGTGTGATTTCTCATATTCAGATAATGAAAAGTAAGTAGCTATGGCTTTTTAACCCAGAAAATAAAGGCACAGTCATACTTTAGCAGGAGGAGAAAAGAAGAGATACATTGGAAGATATAAAAAGGAAAATATTACACTCAAGAGAAGCAGTATAGACTATTTAATAAATGCTGTTGGAACAATGGGCTAACTATCTGGAAAGAAAAAAACTGAATTCCTCTCCCATACCATAAATAAAGCAAATTCCCAATGAAATCAAGAGGTTTCTTTGAGGAAAAATGAAACTGTGAAAGTACTAGAAAAAATAGAGAAATATTTGTACAATCGCAGGATGAGAAGGGCCTTTAGAAAGACAAAGGGCAAACTGAGAAAATAATTGTAATATTTATGAGAGGGAACAAAAATGCTTAACATATTTTTTAAAAACTTTCATAAATCAAGTTTTAAAATACTGTACTCCAAGAGAAACATAGGCAATGGTTCTAAACCATTCACAATACACAAATTGCACATAGCCCAATATATATATACACGCATGTATAATAAGTTACCACATACAAAAAGAAGAAAATAACATTTTTACAAACTATCCATGGTCAAAATGAAAAGCTCTAATGCACAAGAACTGCTTTTTATTTTTGCTTGCACCCTGGCGCTTGGCACAGTTGCACAGTCACACAGCTCTTAGGATTTAAGAGATGAGAATAAGCTCAGACTTTAGCTCAATCCACCTTAACATGAATCTCTTTCGGGGCATGGGAAATCATTTGTCTTATCGATCACTGGTTCTTTTGTACAGTATCTTTTCTTAGATTATTATGAAGCAGTAGCTACCTGACCCTGTTCTTGTATATTAACACTAGGAATGAACATTTAAGGAAAAAATTCTAAAATATGCAAGGAAGTTCCTTTCTGATAAGGTGAACTGCAAAGCAGCATGACTAAGGATGCTCAGGCTGTCATCTGTAATTTATCTGTCACTATGCTATGCATAAGAATCTTGCATTCAATGGAATACTCATTTATTTATTTACCAAATCATCAACTGAATCATTCACTAATTTTTCTTGAGTACCTACTATACTACTGTGTTGAAGCACTTAGGATACAGAAACAAAAAATAATTTCTCTCCTCAATGAGCTACTAGTTTGGTGGCCAGATGGAGAAATAAACAGCTTAGTTTTATGTTAGCTACTGGCAGAGATTGTTCCAGGGAAAGAACCAAGAAAAAGGCATCTAAATCTCATTGGAGAGAGGCATACTGTCACAGAAGTCCTCCTGAAGTCGATGACATCCAAGCTGCATTGTGTAGGCTAAGTAGAAGTAAGCCAGGCAAAGGAGCACTATATGGATGCTGTAGCTGAGGAGCAGCCATTATGAAAGCACAAAATTTGCAGGAGGTGATGGAGGGATGGGGAAGACAGTGCCAAGCAAATGGGTTACCAGTGAGCTTGAGATGGCCCAGGAGACATTGTGTTGTATTGATCTGCCATCCACCACTTTGACAGACTGGAAAGACTGGTCAAGCTCTGAGCTTGACTCTTGCACTGGAATGCAGCATTCCAGAGTGGAGAAGGGCCAGAGACAAAGCTGGGGAGGCCCCCAATCCATGTCCTGCCTCTCCTGCAGGGCAGCCAGGGAAGCAGGTGCCACTGGAGGATCTGTGATCAGAATGATCCCTTAGAAAAATCTTCTAGAAGCAAAATAGCAAAGGGACTGCAGGGGAACAAGATTAGAGATGGACAAAGATGACAACGCTCTGGACTATGTCAGTGGCATAAGGATAGAAAAGACACTCGCTTGGTGAAGGGTGGTGATGAAAGAAAGAAGGCTCCCTGGGGTGTCATGCTGGTATCCCAGGTGCAGGCTGGGAGATGAGAAGGAAAAGCCAGTTACCAAGAGAGGGAATTTGAAAGGAACAGATTTACTTTGCCAAACATGGGACTGGGTCTCCCTGAGGGCCTGTGAGAACTCGTCCTGCTAGTCCAGGAAAAGAGCCACAGAACAACTGCTTTAGTTTACCACTGCTGTCAGGATCTCCACTGTTATGGCTTCTAATTCTTTTCTGGGACAAGCTGAAAGGGAGTTCACTCACGCACTTGCCTTCAGATCACACAGGTTTCTGTAGAAACCAAATCAGGCTTGCCATTAAAAAACAAAATAAAACCCATCTGCTGTGGGTGGGAAAACCTTAGTAAAGACACCAATCCTCCCCCACAGGGATTAGACGGTAAAAAAGAGGAAATTCCTAAATTAATTTTTCATGTTTTTTTTTTTTCCATCTAACATCAAACAGCTAATTTGCCTTCTTGGCAGGGTAGGGTGCTTTAAGGAGAGTAACTGGAGGTGGCTATTTATTGCTTTGTTTATTAGACTCAGACTTTTTAATCATGGGACTCAGAATATTCTCCTGGTGAAGTTAAAGTTGGAGGTTTCTTTATTACTATTACATGTGAATTATACTTACACGGTTCAAAAATCTAAATGATGTAAAGGATACACATTGAGAAATCCCATTCCTGCCCAGGCCCCAGCAACCCTTTCACTCCTCTCCCCTTCAGCCATATTTCCTTCATATTTCTTTATAGAGGTGTAGTTAAAAGGAGTCTGAACACTGCTCAGCATCTTGCTTTCTGCCACATACTCCCTTATGCAGATGTATCATTGCGCATTTTACTTGTCCCATGTTGCTGACCACTTGGGTTATTTCTAAATTTGTGTTATATTAAAGCTGTCCCCAGGAAATACCCCATACGGATGTCCTCTTCATAAACAAACAAATGTATCTGAAGGGTAGATCCCTAGAAAAGAGATTGCTAGAACAATGGGTAAATGCATCTGTAATTGTAGGAGTTGTGCTATTCTGCAGTCTGACCAATAATGTACAAAAGTATCCATCTTAGCAACAGTGTATCATTAGACTTTTGGATTTTTGCAAGTCTGATAGGTGAGAAATGGAATCTCAGCCTAGTTTTAGGTTGTGTTATTTTAAAACAAATAAAATCAAGCATCTTTTATTTTGTTGAAAGACTTTCTGTATTTAACTGTATCCTTTGCTCATTTTCTATTCTTGCTTTTTTTGGCTTTATTTCCAGGAATGTTTGATATAATAAATCTACCAAAATATAGGCTAGGAACAACAGAGTTTATCATGCAGCATTAGGGGACAATACACTGCCACCATCATTCTCAAACACATAAGATAACTAGTCAGCCAGGAAAGATTAAAGAGTATGGCCAGGTCCAAATGAATGAAGGATCTAGAACTCAAGTTGCCCGACACAGACAAGCACAGTCATGTCTCAGCCAAAAGTCAGACTCTGGATTAACATTTTCACAATGCTCCAATTTGGGAGAAGATGAAAATGGCCTCAGGAGGCATCATGCTCAAATAGCTCATGGCCTAAAAACTCACTGCACTTCACAGTTGTTACATAGATCACGGACTCTCGCACAGAGCCTTAAAAGTTATATTAGCAGCCGGGCCTGGTGGCTCATGCCTGTAATCCCAGCACTTTGGGAGGCCGAGGTGGGGCGGATCACCTAGGTCAGGAGTTTGAAACCAGCCTGGCCCAACATGGTGAAACCCGGTCTGTACTAAAAATACAAAAATTAGCCAGACATGGTGGCAGGCAGTAATCCCAGCTACTCGGGAGGCTGAGGCAGGAGAATCACTTGAACCTGGGAGGCAGAGGTTGCAGTGAGCCAAGATCCTGCCATTGCACTCCAGCCTGGGCAACAAGAGCGAAACTTTGTCTCAAAAAAAAAAAAAAAAAGTTGTATTAGCAAACAGTCCTTAGTCTGGCTTCCCAGCTGAAAGCAGATGAGAACTAAAAAGGCCAAAGCAAATGCAGTAAGGATATCCTAGCTTGAGTCAGACTCTTGGACAAGAGACCTTGTGGGGCAGACACCAAGAAAGCAGGACAATGACACAAAGTTAGCAAAGCACACAGCCAACTGGAGCCACTGGGAACAAAGAATCTTAAAAATAGTTGCCAAGGTAATGACTGCAGGAGAAGATAACTATATTCACTACTGCCTGTTAAGACTGATTCAGTCATGGAGTTATCTAGTTTTTAAATTAGAAGAGAAACCTCATTCTTTCTCACACTCCATTCAGGATTCTTCTTAAAAGCAGCTCTGGTTGAACCCTGGGCCTCTGCCTGAAGAGTTCTAGAAAAGAAACTTCAACATCAAATACTCTAGACAAAGAGAGGAGCAACTGTTTGTTGAGTATCTGCTATGTTCCAGGCATGGGTCTTACTGCCTTATACACATTTCCTTATTTAATCTTCATAATAACTCTTTGAAGTAGGCAGTGTGAGGAAGCTGAGGTTCAAAGATGTTAAGTAACTTGCCCAAGATCACAGCAAAGAAAGAAGCAGCCCTATCAGGGAACTGGCCTGGAACTATCAGGCCCTGGTGTTGCTGACCATGAATAATGGCACAGAGCATCAACATCAGGCAAGGCCAGTCTTGTCATGATAAATCAACATGAAAACAAGGCTTCTCTGTAATCATGCCTGAACACAGACAAAACATGAACACGTTCAAAGCACAAAAATGATCAAATACCACCCCCCTTCCAATCATTAGCAGTCCTAATGAGTGACTGCTGCTTCCTGACCAATCACAGCTATAGCCTCTCTCTGGCCTTCTCTCATTTTTGACGAGATTTACGAGGATACTCAATCACAGAACTTCCCCTGCTTCCCTGACCACATCCAATTCAGAGCAAAGCCCTCTTTCCCCAAATCACCTACTACATGCCCAAATCCTCTGTCCTTTCTAACACCTCTTATTGAGACATCTCAGGGTTCCCCATGGTGTCCCTCACTTTAAGGAGAAATAAACCAACTTATTGAACTGACAGTGTGTTCCTGGAGGTCTTTGACTGGAGGGGATTGAACATCACATAGAGAATCAGTGCTGAGCCAAGATTCCACCCGAGGTCCACCTGACTCCAAAGCCTGTGCCCTTGACCACTCTACTCTGCTGGCTCCCTGTTCAGCTTTTTTTCTGTTCTAATGTGGGCCTCATATGACTCATTCTGTAACATAAGAAAGTGCCCTTGAAAAAGGTAAACCTCAGTTACGGTGGAAACAGAAATCATTGCTATGGAACATGTGTCATTTCCTTTCTATCTGGGGAGACGAAACATGGCTGTACTTGTCTACTTGTCTCATTGTTAGCAATTTCAGCATACTTTGAATTAGTTTTAGTTTTCTAGATAGCAAAGTGCAATTGGGTCTATTAAATTAGAACAGAGGTGGCATCTTTTATCTTCCTATCCCTACAGCCCAGTACCTGAGCTCATTTTTAATGAGAAGACAAATTAATATTTCATCATTTCTTTCTAAAATAAAAATCGGTATGTGAACGCAATGATGGTCATAAGACAGGCAGGAGCTCGAAAGGAGAAGGAGAGTGAGGCGCCAAAGGCTTTGGGGAAGTGGAGTGGGTAACAGAGGGCAGTCTGGGTAAGAATAGAGAAGATGCGGTGTGGTGGCAGGCACCTGCGGTCTCAGCTACGGGTGTATGGGAGGATCCCTTGAGCCCAGGAATTCAAGGCTGCAGTGAGCTAGGATAGTGCCACTGCACTCCAGCCTTGGTGACAGAGCGAGACCCTCTCTCAACAATAACAAAGAACCTAGCCAAGGGACCGTGGCTAGGGGGTTGGGCCCTTTCTCTCTCAGATCTACCTAATGGTCTGGGCTCAACTTCTCCTTTAGAAAAAGAGCTTGGTGGTGGTAGATTGTGAAGACAATTAATTTCACTCTTCAGCTGCTTCTCCAACCCCACAGCACTCCTTTCATTCCACTTGGACTTGCCCCACCTGCCTGCGTCTCGAGGACAGCGACCGCAAGCCATCCATCCCTTTCATTATCCCATTCACTATTCTGGACAGAGTAGACTCTGGAGGAGTGGGTGGTCGGTGTGTTCAGTCCACAACCAGCGCTTTTCTAAGAGGTGCCCTCTAGTCTTTCCCCTCGGGGTGCAGACGGCAAGCGGCTCTGGAAAGGGTCAGAGGTCCTCAAATGGAGACCAAAGGAAGCCACGCGGGCAGCTCTTGAGAGCCATTCCAGCGCATGCCAGGCACACCGAGTGGGGCTTGGCCTCCTCCCCAAGCTAGGAGCTCTCTAGATACCGGAGCAAAGTGGAGGGGGACTTTTTTCCGTCCAGAGAGACTGAACTCCGTATCTGTTCCGCGGTCCGCCTCCCTGCACACACGCCCCCGAGCCGGGAGAGCCTCCGCAGCACCCAGAGAAGAGACCGGAACACAAAGGATGAACGAATGGGGAGGGGGGGTTTGGGGGGTTGGGAGAACGAAAATACCAGCTGCGCTTCCAACATCCAAGGAAGGAAGTGGCAGCGGGGACGGGGAGAGGATGGGAAGGGGATGCTGACTGCGAGTTGGGGCGGGACGCGGTGATGGGAGGGGACCGGGCCGGGAATGCGGGAGGCGAGGGGAGCGACGGGACCTGCCGTTCCGGCGGCCGGGCAGCCAATCGATTCGTCTCCCCTAGGAAGGAGCGAGGGGAGGGTGGCCCAGAGAGAAAGCGCCGCGCGGCCTCGGCTGCCCCCGGCCCGGGACACCCAAACAGACCAAAGAGGATCCGGAGTGGAGCCCGGAGCGGATCCCGCAGCCCGCGCCCGCCGCGCACTTACCCGCGCGCCCGCTGCTGGGTCCCCGGCAGCCGCGCCCCCTGCGCTGGCGGAGTCGGAGGAGCCTGCGCTGGGCCGGCGGGGGGCGGGCGCTTGGGGAGGGCGGAGAGAGGGCCCGCCCGCCGGGACCTTTGCTCGGTCCGGGCGCCCCAGAGCCGCGGGACTGGCCGCCGGAGGCTGCGGGAGGGGCCCGGGCCAGACCTCCCAGAAGCCCCAGAGAGAGCCGCTTCCCCTCCTTCGTGTGACTCTCTGGGAGCCGGGTTGCTGACGGCCCAGCGCTCAGCCGGAGTCCCCGCGCGCTTTTCGGGACTCACCCGGGAGATGTCGGGGCCTCTCGGGAAGAGTGGGCTGCGCCTGCCTTCCGCGGCCGCCTCGCCTCTTCGCTGCGCGGGACCGTGGGGTTTGAGAGCGGCGCCTCCTCGCGGGGCCGAACCCGCCACCCACAGTGGAGTGTGGACTGACACCGCGGCCTCACGGTTCAACCAGGAAAGTCCAAGGCCTGTCCAGCCTGTGGGAGCCCCTAATGCCCGTGCCTGGAGTAGTATCTGGGTGTGTGGTGCGACAGTGCCCACACTTAGGCCTGCCGCTAATCAGTGATTCATTCCTGTAAACTCCACTCTAAGCTCCTTGAGGGCAAAACCAGGCGCTCTCACACACTGGGTGCTCAACGAATACTGAACGAGGGAATCTCAGCATAGCTGGTGCTCAAACATTGCTTTCTGATGAACTGACTTAAATATTAGCTCTTTTTGTAACATTAGGACCAGCTGAAACCGATTAACCATTACTTAAGTTGTTACAGCGAGGCAGAGCCAAAATCTCCCGGGCGTGTGCAAGAGGGAAAGCTTTCTAATTGTGAACACCGCGCGCCCCGCAGAAGGCTGCATTGGCATCACCTGGGACTGGTTAGAAATGCCAAAAACGCCTGACCCGCTCCCAGGTCCAGAAGACAGATTTAAGCTTTGCCTCTTGTCTCCTTGCCAGTTGACTGGCAATAGAAGTTTTTCTTTTCTCAAAAGCCTGTGCCACAGTTTGGTTTCTGTGTGCCTCAGGTTACGAGCCCATTGCTCAGTGACACTTTCAGTCAGTGTATCGTCTTCACTGTGCAATGCTCTCTACTAAGCTGAGAGCAAAGAGTAAGAGAAAATGAAATTTCTGCCCTGCGAGAGCTCACACAGTATGGAGTTGTGTGGCTGTCTTAAAGGCTGTTCGGGGAGGGCAGGTAGAGAAGCCCGGCAGCGCTTTCCCTTGGGCCCCGCTATGCTTTAAACATATCTCTAGATTGCAATTATCCACCTCACTGTAAAGCCTTTCCTGACTATCCAAATTAAAAGTGCTGCCCACCCACCCACGGGAACACCTCCTAGTTCCTCCTCTGCTTTATTTTTCTCTTTGCACTCACCACCATCTGATAGACTGTGTGCCTCTTATTTCATGTATTATCCTCTCCTGTAAAATGTCAGCAGCATGAGGGCAGCTGGTCTGTTTTGTTCCCTATGCCCAGCACCTAGTTTAGGATTTGACACATGGTAGCTATCCAGTAAATAATTGTTGAATTAAGAAATGAATCCTTTTGTTTGTTTCTCCACCTAGACTGTGGGGCAGTACACATCCTTGCAGTACCCAGCGCAAAATAAGTGCACAATTAGTGGTTATTGGATGAAGAAGTGGTTCGAAATGGTCCATGGTGGTAGGCCCCTGATTTGCTAATGTGATGAGATGTTGGACGAAAGAAAGAATCCCAGCCCTGTCAAGAGACTTTTCATGTATGCTATTGGTTCTCTATCATTATAAAATTATACGGTGATGATTCTGGCTTGTTGCCAGAGATTATTGCATCCCCCGCTAGGGTACTGACCTTAAGAATATCCTCATAAACAGCATACTCATCAGGTTCCCACCCCAAAAAGCCCCAGTCCTCTATCTAGATAGTTACCACTTGTAATTCAGAGTGGGTGAACTTTTTGATGCAACAGTTACTAAGTGGCTTCAAATTCTGTCACTTTTTTTTTTGTCCTGCCTAGTCTTTTAATTAAATGCCCGAGGAAGATAGTAATAATATCAGCTGCTATTATTTATGTAGCACTTTCTGTCTACTGTCACCAAGCATGCTTCTGAGTACATTACATGCAATGATTGGCTCATTTAATCCTTACAACTATTTGGGGGTTTCAAGTTACAAATGAGGGAATTGAGGCACAAACTGGAATGCTCATACAACTGGGAAGAGACAGAGCCAAGATTTTAACCCAGGTTGTTCAGCACCATCTGAGTTTTAACCCACCATAGGGTAGACTCTCCAGAACAGAAAATAAGAAGTGCAGAAGTGCAGTAGGGGTCCCCCCACCCAAGCAGTGTAGGAGCATGGTCTGTGTTGGGAGAGAGGGATGACTTGTGTTCAAGATCTCACCTGACCCCAGTCTGCTGCTCTCCCTGTCCAATGGTGGGGGGATGAAAAGGTTCTGGCACAGCCATAACTTTTTTAAAAAAATAATTGTGCTTATTATTATTGTTAAATAGACTATTTGAAGATTTCAGATGAACATATACAACATGGAAACTTTTAGCCCAATTGGAAAAAAGTAAATAAAAAGAAAACGTGGAACTCCAATCTTCTTATTCCATATAGATATATCCCCTTTGAGGAAATGGAGGGCTATGGAAAGAAAATCTCACAGGAGATCAATTGGAGTGGTCCTAATGATGATGGTAAGCAGCATCTGCTTTCAAAAAGATTCGTTATATAAACTATGTTTCAACTTACAGAACTTCTGAAACACATCTATTGGGTGTCGTGTATTTCCTACCCTATGCCTAGATTCTTGCTAAGGAAAAATACGCAAAGGGCAGCAAAAGTCAATAAAACTCATTACCGGGATTTATTTCGTAAATGAATACACCAATAAACCAGCTCTGCATGGCTGCCATAATTGCTTCCTAGTTCCTTGAGAACCACATTTGGAGACCTGGACGCTTTCAGATTAATAACCTCTGCAAAGGAGAGAAAAACAGACTTTGGATCCATCAGATTTGGGTAGAATCCAGCCTACCACTTACCAGCTGAGTGACTTTAGGCAAATTGTATAACTTCCCATTTAAAAATTACTTATAACATTGTCATGAGATTATATAAAGTACTCAGCCCATAGTAGCACTCAATAAAAATTAGTTTCCTTGCCTTTATTAATTACTTTTCAGCTAAAGTTGCCTTTAAATTAAGACTACATTTTTCACATATGCATAATTTTGCCTTTTACCATATTGATTGCTTCCCAGAGGAACATAGCTACTAACATAAATTAAAATAAAATTTGGCATACATTGATATATATTTTAAAACTGATTTCATTTACCTCCCTAAATCCCAAAAGTGCTTTTTAAACTGGAGACTGTATTGCCAATGCATATTACTAATTACTGCTTTAAAATAAAAAGCTTTATAGAGGGTTAAATATGGTCCAGAATTAAATCTGTTTCTCTTGGTGTCCCAACCTTCTCTTATTCAATTGCAAGGCACGGATACAGATAGGAGAAGAACTGAAATTACTTGGCAGCTAGCAAATGATCAACCAATATTGTCAAAATCAAAAGTCTCAATGCAAATATTATTGGACAAACAAGGAAATGTGAAATAATTTGCTGTCCCAATTATCAACTGCTGTATAACAAACTACCCCAAAACTTAGTGGCTTGAAACAACAACCACTTTACTATATCTCACAATTTTGTAGGTTAGGGCTTTGAGCAGGGCTCAGCTGAGTGACTCTTCTGTTCCATGTGCACTGACTGGGGTCACTCAGTGGAATTTAGCTGGTGAAGGTGAATGGCCTGGTTTGGAGGGTCCTGGATAACTTCACCCATGTCTTTGCCCATTCGGTTTGCTGTAATAAAATACCATAGACTGAGTGGCTTATAAACAACAGGACTTTATTTCTCACAGTTCTGGAGGCTGAGAGAGAAGTCCAAGATGAAGGCATCAGCAGATTCGATGTCTGGTGAGATCCTGCTTCCTAGTTCATAGATAGTGACTTCTCAATGTGTCCACACCTGGTGGAAGGGAAGAACAAACAAAACAAGTCCCTAAGTCTCTTATAAGGGCACTAATCCCATTGATGAGGGTTCCACCTCATGACCTAATCACATCCCAAAGGCCCCACCTCCTGAAACTATCACATTGGTGATTAAGTTTCAACATATGGCTTTGGGGGAACACAAACATTCAGACCATAGCATCTCATGTCTAGTGCACTGGCAGGGATGCCTTGAGGGTGGGACTGAACTTGAGGGTTATCAACCAGAGCCCTACATGTGGCCTCTTCATCATGGTGGTTTTTGGGAAGTCAGACTTCTTATAGTGGAGGCTCAGGGCTCCAAAAGCAAATGTTCAAGAAAAAGAAACAAGGCAGAAGCTAGAAGTCTTATGACATAATCTCTAAACACCCAGAACGTAATTTCCACAACAAGCCTAGATTCAAAGATAGGGGTGGTATATTCTACCTCTCAATGGGAGAAACAGCAAAGAATTTCCAGACATCTTCTATCTGCCGCCCTTGTTTTCATGAAAGAAAGTGGCATTACAGGATAGGCGCAGTGGCTTCTGTCTGTATTCCCAACACTTTGAGAGGCTGAGGTGGGTAGATCAGTTGAGCCCAGGAGTTAGAGAGCAGCCTGGCCAACATGGTGAAACCCCATCTGTACTAAAAATGCAAAAAATTAGCCAGTGTGATGGTGCATACCTGTAGTCCCAGCTACTCGGGAGGCTGATGCAGGAGAATCACCTGAGCCTGGGAAGTTGAGGGTGCAGTGAGCTGTGATCGTGCCACTGTACTCCAGCCTGGGTGACAGAAACTGTGTGTCAAAAAAAAAAAAAAAGCCATAAAAGAAAGTGGCATTACATAAACAAAGTTAGTAAAAACTTCTGTATTGTTTGTCCATTGTTCATGGAGAAACATACGTTATTATCAGCATTAAGGAAATTTGTGATGAATACCAGTAGTCAGCCACCAGATGTCCAATTTACAGAAATATTCAAAATAATATGATCCAGAGATATACAAACTTTTTTCATCTGATTATCGTTATTTTTAAATATTGTCCAGTATCCAGGTGAGCTATACCCAGCATAGAGAAGTAAAGCCCATGCACCTAACATCTTTTTAACAAATATTTATTAGTGACCTACTAGGTGCTGGGTGCCATATTAGGTACTGAGGATATAAGGTGACCAACGAGAATGTGCTTCATGCCCTCCAGGTCTGTGGGCTTTGTAGTATAGCGGGAAAGGCAGACAGATAAACAATAAGGATAGAGGATGAGAAGTACAATGATCAGCTGTCCTTGTTAGGGTAAGCTAACTGCTAAAATGAAGTCCCAAATTATAATGGCTCAAATACAATAGTAGCTTATTTCCTACTCGGTAAACAGTCTGACTAAGGTACTTCTAGGTTTTGGGTGGGGTGGGTGGGGAGGAAGAACCACAGTCCTCATTCCTTCAGGAATCAGGCTGGGGGAGGCTCAGCTCCAGGTTGTTGAGGTTGCCCTGAGCATGGACACCTCGGGCAGATAGATAAGGAAAGAACCCGGAGACTCCCTCATGGGAGATTTTTATGGGAGCGGCACTTTCGGGTACAGGATGCATTCCAACACTCCCAGTGGATGCCTGAAATGGAGGATGGCACCAAACCCAGCCAGGATCAACTGGAACACGTTTCTGCTCATGTCTTCCACCACAAATTCAATGCCTTTTTCATCTTAAGCAAGCACTTACATCACATAGCGGCCATAACATTTGCAGTTCGAGGTGAGATAGCAAAACTAGCACAAATTTCTTTTCTCTTCTTTAGTTTCACAGAGAGATTTGGTTCTTGAAATAGATCTTAGCAACTTCAGCATACAATTTTTTTCTTTCCATATTGAGAACTTTCACTTTCTCACTTTACAGCTTCTCTTTGGAATATCCCAATTGCCCGCATCATTACTATTGCACAGAGGGGCCATTACTAGATAAAATAAGGGTGATCCAACTCAAACACTGCAATGTCATGACAGCCAATCTGATAACCTAGATGGCCACAAAGTGACCAGCAGGCAGGCGTGTAGACAGCATGGATATGCTGGACAAGGGATGATTTGTGTCATTGGAGAGGACAGGGCAAGACAGCATGAGATTTCATCATGCTACTCAGAATAGCACAAATGTAAAATTTATGAATTGCTTATTTCTGGAAATTTCCATTTAATATTTTTGGATGGAGACTGATAGTGGGTAACTGAAACCACAAAAAGTGAAACTGCAGATAAAGGGAGCCTACTGTACCTTCCTTTGGCCAGAAATCAGTCACAGAGTCTCTCCTAATTGCAAGACAGGCTGGAAAATGTAGTCTTTGTGCTCCGGAAAAAAAGGAACTGGGTTTCGAGAGCAGTGGCCGACACAGCTTTGTACAAAATAATTTTAGAGGGCAAATAGGTGATGGCCAAGCCCAGAGCTTTTGTAAAGAATCCCAACTAGGGTAAACCAGACAGCTGAACTGATTTAAATGACATATTTTTGGATTGTATAATACATTCTGTTTTTTAAAACGAGCCGTTCTTAATCTTACACCTGATTCCAAGAGTTATCTAAGAATACAGGGAGAGACTGGTGATAGAGTGGGTGTGGTTGATGTTTTCATCTATAACAATTTATTACTGATACAACTTCTTAGCTGAGTTATAATTGGAAGGGGAGTATGAGAATTGTGTACACACTTGTTGTTTGGTAAGGTCCTTAAAAAGACTAATTGCAATGGAAAAAGCAATTTGGCAAGGAAAATTATCCTGGCACCTGACTCAATCTTGACTGATTGCTAAAAGCACCAGTGTAATAAATGTGTTTGGTCTGAATGATGGAAAAGAAAACAACCCTGCAAGTAGAGCTTCTGTCACCTTAGGCACCTGTGATATCATGAAAGCTTTCGTTTCAAACTGTTGGTAGAAATGGAATTTTTTTCTAATACTATATGTTGAAACCTTCAAGCTTCTTTTTTTCTCCCCCAAAGAACTGTACCTGTCATTTCATTCTGAGGCTCCATCTCTGTAAGGAGTCTAGACATCCAGTGGGAATGGGCACACAGGGACTTCAGAAATCAAGTCAGCTTGCTTTCTGCAAGTAAATCCATCTTCTTTTGCTAACTTTCTTATATTAAAAAACAATAAAAAATCAACACCACCCCAAACCAAGCAAATCCCAGTGTCAGTGTGGGCAGCCAACTAAGACATGGCTGTTTGATGATTTTGGAGTTGGTGCAAATGCTACGTTTGAGTTCCAACTCTGCCTCTTACTTGCTGTCACCACTATTCCAAACCTCCACTTCCTTATCTGGAAAGTGGGAATAATCACGCCTAGCTCACTGAGTTACTGTGATTAGATATACCAGCAGATACTTGATAAATGGTAGCTATGATTATTAGTTTCTGATTCCCTGGAATTCCATTCCATTTTACAAATACTGTTGAGTGCCTACTGTGTACCTGAATAAATCTGGATTCCTGCCTTTAAGAAGCTTACAACCACTAGAGGAGTGACGTGCTGAAAAAGCTTTAAAAGGTCCCAGCAATTCTGACTTGGCAGAGGGAGTTTTGGGGAAACATACCATAGAAAGACCAGCCTTTGATTAGGGCCTCACAGAGAAGGCTGAGCAAGCATGCTTCAAAGTTCCCCAAATCCATTTCTCACCTCTCCTTGCTCACCAAAAAGCCTGGCCCCGGGTAATGCTGGACCTCCTCTCTAGGAATGATTAGCCTTACATTCTAGAATTAGAAATAGACTTGAGGTATAAATAGCCCCTAGAGAAGTCACAGTGCAATAAACAATCCCATTAAGTTTTAAATGTCGATACGGATCCTTTCTTGTCGAAAATGGACAAAAAGTTTACAAAAAGAAAATTAATATGAAATTATTCCACAACTTCGCTATTTTTAGCTTAGTTAGAACAATGGGCACTGTTAAATTGTTTAGCCTAAAGCTCCCTCCTTAGTATTTCAAGTTCAGCCTAAAGGTTGCTCCGGGTATAGTGAACTGTAACCTCACTGGATGTGTTAGGTTACAGTTCAGCCAATCACAGGCCAACTGCTCAACCCAATGTTGAAATAAGGCAGCTGTGCAGCTGTGCCCAAACCAACTGTTTCTGTACGTCACTCCCCTTTTCTGTACGTCACTGCCCTTTTTCTGTCCTTCAATGTTATCCAGACATGTGGCAGCCCCAGAGTTGCTCTGAACCTATTCTGGTTCTGGGAGCTGCCTGAGGCAAGAATCATTCTTTGCTCAATTAAACTCTGTTAAAGTTCATTTATCTAAAGTTTTTCTTTTAATAGCACCAAGTTAGATATCTATAATACCCACATTTTTTGGATTGCTTATTTTTGTCCAGCATGATCCTTTATATACATCATTTCATTGGATCTTTGTACAACTCTATAAATTATTATTGTCCCTATTTTACAGATGGCAAAAACTGAATCCTAGAGAGGCAGCCTATAAATCTGGCACAATATATATGAGGATCTGAACTCAGATCTGAGTTCCATGCCCTAACTTTTGATTACTGCCTAATGGGTAAATCTGGGGAAGACATCAAACATTTAAACATAAACCTCAAAGTCCATATTTTTACCTTTAGGTAAATTAATATTCATTCACTGAAAACAGATTATTTCTTCTGTTCTTAAATGTTCTCTAGGTTAGTGACTCCTAAAACAACTCCTGTAGTTCAGTCTAGTGATTTCTATGGCCATGATATTAAATTACATTATTTGTGTGTGTGTGTGTGTGTGTGTGTGTGTGTGCATGTTTGCCTGTTTTCACAGTCAGCCTATACTCATTCATTTTGCTTTTAATAAAATCCAGACCCTGCACAACACTTTATTTATTTATTTATTTATTTATTCATTATACTTTAAGTTCTGGGGTACATGTGCAGATGTGCAGGTTTGTTACACAGGTATACATGTGTCATGGTGGTGTGCTGCACCCATCAACCCATCATCTACATTAGGCATTTCTCCTAATGCTCTCCCTCCCCTAGACTCACACCCACCGACAGGCCCCGGTGTGTGACGTTGCCCTCCCTGTGTCCATGTGTTCTCATTGTTCAACTCCCACTTATGAGTGAGAACATGTGGTGTTTGGTTTTCTGTTCTTGTGTTAGTTTGCTGAGAGTGATGGTTTCCAGCTTCATCCATGTCCCCACAAAGGACATGAACTCACCCTTTTTTATGGCTACATAGTATTCCATGGTGTATATGTGCCACATTTTCTTTATCCAGTCTATCATTGATGGGCATTTGGGTTGGTTCCAAGTCTTTGCTATTGTGAACAGTGCCACAGTAAACATACGTGTGCATGTGTCCTTATGGTAGAATGATTTATAATCCTTTGGGTATATACCCAGTAATGGGATTGCTGAATCAAATGGTATTTCTAGTTCTAGATCCTTGAGGAATTGCCACACTGTCTTCCACAACGGTTGACCTAATTTACACTCCCACCAACAGTGTAAAAGCGTTCCTATTTCTCCACATCCTCTCCAGCATCTGTTGTTTCCTGATTTTTTAATGATCGCCATTCAAATGGGCATGAGATGTTATTTTTAACATTTAAAAAATTATTATGGGCCAGGCACAGTGGCTCACACCTGTCATCCCAGCAACTTGGGAGGCCAAAGCGGGGTGATCACCTGAGGTCAGGGGTTCAAGACCAGCCTGACCAACGTTGTGAAACCCCGTCTCTACTAAAAATACAAAAATTAGCCAGGCGTGGTGGTGGGCACCTATAATCCCAGCTACTCAGGAGGCTGAGGCAGAAGTATCGCTTGAACCTGGGAGGCAGAGGTTGCAGTGAGCCAAGATTGCACCACTGCACTCCGGCCTGGGTGACAAAGTTAGACTCCATCTCAACAAAAAATATTATCATGAAATAATATTTGTCTCATATAAGGGTATATAAGAATAACATAATGAGCACATGTACCCACTACCCAGTTAAAAAATAAAACTATCAATAGAAGTTTCTGTATATGTATGCCCAGTCTCATTCTCCTCCCTCCCCCGCCATCACTGCAAAAGAAACCTCTATCTAGAATTTTTACATTATTTTTATGAATTCTAGAAGTCTGTTTTTCTAAAAAAGTGAGAAAAGTTGGGTAGCATGGCTTTGGCTGGATTTTCAAAGGAAAATGGAGTTGTAGAACCTTTTTTTTTTTGTTTCTACTAAAGTTTTTGTCATTTCTTACAAACTTGTTACAAACCAGTCATTGTAGGGCTAAGAAATCTGGGATAAAGTTAAATTAAAAATTTTGTATTTTCCAAAATTCTGCAGAAAACTTAAAGACATTTTCTTACATCACAGCTTAGAGGCCAATTTCCCCTTTTATATCTTGTCTAATAACTCTCCATTATTAGAAAGTGCAGAAAAAATGCTTTTGATGGCTTTCGGGCATGTTTGTGTAATACTTTATTAAGTGCCATCTGCCTTTGCTTTATTAATGTTTTATTAAGGGCCATCTGGTTGTTGCTACCGATCATATAGACTCTGAAATGAATCCGTTCTCACCCATTAATAAATTATCAAGTGTCATCATTAGCAAAGAAATTAAACTGAGCAGAACAAAGAGCAGAGGGGCAGGACACCCATGTCCCAAGGCTGCCCCCAGCTGGTTTTGTGGTCAGCACAGTCCCTCTACTTCTCTGATCCCTTGTGTTTCATCTGAAAATTAAAGGTTAAACTCGGTCTCTGAGGTTACTCAAACTTTAAAATTTGGAGTAAAAAACTCAACTGCAGTGCGTGGACCAAAAACTCTGGTGTGCAGGGGAGAGGATTCTGCTTAGGACAACGGAGAAACACCTGCTGGGCTGTGCCTGGAGGTAATAGAAGAATGGTAAGATTTAGCATAGGGGGAGAGGGAATAGCATTAAGGGGAGCCAGGTGAAATGCCATGTAAGGTGTAGCGGAGGGAAGGGAACTGAGATTGTAAAGATCAGCTGAGACCAGACGGGGGAACAGCCTTGCATGTCAACGGGGAGGAGTCATTTAGATCTTTTATCTACACCGTTTTCCCCCTTCTTGCCCTAAGCTCTCTTTAGTCCTTGGGACCCATTCAAATGGGCCTAGCCAAATGGATTGTTATCTCCAGTAAGTTAAGTGTTACCCTCAAAGTAGAGGTTCCCAAGTGGTACAGCACACAAGTGATAAGTGGAACTAGAGACTGAGGTTGTCAACCCTTGAAACGTCAGCCTCTGGCTGGTTGCTGAATGAACGCTTTTATTTTCTATGTGTGCCATGCTATGACAAAGATTGGGAGCACCACCTTAAAGCAATCTGGTTCACCAAATTAATTTGCTTATGAAATGGCTTTCATCAGCAGTTCCAGCAGAAACAGCATTTATATTACATTGTATTATATTGTGTTATTCTATCATACTGTGTTAGTTAAGTGAATGAGTGAAGATAAAGAGAGAAAATTCACTCAACACATTCATTGAGCCCCTGGTATGTGCTTGGCACTGTCCTAGGCACTGGAGATACAGCCAGGAATAACAGACACAAACAGACCTAAGTGACTGCTGTCATAGAGCTCATGCTCTAATGGGCAAAAAATATACTTCTTGTTCCTGGTACAACCTGAAAGGGACCTGGAAGTCGTTGCTCTATCCTAACAAGTTAAAAAGCTGAACAAACTCAAAGTCAACAACTCTTCTTAGAATTGTCAGAGAAATGAGATCACAAGAAAAACCATTGTCTTGGAGAGACAGACATAGATTCAGAGACTCACAACTTACCAGAGCAGAAACCACAGGAACCATTGCTTGCATGGGAAACCCTGAACTGTAACTGATGAACTGCTGGAAGCTCAGGGTGGACAAGTCTGAGAGTTAGAAACTCTCTACACTTCTGTGAGTTTTACCTCTAGGAGCTCTAACCAGGTTCTCACAGGGAATATCAGAAAAACTCCCCTCATTCTTGCAGCGGGAGGCGGGGAACGTAGCCATTTTGAAACATGCCAGAGCATTCTGTTCTTAACGAGGCCTGTCTTCAAGAGAAACTGTTTCACCAAAGCCTAAACGATTGGGGTTTTATCAGAGCCTAACTCAACTCCAGTCCCCTCTAGCCATTCTGCCCCACATAATGGGGGGAGGGAACTAAGTTTCACAGCCCAGGACATAGGCTCACTAAAGACTGATTAATAGGACTATAGAACGCCTCCCCCAGCCCTATACCTCTCCACCACATCACTAAAAGCTTATTTTCCACAGTTCCTCTTTCTCAGTACATCATGTTCAGCTTTCAACAAAAAATTGCGAGGCATGCTGAAAAGTAAAAAACTAAACAAAACAAAAACACACGCATGCAATCTGAAAAGACAAAGCAAGCATCAGCACCAGACACAGATATGGCAGGGATGTTGAAATTATCAGCCCAGGAATTAAAAATTCACTATAATTAATATGGGAAAAGTAGACAACATGCAAGAACAGATGGATAATTTTGGCATAATAAAATAGATTTGGTCTATGTCCCTGGTTCCTGGCACAGAGCTCCTAAAACCCTTGGAACTCCTGCACGGTAAGTTTGTTTTTGGTGTTTAATGACATGGCTCTTGGCTGAGGGTCCATAGATGACTTCAGAATGGGACTTGTCCCAGAAAGACCAAACCATGTGATTAGAGGGTTGGAACTTTCAGCCCTACACCCAAGCCCCAGGGAGGGAAAAGGGGCTGGAGATTGAATTCAATCACCAATGGCTGACGATTTAATCAACCATGCCTACATCATGGAACCTCCATAAACACTCCTAAATGATGAGGTTCACAGAGCTTCCACATTGGTGAACACATTGAGGTACTGGGTGTGCCTGGAGAGGACAGGAAGCTTTGTCTTCCTCCCTCCACCCATATCTTGCCCTATGCATCTCTTTTGTTTGACTGTTGCTGAGTTGTATCCTTTATGATAAACTGTTAATAGTAAGTATAGCCTTTCCTGAGTTCTGTGAGTCATTCCAGAGAATTATTGAACCTGAGGAGAAAGTCGTGAGAATCGCCACATTTGCAGCCCGGTTACACAGAAGTGTGGGTTACTTGGAAACCTGATACTTGCAACTTGTAAGACTCAGCTCTTCACCTGTGGGGTCTATGCTAACTCTGGGAGTTGATTTCAGAATGGGATTGAATTGTTGAACGCCCAGCTGGTGTCAGAGAATTGCAGAATCAGAGAACTGGTTGGTGCCAGAAATCACCCCAGAAAGAACCTAAGAGTAATATAAGCAGAGAGATGAGAATTCTATGAAAGAACCAAAAAATGCTAGAGATCAAAAATACTGTAACAGAAATAAAGAATGCCTTTGATGGGCTCATTCGTAGACTGGACACCACTGAGAAAAGAAGAAATCCTCTGAGCTTGAGTATACATCAATAGAAACTTCAAAACCAAAAAGCAAAAAGAAAAAAGGCTGAAAAAAAAAAAAGAACTGAATATTCCCAAACTGGGACAACTGCAAAAGGTGTAACATTAGCGTAATGGAAATATAAGAAGAGAGAGAGAGAGAACCAGAAGCAATATTTAGAGCAACAATGACAGAATTTCCCCAAATTAACATCAGACAGCAAACCACAGACCCAGGAATATCAGAGAACACCAAGCAGGATAAATGACAAAAAAACTAAAGCTAGGCGTATCGTATTGAAACTTCAGAAAGCCAAAGATAAAGAAAACATCTTGAAAAAAACAAATATAAGGCATGTCAGGTAACTGTAAATGCTAAAAGGAACAAAATAAAGGAAAGGCCAAAGAGTTACATGGGGCAACTTTTGGAATTTTTGATATAGTGGTCAAGGAAAGCCTCCCCGGAAAGGAGACCTTTCAGTCAGATTATTATGAGCTCTTCAATTTGTGGTGGACACATTAATGTTTTTGTTTATTTAGAGTCAGCAGAAACAGCATTTATATTACATTGTATTACATTGTTTTATTCTATCATATTGTGTTATGTTAGTTAAGTGAATGAGTGAAGATAAAGAGAGAAAATTCACTCAACACATTCATTGAGCCCCTAATATGTGCTTGGCACCGTCTGAAATAGGTCCTTTGGTGCAGTAGAAGGAATGTAACCAGGCTTGCATCCTGGTTCTGCCACTTACTGGCTGTGTGACCTTGAGCAAGTTGCCTGAGTTTTTGGGCCTCTATTCTACTTCTACAGATTGTACCGCTAGTTGGTATTTATAGGTTACAGAAGGGTACCCCAGAGAGCTTGGAAAAGAGTGTCAAGACTGTCCTGGGAGGGCTTACTTGGATGCTCCACACTCACTTGATGTGAAAAGGTCCCAGATGCCTGCAAAACTGCTCCCGTACCTGCCTGGCTGCAGGAACCTTTCTAAAGAAAGGAAAGGCCAAGAGGAAGGGAGGCAAGGGACACCTAAGAAGAATCTCTAAGTCTTGTCCTAGTCAATCCTGTTCCAGCTCCACTGGAGAGCCTGAGAGCATCCCTGACGTGAATGGAGGTCGTGGCCTGGCTATTATCATCCCATTTGAAAAACTTCACCTGATGCAGTCCCCTTGTCTTCAGTTCATGCGCAACAGCCCCTTGTTCATGAGGGCTGCCGGCAGAAATAGAATGAGCTGGTGACACGAGCTTTGGGTATCCCACGCCTGGGATGGGAATTCTCCCATTGCTCCTAAATACAGAATCCCAAGTCCTTGCATCCTCTGGCCCCTGCCCACCTCTCCCTTCACTCTGTGAGGAAGGTGCCTTGCTGGCCCATCCTCAGTTCCTCAGAAGTGCTGAGTGCCTTCCATAGGGGCTGAATCCACAGGGGCCATTTCTGTTCCCAACTCTTCATGTGGCTGCATCTTGCTTAGCTTCACATCTCAGCTTAATCTTCTCTTTCTCTACCCAGCATTCTTTGACCCACAGGTTTAAGGTCTCATTTATTTATTCTCATAGCTTTCCTCATAGTAATTTTCTTAATTGTAATTAATGAACTGATTGTGTGTTTGTTTACTGTCTGTTTTATGTAGGTTCCATAAAGGGTAGAGTCATGCCTGTCTTTGCTCACTGCTGTGTCCTCAGTGTCTCACACAATGTCTAGCACAGAGTCGGCACTCCACAGATATCTGTTGAATGCATAAATAAAGAATGAACAGTCAACTGTGGCTGTGGGTTAGAGTTAACTTTCGGTTCAGTCATTGGCATAGTACCTGGCATGCATTTGGTGCCTAATAAATGATAGCTGTTGATTTCATGGGCATATTTCTTGTCAGATTCTAGTAGTTTCCATGACTAACTTGGTTTTATATCTTTGCAAAGACAGCTGGGATTATAGGGATGGATTTCCATGTAGTTCAGTAATATTTCAGAAATCTAGTTGTAGAACTTAGAAAGGTATTTCTTTCTGACTGGTTGCCCGGTTGCCTCTTCCTCTGTGCGCTAATATATCTTTTATTTATAAAAGAGGCTGTTCAATGAGACTTGATCTTAATAGATAAAGAATCTAATTGCTATGGACTTGGCAATTACAGCCAATGAGACACCCAATAGCATTCAAGGACCTATGGGGTTGGGGTGAGGTAGATGTAGTAGTTGCTGATTATAGACAATGGGAATTGCATTGTTACAGAATACCATGCTCTTAACCCAAGGTGGGCTATGCAAGCCAAAACTCAAAAACAGGTAAACTTGTTCTTCTCACCTCCATCCCTGAAAAGTCTGTCTTGTTCTCCTGGAAACTCGTCAGTGACAATAAAAAAAATGTTTTTCCATCTTCTTTTCTTTATAAACTCAATTCCATTAGGCACTTTAAGCCCTTGTATGTAATCCAATTCAGTGTTTGCTCTTACATGGCTGTTTAAATCATTTGGGCCTTAATTCTGTTCTATGATTTAGACATCTCAAGTTATATATATCATCATTTGAAACACATTGAGAAACATTACTTCATAGCTTAGGATAAAGCACTATTATTATTTTTACATTTTAGTGCAAATCATAAATCCAAATATTTGTAGCCTTCCTTTTAGTATGGTTTATGACTAATTCATTTTAATTATATTCCTATTTGATGGCAATTCATATTCTTCCATCTACCAATTTGATATCAGTTCTTATTTTTGTATGTTTTATGGAGACTCTCAGCTTCAGATATATTATGCAGATCTAACGAATTTTTAAGGCTAATTAAGAGTCACAGTCATGTTGTAACTTGTCAGTATAGCTCCCTCTCTCCCCCACCTTTCTAAGAGCCTGTGTCTTCTAAAATAGTGATGGCATGGCCTCTTAGGTTTTGTCAAGTAAGGGAGCTTAAATATATCTATGAACACATCCCCTGAAAGAATTCTCTCTAGAATCTGGTGCTTTCCTTCTGCCTTAGTGTTAACTCCATTTGTCTGCTATGGAAAGTTCTTGACCCCTCCTTCCTGAGGTTACCAGAAAGCTCAAATGCTGCAACCACATCTTTCCTAGTTCCCAGCATAACCACATCCTTGCTTTTTCACAATTTCCAATTTCTTTTAAATTTTCCTGTGTTTACATAGAGGTGTGTCTCTTAGATGCACAAATGTCTTTTGAAGGTATGTGAAATCTAGAATATAAAAACATTTACCCTGCTTCCTTTAGGAGGAGAAAATGTTGTCTTTCTGAGAGACTCCTGTATCAGTACAGTCTGAGCGATGAGGGACTCCCAGGCCCTGCTCATCCTCCAACTCCTTTCTAACTCCATCATGGCTGCTCCAAAGAAGTCATCTCTTTCCACGTCATTTCCTGTTGGCATCACTCATTTGCTCCTTAACATGAACAGTATCATATTCACTTTATTGGTCTGTCTTCCCTCTCCCTCCCTCCCTCCCTTCTTCCCTCCCTCCCTCCCTTCCTCCCTCCCTCCCTCCCTTCCTCCCTCCCTTCCTTCTTCCCTCCCTCCCTCCCTTCCTCCCTCCCTTCCTTCCTTCCTGTCCATCTTTCACCTTAAGCCCTCGAAGAAGGCCCAGGACCTCCCAAAATACTTCATGCTTTTCCCACAACTTCAATTTTGTGCCACGTCTGGCTTTAAGATCCTGGGTCTGCAAACTTACTCATGCTTACCAACTCCTTCCTTTTTTAAAAAAAATTTTTTTAAATTAATTATATATTTATTTATTTAAGATGGAGTCTCGCTCTGTCACCCAGGCTTGAGTGTGGTGGTACGATCTCTGCTCACTGCAACCTCTGCCTCCCAGGTTCAAGCAATTCTCCTGCCTCAGCTTCCTGAGTAGCTGGGATTACAGGCGCATGCCACCACACCTGGCTAATTTTTGTATTTTTAGTAGAGACGGGGTTTCACCATGTTGGTCAGGCTGGTCTTGAACTCCTGACCTCATGATTCGCCCAACTCGGCCTCCCAAAGGGCTGGGATTACAGGTGTGAGCCACTGCACCCGGCCATAACACTTTCCTTTCTTTAGAGCTGATGCAGATGTGAAACCCAGCCCCTGTCTTTCATTTACACAAATACTACCCACACAAGGCATGTGTGTATGGGGGATGTTTCTGAATGCTGGGGGAAATGGAGTTTGCAAGGAAGCAAAACAAGCAACTAAATAATGCATAATAGGTGGCCCTGGGATTTTGCCATCTCTGTGGTTTCTTTGTCTTCTGGTGATCCATACCTTTGGGGTGTCATATTTCACCCGCAGTGTTTCATCAAATTAAATTTCCCAACAAAAACAGTTCCTTTCCCAAGAGGAATTCCAATACCAAGTCTGTTGGTACATTTTTCTCATGCTGTTACAAAATATTATATGGACACATTAACTTCTGAACTCTATCGTAAGTCTAGGAAAGCAAAGACCTTCTTTCAGATTTCTTAGTAACTCAGGAAACAGGAAGGTGATGGATGTTGATCATTTGCTATGTCCAGTACACTGCTAGTTAATTTTTTGATATATGTTATTTTACTAATTTCTGTACTATAAAATCAGTGTGATGATATCCGTTTAATTAGGAAGCTAAAGCTCAGATATGTTAACTAATTTGCCTAAAAATCATATCGCTTGGAATGCAAAATCAACACAAACGTGTGAAGTGACAGGATTTGATGATCCTTCAAGCTTGCAAGGAGCTGCTGGGGACGCCTTGAGGTTGCTGTCCTCCTTCCCTACCTGCCTGCCCCAAGCAGCCTCTCAGAATCTCTGCTAAGGGCCAGCGCGGTGGCTCACGCCTGTAATCCCAGCACTATAGGAGGTGGGAGGCTGAAGCTGGGCGGATTGCTCGAGGTCAGGAGTTTGAGACCAGCCTGGCCAACATGGTGAAACCCCGTCTATACTCAAAATACAAAAATTAGCTGGGCGTGGTGGCGGGCACTTGTAATCCCAGCTAGTTGGGAGGCTGAGGTGGGAGAATCACTTGAACCCAGGAGGTGGAAGTTGCAGTGAGCCAAGATCATGCCACTGCACTCCAGCCTGGGTGACAGAGTGAGATTCCATCTCAAAAAAAAAAAAAAAAAAAAAAAGGCCAGGCACAGTGGCTCACGCCTGTAATCCCAACACTTTCGGAGGCTGAGGTGGGCTGATTGCCTGAGGTCAGGAGTTTGAGACTAGCCTGACCAACATGGTGAAACCTCGTCTCCACTAAAAATACAAAAATTAGCCGGGCGTGGTAGCGGGAGCCTGTAATCCCAGCTACTCGGAAGGCTGAGGCAGGAGAATGGCTTGAACCTGAGAGGCAGAGGTTGCAGTGACCTGAGACCGGGCCATTGCACTCTAGCCTAGGCAACAAGAGTGAAACTCCATCTCAAAAAAAAAAAAAAAAAAAAAGAATCACTGCTAAGAAGGAGTTGTGATATGGAAGAGCTCCTGGGGTCCAGGCCACAGTGGACGTGGTGGCGGTACTTCTAAGAAAAGAGAAGTCTTCAAAATGAGAAGATGCAGGGACCTGAGTCAGATTGTGTCTGTCACCAGGAGCCAGTTCTGGGTTTAATTGTCACTTGTTTTAACTTTTTATTTTGGAAAAACATCAAACCTATACCAAAAAGATAGATCAGTGTAATAAACTCCCGTGTCCACCATCCTCCTCGATAATTATCAACATATAAGCAATCTTGTTTCATCTGTACCCAGCTCCCCACTCCCAACTATTTTATTTTGAAGCAAATCCTAGGTTTCATCTTATAACCAGGTTTTTGATATGTGATCAAGAGTTTGTTTTTATGTCATTTAAAAATTCGATTAAAATTAAATCCTTAATGGATCGCCTTAATTAAAACTTCCTGCAGCAGGTATAAGTTCTATTAAGCAAATGAGCCTGGTAATATGAAAATCAAAAGGGCACTCTGTCAGCCTCATTCTCTTTTTCTTAGGTCACTATTCCCACTTCCTGCTCTAAAGGTGATTTACTTTCTGAAGAAATTGGATGCAAATTATGTTCTTTCATTTCTTAAAAGACTGGAAATTCATTTATATGTGTGTATACCTATAGTCATAGAGATGGTGCCAAAAAGTAAAAAATCGTGCACCAAACTATTAACAGTGTTTTCTTGGGGTGGTGTGAACTCAGGAAATTTTCAGTTTATTCTTCCTTTTAGCTTATAATTATTAAAAATGTTTCTAGTTCTATAAATAATATAATTGTTATATTCACTGTATTATATTTTAATAATTGTTTATATTTTCTCTATTTCTAAAAGTAACGAATTACTTTTATGATTAAGAAAATGAACAAAAATGCCATTAAAAATATATGAATTCGAAAGAAGCTTGTATAGAAAATAACACCTTGGCTTCCTTACACGGGTTGAACTCTTCAGTAAAAATCTAAAATGGGAGAAGTATTTTAATCAAGCAACATAATTTGGACACCCTGAAATTGTCCACATAGGCGATCCTCTAGTTTGCCTATGGATCAATCATAATCTGGCCCCGTATATTATCCGAACCAGAGACCACACCCATGGGCTGACCAAGGCTTTTAGGGATGCTTTGGAATGCAAGAAGAGGTGTAGGAAATGAAGTTTTGGAATCGAACCACTGGAAGTTTGCGGTTTTATAGATGGCTCTTAGGGGAAGAAAGGATATTTGAAAGTAGAGCTCCTCTAGAAAAATGCAGACATACAGAAAGTCACTGGCACATTTTGGAGCCAACCTTGCAGGTGATGTCACTGAACAGGAAGCCCACACCTAAGACTGAGCCTGAATTCCTCTGCCTCCAAGAAGCACCCCTCACCTAACCCCAGATCATTAGCTTAGCTCAAGTGTTCTTCCAGGCTCTGATGTGAGTGGTGTCTCATGGTGTGACAAAAGGAGATTAAATCCTAATGTCCTGTAGTTGCAATTTATTTTGCTTTTTGAAAAAGTTTATGAAAGCCAGGCACAGTGGCACGCACCTGTAGTCCTAGTCCCAGCTACTCAGGAGTTAGAGGCAGGAGGATCGCTTGAGCCCAGGAGTTTGAGGCCAGCCTGGGCAACATAGAGAGATCCCATCTCCAAAACAAAAGCAAAAACAAAGTTTATGAAACCATAATTCTTTTTCCAATTTTTCTGCTAAGAACATGTATTATGTGATTTAAAAAAGAAAAACAAATATATTGTGCCCTTGAATCCACTCCAGCTTCCCATCTGTTTCCCATAAAGGCTCCCTCTAAAAGGCCGGGAATGAAAAAAAAAAGATGGAGGGACAAAGAAAGAGAGAAAATGGTGGGGGAGGGAGAGAGAGAGAGAGAAAGACTGTGTATGTGCATGTGTGTCTGTAGTGGCGTTAGAATGGATTATCAATAGGTTTCAAAATGTCCCTTCTTACTCAGAAAGGGAAGGAGAGATCCAAGCAGAAGGACCAGGTTAGAGCTAGCAATCAGGTCTCAGCCTTCCCAGGGGCCTTTGTAACAAAAGGCTGGAACCCAGACATGGATAGACCAGACACTGGGGCCTAGAAGCCTGGCCAGGGAGCTTCAGACCTCAGCATCAGACCTGAGGCTGAGCAACAACAAAAAAGTAGTCATCAAAGATCTTTAGACCAAATGTATTTGTATTAAGAGACAGGCTAGTGTGAAGTAAACAAAGAAATCACAAATGGAAGACTTTTTATTTTGTTTTGTTGCACCCTTGTCCCAGTTTGTCCAAGGCTGAGGAGGTCCCTGGTTCACAGGACTTCCCAATACTAGAATTGGGAAAGTCCGGGACAAATTGGTTGCCCCAGGTGTTGGGTTCCAGGGCCCATCGACCTTGTTGGCTGGCCGACATGCAGGTTCCATCTTGGGGCATGAGACAGCTGCTCCAGCTTCCATCCTTATGCCCATGGGCAGCCAGCAGGAAAGGGGGGCAAGCACGGAGGGGTGGCCTCTTTCATTTTAAAGGGCCAACACAGAAGCTGCACGTACCACTGTGGCTCATGACTTTCTAGTCAGAATCCAGTTACGTGGCCACTCCTAGCAGGAATCTGGGAAATGCTGTCATTAGCTGGATAACCATGCACCCAGTCAAAGCTTCTCTGTTGGTTTGGATTAAGGAGAAAATAAATTTGGAGGGCATCTTGCAAGCTGCCATAGTACTGAACAGATAAACCTCAAACACCTGCCATACCCCACAACTCCCTCCTAAGTGGTCTTCCTGGATAATTGTCATGCTGGTCCCATGTGACCTCCACCTAAGCCTCAGCTGAGTGGACTGGAGCTCATCCCATGACCCAAGTGCAGCCAACTTCCAGCAGCCGATGAGACAGCCTGATGCAACAGCCTTAACATACGAGGCTATGACTCTTTCCTAAAATAACTGAAAGGCAGATACGGGAAGTTGGTTAGTCAGATGCAGAAGCTGAAAGATATCTAGAAAGAAATTAGGCAGCAGAAGCTATGAGTAGAAGCCATGAGGTAGAGCAAAGACATTCAGGTAAGAAAGTGGTTAGTAACTGCAGAATGGCAAAGGCAGAGGCAGCCAGGCCCTGTGGAGAGGATTAACTTATTCTTGAGAAGGAAAAGTTAATCTTATTGATAGAAGTGGGTGGGTTCCTGAATAATCCTCCAGTTTCATAAATGTATTAGAGTCTCTGGAGGCCCAGGAGTATGGCTGTTCCTACATTCCTACACCTTTATCTCAGTTCCCAGGGTGGGGAAGTGATACATGGTGTGTGTGTGTGTGTGTGTGTGTGTGTGTGTCTGTGTGTTGTGCCATCAATGGGCTTTCATCAGGGGAAAAAAAAAGAAAACAGAAAACCCCACTAAAAATGGCCTAACCAGAAAAGACATACATCTGTCATTTCACGTATCAAGACGTGCAGAGGAAGAGCAGTTCTGGGGCGAGTGGATTCGGAGGCTCAGAGAGATTGCCAGCAGCCTGGGCTCTTTCCACCATCTCTCGCTGCCATCCTCAGTGCCCTGGCACCATCCTCAGGCTCGCCCCTTCTTGGCCTCAGGATGACTGCAGAAACAGTCCACACCAACAGCATCCCTAGGCTGGAAAGGAGATGCTTCTCTCTTCAGCCCCTTTCTCAGATTGTGGAAAACATTTCCAAAGCTGCCAGCACATTTCGCCCTCATCTCATTGGCCAGAACTTTATCCCACGCCCATTCTGAAGGCAGCTAATGGCAGGAGCAGGAATGCTGTCTAGGCTCAGCCTGATCAGGGTCTTGGGGCTGGGAAGGGGCTCCGCCCTGCTTCAAGCACAAGGCTGCCCACATACAAAGAGAATTAAAGTTCTGCTAATAAGTAAGTAAGAAGGAGGATGAATAAATGGCTGAGGCCATCTCCAGCATCCCTGGCAGGACGTCCGAGAAGTTGGCTGGCCCTTCTGGCAGGTCCCATGCAAAGTTCCCGCCTTGTGAAATCACAGCCAGGACCTAGAGTTACATATTAGAAACTTAATTTTGCCACCTGATATATTGATTAAGTTATGGGGTATTGATACACCCTAGCCAAAGGTCAGCGTATAAACCAGGATATCAGTTTATTGATTTGTAATATAGGCTGTGCAAATCTCTCTCCAATGGCGAGAAAACTCATGTTTATCATCTGGTACACAGCAGATGAAAAACCAAATTAATATTCAGGAAGTTTCTTAGTTGAGCATAACCAAGAAACATAACATCCAAGCAAAGGATTTGAGCTGTTTTCTGCCCTTCTCTGTTGGTGCCACACATTTTCACACTCCTACCGCTTTGTACACACCCTTCTTGCCTGGATAGCTTCGTGGCCTTGCTCTGCCTGAAAAATGCCCATTCAGAGCAACTTGAATGTCATGTCTTCTGTGAAATCTTCCCTGAAATGGAACTAACTCCTCCCTTTGTTAAGTTTCTATGCGTTGTAAATATTCACAGGTGGTTACGCCCTCTCTCAATGCAGTATAATTCTCCCAGAGAGCATGAACTCCGCAAGCGGCAGAGCAGGGTCTTAGTGACCTTTGTCTACCCAGTAGATGGCATGCTGCCTCTTCTGGAGCCTAGTAGGATCTAGAAGATTGGTTCTGAGTTTGGTGTGTATAAGAATCACCCAATTCCCTCAAAGAATTTGGTTTAAAAAATCATATTTCCAGCCCCTACCCTCAGAAGGCCTAACTCACCCAGGACTCTGCATTTTAACATGTACCCAGGTGACCTTGACGCAGGGACTCAGGCCCCATTTTGGGAAACACTGGCGTGGCCCATCATGTTTCTTCAGCTCTTGCACACATTGGTCTAGTGATGGGGAAATTGTTATGTACCATGAAAAGCGCATCTTTCTCAGATGTACTGAATGGGTAGTGACAAAATCTTCCTCTCTGGTCCCTTTCCAAGGAGATCAACATGACCTCCTGCCCAAGTCAGTGTGACCACAGACAGGCAGGAGAGGTGTACAGCCTAACTCCAGACAGGCGTCTAGAAGGTGTGGGTGCTGGAGCTGAGTCTTAAGGGGAAGCAGATGTGGGAGGAGACACTTCTCAAAGAGGAACAGCATGCACAAAGGCATGGAGATCTGGGCTGAGAGTTGTTCAATCTAACACAGAAGAGAAGTAAGTGCACGTGGGGAAGCCGTGAGACATGCAGCTTACAGTACTCATGGCCGGTGAATTTATATTCACAACACAGCACCTCATAAAAGAGTAAAAACCACCTCATTCTCCACTAGGCACTATGATAAGCAATTTACATATATTATGTACAGCTGAGGACTATACAGTTCATATAGTATGTATTGGTTAGGTCTGTGTTTCTCAAACTATTTGATCTTAAGGCACCTTTATGCTTTCGAAAACTATTAAGAACCCCAAAGAGCGTTTGTTTATGTGGATTAAATCTATTGATATTTATCATATTAGAAATTCAAACAGAAATTTTAAAATATTAATTCATGTAAAATATCAATAATAACCTATTATATGTTAATGAAAACACTCTTTTGGGGGGTGGGGGTGGGGACAAGGTTTCACTCTGTTGTCCAGGCTGAAGTTCAGTGGCTTGATCATAGCTCACTATGGTCTTGAATTCCTGGGCTCAAGCAATCCAACCACCTCAGCCTACCAAGTAGTTGGAACTACAGGTGTGTGCCACCAAACCTAGCTAATTATTTTTTGTTTTCTGTAGAAAGGATGTCTTGCTATGTTGCCCAGGCTGGTCTGAAACTCCTGGCCTCAAGCAATCCTCCCACTTTAGCCATCCAAATGGCTGAGATTACAGAAATGAGCCACAGCACCCAGCCCAAAAACATACTTTTAAAAATTAATTTATTTTTTATTATACTTTAAGTTCTAGGATACATGTGTATAATGTGCAGGTTTGTTACATATGTTTACATGTGCCATGTTGGTGTGCTGCACCCATTAACTCGTCATTTACGTTAGGTATATCTCCTAATGCTATCCCTCCCCCCTCCCCCCACCCCACAACAGGCCCCGGTGTGTGATGTTCCCCTTCCTATGTCCAAGTGTTCTCATTGTTCAATTCCCACCTATGAGTGAGAACATGCAGTGTTTGGTTTTTTGTCCTTGCGATAGTTTGCTCAGAATGATGGTTTCCAGTTTCATCCATGTCGCTACAAAGGACATGAATTCATCTTTATTTATGGCTGCATAGTATTCCATGGTGTATATATGCCACATTTTCTTAATCCAGTCTATCATTGATGGACATTTGGGTTGGTTCCAAGTCTTTGCTATTGTGAGTAGTGCCACAATAAACATACGTGTGCATGTGTCTTTATAGTAGCATGATTTAGAATCCTTTGGGTATATACCCAGTAATGGGATGGCTGGGTCAAATGGTATTTCTAGTTCTAGATCCTTGAGGAATTACCACACTGTCTTCCACAATGGTTGAACTAGTTTACAGTCCCACCAACAGTGTAAAACTGTTCCTGTTTCTCCACATCCTCTCCAGCACCTGTTGTTTCCTGACTTTTTAATGATTGCCATTCTAACTGGTGTGAGATGGTATCTCATTGTGGTTTTGATTTGCATTTCTCTGATGACCAGTGATGATGAGTATTTTTTCATGTACATGTTAGCTACATAAATGTCTTCTTTTGAGAAGTGTCTGTTCATATCCTTTGCCCACTTTTTGATGGGGTTGTTTGCAAAAACACATTTTTAATGAAATATAGCTAGAGTCACCAAAACAAAAAAATAGAGGGAAGAATAGCTTTGCTTTATATTTTTGCAAATCTAATTGATGTGTAGCTTAAAAGAAGACAGTGGGATTCTCATACTTGCTTCTGCATTATCCTGTTGTACTCTCACATGTCATGTAGCTTCTGGAAAACTCCACTGTACACTCATGGAAAATGAAAGAGGAAAAGGTAAACAGTGTCTTAATATTTTTTATGGAAACAGTTGAGGCCTTGCATACCTCATGCATGGGTCTTGAGATTCCCAAGACCACACTCTGAGAACTGCTGGCTTAGAGGCTCAGAGCATTCACATCCTGGCTTTATCAAGTACAAGATTGTAGCTGTAAGCAAGTTACCTAACCTAGGGCTCAATTTCTTCCAGTATAAAATGGGGACAGTAAGGGAGCCTTAGAACAGTGTCTTGCACATTTATGGAGTGAATGCTCCAGAAATGGCAGCAACCAGCGATCCCCACAACTACCCTCGGGGGTTTGCTCCAGTTTAGAACTGAGGACACCGAGGCTCAGAATAGCTGAGCTGAGATTCAAATGTGATTTCTCTCATTCAAAGGCCAAGCTTGTGACTGCAGTATTATACACACATCACGCTGAGGTGTTTGGAGCAGAGAAGGTTTACAAGCAGATTAATGATATGACCTGATTTTAGAAAAATCACTCTGGTGGCAGCTAAGAGTATGAATGGGTGGGAGTTGGGACTGCAGACAGGGGCTCCATTCTAAGAGTCTGACCTGAGGCAGGGGTTCTGGGGCTGAGGGAGGGGAACTTCACAGGCAGGGTGGGCAGGACTTAGTCCCCATGAACATGGGGATTAGGGAGGGGAGGAGTCTAGAATTACTCCCAGGCTCCTTGTGTGAGCTTATGGGTGGTAGTGACATTTACTGAGACAGAGAAGAGAGGAATGGGTTGGGCGTGGGGAAGATGATTTCATCCTTGGATGTGTTGAGTTTGAGATGCCCCAGGGGATTTCCACAGGCAGTGGAAATGTGGATGGCAAGGTCAGGAGAGGTCAGGCATGGAGAGGCTGCAGCAGACACTGGCAGGCGTTCTCTGTGGAGGAGAAGCCACAGTTTTGGATGAGCCTGGCCAAGGTGTTTGCTTTTCCAATGCTCTCATTGCCAAGATTCTATGAGCCTAAGATCCAAAGAGTAGTTTGCCTTTCTTTACTTTGATTGAATTTCAGGTGTGTGTTTCTTGGAAATTTGACTTTCTTCTATGATGGCTTGAGAGAGGACTTATCCATGGGCACTGTATTAGTCAGGGTTCTGCGGAGGGACAGAACTAATAGGAAAACATACACAGAACTAATAGGCTATATATAAAGGGGAGTTTACTAAGGAGAACTGACTCACGTGATCACAAGGTGAAGTCCCACGATAGGCCACCTGCAAGCTGAGGAGCAACGAAGCCAGTAGTTGCTCAGTCAGAGTTCCAAAGCCTCAAAAGTAGGGAAGCCAACAGTGCAGACTTCAGTATGTGGCTGAAGATCTGAGATCCCCCGGCAAACCACTGGTCTAAGTCCAAGAGTCCAAAGGCTGCAGAACCTGGAATCTGATGTTCAAGAGCTGGAAGCATCCAGCAAGAGAGAAAGATGAGAGTGGGAAGACTTAGCAAGCCAGCTGATCCCACCTTCTTCCCCCTGCTTTTTTTCTTCTTCCTTTTTTTTTTTTTTTTTTTTGAGACAGAGTCTCGGCAATTCTCTTGCCTCAGCCTCCCGAGTAGCTGGGACTACAGGTGCCTGCCACCACTGCTGGCTAATTTTTGTATTTTTAGTAGAGATGGCATTTCACCATGCTGGCCAGGCTGGTCTCAAACTCCTGACCTCAAGTGATCCACCTGCCTTGGCCTCCAAAAGTGCTGGGCTTACAGGTGTGAGCCACCGCGCCCGGACTGCCTTTTTCTAGCCTCACTGGCAGCTGATTGGATGGTGCCCACCCACACTGAGGGTGAGTCTTCCTCTCCCAATCCACTGACTCAAATGTTAATCTCCTCTGGCAACACCCTCATAGACACAGCCAGGGACAATACTTTGCACCCTTCCATCCAATCAAGTTAACACTATTAACCATCACAGGCACCTATAGACAGTGCTTTGGGTAAAGTAGGTGTCAGCAAACTGTAGTCTGCAGTTTGAGTCCCGCCTGATGCCTGTTTTTTAAAAATAAACTTTTGTTGGAACACAGCTACGCCCATTCATGTACTTATTGTCTCTGGATGCTTTGGGCTATAACAGCAGAGTTCAGTGTAACAGAGACCATGTGGTCTGCAGAGCCTAAGATATGTACTACCTGACTTAAAAAAAATTGCAGATCCTTTGGATATAGCACTGTACCTTGAGTTGCAATTTCACTATTTATTTTATAATGTGCTAATAGCATAGTTCCTGACCAGAAAATACTAAAGAAATATCAACTAAATAATGATCACAATCTCTCTTTTAATGTAAAAGGGTTTCAATATTTATTTAGTCCATAATTCACTTTTTTGTTTGTTTGTTTGTTTTTTTGAGATGGAGTCTTGCTCTGTCACCAGTCTGGAGTGCAGTGGCGCGATCTCAGCTCACTGCAACCTCCACCTCATGGGTTCAAGCGATTCCCCTGCCTCAGCCTCCTGAGTAGCTGGGACTACAGGCACATGCCACCATGCCCGGCTAATTTTTTTGTATTTTAGCAGAGATGGGGTTTCACCACATTGGCCAGGATGGTCTCGATCTCCTGACCTCATGATCCACCTGCCTTGGCCTCCCAAAGTGCTGGGATTACAGGCATGAGCCACCGTGCCCAGCCAATTCACTTGTTTTAAACATGTCAAGCACACTGGTCTTAGGCTGCCACTTCCTATCTTTCCAGTTCCTTCCTTCTAGCCCTCTGTCTCCAGCAATTCTTCAGCCCCATGGCTATCTGCAATCTATTGATTCTACCGTCTCACAATCCCTCAATATACATATCCAATATAATTCTTCCAGATGGCCAAATAATTTCACTTTTAGGATTAAAAAGAAAAGAATAATTGAGGGCAGATCTTGCAATCTATAGGTAAGCTCCGTGAGGGCAGGGCTGTGTCTGGCACATGTCTGGTGGTCACGAATAGTTGTTGATTGACTGCAGACCATTTCTACTTATTCTGGGGATCATAGAGTGGCAGTATAGAGCTTTAATGATAATCTGTCCATCTGCTGTTGGGGCACGTGAGATTTGCAGAGGTAAGTGGCCTACCCAAAGTCTACCCACTAACTAGAGATAAGTTCCCCAATTCCCATCCTGGGGTTCTTTTCTGTGTACCGGGTTGCCTGTGTCCACTTCAAAAACCCGAGGAAAACTTTGGAATTAAGATTAAAGAACAAACATTTAAACTTGGAAGGGAAAGGGATATTGGAATCACTCTGCTTGTATCTTGTGTTGTAGCACAAGGAGGTGCCCTTGGAAACATGCAGACACACTCGTAGCCCTCACCATCAGCAGTGAGTTGTGAGAGTTTGGTCAAGTTGCTTAACTTCCAGTCCTTAGTGAATGCTTCTGACAAATGGGGATTGCCTAAATGGGGTTGTTGTGAGGCTTTCGGAGTGGGGTTGCAAAACTCACACTACAACTCAGAAGTGAGAAAAAGATTCTGTCATCTTGTCAATGACTGACCTGGTCCTCACGAGCCCTTCACATATTGGTGAGCAAGAAAAAGTTAACTGAAGTTCGAACTTTGTTTAAAATTTAGTCTAAATGGGTACAGAGTTTCAGTTTGGGATGGTGAAAAAGTTTTGGAGGTGGACAGTCGTGATGGCTGCACAGCAATGTGAATGTGTTTAATATTACTGAATTGCATACTTAAAAATGGTTAAAATGACAAATTTATGTATATTTCATCACAATAAAAAAACAGCCTAATCTGATCATGTAGGCAGTCGGCTGTGGTCATGCACAGTTGCTTTTGGAGAGATGACCTCTCTCTTAATTCCCTGGGTTCTGGCCTCACTGTTACTCCCTAAGATTGTATTTGGATGTGGTGGGGGCACTGGAGGTGGTGGCTTATGCGATCTGTGGCACTGGAAAGAGGTGAGGGCCTTGGGCATGATTTCCTTGGCCTCCTCTGGTTCCCTTAACCAGCCAAGTACTGCTGGCATCTACTCTCCAACCTTTGTCTCATGCCTCTGGGCTGAGGAAACACGAGATACTGTGACACATCAAAAATTTCATTGTGACCTAAGTTGGGCAGCAGCGTTGTGGCTTACTTAGCATGGAGAGGAACCATGAGTCACGCTGGCTGCCACGTCCTCTCATGTGCATCCAACAGGCATCACAGGGGAAGGAGGGAACATGGCCCCTACTCATTTTCAAAGACAGTACAAAAGCAATAAATGAAACTCAATGAAAAGAAGCACATCGTTGTAAACCACATGCCATTTTTGAGGTCCTAGAATAATCATGAAATTAGAAGGTGGTGTCCCAGCTATGTGCTGATCAAATGCTGATCCACAAACCGTATGGTGCTATCTGGGTCTGAACTACCTGCCGGGACTTGGTGGTAGTGGTGGTGGCAGTGGTGTGTGTGTAACTTACCACCAGGACATTAGCCAAATCTGAGAATCACTGCTTATGTCGATATACCTTTTCTAGTCTAATATTTGTTTAAATTACGGCAGTTAATAAAGAAGACAGCATGCTCTTGGCTCATTAAAGCCATTACAACAGTAATAGTATCATGGAGAACCAAAGAGGTTTTTTTTTTGTTTTTTGTGGGTTTATTTTTATTTATTTATGTTTTTGAGACAGAGTCTCGCTCTGTCGCCCAGGCTGGGGTGCAGTGGCACAATCTCGGCTCACTGCAACCTCTGCCTCCTGGGTTCAAGCAATTCTCCTGCCTCAGCCTCCTGAGTAGCTGGGATTACAGGCACGTGCCACCACACCCAGCTAATTTTTGTATTTTTAGTAGAGACGGGGTTTCACCATGTTAGCCAGGTTGGTCTCAAACTCTTGGCCTTGTGACCTGCCCACCTCGGCCTCCCAAAGTGCTGGGATTACAGGTGTGAGCCACCACACTGGCCAAAGAGTTTTTTAAAAGCACAGTTGATCATAATTTGCCTTTGGTAAAATAAATGGGAGCCAAAAGCACTGAACAAATTCTACCCTCTCCAAGGCTCTTATGCGTATCTACTTACTGAAAATGCGTCCAAACACTCAGACATGAACTATTCTGGTGAATATAAAGGGCTTATTTTTCTATTTGCCCTGGCTCTTCCCCTGCCCCAGGGACTGAGCCCTAAGAACTGCACCCTGGGGCTCTGGGGCTCTCTCGGGTTCAGCCACTAGGGGGCACTGCGATGAGTGGTGCCCCGAGGAGACAGGGCCTGGGATAGTTCTTCCTTACTCTGGGCTGAATTTTTCTGGCAGACGCCGCATGTCTCTCTACAGCTGTAGCTCCCGATGGCTGTCCCCTCCTCAGGAGCTCCAGCTACTGGCTGGGCAGTACCCACTTCCCACTGTTGCTAATCTCTCGGTGACTTCAGCCTGCTCACAGCCTTATAAGTAGTCCCTTCATTTAAGTCTCTCAAACCATCTGAGTTGGATTCTGTTTCCTGCAGGGGCACCAACTAATAAGCCCATAAAAAGAAATCCTTTACTGCTATCATCTAAGGGGACAGTGATGTCCTGATGTGCTAATCACTGACGGACATTAACGGTGATAATGCTGGTATTTCACTGGTATGACTCAATTTCTAAACTAATGGCTTGGAACTTATGCCTCCAAATTGTATTGCCTTCTCAAAGCTGACACCTTAGGATGTCTCAGTACCATCATGTTAAAATATTCCGAGGCTGCCTTTAAAGATATACTTTAGTGCCCATAACACATTATTTTGAATAATGCTGAAAAACAGTCCTCCTTTAATGGCAGATTTGATTCAGTTCAACAGGCAATATCACAATATGCATAGGAAAATTGGCAATAATTTCATTATGTTCATATGCAAATTCCACTAACTGTTATGCAAATGTCTTTTATAGCTTGTTTTTCCTTTTCTTTCAAGCCAGGATCCAATCAGGGTTCGTGAATTGCTTTTGGATGTCTCTTTTTAAGTGTTTTCAGGGATGCAGAGATGTGACTTTATGTCAGTAACTCTGCAATATAGTGCATTGTGTAACACCATTAATATATCAAAGGAAGCAAATGGAACTTTAGGGAGTGCTAAGGGTGTTTCTGGTATTGCAAAAGACACAACTCAGGTATGGGAAATGAGTTAATTATTCATAAGGGTGAATATGTTGGTTTGAGTAGTAAGCATTTTCCTTTTTCACATTAGGACACACACACACACACACACGCCTGTGAATGTAGCAGGACGAGCCACAGACAAAACCCCCCAGACACAGAGTTGAGGAAGGAAAGGGCTTTATTCGGCTGGGAGCATCGGCAGACTTATGTCTCAAAAAACCAAGCTCCCTGAGTGAGCAATTCCTGTCCCTTTTAAGGGCTTACAAGGGGGTCCGCGTGAGCAGGTCGTGATCAATTAAGCAAGCAAGGGGTACATGACTGGGGGCTGCATGCACCGGTAATCAGAACGGAACAGAACAGGACAGGGATTTTCACAATGCTTTTCCATACAATGTCTGGAATCTATAGATAACAGAAGCAGTTAGGTCAGGAGTTGATTTTTAACTACCAGGCCCAGGGCGCAAGCTGGGCTATCTGCCTGTGGATTTCATTTCTGCCTTTTAGTTTTTGCTGCTTCTTTCTTTGGAGGCAGAAATTGGGCATAAGACAATATGAGGAGTGGTCGCCTCCCTTATTTCCACCTTTGAGAATCTCACTGAATAGTGAGAGTTCTCACTTTCATTCTCACTACCCATGTCTTCTTGTAGGACAGATCGATAGTGATTCATATAGTACACTTGTGCTGAAGCATTTTGGTGAACTAAGGTAGCGATGAAGGTTTTTTATCATTTGAAGGAGTACAGGTAGCAAACAAGGGAGTAGTAAGCAGGTTCCTATTACTATTATAATTCCTATTATAAGAGTTTTAAATCCTCCTAACACTGGGAACCATTTTCCAAACATGGCCCCACAATCAAATCCATGCCATACTTGCATGGGCACATGTGCCAGTTTTGTCATATCTCTAACTATGTCTTCAACTACTTGCCCTTGATCATCTATATGTAGACAGCAATTAGTAACCCCTCCCCCAGCTGCTAGCAAGTAGTCAAGAGCCAATCTATTTTGATAGATAGCATTTCTCATCTGAGTTTCTTGCTGGGCCAGAATAGTCAAGGCTCTGCCAGTTTTATTAGTGATTATTTCTAAGACAGCTTGTAACCATATGATTTGGGTGAGCATGTAAATGGGGGTCCCATATCCCCATGAGCCATCTTGTGCCCAAGTAGCAGGCTCATAGTATTGTATGATTCTCTCAGGGGGCCATTCATCAACTTTCCAATTACCTATAGCTATGCTTCTCTTTTCACGGGAAGCATAGACAGGGAAGCCCAGGAGTTCGCCTGTTTTTATGGGCAGTAGGAAGAAGGATGGTTTAATAGTGCCAATAACACAACTACCTGCCCACTGGTTGGGTAATTTGGCGTAAACTCTATGCCCACATATCCAGTATAATCTGGTGGGGGCTGTCCAGTCCCGGTGGGACTCCAGGTGGGTCCACACGGTTTGCAACTTTGGGAATTTACTAAATGGATTCTTTTTAGTATGGTTTAGACCCCACCAGGTGACTGTTCTTAATTTTATTTTAAACACTGTGACCATAGGGGGCTCAGATGGGTTATAACACACATCAGGCTGGGCACTTCTTGGCTACATCCCTTGTACTGGGTGGCATTATACAAACAAGTCCCTTTTAGGGTTCCAGCACATTTATAATAACTATAGAACAAAAAGACAGTTTTAACTTTTTGCCCTACCTTAGTGACCTGATGTATACACTGGGAACAATCCTTAGTTTGAGGAAGATCAGTTTAAGTCCCTACCATACAAGTCCAAAATTTAAGGAAAATAAATCCCATGGTGAGTTTCCTCATGCTTTGGCCATGCATGGACCAGTCAGCTTCCAGGTGTGACTGGATCAGGGCTTGTCGTCTTCTTCAGAGTCACTTTGCAGGGATTCTCCGGGCTTGGTCTTGCCTCCCAGGTCTCAGGTGCTGCGGGTTTCATGGGGCTGTGGTGGATCCAGGCTGGGATTCCTTGACCACTGTGGGAGTGGTCAAGACCACAGTCTGGGGTCCTTTTCACCGTGGCTGCAAGAGGGCTATGTTCTAATCCTTGATCTACACCTGATCACCTTTGCTGTCTTCTGTACCAAGTCAGCCACAAACACCAGCCCATTGTCCAAGCCAATTCATAAGGGCAGTCCAAACCTAGGGATGAGCTCTCCACGTTTGGGCATCTTGGTGAAGTCTACTTGGAGATCTTCAAAGGGGGCTGCTCCATAAGCCTGTATGCCAGGCAGGACAGTTAGACCTTGCCTAGCATTGTGCTGCTAGGAGGTGACACACTGCTGTGCCACTGTTTTGGCAAGGGCTGACAGATGCAAGATGTAGAAGTACTGGCCTAACAACTTTTCAAGTGACTCTTGGCCTAGGTGGGTGGTCTCATGCACAGCCAGTACGACTGCAGCTCCTAGCAGTTGTGGCATGGCTATTCTTCCATCTGATAACCGGATCCATCTTCTTCTATCACCTGCCCTCATTCTGGTTGATGAAATGCCAGGGTGAAAGAGATAGCCAATTGGACTAAAGCACAAGTGCCACTCCAGTTATTCGGCAGAGTGTCCAGTAAAGGTCCGCCACAATACCACCAGACATCCTCTCGGGGATGAACAAGGGCTGACTTATTGATAAACTCTTGAAAATTCTTAAGCTCACTGCATCCCTTCAGGTCTCCAGGGAATGCTAAGTTTCCTTGCTGTCGTGAGAGACACGAAGTGAACTTAGTGTTGGGAGAAGGAAGCTGGATGGCCCTCGGGGGCTGACCCACAGGGTGCTGGACTTTGGGATATAGCAGAGACAGCTTGGCACAACCTATTACTCCAGGCTGTAGAATCCTGGAAAAGAGCTACCATGAAGTCCATGCCTGGTCGACTGGAGGACTACCTTAGTGGAAAGGGGACAATCTGGGCCTCTGGCCTGCCATGTGCACAAGCATAACAATTGCTTTTGTTTAACATGCCAACGGTATATTTGATTCATTCCAACCAGACATTTGCATCTTGGTATCCTGTCTTAATTGTCAAAGTTTGTTTTAAGCCTTTAACTTCTATGATCCTCTAATAAAATGAATGTATGGTTTCAGGAAATTACAAAAACTGGTTGGGGCAGTCCATCCTTGCTCTTTAATGGTCCACAGAACGTTGGACCAATTATGGCATAAAAGCTGTATATTGGGGGGCAAGACTCCTGGTTAACACTGGGGTCTTTGTCGAAATCTCCTCAGATAAAATGGTCCTAATTTACTAATGCCTAGTCTGAGAAGAGTCAGGAGGGAGAGAGGTACTTTTCTGAAGTAGAGGTCTGTCTTTGACTTGGCAAGTCCCCACAAGGTATAACAAGGCAAGCATTAAATGCAAGTTTGAGGCGAAATTGACTTGGTTATGTTAATAACTAGATGGTCAGCAATAGAGCCAGGAAAGAAGAAAGAGTAATAGAATAGATGAAAGAGTTAAATTTTTCTTAGCTTTAGTTTGGTAGGGTTTTCCCCTGGGACTATGGCCCACAACTCTGGAGCAGGTGGTGCTTTCTTGACTCGGGTGTGATGAGTCCATCCCTTTTTTGCTGTACAAACAGCAGTCTCGGTGGTTAGCAGCGCAAGGTAGGGTCCTTCCCAGGCTGGCTCAAGTTTTTCTTTTTTCCACCCTTTGATAAGAACGTAATTTTCAGGCTGGTGCTGGTTTACCAGAAATTCTAAGGGTAGTACATGTGCTAAAAGACTTTTAGTTTTGAGGGAAAGGAAAGTGGAAGATAAACCAAGTATATAATTTCTAAGAAACTGACCTTTTGTTTTAAATGTGGGACATCAGCAGCAGATTTTATAGTACCTTGGTGCCTTCTTACTGAGAAATTTCCTTTTGCACCTATTTTTATTAGTTTTTAGACCAAAGAAAGCCAAACACCATTTTATATTTGACAATGCTTCCTGTATCACTTTTATACCAGATAAGCTAAATTTCACCTTTATATTAGTGTGTTATTAATGTTACACTTAGTTTTAATAAAACTTTGTAGACATATTTATTCAATTTTTAATGTCTGACCATAAGGTAAGATTTTTTATAGACTCTCTTCAACCTTTTATAATTTTTGTAAAAGAGCAGGTTAGTGCTTTAAGAAAAACCCGTGGTGTTTTTACTTTAATGTCCAGTTCACAGAAAAACTGGATGATACCCCTTTAACTTTAGCTAATATGTTTATACACAGAATTTTCTTTACAGTTAACATTTTAAAACTTGCTTAAATCTTCAAAACAAAATTTTTAAAAACCTTTTAATGTAGGTAAAAATCTACATTTTTATGCCTCCTTATAATCCTTTTACTAAAAATATATTTTACTTTTCTTACACACTTTGCATATAAACTGTTCCTTCAACAGTTTTACATTCAGGAGGCCTAATTACTTTTAAATTATACAACATTTCTTGCATAAATTCCTTTTTTATAACACACATTTTTTTTCTTGTTTCACGACTTTCACAGACAATTCTTCAACATGTCTCAACTTTCTGACTTATTGCAAACATCCCTTTCTTTAAACAACCAGTTAATTTATTTTAGGACAAGAATGTAATATATAACGTTCTTTTTACATAAATTCTACCCCCCTTTTCTTTTTTTTTTTTTTTAACTTAGGATAGTTCTGAACTGGTGAGGTGTGCTCACAGTGAGGTTTCCTTTAAAAGTTATTTTTCTACTTTTTTTCTGTTAGCAAAGCTGTTGCCACTACAGATTGAATGTATTTGGGCCATCCACGGGTTACTGGGTTAAGGAATTTTGATAGGAAGGCTACGGGTTGTCAGTGGTCTCAGTGCTTTCGGGCTACGCCCTTGTTTACACTGACAACAAAGTGGTATTGGAGTGTTATATGATCACGGAGAAGACCTTTAATTATCAATTATAGGTTCTAAATTTACCTTGGCTTTTAAAGGAATAGTGTACACTGTTTTTTTCTTAACTACTTGTATATCTCTCTCTTTCTCTCTTTGACTTCCTTCTGTCTCTGTCTCTTCCTCTCTCTCTCTGCCTCTTTCTCTTTGACTTCCTCTTTGTCTCTTCCTGTCTCTCTTGCTTTCTCTCTTTGCCTCTTTTCTTCTCTCTCTCTCTTTCCTCTCTCTCTCTTTCTCTCCTCTCTCTCTCTCCCTTTTCTCTCTGCTGGTCTTTCCTTGCCTCTGCCAGCCGCTTATGCTGCTGTTCTCCTGTCTCCTTCCTCTTCCCCTAGGGGAGAGACCGGCGGGAGTAGAGCTACTCTTTCTTCCTTGGCTATCTGTCCCTTTGTCACTAGTACTACTGCTGCCTGTCTTCTTAACCACCGTGGGGGGTCTAAAACCAGCTGCAACCACGTATCTATGTATGGAAACTGATCTGGGTGTCCTGATTTACCAGTTACTTTGTGCCATACCTTTGAAACTAGAGACCTGTCTAGGCTTCTTTCTGATGGCCATCCCACCTCTAATGCCCGCCAATCTATCTCACACAGAGCCTTAAACTTTCCAGGTGTCATAGCGATTCCATAGACCCCACTGAATCCTTTCTTGAAATTCTTTAACATAGTTCCTAATGGGGTAGGCTTACTTTGTGTTTTACCCATTCTCCTCTCTCAGGAGACAAAACAACACTCTTACCACAAAGAGGGAAGGCAAAAAGGGGCAAAAAGTCACTCACTCCCCCAGCAATTCACACTAAAACCAAAGTATGGATAAGGAGTTACTCATTCATCAAGCAATTTGAGCCAAGTCAGAACCGAAATCAAAGCCAAAACAGTTCAAATCCAGAAGTCAATACCGAAATCTAAACCAAAACAGTGCAAATCCAGTCAAAATCAAAACCAAAACCAAGGTGCCAATAAAGGCATGCCGTGGGTGATCAGGCCACGCTTCCACTCAGATGGAGTGGGCAAGTTCCAAGACCAGTCTTACCGTGTTCCAGATGTCTGGACTCCAAGCGCCGATTCCTTCCCGCTGTTCAGCCGCTGCGTTAATCCTCCGCGGGGGCCTACCGTGCGCTGCTCTGGCGAGGCGTTCCACCAGGGCAATTACCCAGCTGAAAGCACTCTCAGGATTCACTAAAGCCGGCAGGAGTCCCCCGCAGGGATGTTCCACAAGGCAGGCCTAAGCCTCCTAAGCAGTTGCCTCCACCGCCCGGTAATCACCTCGCTTCCAGGTCAGGGAACCAAGAAATGTAGCAGGACTAGCTGCAGACAAAACCCCTCAGACACCGAGTTGAGGAAGGAAAGGGCTTTATTCTGCCAGGAGCATCGGCAGACTTACAAAACCGAGCTCCCCGAGTGAACAATTCCTGTCCCTTTACAACTAAGGGGGTCTGCGTGAGAGGGTTGTGACCCATTGAGCAAGCAGGGGTACGTGACTGGGGGCTGCATGCACCGGTATCAGAACGGAACATAACAGGACAGGGATTTTCACAATGCTTTCCCGTACAATGTCTGGAATCTATAGATAACACAAGCAGTTAGGTCAGGGGTTGATCTTTAACTACCAGGCCCAGGGTATGCCCCCGGCTATCTGCCTGTGGATTTCATTTCTGCCTTTTAGTTTTTACTTCTTCCTTTGGAGGCAGAAATTGGGCATAAGACAATACGAGGGGTGGTCTCCTCCCTTATGAACAACACAGATTTGAGCTGTGTGGGTTCAATTATACTCAGATTTCCTCCTGCCTGTGCCACCCCGAAATAACAAGAGCGACCCCTCCTCTTCCTTCTCCTCAGCCTGCTTAACGTGAAGACGATGAAGACAAAGACCTTTATTGTGACCCACTTCCACTTAATAACAGTATATGTATTTTCTCTTCCTAATGTTTTTCTTCGTAACATTTGCTTTTCTCTAGGTTTATTATAAGAATACAGTCTATATTACATATATGATACAACAGATGTGTTAATTATCTGTGTTGTTGGGAAGGCTTCTGGTCAACAGTGGGCTATTAGTAGGTAAGATCTGGGGGAGTCAAAAATTCTGTGTGGATTTTAACTGCATGGGGCATTGGCACCCCTAGCCCCTGTGTTGTTCAAGAATCAACCGTAATATTTTCATAGCACACTGGAATCGACAGAGGGGCTCCTGGGGCTGGAGGTGTCCTGTCTGGGGCTCCAGTTGCCTCAGTTCTCTCTTCCAAGGGCTGAGGGGGTTCTACAATTGTGGCGTGCCTTGGAAATGTTAGGGGAAAAGGTATGGTGACTCGATGGTTTCCAAGTGTTTTGTGTCCCAGAGTATTCTTATCTCCAACCCCCATCACTTCCAGTAACCTGGTGTGTTCCTCCTTGAAAGAGTTCAGGCATGGGTCCTGTTCTGTTCCCTTTTAGCAGCCAAATAACCTTCCCATTAACCTGGAAAAACAAAGACAAAAGTGGCCTTTTTTTCCATGTTATTTATTCACATTCAACTAGCTACATGAGGGGGATAAGCAAATTAATAGGAGCTTTTTGGGGAGGCAGAGGTATGGATGGAAGGGTGGGATTAAAACAAAATAATTTTCAGTGGTTAAGTGGAAGATTTACAAATATCCATTAAAAAAGTACCCTCTGGATAAAATAATCAGAAATAAAATAAATTAGCCACTTCTGATCACTGCATTCCCCAAAGTCTCTGAAAATGGTTTGCACTTTAGACTGTCATGATTTGCAGATATTTACATGACGCAGGTTTCCAACACAGAAAAATGAAGACTAACACTGAGTAACAGATTAGTACAATGCAGAGGAAAATAGAGCAAATGAAAATAGCTATCATCTGGTAGCAAAAATAGATTTATGCCGGTGTTAATATCAAAATAAAGACATTCAAACAAATTATGCCAATACATTGGAACTATTATTCCTAAGACCATAAGGACACCTTCTTATTGCTTCTACTCATAACTAAAAGGTCTGCGGAGATTCTGTAGTAGCCAGAAGGCATAACTTGTAGTGTATGTAGTAGGGGCTACATCAAGGTTCAACAGCCAAATAAAAACTTTATTACTTTTTAGGCTTGACATCTTTAACAGTAGAACAAGATCACTCATGATAAATCTGGAAGATGCAGATGGAAGACAGTGCTTGAAGCCCAAACAAATGATTTACTACAAGTAATTAAAAGCAGAATATGAGAAAAGCAGCAGTGTAAATGACGTAAACATTAAAAAATATATTAGTTTGTATATTTCCCCCAGGAAGTCTCACAGGAAGCACAGGACACCTGTGCGGCTGTTTGGGCATCCTGGGTACTTCTTGCCCTCAGGTGAACTCCCATCTCTTTAGTTAGGACCAGAATCCACCTGGCTTGTAGGAGAGGAACTACATGGAGAAGCTGCATTGAGGCTTTTATTATTAATACCTATGACTCAAGGAATACCAGCCTTGGGGTGCTTTGGGGCCTGGGGAGGGAAGTGACTGGCTCTCCTGCTACACTGGAGACTGTTAGCTCATTTCTGAATGGATTTCCTGCAGCGTGGGGTAGTCGACAGCTGTGACAGGAACATTACCTGAAGTGCAGGGTGGTTACCTGCACAAAGTCCCATTTCCAAAAATTTCTGTGTAATTCACCAGAAATTTTGGATGGAATAATTAGAAAAAAAAAAGAGGTTAAAACATGTAACTCAAATGGTACAGTGATTAGCATTATTTAACCAGGAGATTTAAAGTCCAGAAAATTAAATTCTACCTTGGTTCTTCCCAAATGATGCCACGTTTCTGTTTTCTTCCTCTTAAAACTATAAAATGTCCTAGAGACATACATTTGGGGGAAAGATGCTTTTGAGAAAAGGGACAGAAGGAGAAAAGAAGTCATTTCCCCCTCAAGATAGTTTTAAGCTTATAATATCAGGATGCATCACCAAGCTGTTTAAATTTCAGAAAAGCCCTTTATAGATGCTAGTACTGACTAGATTTTAAAATCTGCATATAGTTCTCTATCATATTTTAATTCGTTCCCACCCCCATCTCAAATAAGATGACTACAGACGTAATGTTTCATCCAGTTGTCCCTGGGACTCTAAAATAAAGCATAAGGGCAAGTGAAATAACATTAGGATAATTAAAGATTTTCCAAATGCCACATGACAGTGCTACGTCCATTCAGGCTGTGCATTTTGTTTTCGTTGCTTCTTTCTTTTTTGAGCCAGTCTCTGGAGCAGGCCAATTTAACAGCCAATATTACCACGATTCTACATTTATCCTCACACTGTGGAAACTACATTTGTTTTCCCCTTGAGTGCCCTTAAATCTACAGCCTGCTTCCTCATGTCTGTGAGCAGAATTTGGATAAATGCTTGAGATGGAAAGAACAAAGCATACACCAAAGAATCTGACTGTGTCATTCAACTGCTTAGAAATGGAAATGATATTCACATTGTGTTCATCTTGGCATCTCGATAAAATGAATCCAATATTTAATGAGTTGTTTTAAAATGCCAGTCACGTGCAGATTCCAGAAGGCTACACATCCACTTTAAATAACTCTCCATTTTGAAAATGCAATATTGTCCAACTGGTTATTTGGTGTGACAATGAAAAATCATGCATTCTTTTCCTGTAATTATTTTACTCTTCATTCATAACATTCGATATGCTCTGAATTTCTTTAAGTATCTCAAAGTGTTTTCTGGAGAAATCTTTTTACTACATCATTATACTTGATATTCCATAGCATTGCTATGGACTTTAGAATAAGAGGCTTAACAATTAGGCTTTGGTTTTAATGTCATCTGGACAGAAGTTGGACATGCTTTGATAACACAATTCAACTACTACACATATTATTGTAATGTGAAATAACACATTTAAAAAGACGAAGGTTCCCCTTTCAGTAGTTATAATCTGTATTATTCAAGACTGCTGCAAAACTCACAAAAGAATGATATGGATAACAAGAAAGTATAGGAAAGGGGTAAGACACTCACTTAAAGCTTTACCAGAACACAACACAAAGCAAGAACATCAATTCTCTACATTTGTCTATAAGGCAGATGGCAACTTTTTATACAAGATCTAAAATATGGTGCTTATTAAGAGGTAGAAAATACTAAAACAGCATTTAAGAAAAACATGTTGAGTTATCCAAAACAATCAGTTATTTTGCTAAACTTTTACAAAGTCAAACTGCTGTGTGGAATAAACTGTATGTTTTATATTAAACTGGGACATTCCATACTCAACAGGGAGGTGATCAAACGGAGGGACAAAAAACGGGGTGGGGTGGGAAGCAGGAAACAGTCTCTTAACTTCTCAAGGACTCAGCTCTCACTAAGGAGAAATTTCCTACTGTCTCTCTGGGATGCTATTGTGATATTTAATTAATTGGAATTCTTTTCTCTTATGAATAATTTCTCTGAGCAACAGGGTACAATTTTGCATATAAGGCAATAGAACTATAGGGAGGAACAAGTTCAAATGCTTCCTTTTCAAGAAGGTGCCGTATACGTCTTATATAAAAATATACATTCCATTAATCTTATATCCTCTCCCTAACCACTAAAATGCAAATGAAAATATTCTTCAGACTCCAGCACCAGCAGAATTGTTCTGTATGAGCAATTCAAGAGCTGTCTGAGGCAAAAAGATATTTCAGCTACCAAATTAAACTTGGGTAGCTTACGCATGGGTGAGTAACCCTGGGAATTCTTATTTCTTAATGCACCTGGGAGAGGTTGATTTTTTTTCTACAACATAATTTTATAAGGCATAAATTTAATTGGAATCTTCCCTAACCTTTGGAAAATTAGTGTTAAAGCTTCTTTTTTTAACCCACACATGAACATTCAATCTTTCATTTTTATTAAATAGTTTATATATAAAAAGAAATGTCAAGGTGTTCTACATTCATATAAACAATCAGGGTAACATTTGAAATTGTAAAGAAACGCACTGAGGAAAATATAGACTTAAAGAGTTACAATGCTAAGCTAAGCACAAGTGATCATCCTAGAGTATCTTTTAAATATATAAACACAGGTTTGTGCCACTTCAGAAGGCAAGCACAGGAGAAATACACTAATGTTATCTTTCTTCTTTACTTTTTCACCATAAGACAGGATGGTCCAGTTTGGAAAAACCAAGATCTTTTCTAAGTTCCAAATAGGTGCCGTTGCTCACCCAAGAGTCATCGTCGGATTTCCTGTGAAAGAAGAAACAATTTCTTGCAGACTCTTGAAACCAGCGTCACATTCTCAAGTCTCTTTCCTTCCTAACCTCCCTGCTTTCCCCATCCTCATTCCCACATGCATTCAGCGTCCCAGAGTGTTGGGACCGGGAATTCTGGGAATTAGATGTCCAGAAATAATTTTGTTACTTTTTTTTTTTTTTTTTTTTTGAGATGGAGGCTCGCTCTGTCATCCAGGCTGGAGTGTAGTGGCATGATCTTGGCTCACTGCAACCTCTGCTTCCCAGGTTCAATCGATTCTCCTGCCTCAGCCTCCCGAGTAGCTGGGACTACAGCCATGTGCAACCATGCCCGACTAATTTTTGTATTTTTAGTAGAGACGGGGTTTCACCATGTTGGCTAGGCTGGTCTAGAACTCCTGACCTCAGGTGATCCACCCACTTCGGACTCCCAAAGTGCTGGGATTACAGGCATGAGCCACCACGCTGGCCCATTTTGTTACACGACTTTAACTTCTCAAACTTAGAGGCTATGAAAAGTGGTGCTTCTGAGAGGAGGAGGATGTGGGGAGAGTCTGTCATATACAAAACATAACTTGCATGACTGTCAGCACCTTGGGAATGACTGCACAAAAGCTACACATCAACCAGGTTGTACATAGGAAGTGGTTAACTTTTTTTTTTTTTTTTTAAAGGAGGCCGGGTGTGGTGGCTCACGCCTGTAATCTCGGTACTTTGGGAGGCCGAAGCGGGCACATCACGAGGTCAGGAGTTCAAGACCAGCTTGGCCAACATGGCAAAACTCCGTGCCTACTAAATATACAAAAATTAGCCGGGCATGGTGGCGGGCACCCGTAATCCCAGCTACTCAAGAGGCCGAGGCAGGAGAATCGCTTGGAACTGGAAGGCAGAGGTTGCAGCAGAGAGCTAGGATCACGGCACTGCACTCCAGCCTGGAAGACAGAGCAAGACTCCTTCTCAAAAAAAAAAAAAAAAAAAAAAGTAATTGAAAGCCATAAGAGTCTGGAGAGATTAGTCCTGATTTTCTATTCTTTGAATAGAGAATATATGACACAGACCAAATTCAAAGGGCGCAAAAGGGTATACAGCTTCAAGTTTTTATCTTCCCCCTCTCTGCCAGCCTCCTGATTCTTCTCCTCAGAGGTAGTGATGTTATCAGCTTCATTCTTTCAGGGAAATTCCGTGTGTGTGTGTGTGAACACACACTCTATTCCCTCTCATTCTGACATAATGTTGTACCAGACACTGTTCTACCCTTTCAGCTTTGACATAATGAAACATATTGGAGATCATTTCCGATTAGTACAATAAGGTAAGGGTCAGCAAACTATGGCCCAAGGGTCGAATCCAGCCTTCTGCGTATCTCTGAAATACTGTTTTATTGGAACATGGCCATGTCCATTTGTTTAAATACTGTTTATGGCTGCTTTCAATGCTGAACAGCGGGGCTGCATAATAGCTACTGAATGAATTGAACCTGATGGCCTGCAAAACCAACAATCTTATCATTTGCTCTTTATAGGAAAAGTTTGGTGACTCTAGCAATAAGGGATTCCTCATTTTCTTTTTATACAGTTGTATGATATTCCATTGTATGGATGGACCACAATTTACTTAATAGGTACCCCACTGATGGGTACTTAGGTTATTTCTAAACTCTAGCTCGGCATGTTATTTTGTATGTGTGTGAGTACGGTTACATTAACAATTCCTGTAATTAGCATGGCTGGGTCAAAGAGTATGTGCATTTGTGATTCTGACTGATATTACCATATGGTTTAGAAGCAAAAGTGGAGTGTGCCTGTTTTCCTACACTCTCAGGAATGTAGATTTTTATCACACTTGTTTCCCTATTCCAGTAACACTATATGTTTAAAAATGAGTCAATCTGTGTATCAGACAGTTCACTATTTTAAAACAAAGAGGCTCAATTTGGTCTGAGCTCCAGCTTCCACTTAGAATTTTCAGTGATTTTGTTGCTGTTCCTCAGTAAGTGTTAATGACAACATCCAAGTCCCCATATTCCTCTCCAAAATCTCTTTGCCAGGTTTCTAATTTGAACAGTCCCAAGGAGGACTGCTACTGCTGAACAACTCTCGCTCTTTCTCCAATTGAAAAAAATTTTCCCATCTAATACTATGATCATTTTACAGACAGTCAAAAAGAAAAAGAGCAATGGCCGCCCCAGCTGAAGCAGCTTTCCGTCCTTTTTCATTCCAGACACAATTCCTTCCTGATTGCAATGACAGCATAATCACATTCTGTATCTTGCATTTACATGGTAATGTGTTTCCAGCAGAGCTCCACAGGCTTCGTAAGGTCATCCTTAATGCCTCATGTTGGATCGAGTTGGTGAATCTCCTTAACTAGTCCTTGAGACAGTTTGGTTACCTACCATTTTTAATGATCCTAAAAAGTACTGTAATGAACATCTTCATAATTGTACATTTTTCTTTTTTTAAAAAATGAAAATAGACAATGTATGGAAGAAAAAGAACCAACCTACTTAAGGGTGTAATGTGTTTATCTATTAACTGATCAGTAAATCAACTGATCAGTCTGTTAATCTATCCATTTTTCTATTTCTTGCCTTTTTCAAAAAAGAATGTAACATTTCCATCTTATTCTTTAAACGTTTAAATGAAGCTTGAATATTTCAGGATGAAATTTTGGCCAGTTGATTTTCCATCACTAATATCTTGAATTTGTGGAAATGATCAGAAGGGATCTAGTAGAATCTACATCAACTTTAGGGAAAAGAGCATCATATTCTTCAAGACAAAACCTTATTTGTCACTATTTTGATGTTTTGGAATACAGATTTTATTACTGCTGCTGTTATTAATAACTAAATCCTAAAAGTACTTCTGTTGTCCACTAAAAACAAACAAAAACACAAACAAAAAACATCCCAAAACAATGAAAAGACACTGGTGGCCCTGGAAGGACTTGGGCAGATGGAGTAGAGCAGGAACTTGCTGCTTTTTCACATACACCTATTTAAGTTTTTTAAAAAAAGAAAACAGAAAAACTAAAATCATATAGGCCCTGGCCTGGTAGTGAGGAGAGTCAGGCCCCATTCCAGGGTATTATACCGAGTCCTTCAACAGATCCCCCACCTGCCTTGAGCTTTCTCTTCTACTCAGTTATAGGAGGAGATGGGGAGGTGAAGGGTTGAAGATCTCTCATACCTCCTTTAAAAATTTATATCTATTGGCTGGGCACGGTGGCTCTTACCTGTACTTTGGGAGGCTGAGGCAGGTGGATCACGAGGTCAGGAGATTGAGACCATCCTGGCCAACAAGGTGAAACCCCGTCTCTACTAAAAATACAAAAATTAGCCGGGCATGGTGGCACGCGCCTGTAGTCCCAGCTACTTAGGAGGCTGAGGCAGGAGAATCGCTTGAACCCAGGAGGTGGAGGCTGCAGTGAGTCAAGATGGTGCCACTGCACTCCAGCCTGGGTGACAGAGCGAGACTCTGTATCAGAAAAAAAAAAAATTATATCTATTTTAACAAGACCTTCTTGGCAAGTTATTTTAAAGATAACAGTAAATGTAAGCCCAAGTGTACTGGAACTTCTACAATGCAAGAAACAGACTGCTTGGAATTTCCATACTGCTTAACTGTGGAGTGATCGTGAATGATCTCTGTCATGGTGTAAAACATGCCTATGGGGGTGACCAACCTTAGCTGTGGATTTAATAAGCTGGCCTGGTGCTGGGACCCAGTTCTGGCAGGCTCCCTGACTGAGGAGCTCCTCTGCAAACTCACTGGCTGAGGGCACTGGAAAAGCTCAAGGAATGCAAAAATGCAGGCCCTAGTCCTGTCTGAAGTCAGCAAGAGGGAGAGCCTGAAGGTAAGTGCGGGGGACAGGGCCTGGCACAGAGGAGCAGTACCCCCACGTGGAAGCAGGAAAAGCCTGGAGAATGCTCTTATCTGGGGACAGTACTGTTCACTTTCTGCAAACCAGAAGCATAACGTGCTGGCACCACCTATCAACCAAAAACCTACTCAATCCAGGCACGAACCTGAAAAACCGAGGCTGGTGCTCCACATGATTTTCTTCTAAGACCCGCCGCCTTTCTCTCTGCAGTTGTTCAATCCTCTGCTTTTGTATTTCAGCTTCTTCTAAGTTCCCTTCCTCTAGAAACCTGAGGCATCGAGGAAAAAAAAATGAAAGGATATGAATTCAAGAAAACAAAACAATCATTACTACTCAACTTGCATGTGTCCACGACTGGATATTCAAAATCCTCTCCTATACGTAAGACCCCGCCCCAACCGTTTAATCCGTATCTTGAAGTAGTCAGAGAAGATATTTTTTTGAATTGGTGATATTTACATAATTCAAAAATTATATCTACAAAAAAGAATTTGGGGCAAAGTCTTCCTTTCTTCCTTGTCTCTAATTCCAGCCACCTTCACCCTCCCACCCTAGAAAACCCACTTTATTAGTTTCCTCTGCATCCTTCTAGAGATTCTTCATGTGTATATAAACAAATATTAACACATATTCTTATCCCTCCCTCCGTTTAAAAAATATAAATGGTAGCATGCTATGTATCCCTTGATTTTTGGTTTTGGTTTATTTTTTATTTAACAATATATCTTACAGATCTTTCCATGGATGTACATACATCTTCATTTTTTAATAGCCACATAATATCCAGTTGCGTGGATGTATATGAATTTAGACAATTTCCTATGGATAGACATTTGAATCATTTGAATCATTTTAATGTGACAATGCCGCAATAAATGACCTTGTATATCCATCATTTTACATGAGTAAGTAGGAAAAATCTGTAGGAGAAATTTCTAGAAGTGAAATTGCTGGATGAAAGGGTGAGTGTGTAATTTATATATTACTGAACTGCCCTTTATGGGGATCATACCCAATTTATATTCCCATCAGCAATGCTGAGAGTGCCCTTTTCTCCCATAACCTCAAAGTGTATAAAACTTCTGAATTTTTGCCAATCTGATAGGTTAAAAATTGGGATGTCGACATGATTTTTAAATTTGCATTTTTCTTATTATGATTAAGGCTGAGCATCTTTTCACATGCTTAAGGGATATCTGCATTTCCTATTTTGTGGACTGTTCATTTTCCTATGTCCATTTTTTTTAACACAAACTTAAGATAAATTTAATTGAAAATGTTCATCACAGAAATTAACAATGCTTGCCATTCTTTAAACACCACATACGTTATTAATATATACTGTATATTTCCAATTAACTCCATTCTTAGGCTTGATTTAAGAAACACAATTGTAACAGACTTTATACAAAAAATACTTCCCTAAAAAAGTAGACAAACTGCACGAAACAGTACAAGCATAATGTGCATAGCAAGATAGCTTGAAGCATTCTATGTATGGCTTTCTTTAAAATAAATTAGGGGAATGGGCCCATTTGGGACCAACTGTTACAGCTGACATACGTAAACTGTTTCACATCTCTTTTAGGCATTTGCTAACAACAGTGTTCAATCCCTGCAAAATGAATTTACCTCCCTATGTCCATTTTTTCTAATGGGTTGATCTGTTACTAGATTTCTAGAGGCAATTCATGACATGAGTTGCAGATACGGACTTCTCCGTTTGTCATTTATCTTTTGACCTTATATATATAGTTTTATTTATTTTGCCATAAAGAAGGGCTTAAGTTTGTTTGTTTTGTGGGGGTGTGAGTTCTCACTGAGACACTCAGGCTGGAGAGCAATGGCGTGGTCTCGGCTCACTGCAACCTCCTCCTCTTGGGTTCAAGCAATTCTCGTGCCTCAGCCTCCCAAGTAGTTGGGACTACGGGCATGTGCCACCACGCCTGGCTAATTTTTGTATTTTTAGTACAGACGGGGTTTCGCCATATTGGCCAGGCTGGTCTTGAACTCCTGACTTCAAGTGATCCGCCCGCTTCGGCCTCCCAAAGTGTTGTTTGTTTTTAATAAAGCCAAATGTAACAATCTTTTCTTTCCTTGGGCTTCTAGATTTTGAGTCTTAATTAGAAAGGCCTTAGGGGAGACATTCTTATTTCCATTTTACAGAGTAGGAAACTGAGGCCAGGAAAGATGAAAAGACCTACCATATATCACACACCTTGTGAGCAGCAACCTAGAATCAGCAGTTAGATCTCAGTGCACCAAAATCATTTAAATTTGAGGGCTCGGGGAGCTGGAGGTTTTAACTTACTTACTTTACACTAAGTTCTTTATTACTGCATGCAGTAAAACTCTTCAAAATAAACACCTTTTTTGGCATTTCAATGCAAATGGGGCTTTACAGATAATAAAGGCCATGCCACACATGGATCCTAGTTGGGCCCCATCTCCTCCGTGATACAATTGTTTAAAGCATCCCCACCTCTCAATTCCTGATGACATTTTCCACCTTTCTCAGGTGCCTCTGGTGGCCTAAGGATTGTTAATAAGACTTTTTGTAAAGGGTTTTACATCTCTGGAGAGAAAAATCTTTAAAAAATCCTTACCTCTGGTCTGGCCTAAATCGAGTGTCAGTAGGTGGCAATAAAGACTTTGATGATGGATCCATTTCATTTAATTCCAGCGCAAACTGTGTGAAGCTATAGTATTGCTCGTAGCCTTTCGGCATAGGATCTAAGAAGAAAATAAATCATTCACCCCTAACTTGCATGTTACTTATGTTACATTTTAATTCCTTCACCTTTTTCGTCTCAGCCTAGCTACAATTTTTCTCTCTCAGCTCCCTTCCATTTCTGTTAAAATATTCTGACTAATGAACAGGCACTGAACATTTCTCTATAAATTTTCTTCTCTATAATTTTTCTTCTGCCTACAGGGATGTGGCCTCCTATGTGTGGTCAGAAAGCAAATTTATACAATGCTGTGAAGTTTCTGTAGTGCTTAAGCTATGAAAATAATTTGATTTTAAAATAAACATGCTCGGCTGGGCGTGGTGGCTCATGCCTGTAATCCCAGCACTTTGGGAGGCTGAGGCAGGCGGATCACCTGAGGTCAGGAGTTCGAGACCAGCCTGGCCAACATGGCGAAACACCATCTCTACTAAAAATACAAAACTTAGCCAGGCATGGTCTCGGGCGCCTGTAATTCCAGCTACTTGGGAGGCTGAGGCAGGAGAGTGACTTGAACCTGGGAGGCGGAGGTTGCAGTGAGCCAAGATCACGCCACTGCATTCCAGCCTGGGCGACAAGAGCGAAACTCCATCTCAAAAATAATAATAATAATAATAATAACAACAATAAATAAACATACTAATATCAGCTCTGGGTCCATTTTTCCTGATTCTCACTCTAGAGAATCTGTTTTTGATTTAAGTGATGTCAAATTCTCTTGAAACTCTGTTTAGTACCTAGAACAGTGCTGAACACAGAGCAAGTGGTTAATAAATGTTATTCTTTTCTTCCATTCCTACCCTTTTTACCAATTCTTGCCTCTCCTCAATCTTACATCTTTAAAACATTAGGTGCATTGCCCTAACTGGAATTCCAAAAAAGCTAAACATACCCAAATTTACATATTGTATAAATCCAATGTAGACTACTAAGATCTACTTACAGCCTAAGCTCTTCACACATAACAAGAGAAATGCTTGCCAGTAACTCTTCTGCAGACCCCCCCTTTTTTTTTATTGAAAGGGTCTCACTCTGTCCACCCAGGCTGGAGGACAGTGACACGATCTCAGCTCACTGCAACCTCTACTTCCAGGGTTTAAGTGATTCTCATGCCTCACCCTCCTGAGTAGCTGGGACTACAGTAGATGCACACCACCATGCCTGGCTAATCTTTGTATTTTTAGTAGAGATGAGATTTTGCCATGTTGTCCAGAGCAGTCTTGAACTCCTGGCCTTAAACAATCTGCCTGCCTTGGCTTCCCAAAGTGCTGGGATTACAGGCGTGAGCCACCATGCCCGACTGGGACCCATTTTTTGAATCTTCATAAGTCCTCCTTGTAACTAGTCTAATTCTCTGTGTATCCTAAGCATAAAAATAGTAGCAAAGTTTCCTATGGTGTCTTGGTCAGCTCCCCAGTAACCAGGGAGTGAAGATAGTGCTTTTTCTTAAAGATGGGCCAGGGATGCTCACTGCCATTAGAGAGACATAAAGTCAAGGAATAATGACAGTAACAAAAATTTAAACAGTGTTGCTTTATCAAGGTGGTACTTTAACACTGAGACAGGATCGCAGTTCTCATCTGTGATGCATACTTTAAGCAAAGGAGACAGACTGTGCCATTTGCAAAATCTCATGCTTGCCTCTGAAGCTAGGAAGGCTTCCACTGGTGCCAATTCATTCTAACTTCACGGCAACCTCTGCAACAGTGGGAGATGTGGCAGCTACCCATTGAAAGGGCCACTGCTGGCTGCCTACTTGACCATCATTTCTCTTTCTTGCTTGCTAACAGAATACTGATTCTGTTCAAATGGCATTGTGCCCTTACTGGGGATTAATCCAAGACATCTAAATCTCTCTTGCCTACTCTGTTGCCCGTGACTGGTTCACGGATGGGTCTGAACCCACTGCAGGCTGACGTGATATAAAGTCCCATTTGCTGCGGGATCTTAGGAAATGTTCCTGAGAAAAGAGAGGCACGAGAGAGGAAAGCTCTTTTGTCCTCTCATTACATGCTTGGTATGCTGTCATGCAGGGGTATGACACTGAATGGTAACAACCATTTTGCATTCATTAGGGGAAACACCACGGCACACTGGGAGTAGCAGAATGTATCCTCACTGATCTGTGTGTCCTTGACACAGGTAAATTGCCTATGTAACAACCCTGGAGCCACCCCCCCCACTCACTTACTGTTGTGTAATAGCACACAGCCTAACGGTTTAAACCACCAGTCAAATGGTTTTCTGTTTGGTTTTTTACCAGCCTGAAGCATCCTAACAGTTATATCTCAGAACAATGGTTTACAATATGACTGTGACTTGGAAACAACATAATTTTCGGACTTAGGAGATGGAATAAGATGTTAAAGTATGGTGGGGACATGCTGATGAAAGCTGGGGTTCCCTAGCTCTTCTGCCCATATCTGCTCCAAGAGCTCAGCACCCTTCTGGAATCACAGGAGTGATGAGGATGGCTTTTGGGGTTAGGTCAGCCTGGGGATAGTTAACATTTGTAGGTCTCCTGGGTCACTGCTTTTCCAGGAACACTTTCCTCTTTGTCCTTGCTGTAGAATGACTTCTTGCATTTCACTGATACTCTTTTATAGTACCCAGTAGAGTTATGCATGTGGACTGCCAGATTCCCTCAGAGAGTGCCCATGGATTAGCAATGCTTGTTCTGGGGTTAAGAACCCGGGACCCAGCAGCCCAGCAGAGGTGTTGCTGTAAGTAAGCATGACAGGGAGGTGAAGACTGGATGAAGGAAAGAGGGCCTACACCTCTAACCTAGTTCAAAGCAGAAGAGGCTGGAGATGCTGAACAGACACTACTCCTGTCCTCTGTGGCTTCTTGTGTCATGCCCACCCATCCACCCACTCACAGCCTGGGGTCCACAAACCCAGACACTCACTTGCTCTCCATACACAGGCAGAAGAGGAGCCGCCGCCACAGTAGATGCTTTCATGCCATTTCCCAAACAGCCGATGAACCGCTTTTCCACTCCTGTCAAACACTGTGCCTTCAATCTCATGGGCATTAGTGCTCCAGTATTTTGCCTAGGATTCAAATGAGTTGTTGGCTTAGTCCTTTAGCATCAGCTTATTACAGATATTAAGGAAAGAAAAAAGGAAAAGCTAGAGAAAGGACTGTAAGAGTGGCTCCATACTGCATATTAGTTTGCTAGTTCTGGGTTCCGTTTTTTTAACCGACAAATAAAAAATTTATATATTTATCATGTACAACATAGTGTCTTGAAACATGTATACATTGTGGAATGGCTAAATCAAGCTGATTAACATATGTATTACCTTACATACTTACTTATGATAACACTTAACTCTCTCAGTGGCCGGGCACGGTGGCTCACGCCTGTAATCCCAGCACTTTGGAGACCAAGGCAGGCAGATCACCTAAGGTCGGGAGTTCAAGACCAGCCTGACCAACATGGAGAAACTCCATCTCTACTAAAAATACAAAATTAGCCGGGTGTGGTAGCGCATGCCTGTAATCCCAGCTACTCGGGAGGCTGAGGCAGGAGAATCGCTTGAACCCGGGAGGCGGAGGATGTGGTAAGCCAAGGTCGCGCCATTGCACTCCAGCCTAGGCAACAAGAGTGAAGCTCCGTCTCAAAAACAAAACAAAACAAAACAAAAACAAAAACAAAAACTCTCTCAGCAATTTTCAAGTATACAACACAGTTATTAATTATAGTCATCATGTTGTACGATAGATTTCTTGAACTAATTCTTCCTGTCTGAAATTTTGGATCCTTTGGCCAGCATTTCCCAATCCTCCCCTCCACCCCTGGCAAACCCATATCAACCATTGTCCCACCCTCTGCTTCTATGAGATCAACTCTTTTAGATTCCAAATATAAGTAAGATTATGTAGCATCTGTCTGTGTCTGGTTTATGTCACTTATCCTCCAGGTTCATCTATGTTGTCACAAATGACAGGGTTTCCTTCTTTTTAAAGGCTGAACAATATTCCATTGTGTTAATATGTACCACATTTTCTTTATCCATTCATCCATTGTTGGACACTTAGGCTGTTTCCCTATCTTGGCCATTATGAATAGTGCTGCAATGAACATGGAGATGCAGGTATCTCTTTGACATACTGATTTCATTTCCTATGGATATACACCCAGTAGTGGGATTGGCAGATCATATGGTAATTCCATTTCTAATTGTTTTTAGGAACTTCCATTCTGTTTTCCATAATAGCTGTGCTAATTTACATTTCCACAAATGGTGTGTTTCCTCTTCTCCATATCCTCCTGAACACATTATTTTTCATCTTTTTGATAATAGCCATTCTAACAGATATGAGGTGATATCTCATTGTGGTTTCAATTTGCATTTCCCTGATGATTACTGATGTTCATCATTTTTTCCTCATATATCTATTGGCCACTTGTATGTCTTCTTTTGAGAAACATCTCTTCAGGTCCTTTGTTCATTTTTAAATCTGATTGTTTTCTTGCTATTGAACTCTCTATTCATTTTTTATATTAACCTCTTATCGGATGTATAGTTTACAAATATTTTCTCCTATTCTACAGATTGTTTCTTTACTGTATTGATTGTTTCCTTTGCTGTTTAGTTTGATATAATCCCATTTGTCTATGTTTGCTTTTGTTGTCTGTGCTTTTGGGGTCATATCCAAAAATAATAACTGCCCTGACCAACGTCATGAAGCTTTTCCCCTTATGTTTTTGTTTGAGTAGTTCTACAGTTTCAGGTCTTGCTGTAAGTCTTTAGTCCTTTTGAGCTGGTTTTTGTCTACAGTATAAAGTTCTAATTTCATTCTTCAGCATGTGGATATCCAGGTTTTCCAACACCATTTATTGAAGAGACTGTCCTTTCCCCATTGTGAGTTCTTGGCACTTTGTCAAAAACCAATTAATTATAAATGCATGGATTTACTTCTGAGCTCTCTATTCTGTTCCATTGGTCTATGTATCTGTTTTTATGCTTGGATTTTGGCTTTAAAAAACTCATACCTTTAGTTATTTAATAAAAATGAATGGTTAACTATCTGCAGTTTGTAACTCAACTAATATTTGTGTAAGATACATTTGTATTTCTACCTTTGCTACATACAATGTAAGAGAAGGCTCAGTTCTTGGACGGGTGCAGTGCCTGATGCCTGTAATCCCAGCACTTTGGGAGGCCGAGGTGGGTGGATCACTTGAGGTCCGGAGTTCGAGACCAGCCTGTCCAACATGGTGAAACCCCATCTCTACTAAAAATACAAAAATTAGCTGGCTGTGGTAGTGGGCACCTGTAATCCCAGCTACTTGGGAGGCTGAGGCACGAGAATCACTTGAACCCGGGAGGCGGAAGTTGCTGTGAGCTGAGATTGCACCACTGCACTTCAGAGTGGGTGAGATTGAGACTCCATCTCAAAAAAAAAAAAAAAAAAAAGAACAAGAACAAGAAAAGAAAAGGTTCAGTTTCTATATATCAAGCGAGTAGTGTGGGTATTCTCACTATGTATTGGTCCAGGTCTGCGAGGCAACCTTGCACTCTATTCTGCTCAGTTCAGCTCAGCTCAGGCCAGTCCAGCCCAGCTCAGGCCAGTCCAGCCCAGAGGATTTTATACAGTTCCACACTGCAGCCAGCAGAGGGAGCTCTAGCACCCTAGAGTTGGTTTTTTTTGTTTGTTTTTTGTTTTTCAAATTACCTGGCTGCCCTAAAAATCTCTATGAAAGAATGGCAAAGGCATTTCTCCATAAATCAAAAAACCCTAGTACTATTTTCAGCTTAAACAGAGTCCATACTTGGAAACTAATCATGTTGAATGGCATTTTCAGGTCAGATTCTGGTAGTTCAGCTTCCGCATTTCAAGGCTGTGGTAAAAATGGTGGGGCACGGAAGTGTCTCAGACCTGAATTAGAAATTTAAAGTTGAGCTCTCCAGCCATGTAAGAATGAAGGAAAAGCAAAAAGAAAAAAAAGACTATTGAGACTCTTAAGTTGATTTATTTATTTTTTGATGATACAGGGTCTTATTCTGTTCCCCAGAGTAGAGTGCAGTGGTGCAATCATAGCTCACTGCAGTCTCAAATTTCTGAGCTCAAGTGCTCCTTCTGCCTCAGCCTCTCCAGCAGCTGGGACTACAGGTGCATGCCACCGTGTCTGGCTAATTTTTAAATTTGTTGTAGAGATAGGGTCTTGTCAGATTGCCCAGGCTGGTCTCAAATTTCAGGCCTCAAGTGAGCCTCCTGCTTCAGCCTCCCAAAGTGCTGGGATTACAGGTGTGAGCCATGGCACCCGGGCTCTTAAGTTTATTCTGAAGCAGGTGTCAGATTTTCCCTTAGAGATATCTGCCAACAAATCCAGTGCTGAGAATTTGCTGGAAGCCACCAAGGGACACTGTCACCTTCCACAGGCGAGTGTGGCATCCACTTGCAGCATCTCTTTCAACACCAGACATGCCCAGTGTTCATCTCTCATGACTATACACCCATTTTCTGCATGTAAGTGAATGAGAACAAGGTAGGTGGTAGATATGGGAGTGGAGCATGTTTCCTTGCAGAAAATGTTGAGAGCAACGTGGCTTTCACCTGGGTCACGGGTAACATATCCCTGCTTCAGGTTGCCTTTTGTTTCTGTTTGCAGAGAGCTTAGACAAAGCTTTCAAGGTAGGGTCATTTTTATTTTGTCCCACATGTAAGGTCATTATGGGCTTTATGTCTGTCTATAATCCAGTTTGAGGCTATAATAAAGACCCCAATCCACCTCTTCCTAAGTATTCCCTATAGGTTACAGGTGGTGCAGAGAGGCATTGCATGAAGTTCCACAATAAAACCTCATCTCTCTGCTTATTATTTCGATCTTTGTTAAATGCCAATATTCCTTGAGGAGGGTCATGTTTTAAAGCTGTTTTAACTACATACAATTTTTAAGAGCAAGAAGGAATCTAGGAGGGAGAGAAAGCAGGGAGGGCCGCCAGCAAGGCTGTTAAAATGAGAGACCATTCCATACTTTTTGCCTCTGGCCAATTTTTCCATTTATTCTCTGAATGTTTATGAGTCTCTCATGTGTGCCAGACACCATTGCAGGAATCAGGGCTACAGAAGTGAGCAAGATAGACTAGGTTTTGCTTTTCTGGAGTCAAGGATGATGAGGAGGGTATGGAGAGCAGAAAATAAACACACACAGCAACGATGAGCAGGCTGACTTCAGACGGTGATAAGAACTCTGAAGAAAATGGGACAGGATAGGGAGTGAATGACAGGATGGGGCTGGTGATGGAAGGATCTGGGGACAGCTGCCCAAGCAGAAGGAAATGAAGAAAGAGAAAGAAGGCCAGTGTGGCCAGAGGACAGTGGGGAAAAAGAGGGAGGAAAAAGAGAAGTTCAGGTTGGAGAGGAACGAGGTGGCGTGTGTGTATATGGGTGTATCTGCAAGTGTGCAAGTATGTGTGTGAAAGGGTGGAGATGGGGAGTACAGCCTGTGCAGCGCCCGACAGGCCACCATAAGGATGCAGGCTTCAACTCTGAGAAAGATGGAAGCTGTTGGGGGATTTTGCTCAAAGGAATGATACAGCATGACATTAAAAAAAAAAAAAGTCTGGTAAACCATACCTAATGTAACATTGACCATTTTAACTATTTCTAAGGGTCCATTCAGTGGCATTAAATACATTCACAATGCTGTGCAACCATCACCACTATCTATTTCTAGAACTTTTTCATCTTCCCAAACTGAAGTTCTATACCCATTCAACACTAATTCCCCCTTCCTCCCTCCTGCAGCCCCGGGCGACCACCATTCTGCTTTCTTTCTCTGTGAACTGGATTCCTCTGGCGATCTCGCAGAAGTGGAATCATGTAATATTCGTCCTTTTGGGGCTGACTTATTTCACTCAACATAATGCTGTCAAGGTGCATACATACTGCAGCACAGTGATTTATGTTTTAAAAGGGTCTCTCTGGCTGCTGTATGGAGGACAGACCTTAGGGGAGTAAGAGGCCAGGAGGGGCCATTGCCCTGGTCTAGGTGACAGAGGTGCAGCTGGGACCAAGGAGCTCAGGCATTGCTTGCCTGCTGGCATAAAGGTGAAGGCGAAAAATCTCTCAAATGCCCTGTGCTCTGGGGCCCTGGCTCTGCCACAGCCCTTCCAGGGTCAGAGCTCAGAGAGTCACTGGAGTTACCTTTATAAAATTCACTTTGCAGTAGCAGGAATCATCATGCAGGTTCTTGATGACAATCTCTCCATAGTGCTCAATCCACCTCTGCCCGCTTAAGATGTTATGGATGCAAGAGGTCACTTTGTTCCACTCAAAATGATCCCCAAAACTAAAAAGAAGGAAAAAGTAGAAGTACCAATTTCTAGAAGAGCCAGCAGCAAATGCAAACAAACTCTGCTCTTTTATAAAATAAGTCATGCAATGCATTATTCATCTCTTTATTCACAGAAGCAACACTGGCTAAGTGTCTATGTCACACTGGATGTTCTAGGAGCTTCCACTCTCCAAGGAGGCATGCATGCCACAGAGAATGACAGCATTCAGACTTTGCACTCTGGAAGCTACCAGAGGCTTCACTAGAAGCTGGTGGTCTCTTGGAACAGCCCACTCCCTCCTTTGACAGAGGAGGCAATTCAGAGCCAGAGGGGCTTGTCTAATGTTGCTGAACTAGGAAAGGGAAGCTTGAGAAAGGGATGAAGGTTTTATACAATCTGCTAAACATACATTGCCTGCATCCTTTGTGATGAGAAAGTATTCAGATATTACTTATGGAATTCAATAATTACGAGGAAAATGGTATTAATAATAAGACCAGATACTTACAAAACATATGCAATGTGCTAAGTACTATTTTAGGTGTTTCATGTATATTATCTGTTTAATCTTCACAATAGCCCTAGGAAGTAGGTGGTTTATTATTCTCTTTTTCTAGATGGGGAAACTGGTGATGAGAAAGGTGAAGTAACTTGCCCAGGGATTCGCTGTTAGTAAGTGCCAGAGTGAGCAGGTGAATCTCGGCAGTCCAGTTTCAGAGTCCCTGCTCAGAAGCATCTTGCTTTATAAATAAGTATCAATCATCCCTATCAGATCAAGGCCATACTTTTCTTAAAAGGGATTTTGATAGCAAAGCAGCATAATAAAGGAAAAACACTTTTTTTAAAAAAATTGAGATAGGGTCTCACCCCTTCACCCAGGCTGGAGTGCAGTGGCACGATCACAGCTCACTGTAGCCTCAACCTCCCCAGGCTCAAATGATCCTCCCACCTCAGCCTCCTGAGTAGCTGGGACTACAGGTGCGTGCCACCACTATGCCTGGCTAATTTTTGTATTTTTTCTAGAGACAGGGTCTTGTCATGTTGCCCATACTGGTCTCAAACTCCTGGACTTAAGCAATCTGCCCGCCTTGGCCTCCCAAAGTGCTGGGATTACAGATGTGAGCCACTGCGCCCAGCTAAAACCACCATTCTTAATCTTGTTAGGAAGTGGAAATGAGTTTTTAATAAGCATCTATTCAGGGAACTTTGGTCTCCAGGAGGCATTTCCATTTGAGGGAGAAACATTTTTTAAAAGTGAGCTTGCCAAAAGGAGGAACATTTAAACCTACTGTCAGACAGATTAAAAGAAAAAATACACACTCAATGCAACTGCCGGGGGCGGGGGTGGGCATCCTGTCCCCAAAGCAAAATCTTGGCCCTAAATTCCATAAAGCTCCTTAACCACAGAAGAAGAACTTACACTGGCAGAGTCACATGGGTTGTGCCAATTGGAACAATTTCCATGGATTTGCCCCAGAATTTGTTTTTCCATCTCACATCTGAAATGAAATACCAAATATTACATTTTTAGCAGGAGAGGTAGGTAGATGAAATAGTTCCTAGGCTAGATAAATGATCAATCGCTATATAGTACAACCTCTTCACAATCAAGTCAATTATTGTATAGGATAACTTTTCATAAAATATAAGTACCAACCCCATATGGGCCCTTGGAGCAGAATCAGGGAAACTAAAATGATAAGATAAAGTCCTTTCCATGAATGCGAGAAGTGAAAACAAGTAGTAAGCACACAGAGAGGCCCAGGCTATAACTGAGTGTGTTATAAGGTAAAATGAAACCTGAGAAGAAGGAGTGACGAATATGCTTGGAGAAAGCATCAGAAGAGGCTTGTCAGAAAGGGCCATCTAAATGGGGCTTTGAGGAATAAGCAGGAGTTCACTGGGCAGAGAAAAAGCAATTTAAGGCCAAATAAATAGCTTGTCTGAGGGGACGGAAGTATAGGAAAACACAGTCAAATAGTGTGGTTCTGTCCTATAGGTCTCAGATTGTCTTATCTAGAGAAGAGTAGAAAGGTTGAGAACAAAACCAGGTGCAGTGGCTCATGCCTGTAATCCTAGCACTTTGGGAGGCAGAGGTGGGTGGATCATTTGAGATCAGGAGTTCGAGACCAGCACAGCCAACATGGCGAAACCCCTTCTCTATTAAAAATACAAAAATTAGCTGGGCGTTGTGGTGGGTGCCTGTAGTCCCAGCTGCTCAGGAGGCTGAGGCAGGAACCCAAGAGGTGGAGGTTGCAGTGAGCCAAGATCATGCCATTGCACTCCAGCCTGGGTGATGGAGTGAGATTCTGCCAAAAAAAACAAAACAAAACTGAAAACGAAAAACAATGGGCTCTCCAAGCCTGGCTAAGAGTCTGGTTTGTGTGCACTGAGTGGAAATAATCAGGCCACTGATGTGATTAGACATGGACCTTGCAAAGGCAATTGGAAGCCATATGGAGAATGGAACAGGAGTAGGAGAGAGGAGAAGCAAGGCGACAAGTTAAGAGGCTACTGCAATTGCCCAGGGGATAACAAACGGGATGAAGGGAACCAAGACAACAGACGCGGGGAAGTGAGTGAGCCCAGAAATACTAAAGAAGAAGAAATAGGCACTAGGTCAACTAGGTGACAAGTTAGATACAGACTGAAAAAGAACGAATTTATGAACAATGTCAGATTTCTCTAACTTGCAATGAATGGTGGTACCAACAGAGAAGCCAGGAAATAGAAAAAGAACAGCAAGAGGATCCCATCTGGCTGCTGCACTGAGGATCTACAGATCACAGGGAAATCAGGGTTGAAGCAGGGGGGACAGTGGGGAGCCCTGGCTGGGGTCCAGGTGAGAGAGGTGGGTCTGGGACCAGCGAGCACAGTGGGCCTCATATTGTTTAATCCTATTTATATAAAATGCCCCAAACAGGCACATTTATAGGCTGGGGAATATTGAGAGAAATGGGGCAGGTGGCAGAGGGGGTGGATAATATTTGCTAAAGAGGATTCTTTTTGGAGTGATGAAAATGTTCTAAAATTAACTGTGCTGATAACTGCACAGTTTATTAAATTCACAATTCTGTGAATAAAAACCATTGAATTGTACACTTTACACGGGTGAATGATATGGTATATAAGTTATATGTTCATAAAATTGTTACCAAGAGAAAAAAAAGATAGATGGCTGTTTAAAGCTAAAGTATTAACAATGTACTACATGGTTTATGATATACAGAAGACGTATGAAAAAATAGTAGAGAGGTTGGGAAGGGAAAATGGAAGTATACTTCTGTAAATCTCACTATATGAAACTGGCATAATATTATTTGATGATATTAAAAATATATAACATAAATCCTAAAGTAACAACTTTAACAAGAAACAAAACAGGTAAGTATAGCTAATAAGCTAACAGGGGAGATGAAAGAGAATGATAGAAATTATTCAATCCAAAAGGCAGAGAAAGAGGAAACGGAGAACAAAGAACAGATGTGACAAACAGAAAAGAAACATCATGAGGGCAGATTTAAGCCCAGCTACATCTACAATCACAACAAACGGAAATGGTTTACACAACCTACATAAAAGGCAGAGAAATGTCAGGCTGGGTTACAAAGCAAGATTTGGGAATCCTAGGCCCATGGAAATAGGTAGATTGCTCAGGAAAAGGCTGATGGGGAAGTATGGCCTAGGAGAAGGATGCTAAGGCTGAGAAGGGAAGGATGTAACACAGGAGCACACAAAACTACTTTGAGAAGACCCCTCGCATTAAAAAAAAATCCAACTTTTGGCTGGGCGCAGTGGCTCATGCCTGTAATCCCAGCATTTTGGGAGGCCGAGGCAGGCGGATCACAAGGTCAAGAGATCAAGACCATCCTGGCCAACATGGTGAAACCCCATCTCTACTAAAAATACAAAAATTAGCTGGGCATAGTGGCGCATGCCTGTAGTCCCAGCTACTCGGGAGGCTGAGACAGGAGAATCACTTGAACACGGGAGACGGAGGTTGCAGTGAGCCGAGATCGCACCACTGCACTCCAGCCTAGCAACAGACTGAGACTCCATTTCAAAAAAAAAAAAAAAAAATCCAACTTTTGAAAAAACAAAGAAGAGGTGCTTATAGCATGAGTGAGATTTACCAATTAGGAGGCTAGGAACCTTATGAGAATATTTCCAGAGGGTTTTGGTGAGAGAGCAGTTTTAATTTTAAACTTTAATAGCAAAGGTGAAGAAAGAAAACCATGGTACTTGTCACTTTAAACTGGAAATACTGATTGCCTCCAAAGAGAGAAACTGAGTGGCTGGGGAAGGGGGTTACAGTATACTGTTTCGTACTTTTAAAGTTTAATAGACTGCGTGTGTGTGTGTGCCTGTGTGTGTAAAGGTAACGTGTGATATCACTAGTAGCAGAGAAAAATATTTTTAAAATGTATATGTGCTCACTGTCCAAAAACCTAGGATGCTTATATGTTCCTTCTACAGTACACTTTTTTTTAATAAATTGAGAGATTAACAAAATTAATCCATCTAGGAAATATCTATAGCCTTATTTATTCTTTAGAAGATTTACCCACCCAACCCCAACTCAAAATATAAACTGAACAAAATTTTAGGAACAATCATCTCAAAAATGAAAAGAAGTAAGCAATGTAAAACACGACTTCAGAAATAAAATTTAAGTTTGACAAAAGCTGAAAACCCCTCTGCTGTCTACACTCTGATAAACAACTGTAAATATTTAATGTCTCTTGAAATATGTGAGGCATTTCAAATGATTTTTACATAAGATAAAGTTACAGAAATAAATGGAGGTGGCTCAGATAAACTAAGTGAGAGATGAGAGGCAAGAACAGGTGGCGCAGATCCTTCCAACCAGGCCCAAATCCAAGGACCACTTTTGATCTCAGTAAGAATTGACAGCAATTCTTGGATAAAATAAATAGATAACATATTACACAATATGATGGAAGTAAAATGTATTAGCACATTACCTTGCCAGAAAACAAAATTTCTAGACTCAGCATGACACGCAGAGATAGGCGGATGGTGGCTGACCTGATGGAAACAAAGGACAGAAAAACAAAAAATGAATGAACTTTTGTGTCTCATGAAATCCATTCTTTCTCCCCTGCACTGAGATGTAACAGCGTGCAATGCTGAACTGAAGGAAAAACTTCTTTAGTTTCCCTCATCAAGTGTGTCCTCAAGAGGGCGCTCCTGATACAGTCAGCTCCCACTTGCTCAGATTGGTCAAGGCTGAGGGGAAGGCCCTTGAACGGAAGCCTCCAGAAGCCTCCGTGGGAGGGCGGCCAGGTGGCGAGTGATGAGGATAGAGGCGCATTTTGAAAGACATAAAAATAAAAACGGAGACATGTGAGGACTGCTCATCCATAACATATAATCTGACATTGGCTACCAATGTCAACATCTCTTATTAGCTGTTCTGAAAGTAGCTGCAGATGTTTTAATTAAGATATCAAATAACAAGTATTTTAAATGCAACCCAAAATGTTCTTCCTCGGGCTCAGCCAATTTAACTCTTGAAAACTCTGCATCATAAAGTCCAGCCTCTTTTCAAATCACCTACAAGAAGACCAATGCAAGGTAATTTTTTTAAAAAAGAGTGTTTCTATTAAAAAAAAAAAAGGTAAACACAATTGTTGAGGAAATGTTAGTCAACTGTTAAGAAATTTTATTTATTTTTGGTCTAATAAAACTATCTTAAGCAAATAAGTAATCTCATTCCAGAAAAGAGAATCCCCTGGAGCAGAGAGTGCCCTTTGGCAAGGGGTCATTACTCATTTTATTCAGCAGTGAAGAGGCTGAAGAGAAAATGGCTCCTCCCTCTATTTCCTCATCTCAGTCACACTCAGGGAACGTTGAGAGGTGTATATGCTGTCATTCTAATTCAGCACTGGTGAAACCACAGTAATGCTGCCAAGGGTGTTTCCAGAAAGTTCTCTGATGTAGCTGATTCTTAACAGAGGTGTCTTACATTGAGAGTATCTAGCTCAAAGCCTGCACCTTATAAACGAAGAGACTGAAACCAGAAAGATAAAGTAACATTTCCCAAGCCACACCAATAGTCAGGGAAGAGGTAGCGGTAAGTCCCAGCAGTTTTGGTTTACCTCACTGGTTTTCAAACTTTGCAAAAAGAAGAAAAAAAATGTTTTAAGCAGCTGTACAGTTTTCAGACCCGTCTTATCAAGAACCCAGAATACTGAGCCCTTGCTTGAGATAAACAGGTGGGGAGGAAGGGAGGGCAGTGGGTGACAAATCCACAGCTGTTCACCTTCCTTGGGACCCTCAGCTGAGGAACATGGTTTGAAAACTACTTCTGTATGCCAGGCCTCCAGCAGGAGGACTGCACGGCTGGGAGGATGTGGTCACACACGCCACACCCAGATGTGACTCATGGGATTACAGCCGTACCAGTGTGGGCCAAAGAAAGGTAGAGACAAAGACGTAAATCATGTAGGCATCTTTCAGATTCCTCAATAAACACCAACGCCAGCTGCAATACAAAGCAGGAGACTCAAATCTGCTGCTCTTTGGTTTGTCTTAGTTCCCATGTGCCTCCTAAGAACGTGAGCCCTTCTGTGCCTGTGGGATTTTCAAGGGCAACTTTCACTTCAAGCACTGACTTAGAAACCTAATCCCATAATGTAACTCTCTGATTTCCTTTGATGTTGTCTTTTTTCTTTTTTTGAGACAGGGTCTCCCTCTGCCACCCAGGCTGGAGTGCAGTGGCACAATCACAGCCCACTACAGCCTTGACCTCCAGGGCTCAAGTGATCCTCCTGTCTCAGCCTCTCAAGTTGCTGGGACTAAAGGTGTGTGCCACCACGCCCGGCTAATTTTTTCACTTTTTGTAGGGATGGGGTCATGCTATGTTGCCCAGACTGGTCCGGAACTCCTGGCCTCAAGTGATCTTCCCACCTCAGCCTCCCAAAGTGCTGGGATTACAGGTGTGAGCCACCATATCCAGTTATCTTTTTTAAAAAAATCCTACCACTTGGAGATACCTTATATTAAAAAATGCTACATTCTTCTCCTTTTCTTCACTAGCTGTCTTTCGATGAAAACAACGGAGCTAGCTTTGAAACCATGGGATCATATAAAACAAAATCAAGGTGCAGTGGCATAGCCCTGTAATTCCAGCTACTTGGGAGGCTGAGGCAGAAGGATCCCTTGAGCCCAGGATCCAGGAGTTCAAGACCAGCCTGGGCAACATAGTGAGACACTATCTATAATAATAATAACCATTAATCAGCTCAAGACAATCCCCACTCCCCACTTCTCCACCCCAGCTGGCATGACCCACTATGAAATGGAAGGAAAGCTATGAAATGTTCCTCTCCCCCATAATGTAAACATATTTTAAAGTGGATTATTATGAAGTAGATTATATTCATCCCACAAAAACAATGTAGCAATGTGGGAGAGGAGCACTATAGCTTTGATGAAGAATTTGGCATCTTTACAGGTATGGCCGAATGTAAACACAGTATATAAAAACCATACGCCTCTTCTGTAATAATTTTAAACCCCATAAAACAGGGATAAATATACATCCATATGAATTACAAGAGAACCCCTACAGTATACACACATCTCATAAAAACCCAACCTTGATTTTTTTAAACTATTGTGTTAGATAATGAATGAATGTTTAGCAGATTATGTTTAGATGGGTTCAACACATTTTCTGAATAAGTCTCAACCTTCAAATATCAGTAACTTTGCTTATTTCTTTATGGCTTACACAGGCCTTTGGGAATGGTTTATTTGGCCCACATTGCTTTTAAGAGTTTTACAAAGCTTTCTGGGGAGATTTACATTGATAGCTTATTATTTTGTATATTTCCTCCTATTTCTGGAGCATCTGCCATGTGCTGCACTAGTGTCCGGGAACGAGGGAAAGGTTTTTGTTGTTCCATGGACCTGGGCCCTGACTGCAACATCATCTGCTGGCTGTATGACCTTCACAGCTTTTCAGTCCCTTCAGCCTCTGTCACCTCATCTGTGAAATAAGGCTGATTCCACTGACTCGGCCAACTAAAAAAAGAACACATACAAACTGTCCAGGATCATACACTGATGTGGATTAGGCAGAGACTAAGTGAAAATATACTCATTTAAAAGAGACTAAGTGAAAATACACTCATTTAAAAAATCAAAATATAGATTTCTAAAATGAGTGTATTTTCACTTAGTTCTTAGGGCAGCCTTGTATCTTGGTGAGCCTGATTTTATAAATTAGGAAATAGGGGTTCTGGCCAGCAAAGAGCTTCCCCAATGCCACAACATTAATGAGTGATAAAGGTAGCACTCCAAACCTATGTCATCCTCTTCCAGATCCAGGGCTCGTGTCCCTCCCCAAAGCCAGGACACATCATTAAGGTTCCTTCTCATGGACATTTAGAGAAAAAAAACTTTTGAATTTGACCTTTCCAACCTCAGTCTCGCATATTTCTTTGTAAAATGAGGTGTGAGGATCCCTCTTGGCTTCAAAATGCTCTGATTCTAACATCTGCTGTTAATGTCTTCTTCGAATCTTAGCATCAAAGGTGGTGGCGGATGCTGGCCAACTTGAAAAAATTATACAAAGGCTTTGATTAACTTCAATGCCCATGGAAAAAGGTAATTCACAGTTAATCACTTAATCTTTGTTGATGGCAATCTTTCTAAAATCTATTAGAGTAGAGAATAATGAGCAGAATCTAACCTGTCTTTGTTATTGCAGGATTTTGGTTGAGTCTGTATTCTCCTTACATTTTAATTCAGGCAAAAAGGGCAGTAAATGCATTTGTCTGAATTGACCCAGCCCTGGAAGGAGATGCTGTCTGTTAGCCTGTTGAATAAACCCAATTTAGACTTTTTTTTTAAGCATTCTTCCCTATCACGTCCTCTCCAATCAAAGAAGAGCAATTCTTGATTGGTAAGGATGCCCAAGCATTCAAGAAATTAGTACACATGGTTTTTATTACGCAAGTATTTATATGGTAACACATGTATCTATCTTTCTTTCTACAAGCCCCAATACAGTTCCCCTGGCAGTTAAGAATTCTGGTAATTTATAATTTATTTATATATCTGAGGCCTTTCTTTACCTTGACCTAATCATTTTTAATTTATGCTTTGAATGCACTTTATATAAGAGGTCAGGGGAGAAGCAGATAGGAAAAGGAGGTATTTTCAGTATTTTTGTACTTTGTAAGTTTTTATTTTTCAGATTTAGAAAAGTAGCCCTTCAGTACATCAGTTCTCCCCTGCAACTGCTCCAAGGCATAACTATCCAGTCCTCCTAGGTCCTGATTTCCCTGCAGCAATACAGGGCAATAACGAAAAAGAGGGCAAGTGCCAGGTGAAGAAGTCATCCAGAGAGGGGACCAAGTGGCCATTCTTTCCAGGTCACTCATCAAGTACTTATTGATTGCCTGTGATGTGTCAGGCACCGTCCTAGTCACCAAGGGTAAAAATTCTTACCCTGATGGAATTTATATTTTAGTATGGAAGTGGGTAAGACAAACGACACATAAGAAGCACATAATTTGTCAGTAGAAATTGTGTTAAGGAAAATAAAGCAGGGCATGAGGATGTGGGGACAGTGAGTAGGAGTGCTGGTCAGACAGGGTGGTGGGGCAGGACTCTAATAATGGAAACCTGTGGGGCTGAGAGAAGTTCGGAAGTTAACCATGCAGATATCTGAGAGAAGCACGTCCCAGGCAGGGGACACAGCAAAGGCCAATGGCTGGAAAATGCTTGGTATGAAGCAGAAGAAGCAAGGCCAGTCTGGCAGAGCTAAATGAGGAGGTGGGGTAAGTAGGAGAAGTGTCTGAGGGTGAGATTTTCGAGGGCGTTGTGGACCATGGCCAGGACTTTGGATTTTATTCCAAGTGACTTGGGAAGTTGGTGGAGGATTTAGAGCAGCTGCTGCTTCTGTTTTAAGCAGTCACTGGGGCTGCTGGATAAGGAATTAACTGGCTCTGGAAACAGGAGACCAGTAGTGAGTCCTACTGCAATAATCCCAGTCATTGATTTTAGTGGCCTGAGCTAGGTGACCAGCATCACATGGGAGAGAAAGTGAAAATGGCTGGCTGTAGAAGGAAGGCTTCTGAAGGGAGACCCCAGGATTTGCTGATGAGAGGATGTGAATGATGAGAGAAAGAGCTATTAAGGATGATGCCAAGAATTCTGGCCTGATTTTGGGGAGAATGCAGATGCCAATTATTTTCCCTTCTCCCATGTTCAGAGTGAATCACTTATCTCATAAACACATGGCCTCTTGCAAAAAATTAAAAAACAAAAACACATTAAGTGCTGACTTGACCTAGAAATGGAGAAAACCACAAAGCAATGGTTTAGTTGTCTCATATTTGATTTATTGCTGGTTTTATTTGAACGGCTTGAATTTACCCTTTGAGTGTCTTTAAGAATTTACCCTTTGACAGTATCTTTACTTATTTAATCAGTAATAAATAACTCTGCTAACTAGTAGATACAAGGACTATGCAGAGGTGACATGAGTGTGCAAGGAGGAAGTGATGGGTGTGGCAAGTATAAGCCTGTCCAAGAATGTATGGACTCAGAGTCCTCCAATAAATAACAGAAAAGGAAGAAAGGCTGAGCCTGTAGAGCAAAAGAAAAGATCTTCATTTCAATCTCTTACATTTTAGTAACTTTTAATAACTGCACTCAGCTTTTCTGACACTGTCAAGGGTATGCAGGTGGGTGGGTAAATGGTTAAAATGAACAATGATCTGGACAACTAAAGTTTCATGTAATTAGGAAAAGCTACTTTTAGACTGTAGCTTAATTGCATATCCTTTCAACACCAAACCTTTCCCAAAGGTATGAAAAAAGGAACATAGCCAACTGAAATAAGTTTTCTGACCCATCTATTCCCTTGATGCAGCTCAAAACCAGTGTGTTAGCTCTGCCAGGCAGCAGGAGGACGCAGCAAGCAGGGAATCACCTGCCAGAGGATACTTAGTCCCTGAACAGTAAGGAAAGAAGGGAAGTCCTTCCTCTCTGAATTCTTCCTTTTGTGAGTTTATGTAGAAAGCCAAGGTTGAAACCGATTTTTTGGCACAAAGGAAACCTCTGAGAAGGTGGAAGAGCCAGAGGGTCAGAACCTAGGACAGGAATGTCTATGACTCACTCCTGATCGGTCCTCTTTCACAAAGGCCACACCCCTGCCTACCACAGGAGTGGAGAACAAAGTCCTATGTGAGTCTGGAGAGATTTTGCATGGTGAGAACGAACAGCATACACAAAGGGCTGCTTTGTGTATACTGTACTCCAGTAGCTCTGAGCATAGTCACTGAGTCCACACAAGAGACCCCACAGAGAGTAAGGGGAAAAGGAGGCAGGGATGGAAACAGAGGGGCTGGGTTCTAGCATTTGCTGAGGGGCACCGGGAAGCTCAAATCCTCTAGGCCTTGGTTTTCTCGCCTGTAACTGATCCCTGCCTCACCTTCCACAGAGCGCCGTTTTGGAGATCAAGTAAGATCATGAATGCACGGAGCACTCTACAAATCTAATACTTGTTCTAAGAAAAATTTTTAACAAGAAATGCTTTCTCTGATTTCTGACCACATGAATCATTTTGATGTTGTGGTTTTGGGTCTTTTAGACGAGAAACAATACAGAGAGGCAAGCTTCGACAGAGTCGAACTCTCAAGCAGCAATGACTTCCACTTGCCTGGCTGCTCACCACCTCGAACATCCACATGCCCAGCAAATCCACAAGACAACAAAATCAAGGGGCTTGGAAGAGAGGCAGCCATCACTTTCCAACTCAGACTGTTGTCTAGAAAACTCAGAAGAAAAGCCAAGCTGTTTCTTGCCAGGTCCTTAAGCTTGGAGATACAATTTCCATCATTATCCTCCTTAGAAAAAAATTCCACCCAAAAATATTAATTCGGGGGGCTTGCCCAGTTTATTATACTAGTCATCCAGAAACCTGTACTCATTGTAGAGAGGCACAAGAAAACAAACCTCTAAGCCATGAGAGCTTATCAATGACACATAATGGACAAGGGCGGAGTCATGCTGTCTCCATCAAGGTAGACTGTCTCCTGGGCTGGAGGCAGAAAGAGCCATACCAGGTACCAGCAGGAAACAGAATAAATGCTCTGGCACTCTCTTCAGATGTGTTAAATTAGAATAGACAGCATTGGGAGAGGGAAAGAGGGGTACTGAGCTGATAGGCTCCTGCTGGCCAGGGAAAGGGAGGCCCTGGCCCTACACCCTTCCCACTTCTAGGGCAGAGGACTGCCTGGTGTACTGAATCACATAGCTGCATCTTCACACTGTATGCTCACTTAGGATTCTCATTGGCTTCCCAAGTAATCTGCCTATGGGAAAATCATACCTAGTCACACTGGACAATGCTTTCTGATCCCCATAGCAGGTCTATTTTTCACAGTAAATGCATTTAGTAGCATTCTAGTTTATATACATCAGTCTCTTGTAAGCTTAGTGTGAATTTATCCCTGAGAGACTCATCCATTCTTAGGTATATTAAAATAACCAACTATCTGCAGCCATCAGGCTAAATTCCAGACAGATGAAGCAGCTCCATGATGATCAGGACTGGTGGTATGACCATGGTGAAGCCAGCTGTGAGAACTCCTGGCTGCCTGACAGCCATTTTCTGTCAGAGACTCACCAGCGACATCAAGTCCCCTTCAAACTACTTGTACTAGAAGTGGAGATATAGCATATCTTATTTGAACATAAGAAAGTATATATTATAGATATATGCCTTTCTAGTTTTCTTTCATCAAGTCATTCCTCAGCCTCCTCTCTGCCTTGTCAACACTCCTCTTACTATTCTTTTCCCTTTTTTTTTGAAATGGAGTCTTGCTCTGTTGCCCAGGCTGGAGTGCAGTGGTGCGATCTCGGCTCACCGCATCCTCCACCTCCCAGGTTCAAGTGATTCTCCTGCCTCAGCCTCCTGAGTAACTGGGATTATAGGCATGTGACACCACACCTGGCTAATTTTTTGTATTCTTAGTAGAGATGGGGTTTCACCATGTTAGCCAGGCTTGTCTCGAACTCCTGACCTCAAGTGATTCACCTACCTCAGCCTTCCAAACTCTTACTATTCTTAACACTTTATATTAAAAGGCATTGTAGGCCAGGCGTGGTGGTTCATGCCTGTAATCCCAGCACTTTGGGAGGCCAAGGCGGGCGGATCCCATGAGGTCAGTTTGCGACCAGCCCGGCCAATATGGTGAAATGCCATCTCTATTAAAAATACAAAACTTAGCTGGGCATGGTGGCACAAGCCTGTAGTCCCAGCTACTCGGGAGGCTGAGGTGCGAGGATCACTTGAACTGGGAGGCAGAGGTTGCAGTAAGCCGAGATTGTGCCACTGCCCTCCAGCCTGGGCGACAAAGTGAGACTCTGTCTGAAAAAAAAAAAAAAAGAAAAAAAAAAAAAAGGCATCGTAGAAGTTCCCACTAAATATAAGAGCAATAGCCATTTACTGAATATTTCCATCAGTGTATTATTTTGTTTAAGCCTTACTACAACCTATTAGTCAAACATTATCATTCCTAATTTACAGATTTTTTTTTTTTTAAAAAGGAAGGCTCAGAAAGTTGAAGGAACTTACATAAGGTCACACATGGAGCAAATTGTGGAGTTAAGATTTGAAGCAGGCAGGTCTGTACATCCTACACCCAGCACATTCTAAACTACTAACAATAACCAGTTCTCTTTCTTGCTTATTTCATGGAACTAAATGCTGAGTTATGTAACCCTCTTTCTGTCTTTGTGCACATGTGCCCAGGAGCTCTGATTTCTCCCCCACTGTGCCACCATGGGAAATACACAAACAGATCTTGAATTTGGCCCTGTCCCACCAGGGCTCAGAGGACTGAAGCTCAACTTTACACAGCTCATGTTACTATTCTTTTCTTATAGCTATTCATCCTGTCCTGATTGTCTGCTGTAGTTTGAGGCTATTTTTGGCCTTTATTTTTTCACAAGAGTGCATATGATACCATGGAAACCAAATTATATTTTCATTTATTCTCATTCTATTTTAGGTTCAGTATTTAAATAACCCAGATGAATTCTGAATCACACAGATTATCTTATCCCCTTTAACTACTGATTTAACTCCCTACTTCCCCAGTGTTAGTCCATGTTTAATTTCTTGTTTTAGCTTCTAACTGGCAAGCTACTGACAGTGTGCTTTGGGTTACTGTATATTCACTTTCCTTTGAGTTCCAGAGAACACTCCTTATCATTTACAGTTAAGATAAGCACTATCATCATAAGTCTCTCAGCCAACCCACGCTTCCCCTCCTCTCCCTGTAGTGCAAATCCATTGATAAAGAGAGCAGCAAGATAAAAGAATATTTTAGCAATCCACCCCCCTTCTCCTCAGTTCTCTAAGAACTAGGGGGTGAGAAATGTACAGAAGCAATGATGTCTAATGTCCCTAGGGATTTAGGGATATACAGAGAGTGGACGTGTTTGATTGCTACCTTAACAAGGTGGGAGAGGGTGTATTTTATTTTTTAAATTTGTTATAATTTTAATAAAATTTCTTTCTGCATATCTTAGAGGTTTTTTTTAAAATTTCAATATGTATACACTCTATTTTAGGTAAATAATCCCCTGTTGACAAGCATTTTAGATGTTCCCAACACTCCACCATTATAAACTCTGCTGGCATGCATCAATAATGACAGCAAACACTCATATAACATGTATCTTCATGTCTCAGATGCTGCTCCAAGTGCTTTGCAGACAGTGCCTCATTGAATCATCACAAAACCACGTGAGGTACATATAACTGTCATCCTCTCCACTCTCAAGAGCAAACTAAAGCACAGAGAAGCTATGTAACTTGCCTTGGGTTATCATGCTAGTAAGAGGTAGAACTGAGGTAGGACGGATCCTGGGCTGTCTGAAGCCTGAGTATTACTCTATGCTACTTCTATGGCAAGAGTGTGATGGAACCTTAGGCTGCATGAGTACAAGGTTGTGCATCCATCAGATGAGGGCAGGGACTCCTGTCCGGACCCCTCACCCCCCACCCCACTGCAATATCCTAGCACCTGGAACAGTGGCAGGCACATGGTATACGTTCTAGAAATAATTTATTGATGTGAATGAATAAATACATGAATGAATGATTCCTCTCAAATCAAAATTGAGAATAACGCATTTATCTGGCGCTACCCACTCTGCTGGGGGCATTCATGCTCTGGAATAATGATGTCAGTGTGTTAGGGAGCAATGTTAAACCTCTAAATTGAAGTTTGGGCCAACATTCATCCTTTCAAAATTCCTTGTGCTAATGATTTTAAAGAGAAAGGACACCGGCAATGCATGTAGCCAAGCAAGTGTGCAGAATTACGGGTGGTAACTTTATGCCCCTGGGTGGTGGCTTGGCTTCAGTGGAAGGGAAATCGATCCCTCCCTTTATGTTGAAAAGCACTGTAATTATCTCGGCTGCTTTGAAGCCAGTGAAAGGTGGAAGATAAATATTTCAGAAGCACATTTAATGGGAGACATAAGCAACCCCTCCCAACAAGCAAAAAATGGTGTACATCTACCTGTTCTGAAAAAAACTGGAAGCCCTTGTCCTCCCGAATACATTCATATGTTTCTCCAAGAACCGGATTAAATGGCTTGCTTCCAGCTCGGTAGTAGCTAGATGCATACGCTGATATGGCAAAGGCTGCCACATATACCTAAGGACAAGAGAAAAGAACTTTGTCATTTCCGTGTCACCAAGAGCTTTATTGTTCACAAAGAACTAAACAAAATAAAACCTCTATGATTTTCTTTCAGAAAGCCAAAGATTTGTCTTTGGTTGTTTTTAAACAACATAGGTTTAAAATTGTAGGTTTAAATAATGTTTATCTGGGCCCCAAAACAAATTAACCCAATGTTTTAAAGCTGTCCATTTATCTTGATGCCTAAAAGTTGGGAGATGCTATAAAGACGATGACATTTCTAAACTGGACTACACTGTTTCTGGAAACTGTTAAGCTGAGTCCAGTACTTTTAAGCCTGACAGTATCTGAGGATCCTAATATGGTGCTAAGCCTTCAGGGGTGGAGTGGGGAAAGAGTATTAAAAAAGGAGTGTTAAAAAATCCCTCCAAAACTCAGGAATCAGCATCATAAATTTAACCATTCAAAATGTGGTATTATAGAAACCAAAACATTCATTTTGACCAAAGAAAATCTGTGAGTCATTTCCTAAGCCTGGGAAACAAGCCACAGGATATAGTGACTTTAAAGTTCTGCTTTTTTGGGAGGAAAAGTGAAACATCCAAAAAAAAAATTAAAATAAAGAGAGGAAGGAAGAAAAACTTTACGTGAACACGAAGTGAACAAACTCTCTGGGCAGCCCTTACTGTGAGGTCTTGGCGTCTTTAGCAATTCCCCGTCAGGGCATCAGGGAGGCACATTACCTTCTTTGTCTTTTCTTCCATGTATGTAACAACAGTTAAGCCTAAGCAGGGATGTCCAATTTTCCTTTCTAATGTCAGGTAGTAACAATCTCAAGATTTCTTCTTCCCAGCACATTTCGTGCAGTTTCTTATACTGAAGAAGAGCTGAGTGCCTTTCATAAATGCCCACTAGTCACATAACCTTCTGCTAAATTTTTGATGTTGCCTGTAATAGGGACCACCTCACCACCTCATGCTATAGAATTCTCTAGAGCAGCTGGATGGCTTATAAAAATCAGCTATACTCGGCTGGGTGCAGTGGCTCACGCCTGTAATCCCAGCACTTTGGGAGACCGAGGCAGGTGGATCTGCTTGAGCCCAAGAGTTCAAGACCAGCCTGGACAACATGGCGAAACCTCTTCTCTACAAAAAAAATACAAAAGACATAGCTGGGTGTGGTGGCACATGCTTGTGGTCCCAGCTGCTTGGGAGGCAGAAGTGGGAGGACTGATTGAGCCCAGGAGGTCGAGGCTGCAATGAGCCGTGATTGCACCACTGCATTCCAGCCTGGGTGACAGAGCAAGACCCTGTCTCAAAAAAAAAAAAAAAAAAAGAAGGGCCAGGCACGGTAGCTCACACCTGTAATCTCAGCACTTTGGGAGGCCGAGGTGGGCAGATCACGAGGTCAGGAGTTCGAGACCAGCCTGATCAACATGGTGAAACCCCATCTCTACTAAAAATACAAAAATTAGCCGGGTGTGGTGGCGCACGCCTGTAATCCCAGCTACTCAGGAGGCTGAAGTAGGAGAATCACTTGAATCTGGGAGGTGGAGGTTGCAGTGAGCCGAGATTGTGCCACTGCACTCCAGCCTGGGCGACAGAGAGAGACTCTGCCTCAAAGAAAAAAAAAAAAAAAAAAGAAGAAGAAAAAATCAACTGCACTCAAGTCAGTCCTACTTGTGACTGCCTGTGTTCTTGAAACCTGGGTGTCTGTTCCTCTTCCTGCTTCTCCACATTGGTGACCTGTGAAACAGTACAGCCACACTGTGTATGGAATGCTGAATCAACCCTTAATCACCTTCACCATGTAAAATAGAACACAACCGATGAAAGAACCTAGTGCCATTCATGATGTTGTGGGGAAGACAGAGCGAAGGGGAGGCAGAAGGAAGCACTCTCCCTGTGGGTTGGTGGCATGAGGGAGAGTCCAGGCAGGGGCATAAGCAGACGTGCAGGACAGTAAACAAAACCCATGAGATAAGACTCCTGCTTAGTGGTTATGTTGGGGATGAGAAGCCTCTCCTCAAACCTCTGCTCAAGGTCAATTACACTGATCAATCAGCTGAATATCCTAAGGGTCTCTAAATTGCCACAGCATGAAACATCTTTAAGAAACTTTCATCCTCAAAGCCAATCATTTCCTTTAAAGAAAAGAGCTGTCCACAAATGCTGACTTTTAACACTTGCTTAGAAGCTATTTCTAGAAGATTTGCCTTCCTTTTATTCAGCAAAAATTATCTGGGGACAAGTAACAAAGAAGAGTTTAAAAAATACAGCTTGTTTTTGTCTCCTACCCTGATTATCAGTAACAAGAAAGAAAGTCTCTTGGGCCAGGTACAGTGACTCATGCCTGTAATCCCAGCATTTTGGGAGGCCAGGGCAGGAGGGTTGCTTGAGTCTAGGAGTTCGAGGTTGCAGTGAGGTAGGACTGCACCGCTGCACTCCAGCCTGGGTGACAAAGACCCTGACTCAAAAAAAGAGAAAGTCTCTTTGATGGGGAGGCCCTGGAGACTGGGCAGAATGACTATGGGCTATCCCTCTCAGACAGCAGTTAAGATTCCCCCTTAATCTTCAAATCATTGAAGTAATGATGTTTTAATGAGCGCTAGAACTGCAGAATGCTTAGAATGTAGAAAATAATAGCATCCTCTATCAATGGGGAGTGTCGGCAGGGCTAGGTCTGTGAAGCCGAGGGGGCACTCCAATTCCAATGTAGCCAATTGGCAAATGCCCAGGAGAGAGACTCTGCATCTGGGGGACACTGCTGTCCCAGCATCCCATAGAGACAATGACCTTACTGCTCTAAGGTCACTGAATATAAGGAAGCAAAAAGCGGTACAGACACCCACGTTCAAGAACAAAGTTAGTCACAGTCATAGAGAGGGCTGATCTGCCCAGAGTCTTGCCCTTTGGGTACTCCCTTCCCAATCTCCCTACCCATGAGATGGGGGAAAGATGAGAAATACTTGGAAGCCCTTTTAAAAGCCAGCATGCTGTGACTGGAGCTGATGCCCAGTAGGGAAGAGAAGGCTTTTCTACGATTTTTTTTAAGTACTCTATAAAATAAGAGGGAGAGAGAAAAAAAGAATATTTCTGATGTGAAAACCTCCTCTTGTGAACTTTATTTTCCAAAAACCTAGGAGCTGATGGGACAATTCCAGAAATAAACACAAACATTCTCAGGGGAAACTTACCCTGGATGAGAAAAACAGCTCGAGAAATTAAATTCTGTCCACCCAGGGAAGTAAAAATAAACATGCAGACAGCCCTAAAGACATGTTTTCCAGCCGGGCACATCGGAACAATCAGCCAGAAGGCTTCTGGAGAAAGAGGAAGCACAAACCCACAGAACAGAACTACCCCAGGCACCAAGTGCCACGGAGAAGCACCCCAACCCCGTCTCCAAATCCTCACAAGGTGACTGGAAACAGCCAGGCGGAGGAAGCCAGACAGCTCTGAGTAATGAACCTGTTTACGGAACAATCAAAATGAAACCGGAGGGAACAGGGGCTGTCTCTCTGATGGGCCCCGTGAATGGCCTCGTGGCTTGGGGACCGAGGCTGGACAGTGGCAAGGGAAGGCTGACTCCTCACCATCCTTTCCAGGGGGCTGGGAATCTGCGCGGCCTTGTCCAGGAGCTCGCTGTACTCCAGCTCCTCGCAGAGCCTCTGCAGCGTGTTCAGGGGCTCGTTCAGCTCCACCGGCATGGCCACCTTGGACAGGTCCTTCCCGATGTTGTTCCTCAGGATGTTCCACAGGCTGATGTTACTGCTGCTCGGGCAGGGCGCCGGCAGGCACGTTCTTCTCCGGGACTTCGCTTCCCGACCACTATCAAGGACAGGCCCTGAAAGGGAAAGAGGCCTGGTTGTCTCTATAAAGCTTTTCATTTTATTCTATTATTTTTAATCCACGAATAAAACCTTACGTAGCAAGTAGTCAATGTTACTATTAAACTCAGTTGTTCAGAGTATGGCTGAAGTCAGAAAACCGGCAAAAGAATTCTGAGCAATTAAATACCAAAAATGACACACACTAAAACCCATCGACTTTATTCACAGGGAAGACCTTGAATTGCTCCTCAAAACCTAGTTCCTCATAGCTCATACACACTTAGAATAAAACTGGAAATTGGATTTCTATGCCTATAGTTGCTTATTGTTTATAAAAACTTGTAAACTTTTTAAAAAATCACTTTAAATTCTGGTAAAACAATTGTGTTTATTACAGGAAAACTATAAAGGAAATAATGGTCTTTTCATTGCTCCACCACCCCAAAATAGCAGCCATTTATATATTAGAGTATCTTCATTTCGTGTTTTCTCCATTTGTGTTGTTCATACTGTATACGTATTTTATATTCTGCTTGTTCAGCTAACAGAGTATTTTTCCATATTATTTAAAATTTTTCTAAAACATCAGTTTTTGCTCAATATCACTAATCATTAGAGAAATGCAAATCAAAACCACAATGAGATATCATCTCATACCAATCAGAATAGCAATTACTAAAAAGTCAAAAAATAACATGCTGGTGAGGCTGCAGAGAAAAGGGAATACTTATACACTACTGGCGGGAATGTAATTAGCTCAGCCATTGTGGAAAGCAGTTTGGCAATTTCTCAAAGAACTTAAAACAGAACTGCCACTCAACTCAGCAATCCCATTACTGACTATATACCCAAAGGAATATATATTGTTCTACCATAAAGACGCATGCACGTGTATGTTTATCACAGCACTATTCCCAACAGCAAAGACATGGAATCAATTTAAATGCCCATCAACAGTAGACTAGATAAAGAAAATGTGGTACATATACACCATGGAATACTGTGCAGCCATAAAAAAGAATGGGATCATAGCCTTTGCAGCAACATAGATGGAGCTGGAGGCCGTTAACTAAGCAAACTAACACAGGAAGAGAAAACCAAATGCATGTTCTCACTTGTAAAGGGGTACTAAACGTTAGTTCACATGAACATAAAGAAGGGAACCATAGACACCAGGGCCTACTGGAATGTGGAGAGTGGGTGGAGGGTGGGTAGTGGGTGAGGATCAAAAACCTACCTATTTGGTGCTATGCTTATTACCTTGGTGATGAAATAATCTGTACAGCAACCACCGTGACATGCAATTTACCTATAGAACAAACCTGCACATGTACCCCTGAACCTAAGAGTTTAATAAATCATTTTTAAAGACTGTAAAATATTTTTTGCCTATATCTTTATTTTCTTAGGATATGAAGAAGCGGGATTACTATGTCAACAACTCTGAATGTTGTTAGACTTCTGATTCACATGATCAGACTGCTTTTCAAAAAGGCTGCCCCCAACTTCCCCATTTATCGGCAGCAGATGTGAACATCCATCTCCTGAGGCCTCTTCAGGCTTGTCATTTTCATTTTTAATTTCTGTCAAATTGTCAGGTGGACAGTGTAACCACCTTGTTCTAGCTTACATTTAAAAGATTTCCTGTGTGGTTTGGAGTGCTTTCATGAGCACTTCTTCTTTGCTGAATTGTCTGCCTTCCTATTTATGTATTAACACCATACTCTCTTGTTTTATATTTGTTTTACAATTCAATCCCCACTTGGTATTTACCTTTAAATTTGGCCCATGGAGTATTTTGATGAATGAAACATATTTTAGGTATGCCAATCTATCAATCTTTTCCTTCGTTTCATGCTCTGAAATTCCTATCCTCCATTGTGCCTGTTTTCAAATGAAATCTCTTGCATATTATTTTTATTTATATATCAATAAACATACTTTGTTGATATATATTTTATTAAACATATATATTTAACATTTACTTATTATAAAGCCAATCACTGAATAAAGGGGCTGCTCTGATGAACAGAAACACATGAAAACAGGGCCACACTGTGCATCTCATGTTAATCTAATCATCCAATTAACTTCTGAATTTGTTTTGCTTTTTTAAAATTAATTTTTTTTGAGACAGAGTCTTGGTCTGTTGCCCAGGCTGGAGTACAGTGGCATAATCTGGAGTCACTGCAGCCTCTGCCTCACCGGCTCAAGCAATCTTCCTGCCTCAGCCTCCCAAGTAGCTGGGACCACAGATGCACACCAACATGCCTGGCTAATTTTTTGTATTTTTGTAGAGATGAGATTTTACTATGTTGCCAAGGCTGATCTCAAATTCCTGAGCTCAAGTGATCCACCCACCTCAGCCTCCCAAAGTCCTGGGATTACAGGCGTGAGCCACCACGCCCAGCCTGTTTTAGTTGCTTAATATGGGTAAATACAACATAGGTAAGTAGCTGCAAATGGCAGTTTTAAAATTAATTAATTAAATATTGAGATAGGGTCTTTCTCAACAGGGTCACTCAGGCTGGAGTGCGGTGGTATGATCATAGCTCACTGTAACCTCGAACTCCCGGGCCTAAACAATTGTTCCACCTCAGTCTCCTGAGTAGCTCAGACTACAGACATGCTACACCACGCCTGGCTAGTTTTTGTATCTTTTTTAGAGACAGGATCTTGCTATGTTGCGCAGGCTGGTCTCAAACTCTTGGCCTAAAGCAATCCTCCTGCCTCAGCCTCCCAAAGTGTTGGGATTATAGGTGTGAGCCACTGTGCCTTGCCTGTAGTCATTTTTGAAAACAATTTTTCATGTAGTCTCAAAAAATTTTCTTTGATTACACTAATCTGAATTTTGAAAGCATGCTACTCCACCGCCATCATCACCACCAATACTACTAACAGCTAACACATATCTTGCATTTTATTCTGTGACAGGCAGTCTTCTAAGCATTTCACATGCATTATTCCTACTTATCCTATGTAACTACCACTTGTGGTAAACAGTATTATTATCCCCATTTCACAGATGAAGAAAATGAGGCATAGAGGAAGTAAGTATCTGGTCCCAGAACACACAACCACTGAGTGGCAGAGCTGGGGCTAACCAAGGAAGTCTGGTCCCTTAATCTGTATTCTTAAACACTTAACTTCCCCAAAGTACCCAGCATAGAGACAGGTCCTAATATGTGCCCAGCAACACTGTGGGGAAGAAATTAATAGGAAACACTCTAAAAACCTCATGTTTACTATAAACTCAAAGAATAACAGTGTAGCAAGATCTTGGTCCTAACACAGGCAAAATGATGATATGAAATGTAAAGGTTATTTCTGTATCCAATCTTTTCAGTAGAGTATTGATGCTTAGAAATATAATCTCCCCCAACCCCTGGGAATGTCTGTAAAGAACTAGGGGACACACATTTCTAGTATTCAAACACTGACAAAGAAGAAAACTGGGTTTTGCCCAGTGTTTGTTCAAGAAAGGCAATGTAGACCAGGCAAGGTGGCTCATGCCTATAATCCCAGCAATTTCGGAGGCTGAGGCGGGCAGATTACTTGAGGCCAGGAGTTCAAGACCAGCCTGGCCAACATGGTGAAACCCTGTTTCTATTAAAATACAAAAAATTAGCTGGGCATGATGGTGCGTGCCTGTAATCCTAGCTACTCGGGAGGCTGAGGCATGAGAATTGCTTGAACCCAGGAGACAGAGGTTGCAGTAAACCGAGATCGCACCACTGCACTCCAGCCTGGGCGACAGAGTGAGACCCTGTCTTCATACACAAAAAAGGGCAATGTTAGTTAGCATTCTCGCAACATGAATGTAAACTACGACAGAACCAGCTCTAACCTCTAAGCTTTTCCTGGCTGGTGTCAACACAGCACAGCTGTGGACTTAGGTTCTGAACCATGTCCTCTCTTGACCTTTGACCTCTGAACATTCCATTAACTTTGTGCTTCCTATGGCTCCCTCTCCATAGACTCAAAGAAATGGAGGACTTCCACATTTGTCAATCCTCCTCATCTACAGTGGGAGCACCACTTTAGTGTGCATGCTGTTTGCCAAGGGAGTGATGTTTCTTCATTTCTCTTTCAACTTGCCTCCTTGTTTTTCTAGAAAAATAAGCAGCACACAAACTTGCTCCAGTGTTTTTGGCCTTCTTCTTCAAACCCACTGGTTCTTAGACCTTTCCACTAAGGGGTTCATCTCCCAAGAAACATTTCAAACAAAATACCAACCACGATGAGCATCTTACTTCTAGCAGGTGTGATACTGAAAGGATACTCTTCCAAAGCATGGTAAAATTACCTGCTTTCTTCCCCTATACTGCGGTCCCCCAAAAGGTGGCTCTTAACCATTCAGATAACAATTCATCCGTTCACACATACACACTGAGCTGAGGAACATTGAAATATCAAAAAGGTGCCTGGCATGGTCCCTCTCCTTTGTGAAGATATGAAAATAGGTGGTGCTTTGAGTATCCAATGCATAGTGCAGACAAACCTAGAGACTCCAAGGCAGACTGAGTACCAAGACTGATAAGTGCTTGATGCTACGAGGACCCATGCAGAGAACTGTTCAGGTGGGCAGATTCTTTTTAAGGGCACCTTCCTAAACAGGCCAGTCTGCTTACTGAAGTCCTAAATCAGAGCTGTTTGGGGGGCTAGCCAGACACTCCAGATATTCCACAGTTCGAACTAGCATTATGAAATATCTTTCCTGCCCATCATTTCCCATCTTGGGATCAACCAGTAATAAAGGGTCATCTTAGGATACCCTGATGGGTCCGTCCAAGAGATAGCCATTTGTTACTTTCAAATGTGTTGTTTTGAAGACTCTGAAGCTAAATGACCACCTGGATCATATCTTTTATTATGTAAGTCCTATCACATTCCTAAATTATAAAAACCCCCTGATATCTCAGGGCAAAAAGCCATATTCTAACATGTCCTGAGAGAGAACATTAGAGTGCAAAAGGGATATCTGGCCCAGGCACGGTGGCTCACGCCTGTAATCCCAGCACTCTGGGAGGCAGAGGCAGGTAGATCACTTGACGTCAGGAGTTCAAGACCAGCCTGGGTAATATGGTGAAACCTCGTCTCCACCGAAAAATACAAAACTTAGCTGGGCATGGTGGTGCGTGCCTGTATTCTCCAGTTACTCCAGAGGCTAAGGCAGGAGAATCGCTTTAACCCGGGAGGCAGAGGCTGCAGTGAGCTAAGACTGCACCATTGTACTCCAGCCTGGGGACAGAAAGAGACTCCATCTCACAAAAAAAAAAAAAAAAAAAAAAAAAAAAAAGATATGTGTTACATTTTTTATATTCCTATAATTGGCATACACTCACTTTATAAAAATAAAAATTTGCATAAGCAGACAAATTTATTTGAATTAACACATCTTTCACATGTGGGTGCTAGATTATAAAATCCTAGGGGGTGGGGTCCATGTCTTAGTTTTCTTACATACTACTTGCTAGAGCTCTTTGCTTGTAGCGGGTCCTCTACACAGCTCACCCTTGAACAACACAGGTTTGAACCGCATCAGTCCACTCGTATGCAGGTTTTCTTCTGCCTCTGCTACCCTTGAGATAGCAAGACCAACCCCTTCTCTTCTTCCTCCTCCTCAGCCTACTCAACATGAAGATGACCAGGATGATGACCTTTATGATGATCCCCTTAACGAATTGTAAATATGTTTTCTGTTCTAATGATTTTTTTAATAAAATTTTCTTTCCTCTAGCTTACTTTATTGTAAGATTACAGCCTCAAATACACATAACACACAAAATATGTGTTAATCGAATGTTAGTAGTTACATCTTTGGGGAGTCAAAAGTTATACATGGATTTTCATCTGCATGGGGTATCAGCACCTTGAACCCCCATATTGTTCAAGAGTCAACTATACAACTTATTAGTATTGTATGAAAATCCAAACTTTTCAGAGATTAAATAATGTAAATCTTACCCAAGGTCTGTCTCTCATTATCTAAATCATTACTGAGATTATCTAAGGAAAGATTATCACTTATGTCACTGACATATGAGTCATCATCAGAAATCTATGGGAAAGAAGAAATAACATTCATTAGAGTTAGAATAAACAAGAGCCAGATTTTCATAAAACCCTTACTCTAAATGATCAAACATGTTGAGTCTCACAGTACAAATACTCTTGGGTACTGTTTTCATAAAGGTCCATATACCAATCTGCCAAGGAGGTGTTCACAACAAACACCTGTTCTTAAAATTCTTACACATTCCGAATTAGTTCTCACAAGGAAAACAGCAAGCAAGCTCAAGACTGTTATTATAAAGATTCTTATTAATTCTGACTGCATTTTTAGAATTTATTAGTGTTTGAGTAGAAGAAGTTACAATTTGTCTTTGAGCTATTTGTGTAAAAAGTATCTTCTATGGGAATTAATACATAAACAAAATGACTAAGTCTGTATTTAAGGGGTAACATTATTAGTACACACTGTTAACTATAATAACTCTTATTCAGGAAAGGATAATTTTTATGCATCAATTTAAAACAAATAATGCTATAAACCAATATTACAATAACCATATTATCATAAAAATATAATTATATATTATAAATCAATATGTCAAATTCCATGATTAAAAAATATACGGGATGCTAATTTCCTTCTCTATAGTAGACACATTATTAAATAGGTAGAAGTCAAAACTATTAACCTGTACTTGAAAAGAAGTATAGCACTTTGAGAGGCTGAGGCGGATGGATCACTTGAGGCTAGGAGTTCGAGGTCAGCCTGGCCAACATGCGGAAGCCCATCTCTACTAAAAATACAAAAATTGGCTGGGCATGGGGCGCACGCCTGTATTCCCAGATACTTGGGAGGCTGAAGTACGAGAATTGCTTGAACCTGGGAGGCAGAGGTTGCAGTGAGCAGATATCACACCACTGCACTCCAGCCTGGCCAACAGAATGAGACTATGTCTCAAAAAAAAAAAAAAAAAAAAAAAAAAAGAGGCCAGGCACAGTGGCTCACGCCTGTAATCCCAGCACTTTGGGTGGCTGAGGCAGGCGGATCACCTGAAGTCAGGAGTACGAGTTTGAGACCAGCGTGGCCAACATGGTGAAACCCTGGTCTCTACTAAAAACACAAAAATTAGCCAGACACGGTGGCACGTGCCTGTAGTCCCAGCTACCTGGTAGGCTGAGGCTGGAGAATCACTTGAACCTGGGAGCCGGAGGTTGCAGTGAGCTGAGATTGCACCACTGCACTTCAGCCTGGACAACAGAGCGAGGCTCTGTTTAAAAAAAAAAAAAAGTATAACAAATTTAACATATCAAGTTACAGAAATGAGAAAATATCCAATGCTCTCTACTTTTACTTTTTCTTCTCACATATAGTATCATTTTATACTTTTTGGGTATGAGTTATGGGAGAACTCTCAGAACATAATGACTACAAAGGGCAACTGAGTTTAGTGTTTCTGATGATGGATTATTTACTGAACAGATTAATCAGCAAAGCAACAAGAGAGATTTTTGAGGCACCATACTGTAAACATTGCTCAAACCTCGTTTTCTGAAGAGCTTGGAGATAACAGAACTTCCTGAGCATCAAAAAACTCAGAAAGGGAGTCAGTGATGGAGAGTCTACTTTCATTAGAAAGCTGATGAACTAGAGCTCGGTTTTCATCTCTGGAGTTTTCCTATTTGAAGAACAAAACCAAAAATGTATACATTTAAAAACATTCTCAAGAGAAAGAAAATAAATGATTTAGTTGTACAATACACAAGGTCACAGGCCCATGCAAATAAGCAACTCAAAGCAGAAGTCAGCTCCAACACTGAGATGCGAGCCTCATGCAAAACACAAAAGTTCTCCCCCAATATGGGCACCTCACTTACAGGCACTATCACTTCTCACACACATGCAACAAATCACAAGGCAAAAAACAACTGTCCAGGTCACTCTTTGTTCCATTTAAAAGGGGAAAAATTCCAGTGCTCTCTGAATCATATCCTCTTATTCGCTACCACTGCTGGATGTTTCTTTTTATACTAAAATCTCCTCTGCATTGCACTGAATTCATGTCCTTGCATGGCTGGTTCAGAGCAACATAGCTTTCTTCTGCCCCTATGCTCTCTGAGGGAACAATATGCTGCTTTTGAGGTGTCCCTTGACAAATACACAGTGTGTTTTGGTCCAGAAGCACCCTGGTGGCAGATCATTTACTATTCATGGATGAATGATGTAAGTTCTCTTTGTCTGTCTCTTTCCACCTACAATGACTGCAAGGAAAGGAAGTCCCCAGTCCTCTTTATAAGCCTCTGTACAAATAACACAACAGAACATCATTGTTTTCTTATCTCGCATGACCCTCCATTCTCCACTCCACTGGGTCTGGACTTTCCCTCTGGGGAGGACTTAAGTCCTGAGCTGGCCATGGCAGGATATAACAATGAACCAGACAAGGTTTGTGGACTGAATGAATGGTGAGAGAACGCATCCAACGCACATCAGACCAGGCCTGTGGAATAGACAAAGTGCTGGCAAAGTGGAGAGACTGATTCTGATTAGGGAGATTTTGTTTGAGGAGGGCTTCATAGAAGTGGCACTTGAGGAAAAAGAACAGATTCAGGACAGGATGATTTGATTTCTTTCAATCAGAGTAGACAGGTAGTAGTAAAACCACTCGTATTTTTTATTGGGCTAACAAAGGAGTTGCTTCCACATCATCCAGAATAATTTGGGGAAAAGGCAGATTATATCTTGCCCAGAAATTGTCTGAATTCAGGATATACCCCTCAGTCTCATAGGGAGGGGATGCTATGACAGGAGGGCCACAGCAGATTTTCGTAATTAATAAAAGGCAAGTGGTCCCTTTACAAATTGCTTGCTTCAGTTTATTAATATGTATCTACAAACTGTTGAAATAGATATCCCTTTCCTAAATAAGGCATCTGCCCAAGGTATTAACAATCCTACCCATTTTAATACCCATGTAGCCTTCTGAAAACCAAGCCTCTTCTCTACCCTAACAAAGAGATCACTTTAGAATCTATAAGTATCACAGCTGTTAACTTCAAGGAAAAGGTCTCTCTCCTCAAAAGAGCCAGGCATAAAGCTATTGAGCTTGAAAACATCGTAAGGAATAGCTTCAACACTCACTCAAACAAGAGAATAGTCCTGTGTCTTCCGTGTGCTCCTGCCACAAAAGATGCTCATCATTTATTTACTTGTTCTACTCATTAATTTATTACTAGTCACTCCTGCCATCTCTGTATCTTCCTCCTCCTAGACTGATGGGTCCAAAGATTTCCTGGCTGACCAACACTGAAAATAATATTCCTAGCCCCTAGCCCTTTCTGGCATCTTCTTATATGTACTGTAAACTCACCAGCACTGCTGCACCCCAAGTCTACAGCATGGTGCCTTAAACAACTCAGGACCTCATTTGCTAAAATATTAACCCAGTCAGTTCAATTCAGTAATTTCCTTTCACATATGTAATGCATGACTGGTTGCTTATCTATTGTTTGCATTACAAAAAGTTAAATCAAGCGTGGCCAACCTACAGCCCGGGCGCCACATATGGCCCAGGATGGCTTTGAATGTGGCCCAACACAAATTTGTAAACTTTGTTAAAATATTATGAGATTTTTTTTGTGATTTTTTTTTTTTCTGGCTCATCAGCTATCATTAGTGTTAGTGTATCTTATGTGTAGCCCACAACAATTCTTCTTCTTCCAATGTGGCCTAGAGAAGCCAAAAGATTGGAAACCCCTAAATTAAATAAACAGAGAAAAGGGAGGGAAAGGAACATTCATAGCTCACACTATAACAACCACTACAAGCATTCTGACACATTTCTTGTGCAGTAATTGTAATCATGCTATTTTCATATCTCTATGTATGTAATTTTATAAAGTTCGCCCAAATAACATTGCAAGATAGTTTTTTTTCAAAATTAAACTGTATTCTGAAAATAAAAATAGGTATTCAAAATAGAAAATTTTAAAAAAGCAAATTAAATAAATATCACTTCAAGTCCCATTGAAGTCGATATGAATGTGGAAGTGGACGTGGCCCCTATTAACTTGCTGGTATTTTCATATTAAAATATCTGTGTACAAATTTTATTTTGAAAAACTGGGATAAACAGTCTACATATTGTCTGCTCCATTCACTAACCATTATATTGTTAATATTTTCCCAGACCATTCAAAATTCTTTGAGACAGTGAACTGTAATTGATAAATATTTTATTATATAGTGTCACAGAGTAATAATAAAATTAAGAATGTTTACAGATTTGCGAAAATGGTTTAGTATGTTTGTAAATATGTCTTTGCTTGTATCATGTTATTTCTCAGAATCAATTTTTCAAAGAATTATTAATAACCTTCAAGGCAAGGCAAAATATATATTACCTAATTACACCAACAAGTAAGGAAACCTCTGTTTTTTCTACATTAAGGGTACTGCATACCATAATTTAGAAAACTTTTGAGCTAATCTAATTGTTTTAATTTTCATTAGGCTGAATAGTTTTTCCTTTTTAAAAAACAAGCTTGTAGAGATGTTATTCTAGGGAGAGGCTGGATGAAGGCTGCATGGGACCTCCCTCTGCATTTCTTTGTACTTTCCTGTGAATTTACAAATATTGCAAAATAAGTAAAAAAAAAAAAAAAAAAAAAAAAAAAAAAGAAAACCCATACCTATCTGTATTTGTGTGTATGTGTGTGTGTGTGTATGTGTGTGTGTGTGAATTATGGCCTTTTTCCATTTACTTGTTAAAGTTTTAAGTTACTTGATATTATTTGTTTATTGGTTACATATGAAAAACATTATCATTGATTTAGCATTATCTCAGTCTGTCAATTTCACTGAAAATATTTTTCCCAGTCTATTATTTGCCTTATTGTTTTGACACACATCACTTTTTCCTAAAAAAAAAAAAAAAATAGATCTAATCAACATTCCTTTTGCAATTTTTTTCTATTGCAACCCAATTTAGAAAATCTTCCCTACTCTAGCAGTTTGATAAATATTTACATTAATATTTTTCAGTTTGAATTTTTATATTTAACTTGAATTTGCTTTTGATTCATTTAACATGCAATGAGAAGATTTAAACTTCTTTTTAAATTGCTTTCAGCAGGGCATGGTGGGTAGTGAGTGCCTATAATCCCAGCTACTTGGGAGGCCAAAGCAGGAGGATGGCTTGAGCCCAAGAGTTCAAGGTCAGGCTGGGCAGCATAGTAAGACTGTCTCCAAAATAATGGTAATTAATTATAATAATGTAATAAATTTCTTTGAGCTGTGCCAACCTAATTTATTGAATAATCCACCCCTTTCCCATTGGCTTTTGATGCCTTTTTGAACCATAATCTTTATTTCTTTTATATACAAAATAACATCTATGCTTGAGAGAGTTATTCTGTCCCATTCTTACCCATCATCCCTTATTTTAACTGCTGGAGCTTGAATGAGTGTTTTATTTTCTGGCTTGGCATACCGTTCTTCATTATATAGCAGTGTATACTATTGAGAAAAGGATTGCTTTGGCCTCGTTAGATGTGAATTTAAATCTCAGCTCTGTCTATTACAAGCTGTATGTCTGGAGGAAGTTATTTAACCTCTCTGAGCTTTAGTTCTCTTGTTTCTCAAATGAAACTATCACCACCTACTTCATAGAGTCATGGTTAGGATTTTGTGAGGTAATGTATTCAAATGCATGCCGATATAGCAAACAGACATTAAAAGAATTAAGTTCCCTTCTCTTTCAGACTTTTCTTTAAAAGTTTTGGCCTTTTTTAGTCTCTTAAATGGACATTGGATGTAGTATGGTGTTACCTCCCAAAGTCACTTGCCCTTTCATTTGGAATCTAAAATAATCAAAGAACTGATAACTTGATAATATTAAATCTTCACATTCAGGAATATAAAACAGGAGAACTTGGTAGGCTGTGGGGGTAATTTCTGATATTAAAAAAGGTGGGCATTTTAGAATTCAATTAGCCAGGCCCAACACCAAAGATGGGTAATACGTGTGGCTAAAGAAAAGGTAACGAGGCCGGGCGCAGTGGCTCATGCCTTTAATCCCAGCACTTTGGGAGGCCGAGGTGGGTGGATCACAAGGTCAGGAGATCGAGACCATCCTGGCTAACATGGTGAAACCCTGTCTCTACTAAAAATACAAAAATTAGCTGGGCATGGTGGCAGGCGCCTGTAGCCCCAGCTGCTGGGAAGGCTGAGGCAGAATGGCGTGAACCCGGGAGGCGGAGCTGGCAGTGAGCCGAAAAGGTGCCACTGCACTCCAGCCTGGGCGACAGAGCGAGACTCTGTCTCAAAAAAAAAAAAAAAAAAAGAAAGAAAGAAAAGGAAACGAAGTGAGCAAAGAAAGTGAGAGTTCTAAAAGGAGAGCACCTTGGGCTGACCCCATTGGTGGAGACTGTCATTTCCCAATAGAGTACCAGAGGTAACCGGGAGTTACCGAAAAAAAATTAACTGGAGTCAAGTTTTCAGTCTGGGAGGCCATTTTCACTTACTTTCCTACTTATGTCCTGAAGGCAACAATAACTTTACCTTTGCTGGGAAAGTAAGCCTGAGTCACTCCATGATAAAAGGGATAAAATAAGGGAAACAGAAAATTTCTGAAAGAGGAAATAGATAAGGTGACAACTGCATCACTGATTCAAGACTCAAGAAGGCTGTTTTGGAAGGTGTGCATTTGAAGGATGTTATTGTTACCTCTCAAGGACAGTGTATAGCATTTCAGCTTTCAGGTATGCTACTTTTAAGATCAGTTTAAAATATGCATTTTAAATATATAGTTTAAAAACATGTATTTTAAAAGACTTGTGATTTTGGTTTCCTTTCCAAAACACAAATAGTTCCAAGTAGACATGCCAAGCATAAATTCATAAAAGCATAAATGAACGTTATGTATTTAACTACCTGTTAAATCAGTAAATTGTGATAATACTATTTAAAAGGTAAATACTGTCTGAAAACATGCACAAACTCCAGATAATACCATAGTACATGGCAGCTGGTCAGTAATGGCTGATCCTGGCCATGACTGGGTCCTGTTTTTAGCCAATGTGCAGACTCAAAAGAGGGCCTGCCCAGGCCTAAGGTCAAGGCGCCGTAAGTAATGTTTAGGTGCTCAATGCTGCAGGTGACAGTTTAGGTCTGGGCTAACATAACTGAAAAGTGACCTCTTGTGGGTAGCGCTTCTATAAAAGAATGTCATACTTAACCACTAGCATGTGCCTCAGAAGTAGTAAGAGACCCACAAGCTTCTGCCAGACAGAGGGTGAGGCTCATGGGAGTGGATGGGCCTGTCCACACATGGCACCATCTTGTCTCCAAATGGGTTCGGTGCCCGGAGCCCTACAGTCCATGTACTGACTGACTTCAGCCTCAACTCGCCTCACCACCCCGCACAATGGCTTCCCAAGGAGTGAAGGTGTGTGAGGGGTTTGTTTTCTCTGAGGACAGAAAAAGAAGGACGAAACACTATGATTAAACATTACAAACTTCTTTTAAAAACTTACATAAACACACACCTCTTGTCTATTACCTGCCTTACATTTTTTATTTTAAGTGTACTCAGTCTAATTCATTTGTTAATAAAAATTTAGCATATCTGAAGCAGGCATTTAATATAAAAAATAGCTTAAAAACAGTTTTTACTTTCATTACTCTTTCCTACTTATTTTTTGAGTAACCTACTTGTACTTTTCTGAAATTTCTCATTTTAAACATGCAAAGACTATTTTGGATAAACATCCCTAGTCTTGAAGAAAGACTTTTTTTTAACATACTTTTAACTGACCAAGAGACACTTTAATTGTAATGAAGTATTTTTTTTCCCTCAGAGTGTACAGCCGCATTCTATAAAAGAAAAAGAAAATCACAGAAAAGGGAGAAGGGAACAGCCACAGAGAAAGGGTTAGAGGGGAAGGAGGCTGGCAGGGAACCAAGATACTGCAGGTCAGAGAAACGTAGGTTTCTTCAGTAGTAACAAGAGAAAATGTTTATCTCTCTATAGTTCCCACTCCAGTACCACTAGTGAAAGGGGTGACATTTAGGAGCGAAACAGAAATATAAAAAAAAAAGAGAGTTCTGGGGAAGGAAGCAGTTTAAAAATGCAATTAGCAGCATACGCTCAAGAAAGCGTTTGAGCCCGAGACCCCAGTCCATGACCTAGCTGTGGCCAGCACCCAGAGGAGGAGGGCAGAGAGGTGGACAGCACCCATGAGGGGAAGCAGGGAGGTCGTGCAATGGGACAGATGGTATCACGGGAGCGGGCGGCAGCTGGGGAGACATTACCAGACGAGAAACCTACCCACCTCTGCCAGATTGTCACCCGACTTGGCGACAGCGGGGGAGTCGAGGAGCAGAGACTCGGCATGGATTCTGCGTAAGCGTTCTTTAAGATCTGTGTTTTGTGCTAGGGCCTGGAACATGTTAAAATAGTGGGGCTCTGTTAATAAATGGATGTTTCAGAAAAGCACAGCAGTGGGCCCTGCAGGAGCGATCTCTAAGAGCTTGATGAAACTCTTAGTGACGTGGTCTGACAGCGCACTTTCTGGACTTTTTCCTTGAATGCTCTCCAAGAGGATACTGGTTCTGAGATGCCTGGGAGATGACAAACCTGGGCTCTGGAAATGATGCTCTTTTTCTTTTCTCATTCCAGACATGGAGGGAGGGTTGGTAAGTGCAACAGAGAGGGAAGTCACAGACACTGTCGGCTTCTGTTAAGACCAGTGGTTCCACAGCATCTCCTCCTCCTCCCCAACTGTCTGGAGTCTCTTTGGCCAAATCCCTTCCTAAGGAATCCAGGCTTCTATCTGCTTTGAAGAATATGCTGGCCCCATCCCTTATGATTGGACATATTTCAATGTTACTTAATTATCATACCCATTGAATCAGATTTTAGAAAGTGTGCTGGAGGCCGGGCAAGGTGGCTCACACCTGTAATTCCAGCACTTTGGGAGGTGGAGGCGGGCAGATTACTTGAGGTCAGGAGTTTGAGAACAGCCTGGCCAACATGGTGAAACCCCATCTCTACCAAAAAATGCAAAAATTAGTTGGGCATGGTGGCACACACCTGTAGTCCCAGCTACTTGGGAGGCTGAGGTGGGAGAATTGCTTGAACCTGGGAGGCTGACAGATGTTGCAGCGAGCTGAGATTGCGGCCTGGGTGAGAGTGAGACCCTGTCTCACGAAAAAAAAAAAAAGAAATAAAGAAAGTGTGCTGTGTGCTGGGAAGTAGGACTTTGTGAAAGATTAATTTTACTCTTTTCCAATATGGGTATTGATTGTTCTATTCATTCTTCAGGACTAAGGCAATCTATTTCAAAAAAGAAATGAGTAAGCCTCACTTACCTGCATAAGGGCTTAAGGACCATGGCTCTGGGAATGGGTAAATGTGAGATGAAAAGCAAATCTGAGACTATGCCCCCAGGCCTCCTTTATATTTCCCTGGGCAGGGATCATTCCTTATCTCAACCTCTCAACTAGGAGGAAAGTGGCTGAAAGGTAAAGGAAGCTGTTTCCTTCACGCTGATACTCCTGTGCACTTCATGACCAACTCTTCTCCAATGGTCTGTCTGTGGAAGGGGGACAAGTTCTCCTGACTGTCTTCCCAGACACTCACACGATCAGCTCCACGGGTGCTCGCATGCAGATTCAGCCTATATGTCTGTCTTTCTGACTCTTTTCTAAGAAGCTCTGAGCCTTTTGCATCCACCAGGGCCTGCAGGACCGACCTGCTGAAAGCATAGAAGGATGTGGTACTGCCTAATCCTCTACCTGGATCTCCAACAGGGATGCTGGCTTTGTTTTTCAGTCCCTGCAGAGCATATGGGTTATTTGAAAATCCTTGAGGACCACTTAAGAAAAACTGCACAAGAGCTAAGATCACACAGCCACATATAACAGTCTCTCTGGAGCACTAACTTTATTCTGGCCAATGACAGAGGTAGGGAGGCTAGAATCTTAGTACAGCCTGAAAATTGTGCTATTTTATTAGTTTTTCTTTCCTTTGTAAGCCACAGGCAGAAGAAGAAAACATGGCAACACTGTGCATACAGCACCGACATACCCATTCTGATAACTCTGATATGGTTCTAAAAATTTTATTTTCAAAAAACAAGTCTTAAACCCCAATTGTGAATCCAAGCCAAAAAGGAAAGAAAGGATCATTCGGTTTTATCTGAAGTTTCCAAAATCGTGAATATGGGTGAGAATGAATTCCTTAGTGAAGGTGAGAACAGCCTTGGCCTAGGATACCACAGCCAAATAGGTCTCAGTGGCCAAACAGGCAGATTGACAAGATGAGGCCAGGCCTCTGTGGGAGGAGGCAGGGAGAGGAAGATCATGGGGAGAGGGACCTTGGAAGCCCATCAGAGATACCTTTTGTAAATGCACTAAAAGCTAGCTTAATGAGAACAATAAGAAAGTTAGGGAAAAAAAACAAAAACACTTTGCTTCTGCTTCTCTCAAACCAAAATGGCACCAGTGTATGGCTGTCTTGTACAATAAAAAGGGGGCGATTCTATCTGTGACCTTAAGACAACGTTAAGACTCTTCTTTATATATGGAGCAAGCCAATGTTATTTTTAATTTCTTTTGAAGATAGCATACTTGTAATGGTCCATCAGTGAATACTCCTTACATATTCTACAACAACTATATGTGCTACTGGCAGAGGATTTATCACTAACATTATATTAAGAGCATCACTTTTCTTGGCAATACGATAAATAGAAAATATGAATCAACATTTTCTAGTTCTCTCAATGCCTGTGTTGGCTTCTGGTTACAAGATCCTAAAATTTATCTCCCCTACCTGACCTGAAATAGAAAATTCAGTATTGCTTCAGATGGCAATTTCATATGTGCACACACTCTTTCTCTTTCTAAAGTAGGAATTCCAAAGTACAAGAAAAGAGTAAAAGCAAATCAGTATGCTATTTCAAAAGTTCTCTAGCCTCCTGATAGATTCAGGGTAAAAAAAAAAAAACGAGATAACTTTATTCAAATAGAGGTAGGACATGGCACTTTAATGGAGCCTAACTATTCTGAGGAATTAATTGAAACTGATGAAAAAAGGAGAGAGAATGAGTGACAATGGCTGAGAATCATTTGGGACCCTGTCAGTGATTTTCCTGTTACTATGAAGGTATAGTGATTGCCTGACAGGCACTTTCATGTGACTCATCTCTTTGTAGCCACAGTAGGGGGGCAGGGCAGGGAAGCTAAATGTCTTGTACTATCCCATCAAACAAAATAGCTCTCATGTCTTTGAAAGAGTGGTAAACAGGATCAGTGCTTTGCAATAGGGAAGATAAGAGCATGAATTGGAAATTTCACTCTGCCACCTGTCATTTGGAAAGTAAGGCTAAGCTTGTGGTGTCTCATGCCCATAAAATTTCCTCCAAACTGTCAGATTTTGTAAGCATTAACAGAAAAATGTCTGTAAGACACGCACACATACACACAAAAACGTACAATAAAAATGTTAGAGAAACAAAAAAATTAAGATCAGTCAGAGGAAACCAAACTTAAAGAAGGTATCACTTAATAAAATACTAGCTATTAAGACTTGGATAGGTAAGTTTTGGTGTTTCAAATAAGCAGATTTGATGAAAGGTTAGAATATAATTTGGATAATTTGGTTTTCTCCTGAATTTTCAACATAATCATGGAAATAGAAATTACAAACCATTCATGAGCCTGGACACATCTCAGGCATTCCTGGAGGCAGACATGTAACTTACGGATGACAGGGCGTTCTTCAGACCAATGACCTGAGCAGACGGGGAGGAGGAGGCATCCTGCTCCATCAGCTGCTTCAGTTTCTCTCTCTCCGCTGACATGATATTAAAAGCTGACCTTAAAGTGAAGTAAACTATAGAGATAGAATCATTATAAAAAGGAATAAGGAGGCATAATTAAAAACAAAATACAGAAAAAAACATATCTCTTATAAAAGAAACAAGCAAAGTAACAGCCCTGAATATTTTGAGTATAGCAAATGTACATTCTACCTTGACTTTTAAAAAACACATTTGCCATGTAGAACACGCTAATGTAAACTAAGGCCTCTGGATGATGATGTGTCCACGTAGGTTCATTGACTGTAAGAGATGCAGTACTCTGGTGTGGGATGCTGATGGCGGGGGGACGGTGCCTACATGGGAGCAGGGGGCTTATAAAAGCTCTGCACTTTTGGTTCAATTTTGCTATGGACCTAAAACTGCTAGAAAAAATTAAGTCTATTAAAATTAACTCCCATTCACACACATCTGGCAATTCTAAGGCCCCTATCCACTGTAATGTCTCATGACTTTATGACTTATCATCAGGATTTTTTGACACTTGCACTTTGCTTCTAGATCCTCAGTGATCAGTGTTTTGTTTTGTTTTTGTATCCCCAAAGACTGGAAAGGGTTAAAAACAAAGCTTATTGGTTTTCCAGGGGAAAATGTTAACACTACAGCAGAAAAATTAGACAGCACCTTAATCAGGTGATCAAAATTAACTATTGGTGAGAGTCAGGTGGACCATGTGCCTCTAGGTAAAATAGGCTGAAAAAGACACAACATCTCCTTTGGTGTATGCCAGCCAGGGCTATGTAATCTGAATTTGATCATGAGCAAACATCAGACAACCCCAGAATGAGAAACATTTTATTTTTACAAGTTGGCCTATACTATTCAAAAGTGTCAATTTGACGAAAGAGAAAGAAAGGCTGAGGAACTGTTCCCAATTAAAGGAGGCAAAAGAGGAATGACAATGAAACTGACTCAAGGGGCAACATGGTACTAAAGGCATTATTGGGATAACTGACAGCATTTGAATATGGGAGGTAGAATAGATAAAAGTTGCTTCAATGCTGTATTTCCTGAATTTGATTACTATACTGTGGTTATATAACAGAGTATTCCTATTTTATATACTAAAGTATAAAGCCATAAAGAACAACACGAGGTATGAATTCTACTCTCAAATGGTTCCAAAAAGTGAAAGCGTGTGTGTGTAGAGAGTGATAAAATAAATGTGGCAAATATTTAAAACGAAGTATTTGGGTAAAGGGTATACAGAAGTTCTCTGTATAATTCTTGCAACTTTTCTGTAAGTTTGTAATTGTTTCAAAACAAAGTCTTACTGTCTACCTTCTTGCTTGTTAGCCCTTCCAGCTGCAGGACCCAGAATCCCCCAGCTCTAACCCTGGCATTCAGCTACTCTGTTCCCTAGTGAGCCCTCAGGTACAATGAGGGCTTAGCCACTATGGCCTCCAATGCCTGAACTGAAGTTTTAAAAAACATTAACACATACAGCACACACACACACACAAATCATTATTCATTAGGTTTTGATCACATCATGTACAAATTACTTCCTAGGGATGAGGAAGCTGTTATCTAAATTACTGATCGTGGCTATCACATTTGAATATTATCTTTCCAATCTCCTTTATAATATTTTGTTTTAGAAGAGCAGGAAGACTGAAGAGACTCAGACACATGTCTTCTCAAATGACCTAGCACATTACTGAATTCCACAGGGCTGCATTTTTAGAGGTATTGTTATTCAAGAGTGGGCTATTTAGTAACACAGAAACTAAATAGGCATTATTGACTTACTTCATTTAATAGCAAGGAGGACAACTAAACCTCTCTATATGTTGTTGCTGAACTTGTCTGAGGTTGTGGCATTTAGTGATGGACCTGAAACATCTTAACAAAGTCACAACAATTTGTACACACACACACGCACACACACACACACACACACACACACACACACACAAACACACACAATGGTGCTGCCTCTGCCAACAGAAGATGGGGGTCAAATGGAACTAAAATTTTCTAACGACGCCTATGAAACACACTTAGCTCCTTGCTTTAAACAATTTAATTGAGCAAAATAATGGGCAGGACAACAGAGTAATCAACAGCTGGGGCTCCACCATCAGCCCTGGATTCTTCCCCACTCCATCACCTATTAACTCCATGACCTTGGATGAGTAAATGATGTGCCTGAACCCTGGTTTCCACATTTGTAAATGGGGATAATAATAACTTTTACTTTAAATGGTTGTCATGAGGATTGAATGAGAGAGGGAATGCAGGTAAAGCACATAACACAATGCGTGGTATGTAATAAATAACAAATGTTACTGCAATATCATAGTGATACCGATGAAGGAGACACATGAGGATGAAAGTGATGGTGACTGCAGTCTCTTGAAATGTTGGCAGCAGCTCTAGATGATGCTTTACTCTTTTGCCAGGAAAATGCTTGTAAATAACTGCACACAGGGTAGAAATTCTAGGAATGAGGGGTTGGCCAGAATCTATGGAGCTGTAGGAGAACAGCCTTGGGAGGAGAGCAGCAAGCCACACAGTTACGGACTGCATCCTATGTCCTATTAGATAGGCACTATGCCCCTCCCCTGCCTGCCACACACACAGGATGCCCATGGCCATCTCAGTGGGTCCCCTGGGGAGCTACCTCTCACTGTCTTGTTTATTGCTCCAAATAAAATAAATGTGGCACTCAGCTAGCCGCCACTTTCCAAATCAATTCCTCTGGCTTCCAGGTGACCTACAGAAAAACAAGGCTTTCCACCAAATGAGAAGAGTCCTACATAAATTTTAAAAACTGGCAGAATATACAATATTTGGTTCAAAATGTACAGCTGACAAGATTGCAATAGGTGTAAGATAAGCAGAAAGAAACTCATATAGTCATTATATTTTATTGTAAGGAATAAAACGCTTCCTAAATCATCTGAAAAAAGGGTTTGGAAGACTAGATCCCTGTGTACTAAATTTCTTAAATGACTATCAGGGCCCACTCAGGACATTAAAATAGTCATTCACAGCCACCTAATGATCTGCCACACACAGGGCAATGATCAGAGGTTGCTCATGAGAGACCACATTTATATTAATTGTTTAAGACACAGGATCCCAAAAGTCAGGAACACTCTCTGTGATAGGAGTGCTTTCTTACTTATTTCTAACATGAATCTAAGCTTACTAGAGACAAATAAACAGCTTTAAAAAATAGAAGATTCAAATGAGTGCATCACATCTATGGTTACCTGACAATAAATAAAGCCACACAGAAAATCTTAGATGCTCAGAGATTACCAAAGCCACCCACCCCACAACACGACCAACTCTTCACATCTCCAGCTTCCCCGCCAAATGGTCTGCTGGCCCACGCTTGTCAGAGCACTTGCTATCTCCTAAAATGGTACATTCTGCTCTGGGACTTAGAAAGTCCTTCCTGCTGCTAAGACATTTGCCTCAGTGTCTCTTCACTGTCAAAGAGGAGGTATTTCCTCTTTCATTGAGTGTTCAAATATCGGAAGGCAACTGTGGCATCTGCGATGATTCATCTCTTTCCCAAACTGTCATTAGCCATTTCTCAGATACCCTTCCTGGACTATGAGAGGCAGGCACAGGTTGAGTTTTTGACTGTAAGAAGTCATAAGTTGCATCTACAGAATGGAACATCATAAGCGTCGTACAAGTGACTCTTGGTGGTCACTACCTTTCTGTTTCTAAGGCTTCCATGCTGTTCTTTTATTGAGTTAGTACAGTGAGACTATAATAGATGGAATGTTTGGATAGTGAGAGTCAATACTCTCACTATCAATGTATCTCAATTTATCTGAGCTCTACTTCTTAACATGCTCCTTCTTTAGCAGTTTCTCAGCATCAGGAAAGAATAAGATCTTGGAGAAAGTAGTTATGAATGCCATGGGTACCGCTCTAGAAAGCAATGTGGTACAGGAGAAAGAAATTCTCTAATAAGGCCAGCCTGAAGTTAAATTCTACCTCTAACACTTAGTTGCAGCTGCCATTTATATTTTGGACAATTATATTCAGGATTTGTCCAAAATACGTTTCTACATCTGTACATGTAGATGATGGGCACATCTGAGGAGCGCTTTAAGCAATGAGAAAACCTACTATCACAGAGCACCTAACAAACAGTGAGACTCATTTTTCCCCCTTTTTAATTGGAAACCAAATTTTAGGTGAATTTTCTTTGAAATGTTAACATTCCTAATATATCTGGGACACTCTGATCTTCTGTAATCTGCAGCAGTTTCAAACCTCACAGGATGCCCATGATTTTAAAATTCTTTTTAACCCATATTCCATCCAAATTGATTTAGATACATTAGGTAACTTTACTAAATGGTCCTACTTATGAATCTAATTGCTCAGCACATTTATGCTGAATTCTAATTTATGAACAATAAATGACTTGGCTTTTTGTTCAGTCATATATCTCTTTTAGCTTTTTAATCTATGAAAGAGGTATCATTGTAACACACTTGGCTTTTTATTCAATGCTTCCATAAGCTGAAAATGGTTCAGAAAATGACCACTCAATACTTACTACTCAACATAGGGAAAGAATCCAGAAAGAAAAGAATAGGTAAATACAGTTTTGACTTTGTTCTATGTAGCTTTCACATTTGTGAATGAGGATTTCCTTCACTTGTAGGAAAAGTGTCCCTAAAACATCATTTGCTTCCCTTCCAAGTCAAAGAACACAGATATCCGCTTCCATTCAGAACACCTGACCCTAGCCCTGTCTTGTTCCTTGCTTTGCCATCCTAAATCTCCTCACCAAGTTTGGTCATTTCTGTTTCTGCTAACAGAACACTCTCTCAGAAAGCCTTCTTGTAACAATAAGCAATAGTAGGGACTCTTTCTATTCAGTGTAAAATAATCAAAGAAAATAACTACAGATTTTGAGAACCAAAAGAGTCAGGACAACTACTATACGACATTTAACAGGCTATCAAGGGCCAGAGAGGTTAATAAATGAAGTCAAATTTCCACAGCTAGTCAGTAACAGAGGTGGCCTACTTAGCCAGTACAGAGGGAGCTCCAAAAAGGCTTATTATTTACAATGTTTTTTAAAGTATGTTTCTCAGAAACTTAAATTCCAGGATGTTAATAGCTGTTGGGAATAGGGGGGAAGATTCCCAAATAATATTGAAAGTCACTGAGTTAAACAAAGCCAACAGATTTTTGTGTTGTTTTTTGCTGCAGGACTTCTCAGGGCCTTTACTATTTACTGTTCTTATGTAAATCCAAAGGAGACCATAGTCAGCAGTGTTTTCCAAACATTTTTAATCATGAAGTTTTTGTTTCATTTTTAGAAGTACTTTATGGGTAAAGTGTTCCATAAAACATATTTTGGGAAATGTAAAAGCTAATATATGCAACAAAAATTACTTAAGACTTTTAGGTTTCAATATATTTCATTCTCTGCTTATATGTGTGTGAACATCCACACAAAGCCAGAAACATAAGCCAACAACTGGTTCAACAATATGCCATAAAAATCAAACTCACAGTCTATAATATAGAATAAGGACTTTTAAAACTAGCATGGGTGTATTTTGGTTCCCTACCATTTGATCTACAAAACCAGGAGAATTCAGATGCATTTAACAAGGTGAAGGTCGCAGAGACTATGTTACATCACTGGAATTCTTGCCTTTAGTTCAGCTGCTTTGGAATTGTAGTCAACAGAATAGTGATGCAGTCGAGAAAGTACAATAGATACTGTCAGTAACAAAACGAGGTTTACACAGGAAGAAAGGTCAAGATGCTTCGAGTTTGAATGTATGGAAGTGAGAAGGCATGCAAGGTCACAGGACTTAGTACAAACCTGAGAGCTGTCTTTATTCTCTGAGGCCCCCAAATTACAATCTGTGCAAGAGACTCCCTGAACCAGGAAAAGGAAGATCTTTCCCTCTCTGCAAGTGTACTGTAAAACCACAGGAATGAAACACCTTGTTAGGCTCCCTGTGGAATTTGTTGTCTGTAAGCCCACAGGGCTCAGGCAACTGTTGAATAAGTGCATTGGACCTTTCTCCAGGACAAACCTTGGCCCAGTCTAGGTATGTGGCAGCTCTGCAGCCAGCAGGTTTTCACAAAGTGGGAAAGACAGAACTGCTGGATGGGGCCCATTACAGACTTTCAACAAGGTGGAGACCTCTGCAGGAGGACTGGATCAATGGATCCACTCAGTATGGCAACCTTTGTCCTGCTGAGGAGGCAGCTTCTTCAATGGAGGTGAAACTCAGGACATTTCCTCTGTGTAGGGAGGCATTATCTTCTCATTGTTTAAAAGTTTGTATTATTAAAAAGTAACAATGTTTTATAGGAATTTCCTCCCACAAAACTTAAGATGCCCTAATTGCAACTGATTATTTTAATTCTTCAAATTCTTTGAAGATCCTTTAAGGGTGGGCCAGGTAACTCTTGCCATTTCACGGATGAACTGCACAACAAAACACTCATAACAGTCTAATGGTAATTAGGACAAGCATTCCAGGTAGCAATCTGTATAAAGGATGAAATGGTTTCCTTATAACCCACCTCATATCCAACATGTTTTAAATTTAGAGGGTAAGGGAAGAGAGAGCTGAAGGAATCAGTAATGTACGAAACAAAAATACGAAGTAGGAAAGGAAGGCAATAGAGGGAATATCTTCTCTCTTCCCATATTACACACTGCCCTCCCACTGAAAAATTTTAAATCCATTTTCTCTTTAAGAAATAATATATGAAAATTGAAAAAAAAGTTAAGCAGAAAGATAAATAAGCACTTAGAACTCCAGCCTCCATCACTTAAATGTTTGTATATATCCTTCCAGACTTTTTAGTATACCTATATATGCCCGAAATAGGATCATACCTATATATTGTTTTGTAACCTTACATTTTTACTTTACATTTTATGCTGAGGACATCTTTCTACAACTATAAAAAATAACGCTGGCCACTCCATCTGTAAGAGCAGAGAAATACCAGGTAAGGATTATGGACTCTGGGGTCAAACAGGTGAGAATTCAAGTCTCATGCTGGCTGCTTTGTAACCATGTGACCCTCAGGAAGCTGTTATTTTATCTAAGTCTCAAGTTTCTTATTTATGCAATAGAGATCATAATGATACCTACTTCGCAGGCTGCAGCTAGAATTAAAATAATGCACGTAAAGTAATTAGCAAATACCTGACGTGACAGTTATGTGCTCGATGTTAAGTAGCTCTCATTATTATTATTAGTGAGTATTCTATTATATTACGTTTTTGAAAAAATTCAATCCCCTATTGTTTGGCATTTAGATTATTTCTATTTTTTTAACCTTTTATTTTGAAATCATTATTGACTTACAGGTAATTGCAAAATAGTAAAGTCCCACATACCCTATACCCAGTTTCTCCCAGTAGTTACATCTTACACATCTATGGTACAATATAAAAACGTGGGAGTTGACATTAGTATAATCTACAGATTTTATTCAGATTTCACCAGATTTACATTCACTGATCTGTTTGTATGTGTGTGGGTATAAGTAAATGCAATTTTATCACATGTCCACATTCCTGTAACCAGCACCACAATCAGGATACAGAATTTTTCATCACTACAAGATCCCTTGTGCTACCCCTTTATAATCACACTCCCCTTTACTTCCTCCATCTCCATAATTATATCATTTCAAAACATTTATGTAAGTGGAACCCTACAGATATGGTTTGGCTGTGTCCCCACCCAAATCTTATCTTGAATTATAGCTCCCATAATTCCCATGTGTTATGGGAGGGACTCAGTGAAGGATAATTGAATCACGGGGGTGGCTTCCCAAATACTGTTCTTGTGGTAGTAAATAAGTCTCATGAGATCTGATGGTTTTATAAGGGGTTTCCCTTTTCACTTAGCTTTAATTCTCTCTTGCCTGCCACCATGTAAGACATGCTTTTCGTCATCTGCCATGATTGTGAGGCCTCCCCAGCCACATGGAACTGTGAGTCCATTAAACCTCTTTTTCTTTATAAATTACCCAGTTTCGGGTATGTCTTTATCAGCAGCATGAAAATGGAGTAATACACCTATACTATGTAATGTTTTGAGATTGGTTATTTTCTGTCAGCATAACGTCCCTGAGATCCATCCAAGTTGCTATGTATATCAATAGTTTGTTCCTTGGTATTGCTGAGGAGTATTCCATTGTATGGATGTACCACAGTTTGTTTAACCATTCATCTGTTGAAAACCACTTGAGTTTGTTTCCAGTCTTTGGCCAATACAAATAAACTTGCTTTGAACATGGGTATAGATTTGTGTGTGGACATAAATTTTCATTTATCTGGAACAAATGCTCAGAAATGAGTGTTGGGTTGCATGGTAAATGCATGTTTAATTTTATACAACACTGCCAAACTGTTTTCCAGAGTGGCTACACCATTTTACATAGCTACAAGCAATGTATGACAGATTAAATTTATATGCATTTTCACCAGCATTTGATACTATATTTCCTTTTAACTTTGGCTCTTCTAATAGGTGTGTAGTGATATCTCATCATGGCTTTAATCTGCATTTTCCTAATGGCTAATGATGTTGAATACCTATTTCTAATTTTTGATGTGACAATGCAAAATGGATACTTTGTTTGGATAAATTCTAAGTTAATTCCTACAATGAATTCTTCAAAGTGGAATTGCTAGATAGGCAGATTTTAAAAATAGTGAGAAAATAATATCATATTGCCCTCCAGAAAATTACCAATTTACACTCCCACCAACATCACATGAATTGCTCAGCTTTTAAAGTACTAACTCTCTCTCATTGTCTCCCCCACAAGGTTAAAAAGAAAGTTCTTGCCAATACATTCTCCACTACTAGGGAAATAAAATAAAGATTAGGTTTCCCTAAATCTTAATAGAGCAGAAAATGAACCAACTAAGATACTCTCTCTAAGGACATCTCACATTCAGACATGCACTTAACATTTTCATCAAACACATTAGGAAGAAAGAAAACTCATTTACCTTTATGGGCAATATGACACAGATCTTCTTGCATTTTAGAAAACTCTGATGAGGTTTCAGAGCCATCAGAATAATTTTTCTCTTCTCCAAAATCTAGTGTTGACAAATTAGGATTGGAGGAGTGTAGTCTTACTGGGCCAGAAAAAGGTTTCGGGACCTGAAGTAACACCAAAGGGAGATATTTCTTTTCAGATGCAGATTGCTTAGAATATTTACTTGATTCTAAGATTGAAACATGGTAATACAAATACAAAACATTTTATAGGTAGGTCTTTTTTTTTTTTTTTTGGGGGGGATGGAGTCTCGCTCTGCCACCCAGGCTGGAGTGCAGTGGCACAATCTCCGCTCACTGCAAGCTCCACCTCCCGAGTTCACAGCATTCTCCTGCCTCAGCCTCCCAAGTAGCTGGGACTACAGGCGCCCGCCACCACGCCCGGCTAATTTTTTGTATTTTTAGTAGAGACGGGGTTTCACCGTGTTAGCCAGGATGGTCTCGATCTCCTGACCTTGTGTTCTGCCCGCCTCAGCCTTCCAAAGTGCTGGGATTACAGGCGTGAGCCACCGCGCCCAGCCTAGGTAGGTCTTTCTACTGAGTGATAACTTATTTTAAAAAATGAGAACTCAAGACAACACTTTCCACAGAAACTTGCTTCTTGTGAGCTAAAAATGGGTGAGAAATCACATATTCTTTTGGAAATGATAGAAGCATTAAAGCTATAGGTTGAAAATGACAGCTAAAGCTGCCAGGCTTTCTCATTTATACTCAATTCCTTCCTCCTGGCAATAATCATCCATGTATCCAGGCGGTTAGTAATGGATAGGTTTAAAATGCTTTTCTTTGCACCTAGGGCTTCTACAAAACAAATGACCTTCATTTGTACATGGAACATTCTTTACTTCCAAAGTGCTTATCTTCAGTCCATAAACTACTTTGAACCAAAGAGTGTACACAAGTGTATCAGGTGACCTAACCAAAAGCTTGAGATTTATGTTGATTCTAAAACTGTTGCAATTAATATGCAACAGTTAAGCTGCAAATCTTGGCCTGTGGCTTAGCTGTGCATTGGGAAAGCTCCTAGCATGACACAGTGAATCCTGGATGAGGGATTGGGAGTTTGGAGATAAGAGGCCAAGGAGAATCTACACCATGTCCTGTGCCCAGAGAATCAGGCCTGTGGGCTTAGAGGGATGACAAATCCATGGAGCATCAGCGGAAGACACAGGTCACAGCACACAGCAACTGCAGCCACAAAACAAGGCACAAACACAAGCAGGGAAGAGCACAGGCAGGCTCAACAGTGAAGGTGGGGAAACCAAAAGCCCTAGAAATGGCAGCAGTCCCTGCGACCTCACACCCTTTTTCCCTTAGAAAAAATTCTCTCCCTTGCCCACGATCCATTATGTGCTTATCCTAGCACCCAGATAATCTAAGTGATTCAATTCATCTCGCTACAGAGGACACTGGAAAGAACAACTACAGAATATTCACTCATCTATTCTCCTAGCTGAGTCAAGGTAGCTGCTGGCACACGGCATGCAGAGCAGGGCCAATGAAGAAACCAGTCTGTCAGGGGAAGCAATGGTTACCTGCAGTGTTCCTTTAGCATCTTTGCCAATAGCTCTGGACCGCCACCTCCTGTGCGATCTTTTTTCCTTTTTGGGACTTTCAAAAGATCCACCCTTTGTTTCAAAACAGGAAAGAGAGCACAGACAGTAAAGTCCACCAAACCGACAAGGATAAATGCATAGCAAAGTGACCACCTCCATCCCCTTGACTTTGGCTGAAGCAACTGACCACAGCATCCCACTGTTAGTGAAAGGCTGGGAGGAGAAAGGAAAGCAGAAGAGGGCCAGAATGTCAACAGAAGAGGAGTCCGGCTCACCTGGATGGCGTTGATAGCTGGTGCCGAGTATGTCCGATGCAGGACGTCCATGCTTTGCAGGAGCTGGCTCATTTCTACCAGGTAGGCATGACAGTGCGCCAGGTCTGTGGGGGAAAAGAGGACAGTGCTCACAATGCTCCACTAGCAAGAGGGATCACTGTGCTGTCCCCATGCCAGCTACTTTTCCTTATTTATCTGTAGTTGATTTTTTTTTTCATCTGTAAGGGTTGGAAATTTTACTTCCTTTTTTACAGGAAAGGCTGTAGACTCTAGTGGTTAAGGGCATGAATCTTGAGAACCAGGCTGCTTCAGTTTGAATCCACTTAATGAACTGTAACTATTGAGAAAATTGCAAAACTGCATGCCTCAACTTCCTCATCAGAAAGATGGGGATAATTATACATCACATGACAAGAGAGTTGTGAGAATTAAATGAGTTGATATTGCACAGTTCTTAGAAGAGTGTTTGGCACAGAGTAAGAACTAAATAAATCAACCATCATCATCATCATCATCACCAACTTAAATCCTGTAGTAATATGCTGACACCATCCACTTGTCAGGACCCAATGCACATTAATAAAACTAAAATGAAAGTTGTACTGGTCTCTAAGGAAAACTTTGTCAATCATGGACCTGCCTGAGGACCATAATAAGCCTCTTGCACATGGACCTGAGAGGACATAAGAGGACTCTCCAACCAGATCCCAGTCGCTAACTCAAAAGATAGTCCATATTTGCTGTTCACTGAATGCTGATGGATGTTTCTGCTGAAGAATACAGGCCCAAATGCCTTAGGCTAGAGGCTCTCACACTTTGATATCATCAGAACCACCTGGAGACCTTGTTAAACCACAGCTCGTTGGGCTCCACCCCTAGTTTTTTATTCCATACATCTGGGTTGAGCCTGACAATGTGCATTGCTGATAAGTTCCCGGGTGGACGCTGCTGCTCCAGAGACAAGGCTTCAGGGACTGCTTTGACAAGCTGTCACTTGGTAAAGTTCATGAGTGATATTTATTAGAGGGGTAAAGCCTACATGGTCCCAAGGGTGATATTACCTGTATTCAACAAGAGATAATGCAATTTTCAAGGCTGCCACCTGGTATCTTTCTCTAATAGTGGTTCTCAATCATGGCTACAGTTTCAAATCAGTTGGAGAAATCTTTTAAATTATATATGCCTAAATCCCACCCCCAGACAATTCAATCAGAGCACTCCCAGTCCCGCTGTGGATCTTTTCGGTTTTTAGTTCCCTAAGTCAGTCTTAGCTAATTAAGGTTGAGAATGCTGAGTTTCCTTATGGCAGGCGCCTTATCAAAATCACTTGGGGAACTTTGGAAAATTAGTGATATCAGGGCCCTACCTCAGACCAATTTAAAGAGATTATTTGAGACAGAGGACTGGGAATGGGTATTACTGCATTTTAAAAGCCCTCTGGGTGATTCTAATGTGCAGTCAGGGTACAGAACACCTACATCGTGAAGATCTCCATCTGATCACTCCCTCACCTCTAGCACAATGATTCTCAATCTTTCTTGGATGTGTGTCAGACTCTGCCCTTGGAGACTGACTTATAGGCCCATGTGGAAATCAGGCATCAGTATCAGGCATCAATACTGAAGGAACAGAAGAAGAAACCTGTCTGCATGTACAGCCAGGTGAAGATGCAAAGATCTGCAAGGAGAGTGTCTTTTGTTGATGATGGGTGCAACCTTTACAAGCAAAATATGGAAGGGAATGTGGACAAGCATAGGGGAAGGACACAAATGAATCTGAAGTGTAAACATCAAACCAGTATCATCTAATAGCCACAACAGAAAGCAGACGTTTCAAGTCACTCTACCTTTGGAGCATTTTTCCATGTCCTCTGAAGACTGTAACCATAATGGAACTCGTGTCTCACCACCACAAGAAAATGATACATTGCTTCCAGTTTGAAATAAATTCTGCTTTGATATACTGCTACGCTGTTCCACGGATGACAAAAGCACATTGTAAATGGAAACAGAGCCCATTGGGGACATGTTAAGACAAAGGATAACAGAGTGGGCTAGTCACTAATGGACACCATCTGCCTATAATGAGGAAGAAGCTTCTAGCAAAGTACTAAGACCTCTGGCTATCACCCCGGCTTGGCCATACCGTGCTATGATACGACATGCCTTGAATGGTGGACCTAATTTTCTTCTTTTATCAAATATTAATAACATCAAAATAATAATATAAATGTTTGGAAATATTTTGCAATCCTGCATAGCTATATGCATACCTACTGTAGTTTACAACCAGAAAAGGAAACCAAACTCAAACCAGTCAGGATAAAGCTAGTTCATTCAGAGATGCTAAATTCCTCCTTATTCTTCAGTCACTGTCCGCCCCCGCCCCAACTAATAGATGCTTGTCTGGTCTTGGTTCTGACTCAGTGGGCAAACAGACTAATTAAATACCAGCCCAAGCCTACCCTGCTTGTCCCCGAAAACTTTTCCTTCTTCGGACTCAGCTCCCAAGACAGGACTCCATGAAACAAAGCCACCCCGTTCTCAGATTCATTATTGGCAAAACACTCATTACCTTCCTACTTGAAATGGAGTCAAACACCCCAGATGAAGAGTCTGTGATGGTGGACCCTGAGAAAAAGTGGTTAACTTCATGTGGAAACATGGCAATTTCATTCTGACGATACATTCTGTGGTGGCGAAGTTTCGATACCCACTCATCAAAGACTTCTTCTGACTTGACCTATAATATATTCGATTGAAAAAAGGAAACAAGAGAATCATTCACTGGAAGGAACAATTACTCATCAAATTGAGGCCACTCTCAAAATCCTCTTTTTCAGTTGGCACGTAATTTCAACAGCCAGGCGCAGTGGCTGATGCCTGTAATTCCAGCAATTTGGAAGGCCACGGAGGGAGGACCACTTGAGCCCAGGAGTTCGAGACCACCCTGGGCAACCTGGTGAAACCCTGTCTCTACAAAAAATACCAAAAAAATTAGCCAGACATGGTGGCACACGCCTGTGATCTGAGCTACTCGGGAGGCTGAGGTGGGAGGATCACTTGGGCCTGGAAGGTTGAGGCTGCAGTGAACCGAGATTGAGCCACTGCACTCCAGCCTGGGTGGCAGAGGGAGACTGTCTCAAAAAAAAATACATAAATAAGAAAGAAAAGAAAAGGAATGGAGAAATAGCCTCTCATTGACTGTTTACATTGATGTGGTCTATGGGAACAAGTTTGAGAAAGAAATGCAGAGTAAAAATGATCTTTATAAAGTATGTATTTTGGCTTTCTATGAGTAAGTCCAACTGTTATTTATTTATTTGAGACGGAGTCTTGCCTTGTTGCCCAGGCTGCAGTGCAATGGCCCAACCTTGGCTCACTGCAACCTCCACCTCCCAGGTTCAAGCGATCTCTTGCCTCAACCTCCCGAGTAGCTGGGATTACAGGTGTGCGCCATCATGCCCAGCTAATTTTTTGTATCTTTAGTAGAGGCGGGGTTTCACCATGTTGGCCAGGCTGGTCTCGAACTCCTGACCTGGTGATCTGCCCGCCTCGGCCTCCCAAAGTGCTGGGATTACAGGCGTGAGCCACCACACCTGGCCTGTTATGCTATTTTTAAGAAAACAGAACAGTGCCAATTATATTAAGCAACAAATAAACTGAAATTTACATTTATCTGTCTCTTAAAGCATTTCCAAGTTCTCTAATTCCAGCTTCTCTATCCCTACTGAAAATATTAGCACCATTTTTCTTTTTAAACTCTTTTATAATTCAGACTTTTCAGATTAATCTTTTCTGAACTGGAATGAATTAGTAAATTCTTCCTAAAATATTTAAACTTGTTCATCTCTCCAACAAAGAATACATTGCTGAGGAGTATATGTGGTATGGTTTGGCTGTGTCCCATGTCCCACCCAAATCTCATCCTGAATTCCCACATTTTGTGGGAGGGACCTGGTCAGTGAGAGGTAACTGGATCATGGGGGCAAGTCATTCCCATGGTGTTCTCGTGGTGGTGCGTGGGTCTCGCAAGATCTGGTGGTATTATAAAGTGGTGTTTCCCTGCACAAACTCTTTCTCTTTGCCTGCCACCATCCACAGATGATGTCACTTGCTCCTATTTGCCTTCTGCCATGACTGTGAGACCTCCCCAGCCATGTGGAACTGTAAGTCTATTAAACCTCTTTCTTTTGTAAATTGCCCAGTCTCGGGTATGTCTTTATCAGCAGTGTGAAAACGAACTAATACAATATGTTAATGAATGTGAAAGTTATTTAAAAAAACATTTCTCCCACTCTCAGAAATAAAGCACTATACAGCAATAGTATTATTTTTCTAACTTTTATTACTATCACACTCACAAACCTTTAGCCATCTCTCCATAAATGAACAATTATCGATTTCTAATTTCCATGAAGAATACTGTAACTAGTAGTTTTTATTTAAAGATATTTCAAATGTTTATAAAAATATGTGATATATATAAAAAGACTATAACAAGCACCTATATACCATAGATATTTCTTAAAAGTCAATTTTGGCTGGGCACAGTGGCTCACGCCTGTAACCCCAGCACTTCGGGAGGCTGAGGAGGGTGGATCATGAGGTCAGGAGATCGAGACTGTCCTGGCCAACATGGTGAAACCCTGTCTCTACTAAAAATACAAAAATTAGCTGGGTGTGGTGGTGTGCGCCTGTAGTCTCAGCTACTTAGGAGTCTGAGGCAGGAGAATCGCTTGAACCTGGGAGGGGGAGGTTGCAATAAGCCGAGATCACACCACTGCACTCCAGCCTGGGTGATGGAGCAAGACTCCGTCTCAAAAAAAAGAAAAAAAAAAAAAGTGTGTGTGTGTGTGTGTGTGTGTGTGTGTGTCTGTGTGTGATGGTGTATTGATATTTTCAAGGTAAAAAAATGATAGATAAATGATAGATACCCACATATTAGGACACCGAGATTTATGAAGCTGTAATTTAAGATAATCCAAAAGGATGCACAGTAGGTTAACTTCCAAGATGAAAAGTTCAGGTCAATCTGTGAAAATCTTTACTAATGCCAGAGATGAGAGCTAGGATATGCAAATAAATGCCAGCAATATCACTCACTGAGGAACTGTTAGGTTGGCTCTGGTGTTGATTATTAGAAGTACCTATAAGACTGGAAGCACCTGCAGGGGCTTTTTAATGTGTCATTTACAGGAAGAAGCAATACAAACAGACTCACACCTATTTGTCTCCCCTAAATTGTGTTCTTGAAATGTATTTCATTTCCCAGATGTGGTTAAGAGGAATTTTACAGGAATCTTGTGTTATCCTTTCCTCTGATCTCTTCTCAGAGGCCGTTATAAGTCAGTGCCCAAGCACTCATCTGGACTCACTTTTCTATGAGTTAAACAAGGTAGAAGAATAAGAGCACTTTATTAAATAACTGTCCAGGGTCCTGTTCCAGTCTCTCAAGCAGTTCTAGGGCCGTGGGTGAGCAGCCTCTTAATCTCTCTGCTACTCAGGATCCCTTATCTATAAAATAAATGGGACCAAACAGCCCACAATTAAAAACTGCCTGACTGAGTCTAATAACTAGAACGCTCAGATAACTACACTTACCTACACTAAGAGTCATAACCGATGTTCAAAAGAATGAACAAGAAACCAAACAGAACTTAAAGCAAATCACACAGAGAAATATTAAACTGCATTTATCACAATATTAGCATTCAATATATTTTCAGGTATTCTAATTCTTTAAAAATTATGAATTCATAATTACTTTTATTTTGTTAACCAGAATAGTGGGTAAATAAGAACCTATTAATTCCTGACCATGTCAAAATACAGAACTAAGATTCATTGGAAGTACCTGAAGAAATAACCTAAACTATTCTAGTGGAGACTGATCAATGAAACAGAAAAAACGATAGTATTCTTTCTTAAATTTCTTTTTTATCTTAAGATATAGGCTTTTCCCTCCCATACTTCACACCAGTCATTTGCAGCCAGGGGTGATTTTATCCTCTAGGGAACACCTGGCAATGTCTGGAGACATTTTTGTTGTCATAACTGGAGAAGGATGCCACTGGCATCTAGAGAGAGGGCAGGGGGCAGGGACACTGCTCAATATCCTGCTGTACAAAGTCGGCCTCCCACACCAAAACATCCAGCTCACAATGTCAATGGTGCAGAGGCTGAGAAACCCTGCTTTACACAATTAGCTACACCCAGAGATACAGTTAGGCTAGGAAATAGTGAAGATTTGACTGTCTTGCCCATTCAACAAACCACAGGTATGTGGCCCACACGGCTCAATCACCACACACATGCCATAGAGAGGACAGGGACACATTAAGACAAGGAGCTCATGATCTCATGCTTTGATTTTCCTAATCCTCAGGCCCCATTCCCAATATCTCAAGTAATTTGCCCAAGTAAGAAAACAGTCTTAGTACTTTCTCAATTAATTTCTAACATTTGGGTACCATCCAACAAGCACATACAATAACTAAACTTCCTGAGTTTACACTGGGCCAGGCACTATACCAAGTTTTCTACATGCAACCCGACAAGATAAGTATTACAATAATTTTCATTTTGTTATAGGTGAAAAAACTGAGACTTTCAGAGATTAACTTGCCAAAGTTCAATGGCTAGTGAGTAGCCACATCAAGATTTGAACCAGATCTAGATCTCACGCTTCATGCTTTGACTATCTCTACCACCTGTAGGAGAGACAGCACAAGAGGGTAAGCAGCTTTGAAGTACTATTTGGGAACCCACACTTCAGGGGAAAAATTCCTGACATTTTTCACTACAATATGAGAATTTTAGTGGGATTCCTATAAAATTAGCCAAAGTGATAAAACAGGGCTCCATGGCCTAAATGTTACATATATATTTCAGGAACACGTTTTAACCTATGGTAAATGGTTCTTCACTAAAGATGTTACTGCCTGGGTGGAGATGGTTTGGAAACAAAATTTTTCATTGTTGACTGTTGTCACAGTCACTGGGGGCAGGTTCGTATCTAGGGGATGAGGCGACCAGCAGGCTAAACCCTCAAGCAGTGTTGACAGTCCTGCACAATGACGTCCCATTCAAATACCAACACTGTACATGAGAAACACTTTGGTAATGAAGGTCTTCTACATGTTGGCCGAATACCCAAAAGGCATTACCAATAGTATAATAACTGATGATACTTCCCCAACATAAGTGAACTCTGCACAGTGGGAAGCAGCCTCACCTTCAGATGGTAGATGTGCTCCTCGGTGTCAAGGTCTATGCATTTTGATGACTTCTTTACAGACATCACTGAGAGCCCGACATCAATGCAGCCATGCAGCTTCTCTCTCTCTATCTGCAGAGGCACCAAGAGGGTCACTTGGGGACCATGGTGTTAGAAGCAGTAGTCACATCCCTGACACACCCTTCCACATCCCCTGATAGTAAAATCACAAACACTGCGACTCATCAAGCACTTAGCGTGAGCCAGTGCTGAGTTACGTGCTGGACATGCACTGTCTTCCTGAATCTCCGAGGTAGGAAGTACTCTCCCCATTTTACAGATGAAGAAACTGGAGTACAAAGGGGTTAAGTAACAAGCAGTTTACACAGCCAGGATGTGAGGAAACAAAAGAGTAAGCACCGTGGGTTGACTCCCATGGCAGTGAATTCACCTGTCAACTGTACCACCTCCCACTGAATGAGTTTCTGGTGTCTAAATTCATTTAGAAGTGATGTATTAATAAAAGAAGTGAGAGCAGAAGGCTGAGAGAGGACAGGAGAGGAAGAAGGGAGAAGAGTAGGACTCCTACAAGGGACAGGACAAATGGTCATTCACACACAGAGCCTTCACACACCAACTGCCTGGGATTAATTTGAAAAGGAACTTCTTCACCCAGGGGCTTCTCCCCGGAATCTCTCGGTCACAGTGCAAGAGGGAGGGATGCCCTATGTTTTGTTCCTGTTATCTAGCTGCAAGGATGTATTCTCCCACCCCAGGAACTCCTTAGCACAACCTTAAGACCAGAACAGACTTTTGCATGCCCAGAGAGTGTTGCGGGAGCCCCTGCACCTTGACCTGGTGGAAGAACTGAGCCTGCCTGGAACCCAGAGCTCAGACAGAAGTGTTTCCCCTCTATGGTTTCCAGTTCCGAGAAAAGCTATCCTCAACTATACACACTCTCATCTCTGAGCTGATGGTTACCCCTTTAGGATTCTTCAATACCACAGTGGGCCCACAAAAAGACTTACATCGGTTTGGCTCTTGGCATATTTCAAGATTCCTTTGTCCAGATAGAAGAATCTCTGTGGGGAAGAAAGTATTATTAATTAAGGCATTCAATTTAGGTGCCCTTTTCTTGGTCTCAAATTCCAACTAGAAATTAAATATGAGTACCTAAGAACCAGGTGCTGAGTGGGGCAGTGTGAGTGCAAATAAAGGGGAGGCCAAGACCAACCTTACCTTATGCCAGCCTTTTAAGGGCCACTTCCTCTTTTTCAGCAAAAATCCTTTCTGAACTGGTGGCTCCTGGGTGTAATTCATCTCCCCCCTCAGTCCTTCCACCACTTCCCAGCTGTCCTGTTCCAACAAAAGAGTTCATGTTAAATGTCTATCTTTTTGAAAAATAATAATGGTAAAAAGCACTGCATCCTGTCAGTAAATTTATTCAAGATGGGGAGGCTGGCTGGGTTTGTTGGGGAGAAGAAATCCAAATTTAATTTCCATACAGTCCCTGGGCTTCACAGATTTAATTCTATAATTTAGTGGCATCAAATTTTGGTTTTTTTAAAGCTCTTTTTTTTTTAGAAGGGAATGTTTCTTTCGGTGTTTGAACCTTAATAGGCACAGCTAAATGTAAAGATTTTCCTGTAAGTTCTATTTTTGTTCAGTTTGACATTACCATGCAATTACTGTTCGTTCAGCACTAGACTTCAGTCTGAATTTTAACCGAAAGAGAGTGTGTGTGTGTGTGTGTGTGTGTGTGTGTGTGTGTGTGGTGTTGGGGGAAGGAAGTTGGTTTAAGAATTGGCTGAACAGTATGAGACAATGCAAATCAGTAAATATGACAACTTGATTGAAATAATTATTTTGTTGAAAATCAGCATCCACAAATTCTAGGTATTTAAATGTACTGGAAATCTGGAAGCATCAAAAGTATATTTTTGCAACAAGAATTTTCACTTTTTTCCCAGAAATTTGTTTTTTCCATCTTTGTTTCAAAAACTTTTCTTTCTTTGGCCAATTATTACAAATAGTTGTTACAACTAATCTTCCACTATTGGCTATTTAGGTTATTTCAACTAATTGAAAAAGAATTTTAAAAGAAATAGAAGAACACTAAAAGTTCTGAAAATTTACTTTTAAATACTTAAAAATAAATACATCATTGCTAATCACCCCAAGATAAACCAAAAGTAGCAATACTTCAGTGACTGGGAGAATTTATTTTTATTATTATTTTTACATTTTTATTGGGGTACAATATACATGAAATGCATGAATCTTAAGAGTATGCCTTGATAAAAATGATAAATTTTTACATTTATACATATACTCAGTAACTGCCAGCCAAACCCGACAGAAAACATTTCCAACACAGAGTAAGTTTTGACAAGCATGACACTTCAGCCAAGATTTCACCTGGACTAACTTGCTTTGAGTCAAATCTCCAGCCCACAGGCAGGTGGTACAGGCAGAAGCCAAGGGCACTGGGAGATGGACAGTGAGTCTGAACCAGCACCAGGGAGCAGGAGGCAGTTAGATTCAAGTCCTGGGACACAAGTGGTCTAACAGGGAGGGCACAGAAACCACACAGGGTCCTGAGTGGCTCTGGCTCAGTTTCTGTGTTGTCCTCAAGTTCAATACGTGGGACCCACCTGGTAATGAGAACCCTTTCCTACGTTAGCAACTGAATTCTTTACATAATGATCGTGATGGGTCTGCCTTCTATCTGATGGCACTTTACCATGAATCCAATTAAAGGTACATTCCAGAGTTTTAAAATATCACAGTGGTATCCCAAGATCTGGAGTTGTGAAAAAGACTTCTTCAATGGAAAAAAGCAAAGCTTCGAAAAAAGATCCAGCTTTTAAATTAGAGGATTTTTTTTTTAAGGAAGGTAGCAATGTTGAATGAGATTTCTTCATAACAAAATTATTACCAATTATTCCAAGTCACTTAATTACACTCAGACAATAAATGCATACTACTAAGTGATGGGAAGTCAGATTTCCTATTACTTAAAAACACCAAAAAAAAAAACTTACTTGAATTTATTTTAGCTCAGAAAGCCATTCCACAAAATTTAACACATTTTACCCATCTAAATGTTAATGAACCTTTAAGGTTGTCAAGTTAAAAATTCCACCTCAAATTTCACCTCCTCCAGTGGAAAATACCATTTCATCCTTAGAGACTCCATAGGTACTCCATCTTACTTTTCTGGAGGTTCACCACTTACTTATGATAACATGTACATGCGGTTTTATCATCCCTGCTGGACAGCAGGCTCCTTGAGGGTATAAAGGGTCCGGAGTATTTCTGATTTCCCCACAATGCCTAACCTGCTGTGCTGTGAATAGTATGCATCTGATTGGCAAATGAATAAACTTAGTCTTGGAATAAGTCTGCAAACAGATTTATCTTCTTGGAATGTCATAAATTAGCGTGCATTTGAAATGTGCCCAGTATCTTTGAGCCAAATGACTATTTACAAATTAGATACAATGCACCCACAATTGTGAAAGAAGAGGGTGTGGGTATCGTCATTGTTAAATAAAAATCCAAGACTTAAAATCCTCTGGAAAGTACTCTAAGTGGATCAAGCCCTTTTGATTTGTTTGTTTTAAGACTCCCAGGCAGAAGCAACCTGCAGAGCACTAATACTAAATAATCATACACATCTGCTCAAAACATTCGATTGTGCACAATGCAAATACCAAGAGGAATCAGACGTTATTGCATCCTTTACAAAACTGAAGAAAAAGTAGATAAGATCATACCTGTAAGTTTAAAGGAAAACAAGAATTAAATCTCAGAACTATTTCAAAAATTCCTGTTAGAACTGGACTGTTCCTCCTCCTGAGACAGAGTGCATTCCTATCAGTGACCCACCAAGAAGGGCAGGGAATTAAAGCACATCTGTTGGCCCTTAACATAAATAAACAAAAAAAGGAGTTGCATTTTTTTTTCCTACAAAATATTGTGTTTTCTTCATTTTATCTTCCACCTGGGGTCAGAACTTGAAACTGTTACCAGGTTGGAAAAGCCAGGTTTGAAATATTTAAGAAAGTGAAGACTCTCCTTGACTAAAAAAGCAGTGCAACCAACTCCTTTTCTGGACTGGACATCCAAATCTGCCCCCTGCCTCATCGCCAACTTCCCTGTCACCGTCCATGAGTTGTGAGGCCAACATCCAGCCTAGTGTTTCTCAGTGAGGTTGCAAATGCTCCCTCGGGGACACTGTGGAATCCTGGAGCCACTTTTGGTTGTGACAATGATAGGGAGATGCCTCTGGCATGGAATGGCTGGGAGCCAGGAATGTTAGATGTCCCACAATGCCTCGGTCTTGCACAATGAAAACGCCGTCCCACACCCCAAAGACTTCCCAAAGTGCCATTAGCCATTTCTGTAAGTGAAATGTGCTTAAAATCACTTGAGCATGGAACCAAACTCTGTTTCACACATATATCAAAGTATTTTCGCATGGTTTTTATACACTCTTGGGATGTAAGTGCAGAGTAACTGAGGGAAGACTGTATTTTGTTCTTTTTGGAACTTTACCAAGTGTCTCCTACTATTTTAGAGAACGATATTGCTGAAGGCCATGCTATTTGAGTTATTAATATAGCACACCTGTATCCTCTCCATTTGCAGTTGTCACTTTCTATGTATAGGTATATCTGATCACTTCATTATGTCTTCTGGTGTAGTCATGCCTGGACTTTTACATATTGAAATATATGTTTTAACATTAACCACATTCTTTGAATTTTCCTTTATATTACAGTAAAGCATGATGCTGACATTTTCAAAATTATGTATTCAAGTAGGTTACATTAATAATGAATATCATTTGGACATAGTGGCTCATGCCTATAATCCCAGGATTTTGGGAGGCTGAAGCAGGAGGAACACTTGAGCCCAGGAGTGTAAGGCTACAGAGTGCTATGAGCACACCACTACACTCTCCAGCCTGGGTGAAAGAGTGAGACCCAGTCTCTTAAAAAAATTATATATGTAATTTTTAATATATAATCATATACATAATACATATTTACATATATAAATTTTATATATATACAAATTTATAGGAGAGTAAATTTTGGAGGAGAGTAAAGCAATCACTAAAACACTGGTCATAATAAGAGGACATTGGTTACGTGGACGACAGGGTAAGAACCACTAATGAACTTGGTACAAATTCTGTGTGCTGTTGTAAGAAAGAATACTAGCCCAGGACACAGTGTATGTGAAATCACTTTGAAAATTGTAAAGGCTTTAATATTTTCTTGTAAGTAAGTCCTGTTGGTTCCATCTTCAAAATGTGTATTTTCTACTTCCCTTCCTCTTTATTGCCCAGCCACCATCCTAACCTCGGCTCTCATCCATTCCATTAATTCCTCACTTGTGCTTAAGTCAACAACCATTTATGGGGCCTCATTGTGTCCTGTCCTTCATGCAATATAAAAATGAGGATGACAAAATGGTTGTCTTTATTTCCACTTTGGCGATTTACTTATATTTTGGCCTCCCAGAATCTTCTCTTGATCTTTTCCAACGATGTGAACTCTTCAGGATTTTAGTTTGGTTTCTACCTCCTTCCATGAAATTTCTAAATTATCCAAACCACATCAGTCACATATTCCTGTAAATTACATTATTATTACTGTCCATTACCAAATAATTTAGCAATTAATTAACTTCTAAGGTTTTTTTTTTTTCTTCCCTTTCATTTTTATCTCCAGTGCTTTGGTCTTTTTTTCCCAAGCTATCACAGTGACCATCTTTTCAACTTGCTTAGAATCCTAGTAAAGTACTAAGTATATATTTAGTAGGAACTAAGAGATTTCTCCTGGTTTATTCATTGTTGGGGTCTCAAACCAAGAAAATAAGTTCTCAAACCAAGTAAATGGCACTGAGTAGCTGGCCTACAAAGAGATATTAAGCTGTATCCACAATTCTGTACAGCATGCCATTTAAAACACAAAAGAATAGTGCCTCAGGAAATACTATCCAGTGGGGTCGGCTGAAATAATACATAAACCTAACTATATAAGCAATAATAATATAAAATAATTGGAGAACACTTTCTAGCTCTATGAAAGCAGGAACCTTTTCTGTCTTGTTCACTACTTAAAATAGTGCATAGTAGATATTAATAAATATGTTGAAAGAATAGAGCAACTACAATAGCTAACACTTAAGCATCTTCTATATGTCAGATAATGTGCTAAATACCATACTTACATGATCATGTTTAATTCCTGCACAACCTTTGAGATTGGATTTATTAGTATTCTTTATTTTTTTGCATGTGGAAACTGAGGAAGAGAGAATTAGATAACTTCCCTGATGTTACAAAACCAAGTGACGAAGCCACCTGACTGCAGAACTTACATTTTTAATCATTCTGTCACATATTATAGCATACTGCATTTTTACTGTAGTTTAAGTATGTAAATTCTGATGAAGAAAAAGGAGTAAATCCCATTGGGTAGAGGAATAGTGGTGGGCCAAGACCTTGAGACAATTGGAAGGAGTTAAGAAACAGTGCAGTATGGATGGAGGCAAGTAAGGTCTTCAACCCTGCTCAGAGATAGCTACTGTTTTCCCTATACTGTAATCCCACCAAACAGGGAAGGGAAATTAGCCTGTGCATTTTAAGGCTGCCAAGTCTTCGCCATTCATTTTTTTTCATATTTGGAAAGCCTGCCCCATCTACCTCTTAGCCAGGTAAATTCTCATTTAGGCCCAAACCTCCTCCCTGGATGACAGTCACCTTGCACTGTCAGCCTCCCTAGCTAGAACATGGGTTCCGTGAGGACAGGGACTGTGTCTTATTTATTACAATCCTACTACCTGGGAAATAGGGGCCGAAATAAATGTTTACTGAATGAGTCTGCAAAGCAAGGGGGGTATCAAAAGAGTCCCCCAGAACCTTCGGGACATGGGACTTTAATAATGTGTGCTGGATTAGAGTGAGTTGGCACTCAGGACAGAAAACAAGAGGGATGTTGGTTTCTCTTGGCTAAAGGAACCAGGACTTAGGAGTATCTCCTGGTGACCCCAAGAGTAGGGCAGGCACCTTGAGCTGCATATCCTGAGACACAGTACAGGGTAGACTTGGGCCCTTGGGGAAATCAAGGCCCTGCTGACTTAGCCCAACACGGCTGCACTGATGTCTCATCCTGTGGGGTGTCAAGCTTAAAGGTCACCATGAATACCAGGTGGAGAGAGAAACATGGGAGGGGTTGGGGGATGTGGCTTCTTAAGGTTTTTGCATGAGTTTCACTGAAGACAGTCTGGTGCTGTCATCTGGCATTAAATTTAGTCTGTTTTACTGAATGTCTGAAAAGTGCCAAAGATAGAAAGCTGCTTTGTGATTGCAAAGGCAGCTAAGCATTTATTCATGCTCATGCGCTGGCCAAGTTAATTTCCATATTGCTGAGTGCACGAATTGAAAGCACTTCCCTCCAGCACAGCTGTTTCCACAGGCACCTTTCAAATGCTGAATCCTCAGTCACTACCCTTGCAGTGATGTCAGAAATAGAAAACGATTAAAACTTTTATTCTTCTTGCAGCTCAAGAGTGTTGGGGAAGAAAGTTTTGTGGTTGCCTCTATCAGGCATGGTTGGAAAACGGGTGTCCTGATTACTCACTTAATCCGTTTATCAGTTTTTTAAAAATCACAAGGCAATACCCAGCCTTAAATCATGTAATTTAATGTGTCTTTAATGATTTTAAAGGCATTCAAGATCTTCCACGGCCTATTAAGAAAGGCTAACGATCATCAATATTACCTTTTATGATTGTTCTATGAACACTGACAATACTTGTCAATAGATTTTCAATTAATAGAATGACAGCTTTAACTGATGCTAGACCAAAACTGTACTCACATTTCAATCACTGAGAACTGGAGTTGTTGTTTCTTGTTAAATGTTTCTCAGCTATGGTTTTTTGTTTGTTTGTTTAGCACCAGCAGGCCTGATAGCAATGGCAATTTTTAAGAAAAGAAAAAATTAGTTGGGAGAAAGGTAGTGTATGAGCTCTCACTCAGTGCTTCTCAAACTGTAATTTGCATGTCAATCACTTGGAGATCTTGTTAAAAATGCAGATTTAAGTTCAGTAGGTCTGGGGGAGGCCTGAGATTCTGCACCTGCACAGATGAGGCTATCACTGCTGCTGGACCATAAGCCCAACTTGAGTAGCCACATTCCAGGAGACCAGGCTGTCTCAAAAAATTGGGATTTGACTTGACAGAATCTGAAGGCAAAACCAGGACTAACGGGTGGGAACTACAAGGCCCTGGATTCCAGCTTTGCCTAAAGGATGGGTTGTCTTACTATCTAATGAGTGCTATGAAAAATGGCAAAAACATGGCTGATCTATGAAAGTCTCTGGAGTGCTCCATCAGAGGCTGGTGGTCACCTGGCAGAGGCACCACAGAGAAGATTCCAAGACTGGCAGGGAGTTTAGAACAAGTGAGCTATGAGATCCTTTCTAAATCTTCTATCATAAACTCATGTCATACTAAACAGCAGCATTTGCATTAGCTCTATAACCTCAAGTACAATCCCTGACTTTGGGATCTAAGTGAGAAGATTAAAGAAAACAGGAGACTGAGCAATGAAGCTCCCACTTGGGTTCTGATGACTAAATGGGAGTAGCAGTCATCACCCGCCACCGTCACCATCCCTTCTTTCCCTTCACACACAGATGTAGCTCTCCAACCTCAGGCCAGAGCTAGGGAAGTGAATATCCAGATAATTCAGGCCCCAGAATGTTTCAAGTCTTACTACTTGGTTAGCCACAGACCAAAAACACTGGTGCCTTCATTACTTAGATAATGGGAGAATATTCATGCTGTCTTTGTGGTGAACCCTTGAGAAAGGGAAGGAAAATCAGTCCTTGCCAGCAGCTGATACTGACAACAAGGAGATAAAATCCTGTGGGCTGCCAGCTCTGTCAGTGGCTCCACCTGAGGTCATTCCCATCCTGAGTTTCCAAAGAGAAAAACGCTTTCCAACTGTATTGACCACAGACGGATTTATAATTAAAATAGCATTAATAAAAACACTTCAATGTACATATGACTATTTCCACGCTGTTGATCACTCACTCAGCATTTATGGCTACAATTACTTTGGCATGTTTTTAGGCCCCTCAGATATATTGGGAAGCCATTAATATTTGTTAAATATTCCCCTAATTGTATCAAGCCCCTTAAAGCTACAAACAGCATCTTCTATGCATTTTTCTCTCCTCCTAATGCTCTGTTCGGTAAGCAGGGTCTCTTAGACTATTAAAGATGAAAACATCCAGCCCATAAATGTCATTCCTCTCTGGCCATGCAGCCCACTGGGGTGGTGATGGGGTTTTTATAGTTGCTATTGTGGTAGTGATTATAGTTATAAAAGTGACAACTACTATTTTTTTAATATATGTACCTTGTGGTGATTCTATAATGAAAGCATTATTATCCTCATTTTACAGATGAGAAAATTGAAGCTCCAAATTAGTTTGTGCAAGATCACAAACTATTAAGAGGCAGAACCCATTTGCAGACTGCGTCTTGAGATCCCACGCAGAACCTCGCAGCTGAGTGTCCACTGTGGATAAGATCACCTAGAAGCAAACTAGCACTCAGCTGAGCCCATCCAGGGCCACCTACTGACCCTCCCCTACCAGTCCTGCCTCTCACCCCCCTACTCTCTCCCCCAGCGGAACAAGTCTGTCTTTTGTTCCAGGGGCATGTTTCTGCCCTCCATACACTTGTGGCTTAGTCAATAAAGACAAGATAGCTCTGTCCACCCAAGTGACTCAAGGGTCTCTTCTGAGTTTTTCTCTTGCCTTCAAAGTACACCATAATGATTGGCTTTCCTGTACCATCATGGAATATTTAAGTCTCAGAGTGTGACACAGAATGAAGAAGTCATTTACCCAGCTCTTTCATTTAGAGATGAGGAATCTATGCTGAGTGATTTGTTTGGGGCTGCGAAAAATGAGTGAGGGGCTTTTAAGGACCAGGACCCAGGTCTTTTGACTCCAACTCATGAGCACACACCTTGTATGAAGGGGAGAAAAACTCCAAAACAGGCTCCTGTGTGAATGGGACTGGGGCCTGAGGTGAGATATTTTTCCTTTTTATATCACCCAGGACTGTTTTAATATTTTACCTTTATTATATTTTAATTTAAAAAAAACCTTTCAGTGACATGTCACAGAGCCCTGCCCTTTGGTGTCTGAGCACAGAAGAGAATCACAGACTCTGCACTCAGATATAATACTCTTGTATGCCAACTACAGGGCATTCATGACTCTTCAAGGAGACCCACTGCTTTGCTGGACAGCACCAGCTGAGAACAGTGCTCTCTCTTACAGAGTGCTCAAAACTATTTTTTCAGAGCTAATTGAAATTTGCAATCAAAGCAGAGATACATTCTGACTAATCAACACATGCATGACTTAGAATCACAGGAGTAGGTGGCAGAAGTTTAGCACAATAAACTCTTCTTTATCTTGATCCAAATCAGAAGTGAATTATTTTCACAGTGCTACACAATAACTGGTTCTCATAATGAGAACCTAGTGACAATGTTAAGATCTCAGAGAACTTTACAAATCAAAGAAGGAATGACTTTAGTGCCAAGTATGTTATAGTCCAGTTTGTAACGGAGCTTCTTTTTAATAGGGGGGTCCCTGCTTAAAGGTCCAAAGCTCATTATCAGGAACTAGAGATACAAAGATGTAAAATCAAGTGCTGGATCTCAAAAAGCTAACATACATTACAAATGTTAATAAAAGGGATACCACAAGGTTGAAAATTTGTAAATTGTCAAATGGGAGATTCACACAAACCTGCTGCAGGAGTTCAGACAGGCATAATCTCCAAAGCCTAGATCCACATGAGCTGGGACTCCCAGAAAAAATGACACACAGTAAGCAGCAGGGTGTCTTAGATTCCTGAGGCCAACTTGATGAGCAGTCACAAACTTTGGTGGCTTAAATAAACAGATATTTATTCTCTAGCCGTTCTGGAGGCCAGAGGTCCAAAATCAAAGTGTTGGCAGGTCCACGCTCCCTCTGGAGGATCTCAGGGGGATTCATTCCTTGCTTCTCCCTCTGGTGGCTGCCAGCATTCCATGGCATGGCTTGGCTTGTAGCTGCATCACTCCAATCTCTCTCTCCACCATCACATCACCTTTTCCTCTATGTCTGTCTTCTCCCGAACGTGTTTCTTATAAGGACATTTGTCAGTGAATTTAGGGCCCACCTGGATAATCTGAGCTGCCCTACTCATCTCAAATCCTTAAATTAATTACATCTGTAAAGGTCCTTTTTCCAAATGTGGTAACATTCACAGCTTCCAGCATTAGGATGTGGATACATCTTTTTCTTTTAAAACAGTGTATATATTTATAGGGTACCTGTGCAATTTTCTTACATACACAGTTTGCATAGTGGTCAAGTCAGGGCTTTCAGGGTATCCATCACCACGTACATTGTGTCCATTACCTAATTTCTCCCCCTCCTCCCTCCCCCACCCTCACCTGCTGAGTCTCCATTATCTAGATCATTCCACTCTCTATGTCCACCTGAATACATTTTTTAGCACTCACTTATGAGAACATGTGATATTTGTCTTTCTGTGCCTGGCTTATTTCACTTAAGATAATGACCTGGTCCAGTTCCATCCATGTTGCTGCAAAATACATGATTTCACTCTTTTTGATGGCTCAACAGTATTCCATGTGTGTATATATTTTCGTCATCCATGCAATCATTGGTGGAAACAGGTTAATTTTATATCTCTGATATTGTAAATACTGATGCAATAAACATATGAGTGCAGGTACCTTTTAGATATATTTATTTCTTTTCCTTTGGCAAGATACCCAGTAGATCACATGGTAGTTCTTTAGTTCTTTGGGAAATCTCCAGACTGTTTTCTGATGAGGCTGTACTAATTTACATTCCCATTGACAGTGTGAAAGAGTTCCCTTTCTTCTGCATCCTCACCAACATGTTGTTGTCTTTGTATTAATAGTCATTTGACTTATATAAGATGATATCTCATTGTGGTTTTGATTTGCATTTCCCTGATGATTATGTTGAACATTTTTTCATATACTTGTTGGCCACTTGTATGTCTTCTTTTGAAAAATGTTTATTCATGTCCTTTGCTTGTTTTTTAATGAGATTATTTGTTTTTTGTTGTTGTGGTTGAGCTGTTTGAGTTCCTTGTATATTCTGGATATTAGTTCCCTGTTGGAAGCATAGTTTGCAAATATTTTCTCCCATTTTGCAGGTAGTCTGTTCACTGTTTTCCTTTTGCTGTGCAGAAACTTTTTAGTTTAATTAAGTAGGAAGTGAACATGTCTTTTTATGATTCAGCTCACTACACAGGGCCCCAGGGACCACGGGGCCAAGATGTGCCAGGAATGTGATTCATCTGAAGTAGGAACAGAGAGGAGGTGATTTAGGGTGATGTGGGCTTGTGAACAGATGCAGTGGAAAACACAGCTGAACTTGACGGTAGGGCCAGGGTGTAGGTTTTAGAGGGATATCAGATGACACTAGGGAAGTCTTCTGTTGTGCCTCTGTCCTACTTCTTGCACTGTCACTTCTGGACCTTTAGTATTTTAATATTATCAAATTACTGAAGCAGACTTTCCCCTCCCCAGGAAAGAGCTATTGAATCGGTCAGCTCAGTTCACATTTGCATCAATAGCTTCTTGAGAACATTCCATTACCTTGTACAGCTGCTATGCTGTGCTCTCAACCAGAGCATCTGGGCCAGGGTTCTGCCTTCCTGTATCTTAAATGTGCCCACTGCCAACCATGAATAAATATATTTATTTTCTTAAGGCATCCCATGCAGTTTTCATCAAAGTAATATTTCTAAATCTCACCCAAATATATTTGCTGTGATTATTATTCCAGGATTGCAGAACAATACAGACAGTTCAGCAACTTTCTGGAAGTGTTTTAAGATTTCAGTTTCTCGTGATCTTCAGAGTGTGGAATGCAGCTGACAGTCTGTCATTTGTGGATGTGGAGAGGAACAAAGAAGTCCTGACAACTCAAATATGTCATTTGAGCTGATACTTTAACCTCTTCTGATATCAAATGTTTGTTTGTGTCTTATAAGACTTACTCAGAGTGGAAATATATTGAGAGCTCAGTCTTATTTCTTCAGCCTTCCTGCCTCTGAGGTATGTTATAACCATAGGGGTGGCTAAAAGGTCAGCAGTAAGGAGGAGAAGTAAAAGGCCCAGAAAATGAGAATCTAGAAAACTATAAGAACTATATAGTTAATTATTTTTCTCAGTGGGGTCCACTAGAAAACAAACAAACAAACAACAACAGCAACAACAAAAAAAAACAGCTCCAGGCAAACAGGGATCCTAAGGCTACTTCAATCATCCACGTTCTTCTTGGCCCTGCATTCATAAAGATGTGAGCTGAGGGAGGCTTGTTTAAATAACAACCATTTGTACATAAGGCATGGAACTTGAATTAACTTCTGAAGAAGTCTTCTAGCATCTAAAGAAACCCAGTGCTCTCCAAACAGTTGGTTGCCGGGTCACCTACCATTTATTAGCCATGGGACTCCAAACAAATCAGTTAATATCTTTGGGCTGTATTTCCTTTCCACAGTGGGGGAAACATTACAGACCCCACTGAGTTGTGCTGAGACTCCAAAGGGTAGCATGAAAGGATATTATGAGCTGTGAAGATGCTATCGGAGAGTTTTCACTTCGAGTGTCCCATGCTGAGTCTTCCTGAGAGCAGCCTAGACACAAGCCAAGCTGCCTGCCCCTGCACTGTGCCACCCACCTCCCAGCTGAAAAGATGAAGCAGGGAAGCAGCTGTGACATTGCTTAAGGGCTCCCGGGACTCCTCTGCTCACAAAAGGCGAATGTTTATTTGTCAAACACTTACATAGCACTTCCTACTACAGGCGCTCTTCAAACTAAGCAACCTACACCTAATAAGAAAACAAGGCAGAGAGAGGGTATTAACTTTGTCCAAGATCAAACAACTTATAAACAGCCGGAGATTCAAACACTGGCCATCTGGCTCCAGAGTTCATGCTCGCTGCCTCTCCTCTTCTATGATCATCATAGAACAGTGTGAGACAACCACGATGTTTCCAAGGTCCCTCCTCCTTGACTGGACTTTCTTGTGGTGTTTATTCAGCCTATACTGAATACTGAAATAAATTTAGAGATGCTAAATCTTAGTATCTCTAAAGACATTATGAAATTGAAAGAAATAAATGGGGCCAGGTGTGATGGCTCACACTTGTAATCCCAGCACTTTGGTAGGCCGAAGGGGGTGGATCACCTGAGGGCATGGTGGTACTACAGGTGCACACCTGTAGTCCCAGCTACTCAGGAGGCTGAGGCAGGAGAATCGCTTGAACCCAGGAGGCAGAGGTTGCAGTGAGCCAAGATTGCAGCACTGCACTTCAGCCTGGGCAACAGAGTGAGACTCTGTCTCAAAAACAAAAAAAAAAAAAAAGAAAGAAATGGGACTAACCATTTTCAATACCCAGACAGCTGAAATGATAAACACCTGGACATTATTAAAGTGTTAATTCACTTTTCCCTCCTTGGCAAATTCTTCCCCATTCCACTCACCTGTTTTATGAGTTCCGGCCCTGAGCCCAGCCAGGCTGGGCTCTCTGGAGTGCGGCATAATCTAATACCCTGCATAAATAAGCTCTCATCAGGTGACCCTGGGAGAGTTCAAGCCACTGTAGTTCAGCCCAGAAACAGCAGGGTGACAAGAGTGAATTGCATAATTGTATGGAAACTTACCTAGCAATAGATCTCTCCATTTCAAAACCCCTGCAATCATGAGTGAAGCACTTGTCAATTATTTTGACAGGATTTACTCTCTATTGCTAACTTCTATGCCAAATGCTAACAATACACTTTAAAACTGAATAGAGGCTGTGCTCTCTTTACCACTCATACTCTTTCCAATCAGAGTTGATTTCTTATTTATGATGAACTGTTCAGCTGTCCTGTCCTTCATAGCTTCGTATATCCCTGCTCAGGGCCTTTTAATAACAGGCTCTCAATACATATTGGCTGAAGAAATAAAACTCAAGGCTATAGGACTCTTTTGATAAAGACAAAGCATACTTGGTCATCTTTATCAAGCTAATCTGGCCTCTGGAATGTGTTACTTTGAAAATTCTAGGAAGGAAATGTAAGGGGGCAGTGGGAAAAAGACAAGAGGAAATTGCAATTACTCATATTTTACACATTTTAAAATAGCAATTCTCCCTCCCACTTAGATATTCCTTAACCCACTTAATGTATCTACAAGACTTTGTGAATGGTAATCTTTCTACTAAGCAACTGCATGTTTATTCATTCATTAATTTAATCTACACTTACTGAATGTTTCCCCTATGCTAGTCTAGATGCTTCTTATTTACTGTTTCATTTAGTTCTCAAAAGTAAGCAAAATTATCCAAATTTCGCAGCTAAAAAGCTTAGACCCAGAATGTGTTAAAAAAAACATGGCAAGGTTATCCAGCAGGCAAAAAGCAAAACCGGTGAGAACAAGCATCAGTTTCTAGAGCTGCGTCTTTACTTTTGTTCCAGACGTTCAATAGAGTAGTTCCTTCACAGACCACAGGTATAGAAGAACATTTATGGATGCCATCATTTGCCAGAATAAAATCAATGGGGAAGCCCTTCTTCATTTTATTACAGATCCTCACAACTGTCATTGGAGTGGAAGAGCTTAAGAATCTGTGGGCTTTTTGCTCCCGCATGTTCTCCATGTATACCTGGCCATACATTCTCACCTGCCCCAATAGAAGGATATTTGTCGCTGGTTTTCAATAAATTCAGTCCGACGATTTGTATCTTCTACATGCAAAGCCCTGTCCTAGGTGCTATGAGAAATAAAAGGATGTATAAACAGGACCCAGTACTTAAACAACCATATACTTTTTTAACCAATGAAGCAATTGAAAGAGGAAAGACGATGGCAGTGTTAAGCATGGTATTAGCCAAGCTCAAGGTTCCAAACCAGAACATTTGTGAAGGCTTCTCTCAAATCCTGTCGTGGGGCCTGGCAGAACTGGGCTGTTCCATTCCTCTGTTCCTTGTCTCTCATGAATCAACTCTAATCAGCCTTTCATCCCCAGGACTGCAAGGAAACCATTTGACAATGACACCAATGACCTGCACAAACCACGGTCATTTTCAGGCATTTTATTTGACCTATCAGCAGCTATTTAAACACAAGTTAATTAAAGAATAGCAATTCACATTTACTATGTAAATGATTTACAATGAGCAATCTTGTTTTTATAAAAATCACTTTAAATGCTTAAGCAATAAATAAAAATTCTTGCTAAGGAAATGACATAATTCAAAAGGGCAGCAGGGTTTCATAGATCATTCTAGCTAAAGGAATAGTGGAGCCAAAACCTGGGATGAGGAAGAACACTGAAGATCCACTTAGAACTCTAGAATAATAGGGTATGATTAAGACAGTCAGGAGGGACCAACAACCTATTTTTTTCTTATAAGCAGGGTCCCTTTAGTTCCTACAAGAAAAGTAGATTCCTCTATGGTGAAGACACGATATCTGAAAAGTGATCTACTTCAAAAAGAACCAATTCTGTAGAGTGTCACGGTTTTTGAAACAAGGTCATGTGAGTTCTGCTTCCAGAACTGGCCAAAGTAAAAGCAGCTCATCCGTAATTATACCAGTTTCTTAAATTTACAGAGGACTTTTCTCCAAAGACTGTCAATGTCTTTTAGCCACTGAAAACACTCAATTTTCTCTTACCGCATTCCACAGGAAAAAGCAGGAGTTGAGTTTTCCTCCATTTTATGAATGGAGAACTGAGACAACCTACACTTGCCTGAAGTTCATCCAATAACACAATATAAAGATTGCAACAGAGAGCTCTTGATTTTAACTCTTCTCTATCACTAAGGGGTGACAAACACAATGTCCATGCTGTGCTCTCCCTGCCTTATGCCCAGAAGTCACAGCTAAAAACACGGCAATCTTTCCCCTGAATGCAGACTCAGCTGCAAAGTCCTTCTTAACACAATGCTCTGTGCAGCTACTACCAAGAGATAGATGCTGGCATAGAGGGCGAGAGGGGAAAATCATTTACCACCCAAGCAAGGGCAAGGCTTAGCAGGATGGGGTAAGAATTCATCAACTTTTTTCACTTGTTTTAGGTATAGGTTATGCCTAAAGATGTCAAATGTAGCCCAATTATTAAACATTCTATTGTATTCGTCACAAAAGCATTTTATTAATGTGTAGAGTAAGGCATTTTTTATTTTAAAAGTATATATTCACATATACAGTGTATATTTTAGTGGGCTTTTGTACAACACTAAAAAGGTATGAGTGGATACACGTATGATACTGTAAAAGTTCCTGGGAGAAAAAAAGCTAGAACTATTCACTATGGGCATTCAGGACTTTCACAAATAAGACTTGAAGGTCAAATTAATGTTAATTATAATGATAAAAACATACATTTATATTTACTCAGCACCTATCCTGAGTCTGACCCTGGAATAAGTGCTTATTTTTCATCCTTACCACAATGCTATGAGAAAAGAACTATTATTATTCCAATTTTATTGATGAAAAAACTGAGGTTTGGAGAGTTTAAGGTCACAGAACCAATTAATGGGTGGACCCAAGATTGGAGAGTTAATGTTCTAATCACTATGCATACCTTTCTCCTCAAATTATCTTGAAGAGATTTTATTGACAGGTTGTTTTCATACTGGCAAAGTGAGGCTTATTGTTTTTAAAATCTCAGGAGCCCCAGTATTTAAGTTAAAAGATGATAGAACCCTCCTCCTAGGGTTTTCATGGCCCTAAGTTGTACATTTTGTCTTAGGTCAGATGTAAAAATGAAAACACCTAGGTCTCAATCATTTTCTCCTTCAAGGAAGCAAGCTCTTTTAACATAGGTATATAGGTAGGACAGTATCTCTACATAAACACATAGCTCCTTGAGATTTTATATGAATAGGTCTGAGATAGGAAGACCAGGTTCAAGTTTAAGTTCAGTTCAAGAAACAAGGACAAGAGAAAATTCAGCTCCAGAAAGTGAAAGAAAACTAGTGTGGCTGAAGTACAGATACTCTCAAGGTCACCTGGCAATACTGGATGAGAATTTAAGTAAAAATGACTTTAAAAAACCATGTCTTCCAGCTAAGATGGTGTTTTAAGTTCATGCATTTAATGCCCCTTCCCTATTGCCACTCTCACTCCAAATATGGCAAAAATATACAAAATGCCACCCTCACTCCAAATATGGCAAAAATATACAAAGTTATAAACATGTAGGGCTCCTTTGTGTCTGTGTGATAAAGAAACAAGATTAAATATTTCCAAAGAAAATGTGGTGCATATACTTATGCAGTGGACTACTATTCAGCCTTAAAAAAGAAAGACATCTTGTCATTTGCAATCACATGGATGAACTGGAGGACATTATGTTAAGTGAAATAAACCAAGCACAGAAAGAAAAATGCTGCATGATTTCACTTACATGTGGAATCTAAAAAAGTCAAACTTACAGAAACAGAGGATGGAATGGTAGTTAGCAGGGTCTGATAAGTTCTGGGGATCTAATGTAACACCATGCTGACTGTAGTTCATAATACTGCATTATTCACTTGAAATTGGCTATAAAAGTAGATCTTAAATGTTCTTACCACACACACACACACAAATAACTATGGGGGGTGATGGGTATATTAGCTTGATAATGGGTAATCACTTCCTAAAGTGTACATGTATCAACACATCACATTATACACCATAAATATATACAACTTTCATTTGTCATTTATTAGCTCAACAAACCTGAAAAAAAAAGAATAATGTGGCAAAAAAAAGATTAAGTATCTCCATGGATCAGAACCAAATAGAAATGTGAAGTATACTGTAGACAAAGGTGTCCATTAGCCTGTTTCTGAGGGCTAATGAGGAGAAAAATGTCATCAGGAAAAGGCTGGGACCTGAGCCAGGCTCACTACTGGAAATCTGAAACTGTGGAGGGGGAAGCCCCCACACCACAATGAAAGAGAGCTTTAAAGATCTGCTTGCCCAGGGAGAGGTGAGAAGGGAGACACAGCCTCACAGCCAGGCGCTGGGCTATGCTGTCTGGGGCCTGGTGCTGGGTCCATCATCATCATGGAACAGAAGGCCCTTGCTGCAAATATTAGACTTGACTCTGCACTGGGGTCCTGGGAGGTAGGAAGTTGGCAACAGCAAATCCCTAGATGGGTCAGGGTGAGCGCAGAGAAAGAATACATGGAAAACAATCTCTAGATGAAGCTCTAAGCTGCAATTCCAAAGCACATGAGAAAAACTAGCACTAAGAAAAATGACCAATAAAATCAATATCAGATGTATCCCCTCCAGATGAAAGAAAGAAAGCAATTTGAAAATGACTTTAAACTGGTGTTTGAAATACAAGTTGGTATTTGTACAGATTATCTTTAGTTATATTTTCATATTCCTCTAATTAAATTTCTTACTATGTAAATCTTGAAGTTTTAAGTGTTTAACTGGTACTCTTCAGTGACGTGACTGGAAACACAGTGTCATCCTTGTATTTAGCAACCGACAGACCATCGGAAATGGCTGTGCCCTAAGTGAGGAAAGCTTCAAAGGTTCCTGCACCTCTGCAGCACCTTTAAAGACTGAAGCACAATCTTGGGCCAGTTTGTGAAGGCAGATTGGGTATGGGGGCCAAGGTGGACCCCGTGGATGGAAACACTAAGCATACCCTGGGACAGAACACCTTTCTTCGACAGAAGGATGAGAAAGCAGACGGACCAAGAAAATGACCTCTGGAAATCAAACATGGGCTTTATAACTAACTTCAGGCTGAAGTTAAAATAAACTTAATAAATTCTCCACCTTCTCTGCCACAGAGGAAATATAAGTGTCTCCATTTATAAAGTCACAGTGTATGCATATTAAAGCAGGAGACCCTAAATATAAAAGATGACCATTTGATGAATGAGTGACTGATTGACCAAGCATTCCAAGTCAGAAAAAAGTTGAGGCATCAAGCACATTCCTCTTACCCTTCATGATGTAACTTCCAAAAAAGCTTTGTGAAAACCAAATCAATTCCAAATAACACACTGAAAAAAGTTTCTGTAGTATTTGATCTGAGAATTTCATTGTACTGTTCCAATTCCTATGGTGTAATCACCACCTGCTACTTAAATGAATCATGTTCTCCCCCTTTATCAAAGAAGGACATAACAACCCCTAGGTGTAAGGAAGATGGCGCAGGTAGGGGATATACCACATACTGTTTTAATCCCAACCAGAGTTTTGGCTTAGGGAGAAAAATACTCCTGTGGAAAGCTGACAAAGAGGACAAGCACAGTGACCCTCATGAAAACAGAACTGCAGGGAGCCATGATGCATTAGCCAATGACTAATTTTAGTCTTTTCTTATTTTTTTTTTTTTTAATTCCAGAAGGAACCGATGACAGTGCTGACAAAATTCTCCTTAACCCCTCAGGGGAGATCCTGGAGGGCTTCCCAAATGTCAGGTCTGTGGCAAAATCTAATTTCCTGGAATCACAGATTCATGGGTGGCAAAGCTCCTTATCCCAGGCAACGCTCAGTTGGACAGACCCCTGATGATGTGTCATAAACGTGTAGACGTGACTGAGGTGGGAGTTGCTTAATTGCTGCTTCCAATTCTGGAACCAAAGACTCTGGGTGATTTCTCAGGCCAGCACTTCCCATGAGGAAAAGGAAATGCCAACAGAAGCAGCAGGTGCTGAAAAGGCTCAGAGACCACTTTGGTCATAAATTCAGCTTTCTGACAGCTCATTCTCTCTCCATCTAACTGCTGGGGGAAGAATTATAATGATTAATGTGCATTTACTGCCACTGATCTAAAACCAGCAAATTCTGCCAACAAAGATTTATTAGAAAGGAAACCAAGAAACAATATATAATTACTCAACAGTTATTTAGGAGTTAATTATTCATTCCTTTGTTTCAGTTCTTTCTTCCTCCTACTTAATTTCTTTGGACCATTTTTCTGTAGATTAGGTTACCTCATCCATTATAGATATAAAGCAGGTGAGTCTCGAAGCTACTAACAGGGCAATCTGTGGTTACAAGCTGCCATAAAAGGTTTGATGAAGGGAAGAAAGTTGGGGTGGATATTATAATTACCAGAAAAATGATTGATTGTTTTTTTGTTTTGCTTAGCAGGATATAAAGGAAAGTGTGGGCTCTGAAGCCAAACAGACTGAGCTTTGCTTCTTTCTTTGCTCCTTATTAGCTGTGTGTCCTTGGGCAAGTAACCTGGTCAGTCTGAGTCAGCTTCCTCATGGGGAAAATGAAGATGTTAAAATCTACATTGGGGGACAGTTGCAAGAATTAAATAAAATTATACGAAGAACCAAATGCAGTTCTTCCCACCTGGTAGGCACACATTATTAAAATTATACAGAATTTACTCTCCTCATACAGTCAAGAGATAACCAAAAGTAAATGCTCTTAAACTGAGAAGTAGGCTTTCCCAAGTAAATGTGTGCATTTTAACCAGCAAACTTGATGGCTTACATTTGCATATTAAAATTTGCATGAGTTAAACTTTACCTGTCGACTTCCTTGCTTGGAAGAGCAGCTACTTGTGCTCCTTGAAGGTGATACCAATTTTTGGGACACACCAAGGTTCTTCTCATCACTCATCATGGACAGCAAGTCACTTGGCCTCGAGACAATCAAAATGCCATCAGATGACAAGGGAGCCGAGAGTATGGAAGTCCCCAGTGGCAGGTGGTTTAGCTCTTATCCAAAGTATTTAAAAAACATTTTGGGTGGCCCAAAGGAAACCCTAAAACCTAAAAAAGAGAAATTAGAAAGAAGGTCAGAGGCATCAGATATCATCTCTAATTTGCCACAAATTGTCTGCAAGTGGCTTAAACATACTACAGATTACAGACTCACGATGTTTAGCTATAGCAGGCGCCGAGAAGGAAAAGAAGCTTTACACCATTCTCTTACAGGGAATTTTGTATAGGTGGTTTTTCATGTAGCTTTGCAATATAGCAGGCTTAAGAACATTAATACAAAAATTTGAGTCCAGACACATACAAAATCAGTACTATAAAAAATCTTAAAACACAGTAAGACACTACTTCACATCCACTGTGATAGCTATAATAATTTTTTTAATGGGAAATAACTAGTGTTGGAAAGAGTATGGAGAAATTGGAACCCTCAGACATTGCTGGTGGAACTGTAAAATGGCATAGCCGTGGTGGAAAACAGTTTGGTAGCTGTTCTATTTCTCAAAAATTTAAACATAGAATTATCATATGATCCAGTAATTCCAATCCTAGGTATAGATCCAAAAGAAGTGAAAACAGGTGCTCAAACAAAAAGTTGCAGACCAATGTTCATAGCAATGTTATTCACAATAGTCAAAGGTGGAAAGAACCCAAATGTCCATCAACTGATGAATGGATGAACAAAATCTCATATATACATTCAATGGAATATTATTCAGATATTAAAGGGAATGAGGTACTGATACATGCTATAACATCAATGAACCTTGACAACATTAGGCTAAGTCAAATAACCCAGACACAAAAAAATAAACATTGTATGTTTCCATATGAAATATCCAGAGTTGGCAAATCCATAGAGACAGAAGGCCAATAATTAGTGGTTACTGAGGGGAGAGTAGAGTGACTGCTTAATGGCTACAGTTTCTTTTTGGTGTGATAAGAATATTCTGGAACTAGGCTGGGCTCAGTGGCTCATGCCTGTAATCCTAACGCTTTGGGAGGCCGAAGTGGGAGGATTACCTGAGGTCAGGATTTCGAAACCAGCCTGGCCAACATGGTGAAACTCTGTCTCTACTAAAAATACAAAAATTAGCCAGGCACGGTAGTGGGTGCCTGTAATCCCAGCTACTCAAGAGGCTGAGGCAGGAGAATCGCTTGAAACCGGGCGGCGGGGCGGGGGGGACGGGGGGGTGGAGGCTGCAGCTCTTTGGGAGTCTTGCCCTGATGGAGGGGTTTCTAGTTTTCAAAGAGGAAATGTGGGCCTAGAATCACTGGCTTCTCCCACAGCCCTGGGTTAAGAGTAACTAACATGTTTGGTTTTGGCTTCAGAAAACCAGGACTTTATTTAACACACTAAGTTCAAGTAAATTCTACAGCTTTCCTAAGCAGGTTAACAACATCAAAATATACATACATATATATATATATCTCCAACCCATTCCATTATTAATGTTCACATAGTCTAATTATAAAAAGAAGAGTATCATATATTTGTCTAGGAACCAGCTAGTTAACTATGATATCAAACCTGGCTAATTATCATATACTCTTTCCTACACCTTCATTAACACTTAGTTCTTCAAAAATAAAAAAGAGTACATTAAAGCAATAAGCTAGAATCAAAACAATGAAAAGAAATACAAAATCTCAGAAAATGAAATTAAGGTGCCCAGAGCCATAGAGCTCAATTCCCATGTTACTCTTAGGTAACTCCCCAAATCTCTTTATTCATTTAGTATTGGATCCAATAATAAGTAAGACTAAAAGCAAACCAGCACCAGCCTCTTCATAAAATTAGCCTTACTGATGGGGGCATGACTAGGTGTACCTGAAGTTAGAAGCAAATGCAATCTAAAAAGTAGCAAGAGAGTACTGTAAAGATATATTAATAGTTTGTGGAAAAGCAGTGTTGGCTGTTGCTGTTTGAGAAAGAAAAAAAAAAAATCAAAAACCTGGTGGGAGCCCCAAATGATGAAATGTGTGTCTGTGCTTGGGGCGGGGAGGGGGCATCCACTGCTATGGCAACAGATTCCACAGTGGATTAGGAATACCAGCGGAGTGTTTGTGTGTGTGTGTACAAGCTTTGCTTTTGTTTTTTCTTTAAGGCTGAGGTTCTGTTAAACGAGAGTCTACAAGAGTCTGGGATGAGAGGGGTGTGTGTGCAATGTAAAGGGAGAGAAACGTGGGCAATAAATGAAAGTTACAGGAATTCTAAAACCACCAAAACAGAAACACCACAACCCTGTCCTAGAGGCAGCTGATACAGGGTCATCTTTATCTCTTTGTCCTGCAGAATTTCAGTTGGGAGGCAACAGCCAGGACTTAGTAGGCCAAATCCAATAGCTATCAAAGTTGGCACTTAGAGCCAAGGGCTCTGCCAGCATGACCCCCTGGTGACCCCTACCCCTGTCTCCTTTCCCCTTCTGGGAAAGAAAGAGAGGGGACCCGCAGCCCCTCCCATGCCCAGCCACAAGGTGGAGTTTTGGGATTGTTGCCCGGGGAAATATATCTATTTCATCCCCTAGAACCTTCCTGCCTAGCCTCATCAGGAATTTGGTTAAAGCCACCAAAAGCAGCCTAAAAAGTAAAGGAAGTCAAATTTCAAGAGAAGGATATATAGTCGCATGCCACATCATGGGGTTTCAGTCAGTGACAGCCCATGTATACGCTGGTGGTCCCATAAGACTATAATTCTGTATTTTCACTGTACTTTCTCTGTGTTTAGTTACACAAGTCCTTACATTGTGTTACTGCTGCCTGCAGTATTCAGGACAGTATCATGCTGTACAGGTTTGTAGCCTGGGAGCAGTAGGCTGTACCACATAGACCGGGTGTGTAGCAGGCTCTGCTATTCAGGTTTGCTAAGTATACTCTATGATGTTCCCACAACAACGATGAAATTGCCTGATGTCACATTTCTCACAGTGCTTCCTATCTTAAGCGACGCATGACTACTTAAAACAGGGAAGAATAAAGAAAGAAGGCAGCTGTAGCCCAAGACTAAGGTATCCCAGGTGCCAAGATGGTCACTTGGATGGAGGCAACTACTGTGTCCACTCTAGGGGACACCACAGGGATGGGCTGGGGTCACCAGAGAGGAGGCCTCGGCAGGATGGTGCATATGAAAGACCCCTGAGTGCTTTCACTCCACCCGGAGACCCTTCCATGGAAAACCTCTAATTCAAAGGGTTTATGGGTTTCAACAATATATGATAATTTCCCTGCTCACAGACTGTGAATAATTTAAGGGCAAACATTTATTTCCACCTTATTTTGTACTGAGAAATAACAGGTATACTAAAGTGCACAAATCTTAAGTGCACATACAGAATGTTACACTTGCAAATACTCATATAATCATCAGCTGGATCAAAAAATAGAACATTTACGGCCTGCCAAAAAGGCTTCTTGGTCCCCTGGAGCTGATCTTTTTGCAGATTGCTGTCCCTGAGTAAATCTCTCCTGCAAGTACTTGTCAACATGCCTTAAGGATGGAGAGCTAGGACTTGCCCCAGCTTACAGGAACAGGTTTTATGGCTACTTTGGTGCATTCTGCCTAATGTCAGTGTTTGATGTGTGACAGAATTCGGTTTGGGATCTGCTTTTGTTTCAACAAACCACCTGGTGGTGAGGTTGAGGAGGAGAGAACTTATGGCCCTTTCCTTCCTCTAAATCACAGAGGCCACCAAAACCAACACGTGTCAAACACCAGATGCACTTGTGTCAGTTCAAAAATGACGTTTGTGCCTCTAAGATGAGCTTCATTGTCTCTCACCACTGCCACCCACCTTTGAGAAGCTGATGGGTCAGGACTGTGTGAAACGCTAGTGTTTTGGTTAAAAGTCAAATGGACACATGACATGCAAACATAAGCTGTCCTGGGGCTTCCACTAGGAAAAGAGAACCCTGATTTCTACCCAGAATGGGGAAGAATAAATGACCAACGCACTGTCAAGTATTTTGGCAACAAAGGCTGATTTTAAGACTCATGTTAGTAGGTTTCACTTAGAAAAGATAACACAATTTGGGAAAAGATGTAAAGGTGACATCACATACTATATATGTGTGCTGGAAGGAGTCAGACCTAGGTTTGAATTGGTGTTTCCTTATTACAAACTCTGTGCACCTTGACAAATGTATTAAGCTCTCTGATTTATATTTTTTCCTGTATAAAATGGGGAATAATAATAGCCACCCCAGAAAATTAGAAGGATTTGGCCAGGTGGAGTGGCTCATGCCTATAATCCCAGCAATTTAGGAGGTGGACGCGACTGGATTACTTGAGGTCAGGAGTTCAAGACCAGCCTGGCCAACATGGTAAAACCCCATCTCTACTAAAAATACCAAAATTAGCCGAGCATGGTGGTGCATGCCTGTAGTCCCAGCTACTCAGGAGGCTGAGGCAGGAGAACTGCTTGAACCTGGGAGGCAGAGGTTGCAGTGAACTGAGATTGCACCACTGCACTCCAGCATGAGAGGGAAGGAGGGAGAGAGGGAGGGAGGGAAGAGAGGGAGGGAGGGAGGAAGGAAGGCAGGCAGGCAGGCAGGCAAGAAGGAAGGAAGGAAAATTAGAAGGATTAAATAAGAAAATGAGGATACAGTGTCTGGCTTTGGAATAGAATAGACACTCCACAGATGTAAAGGCTCATGGCCTCCTCTCTCCTGGCTTCCTGAAAGTGGCAGGTGCAGCACAAGATAAGAAGCTCTACCCCTCCTTCAACTACAAACAAATAAAGATGGCAGAATCTTTTTTTTTTTTTTTTTTTTTTTGAGACGGAGTCTCGCTCTGTCGCCCAGGCTGGAGTGCAGTGGCGCGATCTCGGCTCACTGCAAGCTCCGCCTCCCGGGTTCACGCCATTCTCCTGCCTCAGCCTCCCGAGTAGCTGGGACTACAGGCGCCCGCTACCACGCCCGGCTAATTTTTTGTATTTTTAGTAGAGACGGGGTTTCACCGTGTTAGCCAGGATGGTCTCGATCTCCTGACCTCGTGATCCGCCCGCCTCGGCCTCCCAAAGTGCTGGGATTACAGGCGTGAGCCACCGCGCCCGGCCAGATGGCAGAATCTTAAAACATGTGTGTCCTTCAACATATTAACATCTCCCAAAATCCATAATGCGAGTGTGAACAGACTAGTGTTAAAGCATTAAAGCAGTGTGCTTACTTTGGAAGAAGACATAAATGCAGAAAGATAAAAGCCACAGAATTCATCACCACTAGCTCTCCAAAAAAGCAACATTATCTGGTAGATTGCAAAAAGTGGCATATAACACAGCTACTTATTAATCCATTAGGCCTGGGGGTCTGCACTCAGACACTTGGCCATGTTTTGCTTGAGAAACAGATTTTGCTTCCATAGTTGGAAACGACTTTCATGAAGGCCAGATGGCATATAATTCCAAATAGTTTGCAATTTCCCAGTAAAATATATAAAGAAATTATGTCCTGAATTAACGTTAGAAATTTTTTAAGTGGGATATCTATTTCTGGTCTTTAATAAAATAAAATTATTCAAATCCAAGTTATGCATCTTTTTACAAATGGTACCCTCTGAAACACCCTGATTTCAAAAATGTTACATGGTCAAAAGCAGGGCTTTGGTTATTTGGCTTTAAGCACCACAGACCAGAGATTCAGCATCAGAAGTTTCTGGAAGCAGGTTCTAATCACAACTTCAGATACCGATCGGTGATCCCGGACCTCTGAAGTGCTGTCCATGTGTCCGAACTATCTGAACTGCTGGTCTGATCCAAAGGCACCCATACCTGACTGTTTCTGGGAGAGGAGTACTAAGTTTCTGGGAGATGAGTACTAAGGCTCAGTGTCCACAGAAGTCCCTTCTTTAAAGTCTAACAATTCCTCCACAAACCATTTTTTTTTTAAATCTTATTCTCACTTTTGGCAAGACAGGAGTCAAGAGGCCTAAAGACTCAAATGCTTACTCTGGCACAATAGAGTATCCATTTCTATTCCCTGCTCCATCCATGGCCTTCACAATCCACTTCTTCAGGGGACATCAGATTGCTCAGAGCCCAATCCAGCAACAGAAATGCACCTGGTGCATATTTGAAGCGTGCGGCTTCCATGAGACAAAAAGCTGGACAATGGTATCTGGCTGTCAGTTTAGGCTGGAACCATTTATTTGTCATCACTGAGTAAACAAAACAACAAGCGCAATAACACCAGTCATTAGAATCATGGAGCCTAATAACGAATTCTAGCCCAACCTCCGGCTTAAACAAAGCAAGAACTCCCTCTATAACATGGCTAGATCATCACTGCTTGACCACTTCCTGTGACAGAAACAAGGCACTTCATTTCACCTTTTTAAAAATCTATTCTAGACAGTTTGTCATCATTTAGAGCTGAAATAATGACTCACTATAATTTCATGCGCTGCTCCTAGATTTGCCCTTGGTAACTACATAGAACAAGACAGAACTTTTTTTTAACCATAACCTGCACTGAAACCACCACCATCCCCACATCCCACCCAGCAAATCTTTTCTTCTCCAGACTAAACAGCCGCATTGTCATCATCATCCATTTCTTATGGGACATGGATCAAGAGCCCTTGTGATCCCAGATGTTCAACTTTGATCACCCTTCAATTTGTGCTTCTCTAACAGTGATGCCCAGATTTAAAGACAAGCTCTAGGTGTGGTCTGGACAGAGCAGAAGAGAAGGCAATGACAATCTTCCTGGCCTCAACCACACTGCAACTGTTAATACTGCTGGATTTGCCTTAGCTTTGGGGGAACTTGCATCTCTTTCCAGTTCTCAGTGTTCTTACTGGGACTGTCAGGTCATAGGGATTTCTGAGAAGTTGGGCTTCCTTCTTTCTGAAGCGGACTCCTTTACTTCCTTTAACTAAAATTCAGGACTTGACTGTTCTATTATTATTACCATCATTATAATCATTATTAAATTATCACATGTTAATTTTGACCCATGTCAAGATATTTCTGGAGACCAATGGTCACTGGCTGACTTCTTTGTTACGGCATACATAGATTGCACAGGCATATGAAATCTATACTCACCCAAGTAAATTATACTTGGAGATTTAGTAACGAGAAGAGCACCAAGGGCATGGAGGTCTCTGCAGCCTGACATTAATTTGTCTGTTAATTAGCATTTCTGCATACAAATGCATACAACCCACTATAAATGCCCATAACTATACAATCACCTACAATTTCTCAAAGTGTCCAGATCCACCTTCTTCAAAGTCTTCCGGATTCTTATTTAAGATGCAGATTTTGCTCCACTTTAGATGAGTTGAATCAGAATTTCTATCTAGAGACGGGCCTGATAATCTGCATGTTTAACACATGCCCTGGGTGATTTTTGCTTAAAGTTTGAGAACGTAACTGACTTAGCCTGTAGCTTTCAACCTTTCTTATTTGACTCCAAGCCAATCCTTCTATTTGTGTATGTGTGACGTGGCAGAGGGTAGGAAGCTAAAACCCTCTTTTATTATCGTAGTCCTGTGGTTTTTAAAGAGGGGCCCTAAGACTTGCAGCATCATTATCACCTGGGACCTTGTTAGGAATGCAAAATCTCTGACCCTACCACAGACCAACAAAATCAGGAACTGAGAGGGGGACCCTGGGATCTGTTTTTCACAAGTTCTCCAGGTGACCTGAATGCACAAGTCCAAAACCACTGCCACAGGTTAATATTACAACCATGGCATAGAATCTTTCGGCCTTTGGTATACAGCAGGTCCTCGAGTAATGTTGTTTTATTTAACTTTGTTATTTAGAAGTTTGGTGATGTTTTTGTGACCAGAAATATGCCACAGGAAACATGCCATTGTTTTTATCAATTAGCCTACGGTAAAATTAGCTTCGTATATATCGTTTCACTTGAAGTCACAGTTTCCAAGAACTTATCAATGAAGATACATGAGGACTTAGTGTACATTTGTCAGGGATTAGAGTAGACCCTGAGTTCTTTTCTGGGAAAGATTTTGTCCCACTGCTTAGCTACTCCTTAATCAAGGTATGGCAAGTACCAGACACATGTGCTTCCAGTCTCCACTCCCAAGCTTTGTCATCATGGCAAAATTCCTCAATCAGCTCTCCAGAAAACTAAAAGACAGAGTTGGCTGGCCAGGCGTGGTGGCTCATGCCTGTAATCCCAGCACTTTGGGAGGCCAAGGTAGGTGGATCGCTTGAGCTCACGAGTTCAAGACCAGCCTGGGCAACAAGGCGAAACCCCCATCTTTACAAAAAATATTAGGTTGGTGTGAAAGTAAGTGCGGATTTTGCCATTGGCACGAACCTAATACAAAAATTAGCTAGGCGTGCTAGTGCACACCTGTAGTATCAGCTACTGGGGAGGCTGAAGTGGGAGGATGACTTGAGTCTGGGAGGCGGAGGTTGCAGTGAGCTGAGGTTTTGCCACTGCACTCCAGCCTGGGCTACAGAGCCAGACCTTGTCTCGAAAAAAAAAAAAAAAGAGAGAGAGATGGCCAGGTGTGGTGGCTCACACTTATAATCCCAGCGCTTTGGGAGGCTGAGGCGGGCGGATCACGAGGTCAAGAGTTCGAGACAGCCTGGCCAACATAGAGAAACCCTGTCTCTACTAAAAATACAAACATTAGCCGGGCACAGTGGCAGGCGCCTGTAATCCCAGCTACTCGGGAGGCTGAGGCAGGAGAATTGCTTGAACCCAGGAGGTGGAGCTGAGATGGCGCCACTGTACTCCAGCCTGCAGTGAGCCCAGATGGCGCCACTGTACTCCAGCCTGGGTGACAGAGCAAGACTCCATCTCAGAAAAAAAAAAAGAGAGAGAGAGTTGGTAAGACAGATCTAACCTGCTAAGATGCATTCCCTTATCCTGATTAAGAGCCATGATTTCATAGGACATTAGCTGCAATCTGGTCATAAAAGTCAACACATATGTACCTGTCTTTGATCCTCAACACAAAACACCCATGCACCAGGCTCTTGCCAAACATTATAACTTTGAACTATGTACTGTCCAGACTTTATCATTCAGTGGCTCACACTCTGAGTGCATACTGAAACTACGTGACACACTTTCAAAAATGCTGATAAACAGACCCTATCCTAGATCTATTATGTTGAAATCTCTGGTGGGGCCAGGCTTTGGTATTCCTAAACCTCCACAGGTATTTCTGGTGTAGGACCAGGGTTGACAAGGTGCTTCTGGGCTGTGAGCCACCATTAAATGATCCAAAAAGACAAGACAATGTGTGCACCAAGCTCAAGCTATATCATCTGATAATGGAACTACCCTATTCTGATCACTAAGAACTGCTTTCCCTGCATTGTCTTCTAGGAGTATAACCATGACCTACAATGAGATAATTGCTGCCAATAAATAAATAACCAACCCACTGTACGATACTGGGAAATTTTGTAGAGCAGTAATAATAAAGACTAAAAGCTGTGGACTCAAACTGCCCGGGTTCAAGGCCAGCCTTACTAAGTTGCTTTAGGCAAGTTTTTAGTCTCTCTAGATCTCAATTTTTCATTTGCAAAATGGGAATAATTAAAGGATCTCCCTGAAAGGGGTTGTTGAGGTGATTAGATGAGCTAATGCATATAAGACCATTTAGAAGGCAATCACATTGCTATAAGTTAGGTAGTGTAGGATGTACTGGTCACTATCCTGCACAACATCACAATAGGTATTTTACTCTTTTAATCAGAAAAACACAAAGGATATATACAAATACCCATATTACTATCATCCAAAATTCACAGGTCTCCACACATATATACCCACCATTTTTCTGGGTTTTTTTAAACTTAACTTCTTTCTGCAACTGGCTTATTTTCACTGAAAATTATTGCACACACAAAAACACACATTCTGTTCCATTCCTGCAACATGACTATGTCTTGAACTTCCTCGTTCAGTTGTTTCTGACTCTTTCCTACTAAAGATGCTGATGCAATGAACAAACTTGTATCTGCTCCCCATGAGGCTGTGATGATAATTTTCTAAAGCAAGTGGAACTGCTGCATCTTAAGGTAGGACTAGTTTTAGTTTTACTAGATATTCCAAATTGCTATTCAAAACGGCCACACCAACTTACACTGTACAGAGGCTTCTTTTAAATGTCTCTTCTATGGTCATTTACAAGAGAAAATAAATAATAATAATAATAATAATAATAATAATAATAAAGAAAGGACTCTTGAATGCCACACCTAAACGACTGGCTTATTCTTAGCTTTTAGAGACTGTGAACAGAGCACCTCCCTCTTTGTCTGAGGTACTAGCATGGACAGAGGGTCAAATTGATGGCTCACCACTGATAATCTTCAGTAGCAAGAGATGAGTATTTCTCTGTGCTTGGCTTCCCTCTATTGTCACTGTGCTCCAATTCTCTCAACTATGGACTTTTTCCATGTGCAGTATGTGTATTATTGGAGGCCACTTCAAAAACTCCGTGGAATAAGACAATGTGTAAATAAATTACTTTTTCTTAAGTTAGACAGTAAGACAAGGTGCTGCTGGGCTGTTGGCAAGATGTTCTGGTACTGGTGGTTTTCTAACTGGCAAAAACCACAATGACTTGTGTACCAACCTAATACTTGGCTTCCAACACTAGGATGCCTTCCATTTCATCTTCTGGGTGAGCCCTGTGGCTCCCAGCCTCAACTTGACAGTTCCTATGGCCACAGACATCCTTAGAACAAGTGAAAAATGAGGAAAGCGTGGACTCACACTCACAAATAATAGCCTCTAGCTCACAGAATCAGAAAGCCACATATCAAAGATACTTGCCAGTGAAGAAAGGAAGAGATCAAGAGACCCAAGTGGCCAATGTTGCTTACTACTAGCCTTTTGAAGTTCACCGATAGACAATTCAAAGCTGATAGGATTCCTGGGAGAGCGCACTTGCAGGCAGATTGGGAGAAGAAGGGAAAGATAATTTCCAAATGATTTCTATGCAAATGTAACCCTATCCTTCACCAGAAGAAATGCTATTGACTCAGATCTTGGTTTTCTACCTTGTTCACAAGGGTATCACCAAATAGATATGTTGATGAATACCTCAAGCGGACTTTTCAGAAGTCTGACATCTTCCTTAAAAAAAGAGAAAGTTGTTTGCTACACATCCACCCCTGTGTCTGCCAACACTCAATACCTGAATGCCGAGGGCTTTGCTCCAATGCTGAGTCCCTCCTCCTGGTCACATGGGCCTCACTATTGGCACATGTCCCCTGACCCCTGACCACAGACATCACTCAGGACAGTGGGTTTTGCTGTAGGGTTGACTTCATCAGGCTGTGTCCTCCCCACTGGCTACCATGTTCTCACCACCAATTTTTTTTTTTTTTTTTGAGACAGACTCTCACTCTGTCACCCAGGCTGGAGTGCAGTGGTGAGATCTCGGCTCACTGCAACCTCTGCCTCCCAGGTTCAAGCAATTCTCATGTCTCAGCCTCCCGAGTAGCGGAGATTGCAGGTATATGCCACCACAGCTGGCTGATTTTTGTATTTTTAGTAGAGATGGGGTTTCACCATGTTGGCCAGGCTGGTCTCAAACTCCTGACCTCAAGTGATCCATCCACCTCAGCCTCCCAGAGTGCTGGGATTACAGGTGTGAGTCACTGCACCTGGCCACTGGATGTTTTCTTAACAGCATGACAAGGAAGACTTACTCCCTCTTCCTAACAAAGACAGTAGTTTTGGAGGGGAGAAGTGGGACAGAAAAAGTACAGTTGAAATGTTAAAATGTAACTGTCAACTCTTTCAGTGAAAAGAAAATGTGGTATATACAGTCAGCCCGCAGTATCTGCAGGTTTCACATCCGTGGATTTAGCCAACCACAGAGCAAAAGTATTCCAGCAATAACAATACAACAATGAAAATATACAGATTTTAAAACAACACAGTACAGCAACTATTTACATAGCATTTACACTGTGTTAAGTATTGTAAGTAATCTAGAAATAGTTTAAATATACAGGAGGATGTGCATAGGTTACGTGCGAATACTTTGCCATTTTATATCAGGAACCTGAACATCCATGAAATTTGGTATTTGTGGCGATCACCGAACCAGTACCCCATACAGCTGTACATACAACAGAGTATTATTCAGCTGTAAAAAACTAAAGAAATCTTACAATGGGCAATAACATGGATGACTCTGGAAGACATTACGCTAGGTGAAATAAGCCAGTCACAGAAGGACAAATACGGCATGATTCCACTTATATGAGATATTTAAAATAATCAAATTCATAGAAACAGAAAGAAGAATGGTGGCTGTCAGGGGCTGGGGGGAGGGGAGAATACCAGTTATTGTTTAATGGATACAGAGTTTCAGTGAAGTGTTCTGATCATAATATACAGGTGTGTGTGTGTGTGTGTGTGTGTGTGTGTGTGTGTGTGTGTGAATAAAGTTAAGAGGAACTAGAACAGTGTACTGCCAGGCTCATAATCAGGAGTGTTGCACAACCATGCTGGAATAATGCCTGGAGGACTGGTATCAGGAGCAACCCAAGGCTTGCAAACAGCAGTGGTGAAAACTAAAGGGCTTTGTGGACACATAGCCAGAGCCAGATGCACAAATAGAAGATAAGCTTCTGGGTGTGGAAACTCTTCACAAAGCATCGGGGGTCAAGAGGATTGCTCCAATCCCAGTTGTTTTCCATCTTTTTTCTTCAAGGAGACGTACTAACGGGAAAGAATAAAATAACCACAGAGAAGACAAACTTGAAACCCACGACAGAGAAGAGATAGGAAATGTGCACCCAGCTCTGCTAAATGGGTTCTGGATACCAATTTAGCCCAAACAGATGAGGGGACTGAATGACTTCAGTCTTCATGGGACCTGACAGTAAGCTATGCCGGATGAGGGAGAGTGAGATAGGTATCAGAAAATGAAAATTGGGTAGATTCTGTGAAGATTATTAGAAACAGACAGGAAATTTCTGAAAAGTCTAGATCAATTATTACCAACCCTGGCTGCAAACTAGTGAAGAGCTTTTACAAAACACTGCTGCCCAGGCCCCAGCCCAGAGTCCATGATTGAAGTGGAATAAGCTCCGTAGGACATTCTGACACGCGTCCAGGGCTAAGAGTCATGACTCCATACTGATGAGTGTGGGCTCCAAAACTATTCTCTTTGATAGGAAGAGGGCGTAAGTCTTCCTTGCCATGCTGTTAAGAAAACATCCAGTGGCCAGGCGTGGTGGCTCAGGCCTGTAATCTCAGCACTTCGGGAGGCCGAGGTGGGTGGATCACTTGAGGTCAGCAGTTCAAGACCAGCCTGGCCAACATGGTTGAAACCCTGTCTCTACTAAAAATACAAAAGTTAGCCAAGTGTGGTGGCGGGGACCTGTAATCCCAGCTATTTGGGAGGCTGAGGCAGGAGAATTGCTTGAATCTGGGAGGCAGATGTTGCTGTGAGCTGAGATTGTACCACTGAACTCCAGCTTGGGTCAGACTCCATCTCAAAAAAAAAGAAAACACCCAGAGTCACAGCACCATGATCTCCTGGTGAAGCAGAACAAGTAATAGGAAACTAATATAAAGAGGCCTCCCTCCTGTCCTCATCTGCATAGTGAGTCATTCTGGGCTCAGCAGGCATCATCACGGAGCAGGTAGGAGGTTCCATCACTGGAGGCCTAGGCATCATTGGCATGTGACCTCCCATGGCAGCCTCATTCCAGGAGCAGGTCCCACTGGCATCATCCCAGGAGGAGGAGAACCCATCACTGACATCATGGGATGGCCACTTATAGGAGGTGCAGGCATCATACCAGGGCAAAGAGGAGCCGGGAGACTTGCGAGGAGGTGGGATCATTGCCCCTGCTGGGGAGAGGCAGAGAATGGAGTAGGAGGAACCTTTCCTTGTTGAAGTGCAGCCATTGTTTCGTCCATCAGGCTCTGAGCTGCTCTTCCACCCCATTCTGACAGCAGTCTTTCATATTCTCTTTGTAGATATCACTGTAGAGTATCTTTTGCACAGATGAAGAGTCATGAGTGAGGTATTTATTGCAGTAGTCACAATCACACATGGACATGTTGCTCTCCAGGCCATTGGCCACTCTGTTCCTACCACAGTGTCTTCACACATTCATCTGTTGATGGACATTTAGGTTGTTTCCACATCTTGGCTATCATCAACAGTGCTTCTGTGAACACAGGAGTGCTGATACCTCTTAACTTTAAAGTGTTGCTTACTGTCTCCTTTTCTCTCCCAGTTCCATGGGCAGTCACCAAAGTTTTGTCCCTCATCCACTTCTCTCTATGCACTTCAGCTCTTGATCATCTTTACAGGCCCCTTACCTTAGTAAAGCCTCTACACTGCTCCCTACCCCCACACTCCAGTCCCCAGCCTGGTGTTGGCCCCTGGATTCATCACTGGAACAGCAAGCCTATGCTCATTACTCCCTCATGCTGATATTAATACCTGCCACTGGCTTCCCTGACTCTGATTAAGATACCCACCCTCTATTAATCCAACCAAACTCCCTCTCCCAGAGCCCCCAGTAGTGTAGATTCTCTCTCTCCCTGACACTGACCTCATCACCCCCCAATGTGTTTTATATTCTTCTATTCTCAAAACAACCTATCCATTTTAGACCACCATTAGGCCCTGCAACTGACTCCACATTTTCTCTCCCAGCACTTCAATCCTTATATCCATTCCCTAGTTCAATTTATCGCCAGGCTCTCCCCTGCTCCAAATTCCCAATGCCTACAAGCTTAAGTAAAATAGCAAGGCCTGGCAGGCAAAACCCTCCACTACATAGTTGCATTTCACTGGTTTTGGACTCTGGATCTACCTCTCACTCTGTGGCTAAATGTCTGAGTTGCTTCGTCATGTGAAAGCAGGCATGAATAACTGTACTAACCTCACAGGGTTTTGTGAAGATTGACTAAAATAATGCATGTAAAACACTCAGCATAGTCCTTGCCAGACATCACTCAGTTACACTTTGGCTGTTATCACTCAAACTTCATCTCTAACAACTCATATATACATACCCTGTATTCTGCACTCTCCCTTTCTCCTAGTGAGTCCTTCTTTATGGAGCACCCTCCTAACCCACTTTCTCTCTTCCGTCTGTGGCAAAGTCCTCCATCTTCCGAAGATCACTTTCAGCATTGCCTTTTCCATGAAGCCTTTTCTCAACCCCTCTCCCACCCCAAATGCGTTTGTTTCCTCTTGGACTCTGCTTTCCTTTTGCGCTACCTGAAAGTATTAGTCACGTTTCCTGCACTCTGACTCACTCTTCATATCCTGACTGCTAGATGTTGGGTCTATATCTCACTCGGGACTGCATTTTATTCACCTCTACATTCTGTGGAAAGTAATTTACAAAGACTGGTAGCAATCTTTGTTGAGCCAAGGAAAGAGTTCTCAGTGTGAGCACATTTATTTATTCCCATAGGAGACTTCTGTCTTTACTGTTCACTGGAATCATTTGGGATTACTTATGTATTTCAGAATATTTCAGCTATTCCTTCCTTGTGAGATCTCCTTGCCATTTTAAGTCTTTGGCCACAAGAGACATCATTTCTCTCTTTTCTCTGACTTGTTTCAAATATTTCTAGTACCATAGAGATGTTATGCCCAAAGCATCCTTCTTTGGGGATTTCATTTCCTGGTTCCTGCCACTTTCTATCACTAGTTAATGCTTCCTTGTTGGCTCAGAAAGAAACCCAGAGCTATCATTCTCTGCATTATTTTTTCAGTCTTCTTAAAAATTAAATGATCGGCAAAACAAGTCAAGAGTTTATCAGAAGTTAGCCGAATGAAACATCCAGTGGGTGATTATCTGATTGAATCTCCTTTTTATCAGCACATGTGGTATTCATTCTAAAGTTTCAGTTTCTGAGAAGAAAGCGCCCTCCATAGCCTCTATCTGGCCATCCATAATACTGATCCTATTACAATCTTTCTTCCCTACCATGCCCTCTTTACCCAGGGATTCATCATTAAGGTCTAGATTTCCCCAAGACTGCTTCTTTACAGTAAAACATCCCCTTCTAAAATCATATTCTAGTCACGAGAACCACGCTAACCGTGGTGAGACAGATCCAGTGATGCTATCTATATCCAAGTTTTAATGTTTCAAGTTTATTTTGCTTCATTCTCATAAGCTGCACAATGGCAAAGAGCTGCAGGTATTTTACCAACCAGCTGCCCAGGCTTTTTTAAAAAGAAATTACTGATGTTCTCCTCCTCTGTTATTGGTCTTTTTATCTTTGCTCTGCCGGTTGTTCTCTAGCCAATCAAGTTTTAACGTTTTTTCCTTCCCATCAAATTTCAGTTCAACTCTCTTAAACAAGTTAGCAAATCTCTTGCCAAACACACTTGTCCTCAAAAGATGGCAAGAGCCTGCTCCACAAACCAAACTCGGCTTATCAACACTATCTGTGCTGTAGTTACTTTGCGTGTCCTTTTCAAGCACATGGTCTACCTTTCCCCAAAAAGTAGAGACATCAAACATCCCCCTCAAGTTCTCTACTTTTCTACCATGACTTCACAGAACTCATGATACATTTGAGGTTTCTTTTGACATTTAGAGTGTTTTTACCCAAACCAGTGAACGGGGTGATAACTGATAGATCTGATATTTTGGTAAGTTAGCATGCATGCCTTGGCTTGTTATCCAGCAATATCCACTCTCCCCTTCTTTAATAATAGAACTCTCGAGTTTTAATGTGGTTCATGGGCATCTAATAAGAGGCTTTCACTTCTAGCATTCTTTGCCGCTTGGTAGGGGCTTGTGACTAAGGGCTGCCAATGAGATGTGAGCAGAGTTGTTTGTCTTCCAGGTCATGGTCCTAAAAAGAGATACACATGTTCCCTGCCCTTTCCCCATTCCTGAGAGCTGGGAGGTGGTGATAGCTGGACCCAGAAATGAAAGACACACTGGTTGAAGACCATAGTGTCACCATGCCAGCCAAGGAATAACAATATCTGAACAGTTACATGAGAGAGAAATAAACTTTAATCGTGTTAAAGTTACCTAATTTTTGAATCTCTCAGTTACACAGGTATAGCACAAATAACATTGGCCCTAAGAAGCTGGCATGCCTTCAAATTAGGAACCTTAGGTCACCTCTGTACGTCTTAACAGAAAGCTGCCAATCACCTCTGTCCTGGCCAGCTTCCTGTGCCAGAAACAGGAACCTATGGCAGTAAGAATCCTTTTCATTATTTGACAAAATAAGGAAAGCTACTGTTTTTTTTTTCTTTCTTTTTTTTTTTTTTTTTTTTTTTTTGGAGACAGAGTCTTGCTTTTCTCGCCCAGGCTGGAGCGCAGTGGCGTGATCTCAGCTCAGATCTCAGCTCACTGCAACCTCTGCCTCCCAGGTTCAAGCAATTCTTCTGCCTCAGTCTCATGAGTAGCTGGGATTACAGGCACACACCACCATGCCCGGCTAATTTTTGTACTTTTTAGTAGAGATGGGGTTTCGCCATGTTGGTCAGGCTGGTCTCGAACTTCTGACCTCAGGTGATCCACCTGCCTCGGCCTCCCAAAGTGCTGAGATTACAGGTGTGAGCCACCGTGGCTGGCCGAAAGCTACTATTTTCAATTTGAAGGTGTGTATTACCCTGGCCTGAAATAATCCCAAATGCTCAAAATAGGATAGATGGTAGACATCCAATCTTCAAATCATTTTCACCTTCTCCAGCAAGCCAGCCCCTTTCATGTTGCATTTATCACCCACGTGGTCCCAAGAGTCACTACAGATCAGGATGAATCAATGTTCTGAATGGAGAGAGATGAGTCCATAGGTCCTATGACAACTCCTCCATTCCTGAATGGAGAAATCAGAAATGGGCTGAGTTTTCCTCCTCCTTCTGCAGCTTAGCTACTCTTACTTGTCCTTCAACACCTTACAAGGAAGAAATACTTATGAATAAATGTGGGCTAATAAAGGAAGCTACAGTGGAAAGACAGGTGGCAAAAAGAAGACAGGCACACTGATGAAAACTCAATTCAGTATATATCCTATAAAGTAACTACTATGTGTCCACTGCTGTGCTAACCCTTCAGTGATGGAAACTAAGTGACAGAAACTTAATCCAAGGAGGAAACCACTGTGATCAAGGAGATAAGATGTCACAAATGAAACAAGCCAGAACACACCCCAGGGTGGGCCATCTGGTAGGTGCTATGGGCAGTCACAAGGGAAGAGCTCAGTGGGGCTGGAGTTGTGAGAAAAAGCTTAGGAAGAGGTGGCCTGCAGGGAGCCGTGAAGATGTGGATAGGGCTTGACTAGGTAGAGAGAAGCATGGAGGACAAAGCTGTGAGCTGGGTCGGGAGGGGCACCTCCTGCAACATTTCTCAACCCCGGCTGCGTGACAGGATCACCCTGGGAAGCTTCTACAAAATCCCAAAGCCTGGTGCCATTTCATACTAACTGGTCCAGACACTGGGGATGAGGCCAGGGCAAGGGCATCCTGAGACACTCCCAGGTGATTTGGATACACAGCAAGGGTTGAGCCACTGCTCTAACATAATCTTGCATCCAGAAATGACAGATTTACTCCACAGAACTGCCTTCTTTAATTTTGGTATTTAATTTTGTTTGAGCATCTTATGCCAGACCTATGTCTGCTGCATCCAATTTATACCAAATTGAAATGCAAAGCAGGATGTGACTTAGCAGTTTAAAGGGTAAGAAAAGATAGCACCACCCAAGAACTTAAAATAACATCTGGTGGTTTGAATTTTATCAGTGGGTGTTATTACGCTCCCTTAACCGACAACTGCTTGCGGAAGCTTGGTAGAGTTTTAACAATTGGCAACCACAGGCAGCATTTCATTACTTATCTAAAAAGACTATCAATTGAGTTACTATGAAATGTGAGCATGAAGTTTTAAAACTTCCCTATTTCCTACAAAAATCAACTTATCATCTTTTCAGAAATGTAAACAGCCAGCTAACAATGGGTAATGCTCTATAAGTGCTAACTGAACACTCTCAAATAACAAGAAACAAAATACCCTAGTGGGTCATGTATCAGATGTACACACTTCAAGTTTGTTTGTCCACTTAACTAAAAATAACCCTGGGACTCAGAATCTAAGCTTAAACCAAATTCTATAAATCGAAGTCCCCAAGATATATTTTGGAGGTATCCTTCCAAAACTGCAGGGGCGATAATAATTCCTTGTAAGAGAATCACTAATTTAGGGAACATAGGTGGGGAGAAAAAGGGATACAGGAAGTTTTACTCACTTCTAGGGGAAAGAAAGATTACTGCAAAAAACTTAACCTGAGACACTTTTAAACTAGTGCAAACTGGAAAAAAGAGAGACATAAAAGGAAAAGGCAGAGTAAACAGGTTTTAAAAAGGTGGGGTGGTTACTGGTAGACTAGAGCTAAAAGGCAAGAAAAACCTAAAAGCACCTCTGTTCCCAATGCTAACAATGACATGGTTATTTTATTCTCTCCAGTAGAGTGTATAGATCAAAAGCAATTTGAAGACTGTCTCATCCTTGTTTTTGTTTTTTCTTAATTGACACGGTAGGTAGTAGGTTATTTGTTTATCAAATTGATAACCTGTGTTCCCTCCCCTTCACACTAGCTACTAGAAGGTTTTTACTAAATTTTATCTCCGAAGTAAGAAAATATTCTCAAGTATCCATTTATCAAACTTTAAAAATTTGTGGAAAGATAGATCCTAATTCTTTAGGAGTTTACATCTAGTAAGAATGTTACCAAAAAATAATAGTTCATAGGAATTACAAATCAGAAAATGTAAGTCAAAATGTGGGATGTAAGTAATGTGTTAAAACTCTAAGCTGGATTCCATCAAATTAATTTTAAAAATCAAATTCAGCAACCAGGGCCTTGATCTTCCTTGCATATTCCCCTATGTTGCAGATTCACTGCAGACATCCATTGATTTAGGGAGTTTAGCACATTAAGGGCATTCTAATAAACCATTCTGTGCTTACCGTTTTTCATCAAAGAACTCTGAGTACTATGCAAAAGGCAACTCTCCCATCCTCACACCCAAAGACAGAACAGCCCCAGCACAGAACAATGACAATCATAGCTCCTGAAAATGAGAAGCACCCAGTCTCCAGACCCAAGGCAGACGTCAAGGCTTATTTATGGCTTAGAGCAAGCTGATGCCAGTTCTGATTCATCATTACTGGGTGTGGAAGATGTATTTTTCAAAGACGACCATACCAATGTACATCCCATCCCACATGCTCCTCTAACAAAGTGACCGTGACACTTCTTCATCAATAGATGGCTTCTATATTCCCATCCTTCAAATTTGAGTGGCTTCTAATTATGGCAGAAATGATGCTTCGTGACTTCTGAGGCTGCATTAGAAATGGCAATGTAACTTCCACTTGTCCTGTTGTCTCAGGGTGCTTGCCCTTCAACTCAGCCACCACGATGTGAGTAAGCTCAAGCTAGCCAACATGGAAAGAACACATGGAGAGATCCATTCGGAAAAGAATGGCGACCGCCTCACCTCAGCCGATAACCAGCATCAACCCGCAGACATGTGACTGAGCAAGGATTCAAATGTCCCAGCCTCCAGCCTTCCTGCTGTCCCAGTTGCCAGTGAGTAGAGCAGAAACTATGTCTTTTCATCAAGTCCCACCCAAATTAAAGATGTCAGGGATACATAAATATTGTCATTAACCTACCAGTTCATCGTCATTGTCTCAATTTACCAAGTTTTGGGGTTGTTTGTGACACTGCATTAGATCGCTGAAACCCCAGGCAGGAAGCCCTGGCAGACCTCCAGACTCAGCAGGTGGGAAGCATGAGAACATGGGGTGAAAAAGTCTCCTAGGTAAGTCAGCAGCAACACTCTCTTCTCCTGTCCCTCAGGCTAGCAGGCTCCTGCTACCAGAGCATCCCACTCCTGCTGGGTAGGTCAGACTCAGAAGGGGGCTCCTTGACCAACAAACCCTGACTCCCTTATAAAGTCACTTACAAGAAGCAGACACGGTCTAGTGTGGGGGCCAATCAGCTGACAAAGGCCGGTATGTGTCTGATAGTGACAGACACATCACAAAGTGACACTGGGAATCTAGGACTGGGCACAAAGATGAAAAGACACATGAACCCCTTAAAAACCCTGGAAACATTCCTTTCAGCCCAGACCTCAAAATTTCTCCCTTATCATTTGGCATTTATCTTCATAATAGTTGAAGCTGTGATTGGGAGTGCATTGTCATGTGGTAACTGAGCCACAGAGAAATTAAATATCTTACTAAGGTAACAGGGTCAGTCAGTGGGGATACAACTAGGACGAGGACAAGGACCAAGGACCGTATCCCATCAAAAACATACACCCAGAAATGGAAAACAGAGCTAAAGTAAAGTAAAAGTTCTACATATATGCATTGAAACTTTCCTAAGGAGCAGATTCATTACGAAAGAGTCAAAATCGCAAGCACCATTCAATCCTTTGGTAAGAACATGCAGACTCTTGGGTGTTGGCCAGAGGGTTGTTCTTTTAATATTGCAGTGCAAAGATCTAGTTCCCACCACAAATGGGCTTCCCTGAGGGTTATCAACAGGATACCAACAAGGCAATATGGAAAGCAGCTTGTCATCTGAATAGGAACAGAAGAATGATTGAAAGTAGAGGTAACAAGGGAGAAGAGACAAGAGCCCAACTCTTAAGGCTGGAATGAACCCCACAGGATCATGGAAAAGAAAAGATCAGCACCCAGACCAGAGCCAGCCATTGGACAGCAGAGCCAGTATTGGACAGCAACAAGTTCTACCAGCCAGTAGCATCTACTAGCCAGTAGAACTTGATGCTGTCCAATACTGTAGCTTCCAGCCACTTGCCCCAGTGAGCACATGAAATGTGGCCAGTGCAACTAAGAAACTAAATTTTAAATTTTATTTCATTTTAAATTATTGAAATTTACATAGCCACAGATGACTGGCATCTGCTATACTGGAGAGCCCAGTTTTAGACCATACCATTCTAAACCACTTATTTTCTCCCTTTTTTTTGTAGCACAAAATGGGCAAACCTAGACACATTTCTGCCTCCTGAAATCTTCCAGGTGTGTCCTGCTCCACCTCCTCTGAAAAAGTCGATGGCTGGTGTATATCTGAGTCACCACAAAGTAAGATGGCCAAAACTTAAGTGTGTGAAGTCACATCTGGGCAATTTTCTTTCCCATTTCCTCTATTGTCTGGATAAAATGAAACAAAAGATGAAACAGGCTATTGGTTTTCTACATGAGATCAGCAGGGTTTTTTAGTAAAAAGCCCAATGTAAACTTACAGGTACTACAAACTGTGTCACCACAAGAGATGAGCTGCCCTACAAGGACCAGACCCTCCAGCTCATACAACTTCAACTGGAAATCGTTTAGGAATGGTTTATAAGGACTGCTCAGTATCAAGACAACAGGCTGTCAGGCAAGGCAAAAGATCATACTTCGTAACCAAAAAAGTTATCAGTTAAAAAAAATCAGATGCCAATTTTTTGGTAGATGAAAGTATTTGCCACTTTCTACTATCTTCAGATGGCAACCAAAACCTACCATCAGTCAGCCAAGTGCCTTTTCACAGTGGGCAGGGAGAGAGAATGAGAAATCTTTTAAGAGGGTTCCCACACAGCTCCACAAAGCTACCCAATAATTCTCATTTGGCCTGCTGGAAAGTTGTTAATCTGTCAAAGAAAGAAGAAACTCACCAAGAAAATAGCTGATTCTCCAACATGTAAGTTTTTCCATAATCTGACCCCTGATTTACCAACTCAAACTTACTTCAGCCACTACCCAATAGAGTTCTATCATTTCAGGCAAAGTCTTTAAAATTCCCCCATGGAAGGTGGGCATTTTCATAAATTGCTAGTAGACTAGAAATGTGAACAACCTCTTTAGAAGACAGTTTGGCAACAGAAAAGTTGTCTTTCAAAAATAATAATCTTCCAAACATAATAATCCTCAAACATGAAATGTTTCCAAATTCAAGGAATATGGCACCCAAAACCCCTTTCTTTAAAAAAAAAAAATTCACCATGTTGCCCACCAAACATTAATTTTTTTTTTTTTTTGAGACAGTCTCACTCTGTCACCCAGGCTGGAGTGCAGTGGTACAATCTTGGCTCACTGCAGCCTCTGCCTCCTGGGTTCAAGCTATTCTCCTGCTTCAGCCTCCCAAGTAGCTGAAATTACAGGCAGCTGCCATCATGCCCAGCTGATTTTTGTATTTTTAGTAGAGATGGGGTTTCACCATGATGTTGGCCAGACTGGTCTCGAACTTCTGACCTAGTGGTCCACCCACCTCGGCATCCCAAAGTGCTAGGATTACAGGCGTGAGCCACCATGCCCAGCCCATTAAATTTTTAAGAATGAAAAGCCATAGTAAAAAGACCAATGGTTAACAGTACATTGATTAGGAATAAATAGGTGGAGGGATACCCAGGGGAAATTAGAGCTACAGAGTGTTAAAAGTATAAAGCCTAACAAAACAAAAATAAAACAAGCAGCATACATCAGAAAGCCAGGCAGGGACAAAGGGAGAAGGCACTCGATGTTTATCATGTTGTCCTGTTATTCTCAATCCATCCTGACTCCCAACCTTGTGATGGTTTTCACCTCTCTTCTGAACCTAAGAGAACAAATACTCTTATGCTACAGAATTACTTTTCAGAAGATGGACAATTTCTTTCCCTTTTGTTAAATTCAAGATCAAATTGAATGTTTTACTTTTAAAGCCATGTTTTGTTTGAACTCAGTCTTACACAATTATTTCTGCCCATCATTTATCTACCCATCCTTCTGTTCCTCTCTCACAGTATGTACAGAGGCATGGCTGAAATAAATGTTAACATTTGTTATCTTCCGCTTGAGCTTTTTTGGGTAATATTTTACTTTCTCCTTTGAACTTTTTTTTCTTTTGCCTAATTTTTTTTAATTAAGAAAACATCAGTGAAGTAAAAATAAAACAGCAATTACCTTTCTGGCTTGCATGGTTCTTTTTCCATTTGTTCACCTGATCTGTGTTTCTCTTATTTCCCCCAACACTCCCCAACCTCAGATTCTGACTCATATACCTCCATCAGTCTTCTTCATTCCCTGACCCTCTTCTCTGGCTGTGTCTCAACTGTTGGAGAAACATTATGTGCCATGCTCTAAGGTGAAAGAATCTGCCTAATATCATTCCTCCCGACACCATCATCTAGTAGGGAAGTGTAGAAACCTCCCGATAATGTAGATAAGAAAAAAACGTGGTGCTTGGGTATTTTCACTAGAGATGTAAATGGAAACTTCCCATGCTGGGATTCCCAGCTGTGCTGCTGTTACACCACAATGGTGACATATACCAACACACACAAACCAGGTTTACTGGCAGCCACTAAGACGTCTTCCATTTCCACCCCCCCCAACCTTTTTAGAAAATTAAATAAATAACTCCTATTTGATGACTTAGAAGAAGGAAGGAAGGATGGGTATATGGGTAGAGAGAGGGAAGGAAAAAGAATTCCCAGGAGTAGAGGGGGCTGCACCCATATTTGTAACTATATACAATTTGCTCTACCACAGAACTCCAAGAATGCATTCCAGTGACAACAAGCTTATCTACTACCCCAGCACCATTATAGTGGTCCATATTTTGTTTATTCTATAGCAGAAGTCAGTGGTCATGTTTTCCATAGGTCATCCTCCTGCCTCTTCCTTGTTCTCCATCTTAAGGGGTGTGCATCAGAGCAAAATCTGCAGAAATTGAATTTTCAAGTTCACTATATCAAGGATTATCAGGCACCATACAGACTGCGCAATACAAGTAACAGATTTTAAAAACCCAAATATTGATATCCTGGAGCATAGGATATTTGTAACATATATATATATTTGTAACATATATATATATATATATATATATATTTGTAACATATATATATATACACACACATATATATATATATACACACACACACACACACACTTAAACAGGGAGTTTCATCAATTTTTTTGTAACTCCTAATTTAAGCTCTCACTTTTGTGGCAGTTCTTAGAGAACAGACACAGTCAGCTTCTATGTTATGTATCAGCAGACATGACCTTTCTTAGAAACAGCAACTCAAAAAGACTAAAGAATAAGACTTCATGTCTGAGAAATAAAGGCATTACCCTGAACCATAACTATGCAAAATATGCCCTGGCAAGTACTAGTCCCAGAAGGCTCTCTGTGGGCTAGGGGGAGACTCCAGAGACTAGTCATCTTTGGGAAGTCCTGCTCTTAAACATTCACTCTTAAAGACACCATGTAACATATGTTGGCACATTAAAGGCTCTGAGAAACCCTGAAGTTAAACAACAAAAGCAGCAACAACAAAACCTGAACCTGTTAACTTGGTTGAACTCATTCCAAATCTATTTGATAATGGAATCCATTCTCTGAGGCAACACTTACCCATTTACCAAGATTCCTTCAGCCTGACGATCCTGTCTAGCTTTCAAATTCAGTGATCCTATGAGTCCATAAAATGACTAGCACTCTTACCTATAAAGGTTGGCTTATCCTCGACGCACATAATGACAAGCACAGGTGCTGTTTCTCAGTGTGTATCAGGCTCACAGCAGCCAGTAATGACACCTGGATACTCTTTGTTTACAGTTTCATGTACAGACCTGAGAGGTCAAGAGAGTCATGAGAAACTGACCATCACATAAACACCATAGCAATGTTCAGAAGCTGGCAGTGTGCTTTCCTACTTGACCCTATCCTCCCTAAGTTTCCCTCCTTGGTTCTCATGACCACATAACTGTGCCATCCCCAACATCCCACTCTCCTCTCCACTTGCTGTTTAAACTTTACTACTCACACTCAATCCTTCCTATTTCAGTCTGGAATTACCCCAGAGAGAAAACATCTAGATAGAAGTATGTATTTGGAAGAAAGAAGTGCCACTCGAGAGAGTTAAAACACTAAGTCAGCTGGATAAACTACTCATGAAAATCTTGTGGAAAATACCTCATAATTAAATATTCACACAACTGTTATGTGGGCTTACTTAGAAACATATGTACAAGCAATTAACTTTATATTTACCCAAGCAAATAAGAAAATGGGATCAACATTTAGTACTCACTTAACAAATGTTCACTAATCACTTACCATTGGTCAGGCACAGTTTTAGACACTGGAGATAAGGCAGTGAACTTAGTCTGAAACATTATACAAATATCACAGCATAGACTAGAAAATTCAGTAATTCCAATTCCTATGATGACCCTGGAGAAAATACTTTCTAAATGGAAGAAGAATGATTTTAAGGAAGAATTTAGAATCGTATTACAAGGTACCAAGAAAGCTTCTGCATCCATGAGAAGGGGATAGAAAAGGCAACAGACATAAATTTTGTAACTAACATTTCCCAGGTACAATGCTAGATGCTCTTACATACGTCACATTATTTAATTCCCCGAATTACCCTTTGATTTGGTAGAGTTTCATTTTATAGTTAAGAAACAGAGCCAGTGGCCAAATTTTTGGAATATGTCTGATTCCATCCAAATCCACACCTTTTATATAAATACCGAGCTTAGATCTGAAAATGAATTCATGGCCACTTCAAATAGCATTTCCAATATGACTTCATAATGACAAAGAAAAGATATCTCAAAATATGTGTGGGAGAAGGACAGACATCAGCATCACATCAAAAAATAATCTTTTCGAAGTTGGAGGAGTCACACTTTGTGATTTCAAGTTACTACAAAGCTACAGGCACCAAGACAACGTGTCCTAGCATAAAGACAGACATACAGATCAGTGGAATAAGATTGAGAATGTAGACATTAAGCCCTCACACTTATGGTCACTTCATTTTTGGAAAAACGGCCTAGATAATCCAAAGGGGAAATAAAGGTCTTTAAAACAAATGGTGCTGGTGCTGGAACTTGATATCTACATGCAAAATAATAAAGTTGGGCCCCCTACCTCACACTATATACAAAAATTAACTCAAAATGGACCAAAGGCATAAATGTAAGAGCTAAATCTATAAAACTCTTAGAAGAAAACATAGGGGTAACTCTTCCTGACCTTGGATTAGGTGGTTTCTGATATACGGCACTTAAAAACACAAGCAACTAAGGGGGAAAAAAGTGATAAATTGGACTTCATCAAAATTAAAACATTTTGCACTTCAAAGGGCAATATCAAGAAAATAAAAAGGCAATCCACAGAACGAGAGATAATATTTGCCAATCATCTGATATGGGTCTAGTATGCAGAATAAAGAACTCTTACAACTCAATAATAAAAAAACAAATAATCCAATATTTTAAACAGGCATATAACTACAATAGACATTTCTCCTCCAAAGAAGCCACAAAAAATGGCCAATAAGCACATGAAAAGATGCTCAATGTCATTAACCATAAGGAAATGCAAATCAAAACCACAATGATGTACCACTAAAATGTTTATATAAAATTATTTACTTAACAGACAATAACAAGTGTTATCAAGGATGTGGAGAAACTGGGACCTTACACAGTTTGATGGGAATGCAAACTTTGGAAAACCTTCTAGCAGTTCCTGAAAATGTTAAACATGGAGTTACCATGTGACCCAGCAATTCCACTCCCAGGTATAAACCCAGACATATGAAAATGTATGTCTACATGAAATCTTATTCAGGAACGTTCATAGTAGCATTATTTATAATAGTCAAAAAGTAGAAAAAGCTAAATATCTACTAACTGAATACATAAATAAAAAGTAGAATATCCACACAATATTATTTCAGCCATAAAAAGGAATTAAATAGTGAGTCATGCTACAACATGTATGAACATGTAAAACATTACACTAAGTGAAGGAGGACAGATTTTTTAAAGGCCATATATTGTATGATTCCATTTATATAAAATGTCCAGAATAAGCAAATCTATAGAGACAGAAAATAGAAAAATGTTTGCCAGGGGCTGGCTAGAGGCAGAAGGAAACAAAGTAATATGGAGTTTCTTTTTGAGTGATAGAAATTCATTAGATAGTGGTGATGGTAACATGACTCTGAATATACTAAAAAATATTACTGACATACATTCTAGAAGAGTAAATTCTGTAGTATGTGAATTATATCTAAATGTAAAAATCCCTTGAAAACTCCAACAAGGAAGTTATGAAAACCCCACCAAGACTGCTTTAAAATAGCAAGCTCAGTTGAAAACAAATGACCAAATAAAATCAACATGGGACCCTGTGATTTCGGATCAGCCTATATAAAGCCTATTGAATCTATACCATCTAGTGAACTCATGGAAATGAAAGAATTAAACAGCAAAAGTCAGAGGTCAAATTCAACTTCTACACATGGAAACACCTGTACAAATTATGATAAGACTTGTCAATCCTGCTGCCACATTAGTCATCCTAGAACTCACTTGAGAGGTTGTTGACAATTATATCCAGTAATGAACCTGGGGTCTTCTAAGATCCCAAAGGCTTTCTTCTATCCCAAGAGGCAGCACCAGCTTAGATCTCTGAGCATTTATTTATGTGTAATCCAAGGTCTAATGAAAATCTTTACAGAATGACTAAAAGCCTAATCTGGATGTGACATGAAAATGACTTTCAAACTCTGAAACAATTGGTTGATCTTTGCTCTATATGCTTGCTTTACATTTAGCAGTGACTCAAGCCCACATTAAAAAAAAAGTTACAACAACTCTAATTCTCAGAAATACCACGATGTAGGCTAAAATAGATACACATATGTACACCCATATTCACACAAACCAACCCATCACGAATCCAAAGAATGACATAGGCTAATGAAAAGCCTGAACTGCATTGTCTGCAGACAAAAGAACAACATGAATAGGGCAAGCACAGATAATCCCAACTTTTGAGGCTGAGTTCCAAAAGGTAATTGTAAATCACCTCTTTGACACTACTCAAAACACATTTTTTCATAGACGTTTGGTCATGTGCCCAGGCCAGCCCAGAGAGGCCTATGCAATGCACTTAAAGCTAAACACGCCTTCCAAGGTCAACTCCAGAATGTAGCTCAGAAGTGGCAGCATCCTGGCTGCAGCAGCAGGAAGTAGAAACAGTGTACCCTCTAGGGTACCTCTCAGTTACCCTAAACTGAGGAGCAAATACAGGGCGTGGTCCACATTGGGAATCCCATCCTACTCCCACTGAGACATATAAATCCTTAACAAGGGATCTCTAAAGGCTGAGAGAAGGACCTGGCTTCCTAGTACTATCCCAGAGTTCTAACCTCAGTACAATTCTGCTAATTTGGAAATGAAAACAAACAAGAGTTCACATTATGGGATTTTAAAGAACCTTCCATTCTTACAGAGAGCCAAATTGCTGGATTTTTCAAAAATGTATTTTGTAAGGAAGATACATGAAAAGTAGATTAGGAAAAGTAGATTCGTGACTTTTGGCAGCTTCTCAACATCTATGATCAATACAGATTCAATTTTTCACCACCTTTATGTCTCACGTCCAGCCAAGAGGCTGGTACACAGCAGCCACCTCAAAAACGCTTGTGGAATCTCTATACTTCTAACATTGTTAGTATTGTGAATGCAATTTACTTTTTAAATACTGTAAAGTAACTTACATACAGTGTGACGGGGATTAACAGGATTGGCCTGGCCTCAGAAAAGACATTATTTAGGTGAGAAACAGAAAATAGAAGGTTAACAAATACAAACTACAAGCACTGTACTATCTGGACTGTGTTACAAAAAGTCCTAGAAGGGCACAGTGAGGGGGACTGGGGAGAGCACAAACTTTCGTGTTAGAAAGGTGGCTTGTCCTTACCAGCAATGTGACCTTGAGCAAATCTGCTTCCTTGTGCCTTGATATTCTCAACCAGGGAACAATTCCCTCTCAGGGGAATTGTATGGCTGAGTGACCAGCGTGGGAGGGAAATTAAGTTTTCGGTGGATACTGTGGTGCTTTTAGAGTTTGATTCTAGAAACATGACTTTCTCATTAAACAATTAAATACATAAAATGCACTATGTGATTCATCATTACAGTAAACCCCAAGGGAAGTGTGTAAAATGCCAGGCTGCTCTCCCTAACCTTTCCTCCATTTCCTTATGCCCTCTTCTTGTTCTCCTGTGACTTCCACAGACCTGCCAGCTCTGCCCTGGTCCTCAGTCTGACCTCATTCTAGCCTGACCACCTGCTTCACAGCCTTGCTATGAACTCTGTTCTTTGCACGTAATCCCCTAGTCCTGCTTCAGGCTTCAGGTCAAGGATCTCTGTCCAACCCTGTCCCTGCTGCCCTCACCCTCTTGGTGAAAGTGACAGACCACCCTCTCAGGGAGAACCACAGGGCTAATTCTGATTCCAAAGCAAGCTTATTACTTTAGGGTCGATGCAGCAAACAAACAAAAAAGCAAGTTTGCTTACAGTTTTGGCAGTCGAAGAAAAAAAGGAAAAGAATAAGAAAAAGAAAAAAACATATAAACATGACCATCAGAGATACTCTACACTATAACCACTACATACTTCCCCGCCCCAACACACACACAGAATCAGAGGTGGAACCAATTAAGCGAATCTTCCTCAGTTCAGAACAGCAAATCTAATCCTAGAAGATAGTTTCCATCAATCACAATAGGTTATCTATCTAGAAAGGGCCATCACTAGGCCCACAGAGGAGCCCAAGCATGCCTGTTGACCTCTCTCTACAGAGTGGAGCTCCTCAGGACTGGGGAGTCAGAGCTAGAAGAGCGTCTCTGCTCCTCAGCAACCTGCTCCTAGAACCAGCCTCTTCCACTCTCAGGGTGAATCAGCATCCAGGTCTGTGCCTCATGTCTCCCTGTCCACTGGAGTAACCCCAACAAAGGGTAGCCACTGTGCTGACCTAGCTGAGCCAACCAGATTCCCTTCCTCAGAACGTGGAAGTATTTCGAAGTTAGACACACAGGGACCTAGGCAGACTCTGAAGACCACTGAACTCAGTAGATGGGTAGGACTGCCAGGGCAGCTATTTTTAACCATGAGCTGGGCAAGCAGGGATGAGTATGGGACGGCAGGGCAGAGAGAGGGAGGGAGAGACTAAAAGATAAGAGAGATTGACAGACAGGAGTCCCAGAGAAATACAGAGTGTGAGGCACAGAGACAGGCAGACAGACAGCACGCACATGCAATGAGACAGGGGCAGGCAAATAGAAACCCAAAGGAGACCAGGAAGATGCGGAGCTGCAGTGGGGCAGGCGGGCGGCCGGGTGGGGAGAAGAGAGATCTTCATGGGGCTCTGTCTGCTGAGTGGGAGGCCCTCCTGTGTCACAGCAGTGCTTCCTGCTGCCTGCCAGGGGCTCTGAGAGCTGCCCCCTTGCATCACTCCAATCAACCCTCTCTTACCTGATCCAGTCTATTTCTCACTTATGAAATCTAGAAAAACAATTTCAAATATCAACACCTAATGAGAAGCAGCACTGGCAATTTTGACACATATTGTGGATAAATAAGTTAAAATATCTGGGAAACCTACTTGGCTATCACTAACAAAATTCTATAAAATATTGATACCTTTGGACTCAATGTTTATAATAGGAAAAAGTGTATACAACCTCAATGCCCAACAGTAGAAGAAAAGTTAAGCAAATTAAGACCAAAATACGTTTACTTCATGTGGTGAATAATATCACCTCTAAAAAGATTTATGGTTAAGAGAAAAATGCTGAATATAAAAGTACATAGAACTATGTAAAAATGTACACTGAAAATAAAGACCACAAGAAAATACCGAGGGAGATAATAGGAGGCCACATTTGGGTGGCAACGCTAAGAGATTTTTTCTTCCTCTATACGTTCTCTGTATTTTCAACATTTTTATAATGAGAATATATTCAAGATGATATATTACGTAAAAAACAAATAGAATAAAGAGCGAAAAAGTAGTAAGAGTCTAACTCCGATACACTTTTGTACTTGTGACTTTCCTATTGCTATGATACCCAGTACGGATTCCTACACAGAACTGGTTCTAAGAATTGCCGTCATCTGGCTAAGCTTCTTCCCGGTATTGCTATGGTGACATTTACTTAGTAAACATTTCCTCAATGCCTGCCCACTTTGTACAAGGTTGAGTTTAATGGCTGCTGATACTCTGATGGGCTACTCGCTACCCATACTTTCTGAGACAGCCAATTCCATTTTTAAGTGTTTGGGTGACACTGATTATCTCCAACTTAATCAGCTGTCCTGAGGCCTGTATGAGCAGCTCACTGATCTGACAGTAATCAGAAGGCTGTTAGATGCCCAACAAGTTTCCCTTATTCTTGAGATACTTAGACCTATAGCTGCTCACGGTTCTGCCTAGCAGTCACATTTGTCCCGGCTCAGGTGGTCTGCTTGTCTTCCCTTCTTTAGATAGAATAAGAGTCAACTATATATAGCTGTTACCCTTTTTCATTTCTTTTTTGTGTGTTTATACACTAAGAAGACAAGGGAGAAGGCATAGCAATTCATCATTTTTATATGTCGTTCTGCTCTTTGTAAGAGCCAGTGGAACTATACATACAATTAACATTCAAAAAACGTTACTAAAGATTTCTAAATGACATGACCACAGAATTAGGTGTTTTAAACACCATGTATGTTAGCACAGAGTTGGATTTAAAAAGCCAGCAGCTGAAACAGAAATTATCCTGGTAGACTGTTTACAGGCCTACCGCTGTGATAACAAACCTCCCTCAGCCCCTTCAACATCAACCCCAGAAGCACATGTAGAGGGTGGGTGGTTAGCCTTCTGGGCTGACACGGGCATGCACATCTGACTTTGTTATTGTTGTCTGAGTTTTTGGAACACTGGGGGGTGATGTCTGCCTATAATACATGTGGCCAGATGTCTTTTCAAGAAAAGAAGAAATATCCCAATTCCAGCCGGAATACTCAAAGACCCAATACAGTTTCCCCATCTTTCCTTGCTGGTTCTTATTTAATAATAAAATCTGTCTTCCTTTTAAGCAGCCAGTGGACAGGCCTGTTTGAGGCAAGACGCACTAAAATGTCTCAAAGGAATTCTACAAAGATGGCTTTCCTTTCAAGTTTAACTCCTGAGGAATAAATCCTTCTCTGCAAGAGCATTCTCTAGTTTCTCAGGGCTAAACATGCATTCAGCAGTTCCTATTTTGATTGGAACGTTTCATCGCTTTTCTCTATCACTGTAGCAGACAGAATCACTGAATTGTATACAAGAGAAAACCAGGAATAAAGAGATAGGTCCTACTGATGGTGTATTCAAAGCAAGCTTTCTCCTTTAAACCTCAATGTTGCTAGAGTGAAGAAAGTCGGCTGGCTAGCTTTATTTATTTCACCCAGATTTGTGATGTGGAAAAGGTTGAACAGAATAGCAGTTTTAGTTTCCACGGATCACTATAAGACAAGATGATATAACTGGAATTAGAAATATAAAGTTTATCTTGTTTCATTAAAAGGATCCTTAAATAGCTAGAGATTGAAATCTTATCAGCCTTCAGTTTTGCAATGGTGTGATGAAGAGGCAGACGCTACTATCAGGCAGTTCCCATAACAGGGCTAGGTATGCCGTGGTCATTGGATCCTACTATTTCTTTGTGTCTAGAACAATTACCCCTCAGGTGTACTGAATTGGGGATGATAGTGACCTACTGGCACCTATAGAAGTAGTGTTTATAAGATGGACTCCATTTCATACAAAGCTTTCCAGTTTTCAGTTTGAACGTGTAGGGTTATGCCATGCCCCTGATCAAGTTTCTTTAGTGGATATTCATTACCTGTAACAAATAAGAGGTCATCTAGCTGCAAATCAGAATCATCCATGGACAATGTAAAGAAAAACAGATGCTCAGGACATGCTCTACCTGAGTATTCTAATTCAATGGTCCCAGGATCCAGGTATAAACATTTTTTTAAAAAAAGCTTTCCAGATGATTGAAATGCATACGATTGAGGACTACTGGCTTGCAAGAGGAAGTCTCTGTGTTACATACAAGGCTCAATTACCCCCACTTTTCAGCTGACATTTCACCTTCCAGCCACACAAATCCACTTGCAGTTCTCTACAGACTATCTCCACACCTTTGTAGCAGCCATGCCCACCCTTACTGTGGGCACAGCAGAGTGGCCACTGTATAAGGTCGCAGCTCAAATGAGGCCTTCTTGTCCATTTCTGCCTAACATCCCCAGGCTGGCATGCACCAGGCTGCCCTTGCATATACCTTGTATATATATTACAACACTATTACAATAAAGATACTTACATGCTTCTCTCCTACCTGAACTGTAAGCTCCTGGAGGACCTGGTCTCTATGATTCCTATATCCTGCTGCCTAGCAAAACACCTGTCATATGATAGGTACTCAAAAAATTCTTGATGAACTAATAATTGCATCCATGTAAATAAAACCAATGTAGTCAATGTTGTAAGAAACAGACTGCTGGCATTATTTTGAGTTGAATGGAAGAAAATTGGAATGGATATAATCACGAATTTTTATTCAAATAGATTTTTTTGTAGTGAGCTTTGGATTCCAAGAGTTACTTAATCATCCTCAAGCATGCTACAAGAGAAAATGCTTGGGGATCTTTGACTCAGTTAGAAGCAATGCTGCTTCCATTGTATGTCTGGAACTCATTTCAAGAGGATTCGTATGTCTTCACTTCTAGTCCTAGATATCTCTGAAAGAAAACCCAAAAGAAAGAAGCCAGCAGGGGAATTGACAAAAACGAAGATATATTTTATGTGCAGTTTAGAGTTTTCTGAATAGCATTTTTATAAGGTACAAGCTTGCAGGCCTTAAAATATGACTCAGAACACCAACTGTGATGCCAACGTTTTTATTTTTAGACTTTTTAGCAGAGAATATGGCAATAAATCCAAGCTACTCAGTCTACAAATCCTCTAAACTTCCTCCTAGAGAACAGAATAGCACTTGGCATTTCTTGGGGTATTATTTTACTTGCATATATAGTTATGCTAGTAAAATTTTGGTGACTAAAGAAGAATTAATAACTGAAGCTCTCAATGATTCCCATGATTACTGCTTAAGTTGGCAAAATATCCTCAGGCACAGAAGAAGCTTGCTGATGAAAATGTGTATGGGTGGATTGTTCAGTTTTTTTCACCGTGATACACTTGCTTGTAGTTATGTCTGTGTTCTGAGACAAGTGGTAAGGGCATAATAACAGAAGGTTTACCATTTTGAGAGAGAAAATAGGACTACAGAAAATTCAATGGCATGATAAAAATATTTTACACTTTATACCAACTGTGCTTTGCTGTTCCACACCTTAGCTTCTCACTACCCTATCTCTTTTTGTAAAGAAAAAAAATGCTTCTTGAGGTATAATTTATATCCAATAAAATGCACCTGATACGGTTTGGGTCTGTGTCCCTGCTCAAATTTTAATCTCCAGTGTTGGAGGTAGGGCCTGGTGGGAGGTGATTGGATCATGGAGATAAATTTCCCCTTTGGTGCTGTTCTCATGATAGTGAGTATTGTGAGATCTTGTTGTTCAAAAGTGTGTAGCACCTCCTCCTCTCTACCTTCCTCCTGCTCAGGCCATGAAAGATGTGTCTGCTCCCCCTTCGCCTTCTGCCATGATTGTAAGTTTCCTGAGGCCTCCCGAACCATGTGTCCTGTACAGCCTGAGAATGGTGAGCCAATTAAACCTTCCTTTTTGTTTTTTTTTTTTTTTGAGATGGAGTCTCGCTCTGTCACCCAGGCTGGAGTGCAGCAGCACGATCTCAGCTCACTGCAAACTCCGCCTCCCAGGTTCACGCCATTCTCCTGCCTCAGCCTCCCGAGTAGCTGGGACTATAGGCGCCCGCCACCACACCCGGCTACTTTTTTGTCTTTTTAGTAGAGACGGGGTTTCACCGTGTTAGCCAGGATGGTCTCGATCTCCTGACCTCGTGATCTGCCCACCTTGGCCTCCCAAAGTGCTAGGATTACAGGCATCAGCCACCGTGCCCGGCCACCTCTTGTCTTTATAAATTACCCAGTCTCAGGGTATTTCTGTATAGCAGTAAGAGAATACAGCACCCCTTTTAAGTGTACAGACTGATGAGTTTGGAGCAAATGTATATGCCTATGTAACCATCGCTTCAATCAACACCTCAAAGAACATTCCCTCACCCAAAGAGCTCCCTCATGCCCTTTTGCAGTCAACTCTAACCCTGATGCCTCTGATTTCTATCACTACCATCTGGTTTTACCTGTTCTAGGACTTTGTATTAATGGAATCATACAGAATATGCTCTTTTCTTTTATGGCTCCTTCACCTCAATATGATGTTTCTGAGTTTCAGCCATGTTGTTGCTAATATCAGTGGTCCCTTCTTTTTTGCTGCTGAGTAGCATTTTGTTGTATAAATGCACCACAATTTATCTGTTCACCAGCTGATGAACATTTGAGTTGTTTCCAGTTTTTACTTGTTACAATCAAGCTGCTATTAACATTTGTATTACAGGCCTTTCTCTTGGGTAAATACAAAGAAGCAGTACGACGGGCCAGAGGGTAAGCGTGTTTAGCTTTAGAAATTGCCAAACTGCTCTCCAAAGTAGCTGCACCTCTTTATACTCCCACCAGCCATGTCTGACAGCTCTAGTTGCTCCACATCCTAGCCAACATTTGCTATTGTCAGTCTTTTACATTTTAGTCATGCTGATGGGTGTGCAGGTGTGCCTCACTGTAGTTTAATTTAGAAGGTCTGAAATCTGTTTCGTTCAGTGTGTAACTTTTTCCTCTTTCTAAGGAACACAGGCAATGTGGTATACTGAAAGGTCGCTGGATCAGGGTCGTTGTCGTAAATTTTATCACCAACTTTGTCATTAAATAGTTGCTAACGCCGTAAAGACCATCTATCCCACCTCATTTCTTCCCTATTGATAAAATAGTTAATTGAGCCAAATGAGGCTTAAATTCTTGTACTAAGTAAAAATGAACATCAATAAGTTTTACCAAAAATATCGCAGTACTTTCATAATAGTTTAGCACTTTTTTTTTTACAGACTGTCCCACAGGTTTCAAAGAGAATTTGTATATTAATATATTCTATTTCATGCTATAATTCTCTCCCAAATACCACACTTTTTTTTTAAGGAATAAGAATTCATCAAGAAAGGAGTTCCATTCAATGGAAGGCTCCCTCCTTGCCTGCTGCTTCCAAGCTAATTTGCCAAATCATGAACTTTGATGTGAACATTAATGCATTCCGTTTATAGTCATCTGAGTTTAATTCCAAATTGTACCTGTTTTTAAAAAACGTTTCTGATTCCAAAAGCATAAGTAATCATCCTTGGTCATGTATGTTTTGCTCACTAAGCTTTAAATTGTGGAGTGAATCAATTGGCAAATCTTTGGATTTCATTTGATATCTGCTGTATGCTTATACAATATCTCTTTACTATTGTTCAGCCTCGTATATCTAGCAATGTAAAAAAAACCAACCAAATCCCCAAAGTTAGTCTTCACCTCTCTGGGTTCTCATAGAGCAAGGTAAGGGTAAAGTAAAGGTGAAGGCATCGTTAATGATAAAGGAAGGAAAATATCATACATTCTTTATGAGAAAACTTTAGGAGTTAGAAGAAAGGGTAACTAATGATTTTTTAAGAGGTTAACCTGGAAAGGTTAATGACCAACTGAATTGATGGCTTTATTCTTCTAATTAACTAATGATCAAAGGTGAGGCAGAAATGCATGGCAAAACTGAAGGAAACTAGTTTTTTCAGTTCCAAGGAAATATGCACTAAAATAAAAAAAATGTGCAAATAAAACATCTGGTGTTTGTAGGAATACATGGGAAAAACTCAACACTTTTTGTTGTCAATTCCTGTCTAAACAAACAAATTTTATACTGCCTATCCAAGATTAAGATTACACTTAACAAAGGTTTCCCATCTCTTGTTCTAAAGATATCTCAAAATATGCCAAGAAAAAAAAAGTAAACTTTTTATTGCTGACAGCAAAAAAGACACAGGTTTCAGTGGGAGGTCTATTTCAATAGGAATGGGGGACACTGAGTTGCAGCTAAAAAAAGATCACATATTAAAAATACATATGCAGTGTACTTCAAAGGGCCTCTTACCTAAGGGGGAAATGAAGAATAAAGCCATCAATTCAGTTGGTCATTAACCTTTCCAGGTTAACCTCTTAAAAAATTTAATGAAAGTTATGGTCCAGTCTTTCCAGAAATGATTATATGGTTTTGCACAGTCCCAAAGGGTCTGGCTCTCTGAAAGCCTTCTGTGGAGTCTTTAAGGGTTTAAGAACCTAGGTTGAGGTGAAGGATTTCTGATTAAATGAATTCATCAATGAGATTTTGTCACTGAAACTTGACCTATATCCAAAAACAAGTAGGCAAACCTCTCTCCAATCCAAATGCCAAATACATACATGGTAGAATGTGAAGATGACTTTTTTAATTCCAAAAATTATTTAACATTCTCACAGGAAGTACGTGTTCAGAGGCAAAAAGTGAGCTGTGGGAAGACAGATGCTCCCAGACATCCATTTCCCAACCATTGCTTCCTGAACATCAAGGTAAGCCAACAAGTCTGAACAGTCATTTGAGGGGGTGGTGTCAGTTCCTTCCATTTCTAGAATAGGTCTTTTCTAAAAGGAGGTATTCATTGTGGGGCACAGAGGGAGGAGTATGAATGGCTAACAAAAATGTTTGTGAGCAGACTGAAAAGTGTTATTTAATTTGGAAAAAAATTCAGAACTATAGGTGAAAAGAGATAATTTGGGAACTCTGGGTTATAAGTTATGTGCCTGTCTGTGGTAGGCAGAATAATGGTCCACAAATATGTCCATGTTCTAACCCCCAGAAGCACTGAATGTACCTTATATGGCAAAAGGGACTTCTCAGATATGATGGGGAGATTATCCTGGATTGTCCTGGGAGGTCTGATCTAACCACAAGGGTCCTTATAAGAGGGCGTCAGGAGATGTAGAAGGCAATGTGATGATGGAAACAGAGGAAGAAAAGGAGATGTGATGTGAAGCCATGAGCCAAGGAATGCAAGCAGCCTCTAGAAGACAGAAAAAGCATGGAAGTGAATTCTCCACAAAAGCCTCCAAAAGAACAATGCCCGTTGACACCTGATTTTAGTTTTCTGACCTCCAGAACTGAAAGAAAATAAAATTGTGTTAGTTTAAGTCATAAATTTAAACAACTTAAGCTTAAAGCAACTTAATTTGCTATAGCAGTAATAGGCAACTAATATAGTCTTTCCTAAAAGAAAAAAAAAAGGAAGGGGATGTAAGGAAATAAAGAGAAGTATGAAACAGCATGTGAAAAAGCATTTTCTGATGAACAACAAACACTTGCATCAACAAGACTGATACTGTCTCAAATGTGGTCCTGAGCCAGCAATATATGGGGAAGCTGAGGCTTAATGGAAAAACATTAGGAGTTAGAAAACCTGGGCTCTCATCCTCACTCTCCCACATACAGCTGTGTCATCGCGTAAACACAACCCCTTTGGGTCTCAGTGACTGATCTGTAAAACAAAACATGTAGACTAGATGAATGATAATCTCTCCTTAACAAAGGCCAGAGGGCTTTCCCTACAGACTGGTTCAAACCAGTGGTCAGTTTTCCCATAAACCAGTTCCCATAAACCATGTCTTATTTAATTAATAAGAAATGAATGGGCACATTTGTCCCACTTTAAAGCTTCGGCAACTGAGGCTTAACAAGGTCATATTTGTCCACCATCACTGGAATTTGAATGCAGGCATTTCGGACTGAAGATCACCTTTTTATCCAGTGTACTTGCAGCATTCCCCGGTCAAGTTTCAAGCTGTGCGCCCAGGGGTCTGAGATAGGTTAGAATGCAAGAGCAAGAGAACACCACCAACACAAACCAGGATCATAAACATCCTAGAGAAAATGAAAGGGAAAAGGGGGTGCTCTGGTGAGAATGTTGATGTCCCCCTGAAATTCATACATTAAAACCTAGTCACCAATTTGATGGCATTGGGATGTGGGGTCTTTGGGAGGTGATTAGGTCATGAAGGCAGAGCCCTCATGAATGGGACTAGTGCCCTTTTAAAGATTCCCCACAGAGCTGCCTTGTCCCTTCCACCCTGTGAGCACACAGCAAAAAGGCACTGTCTACCAACCAAAAAACGAGCCTCCCAAGACACCAAATCCAATAGTACTTCGATCTTGCATTTTCCAGCCTCCAGAACTACGAGAAGTAAATTTCTGATGTTTATAAGCCACCCAGTTTATGCTATTTTGTTAGAGCAGCCCAAATGGACTAAGACAGGGGCAAAGACCAAACTGCCTTATATTCAAGCATTTGAAATGTTGGGCATTCAGGAACGATCTTTCTAAGATCACTTTTTAAAAGAAACAAAAACTTTCAAGACTCCAACTGGTCCCCGGGGACAGACCCCCACTGTTCTGTAAGGCAGAATGCCATGTTACAAACCAGTGAACCGTCTTTCCTCCATATTCAAATTCCACACCGGACCTGATGCTGCTGCACCAACTCCAGTCTTCACGGTTCACAGGAGGAGAATGGAAGGGCTGCTGCCCAAAATAGTTTAATAAGGCCAGCAGTGATTCAGAGAGTAATAACAGGCCACGCACGCAGACGCCTGCAGAACTGGGACCCAGCTGAGAGGGGGGTTCGCTGCTCAAGGTTAAAATGGGGAATAAAGAGGACAGGGACATTCAATTACACGTGTTCAAAGGAGAAAAGATCATGAGTACCACCTGCAAACTCCCAAAAAGGCAGTCAAATAAGAGGCATTTCAGCTTGACAATTTAGTAACACTGCTCTAGAGTCAAAAAAAGAACCAACCCATGAAGGTAAAAAGCAACCTTGCCAACATACACCCTTTAGAACATTTTCTCTCTCAATGGACTCTGATTTGTTACTGAATAATTTCATGGACATAACAATATGTTAAGTTTATGAATATTTAAAAAGATGCCCAACATCAGGAGAACAAAAAAAATCCAGAAAAACATCGAGAAAACTTTATTAACAGTCTCAAGCTAGTCTAAACCCCAAACAAGATTCACCCTACCATGCAAAACACTTAAATCATTAATATTTCCGATTATGCTTCCATTCCCAAGAAAAACTAGTAATTGAGCAAAACTCTAAGCTTGTGTAAAAAAGAAATGTTGCATTTCTATCATTTATTTATCTTAAACTCCAGTTGAGGCAAGTATTTGCCTATGCTCTCAGTTCTGATCATAAGTTGATATTTAAATAATTAGTTATGAGAAAAGCAAACCAATGGGTAATTCCCAAAGTTACTATCTGCTTTTGCTATCAAAGTTTGGAATTTCAGTCAAATATACAGCGAAACATATATACACAAGAGCTATGCCACTTAGCATAAATAGAGTAAAACAACAAATACTAAGATTTGTTGGCATTAAATCAGTTTAGTCTATAAATACCTTTATAGATGACATTAGAAAAGCAAAGTTTAAGAATGCAGATAGACCATGTGTGTAATAGCTCTAAAATAGGAATCTGATAGGAAGTTAATTTTCTCAGCTGGAGCCAAGAGTTCAAGCTTGTAACTGATGGAAAATAAGGTCATATTGGAGCAGTCTTTTACATGAAAAATTAAATCTCACCACTTCAATACAGGCCTCATTTTAAAAACACCAGTATCAATCATCTCAACAAATTTTTATTCAAATATTACACAGATATGGCATGTTCAACACTGATCTTATTGACAAGTGTAAGCCTGCTTTGCTGGATGTCTCAGAAGCAATAACCCTTTCATTATAATCCTTTCTTGTGTCTGAGTTTTAAGCTTTAATGACAGATAACCGAGTTCCTCAGATCAAAGACACAATAATAGCCGGGAATAGAACATAAGTGAAATGAACAGTGTCAACAACACAAAACAAAACACCTTCATTTACTGGTAGAGAATAGAGTACCTGCTGTGCCTAAATGGAAAACAACCCTCATATACTGCATGTGTTATCAAAAACATATCTATCTTTTGGCCCCCAACCACTAGGGAGTAGCACAAAGTACATTAGGGTTTCAAGAAGTCTATCATGCAAGCTGATCTTCTCAAAATCGGATTAGAAATCAGGATGAACCATATCAAGGAAACTCAGCATAACTACTTAGACGGCTTTATCCTTTAAATAAATGCTGTAAAATAGAGTTTGTCATACAGCTTACTTTTGAATGGATCTTTTCTGGAAATATTTCACCCTTCAGAAGTGATATAATGACACAGGTTTGAATTAGGCCAATTTTCAGTTATGTCTTCTGTTCCTTGGCTTGGGATTCAACATCCTTGGACTTTTGGCAACAGGCAGATGGAAACGCCAGAAATTATAATTTTGCTGAAATGCCTTCTTTCTGGGGGACTTAATTATTTCTACTGCATGGGTTTGTTTCATTTTACATAATGCATTTTCTTAAAAATTGTATGTAGCCATTTAAAATGACTCACAAGAACTTTTAGTGGCTTTTCCTTTAAGCCCCCTTTCAAAAAATATGTACAAGGTTGCTCATCATAAGGTTGTTTGTACTAGTAAAGAAAGGAAAACATCTCAATGCATAGAAAATTTGATAAATAATTTGTAGTACAACTACATAATAACCTATAAGACATCCATTAAAATGATAAAACAGGCATGAGGGAGGCTTTTTAATTGAAGAAATATATATTCACAAGAAGTTGCAAAAATACTGCAGAGTGGTCCAGTGTACCCTTCACTCAGCACCCACCAATGGTAACATCTTATGTATAACTACAATCAAAAACAGGAAATTAATATTGGCACACTACAATTAGGCTACACAGTTTACTCAGATTATGGTAAGCTACAGAACTTACTCAGAAACTCACCAATTTTTACATGTACTCACTTTGTGTGTATGTGTATATATGTATTGTATATATTTCCATAAAATGTTATCTCATATATATTTATGTAATCGCCACCACAAACAAGATACAGAATTGTCCATCACCACAGAGAAAACTACAAGGGAACTTTTTACACTACTAGAAATGGTCTATATCTTGACCTGGGTGGTGGTTAGGCCATATACTTCAGTTATACAATTTAGATTATAAAGTATGCTTATATCTAAAAAGAATGATGAAAAGTTCTATTGATTGATGGCACATTAGGTTTTTTTAAAAGTTACAAAACAATATTTATAGAATGATTCAATTCTCACATGTGTCTCTATGTGCCTGGGGGTGGGGTGGGGGAACACCAATATTTAATTTTCTTCTACAAATTCTATTTTATGTATTCTGGCATCTATTTTGCAATGAGTATGAGTTGCTTTAATAAAGCAGAGAAAAAGACCAAAAAAAAGGTATGTTCTGTATATTCTCGAAGAAGGAATCTTTTTTTTTTATTATTATACTTTAAGTTTTAGGGTACATGTGCACAATGTGCAGGTTAGTTACATATGTATACATGTGCCATGCTGGTGTGCTGCACCCATTAACTTGTCATTTAGCATTAGGTATATCTCCTAAAGCTATCCCTCCCCCCTCCCCAGGAATCTTTTTTTTTTATCACCATTTAATTCATTCTTAAGATTTCTTCTGGTTGAAAACTACCATCTTTTGTATCACTCCCCTAAAACACAACCTCTATCAACTTCATAATGAAGGGGCCTTAAGTTACTGGTTCCAGTAAAAGATAAACTTGAAAAGTTCTTCCCCATGAAGCTGAGTGAGTAAGTAAGAACATATGCGAATATTTCAAAGGAAGCTGAGACAGTGAATACAGGCTGTTACTTAGGGCTAACTTTTCCTCTCACAATCCACAAACATGAATACGTTCTTTCAATATAACCTTTAATGACCACAGACTATGTACTAAAATTATGCAAAGGTTCTCCAAGACCTCAACATGCACAAGACAAAGATCTTGCTCTTAACAAGGTCAAAACTGCAATGCAATACAATGGGCCAAGTTCTTAACACCACCAATGAGAATAAAGTCCTGGGAGTATATGGAGAAGTAAACAGCCAATTCTGTCTAGGAGTGGGAAAGCAGAATGACTCTGAGAAAGGAAGGACCCTAGCTGTGGGCCTTGAAACCTCCTATTTGGGCTTCTGCCAGGTGGCAAAGAGAAAATGAAAATAGGGGAAAGAGTCACTCTAGTCACAGAGACTGCCTGCAGGCACAAATACTTTGAGGGCCTGCTGGAGAACAGGTATGTAGAAGTTAGGGAAGATGTGAAGGGATATGATTCTGGAAACAATCGTGAATAACATGATAAAAGTTTGCCTGCATTATCCTATATGCAGTAGGAAACTCAAAGGCTTTTAAACAGAGGACTAGACTGGTATCAGTATCAAAAGTGAGTTGGAATGAGAGAATGGAATAGGAAGATAAATTATTGAGCTCTTAAAACTATATACCGGGTGAAAAACAATGAGGTCCTGACTAGAGGCAGCAACAGCAGTTGTCATAGAAAAGGATACTGTATTAGTCCATTCTTGTGCTGCTAATAAAGACATACCCAAGACTGGGTAATTTATAAAGGAAAGAGGTTTAATTGACTCACAGTTCAGCATGGCTGGGGAAGCCTCAGGAAACTTACAATCATGGCAGAAGGGGAAGCAAACATGTCCTTCTTCACATGGCGGCAGGAGAAATGCCGAGCAAAAGGGGGAAAAGGCCCTTATATTATAAAACCATCAGATGTAGTGAGAACTAACTTATTATCATGAGAACAGGATGGAGGGAACCTCTCCCATAATTCAATTTTCTCCCACCAGGTCCCTCCCACAACACGTGGGGATTATGGGAACTACAATTCAAGTTTTGTAGCAGCTTTGGGTGGGAACACAGCCAAACCATATCAGTAAATTTTTATTTCAATTGTTTAACTATTATGAATGGGCTCATTCTGTATATAATCCCCAATTTGACTTTTATGTTCAACATTATTCTTGAGGTTTACCCATAAGGATACATATAGTTTTAGTTCTTTCTGCTTTATAGAATTTAATTTACTGAGTCCATTATAGTTATTTATCCATCTTACTCATGGACATTTAGGTTGCTTCCAATGTTTTTCTCTAACAAACAATACAGCAGTGAACAGAGCATACATGAGACGTCCCAATACATGTGCCACACTTTTACATATCTGGAAATAGAACTGGAGGTTTATGGTGCTATCAGGCATAAAACATGAAACACCTTAAACCTAACTAATTACTTATTACCAAATCATTCTCCAAGCTGGTTGTTCCAAATGATATTGCCATTAATAAAACATGAGCTCCCATCTTACATGTCTTTGCCCATACTTGGTGTAGTCAAACTATTTAATTTGAACAAATTTGTGAGTGTAGAAACGATATTCTTGTTCTGGTTTTATATTATGCTTCCAGAATCGAAAGGTATTTCCAAAGTATAATCCATGAATTAGGATGTGGACAGTGAAGGACAGAGAAGAAAACTATGGAGTGTTCTGCTTGGGTAACAAAAGTAGAAATATCTGTTAGGAACTACATTTAACTGCAACCGATAAGATACTTCCTCCTTATCTCCAAATGGTGGCCTAAATATACAAGGGCTTATTTGCTATGGGCTGAAAGTTTCTGTCCCGCCAAAACTGGTATGTTGAAACCTAATCACCAACCTGATGGTATTAGGAGTTGGAGCCTTTGGGCGGTGATCAAGTCATGAGGGCTCCCCCTTTGCATGGGATTAATACCCTTATGAAAGAGAGCCCAGAGAGCTGTCTTGCCTTCCACCACGTGAGGACACAAAGAAGGCATCATCTATGATGCAGGCAGCCCTCACCAGACACTGAATCTGCCAGCACCTTGATCGTGGACTTCACAGTCTCCAGACTGTAAGCAACCCATTTCTATTGTTTATAAATTACCCGGTTTATGATATTTGTTATAGCAGCCTGAACTACTACATTGCCACATGAAAATCCACAGGTAGGCATTCCAAAGCTGATATGGCAGCTTCATGGTTATAATGACCAAAGATCCTTCTATCCCAGCTTCAATTTTCAAGGTCTCCTTAGGGACCAAGATGGCTTCTGAAACTCTAGTCATCACTCAAATTTGAAGGCCAGAAGAAGGAAAAGTTGAAGAGCAAAAGGGTATACCTCCCAGCTGAAGTTGTTTGTTTGTTTGTTTGTTTGTTTTTAGGCTTCCTGGAAGTCCCATACAATACTCCTAAATAACATACACAGGCAAGACCTTAGTCACACGGCCATACCTAGCTGCAAGGAAAACTGAATAATGAGGTTTTGTTTTGATGTGTGTGTGTGTGTGTGTGTGTGTGTGTGTGTGTGTGTGTGTGTGTGTGTGTGTTTTGAGAGCAAAACTAATGTGGCCAAGAAAGAAAAAAAAAAAAGATTGTTATTAAGGAAAAAGTATATAATGGGAGGCAACATTATTTGACATAGTAAATGATGTGATTAATTAAGATGCAGAACACAAGAACAAATGAAACAGAGTGCAAGGGGTAGGAATCAGTGTAGAAATAAAGATTAAAGAATTTTTAGCACAGAGATATTGGATGAAATCATAGGAACAGTTAAGATAGCCCAAGGAATCAGCACTGAGCAAGAAGAGATGGTGAGGTAAGTATCCCAGGAAATGCAGTATTTAAGAGAAAGAAAGAGAAAAGATAAATGAAGAAAACTAAGACATCAAGAATATTCAGAGAAGGAAGAACAACACTGTCCATAATCCAAAGGACCAAGGTCTCTGAGGATGGAGGAGGTGTAAGCTACTGGTAATTGTCTGCCCAGTAGCCATTCTCCTGTGCTTCTTTGTGGCTGACAAGAATTCCAATTTTGTTCAGCTATTAGGAAGCTATGTGCTTGAGGAGAGCTTGGGCTCCTCCCCAACCCCAGCTGTAAATCCTGACAATTCTAAACCTATCAGGTAAAATCCCATTTCCCCTTGCTATTGATTGGCTTAAGCAAGTGCATCTGAAACAATCCTGGCCAATGGAACTCTAGGGAAAGTTTGGGAAACAAAAAGTTAACATGTTGCATGTTTTAAAAAATTAAACACGCAGGAAGAAAAGACTAAAGAAACTGGGTCCTTGAGGACACAGTCAACCCACTGAATTAAGCAACTCTGGAACTTCCCTAATTTTAGACTTTTTAAATGTAGTTTCTTCTATTTGGGTTTTCCATTACTTGCAGCCAAAATCACCCTAATAGTCAACAGTATCAAACATTAACAGGCCAAAATGTCATCAAGAGGCCTTGGGAGACAGTGAAGATTTAGAATGGAATGACCCAGTTCAGTCACTGAGAAGGGGGAAAAAATCAGTAACAGGGGGCTATAACTAAAGTTAGGAGGGTGGGAGGAAAGAGGAGGGAGAGCATTAGGACAAATATCTAATGCATGCAGGTCTTAAAACCTAGATGATGGGTTGGCAGGTGCAGCAAATCACCATGGCACATGTATACCTATGTAACAAACCTGCATGTTCTGCACATGTATCCCAGAACTAAAAGAAAGAAAGAAAAATAAATACATAAATAAATAAAGTTGGGAGAATTTCTTCCTATTGACTTCTGTTTCTAGATGAAATGAAAACAAGTTCAAATGCTGCAAATGAGATTGTGAAAGAAAGTTATATTCTTGAAGAGCATAATAAAGGTTTGAAATAGCTGCTACAAAAAAAATGGGAAAGGGTTTGAACTTTGGATCTGAAAATATATTTTCAGATCAAAAGCTTCTGTTAATATTAAAATCATAAATTTGTAAGAAAGCCAATAAGCAGAGTGGTAAACTGAGTACAAAGACAGAAGAAGTGGACTGTTGTGTTGAAACACAGTTGGAGAAAGAAATGAATCCTATAGAAGATCAGGAGGTGTAGAAATTACTGGTACCAATGACAGATCATCAAAAGGGTTGACTATATAGCCCAGGTACACCAGGGGAGAAGTAAAGAGTGTGGAAGAGTAAAGACCAGACAGGCTGAACAGGGTGCAGATCAGGGAATAAATTCACAATGAGTCTGAAGAAAAGGTTTAGTGAGAGAAAGCAGATGGGAAAGACAGGGGCCGTGATGGAGGAAAGGGTATTTCAGAGATAACCATCTCAAAGTGAGAGCACCAGTGTTTGGCCACTGGAGCGGGCGGCTGAGGTGGTATGGGAGGTACCTAAAACCAAGGAGATGAGGAACGGTGAATGAAGATGTCAGGTAAGTCCTCAATATAAGCACAGCAGAGGATAACAACAGGCCAGGAACTCTAAGGCAAACAGGAGACAGCTACAAACCAAAGCTCACACTTCCCACATCGCTCTTCTTAACATTTCTTCCTTTTTTTTCTTTTTTTTTTTGTGTGTGTGTGACGGAGTCTCGCTCTGTCGCCCAGGCTGGAGTGCACTGGCGCGATCTCGGCTCACTGCAAGCTCTGCCTCCCGGGTTCAAGCCATTCTCCTGCCCCAGCCTCCCAAGTAGCTGGGACTACAGGCTCCTGCCACTGCGTCCAGCTAATTTTTTGTATTTTTAGTAGAGACGGGGTTTCACCATGTTAGCCAGGATTGTCTCGATCTCCTGACCTTGTGATCCACCTGCCTTGGCCTCCCAAAGTGCTGGGATTACAGGCGTGAGCCACCGCACCCGGCCAACATTGCTTTCTTTTAAGGAGAATTCTATTTGCCTTAGCAATAGTTTCAGGTAGATGACCTTTCACATATGTATAAGAAATGTTGCCCTGAACCCTGGGAAAATCCTAAAAATTCCAGTCTACTATCAGATAACTCCTCCTAATTGGGTCTTACTTCTTATCAATTTAGAAAAACCCTGGAGGAATAAAATGAGAAAAGTGGAGATGAATCCAATGCATCTAGGATATTTCTTAAAGTCTCTACTCCCAACATTTCCCCTCTTTCTACTCCTGCTGCTCCCTGCCAGGTTCAGGTAGCAATTATCATCTCTCGCCTACCTGACTACAATATCTCCTACCTAGCTTTCCAAGGTGTAGTGAGCTCTCCCCACTAAATGATGCCACACACAGTTGCCAAATGAATCCTCCTAAAGCATCTCTTTGAATACTCCTCTCTATGCAAAGACCTGCAGTGACTCCTCTTCACCCAGAGCACTGGCTTTCAAGCTCTTATAGCACCTGCATCCCGTAAGATAGGTGACAGTATTCCCACCACTAAAATCAAGTAATGACAATCTGTTCTCCCACTTGACCATAATCACACCTAATAGAAGAGCTCTCTGATTTAGCATAAAATAACACATTTAGTTATCTGAAGTGTAATACATCATTGCATGGAATTCTAAATGCAAAACTTGTGAACAAATGATGTATAAAATGAAGTACAACTATACAGTGGTGGTATTGAAGGCCTCCTAAGCGCCAACTCAACCTTCCTTTCCCCCTTTATCACTCACATTTTACTCCACTTATCCTAAATGCAAGACAAGCCAGGCAGGCTGTATAGTTACCAGTATCCACACTTCAGTGTCATTCTAAGGACTCAGGGCTGTGTTTTGCTCACATCTCTCTTTGTAACACATAACGCAACAGAAAAGAAAAAGCTTTGTTCTGTGAGGCTTGCTGCCCATCTGCTCCAAGTACTTTGGGCACCACCAGAAATGTATGTTGTGTCCAGCTGACTCAAGAAGCCTTCCCTTAACAATATCTCAAGATGCTTTTTTTTTTTTTAACCTCAGAACTTTATAAGAAAACAAACGGGCTATTTGAAAAGAATGAATTTCATACCATACGGAATGAACTAAACCACATTTACTAAATAGTCAATCTAAACATAGGTATTCTTTTATACAACTAATATAATGAAACGGTAGTTCTAAATACAGCTAAGGGCCCCCACACCTGACCACGGCACTAAGTGCACTTGTAGCCAGGAGTGCCTGAAGCCATGTCTGTCTGGTGCCTTTCCAGACACTGCTTCTGTTGTTTCCTGGATTTAGATCCTTCACGGGCCTCTTCTCTGTCATGGTAATCCATGCATTCCACGCTGATCACCAGCAGAATAGGGAATCCTGCTATCAGGTCTCATCTACTCAACCATAGAGAATTTAGAGTCCCTGAAATATTAGGACAAATGCAAAGTATGAAAGCTTCTGTGTTTCTATGGTGATGGCCATTTTTCTTCCTGTTAGGTGCAAGCCTTCAGTTCCTTTTCTGAAACCTTCAAGGCTAGGAATATTCAAAATGGCTTTTTTAAGGTAATACAATACATATGTCGTATATTTTATAACACCTCCAGCAGGGCCTAGAGCAGCACCTCACAGTCAAAAACACTGATATTTTTGCACGTATGAACATCCCTATTAAGTGGGATAACGATCATGAATAGCCTCATGGCAGGACAGGGCAAACTTTGCCATCAAATGAAGTCCACAAAAAGCCCAAAACCTGTCACTGTACAGATTTCACAACGGTGATTAAGAAACTACATTACAAACAACTGTGTGACACTGGAAATTAAGGAGCTGAGCAGTGCTATTGCTTCTTCTGCAAAGGTAAGATGCTATGGCAATGCCTACCTGCAAAGGCCATCCTCTCTCTGGCTCCAAACAGAACACCAACCCAGGGCTAGAAGAAATGCCCAGGTAAAATGGAACATCAGAAAGTTTTCCCACATTATGCTGTAGATCATTAAGTCCTTACTATAGTCTGTCCTGTCTATGGCAGCCCAGGGGTTCGTGAATTCACTAATTTATGTCCCTTCCATGGTTGCCCTGGTGCAGTGCCATGCCCAGTACACTGGCTGGATCCATGCTGACGAATCTGACCCTCTCACTCCCCAATACTCTAGGTCACACCACAGCAAATCATGACACAGTGAATGAGACAAGAATACTGAAGCTATGAGGCAGCCTGTACATATGTGCTTGTACCTTAAAGGCTTAAAGGAAGGACAAAAAACATTTCAGTCTGTTCATTTAGTTATTTCATTCCAATACAAAAAGCAGTCAAGCACCACATTCATAAATTGAAGTTTATCACCTCAAATCTTACCTGCATAGTTTCTATATTTGCTTTGGTGGGATATTTTAATGACTGAAATAACAGCATACCTTTCTAAGAAGAGTTCCGTTAAACTAGATAAGATCAGAGTTAACACTATAACTCTGTATCTCTACATATCTCCAAGGAAACCCATATACTATTAGAGTCATGCTAAGAAACAGATTCAATTTTGAAACAGATCAGGCAAGTGGAATTTACTAAAATGGAAATGTGACTCTAAGAAAAGCTTTCACGTTCCCTGGTGCTGACTATATCTTCACTATGACATGACTAAATTGGATGGACTGCTGAAGATGTCATTATCCAGAATAAATATCATAAATAGATATGCCTTCGGTTGGTCCATTTTGAATCTTGATATTTATCATTGTACTCCACCAGATAAGTCAATTTGTGAAATTTACTTATGTTTCAGATTAAACACAAACTGGAAGAGACAATAATAGTTGAATTAAGAATCCTTTACTTAATCAGTCTTCCTGGCATGGACAGGAGACTATAAGTAGTCAATAATTTCCTTTCATCGGCAAAGAAAAACCAAGGAAGAAATTTAAAATTTTCCAGTCTAAAGTAAAAAAAAAAAAAAAAAAAAAATTAAGAAAACATTTTTATTAGGGAGAAACCAAAGATTAAAAGTTATCTTGACTTGAAGAGATTACTGGATTCTTCATATTCTAAAATAAGATGTCTGGTTACAATAGTGGCTGTAACACCTCCTAAAGTTATTGTGAGACTTTGAGCAAAGGCTTCTATTTTCTCATTTGCTTTAAACTTACCTGATCATTACTGGGACTAAGTTGGTGATGTTAAGAAGAAACTCCAAGTGTTAAAAATGCCATGGTGGCCGGGCGCGGTGGCTCACGCCTGTAATCCCAGCACTTTGGGAGGCCAAGGCAGGCAGATCGGAAGGTCAGGAGTTCAAGACCATCCTAACCAACATGGCGAAACCCCGTCTCTACTAAAAATACAAAAAAAATTAGCCGGGCATGGTGGCACGTACCTGTAATCCCAGCTACTCAGGAGGCTGAGGCAGGAGAATCACTTGAACCCAGGAGGCGGAGGTTGCAGTGAGCTGAGATTGCGCCACTGCACTCCATCTTGGGTGAAAGAGCGAGACTCCAAAAAAAAAAAAATGCCATGGTGATGTTTAAGAATATAAAATCTCAATAAACCAAATTATCCTCTCCCTTTCAAAAGAGAAGGAATGTCAAAGGTTCTTCTGTATGTGCTATTTTATCCAAAGGTTTGTACCACAATATGGTATTTGTATTTTTCTTATCTAGCAAAGTACATAACTCCTCTATAAGGCCCTTCTCATTTGCTTTAATAGTGACATTTTAAATGAATGAACAACCACATCATTCTCAAAAAATATTTTAGAAACCAGAAAACAGGAAACAATAATTCTGGCCCAATGGAGTTAACATCTGATTTTCTTTTCCTGATAGATTCCATGACTAGATTTTTCCTCGTATTTGAGAAAGCAGCATTCTTAAACCAAAACCGCCACTGCCAGGTCCTTTGGTGGCAAACCCTACTCAAAATTTGATTACTTGAGTATCAAGTCTTGGGTGGAGTTTACCACCTATATTATCTTAAGTAATATTATCACTTGATAATAAAGGAACAAATAAAAAAGAAAAACACTTCATTTCAAATCTAGTACCATTTCTCTTCCACATGATAATCCTTCCCTCCTTCAATCAACCCTTCTTTTTTCCAGGCTAAACATCTCCATTTAATTCATTCATTCTCCCACAACATGGTTTCCAGTTCTTTCTCCATCCTATTCACTCTTCTAATGGCAGAATCCATCATGAGTATGTGCTCTGACCACCTAACACAGTGTCCTGTATATTTATTCATTCAACATAGACTTAGTGACACCAGGTATTGATATTATTCTAGGAATTGGAGATATATCAGTGACAAAAATCACTGCTATCTTAAAGCTTAACATCTCATCTAGCACCTAGAACAAGGCCAGACACAAAGTAAGCACTCACTAAATACTTGTTGAAAACATCCTGCACGAAGGGCAGTATCTGAATTTGAACACAATGATTCCAAATGTGGTTGAACATGTTGAAAGTGGCACACTCTGATACGGTGAAATGATTACTGGCAGCAAGGGGAAAAAAATAGAAGTACACGTAAGACCCTGAAAAGCTAAGCAGTCTAGAGTCCCTTTGCAACTCATTTTATAGCTTGAGGACATAACTACATTAATCACAATGTAAGAGGTAAGATGCTGATTGTTCGTTCATAAGAGGTTCGAATTATGTTAAGGCTCTGTTCAAAGAAAGAATACAGTGGAGAATACATTTTAGAGTGATGCATAAACAGTTGATTTCAAACATTTTTATTTCTTAGTACTTGTTCCAGTTAGTATTGTTAAGTAACAAAGTACCCCAAAACATAGCAGCTATTTTATCTGGCTCATAATTTAAATGGTGAAGAATTCAGGAAAGGCTGGGCTGGGCAGCTCTGGCTCAGGGTCTCTCATTTGATGGCAATCAGATGCCAGGTGGGGCTGGAGCTAGGTGGGGCTAGAGTCATCTGAAGGCTCAGCTGGGTAGGTGTCCTAGGTGGCTCCCTCCCAAGGCTGGTAGTCAATGCCGGCTGTCAGCTGGGAGCTCAGCTGGGAGCTCAGCTGGGGCTGCTGGCTGGGTCACCTACACATGGTTTCTCCAGCATAGAATCTCAGAGTAGCCATACTTCTACTTGGCAGTTAGCATGGTCAGAGCTAATGTCCCAAGAGAAGTAAGCAGAAATTGCACAGCCTTTTACAACCTAGACTACTAAGTTGTCACATAGCGTTATTTTTGCCGTACTTTTATTGGTTGGAGCAGACACAAACCAACTCGTATTTAAGAGAAGGGTACACAGACCTCACCTATCAATGAAAGAACTTCTGGTCAGTTTTTAAAACTTCCACAGTGCTTAAAGGGGTAAGTTTCCATTAGTTAAAAAAATGTGTTTAGGTAGAAGACTATATTTTAGATATGAGACATTAAGAGGGAAGTAACAGACATTATCTGTTATTTTGCTCAGTACAAGTATCTTGTTTTGTTGAATACGCTAAGCTTAACTGAATTATTAGCCTAACAAGAGGGTTACAAAGCTGCTTTTGGACTTTGGACTCCTAAGCAACAAAAGGCCACACCACCAGAGTCCTGCCATTAAGAAGGGCAGGCTCAGGTCCATCTTATCCACTCCATGTGGCAAACATTTCTCCCTCCTCTGCTCACATCATTTTTTATCATATGCTTTGGATTCATGAGCTGAAGTAGCAGGGATGTGTGGGAGAAAGAGAAAGAGGAGAGTGAGGAGAGAGAGAAATTGACTCCATCTATATCATCTGCTTTGTGAGGATAAGAACTGTCTTAACTCTTTTTCTTTCCCACAACACTCATCAGGAATCCAATAAAGGTTTGCTGTTTGGCTTGTGCTCAAAACGAAAAGGATAAGCATTATTGTTCATTATTCTTGCCGCTTTCATGTCTTTAAATTGTACAACAAAGAAAACAATCTGTACCACAGAAGGCTGGACTGCTGAGTTCTAGCAAGGCATAGAGCTGTCTAAAAACAAAGTCAGGAGTGCCCCATCCTTGATGATGGTCAAGTCAAGGTGTTGTAGAAAGGAGTAAAACAACAGATGGAGGTTCTAAGATTCTAAGGTCCCTTCTAAGAAAGCCTTCTATAATTCCATAACAAAGGATTTAGAAAATAAAAGCAAAACTGAGTTCCTATAAATGTGTGGGATGTCACTATTCACTATCCTCCTGCCAAAAATGTATTAACATAGAAAAAAAGACAGCTAGGAAATTCTCTGAATAAAGCTCTTCCAGGTAGAGTTCAATGGCTACAGAAGGAATCAGCTCACAGCATGTGTGCAGCCTGGCTTTACCCAGGCACCAGAAGCCTCCAGAGCATCACTCCTGACTGCTGCTTTTGCTCCCCACGTGACTACCCCTGAAAGCTGCATATTTTTATTTCACAGAAACTACCTTTCCTCAGTCCCTATCAAGAAATGAATTTCAAAGTAACATTTTTAGCATAATATTTAATCCCTAACCATACCAACAACTTATCTATATGGGTAAGAAGGAAGCCAAATATTGCCAAAAATATCTAGGAATCACTATTTCTGAGTAGATAGCACAGTATTTATTGAAATTTGAACATTAGAAATATGCTACAAACTAAACTATAATCTGAACACAAGTAATATATGCATGTGTATATATGTATACATACATATCCAATTAAATCACACACACACACACACACACACACACACACTCATTGCATACTACCCATGTGCCAGATTCTGTGATCGGTGTTGGTAATTTGACACTGTACAGGGGAACAATATAATGTCCCCAAAGAGCTCTATCCATTCACTGTGTGCCAAAGATGCAAGAGATTATATCACAGATTAAGCTTTAAGAATGATTTTTTTAATCCAATGTTCATTTCTAAATCTTTTTCAAGAAATAAAAAAATCAAACTAAGACGACCTATCATATACCATACAGCAAGCTCACAGACCTATATAGAAATCCCTTGAGCTGGAGCTAACAACAAGGACACATCACAGAGAAACGGTCTCCCTTGGCTACGGAAGACAAAGCGAGAGAGAGAAGATTCTCAAGTGGTTTCAAGTCTGGGAATGATAGCCTAAAAAGAAAGTCTTAGGAGAAGACAGAAAAGTATTTTCAAATATTTGAAGCATTGTTGTACAGAAGACATCAGACTTATTCTACTTCAGAGGAAATAGCTGAAGTACTTCTATACAAAAGAATTAAACTTTTCTATTAATACTTCAGAAGGTAGACCTATGGCTTACAGGTGGAAGTCAAAGCAAGCAGATTTACCTCATTTTTTTTTTAAAAAGACCCTTCTAACAATTTGATAGCTCACAGCTGGAATGGGTTTCATGCAATGGTACTGAGTCACTGAAAAAGCTTTCAGAGGCTAAATGATGTCCATCAGCAAAGTTGTGTAGATTACAGAATCAGATGGTGTATAGGATTGGGTGATAATGCAATACCTTCTTCCAGCCCTATTCTATTATCCATTCTATGGAAGAGGATGTCTCCATCTTTTCTTTGAGTAAATAATTCCCAAATCATCTATTAAAAATCTCAGGATCCTTAATTCTACATCTTTACTTGGTATTTGTCTACCTAGGCTAATACTGAAGCCAGCTAATCTCACTAAGCCCTCTGTCATGAAGAGTGAAGAAAGACATCAGAAGTATCTTAACTGAGAGGGTAGATGGAGGTCCCTCAGGACAAGCTCTTCCGAGGTGTGGATACAAAGTATATGGCTGAATTATGAGTCATCACAGGAAATCAGTTGTTCGTAATAACAACACTGCTCCTAGTCAACAGAAACAGAAATTAATTAAACAATTTCCAGGAGGAGGTTTTAGATCTGGCTTTTATGATGTTAATGACTTATCAAAAGAGTCTGCATATCATGATGTCTCTAGACTTCTACTTCTTTATTTTTCCTTTGTAAACTGTGTCACACCAGGCGTATCTCACCATGAAAACATTGTGAGTAATCTCACCACACTGGGGAGAATTCATATTAGTAGTTGAGCGTAAATTCACCTAGAATTTATCAATTTGCTTATTCACGTTAACAGAACCACATTTTACACACTGTATAACCTGCCATTTTCATTTAACAATGTATTCCTGACATCTTTCCATAATATGACATACAGACCTACAGCATAGCTTCACAGTATTCATCACATACTGTGTTCCACCAAGTCTGGAACACACTCTTTCTCATATTTTAATATCTCTGACATTGGGTGTGTCTCACATTTAACAGCCATCATAGTTTACCTGGCAGCATATTTTCCTTCCTCAGTGGGACATTTTCTTTCTTAGTGGTACATAAATTAATGGGGGATCTTACAATTGACAGTCTTTGATTCAATGAAATAGGTTAGCTGAACTGTATATAATCAATCCATTTTGGATGTTGGCAGCAGATCCTCTTGATGTCCCCTTGTCATATTCCCTCCACCCACCTCTGATTTCAGCCATTGCCATGGCGGGGAGTTCAGAGTAGGGTGGCCTCAAGCTGACAGCTCCCACTAAAGACAGCATAAGTGTCTCTTTTGTCCCCAGAGCCTTCTTTGAAGCTGGGTGGCATCAACTCAGCCTGAAGGCAAGAGTGACCCAGAAAGGCGGAAGTACAAATGGCCCAGTGCACAACCTCAAGCAGAGGGGTACAGGGATGGCTGTGTAAATGCTCTAACTATAACACACTCTGTTATTATTGACTTTCTCCTTCCCTGCCTCTCTCCCCGCTCCCTCAGCGCTGCTTCCTAAGATCACCTCCCAAATAAATTATTTGCACCCAACTCCTTGCTTCAGGCTCTGCTTTCATGGGCCCCAAACTAAGCCCAGGCCTTATGGACTATTTCAACAGTCTCCAATTTATCAATACTTCATGCTTCAAAAATATGTTTATAAGTCAACAGCTTGGAATTTGCAATCCATTGTTTTCCCCACAGAAATGCTATTATAAATGATTAGATTCATAAGCCAGGTCATAAAAAGTATTCATAACAGCATGGAGTGCCAGCACAAAAGCTCCTAAGAAAACATGTCATTTTGCCACACTGCCTTTCTTTACCAGAATAAACATTAGTAATGCAATTAAGGCTCCAGGAACAAATATCCATCCACGTTGACATGTGCATACAAAAATACACACAAACACACACACACACATATTGGTGAAAGCAGATCTCTAGAGAATCGAAATGCCTGTATCAATATTCATTTAAGTCCTTATAACTAGGGCTTACAACTTGAAATCCAAGAAATATAGAAAGAGTTAAACTCATCAAAGGTCTCAAAAGGGAAAAACAGAAACTATTTAGTTCAATACACAAAACATGTAGGCCGGGCGCGGTGGCTCACGCCTGTAATCCCAGCACTTTGGGAGGCCGAGGCGGGCGGATCACGAGGTCAGGAGATCGAAACCATCCTGGCTAACATGGTGAAACCCCGTCTCTACTAAAAATACAAAAAATTAGCCAGGCGCGGTGGCGGGTGCCTGTAGTCCCAGCTACTTGGGCGGCTGAGGCAGGAGAATGGCACGAACCCAAGAGGCGAAGCTTGCAGTGAGCGGAGATCGTGCCACTGCACTCCAGCCTGGGCAACAGAGTGAGACTCCGTCTCAAAAAACAAAACAAAACAAAACAAAAACATGTAAAATTTCTTAGCCAAAGATGTTAAGGGTGAAATGAAAGAAAGAGGGTCATTCAGAACAAATTAGTGCAGAATTAAAGTGGTTATGTAATTTGGAACTCAAGTCACCACAGAGGACTGTTTAAAGTCAATGCTCAACAGTTAGAAGTCTGTTACAAAATCAGAGGAGACTGAACTTGAGTTGAAAAAAAAAATTAAGCTTCATATTTTATATAAAGCTAAGCCTTAAATCTGAATGAATGGATTAAAGTTGCATTTATATGATATTGTGTCAAAGCCCCATTAAATGATCATTTAATATTCAAAACAACGATCTCCCTCCCCACCACCAGCCCCAACAAAAAGAAAGAATCTCCCAAATCAAATTATTGATTGTAGCATCAAGAGGATGGAAAGTAGGAGAAAAGAAACGAAGAAATTTGAGATTATGGAATCAGACTGAAAGAAATCAATCAAAATCTTATCTAAAAATATTTGCTAGTGGCCTAATGTAAGTGGATCCTTAAGTGGGGTTTTTTCAAATTTCTTAAAAATAAAAATGCCTTTAAGTAAAAGCAACTCCTTGCTCAAGTAAAAAGTAAATCAAAATCACTTTTTCAATTATGCAGAATTTATATGTAACTTCATATTCCTTCTGGTAAAAAGAAAGGGGAAAAATGAAAAAGGTGAACCGAAAAATAAATCACTGAATGTTATTAAATATATACATCAAATCCATGACTACAGATGTGGGCACAAAAAATAAAAACACTTTTAGATCCAGGAAAGAAATCTGGTTTACAAAAGCCAGAAGACTATTAGTATTTATGACTTAAACTTAATTATTGTGCATATACACAAATCCCTTCCCCCTACCCACACACACAGGATTTTCTTCCCCCAAGTTCCCCAATTTAATGGTAAAGACGTAAGCTTTGAGCTTAAAACAAGAAATATTCTTTCATTTTGTTCTTCCATGTAAGGGCTGACAAACACACCACGGGGGAGAAACCTGTATTAATGATCCTCATAGCTTGCAAGAAAAACTATTAATTTCAGTCTAAACAAACACAAACAGGGACAAAACATTCTAGACATAAACCTGCTGCAGAAGCTCTCCAAAATCACAACACCCACGGTACATCTTTCAGCTCAAATGAATAAACACTTCCAGTGAGACCTCAAATGTTTTCTTTTTTTTAAAACATAAAAAGGAATCATTTTATTCCAACATGAATGAGACTGTAGAGAGCTCTAGTACTGTTGACAGCAACACTTCTTGGGGATATTATTAACTGGATTATAACATCTAATAACTAAAAGGAAGAACACGAATGAATGTAGAGGGGCCTCCCCACCGGCCATTCTTTCAAGCTTCAAAAAAGGAGCTCAGACTTTGAGTAAAGTCTTAGTCTTGGAATGCAATAGGCAGGAGGCACTTGAACTACCCAGACACTGAAATGATGCACAAAATTCTGCTCAATAGGCTGATATTTCATGTGGGTTAGGATCTGTAATCTAAACAGAATTAAGAAAAAAAATTAAGAAGCTAAGCACAACATAAATAGTCCAACTTTTTATTTTAAGGACAGAGAAACTGAGGCCCACAAGGCTCAAGTTTTGCCCAATGTCATGTAATCACTAATCATATACCGGTTATCTAGGTCTCCTGACATTCAATACAATGCCCTGTAGCAAACCGAAACCTCAGAAACCTCAGAAGGTATGGTCTAATCTAACATGTCTAAAATATTATTTGTAATACCCTTAAAGAATATCCTGAAATTGGATGAAATTTTAGATGTTGCTCTATAAATATGGAAAGATGCTCATATGAGCCACCTTTGGAGACTAGGTACTCAAATTTATCATGTATCTCAATACGGTTCATGCCAGGCATATGTATATTCACATGCAAAATCCTGCAACATTCTTAACTGTGCATTACATCAACTCTATAGAGATTATGGTAAGGTTATTTCCAGGATTCTAGGCCTGCCCTACCAATATGCAAACCATCAGCTGAATCTATAAACAAGAGTACCATCAAGGTTCCCAGATTTAAAATATTTCCCTACCCAATTCCCTATCAACCCCGCTTCCCCTCCCCAATCTCATTTAAAATAACTCTGGGATGGCCAATGCCTGTAATCTCAGCACTTTAGGGGGCAGAGGTGGTAGGATCCCTGGAGCCCAGGAGTTCAAGACCAGCCTGGGCAACACAGCAAGACACTGTCTCTACAAAAAAATCTAAAAATTAGCCAGGCATGGTGGTGCATGCTTGTAGTCCCACCTACTTGAGAGACTAGGATAGGAGGGTCACTTGAGCCTAGGATTTCAAGGTTGCAGTGAGCCATGATCACACCACTGTGCTCCAGCCTGGACGACAGAGTGAGACCCCGTCTCTAAAAGGTAAATAAATACATACTCTGGGCTTTTGCTAATAATACTATCTTAAAAGATTAAAGCCTTCACTTAAGTAGTTTTGCTTCATCACTTTAATTATTCTGGCAACCCATCTATAGTTCAATTCTCAATATGCCATCATTTGTCAGCTCTGCCAAGGAGTAAGCCCCATCTTTCCTAACCAAGCAACTCTTCCCTGGGGTTTCTTTCAAAAAAAATTATACCAGCAGGTTCTAATTTCCTATCCCTGCCAGAAAGGCTGCTCAGAAGTTGAGTTTAAATGTGTCTTATTAAAGTATTGTGTTAAAAAAAAAAGTATTACGTATCTGCTGAATTGTAATCAGACTTGAATAATCATCTTAAATAAAAGTTTATTAATTGAACATTCATTATTACTCTCAGTATGAAAACTAAATAGATCATCAGAAAAAGAATTAGGCACATTAGGAAGCAGTCAGATTGTATCAGTGATCAAACAGTTCAGACAGGGAAGGAAGCTTACTCTAAACAGAAGCTGCAGATTTGTATCCACTACCTATTTCAGATCCTGGTACAGTAGGTGCCCAGTAAACGCTGAACAAATGAATGAAAATAGAACTCCAAGTCACTTAGATCAAGGCACAACTGGAGCTCCATTTAATAAATGGTCAATGCCTGACTCTCCATTAAATGTTCAACGGCATGAACTAGAAGCAGGCAGCATGTATCCCAGGAATAGCTTTTGCTACAAAATGTGAGACAAAACAGCTCATGAAGAAAATAATCCTTATGGTAATCATCACAATGATGATCAACAGTCTGGAACACTTTCTCAATCACCAGATGAACCTTAGAACAAACTGAGAGAAAGGGGTCTGGGTACACTGGAAGTGGCAGCTCCAAACAGGCCCTGTGAAGCTCTTCATCCAAGACCTTCCTTCCTCTTTCATGATATTCCACTCTTCTACTTTCTCCCAAAACTATCTTTTTCATGCAGGCAAACAAAGTAGCAATAATGTCCAAACACAGAATCACTCAAGCCAAAGTACTCTCCTGAGCACCAGGAATCATCTGGCTGTGCTGAAAAGTCTGTCCAAACACTTTGGATTAATTTTTTTTCTTTTTGCATATTAAGGTATTTTTAGACGTGAAGTTATTTATTCTCTGCACCAAGAGAGGCTTACTTTTTAATCCTTTCTCCATAAGGATGTCAAAATCTTTCAGTCCCAAGGTAAGGTATCAGACCAAAATAGCTTTAAAAGTTCTATATAATTAAGAATGTTGTTATAGCTACTCTTATGCCAAGAATCATCTACACTGCTTCAATTCATATAATCATATCCACGAGAGACCCAGTTAACCTTGGCATTTCTGCTGCAAACAAAGTGTTTAGACAAACAGCACTCTCTCTATCCCAACCATGTTACTCAGTGCTGCCTGGTCAATTCTCACACAAATCAGAAAAAAAAAAGGTGTGGGGACAGAGGGGGCCAAGATGTAAAAAGGCAAGTCTGCAATCCTCCTGACCCCATCTCCTACAAATAAACTTAGGTTCTTCCAACAGTACGTTGAAAAGAATTAAAGATGTGGACCCTAAACAAACAAAAAGTCGTTTTGCATTGACCCTCTCTTTAATTTCAAACCTGGAAATTTTTAGCAGGAATATGATGACAAAACCACATTACCTAGAAATCATAAAGGTGGAAGACACTTTGAAAAGGTTTTTTGGAAAGAGCATAAAAAGTATCCCATGGGGTCTGATAAGTGGTCCTTCTGGCCAAGGGTTCATGCTGACAGTACTAAAGGAATGGATCTAAGGATGGAGTAGAGGGTGAGCAAACAGGGCAGGCAAGGGAAATGTGATCATGCCCTCCATAATCACAGCCTCAAAGATCCATAATGTGCCTTGGTTACCTCTTGATTCTCAGTATCTGACCATTTGTCAACTCTGCCACGGAGTTAGCCTTATCTCAAGTTTCATGAAAGCAGGGATTTTCTTTTGTTCACTACTATACATATTACCAACATTTGAACAGTGTCTGGCACATAACAGACTTCCAAAAAATTATTTTTGAATTAATAAAGTTATAGTTCAATCATTCATGAATTTGCTGAAAGCCAGTAGCAGGTTAATTTACCAGTTAATTCCCCACCAACAAGGAAGAAAGCAAACTTTTCCCATAATGAGTTTGGGGGCTACCATGTCATTTAGCAATTAATCTATTCCAACAACAAAAATATACTGAGCACTTACAATGCGCTGGGAATTTTTCCAGTGCTGGGAATACAGTGGTAGACAAGATACATGTTGTTCCTGCTCTCACAGAGCTTCCATTCTAGTGATTCTCCCTGGCTGTTCTGTGGAGGAGAGGCTACTGGGGTGGCCTCAGGGCCTTTGCACTTCTTGTTTTCTCTAAGTAGATGTTTGTGCAGTCTGTGCTTCCCCTCTTTTTTCAGGTTTCTGCTCAAATGTCACCTTATCAGAGAGGCCTTTGGCCATTTCTATGTAAAATCAAACAGCAGCACCCCTGTCCCCTATACACTCTAACCTACTTATCCCTGCTTTAATGTTCTCCACAGCACTTACTATCACCTGACATACATATTTATTTGCTTATAATGCAAACTCCATGAGGGCAGGGACTTTGTTTGTTGTTGTATCCCCTGGACCCACAAGGGGGCTTGACGCATTAGTAGGCATTCAATAAATATCTACAGAATGAATGTTTTTTAAAAACATACAATCATTGAGCTTCTTCAGCACAGCCACTGCTGTGCAGTTTAGTCACTGATCTTTCAGATCTTTTTCACTCAAACTAGTTCTTGGTCCTGCTGAGGAAACCCTATGAGTTTCTCATTTGTAGCTATGAGATTATGCAAACCCTAAGAGTATAATTTCCACTTTATATTCTAGATCACTAATGAAAATGCCCATTTCCATCAGGTCCTGGATCAGTCTCCACGGAAAATACTCACTGACTCCTCCCAGGATGAAAGTGACCCACAGTCAACATCTGGATGTGAACGCAGTGCTGATTCCCATCATGCATAAACCCACTTAGCCATGAAAGCTTCAATAAAACTGCTCTGTGACTGAAATACTGCAAAGCCTGCCCCAGGGCAAAGCCTGCCCCTGACTCAGCCTCAAAGGTGCCAACTGGCTCCCAGTTAACCAACCCTTCCCTGTTCTGAGATATTTCCACATGCGCAAAGGATGCCAGTGGATAGAACTGTTTTATTCATTAGGGGATAAGGGTACTCAGAAAAGAATACAGCTAATTTTTAAAAACCAATCCTGCATTAGTTTTCTCTACTCTGGCTTTATGTCCCACCTGCCCATTCCATGTATTTGTTGTTACGAAGAACTGAAGAGTAAAACACTGGAAGAGTAAAGCAGTAGAATTACCATGTTCATAGCTTCACTATCAAATGGCCATCTTCCTTTGTCTTACGCACATGAGGCATATATACATCTATCAAGGAAGATTTTCTGTTTATAAAGTTAGTCTCATTGTTAGACCTCAAACTTCTGATTCTTTGTATTCTTCCTTGTAAAACAGGCCTTTTTCTGCATTTTGAGGTTTTTCCCATCTGTCTTTTAGATACTTGTGTTACCTTAATAAAATTTTATTTTTCAATGGAGATATACTGTTTTGTTTCTTTATAAGAAAATTCAGGTTTTATCCTTTTTTAACTCTTTCACCCTTCAACCATTATTAATTTCTTCTCATGGAGTTCTTTTAGTCTGTTGAAATTCCTTTTTAAAATGTGTTCTCTTTGTTCTACTGAATTTCTAGTTTTTTTATTCATTGTCTGTTCCATCAATTAAAGTGGTAAGATTTTGGGCACATCCCTTTACAAGCATGAGTTCTGTCTGCTCATCAGTATAACTAGAATAAGTCATGCTATCTGCCTTGCCTGGTGCTATGCAGGTATAAGACTAAGTAGGTAGAACTGCTGTTTAAGCCACTCTTGAAAGTTTCAGTCTCTGTACTTGAATAGGCCCATTGCTTCCAATAAGAGAGGAATTTAATACTCTAAAAGAAGGGGGCCAATACTATTAAAGTCACATTAATCTACACTTTGCAGAGACATGGCAGAACAGACAAAAAAAAAAAAACCTCACCATCAAATCCAATGCCTGCCTTCCGGTCAATTAAAAAAGCAAAAAACAAAAAACAGGATTACAGTTCCAAATGCCCCAAACAAACAAATCTTCAGGTTGCATTAAGCAAAAACTTATCAAGCCCTCAATTACTTCTTTCGTAATGAATTCCAACGTTTCCACCTAGGGATAGAGAGTATGAAACCAAGCTTTAATCTAGGTTGAACAGCTGAAATTTGATCATGGTGGTAATAGGGTACTCAGGTAAGGATCCAGATAAAATTGATAATAAACATGTCTCCAATCACTACGCTTCAACTTGTTTTGCTTTTTGTCCTTTTACTAACAAAATATAGTAAATGTAAGTTATTTCTTAAATAATACACTTAATGTTCTCTAATATCAACCACTGAATTATTTTGCTTAAATTCCTGAGTCTCAACTTTCTCATCTGTAAAACACAAATAAAAACTGCTTCCTCACTTGGTTACTGTGAGAACAGCAACCAAAAAGGAGGGAGGGCACTCAGATGAATTCAATAAAACCTAAAAAACAGACTAGAATTCAAGTCCTCCATGATCTTGTTCTCTCAGGAAGCAATTAATATAATCAATTCTGTACTTGTTTTATCAGAAACATGTTCATTTCCCAGTTTTTGCATAAATGCCATCATACACTGTTTTACACATTCTTTTTTCCATTTAACAATAAATTTTAGAGACTGTTCCATATCAATAAGGAGGAAGCTCCCCCATTCTCTATATAAGCCATTATTTACTTAACATTCTCCCACATTTAGGTTATTTCCAGTCTTTTACTGTCATAATCTTTTGCTCACATATAAGCATTTTTGTAAGGTACACTTCTAAAAGGAGAATTGTTGGGTCAAAAAGTATGCACGTTTTCAATTTTTAAAAAGATTGCCAGATTGTCCTCCATAGAGGTTTAGAGCAATTTACTCTCCTGCCAGCCATAAATGAAGACCATTTCTCCACATGCTGATCAATATAAATCTCTTATTAAACACTGTTGTTAAATCTCAGTCAATAGGATAGTAAAAAATGCTATCTCCATGTGTTTTAATTGCTTTTTCTAATGAGGTTTTTTGGCTTTTTTTGATTGATAGTCTCTCTTTGAATATTAAGAAAATCTATTTCATGCCCTTTAACTTTCTTCCTTTGTATTACTCTGCACATTCTATGATCCAACTACTCTGAGCCATTTGCTATTCTCCAAATGGGCTACATTTTGGGAAATGCCCATTACTTCCAACTTCACTTACAAAATTTCTTGACAGTCAAGTTCAAAGGCATTTCAATGTTTATGAAGTGTTCCTGTACTCCTCTCATAGGACTTAATCACTCCTTCCTCAAGAGTGCCTAGGGAGCATTTTTAACACTTCATAACAGTATCACTTCACTCTGCCATGTACACATATGAACTTCTTGAAGGTCCAGATTATATTCTTCATCTTAGCATTCCCTGTGATATTCAGCACATTCACTCAATTAATGTGGCATGGAAGACTGAATTAAAAAGACTGCATTTCTAACTGCATATGTGGTTTTCAACTTCCAAACCAATATTGTAAATCTAGTGATGGGGATAATAAAATAAAGTGAAGATCTGCAGACTTGTTCTTTGGCCTAGACATCCATATCACCACTTAAATGCTGATCATCTTTTCTCTAAGTTTTTTGTTTAATGTTTGTTTTAACACTGAAATTCTGGCTGGGACTTGAATGACTAAAGGACCTAACTAAGATCAAAGTATTAAGGGGATTACAGACTTCTTTTCTATAATCCATGAATTGTAAGTTTTAAACATTCACTAGAATGGCTAAAATAAAAAAGAAAAGAACAAGTACAGATGTAGAGCAACTAGAACTATCATAAACTGCTGGAAGAAACGTAAATGGGCACAACCATTTTGGAAAACTGTTTGGGGGAATCAACTGAAGCTAAACATATGTTAACTCTGTGACCCAGCAATTCTACTCCTTGGTATATACTCAATAAAAACGCACACATTTGTTCACCAAAAGTTATGTACGAGAATATTCACAGCAGCACTAATCATAAAAACCCCAAACAGAAAAAAAAACAAATGTTTATCAATAGTAGAATGGATAAATAAATTTTGGCATATTAACACAATGCGATTCTAACAGCAATAGGAATAAACAAACTAAAAACCACACATCAAAATATGAGTGACTCTCACAGACCTAAAGCGTTAACATGAGTCAATTTACATAAGTTACAAAAACAAGCAAAGCTAATCTGATGGTGTTACAAATCAGGATGGAAATTACCCATTGCGGGTAGGGATAGCGACTTCGGAAGAGCTGGTAATCACCTGTTTCTTGTTCTGGACGCTGGTTACACAGGTTATTTATCTTCTGAAAACTCATTAGATTATATGTTGATGCTTTGTATACTTTTCTGCAGGCATATTATACTTTAACAAAAATGTTCCTAAAATAAATCAATAGGTGAAACTTCCAAAAGAAAATATATTCCTTTTAAAATGCCATTCAGGAATAAATGTTTTTCTAAATGCTGACATGCTTATCGGCCACTTGTAAAACCCAGCTGACCTGGACTGGTTTGACCAAAGAGCCTACCACTGAAAACCGAACTTGAACAAAAAAGAATTTTCTATTTCCGAAACAATGCATGAGTCACAAATGGTATTCAAATTTTTTGATTAAGAATAAAGTGAGGTGACCAACAGAGATCAGCTACTGAGAGTAGGCAAAGATTGCAGAGAAAGATAAAAGAAAAGAATTTCCTTAAATGGTACCAAAATAGCTATTACTCTTAAATGAACCTTCTGTTGAACTACTAAGAAAAAAACCAATTATTTATTCCAATGCAGATATATGCCTCAGCACCCAGCTTCCCTCCCAATATTATTTTATAACACTGCACAACAGACAAAGAGAGTGTGAGAGTACCACAGGAGGAGTAATCAATGGCAACTGCAGGTGTCTGAATAGAGGGAAACTAAGAGAAATGAAACACAGATCCTTCCACCTCATTAGTCTTCTAAAAATATTCTCATAATACAAAGGCATGCCCCGCTAGTGTGGTATATAAATGAATGAGAAACCTAATCAAAATGGTTTTTATGAATCTTGACCACAACCCACGTACAAATACTTTGGAGATTAAAAATAGGAAAATAAATTGATGGTGCTAAGCTAGTCAAGCAGAGCAGAAATAAATGTGGAAGCTGGACAACACAAAATCAATATATCGAAAACTCAATTATCTGTGCTAATGGAGGCAGATTTTTAAAAATCTTTTCCATTGGGCTGTGAAATATAGAACAGGCACTCCGAGACAGATGAACAGGCCCAAACACTTACCCTCTTCTGAACCTGGCATTCATTCATTTTTAATTTGATCCCAACAAAACTCAAAAGGAAAGAAAAATAAAAAGATGTGAAGTCTAGGTGACCACCAGTCACCAGGGGTGACTTCACAGCCAACTTTAAACTTCCTGTTGTAAAAGGAAACACAAAAAGATAATTAACTGAATTTCATAGATAATCCATCACAGTTCATCTTGGTCAATGTACAAAACTGGTTTTGCACAGAAGTATCACCAAGTACATAGTCCCTCCAAAAAGAAATAAGAAAAAAGATAGGATGCTATCAAGGTTTTAATTACACCCCTCGATCTTACCTTGCCCACCTTCGGGAAGTGGTTCTAATAAGCAGTGAAATTTGCAAAAGGCAGGTAGCAACAAGGAAAACCAGCAAGGGATATGAATAATTAAACTTCGAAATAATTTTTTTAAACCTGGAACAATTCTTTGTTCATGTAATGATTTTTTTAAAAAAAATTCTTCTCCCCCTTACAAAAGGAAGGATTAGAATTAACCACTAACAATGTAAGCTAAGAATGGCATGAAGGGAAAAAGGAAGATACCTTCTTTCCCCACAACAGCAAAGCAGATTTATTAAGGACATCTATGTCTTTAATAAAGATGGTCTTTTGGCTGACCATTCAGCCAAAACCAATCATAAACTGTCTAATACTGACCTGGTTAGTATTAGACCAGTATCTGACTAGGATCAGGGGAGAGAGGCTCACCATGATCTAGCCACATCTAGTTGAAATTAACCTTGAAATTAACAAGAAGAAGCATCTGCTGAGGTCCTGCTATGGTCTGAATGTTTATGTACCCCACAAAAACCATATGTTGAGATTCTCACCCCCAAGGTGATGGTATTCAGAGATGGGGCCTTTGAGAGGTGATTTAAGAATGGAGCCCTCCTGTATGGCATTAGCGCTCCCACAAAAAAGCTCCCAGAGAGCTGCCATGCCCCATCCACCATTTAGAGGACACAGCTAGAAGGTGCCCTCTATGATAATGCAGGCCCTCACCAGACACCAGATCTGCTGGTGCCTTGATATTGGACTTCCCAGCCTCCAGAACTGAATGATACAAATTTCTATTGTTCATAAACTTCCCCATTTCTGGCATTTTATTATAGCAGTCTGAACACACTAAGACAGGGCGCACCAAGGACTGGCAGTCAGCATAGTGCATTAAACAAGGAGATCTCTCTAGAAGGGCTCAAAAGTCCATACAATAAATGAGTATAACTTGGTAAAGGACTAAATAAACAAATGCATGGATAGCATCGAGCTGGCCATTTACTCATTCATCAAGCATTTATCCTCAGTGTTCACAACATCATAAAGGACAGACATACATTATTTTTGTCTGCCCAACCAACTCCCCATTTTGGTACCAGCACATCAACCTTCCTGTTGTTTAATAAAGAGACATTCAGTGGCTCACACCTGTAATTCCAGCATTTTGGGAGGCTGAGGTGGGTGGATCACTTGAGGTCAGGAGTTCGAGACCAGCCTGGCCAACATGGTGAAACACCATCTCTACTAATAATACAAAAATTAGCCAGGCATGGTGGGGCATGCCTGTAATCCCAGCTACTCGGGAGGCTGAGGCAGGAGAATCGCTTGAACCTGGGAGGCGGAGGTTGCAGTGAGCCAAGATCATGCCATTACACTCCAGCCTGGGCGACGAGAGTGAAACTCTATCAGAAATAAAGAAAGAAAGACAGAAAGACAAGAAAGATAAGAAAGACAGCAAAGAAAGAAAAAGAAAAAGAAAGGAGAGGAGAGGGGAGGGGGGAGGGGAGGGCAGAAGGGAGGGGAGGGGAGGGGAGAGGAGAGAGGAGGAGAGAGGAGGAGAGAGGAGGAGAGAGGAGGAGAGAGGAGGAGAGCAGAGGAGACGCTTGGCCCATGCCTGGCCAGTAACAGCCCTGACAACTCTGGCCCCAGTAGCTGGTTCAGGATTAGGCACACGACCCAGGTGGGAACAACCAGAGCCAAGAATCATCTGTAGAACTAATATTTGCTAGGCATATAGGAAACAAGCCTGTAGCTAAGAGACACACAGAGAAAGCCTGCTTGAGAATGAAGTCATGTGAAAACAGGCTAAGACATGGCAAGAAACAGGTCTTTAATGGCATGACTTGCCCCTAGGTCCAGCCGTGCCTGAAGCTAGCACTACTTTTGGACGTTTTAGCAACATAAGCCAATAAATTTTCTTTTACACTGTCCTTATGCTGGATGAGTTTCTGTCACTTGCAAACAAATGCCCTAATACAGCACCATTGTTGAATTCTTTTAAAACCCTTTATAGGAATAATTCTTCAGCCAGAGTGCCCACCCTCAATTATAATAAAAAGTTTTTAAATATTTTTGAAATGTAACATTCTGAGACATGAATATGAAATAAGGTTGTCCCTTATTATTCCCTGCATCTTCAGAACTTTTTGATGACTGAATTATTTCCGCTTACAAAGGAAAATAAGCTTCTTGGCATAACTGATTTTTCACACCCGATCCTAATACCAGGTTGATTGGGCCTTTAGAGCACTAAAAACCTGTCTGCTCAGTTCTATTTTTGTGGATGTCAGGAGCTCACAGGATAAAGTGAAATCTGAGGGGTTTGCTGCTTGAATTCACTTCTTTCTTGAATTCATCCTCCCCCATGGAAAGGAACAGAAACCAAAGAAGGGGGTGTTGGAGTCTAAAAGCCACTCTTCTGCCAACTTCCCCAGAACACAGAGGCCAGTCATGTGGTCAAACCACAGCTGCAAAATGCTGATGTCAGCAGTGCCACTCTGTGGGTCTGTAATTGGTTCACCATGACAAAACACCATTCCAACCAGGCAACACAGACTCACCATGGCAGCCTCCACCAAGAATCCGGCCAACCCACTTTCCCTTTTTTGCTGACATCTGCCCAGGGCAGACAGTAGCACATCTGGCTGAGTGCGCATCTGACTGCCTATGCACAAGGACCCTGGGTGAGATGGGAGTACACTGAACCAGACTCTGAGTGGTGGAATCTGCCAGCATAGCATGGAGTGGTAAAAAAGGGGCAGGACTACAAGTTCAGAGGACCTGGGCCTAGCCTGGGATTTGCTACCAAAGAGGCGTAACCTTAGATAAACCATTTCACCTTTTGAGGTGTCTATTTTCTTATCTTTAACATGTGAGGAGTGGAAACAGATTAGTGTTTTTCACCGTGGGTAGTAAACCATGTAGTGGGTGATGAAATCAATTTAGTGGATCAAGACCAATATCACCCATGCAAAAAAATGATTCTAGAGGAGGGACAAGGACTATACAAGATTAGCCTGAGTACCTTGTAGTGCCGAAAAGAAAGGACATGCTAAAAAAAAATCCACAAGGATGGACTTACATCAAAGGGATACAGGAGCCAACCGAAAGCACTCCTAATAGCTAAAGCTGGACGAACTTCAGAAACAAAATAAAGTACTACTAAATTATAATCCAAAGTATATAATAAATATCAATGGATCCACACTGATTAAAAAAAACTGATTGAATAAACAAATGGAGAAGAAGAAACAAATCCGACTCACAGAAGAATGTCAAATAATTTATGTAGCTACACCACCCTCAAGGAAGTGCAGTGTAACTCCCCACTCCTTAAGTATGAGCTGTGCATAATAACTTACTTCCAAAGAGTATAGTATGGAAAGGCGAAGAAAAAATAACCATATGGTAGAGAAGCCTGACAAACACTACCTCAACCAGATGAGCAAGGTCAACATAACCAAAACTATAAATCATGCTGCTAACATATACTCTTGATATGATGTAATGAGAATGGCATTTTACCTCTGTAATCTTCTTCCCCAAAACCCATAACCCCAGTCCAATACAAGAAAATCATCAGACAAATCCCAGTGGAGACATACTCTACAAAATACTTTACCACTACTCCTCAAAGCTCTCGAGGTCATCAAACACAAGGAAAGCCTGAGAAACTATTACAGCCAAGAGGAATCTAAGGAGACATGGCAACCAAGATAATGTAGAACCCCACATGGAGTCCTGGAACGGCAAAAGGACACTAAGGAAAAGCTAAGGAAATCTGAATGAAGTATAGATTTTAGTTATTAATACTGCAACAGTACTGGTCTATTAATTGTGACAAAAGTATACTAAGGTAAGATATTGACAATGGGAAAACCACTTGGGGCATATGGGAATTTTTTGTACTATCTTCACATCTTTTCTCTACCTCTAAAACTATTCTAAACTTAAAAGTTGTTTTGTGTTGGGGGCTGTGATTAAAATAAGTAAAGTTGGACAAACATTGAGCAATACCTAAGCAGATGATCTCTAAGCTTTTTACTAGCTTTAAAGGCAATGTTTTGGGAAGTATTTTTAATAGGCATGTTGTATTAATTAATTATTGTGCTTTTCTTATTATTTGTAATTGAGACTACTGGGCCACTAAAGTGCATGAGTTCAGAAGTAGTTAGGGAAGTTATGGAAACCATTCATTCATTTATTCAACAATAAGTATGTGCTCTGTATTATGTCTTCAAAAAATATTTACTGTTAATGCATGAGCGAAAGGATTCTACATCTCCCTAATTTTGTTTTGTCTCAAAATCATTTGAATAAAATGTAGTATTTTCCAAGGAAAAAAGACAATGTAGAAGGAGCAATAAATCTACAGTAAGAAAATCTAGATATAAGTATGAGCTCAACTATTTTTGCCCCTAGGGTAAGTCAGTCATCTGTCTTCAATCTTATTTTCCTTAGTCGTCCAACAAGGTTAATAAATCCCCTGCCTACCTCACAGGGTTATTTTGTTGTGAGAAGAAACATATATTAAAGTGATTTACAAATGTGGAAGTGTTATATAAAATAAGGGGGTTATGACAATCTAATGATAACCAGAATTCTCTGGTTCTTCTCGGAATCAGAATGGACTCCAGGCTGGTTAAGACTTGGTCTTCTGCCTGCTGAACCAATGCTTGGATTTGCTAAGGGGTCCATGAACCAGAGTCAGTATCTCCTAATAACTTATTAGAATTGTAGAATCTCAGGTCCCATTAAATCAGAAACCCACTAAATCAGAAACTGTGGGGGTGGGGCCCAGCAATCTGTTTTATTAAATAATTAATTTGTTTGTTTTTGTGGAGACTGAGTCTCAGTATTCTAACCAGGCTGGTTTTGAACTCCTAACCTCAAGCAATCCTCCCACCTCAGCCTCCCAAAGTGTTGGGATTACAGGCATTAGCCACTGCGACGGACTCAACTCAAGTGTTTTACCAGTCCCTCCAGGACACTCTGACACTGCTGAGGTTTAGAACCACTTCCCTCAAGGGTGTGTCCCATTCATGTGGCCCCACCCCTCCAGCTGGCTCCCTGTCCAGCCAGAATGTTGTCTTGCCCTTGTTTCCTCCAAACCCCCTTCACATCCATTGACACCTGGCTAAGTCTCACACAAGTCATCTGAGAGAGAGGAGAAACAGTACTGTTAAAAGGATGTGGGAGGTCCATGACTTGCTAAACCTCAGCCTGAGTTAACTAGCTACAGCAAGACCCACAGATCTCGCTTCCTACAACATGGGTATTTTCCCCAGACTGGGAAGTTCTTAGCCGCGAAGAGAAATCCAGCACCTGCGGAGACCACACACTGCACATTTTACAAAAGAAACCAAACTCCCACATCCTGTCCTTCTGACCCCTAGCATCTGTCAGACAAAGGTGTCTTATCTGTGGGTCAGAAAAGGCAGTCATCTAATATAAAGATCTATCTACACCTAGCTACACACACCCAGGAAAATAAGACCTCTGGATGCCACAAACAAGTGGGGCTTCCAGGCCCTTAATCAAGGAACAAATGATGCAGAACTCAAAGTAACAAACAAGCTGGAATGTTATTTTGCCCCACGCGATCAAAGACTAGAAAAACAGGAATTACAAGTCAGAAGTATGATGCATTGGCAGGTGTGCATGAAGAAGGCCAGGCAGTCCTTTTTCTGAGCCATGTTTAGGCCAAAGTCTTTCCTTTTTGACACCCTATTATTGGTATCATTCCTTAATGACACACACACAAAACAAAATTAAAGAAGACACTGGCCCAGAGAAAGACTGAGCTGAAAACCTAATTAGGGTGGAGTTTTACACTATGTTTGTGTATATGTATGTTTATAAGGTAAAAGAACTGCTAGTACAAACACAACGCCTCTCTAAAGAGGCTGGGCTTGTTGTGCCTCATGAGGCTGATCATTATTTCCCAGGCAAAATTCATATATAAATCACATACATACAAATTTATGTCAACAAATAATCATTTTTTTATTTACCGCCACTTTGCTTATTCCCCATTCACAGTCTTCTGGAAAATATATGAAAAACATCCCCTAAGTGACTAATACATAAGATAAGCAATACACTGCCACACAGGCAAATTCAGCTTAAGAGACTGAATTTGCATGAGCCATCACAATGCCTGTTTGCAGACACTCTAAATCTGTATTCACAGGTCATCTACATTATCTCAAATTTTTATGGTAATTTTTCCTGTTTCCTATCATCCCTCCTTCCCACAGTGTACACACAGAAATCTTCCAATCATACAACATTTAATTTTTGTATTTGACTACCAGTTGAACTGATTAACACATATTCCCTTGCTCAAAACATTCTGTGGCTCTCCAATGGCCAGAGGATGAAGTAGCCATGCACCACCCTTGGGTTCCCATGAATTCTTACCCTACAGCTGCAAGGGATAACACTGTTTTCACCTTTGCTCATCACTCCCCTCTACCTGAAATGTCCTTCTCTCCCATTTCTCTACCTTTTGAAATTGTACCAGGACACTTCAAGGTCCTGCTCTATTAACACCCTTCCCATGAGATCTCTCCTGGTTTATTCTTTGACATTACCCTCCCCAACTCAACGGTTATCATGGAAAAAGTACCCACCCCAGAGAATGATTGTGAGAATTAAATCAGGTGATGTTCTTTCAAAAAGTACAGAGAATAGTGTCTCACTTCCAGCAAATACTTCATTAAGAAACTACCATTATTATTATTTTATGGTCCTCCAATCTTTGTGACTAGTTACCCTTCCCCTACCTACCTCTTGGCTTACCTTCCCCAAGGTACTACAGGCTTCCCCCTTTCTCTCCTGGGACCTGCCCCAAAGGTTCTATAGGTAAAGGCCCCCTTAACTGTCACAATTTTAACTAAACTGCTGACTCCCAGAACTGATCAACAGCTCTGCCCTCTCTCTTGCACTGTTGCTGGACATGTCTGTGCTGATACCACCCATACACTTCAAGCTCAGCATATTCAAAACCAAAAGCACTCTCTTTCTCTAAGATCTACTCATCTTCCTATTTTCCCCAGCAGTAGTCAATGGCACCATAAATAACACAGTCACATACGCCTGAAACTCTGCAGTTACTTTTTGGTTTGCTTTATATATTTACTTGGAGTAATACATTTACTTGGAATAATATTCAAAAGGTATAATTTCAACTTCACACCTATCCTGCCTTCCGTTACCCCTTCCTAGGACAGTCTGATGTTATAGCAACCTCTTGTATAATCTTCAAAAGATATTTTATATTTTTATATATACAGTGAGTACAATTAAATGTTTATCAACCAGCTCTCTGGAAAAACAAAAACAAAAATGTCCTCATGTGTTATGTTTCCTGATTTCCATGGTGTAAATACTCCCACTGTGGCTGGCTTCAAACTACCAACATGAAGTAATCAGCCAAGGGCTTGGGAAGTCACGCACAGTTGGTTCCCACATGCCGGTGTAAACTGGCTTCAGCACACCAGTTTTTTTGTTTTTTTTGAGTCGGAGTCTCCCTCTGTCACCCAGACTGGAGTGCAGTGGCGTGATCTTGGCTCACTGCAGCCACTGCCTCCCGGGTTCCAGCGATTCTCCTGCCTCCACCTCCTGCGTAGCCGGGATTACAGGCACACACCACCACGCCCAGCTAATTTTTTTATTTTTAGTACAGACAGGGTTTCACCATGTTGGCCAGGCTAGTCTTGAACTCCTGACCTCAGGTGATTCGCCCACCTCGGCCTCCCAAAGTGCTAGGATTACAGGTGTGAGCCACGGCGCCAGCCTCAGCCCACCAATTTTATCCATGTGTGCATATATGCATGAATATATGTCCATGTGTATATGCATACTTTCATATAAAATATATATTATATATGGATATTCTATACTTCACTTTTTTCTTAACTTCACAATAAATCTCACATATCATTCCATATCAGAAAATGTAGAGCTGCCTCATTTTTAACGGCTCTATTATTTTTAATTAGTACTTACTGATGAAAATTAAGTTACTTGCAATCTGGTATTTATTCAAATACTCCAAGAAACAATTTTGCATATATATCATTTTGTGAATTTTGCATATCTGTAGGATAAAGTTCTTAGGACTGTTATTGCTGATTCAAAGAGTGCATGCATTTCCAATTTTGACAGATACTGCCAATGGCTCGCTACAGTTTGGACCGATTTACATTTCCATCCACGATGTATGAATACCTGTTTCTTCAAAACTTTGCCAACACTGTTACCACATTTTGTGATGTCTGCCAACCCGATAGGTGAAAAATAGCATCTCAATGAAGTTTTCATTTGCATTTTCTCTTTTTATGAGTGAAGTTAAAGTTTTCATATGTTTATGAGTCATCTGTATGCCATTTCGTGAACTATGTGTTCAAACTCTTTGCCTTTACAGTAACTGGCCTTTCTCGTACTGATTTGTTGGAGTTCTTTATATATTGATAAAAGTAGGTCTTTGTGATATGCATTGCAATTATTTTCCTAAATGTGTTGATTGCCTTTTGACATAGTTTTTAAAAATTGACCCCGCAAAAATGATATGTAATCAATAAATCAATCTTTTATTTTATAGCATCTGGATTTTGTGTCCTATCTAGAAAGGATTTTTCATCTTATTATTAAAAGTGTATTGTATTTTTTTGTATTTCTATTTGTTTTAAAGTTTTGATCCATGTGGAATTTATTTTATTTTTTGCCTGATTTTACCAACACCATTTATTATCCCTTGTGGAATCATCTTTGCCTTCTCCCTCAACCCTACTCCCAACCCCTAGTTCCTAGGGGCTATCATTCTAACTTTCCAGTATTTTGATATTATTTGTCTTTTTTCTCCTCTCACTGTGACCATCCCAGTTCAGGTCTCATCACTTTGTGCCTATACTCCCAGCCTCTGCCCTTCTCTGTCACCACCAAAACACTTTCTGCTAAGATAGCTCTTACCGTGTCACCTCCTTGTTCACTGTTTACAGCATAGTCTTTGGAGTTACTATGGGATTTAGGACTTATACCACTTGGGCCCTAATCTACCTCTCCATTTACTTTTCCCATTACACAGTCCTTCTCTTCATCAAACCGGATAGTCCACCAACTCTTAAAATGTCATGCCTTGTTTCATCCTAGCTAACCTACCACTTCTGCCTAGAATGTCCTTCCTACCTTTCCCTTCGTCCCTTTCTTTTTTTTTTTTTTTTTTTTTTTGAGACGGTGTCTCGCTCTTGTCGTCTAGGGAGTGCAGTGGCACCATCTTGGCTGACTGCAACCTCCACCTCCCCGGTTCAAGCGATTCTTCTGCCTCAGCCTCCGAGTAGCTGAGATTACAGGTGCCCACCATCATGCCCAGCTAATTTTTGTATTTTTAGTAGAGACTTGGTTTCACCACGCGGCCAGGCTGGTCTCGAACTCCTGACCTCAGGTGATCTGCCTGCCTCAGTCTCTCAAAGTGCTGGGATTATAGGCGTGAGCCATCGCACTCAGCCCCTTCATCCCTTTCTTTATCTCAATCCCATGTGCCCTTCAAGATGTGTCTCAAACACTCAACTTCTCTGCAAAAGCATCTCCCTCACTCCTCCTGAGCTCCTATAGCACTTTAATATCTTGTTTATATAAGTAGAGAAAAGATGGATCAATATATAGAGATATAGATACAGATAGATAGATATAAAAAACACAATTGTAGAGAGAAGGAGGAGTGCTATAAACATATATATCCCGAACTGAAGTGAATATTCTTTGAGGTCGGGGCTGTGGCTAATTAACATTTGCCTGCTCCCTACTTCTAGGTAGCACCTTGTACATAATAAATTGTTTTTAATAAAACGAAAATGTCTGGGGCTTAAAACGTTAGTGTGCATCATAATCACCTGAAGGGTTAAAACCAGTTTTCTGGACTCCACCCCCAGAGTTTCCAATTCCATGGGTTTGGGCCCCACCCAAGTTCTGCTAACAAGTTCCTAGATGACACTGATACATCTCCTGGAGTCACACTTTGAAAACCACTGCTTCAGACCGTTCCTCAAACCTCAAAGTAAAAGCCTTTAGAAAACCGGGGCAAAATGTGTCCAAAAGTCTCATGGACAAGAAAATCCTCTCAAACTGGGTGTCACCTAGTTATGTATAGATTTCATCCTGTCTACCCTGTCCAGCTCAAAGAGGCAGTGGCCCAAGGCCCCAGAGGCAGGTACCACAGGAACTACATCCATCCTCTGATCCTCGGACTGCCAGTCCAGTGCTGTTCAGCACACAGAGGGGGTCTCTAATCAAGGGCTTGGCAATAGAGGCCGAAAGACCTGACTGTACCCCAGTTCTGCCACTTGCTGTGTGCGTGATCATAGGAAAACTACTTCGCCCTCTCTAAGCCTGGATAACCAGGGTTCTTTGGGTGGAAGCAACAGAAAACAATTTGGTAAATGAAGCCAAAGAAAATGTATTAGAAAACAAATCAGTTCAAGGAACTAAGAGGAGGCTGGAGAGGCAAGCCCGGGCACAGCTCCGTGGAATGGAAAGCTACACCACAACAAAGCTGTATGCACAGATGGTCTGGCCATGACACATCTCGCAGCAGACTCTCCATGACCCTCCCACACCCAGAGTCCAGAGAGAGGCATGTGACTGACCTGGCTCACAGGGCCACAGCTGAGGGGAATGGGGCCCCTCCTTCTGGTCCCAGCAGACTATATCCAAAGGCAAGAAGTGACTTCTCAAATGGAAATCAGGAAGGGTAAAGGGATGTTGGAAAAACCAAACAGCAAGTGACTGCTCGCTAGCCTCTGTTTTATCAGTGATAAACTGGAATGATAGTAACCACTTCCTAAGTGATAAGATCTAACGAGGTAGCGTAAGTAAAGCACTTAGCCTGGCACATGGAGAGCGCCCAACAGCTACTGGCTGCCACTGTTATCACTGTTATTCATAATTACCTCCACCTTCAAAGGAAGGATGGTTTCCCATTCCCTAATAGCTCCAACAAGCTCCGAAGGAAACCTCAGTTAATTCTATATATGCCAGGAATTTGCATGAAGCAGCCCTACACCTGAGAAAAACCCAAGTGGGCTTCCCTGTATTCTTTTAGGCTTCACATACCCCTAACCCACTTTGCCTCAGATGCCAGACAACTAAGCTACACTAGAATCTAGCCAGCAAGTTATTTTAAGCTACATGCAGGGCTATGCTGGAGGACAGGTTGCTAGATATCATTGCGTTTCTGCTATAAAGGTGTTAAAAACTCAACTTTGGATTCAACTCCCATTAGCAAATAAACAAACCTGTGTGTCGCATCAGAGAGAGAAATTCAAAACCTCAAATCAAAAGAGGAGTTAAGGCCTCCTCCCACTCAGTTCTACATGGCCTCCAGCAATGGCAGAAAGACACAAAAGGGCAGGACTCTGCTCATCTCATCCTCCTTTGAGGATTCCCCAGCCACATTCTCTTTTCTCTTCCTTCAGCAACCTGAATCACAACCTACAGAAAAATGGAACCTTTCTCTCCAGGGTCCCAATTAAAAGCCAGACTCATTCCCTTTGAGCCACATCTCCCCACTGTAATTAATGAATTCTCTGCAACTCTTTAATGTCTATATCCCCTTCTAGTCTGTAAGCTCCTTGAAGGGAGGTTCCACATCTGTTCAATTCATCGCCACATCCCCTGCACCCAGCCTGGTGTCTGGCACATGGCATGTGCTTAATAAATATTTGTGAAACGTATGAGCAAAAATCTTAGCGCATGCTTTAATTCTAGGGAGGCATCTACTTCAAATTTAATAAGAGTTGCTGAGATTAAAAAATATATACATACATAAATATACACACACATATATATACATATATGTAGATTAAAATATATATATTAGCTTTAGCTTCTAAACATTTCAGATGACTGTCCACCACAAATTACTTGGGGAGGGAGAAATATTTGTTTTATAAGATGTAAACTATAATTTTAAAGTTCTTGTAACTATTACAATATTTGATATCAAGACAGGAAACCAGTGTGGGAATCTTTACAAGTACTACATTTTAATACATATTTGGAGAAATGTTACATTGAGGAAAGTATCTGACCCACACAATACTAAAAATAAAGATTTTAGTATTTTAACTGTAGAGGGTAAACAAAATAGCAAACTTTAGTTATAGTAACTGTCAGAGATCCTCTGCCAATCCCACACTGGATTGCTCATTGCAATTTGATTCTGCTCTGCTTTACATTTAAGCTATTTTTTTAACTCAGATCTACTCTCACACAATCTCAGAAATCACAGATGAAAATTCCACTAAGATTGTTCATCCAGCCCACACCCACTCAGAGAACTGGGCTGATTACCTCAGATATTTTTTTCATAAGTAAACACAGACATATAGACAGCAACATAATTTTCATCTAAAGAAACTTTTATGAAAGAAATTTGCTTCTTGGCTTTAAACCCACACAATATTATTATTATTCCCTAAGAATCATATTCCACTCATACTCAAGGGGTCTTGGAGCATCTAGAAACAACCATATTCTGGCTCTCAAACAACAGACTTAGGTAGAGGCAGTTATAAACCAAGTCCAGAGAAAATTCAATTTCAGGGGTACAAACAATGTGGCTAAGAACAAGGAAATTACCAGTGAGTCTTCTGTATTTTTCCAAGATGAAGGAAATATATCACCAACTTCAAAACAAAATCATTTAGATTAATAACTAAAGAAGCAATTCTTCACACTGCTATTCCATTTATTATTATAAAAGAATTTTTAAATGTTCACATAGCTTAAATAAGCCCAGGAATGATATTGGAAGGCTACAGCCTGCCTGCACAAGCTTCTGCAAAGAAGCATCTTTGAAAAAAATCAATATTTCCCAATCCTTTCATACCAGAGGAATCCTTTATAAAAAATATTATACTCCAGACTTTAAAAAAGATGACTTTGATATTTCTAAACTTTTTATGATGAAAAATTTCAAACATGTACAAAAGTATAGCACTGCACTGCCCAGCTGAAATGTAATAGGAGCCATAGATGTAATTTTAATTTCTTAAGTAGACAAAGAGTAAAAGAAAACAAGTTAGTTTTAATTACACAGTATTACAATATATTCAAAATATTATCATTTCAACACGTGATGTTTAAAAATTGAGGTATTTTTACATTATTTTTCATACTAAATCTTTGAAACTCAGTGTATGTGTTATCCTACGGCGCTTCTCAGTAAGGACTAGCCACATTTTAAAGGCTGAATAGCCACATGCGACCAACGGCTGCCTGGCAGACAGCACAGATAGAGAATTCATCACCCAGTTTCAACGATCGTCAGCTCACGGACAGCCTTGTTTCCTCTGTACTCCCTCCTCACCCCCAGATTATTTCAAAGCAAATCCTAAAAACTGTAGCATTGCAGCCATGTTCAAAGTTCCTTGACTCTTTTTAACAGTTCGTTTGTTCAAATCAGTAGGTAAACCATCAACTATGAGGACCTCTTTTTAACGACAACACATTTTGCTGACTGCAACATAATAGGAGTTACACTTTTAGTAAAATGCTGCAGTCATCTGAATGTTTATTACGCATCTATCTTGTGCCAGGTTCTGTTCTAGCCCCAAGATAAAACAGCGAACAGGGCCCAAAGGAACTTCTGGACTACACATTAGGGTCACATTAGAATCAAACTTTTTTAGAAATGCCAGTCCCGTCAGCTAGCAAATAGATAAATAAAACCGTGGTATATACATACAATGGGGTATTACTAGGCAATAAAAAGGAATGAAGTACTGATACATGCTACAACAGAAATTAACCTTGAAAACAACATACTAGGTGAAAGAAGCCAGACACGAAAGGCCACATACTATATGACTCCCCTTATATGAAATGTCTAGAATAGGCAAATCCATACAGGCATAAAGTAAATTAGTGGGTGGGGATTAGGGGAATGGACGGGCAGTATGGGGAATGACTGGTAATGGGTGCAAACTTTTTTAGAGGGTGATAAATGTTTTAAAATTATGGTGATGGTTGCACAACTCTGAATATACTAAAATCCATTAAATTTTGTACCTTTAAACGGATGACTTGTATAATATGTGAATTGTGTCTCAATGGTGAGTGGTGAGCTATGAGTCTAGACAGGGAAGCAGGAGCCAATTCAGAAAGGGTCTTTCAAATCTGCTTTAAAATGTGAAATATTCATTGATCCATAAAATATTCACAAAAATTCCATTTGAATTCCATAACAATTTTAGTACATTTTTAGTAACAGCATTACCGTAGATATGAAAAAATAGTACATAACATAGGCAAAATATTTATTCTACAGACAATGATTACTACATGTGTGAATTTGAGATCTCCTTGCAATATCTCCTTGGTCCAAAGATGAGAGCAACCAGAACAGGTGCTTTTCATGGACTTAACAAGGAATTCTGTTACTTCGACATAAAATGATGATGGCATATTCTATTGCTTCATCATAAAATGATGATGGCATATTCGTTGTTTCATCATAAAATGATAAAATACTGTGGATCAAAACAAATCAGAAAACTAGAAAACAAAATGTCACATTCCAATTAACTTTTCACAGAATACTCTAACAAAATTTAAGCAAATATAATTAATACTTTTTTCAATTGAGCAGTTACTATAGATAGGACACCATGTTTAGTGATGTGAGGAATAGAAACCTAAGGAATACACACTCACCCTGCCTTCAAGGCATTTAAAATCTAGTAAGGGAGGCAATAAGTTTGAATACATTACTAGCACAGGAGGCAACAGGGTGAGAGGAATAGGGGAAGATAAAAGGTAAGAAGTGCTGAAGGAAGGAAGGACATCAGCAACAGAGTTTGTGATCAGAAACTGAACTGGGAAGTTTCTCATATTTTAAAAAAACAAATGATCTGGGAAATTGGGTTTAGAGAGATTATGCTGACAAAAGCAGTTTATGAGTTCAGCTTTGAAAGACTTAGGTTTTCACACGGAGAGAACAGAGAGCTTTCTAGGCAACAGGAGTGCATGGACAAAGGCAAAACGCTTTGTTGATTAATAAAACTCAGACTACCAGCTCACAGGGGTGGGGAATGATAGGATGAGGCCAAAGCTGAGCCCAGTCTGCTGGATCGTGACTTTAGGCTAAGGAATCTATATGCAAATAAGTAGAGAAAATAACTTGGGGATTGAGTCTGAGATCCACCATATGTTAGTTGCAAAGCAGTTGTGAACTTAACTTTTCCTAGCCTCATCTGGAGACTGGAGATATAATAACAATGCCTGCTTTGATATTGCCCTGAGGATTAAATGCAATAATGCATGTACAGGAACTTCTGACAGCACCCGGCACATACAAGTTCAGCACCTATTACTACTGTTATTAATGTTATTATTCACTATGTAAGCCACCCAAGAATTTTTAACAACATAATGACAGTGCTTAAATAATTTACCTGACCATGGAAAAAACAGAGACAGAGGTAGGAAAACCCACCTGTAGACAATGTTAGGACAGAGTGCATAAGTCCCTAAGACCCTGAACTAAGATGCTGCAGGGCCTCCAGGAAAGGACCAATGTGAGAGACACTGAGACAAGAGTTAGGGTGAGCCTGAAGGTGATCTGAACAGTAGTAATTGGAAAGTCAAAAAAAAAAAATTCCAGAAGGGGCCAGAAAGCTGATGAATGTGTAAATTTAGACAGGAAAGGAATGTGCAGAGAACCATAAACAACTCTCAATTATGCATGGAAGACTTTTTCCACCTAACAGTTTCCATCTTCCCTGGTATCCTACACCTCAATCTCTTCCTCAGGCATTCTAGGTTGCAGGGTTCTCCAACCCTCCCTGGAGTACTACTGAAATAGAATTAACAAATAGGAAAATACAGTACTGCCGAGAAGCACATTATAAATAAAACTGCATTATCCAGACTCTTATGCAGGGGGAAATGTTACACCAGCACCCAAACTGGAATGAAGTGGAAGAAAGAAGGAATCACTAATTCCTTCCCCATCCTCTGTTTTGCCATGAGCCCCTTAGGTGGTACCCATGCCACTCTTCCCCAACTTCTCACCCTCAGTGTCAGCGTAAGAGTAGAGAGTTGAAATGTAGTTGTTTTACTGAAAGCCTACTGCAGGAGCTTTTGGAATTAGTAGCAGTTTCTAACTCTCTACTCTGCATTAGAGAACAGAGGAACTAGCTGGCTTTCCAGCGCTTTCTTTAAGAGGTATAAAGCATTACTGTTCAGGGTTCATTTACCACAATGGGTAAAACAAATCAGATTTCTCTTTAGATTTAGATGAAAGGAGGATTTCCTTTCCTTCTGTATTAAAAGTCCCCAGTCTATCAGGCCCACAAACCATAAACCCAAGCACAAAAATCAATGGCAGTAAGAGTCTCAGGGATTCTGAAAACAGTACATCTAGACACTTGATATCAGCACCAGAAAGTTTACAGCCCAATCTCAGATGGTTTTAATATTTGTATCACTGGATTCTATCATGAGTTAACATCTAATTAGTGGGGCGAGAATTGAAGTCAGACTATTAAAAAATCTAGCTCAGCAATTTACTGGTGACCTTAGGCAAGTTCCTAAACCTCGTTTTCCAATTCTTCACCTGAAAAATGGAGATAACCTCACAACAATGCCCAGCAAGACGGTGAAAATTAAGCTTACGGGCAGGGCGCGGTGGCTCACGCCTGTAATCCCAGCACTTTGGGAGGCCGAGGTGGGCAGATCACAAGGTCAGGAGATCGAGACCACCCTGGCTAACACGGTGAAACCCCGTCTCTACTAAAAATACAAAAAATTAGCCGGTCGTGGTGACGGGCGCCTGTAGTCCCAGCCACCCGGGAGGCTGAGGCAGGAGAATGGCATGAACCCGGGAGGCGGAGTTTGCAGTGAGCCGAGATCGCGCCACTGTACTCCAGCCTGGGCGACAGCGTGAGACTACGTCTCAAAAAAAGAAAAGAAAAAAGAAAATTACAGCTTACTGCAGCCTGGGAGTATCTGGCTTATGATGTAACTATTAACGATTACTGAAAATATATCTCAATAATAAAACAGTAAATCTTTTGGCTAAGCCATAGCTTTTGATACAAATAAAGCTAAATGCCTATTAACTAATGGTGGAAACCACATTTTAGTTTATTCGAAGAGGTCAAGCACAATAGAGACAAAATGGGCTGGAATCCTAGTTCTGCCAGGATAACCTTGGCAACACAGGTTAACCTGCTGGACCCTCAATTTCCCATCTGGTTAAAAATACCTAGCTAACAGACTTCTGTAAGTTTAATGCGGTAATGTACAAAAGTTCCTAGTATTGCTATTTGTTAATTTTCCCAACAGTAAAAAAAGGATAAAGATGAAAATCAAAATCAGCTATGAAATCCTCATTCCTCATATTTACAGAGAAGGTTTCATTTATTCATTCTATAAATGTTTACTGCAAACCTACTGCGTGTTCTTGACACAGGGGATCAAGTGATGAACAAGACAGACAAGGTCTCTGCATTCCTGGTACTTACATCCTAATGAGGGAAGGCAGATAACCCAATAACCCAAAGAGACAATTTCAGAGAGAAATTTAAGTGCTATGAGCAACAGCAAACGGGTGATGTGGCTTGGCTGGAGGGGATGGTCATTTAGCTTGGATGCATAAGAACCTAGGCCTGCTTGACTGATCTCCTTTAGCCAAGTATAGTCCTTTAGCCAAGGACCTCACCTTGTATGATACTTGCGGGGTACAGTGCAGATGATGAGAAGCCAGGCCTTCGCTTTCACCCATCTGTGGAAGTATCTCTTTTGCAGCTGTAGTTTAAAATATTTCTAAATGCCCTCATCCCAATACTCAAACTCTGAGGGTCAGAGCAACACCTAGGGGGTCTCAAGCACCTCTGCGCAGTACGCAGACACATGGAAACCGACAACTTCACAGTCCCCTCAGCTCCAAGAGTCCCGACTGAGGAGACTGGTGGCTTGTGAGGCGGAGAAGGACAAGCACAAGTGTGCAGAAGGCAGCAAGCAAGTTGCGTTGCCGAAGGAAGGGCGGCGCGCCCCTGCTTAAGAAGTATCTGGACGACCTGCGACAGTGCCCATCAGCGACTCCAGAGGCCACAAACGCTCCCCGGGAAGCTGGGCAGCGCTAAGAGGCTGCCTGGGAGTTTCTGGCTTATGATGACAGTACTTAAAGAATTTACCTGACCACGGAATAAACAGAGACAGAGGTAGGAAAACCCAACTGTAGACAACGTTCAGACAGAGTGCATAAGTCCCTAAGACCCTGAACTAAGACGCTGCAGGGCCTCCAGGAAAGGACCAATGTGAGAGACACTGAGACGAGAGTTAGGGTGAGCCTGAAGGTGATCTGAACAGTAGTAATTGGAAACTAACAAAAAAAAAAAATTCCAGAAGGGGCCAGAAAGCTGATGAATATGTAAATTCAGACAAGAAAGGAATGTGCCCTGGGCCTCCAGCCCAGCACCGGGGAGCTGAGCAAGCCGGGGTTGGGAAGGCGGGCGAGCGGAGCGCCTGCCCCGCGAGCGTTGTCTCAGTCTCTCCGGCGCGCCCCATCCCGCGGATGTGGTAAAGCTTCGCGCTCGCCCCAATTTACCAGGCTTCCTGAGCCTCTAGCCCCGGCGTAGCGCCTCCCCGCTGCCCAGGACAGCTCCGCGCGCCGCGTCCTCCCGCACCTGCGCCGCGGCCCCTGCGCTCGGCTCCTCCTGGCGGTCAATCCTCTGAGCCGTCCCTCGAGGGAAGGTGTCCTGGGGTGGGTGAGACCCGGGTCCTCCTTCCCCGGGAGCTGCAGCCGGCACCCAAGCTCCCAGGCTTGGGTCTGCCCCAGGGCCGGAGCCTCCCCGGGCGACTCGGACAGACCCCGGTCCGGCAGAGAACCGCGGCGCCCCGCAAACAGCAGCCCTTCCGAGCCCGCGCCGCCGCCAGGCCCCCCGACACCCAGGCCCCATTTAGGCGGGCGCCCCGCCACTCACCTGAGCGCTGTGCAGCCGGAGACGCTCCCTAGTTCCCCGGGGCCGGGCTCCGGGGTTAGCGCACAGAACCGGGAGAAGGCAACCCCGGCTTCTCCGGTACCCCCGCAACGTGCAGCTGACAGCTCCCGCACCGGCCGCAGGAGTCGGGGGCGGGGATGGCCACTTGCAGACAGACTGCGGGGCCGGAGCCGCGCTGCGCACCGGCCGCGAAGCGCTCAAGTCCCCTCTCCCGGGCCGGCTGGCGGGCGCCACCAGCACGCGGCCAGTTCTGAGTACTTTGCCCAGAACTTCTCGGCGCGCGCCGCCCGGCGATTAGCCCGAGGAGCCGCGCAAGGGCGGGAGCGCAGGGGAGGGGCCTGAGAGGCCCAGGGGCGGGGCCCCGAGGGGGCGGGAGGGCGGCAGAGTGATGCACAATCTCACCAATCAGAAGTCGCCTTTCGGGAAGGAGGTGGGGCGATGTCCTCGGAAGAAGCCAGCGGATTCCATGACGCGGCGGGGGAACTAGGGACCCCGGATTCCGGATGGGTTGGGAGGGCGGAGGGAGGCGAGTCCTGCGGCGAGGCACTGGGTGGGGCTCCCGGTGGCCCAGCTCGGTGCCTGCGCGCGGTAGGCGTTCGGTAAATGTTCCTCTAGTGGCTTTTCCGGGCCAGGGAAGGAGGAAAAAGTGAGGGCAGCGCGGGAGGGGCAGGTTTACGGAGAAGGCTCCAGGGGACCCTTGCGGTCGCACAGGCTAGGAGAACTCGACCTCCCGAGAAAGTCAGACTGTGGCAGAGGAGTCGAGAACAGAGGAAATACATAGGGAGGCAGCACTCTAGGCACGAGATGACAAAGGACAGCATCAGTGTGAGACCCGGGGCTCGGAGACCGTGACCCTACCTCCAGAGGCAGTCGTGCAGATTCGTGCCGGGGTGATTTTGTTCTGTGCAGTTTATGTGCAAGGGGGTAGGAGGTGGGGAGAGCACCGTCGTTACTATTAAATCTCCCTGAAAGACGGAAAAGTCCACCCGACTTGACTTCCCACTAGCCCAATGGCCTTCTTTGATCCTAGGACGAATGCAAGCAGCTGATGGTTTGGGGTCAGTTTGCAGACTGCAAATGTGTCGAGTGCCGCAGGTGGCGGGTGGGAAGGGCATGAGCATTTAGTGAGCACCTAGTATATGCCAGGAGCAGTTGCGAGCTTGCAACTGTGAGAAAGGCGCACCAGGCTCCAGTACTCACGGGGCTTGCATTTTTTGTGGAAAGACAGACAATAAAGAAGAGAAAATACATATCTATGCAAAAAATAAAAGGCTGACAGACTGTTAGTACTGAGAGGAGGGCCAAGTCCACTTTCGAAAGTGGTTTAGCGCGTGATGGGGCGCTCACCCTGAGGGCCTCTAGGCGAGGGTGGCTTTTACCCAGATTCCTGAGCCTGGGAAAGGAGCTGCCACACCCAGTCTCGCACAGAGCGTTCCAGGCGAAGGGAATAGCAAATACAGGGTATTTAGCCTCCCTGAAGACCCAACTAACCGACCTCACCGAGCTGGGCACCGCGCGTGGCTCGCTGGGCTCAGCGCCTGGGACGGAGTAAGGGCTCCACAGTGTTAAATCCCCCTGCCAACCACCACCTGCAGCGCTCGACGCATTTTCAGTCTCCAAACTGACCCCAATTCAAGGTTTCTGAGACTCTTTCCGGAGCTATTCTGTTCACATTTCATTCACCACGCTCAGATCTTCGCTTTCTGGAACCATCCCCCTCGCGAAATGTCTGGGACTGTCTGTTTCGGATCTGGCAGGCGGCGGGCGAGGGCGGGAGGCGCCAGAGATGCTGCCGAGCAAATCCACTGTCATGCTGCCCACGTCGGCACACGGAGAAGCTTATTGGAGAAGATTTCAAATCGAATGACTCCGCGGTTCCTAAACCACCTCGCAAAGCCCGACCAGCGCCAGGTGGCTGGACGGGTAGTGGAAGGACGCGTCTGGCAGGCGCGCGGACCGTCCAAGGAGGCACCTTGCCCACGCCCAGCCCCGCCGTCGGAGCAGCTTAGACTGGGTTTTCCCAAACCTCCTTCCGTCTTTCTGTAATTTCTCTCTGAGAGAGGCTTGCTCTGTCCTCCTCCTGCCAGTCCCTTTCCTCGTTCAAGCTATTTTCTTTCTTTTTCTTTTGCTCTCCACCTTCAGCCTCTCCGCCTGTTTCTTTAGCATTGGTTTTTCTGTAGGAGACAAGCCTTCAATCCGAAAGGAAGTGATTTGCATAGGGCTTTGTTGTTTAGCATCCCGTTCCGAGCTTTTTCATTAATGTCTTCCTAATCAAATAATAATAGAGTGTACATTCTCTCTCTCTCTCTCTCTCTCTGTGTGTGTGTGTGTGTGTGTGTGTGTGTGTGTGTGTGTGTGTGTACTTGAGGCAGTTAATTGGACAGGATGAGAGAATTATTCACATTGTGCCTTGTCTCCAAGTAAAGGAGGAATCGTACTGTGGCTTTTCATAGTTTCATTTCCTCTTCTACTCCTAAATAAACTTCCAGGCTCTCCAGCTCCTAAAATCAAAAGGAAAAAATAAAAATAAAAGTTGAAACCCACGCAGAGCTAATTATTCTTGAAAAAGTTTGTTAATGTTCTAAAATCAGCTTTCTCCTCAGCGTCTTATTTTAAAATAACGATTTGAATGTCTAATAAAGACCAGTGGTTCCATATTAAGAGTTCCTAGAGACCCTCTTCTTTGAACTGTTGAACAAATAATTTTTCTCTTTGGAGACAAGCCCACCACAGTGGGAATTTTTCACATGTGACACAGTGGTCTTAGCTTCTGAAATTGGTAATAGGTAAGCGGGTGCTACTTGAGTTTGCATGTTTTGATAGTAAAGGAAACTGAGGGCCTCTAGAATCAGACTACCTCAGTTCCTGTCTTGTGATGACCACCTGATTCTGCAATCACCTTTCCTTGTCTGTAAAATGGAGATATTTATGTAGCTGCTGGACTACAGGAAGAGTTTGATCATCCATTTGCAAACAATTTCCGCATAGTCTAGTGCAGAGTTCTCAACCTCAGCTCTATTAACATTTTAGGGAGATAATTCTTTCCTGCTGGAGGTAAAGGTTGGGGGGGTGCTGTCTTGTGCATTTAGCAGCATCTCTGGCCTCCACCTACTAGATTCAAGGAACACCCTGTCCTCCCCAGTTGTAACAACAAAAAATCTCCAGACTTTTGCCAGAAGTCCTCTGGAGGGCAAAATCCCCCCTGATGAGAACCACTGGCATAACACATAGTACGTGCCTGCAGGAGGCGATATAGGGAAATGCTTATGGATATGGGTTTCTAAGGTGTGAACCTCAGGCAAATTTTGTTTTCTTAAGCCTCATCTGTAAAATAGGAATGATAATAATGCTAACTTCTTAAAGTTGTCTAAGGATTAAATACAATTGTGAATGTAAAAGCAATTTGCATAGTGCCTGGCACATGGTAAACTCAAAAGACTCAAAAGCTTCTGGTCTCATTTTTTTTCCTGTGAAGAGAAGGCATTGGGCTAAATTAGGGATGACACATCTTGACTTATTTGCTGCCACTTTCCTCCCGCCTTGTAGCAGACATCATTATGGCAGTCAAGGCTGCCTTATCCGCTAAGTCCAAATAGAGCCTCAGAATCGTTCTCAACACTGCGAGAAGCTGCCACTGATAGGCCAAGATCAGCATGTAAGATAATGCTGAATTGCCATTCTGGGGCTAGATGAACTTTAAGATCCCTAATAGTGTCAGTCTTCTGATATGATTACAAGTGAGGAGGAACTATTGTTTATCACTTCATCAACTTCTTTTATGAAGGGGTGGCGGAGCAAGGCCCAGAAAGTTGCTAGTGTCTTGACCATAATCATACAGCCTATGAATGGTCAGAGGCTAAGTCTCCTCTTAAAGAGCCATCTTTTTGCCACATCTACTGCCTATGGAAAGTGGGAAAAACACTTGTCTAAAGCAGAGTTGCCACCCTCTCCACCCTGTACAGCCCTACTCATCTTCTTCCTCCTTCACTTTTATCTGAAAAATGAATCAAAGTATTTAGTTGCATATGAACACCTTGTAAGCATTCTTTTACAACTGTTAGTATAATTCTTGACAAGGATTGTTCAAAAATTCACCAATTCCTTTATTAAATATAGATTGCCTGCTTTGTGTAAGGGATCATTCTTAGCAAGCACTTTAAAGTGAATAAAAATGAATCAGTGAGTGTCCCTTCAGTGCTTTTGTAGTTTTCTATATTGGGCAGATCAGATGTGGACATAAATAACTACAACACAAGCTAAAAAATGGAAGATGTCCTAAGAGGTACCAAAAATGTGTTCAGAGCAGAGAGAAATTATTTTGGGAATTAGGAGCAGAGAGCCATTTCCTGCATGTCTTTGTTAACGTTTTTAACTTTTGAACAAAAATGTATTTATTACAGTAAAGTTATCCTTGTAGAGGAAGTTGCAACATTGTTAGTTTTCCTGGTTCAGATATATTTCCTGCTTAGTTTAAGTCAATACGATCAGTGCAACTAAAAGTCACAGATTATTCTAATTCTAAATTGTTTTTCATCAGCTGTTTACAATTTCTGGGACATTCTAGAGGAAGATTGCTCACCTTTAGTTTCCTTTCTTTTCTTTTCTTTTTTTGTTTTTTTTTTTTTGAGACAAGATCTCACTGTTGCCTAGGCTGGAGTGCCGTGGTGGTGTTCCCAGACCAAACTAAGTGTTGGGCTGCTATTTCTCGTGGCCCAATAATGAGATGCAGATGAACTGGGGAGGAAAAGAGTTTTTATTTTTGCAACTGGGTACGGGGAGAAGGCCTGGAGATCATCGCCAGACCAACTCCAAATTACAAAGTTTTCCAGAGCTTATATACTTCCTAAGTTATATGTCTACATGTAAGTATGCATTCATCTAACACATAAGTAATTAACTTCTTTTAATCTGTAACTAAGGTCTGAGTCCTGAAGACCTTCCTCTGGAGCCTGAGTAAATTTACTTAATCTAAATGGGTCCAGGTGCTGGAATGATTACCCTTATCTTGTCTCCTGCTAAAGCATGGAAGTTTGGGGAGTTCCTTCCAACCCCCCCAATAAGCTTGTTTGTGGAAGCCTGGGGAGTTTCTTCAGACCCACAATAAAACTTGTTTAATCCTAAATGAGTCCTGTTAAGAATTCCTTCATTATTTTGTCGTGCTTTAAGTCCCAGGAAAGGCCTAGGCAAAACTCTTGGTGGGCTTTTCTTACACCTCAGCCTTTGTATAAGGGCACTGGCTTTTAATATTTAAATTATCCACTCAGTCAGTACTGAAACAGTTGTTATGGAGGCCTGCATTAGTGAGACCTGGCTTGCCACAGTGTGATCTTGGTTTGTCACAACCTCTGACTCCTGGGTTCAAGTGATTCTCATGCCTCAGCCTCCCCAGTAGCTGGCACTATAGGCACACACCACCACTAACCACACCCGGCTAACTTTTGTATTTTTTGTAGAGATGGGGTTTCACCATGTTGCCCAGGCTAGTCTCAAACTCCAGGGCTCAAGTGATCTGCCCGCCTTGGCCTCCCAAAGAACTGGGATTACAGGCATGAGCCACTGCACCCAGGCCTCCTTTGGTTTCAACAGGCTAGCTTTCTCCCAAGCATTTGACAGAATCAGGTTTGTTAGCATGTTATACTGTGAAGCATAGGCTACTTGTAAAAAGGAATATAACATGGGCTTAGGGACACCAATGTCATACACATTATTAAACCATGAAACAATATTCCCTTCACGACTGAACTACCTCAGAATTTGGGGTGAGCATTTAATTATCCTTTAGTTTCTGTCTCTGTAGCACATAGACATACTATATTATTATCTGCTGTATATCCTAAGTGTAATAATAATAGCCCATGCGTTTTAAGCATTTATGTGCCAGGCATTGCCAAACTGGGCTGCCAATTGCCATAGCTCCTGCCACCATTAGGAGGCCGCCTGTCAAATCAGAAAGATTTGGCAGAATTGCCAGAACCCTACTCCTTCTGTTACAAGCCACACCAGCAAAAAGTGTGCTTTGAATCCTGCTTCTTCCTTTATTACCTCTTTCCTGAATTCATGTCTTATGTAAGTGCATTGGGTTGGTACCTTCTAAACCACATCTGCAAATCTAACTGCGGGGGATTTGCAATGCAATTTTATCTCTCTGGCCTCTACACTATAGAAAAGCATATTAGAAGGAAATTGGGTTAGAAGTTGAGTGATCCAAGCCACAGCATTCACCATATATTTTCCTCCAAATCTCCAACAAATATGTTGGCAGAAAAAGTCGTTATGTGTTATGCTTTCGAGTATGTTTCCTTTTTTATAGAGTAACCCAGAAGACCTTTGTGAATTCCCCCTCATTTCCCATCTCCATATCCACTAACATCACCACTGTAGTATAAACCACCATCGTTTCTTGCCTGGAAAATTGCAACAGACCAGGAGCCACCATTGCTCTTACTATAAGCCCTTCTCTACTCTGAAGCCAGAGTGATTTTTTTTTTTTTTTTTTTTTTGAAGCTGGGTCTCACTCCACCCTACAAACTGGAGTGAAGTGGCAGGCAGAATCATGGCTCACTGCAGCCTCAAACTCCTAGGCTTAAGCAATACTCATGCCTCAGCCTCCCGAGTAGCTGAGACTACAGGCACACACCACCATGCCTGTCTAATTTTTGCATTTTTTGCTAGAGATGGGGTTTCACCATGTTGCTTAGGCTGGTCTCAAAGTCCAGGGCTCAAGCTGTCAGCCCACGTGAGCCTCCCAAGATGCTGGGATTACAGACATGAGCCACTATACCTGGCCCAGAGTGATTTTTTTTTAACCCAAATCTGATCATGAACATCTTCCACAGTTTCCCATTGCTCTTAGGATAAAGACTAAACTACTTACATGGTTCTCAACGTTCCACGTGGTCTGACATCTAACCAGCTTCATCCTGTGTCAAGTTCCCCCTTCTTCCTTTCCCTTTCTCCACATTGATCTGCTTCCAGGACTTTGTTCCTTCCAGGCATGGGGCATTGGGACAAACTTGCCCCACTCTCTGCTGGAATATGCTGTTCCTTTCTCTTCATTTAGTTAACGCAGACTTCCTTCAGACCTCCTTCAGTCATCTGTTCCTCTGGGAAGTCCTCCTTGACGTTCACAGTCAGGTCAACTCAGCCTATCATTGCTCTGGTTGAAACTAAGTTGTGTGTGTTTTTTGGAGGGGTGTGGAGGAGTTGTTTGTTTTGGTAGAACCTATCACAGTTGAAATTATGTTTATTTTTTGTGATTTTTCTGATTAATTTCTGTCTTCTAGCTGGATTGTAGGCTCCACAACGTGAAGATCATGTATATTTTTAGTCTCCTGCCAACCTAAATAACAAACAGAGAGGCTCTCTAAAAGAAAATGATATTTATTCATGGATAGGGCATTCCAGTGGGAGTATGTGTGCCATAGTCACCTATGTGTGTATTCAGGGAGGTAAAGGCTTTTAAGGGAAAAGTGAAGAGCATTACATTAATTGTTTCTGAGATAATTATCCTTGGCTTCAAGGATCAATAACAAAGGTGGTGCCAGTTTGAGGTTGGACAGGCAGTTGCTGGGTAGACACCCTTGCAGAGGTATTTTTTTGTGCAAGGTTGTGGTTTCTGCAGAGTCTTTGGGGACAGTTCTGGGTATCAGGCATACAAGCCTGGGAACTCTCCCTTCATGGCTTTCCCCACCTCTGTTTGTCAGAGTTTTTAACACAAATGACTCCATTTTGATTCTGACAACTTTCACACTCTCAGTGCCTGTCTCAATACCTAGCACCTAGTAAGCATTCAAATATTCGTTGAATGAATAAACAGAATCCCAAAGAATAAACTTGAATGGTGGCTGGAGCTGGGGAGATGGGAGGTGGATGCCCATTCCAGGCCCAGTGAGCAGAGATGTTATTAGAGTTAATGTGCTAGTGTTCAGGTCACAGAGATAATTTTGTAGCAACTTGACAACGGAAAGATGCTGCCTCCTTTAAAGTTGCTATTTTGCCAAGGTCATAAGTTAACTGATTTTTATTTTATCCCTTTCCTTTTCAATATATTTCCTTATTCCTTAAAATGTCCACATCAACTCTGCCAAATGTATCAAAAGAAATGGCAGAAGTGGGCTTAGTTTGGCTGCCTCCATCCTGCCATAGGCGGGTTCACATAGACCTTTCCCTATTTACAGAAATGGAAACTAGGAATCCTCCATGTCTGTGTATAGTGTTACCTTTACTTGAAGTAAATTCTTCACCTTTGTGTTAGCCTCTTCTTAACTCCACAACACTGTGGAGTGTGATAGTCCAGTTGCTGTGGATCAGTAGGGAATTGTATGTAAGAGTCATTTCACGATAATTCTTGAGAGTATTTCACAAAGGTGAAAATTGTGTTTTCGCATTATGTTGTGGTATCTCATGTGACTTAAGATGCCTCATATTATATTTATTATATATTTATTTGGGTGCCCATTTTATATTTCTTTCTAAATTATAAGCTCTTTTTCTTATTCTTCTTGGGTGTCCTCCTTTCACATAGCACATAAAAGACATTCCGTATATTGCTGGTTAAACAACACTGTGGAGATATGAAAAAGGCTAGCACAAAGGTGAAAAACTTTTTTTAACCTGTGGTTTCATCAAAAGAAAGTGCCCTGTTCCCTGATGCTTATTTCTTACACGCAATTCCCTACTGATCCACAGCAATTGGAATATCACACTCAGATGAAATTGGTACTTCAGGGAAGAAACTGTGACTATCTTGCTCTTGTTCTTACAGACTGTTAAGATAATAAACTGAATTCCTGTAACCAAAAATAAACTTGTCTATGAAGAGTATATGCTTAGAATGAGACATATCAATACCTATATAATCCTTTTTTTTTTTTTCCTTCCTCAAGGTGAGTGCAACTTGCTAGGACTATGAGATGGGGAAGAAAGTCTGATGATTCCAAAAGAATGATCTTTCAGTGTTTGCTTTACCCCAGTATTTCTTGCAAAAGAAACTGTGTACAAAATAACATCAAAACAATAGCAAAAACAAAAAACAATAGAAGTTAGACAAGCGTGGTGGCACACACCTGTAGTCCCAGCTACTTGGGAGTCTGAGGTAGGAGGATCACTTGAGCCTAGAAGCTCAAGGCTATAGTGGGCTATGATCATGTCTATGAAAAGCCACTGCACACAAGCCTGGGCAATATAACAAGACCCTGTCTCTAAAATAATATTAATAATAATAGTAATAGAAGTTAAAGAAAATGAATAAAATTGCCTATAATGCTACCTACAAAAAAGCTATTTTTATTGTTCAATGTTTCCTTCTAATATTTTTTCATGTAGTTGTATTTTTAGAGTAAATACACACTTAAGTTATATTTCTGATTTGATATTATATACGTTTTCCTAATTGTTATTTCATGATTATCAATACAATATTATATATTCATTCAAATGATCATCATGAAGACTACAAAAAGCCCTGAAAAATATGTATAATATCAATTTAACTTGTACCATAACAGAAATAACTGAAGTTTGAATACAAAAAAGACTAGGTTTAAGTACTATTTTTTCAATTTAGTAGTTCTTTCATCTTAGGCAAGTAATTTAACCTTTCTCAATTTTTGCCTCTTCATTTTAAAAATGAAATTCCTAATAGCTGCCTCACAGTTTATTACAGGGATTGAAAGCAATAACATGATCAGCTGAGGTAGGTCCTTAAGGAAAGGAAGATACTTATAAAAATTTATTTTTTAGTAATTTCACTTTTAATAAACCTCCCTTTCACAAAGAAATCTAATTGATCTCTCTTTTAATCATGTTACAGTGAAGTATCTATTTGCCCACTAGTTCCTTCTTAGGGAAATTTCTAGAGTGGAGTTACTGGGTTAAAAGATGTGCCATGAATATGGCTCTGAAAATTGCTCTCCTCGAGCCTGTGCTAGCTGGTGTTGCTGTGGCGATGTTGGAGCCTGTTGCTCTCACCCCATCCTCTCCCACATTATAGAGCCACATTTCTAAAGGAAGTGGACAATAAGTATACATTGAACCAATAAGAGTCAGAAATACTGCTTGTTTATCCAGTAAGCTGAACCATGTATTCCTTGAATAGGATGGTACCTGGGCAACCTCTTCCCAACTAACAGAAATGGAAAATCATAATAGCTCCGTAGGATGAAGGAGTCTGAGCTCTGGGAGGCTGAACATTCTTCGCTGCATTGACCATTTGTGTTTAGCTGAAGGCTAGCTAGCGTGTGCTTGAACCACAAGCAACTGTCACTTTAAGGAGCTTGAACCCCGGGGAGTACCTCACGTGGGTACTCTTCTTACTGGGGGAAGCAGACCAAAAAGACCTCAACTTTACAAGTTCTGTCCTGATCACCACTCCCAGAGACTCAATCTGTCATGGTGGGCATTCGCTTGTCAGTGACTGCTCTAAGCATGAATGGGCTTATGCCCCAATTCTGGACAGCAAGACAGGAAGGTAGCTCTGCTCAGGGATTTGGAATCACTTGTGTCCTGAATAACATGAACTCAGAACAATGTTGGTATGAAACAACTTACATAACACCAGCATTATGTTGTAGTGTCTCATGTGACTTCAGATGCCTCATATGATATTTATTATATATTTATTTGGGTAAACAATTGTATATTTATTTATATTTGGGCATATAAATGTGGGAATTTATATTCCCTTCTGAATTGTAAGCTCTTTTTCTTATTCTTCTTGGATGTCCTCCATTCACATAGCACATAAAAGACGTTCCATAAACTGTTGGTTAAACAAATGCGTAAATACATTTTGTTCAAAAACTACAATCTAGGCCAGGTGCAGTGGCTCACACCTGTGATCCCAGCACTTTGGAAGGCCAAAGCAGGAGGACTGCTTGAGCCCAGGAGTTTCAGATTAGCCTAGGCAACATAGCAAGAGCCTCTTCTCTATGAAACAACAAAAATAACAACAAAACACTACAATCTAAATTCACTTAACAAGGTAGTGGAATTATATTTTAATTGTCTGCTAGGATACTTTAGCTCCAAATAAGAGAAATTCAATTAAAGATCACTTAAAAAAGATGTATTATCACACAGCAAGAAGTCTGGAGATATGGTGACTTCAGCCTGGGTTCATTCAGTGGTTCAAACATGTCAGCAAAAGACTCAGGTTCTTTCTGTATCTCTGCTTTGCCAAGTTTACCATGAGGATTTTCTCCTCAGTCTGGATGTACATAGCAGTTATCAATATCATGTCAGGAAATATTCATGTCCAGAGGCAGAAAAGAATACACCTTCCTTGAGCACATTCTATAAGTACAAAAACCTCTCCTAGAAGCCCCCAGCTGAATTACCTTTGTGTATCATTGGTCAGAATTGGGGCCCATGCCCATTCATACTTAAAGCAGACATTAGGCAAGACAAAATTTCTGCCATGACTGATTTAGACCATAGGGTTCATACCTGAAAAACAAAACAAAAAACTGGAGTTCAATTCGTAAATGTAGAAGGAAGGCAGGTGTGCAGCATAAACCACACAGTTTGCACAGACAGTTCAGGCCACTCTTATGAGTTAAGGAATTTTGAGAACCTTCCCTACATCTAGGTTCCCAGAGGCCAGTCAGGGGCCAGCCTTGCAAGCAGGCCTTTCTAAGGAAGCAGTCTTAGGCCTGCCATTCATTTTTTCTGCACATTTCTACATTCGAAGTGTGGCTTGTCCACAAGCCAAGCCCCTTGAGCCCCATTGAAGAAGGAAAGAACTTCATTGTTTCCTTCTCAAGAGCAGGCTGAGCAAGTGCATTTTCAAGTATTTCTTTACGGTCTTGGCTGTGTATTCATGGCAAGACCCACATGGCTTCTTTTAGGAAATGAAATGACGTTTCGTTAGGAAATGCATGTTAGACTGAGGGAGCTGGTGTGGAAACCTTTCTAGGGCTGCTCAAAGGGTGCTAAACCATGTCAGTGAGACCTCAACCCACTGTGACTGATACAGCAAGGGGGAAATGGGAAATAGATCTCACGAATGCAGCCAAGAGTGTTGCTATATCTCCTTTTAATCCTAAATAGAAAGTAAAACGTGTGGGAAGACAGAGGTGTCAAAGCAGTCCTTCCTGCCCTTTCCAACTCTCTAATTCCCATGTGTGACATTCCTGCCCTTCCCTCACATAAGCTTAGAACATTTGTTCTGAATCTTCCCTTCTCCTGCGGGTCTCTTCCCATTTTCTATCAATTTTTCATACAAGGTGGCTGCCAGGTACGTTGCTTCTTCTTCATATGGCCAGTCGCCTCTCCAGGACAATCCCCCAACCTCTGTACAAATATCCATTCTGGTCCTCCTACTTCCACTCACATCTCACATCTACTGGGCTCAGAAGTTCCAGGGTGCTCTTCTTCATTTATCATTTTCGTCACATAATTCTACTGCTTGAGATATGGCACTCAAAGTCCCTTAGAACATGAGCTAATCTTCATGCCGCCTCTTCAAACTAAAAGCTTATTACTTTTAAAAAGGCATTTGACTCTCTGTAAGGCCTTATTTATTTCCCCTGTCTAATGCTAGGTTTTGATGGAAATCCGTCAAGATGGTATCATACTTATCCCTGCCTTTTTACCTCCCAAAAATGCTGACCATAGTTGAAATTTTAACCTTTCACATATAATTCAGGGTCACTATTTCTTACATTAATTATTAAAGTAAGATAATGATGACTTCAAGAATTGAGATGTTTAAAGTCATTTGTCCTACCACAAACCAACTTCTGATACTTTGAGTGCTTACGTATTACGAAAATAATAAAGATTTATTGAGCCTTTCCCATGTTCTGGGCACAATTCTAAGTGCTTAAGCCTCATTTAATCCTAACAATTTCATGAGCTAATTACCATTACCAACTCGGTTTTAGAGATGAGAAAACTGAGGTGGAAAAGTTAGGAACCCCACAAATGTGCACAACAGCATCGCTCATAACAGCAAAAAAGTGGGAGCACCTCAAATGTACATCAAGTGAAGAATGAATAAACACAATTTTGCATATCCATAAAATGGAACATTATACATAAATAATAAATATAGCCATAAAATGGAATGAAGTACTGATGCATGCTACCTCCCAAAAATAAAACTTAGAACTTTGTGCTAAGTGAAAGAAGCCAGATACAAAAGACCATATACTGCATGATTTCATTTATAGAGAACGTCCAGAATAAATAAATCCATAGGGATAAGTGGAGATTTGTGACTGTGTGGGGCTAAGAATGGGGGAAACTGCATAATGGGTTCAGGGTTTTACTCTGGAGTGACAGCAATGTTTAAGAACTAGATAGAGGTGGCCACTGCACAACGTTGTGAATGTTCTAAATGCCACTGAACTGTACACTTGAAAATGGGTAATTTATTTTTTTGTTTGTTTTGGTTTGTTTTTTTGTTTTTTTGAGACAGAGTCTCACTCTGTCACCCAGGCTGGAGTGCAGTGGCGCAATCTTGGCTCACTGCAACCTCTGCCTCCCAGGTTCAATCGATTCTCCTGCCTCAGCCTCCCGAGTAGCTGGGACTACAGGCATGCTCCACTACGCCCGGCTAATTTTTGTATTTTTAGTAGAGACAGGGTTTCACCATCTTGGCCAGGCTGGTCTCCAACTCCTGACCTCAGGCAATCCGCCTGCCTCGGCCTCCCAAAGTGCTGGGATTACAGGCGTGAGCCACCGTGCCTAGCCTAATTTTTAAAATTTTACCTTAATTATGATTCATTTTTCTTTTGTAAAATTGTAGATTTAGGAGGTATATGTGCAGGCTTATTACACGGATACATCACATGGAGATATGGTGAGGTCTGGGCTTCTAGCATACCCATCACCCAAATAGTGAACTTTGGGTTCACCATTACCCAACAGGTAAGTTTTCAACCCTTGTCCCCTTGCCACCCTCTCGCCTTTTGGAGTCCCCAGTGTCTGTTATATCCATCTTTATATCCACGTGTACTCATTGTTTAGCTCCCATGCGTAAGTGAGGACATGCGGTATTTGATTTTCTGTTTCTGAGTTTGTTCACTTAGGAAAATGGCCTCCAGCTTCATCCATGTTGCTGCAAAATACATGATTTCATTCTTTTCTTATGGCAGCTTTGTATTCTGTGACGTATATGTACCACATTTTCTTTATCCAATTATTTAATTGATTAAAAGTCATAAGAAAGGGAGAAAGGATTCAACATTAAAAATGCTGCCAAGAGAATTAGTTCATAAGTGAAAGGACGTTATTTTCTCAAGGAAGGCACTGATGTCCACTGACAGCAGTTTTAGTGGAGGCTGAAGTCAGATTTTTTTTTCCCATAAAATAAGAATAAATGTACTCTAGGTGAGGACCAAAGCAGCAACGCTTTTGAGGAAAGCATATGAACTTTTTGACATTCTTTCTGACTGTTAAGAAGTATTTTGTGTTTAATTTCCACACAAGATTTTATTTGTTGTCCTAAAAATACATGAAAATATTGAAAATAAGTAAAAGTTTACAACTAGCAGCTTTATTATGTACTCTTGCACAATAAGGATTTCCTAAAATTTCATTAGATTACAGCTGTTCTCTGGAAATTGTGATTAAAAGAATGTCCAACATCATTTTTAAAATATAGCAAAATTCTGCATTCAACTATGTATGAAAACAAATTCTGTCATCTAATAAAATATTAATACACATTTTCCCAAACAGGAAATTATCTTCCAGAATTGTAAAAATGTGTGTTTTTAAGGAGCCAGAAATGACAGAAAATTAGAGTTAGGAAGCAAAGATATATAAGAAGCACCTATTATAAATATGTTCGATTTTCTAAATATGTTACAATAATAAATCATGAACAAAATTAGAAAAAATGGAAATAAAGTAAGCAAAAAGTTTTCAGTAGATTAAAGAAAAGAAATATTTGTGGATTGGATTCAGTTCAATTTTTAAATGGCATTCTTTGGAAAACAATGTTAATCAACTGACTTGGTATTTCTATTATTTTTTAATTTATAGTTTCAGTTTTAAATATTGCAGAACATGTTAATGATTGGTTTTTAAAATTTTTGTATTTGGTTTCTTAAATTGTAACATCTTATCTGTGTATTTTCATCTAGTTATTTTCTTATACATTTTGAGAAAACTTTATAAACTTGACCTTCACATTTTCATTTGATTTATTTTACTCTCAATCCTGTTTTCTCTGTTAAGTACTTTAATGCTTTTTTTGTTTATTATCATATATTCATCTCATTTGTGTCATTATACATTTTACCTGGCTACATTTTAGCTCAGTTGTTAATGCCTTAAAATTGTTTAACTTTATTGAATTTATACTTTCTTACTTTGAACTGCTGAAGAGTTTTCAAATAATATATTCTGACCCATAATTTAATAATTAAATAATTTTATGAGGTGTCTTCTTACTCTGTCTTCAGAAAGATGTTTCTCTTTTTAGTTTTTTGCTTTTGTTTATATTTTCAATTTTCTGTTTTGTTTAATTGGCCCTTATATTGGTTGCTGTCTCATTTTTTTAATAAGAAATCATGCTTACACATGAATTTCATGTTTTCATCTTATTTATATAAATGTCTGAGATACAGATGTAATTTTGTTACATAGATATATTGTGTAGTGGTAAAGTCAGGGCTTTTAGGGCATCTATCATCAGAACAAAGTACAATTGTACCGATTAAGTAATTTCTCATCCTCCACTTAAGTCCCACGCCTCACCTTTCTGAGTCTACACTGTCTATCATTCCACACTCTATGTTCTTGTGTACACGTTATTAAGCTTCCACTTATAGGTGAGAACCTGTGGTATTTTTTTTCTGTTTCTGAGTTGTTTCACTTAAGATAATGGCCTCCAGTTTCATCTGTGCTGCCTTAAAAAGACATGATTTCATTCTCTGAGAAATGAATTGTCAAATAAGAATTGAATTTCCTTTGGCTCTATTCTCTTTTTAATTGGGTTCTATGATGCACTTCAATAAACTAAAAACACAAGCTAACAGAAGAGGGGCAAGTCTAAAACCTAATAAAGTGCTTTTCTCAAATGTGACTGTGTAGGACCTAATGGGATCTCTCCTTATCTATTAAACCCCACCCAGCCCCTGAACGTCTACTTGAGAGTGTCTTCTCTGCTTCTACAATGTTTAGATTCCAAACGTATTTATCAATCTAAAATTACACAATTATCAGTAATTGCAAATCTTCCCGTAGAGTTCATGCATTTAAGTCACTTGTATAGATTTCCTCTTATCTATACCATTTTATAAACTGAAAGTTCTTAAGTATAAGATATCTCATACCTTGAAAAATAGGGTAAAAGTAGAATTTTAATATCCAAAATGCAAGGCTTCCAAATAATACCTTTTTTTGTTGTTGTTGTCGTTGTTGTTTTTTATTATACTTTTTCTAGGGTACATGTGCACAATGTGCAGATTTCTTACATAGGTATACATGAGCCATGTTGGTTTGCTGCACCCATCAACTTGTCAATTACATTAGGTATTTCTCCTAATGCTATCCCTCCCCCAGCCCCTCACCCCCTGACAGGCCCCGGTGTGTGATGTTCCCTGCCCTGCGTCCAGGTGTTCTCATTGTTCAATTCCCACCTGTGAGTGAGAACATGCAGTGCTTGGTTTTCTGTCCTTGTGATGGTTTGCTCAGAATGATGGTTTCCAACTTCATCCAAGCCCCTGTAAAGGACATGAATTCATCCTTTTTTATGGCTGCTTAGTATTCCATGGTGTATATGTGCCACATTTTCTTAATCCAGTCTATCACTGATGAACATTTGGGTTGGTTCCAAGTCTTTGCTATTGTGAATAGTGCCACAATAAACATACACGTGCATGTCTTTATAGTAGCATGATTTATAATCCTTTGGGTATATACCCAGTAATGGGGTCGCTGGGTCAAATGGTATTTCTAGTTCTAGATCCTTGAGGAATCGCCACACTGTCTTCCACAACGGTTGAACTAATTTACCCTCCCACCAACTGTGTAAAAGCATTCCTATTTCTCCACATCCTCTCCAGCCACTCTTGTATCCTGACTTTTTAATGATCGCCATTCTAACTGGCATGAGATGGTATTTCATTGTGGTTTTGATTTGCATTTCCCTGATGACCAGTGATGATGAGCATTTTTTCATGTGTCTGTTGGCTGCATAAATGTCTTCTTTTGAGAAGTGTCTGTTCCTATCCTTTGCCCACTTTTTGATGGGGTTGTTTGTTTTTTTCCTGTAAATTTGTTTAAGTTCTTTGTAGATTCTGGATATTAGCCCTTTGTCAGATAGGTAGATTGCAAAAAGTTTCTCCCATTCTGTAGGTTGCCTGTTCACTCTGATGGTAATTTCTTTTGCTGTGCAGAAGCCCTTTAGTTTAATTAGATCCCATTTATCTATTTTGGCTTCTGTTGCCATTGCTTTTGGTATTTTAATCATGAAGTCCTTGCTCATGCCTATGTCCTGAATGGTATTGCCTAGGTTTTCTTCTAGAGTTTTTATGGTTTTAGGTCTAACATTTAAGTCTTTACTCCATCTTGAGTTAATTTTTGTATAAGATGTAAGGAAGGGATCCAGTTTCACCTTTCTACATATGGCTAGCCAGTTCTCCCAGCACCATTTATTAAATAGGGAATCCTTTCCCCATTGCTTGTTTTGTCAGGTTTGTCAAAGATCAGATGGTTGTAGATGTGTGGTGTTATTTCTGAGGCCTCTGTTCTGTTCCATTGGTCTATGTATCTGTTTTGGTACCAGAACCATGCTGTTTTGGTTACTGTAGCCTTGTAGTATAGTTTGAAGTCAGGTAGCGTGATGCCTCCAGCTTTGTGCTTTTGGCTTAGGATTGTCTTGGCAATGCAGGCTTTTTTGGTGCCATATGAACTTTAAAGTAGTTTTTTTCTAATTCTGTGAAGAAAGTCATTGGTAGCTTGATGGGGATGGCATTGAATCTATAAATTACCTTGGGCAGTATGGCCATTTTCACAATATTGATTCTTCCTATCCATAAGCATGCAATGTTCTTTCATTTGTTTGTGTCCTCTTTTATTTCACTGAGTAGTGGTTTGTAGTTCTCCTTGCAGACGTCCTTCACATCCCTTGTAAGTTGAATTCCTAGGTATTTTATTCTCTTTATAGCAATTGTGAATGGGAGTACACTCATTATTTGGCTCTCGTTTGTCTGTTATTGGTGTATAAGAATGCTTGTGATTTTTGCACATTGATTTTGTATCCTGAGACTTTGCTGAAGTTGCTTATCAGCTTAAGGAGATTCTGGGCTGAGACGATGGGTTTTCTAAATATACAATCATGTCACCTGCAAACAGGGACAGTTTGACTTCCTCTTTTCCTAATTGAATACCCTTTATTTCTTTCTCTTGCCTGATTGCCCTGGCCAGAACTTCCAACACTATATTGAATAGGAGTGGTGAGAAAGGGCATCCTTGTCTTGTGCTGGTTGTCAAAGGGAATGCTTCCAGTTTTTGCCCATTCAGTATGATATTGGCTGTGGGTTTGTCATAAATAGCTCTTATCATTTTGAGATACATTCCATCAATACCTAGTTTATTGGGAGTTTTTAGCATGAAGCGCTGTTGAATTTTGTCAAAGGCGTTTTCTGCATCTGTTGAGATAATCATGTGGTTTTTTTCGTTGGTTCTGTTTTTACATTTATTGATTTGCATATGTTGAACCAGCCTTGCATCCCAGGGATGAAGCCCACTTGATCATGGTGGATAAGCTTTTTGATGTGCTGCTGGATTCGGTTTGCCAGTATTTTATTGAGGATTTTTGCATTGATGTTCATCAGGGATATTGGTCTAAAATTCTCTTATTTTTTTGGTTCTCTGCCAGGCTTTGGTAACAGGATGATGCTGGCCTCATAAAATGAGTTAGGGAGGATTCCCTCTTTTTCTATTGATTGGCCTAGTTTCAGAAGGAATGATACCAGCTCCTCTTTGTACCTCTGGTAGAATTCGGCTGTGAATCCATATGGTCCTGGGCTTTTTTTAGTTGGTAAGCTATTAATTATTGCCTCAATTTCAGAGCCTGTTATTGGTCTATTTAGAGATTCAACTTCTTCCTGGTTTAGTCTTGGGAGGGTGTGTGTGTCCAGGAATTTGTCCATTTCTTCTAGATTTTCTAGTTTATTTGCATAGAGGTGTTTATAGTATTCTCTGATGGTAGTTTGTATTTCTGTGGAATTGGTGATGATATCCCCTTTATCATTTTTTATTGTGTCTATTTGATTCTTCTCTCTTTTCTATTAGTCTTGCTAGCAATCTATCAATTTTGTTGATCTTTTCAAAAAACCAGCTCCTGGATTCATTGATTTTTTGAAGGGTTTTTTGTGTCTCTATCTCCTTCAGTTCTACTCTGATCTTAGTTATTTCTTGCCTTCTGCTGGCTTTTCAATGTGTTTGCTCTTGCTTCTCTAGTTCTTTTAATTGCGATGTTAGGGTGTCAATTTTAGATCTTTCCTGCTTTCTCTTGTGGGCATTTAGTGCTATAAATTTCCCTCTACACACTGCTTTAAATGAGTTCCAGAGATTCTGGTACATTGTGTCTTTGTTCTCATTGGTTTCAAAGAACATCTTTATTTCTGCCTATATTTCGTTATTTACACAGAAGTCATTCAGGAGCAGGTTGTTCAGTTTCCATGTAGTTGTGCAGCTTTGAGTGAGTTTCTTAATCCTGAGTTCTAATTTGGTTGCTCTGTGGCCTGAGAGACAGTTTGTTGTGATTTCTGTTCTTTTACATTTGCTGAGGAGTGCTTTACTTCCAGTTATGTGGTCAATTTTAGAATAAGTGTGATGTGGTACTGAGAAGAATGTATATTCTGTTGATTTGGGGTGGAGAGTTCTGTATATGTCTATTAGGTCCACTTGGTGCAGAGCTGAGTTCAAGTCCTGGATATCCTTGTTAACCTTCTGTCTCATTGATCTAATGTTGACAGTGAGGTGTTAAAGTCTCCCATTATTATTGTGTGGGAGTCTAAGTCTTTTTGTAGGTCTCTAAGGATTTGCTTTATGAATCTGGGTGCTCCTGTATTGGGTGCATATATATTTAGGATAGTTAGCTCTTCTTGTTGAATTGATCCCTTTACCATTATGTAATGGCCTTCTTTGTCTCTTTTGATCTTTGTTGGTTTAAAGTCTGTTTTATCAGAGATTAGGATTGCAACCCCTGCTTTTTTTTTGCTTTCCATTTGCTTGGTAGACCTTCCTCCATCCCTTTAGTTTAGCTTATGTGTGTCTCTGCACATGAGATGGATCTCCTGAATACAGCACACTGATGGGTCTTGACTCTTTATCCAATTTGCCAGTCTGTGTCTTTTAATTGGAGTATTTAGCCCATTTACATTTAAGGTTAATATTGTTATGTGTGAATTTGATCCTGTCAGTATGATATTAGCTGGTTATTTTGCCTGTTAATTGATGCAGTTTCTTCATAGCATCAATGGTCTTTACAATTTGGCATGTTTTTGCAGTGGCTGGTACTGGTTGTTTCTTTCCATGTTTAGTGCTTCCTTCAGGAGCTCTTGTAAGGCAGGCCTGGTGGTGACAAAATCTCTCAGCATTTGCTTGTCTGTAAAGGATTTTATTTCTCCTTCATTTATGAAGGTTAGTTTGGCTGGATATGAAATTCTGGGTTGAAAATTCTTTTCTTTAAGAATGTTGAATATTGGCCCTCACTGTCTTCTGGCTTATAGGGTTTCTGCCAAGAGATCTGCTGTTAGTCTGATGGGCTTCCCTTTGTGGGTATCCCAACCTTTCTCTCTGGCTCCCCTGAACACTTTTTCCTTAATTTCAACCTTGGTGAATCTGGCAATTATGTGTCTTGGGGTTGCTCTTCTCGAGGAGTATCTTTGTGGTGTTCTCTGTATTTCCTAATTTGAATGTTGGCCTACCTTGCTGGTTTGGGGAAGTTCTCCTGGATAATATCCTGAAGAGTGTTTTCTAACTTGGTTCCATTCTCCCCATCACTTTCAGGTACACCAAGCAAATGTAGATTTGGTCTTTTCGCATAGTCCCATATTTCTTGGAGGCTTTGTTCATTTCTTTTTACTCTTTTTTCTCTAATCTTGTCTTCCCACTTTATTTCATTAATTTGTTCTTCAATCACTGATATCCTTTCTTCCATTTGATCGAATAGGCTATTGAAGCTTGTGCCTGTATCACAAAGTTCTTGTGCCGTGGCTTTCAGCTCCATCAGGTCATTTAATGTCTTCTCTACACTGTTTATTCTAGTTAGCCATTCGTCTAACCTTTTTTCAAGGTTTTTAGCTTCCTTGCGATGGGTTAGAACATGCTCCTTTAGCTTGGAGAAGTTTGTTATTACCAACCTTCTGAAGCCTACCTCTGTCAACTTGTCAAAGTTATTCTCTGTCTAGCTTTGTTCTGTTGCTGGTGAGGAGGTACAATCCTTTGGAGGAGAAGAGGTGCTCTGGTTTTTAGAATTTTCAGCTTTCCTGCTCTAGTTTCTCCCCATCTTTGTGGTTTTATCTACCTTTGGTCTTTGATGTTGGTGACCTACAGATGGGGTTTTGGTGTGGATGTCCTTTTTGTTGATGTTGATGCTCTTCCTTTCTGTTTGTTAATTTTCCTTCTAACAGTCAGGTCCCTCAGCTGCAGGTCTGTTGGAGTTTGCTGAAGATCCACTCCAGACCCTGTTTGCCTGGGTATCACCAGTGGAGGTTGCAGAACAGCAAATATGGCAGAACAGCAAATATTGCTGCCTGATCCTTCCTCTGGAAGCTTCGTCCCAGAGGGGCACCTGCCTGTATGAGATATCTGTTGGCCCCTACTGAGAGGTGTCTCCCAGTTAGGCTACACAGAGGTCAGGGGCCCACTTGAGGAGGCAGTCTGTCTGTTCTCAGAGCTCAAACACCATGCTGGGAGAACCACTGCTCTCTTCAGAGCTGTCAGACAGGGATGTTTAAGTCTGCAGAAGTTGTCTGCTGCCTTTTGTTCAGCTATGCCCTGCCCACAGAGGCGGAGTCTATAGAGGCAGTAGGCCTTTCTGAGCTGCGATGGGCTCTTCCCAGTTCAAGCTTCCCAGCCACTTTGTTTACCTACTCATGCCTCAGCAATCGCGGACACCCCTCTCCCTGCCAGGCTGCAGCCTCATAGGTTGATCTCATACTGCTGTGCTAGCAGTGAGCAAGGCTCTGTGGGCATGAGACCTGCCGAGCCAGGCATGGGAGAGAATCTCCTGGTCGGCCAGTTGCTAAGACGGTGGGGAAAGTGCAGTATTTGGGCGAAAGTGTCCTGTTTTTCCAGGTACTGTCTGTCATGGCTTCCCTTGGCTAGGAAAGGGAAATCCCCCCCGACCTCTTGCACTTCCCAGGTAAGGCGATGCCCTGCTGTGCTTCGGCTCACCGTCCATGGGCTACACTCACTGTCCAACCAGTCCCAGTGAGATGAACCAGGTACCTCAGTTGGAAATGCAGAAATCACCCATCTTCTGCATCAATCACACTGGAAGCTGCAGACCAGAGCTGTTCCTATTCGGCCATCTTGGAATGGACTCTATTTTGTGTTTAATTTCTAAGTTTTATCTGGGTTCCAGAAAATTGAGATTGTTGGATAACCAATCTTTCAATAAGGAGTCCATGCTTCTTGATTAATTCCTTTCATCCTGTTGGTATGATACACATGTCAGATTGCACACAGCTTTAAGGCCATGAATGGTTCCTCTATCTTGATCAGTTCCTGCTTCCCCAGGTCATGCTGTGTATACCTAAGACTCTCAGCGATGTGGTCCCATTGCTTACAGTTCGCTCTGCCCTCCTAGCCAGTGCAACTCCAGACAGCTCTCTGTTCTCCAGAGAAAGCAAATGGGGCACACAAAAACTGTCAGCCATGTATTCCAGCTCCACAAGAGTCATCAGAAACATCCTGGACTTTTTATGCCCAAAACTGGACAGTAGAGAATTATCTTTGGTGCCTGTAGCTGACATGTTTTGTGTCATGTGGCTCTCCCCACCAGAAGAGGGGAAATGGGTGAAGTGTGGACTACTCCATTAACATATCTGACTGCAGACCATTTGGCTCCTGCATCCCTTCTGAGCACTCTGAGTATGATCTAACTGGTGAGAAAGTACACTGAGCAATTCCAGGGTTTGGTGCAGAGTTCCAAGTCCTAAAACACCAAGGCTGGATGGAACGCTCAATTCTAAAGAATCTCTGAGAACCACACATTAAAATCAGAGATTCAGTAAATAATTCCCTCAGGACAGTCATCCTCAGTTTCCTGCATACTCATTATTCACTATTCATTTTTATTTCCCTTTCTTAAAGTGCTTTGGACTGTTCTTTAAAATGATATTACTCTAAAGTTTTTTCCAGAGACTGCATTCAAGCCTCAGATAACAACATTTGTATACATTTTCTTCAGTAGCTGTTACTCCAGTAAAGAAGGGCTGAATCTAAATCTTCAAGAGAAATTTGAATTTTCCAAGTAAGTTATGTCCTGAGATTGAGTGACTTTTAACAGTTTAGGAGGAAGAAAAACGTTTCTAATTAATTTTCAGCTGGTTAGTCCCTGCTTCCAGCTCTCTCATGGTTTTCTCAGGAGAGTCTTACATAAAAGGTAGAAACAACCTACCACATGTTTGATTGCCTTGGGCTGCTTCTAATCCAGAAAATTGTTGTTTATGTACTCAATTGTATGCTATAGTAATCCCATCTGGAGTGCTATTGCTTGAATAATTTAAAAGTACCAATGATGTCAAGTGTCAAGTTTTTTAAGTATTTAGCTTAAAAGGTCTTTTATTTCTGCTAACAGCTGCTCTTCTGCATCAAGGATCTCCAAGACCATCCCCAGGTTGGAGGATTTGCTAAGAGGAATCACAGGACTCAGTGTACAGTCATCTGCATGGGTATGATTTATTTCAGCAAAACAACACAAAGCAAAACCAGTAAAGAGAAAATACACTGGGGTGATGTCTCAAGGAAACTAGGCACAAGCATCTAAGAGTCCTCTCCCAGTGGCGTCACACAGGACACACTTGATTTCTCCAGCATCAAGATGTGACAACACATGTGAAGATCTACCAACCAAGAAGGCCAAGCGCCCAGAGTTTTTGTTGGAGGATGGTCACATAGGCACCCTTTGCCTAACATATACTAAAATACCAGACTTCCAGAGGAAGGCTGGTGTACAGCATCAACCACACTGTTTGCACAGACACTTCAGGCCACTTTTACCAGTTAAGGAATTGTGGGAACCCTCCCTACATCTGAGTTCCCAGATGCCAGCCCAGGGCTAACCTTGCAAGCAGGCATTTCCTAAGGACAGCGATCTTAGGTCTGTAATTAAATCTGTTCTGCACCTCTTCTCTACACTCCAGCTGTGGCTTGTCTACATGCTAACCCCATTGAATTAACAAATTTCATTCTTTCTTTCTCAAGAGCAGACTGAGCAGATGCACTTTCAAGGACCTCTTTATAGCCTTGGCTGTGTATTCATGGCAAGACCCACACGGCTTCTTTCAGGAATGAAACGATGTTTTGTTGGGACATATGTGTAGTTGGACTGAGGGAGCTGGTGTGGAAACCTTTCTAGGGCTGCTCAAAATTTGTCAAAGACATGTCAGTGAGGCCTTGGCCCAGTCAAATAAAAATGAGTATGTGTATTCACTATGGTTCTTGGTTTTATTTTTATTTATTTATTTATTTATTTTGGAGATGGAGTTTCACTCTTTCCACCCAGGCTGGAGTGCAACGGTGCAATCTTGGCTCACTGCAACCTCTGCCTCCTAGGTTCAAGCAATTCTCCTGCCTCAGCCTCCCAAGTAGCTGGGATTACAGGCATGCACCACCATGCCCGGCTAATTTTTGTATTATTAGTAGAGACGGGGGTTTCACTATGTTGGCCAGGCTGGTCTCGATCTCCTGACCTCAGGTTATCCATCCACCTCAGTCTCCCAAAGTGCTGGGATTATAGGCATGAGCCAACCCATCCAGCCTGGTTTTATTTTTAAAAAACATATTTTCTTTTATACAATGTTCCTAAAATGTTGTTTCAACATGTAACCAATGAGAATATATTAATGAGACATTCCAGTTTAAAATGTCAATAGTACTTCAAGATTGAGAAACTTTGGGCCGGGCGCGGTGGCTCACGCCTGTAATCCCAGCACTTTGGGAGGCCGAGGCGGGCGGATCACGAGGTCAGGAGATCGAGACCATCCCGGCTAAAACGGTGAAACCCCGTCTCTACTAAAAATACAAAAAATTAGCCGGGCGTAGTGGCGGGCGCCTGTAGTCCCAGCTACTTGGGAGGCTGAGGCAGGAGAATGGCGTGAACCCGGGAGGCGGAGCTTGCAGTGAGCCGAGATTGCGCCACTGCACTCCAGCCTGGGCGACAGAGCGAGACTCCGTCTCAAAAAAAAAAAAAAAAAAAAAAGAAAAAAAAGAAAAAGAGAAACTTTGGTTTAGATACTGGTTGCATCACTAACCAAATATATGGCTTTGAGCTTACCCTTCTGAATATCACTCAATATTCCCACATAAAAATGGGGAGAATAATACTTATGTCACAGTGGTAATACCTAAAACTTTTTGAAAGTACTCACAATGGGCCAGGCACAGGAAACCAAAATAAGGAGACTGAAGTTCAGAAAGGTTGGTGAACTCAAGTTTTACCACTAGTGAGTGGCTGAGCAGGATTAGAAACTAGTCCAAATATGATCCTTTACATGCCTCTGAGCCTCCAGCTTGAGGGGTGTATGGCTCCCTTGACCATTCAGTTGGAGGGGTCACTTGCACTTCCATGGCCTCCTTGCACAGAGCTGATCAGAATTACGCAGATCATTGACAACAACTTGCTCATCTGGATAAAGTGTCAAAAAGGGTGGTAGCCAGGAGGAAAGAATGTGATAGAATTGATGCCCAAATATCTCCAGAGTGCTGTGATGCATTACAATCAGTAGTTAATAGACTTACTGGATGTAAATGGAGAATCTAATGTCACTTCCAGGAACAAAAACCCTGACTCCAGCTTTCCAGAAACACCGGGTGTTTAAGAGTCCCAACACCACTGCTGCCAAAAGTTACAGCTAAAGTGCTTTAGCTGGAAGCTTCTTACTTAGATAGATTTCTTTAACAGAAAACAATGGCTCTGTATACACAAACGCCAAAGGTCCTGTCTTTTTCTTTTACAGATATGTATTTCCAATGCTTTTCTCTCTTCAAACCTACAACACTTATTTCATATCTCAAAAAGATTTTATGAACAAAAGTATAAAATTCTAATTTACATGTCAGATATGGTTCTAATTCTGGACAAACTGTCCTATTTCCCTGGATCTAGGAGTCCATATTTACAGGCAATGACATTCTCTGCTATAAATAATCGTAACAGCAGCCATTTCTTACAGGTGTATTATGCCCACATGCTTGACATGTGCCATCATTTTCATCTTACTGTTGAGGAAACTGAGGCTCAGAGAGGTCTAATGACTTGCCCAATACTACAGAGATAGAAAGTGACTAAGTTTGAAACAGGGGCTCTTGAAATCTGAAGTCTGACCTCATGCTGCTACACCACAGCAATGACAACTGTGATGCAAATCCAGGGAACTAGCCTAACAGATTCAAGGAAGTAAAGGAAATTTTAGAAGCAAGATGAGCAATATCATCTTTTGGTTACTTAGTAGGAGGCAAGGGGTGGTTGGTAAGAGGAGCGGGGAATTTGGAGTCAAGTTAGACTTGAATCTCATGTTCAAGGGTCTAAACCAAGGTTTCTCAATCTTAGCACTGTTGACATTTTGGGACAGATAATTTTTGTCAGGGAGTGCAGCATTGTATGCGTTGTAGGGTGTTTAGCAGCATCCCAATAGATGTTGTTAGCATCTCCCCAGCCCAACCCAACCTCCAACTGAGATGACCAAAACTGTACTCAACATTGCCCAGTGTCCCCAGAGAACAAAAATGGCCCTTTGCCCCAGGTAGAGAAATAATGATTTAAGCCAGGTCTTTCAGGCTCCAAAGTCCATAGTTATTCTACTACATCATGTTATCATCCATACATATGTATTTTCAAATCACTATGTTGTTTTTCTTCCTCACTTTATATAATTTCATATTTATTTGTATGATCATTCCATCTGTCTCCCCAACCTATATCACCATATTCAAATGCCAAGGTTTTTGCTAACTTTTTTTCCTCAGGACTTAGTAAAGAGCTTGGCACATAGTAAGTGCTCAATAAATGTTTGTTAAATGGCTAGAGGTAGGGAAGGAAGAAAGCAAGCTTTTCCTTACTTGTATTTCTGTACCTTGGCAGTCAGTAGATAGTCTTATACGCCCAACACTGTCAGTGACTGTTCATCGGGTGTGTGTTTTCTCCTTGACCAGATTATAAGAACTGATGGGCAGGGACATACACTGCAGGATGTTTGGATCCCATGGCTTCCAGCACCATGCTCAGCACAAGGGAGACACGCAACACATAGCTATTACACCAGAGGAGTGTAATGGCCCTGGGGGTTTGCAACCTTTCAGAGGAAAAGGACGATTAAGATGTTTAGGGAATGCAGGAATGGGAATATGGATGGAGAATTACCTTCCTTCAGATATTTTAAAAGCCAAGCTGCCATCTACTAAGTTGTTTTTTTCCCAATTTATACTGTCATCACACTATTTGAGAGTTCCCATTTCTCTGCACTCTGGAGCTGACCTCATTTACTGATAGTTTTTGGAGCATTGCTTAGGGGATAATTGGGGGTGCCAGTAGTCTTATGAAAATGTCATCGTTATTTCTCCAGGCTTCGCAATCCTGGGGTTAAAACTGGATCACCAGTCAGTCAGGAAACAGAATTTCTCTGACTCTCCCACAGTACACAAATGCTAGCTTTTTGGCACCCCTCAAAGTTCCTTTTAATGAATTCTGGGTGTTTCACAGGTGTTTATAGCAAAGGCCTCTTGGTTACTGGTGGTATCACCATTTTCCTCTCTTGCTGTGTCTCATGTCACCACTGGGGCCACCAACACTCATCCCTGTCTGTGTCATAGCTATTGGTGCAAATTATGTCATAATTGATGACTCTTATGCCATCAACATCTTACAGAGATTTTAATGAAACAGCTCCTTCAAATTTTTATCAATAAACGCTTGCTAATGAAATTTCAAATCTAAAAGAAGAACATAGACTACAATTTTCATTGCTTCCTTACAAGGTTTTTATGTGCCAATATTTACCTCTATACATACATAACTCTAATAAATTCTATTCTCCACATAGTCCAGTCTCTAAACAAAATTAAATTTAAAGAAATATAGTCTATGCATGAAATGCTCATTAAAAAGCATTTCCAACCCCTGTACTGACCTTTTGAAAACCCTTAAAGGTGCCCCAATTCACACCACACACTCCACTTTTCAAGCTGCTCTAGGGATCTCGCATGCTAAATTACAAAACTCTTCTCAAGCCTCAGTTTGTACCTGTCTTTCTCCTCTCTCTTCTCCCTAATTTTCGGCTCTGTACTGGGTAGACTAGCTTGGCCTCTCAGTAAATCCTCCCTACTTTCAGGCACATCCTTTTATATGCTTTGTCTCAATTCAGTATCTAAAAGCAGGGTGGGAGGAGCAAAGACTCACTTTAGTGTGTAGAGGGAGGATAAGGAGGAGAGGAAAGGCAGGAATAATTACATATCAATTAATCTTACTCTGTCTACCTCCCACACATTTTTATTTTTGTGTTTTTAATATATATGGGATCTGACCGCTGGGCATGGTGGCTTATGCCTGTAATCCCAGCACTTTGGGAGGCTGAGGCAGGCGGATCACGAGGTCAGGAGATTGAGACCATCCTGGCTAACACGGTGAAACCCCATCTCTACTAAAAAAATATGAAAAAATGAGCTGGGCGTGGTGGCAGGCGCCTGTAGTCCCAGCTACTTGGGAGGCTGAGGCAGAAGAATGGCATGAACCCGGGAGGCAGAGCTTGCAGTGAGCCGAGATTGCAACACTGCACTCCAGCCTGGTTGACAGAGCGAGACTCCGTCTCAAAAAAAAAAAAAAAAAGAAAAAGAAATATATATATATGGGATCCTACTACATGTATTAAACAGTAATTGAGTTTTTATACTTAATGTTAAATTATAGCTACTGTATTAGTTATCCATTGCTGCAGAAAAATTACCCAAAAACTTAGGGGTTTAAAGCAACCAACATTCATTATCTCACAGTTTCTGTGGATAAGTTTCACATATAACTCACTTAGGTGACCTGGCTCAAAGTCTCTCATGGGACTGCAGGCAAGCTGTTGGCTGAGGCTGTGGTCTCATCTGAATGCTTGACTGGGAGCGAGAGAATCTTCTCCTAAGCTCACTCACGTGGCTGTTGCCAGGCCTCAGGCCTTTGCTACCCAGGCCTCCCCACAGAGTTGTCTCGGGACACGGCAACTGGCTTCCTCCAGGGTAAGTGATCCGAGAGAGTGCAAGAGAGTGAGAGAGAGTACACTCAAGATGGAAACCAAATCCTTTTAATGACCTAATCATGGAAGTGACATCTCATCACTTCTGTTCAAGAAGAGAGCCAGTAAGTCCAGCCCACACTCAAGGAAAGGCAGTTACACAAGGGCATAAACGTCAATGAGCAGGAATCACTGGGTGCTGTCCAACACTGCTATGACACATACACAGCATACCTCATTCTTTCTAACTGCAGCACAGCATTCCAAAATTTGAACGGACTATAATTTTTAAAATATCAGCCATGATTTCTGGGGTTTTTTAATTTTGTCTTCACTTTCTGCCTTTTGTTTGATGACTTCTACTTTTTTCTTCAGTATTTTAGAATTTATACATTATATTTATATTGGTTAATATTAATTCTTAAGATTTTTTGGTCAGCATTTTTACCTTGCTGCCTACTCTGAGAATAAGAAAAGACTCTTTACATGCTTTTACTCCCCACCTACATCTTCATTTTCTTAAAATCATCTGAACTCTTAACTCTATTTGTGCTGTCCAGTACGATAGGTCCAGACACTTGTGGCTGTGGAGCACTTGAAATGTGGCTAGACTGCATTGAGATGTGCTGTAAGAATAAAATATACACCAGATTTCAAAACCATAGTATGAAAAAAATGTAAAATCTATTGCTAATAATTCTTATACTGATATTTTGAAATGATAATATTTCTGATATATTGGGCTAAATAAAATACATTATTAACAGTAATTTTACCTGTTTCTTTTTACTGTTTTTAATATGGCTACTGGAAAATTTTAAATTACATAAATGGCCCGTATTTATAGGTTGCATTATATTTTTCTTGAACAGTACTACTGTGGATTGTGATAGCAGTTTTTATTTTTAACATAAGGCTTTTATTTTCTTAGGAATAATTCCTAACAATTGCCTTAAGGTTTTCATCCATATTATCAAGAATTATTTGGACTTAAATATAAGTTTTACTAGTATCTTTGTTCATTTTCCTTGTATCCTATGTCTTTCTCTTTCCTGGATTTATTTTTCATTTTGATACCTTCAATTTTGAGTAATTCTTAATGTAGAGTCTGTGAAGGATAAACTTTTCAAGTCCTTACATATCTGAAAATATCTTTATTTTTTTCTCATTCTTGATTTATATTTTGGCAGGGTAGTGCATTACTCCATTTTCTCTGACAATCTATTTTTGGTGATTCTGATTCAATATAGGTAATCTGTTCCTTTTTCCTGACTATAAGCTTTCAGGACTTTTTCCTTATTTTTGTAGTTCAGATTTTTTAGTAGGATGTTTCAATGACTAGTTATTTTTTCACTAATTCTGCTAGGTACTTAGTGAGCCCTTTTAAAACTGAACTCTTGTTTCTTCAGCTATGGGATTTAGAAAAGAAATATTCTATTGATTGTTTTTACCTTTTCAACATCTCTGGATGACCTATGATAAAGTTATTAGAAACTTTAGATCTATCCTTCATAACTCATTTTTTTCTCTTATTTTCCATCATTTTGGGAGAACCCCTCAGCTCAGTCTTCCTCTGATTTGATTTTCAACTGAGTCCATTCTTCTGTCCTGATGCTGATTAGATTTTGTTTGTCTTGTTTTGTCTCCTAGCTTTCATTTTCATTCTGTCAAAAGGGATTGGAAAGGAAGGGTAAGTCAATGCCCGCTCAGTCGGCCATTTTGAATTGCATCTTCTAATTAATATTTGCTCTTTTATTGAAGGTGTCTTGAACATTCATACCTATAAGGGCTTGGTGACAGAAACCAAGTGTGCCTACAACTCACCCTCCTCTCTGAGCTGGAGGACTATTCTTAGGTCAAGCTTGGGTACCTCAAATCTCTTCTCTTAGAATTAGCTATTTCTTAGGTGTATCTTCCATTTCTCATGCAGATCTTCTGAAACCTGGCTTCACATCAAAATAATTGGAAAGGGTTTTTTAAGTTTTTTTCAAGTAATTTTTTGTTTGTTTGTTTGTTTGTTTGAGATGGAGTCTCGTTCTGTCACCCAGGCTGGAGTGCAGCGGCACGATCTCGGCTCACTGCAGCCTCCACCTCGCAGGTTCCAATGATTCTCCTGCCTCAGCCTCCCGGGTAGCTGGGATTACAGGCACACACCACCACACACAGCTAGTTTTTGTATTTTTAGTAGAGACAGGGGTTTCACCATGTTGGCCGGCTGGTCTTGAACTCCTGACCAGCCTCAGGTAATCCGCCTGCCTTGGCCTCCCAAAGGGCTAGCATTACAGGCGTGAGCCACTGAGTCCAGCCCAAGCTATTTTTTTATTGTGATAAAATGCATATACATACATTAAAGTTACCATTTTAACCATTTACAATGTACAGCCAATGTACAACCATGTATAATTCAGTGATGTTTAGTACAGTCACAACTTTGTGCAAACATAGCAACCATGTAGCTCCAGAGCATTTTTATCACCCTAAATGGAAACCCAATTTTCAGGGCATGCTTAGACAAATAGAAAAAAAAAAAAGAAAGGCTCTAATTTACAAGTGCCTGCAAATTGGGGGGCAGGGGTGGTTTCTATAGTTGGAGAGAAGTTTTATGGTAACTGTAATCAACAAAGGGAATCCATAAATGGTCTCTTGTATATGTACTAAAAGCTTGCCCAAACTGTAACTAAGTATCATCCCTTAAAGATGACAGAAGGGCCTTGGGTATTATGCTAGAAACTAGCACTCAGTTCTATGGTGAGCTACAAACTCAGCCACCTGCAGGACTGAAACAAATGATCAACAGATGAAGTGCTGACAATGAAATGCAATGGCAATAAATTACACCTTGTAGTATTGATCACTGTATTATTAATATTCCATTAACTGAAGACTTTTCTACTTGACCATTTTTCCTTGAATTCCAATGGCTACTTCCAGTTTAATGTAAATATGTGAGTGAGACTTGGTTTTGTAAGTTAGTATCAAAAATAACAACTGCAACTATGTTAAAGCCTAGAGTGAGTATATATAATTTCTTTTCTAATCCTTGGACTCAAAAAAAAAAAAAAGCATCCAGCCACCTAAGGGCACACATGTGTCATCCTTCCCACTTACTATCTGTCATCATTTAAAATAAGTTTCATCAAGCATCTTTCAGAGTTTTTACACAATAAACCTGTGGGGACAGGCAGCACTGTATTACTGACCCTGATTCACAGGGGATATGTCATTTAGGAGGCTTTTGGCTGCAAGTAATAGAAAACCCAATTTAAGCAATAAGGAACATTGTTTATCTCACAAAATAATTGCAAAGAAAGACAAAGCTGGTTTTTCCACATAAGGAGGAAGTTAATTAAAATCACTGACTGGCAAGACAGAATTTACATATCTATCAGTTACCTACAACTTACAAAGACAATAAATAGGGCTAAAAGACAATGAGGCCAGGCATGGTGCTCATGCCTGTAATCCCAGAACTTCTGGTGGCCAAGTTGGACAAATCACTTGAGGTCAGGAGTTAGAAACCAGCCTCCCCAATGTGGCGAAACCTTGTCTCTACTAAAAATACAAAAATTAGCTGGGTGTGGTGGCGGGGCGTGCCTTTAATTCCAGACACTTAGGAGGCTGAGCCACAGGAATCTATTGAACCCATGAAGCAGAGGTTGCAGTGAGCTGAGATCATGCCACTGCACTACAGCCTGGGTGACAGAGTGAGACTGTTTCAAAAAAAAAAAAAAAAAAAAGGACAATGAACAAGGATTTGATCATTTGATCATTTAGAAGGATATGCCCTAGACAGTGTATAGTTTCTATTGAAATACAAATTTTTCTCCATCCCCAAAGATATCATGTAGTAGATATTTGTTTAGCCACTGAGAGATTTTTAAAAAAGAGAAAATATCCATTTTTAGAACTTTTTTTAATTCAAAAGACAGGCTCATGTCTTGCAATTGCTGGGTCATAAATTCCAAGGAAAAATAAAAAGCTCTACAACCAAAGGGAGGATCAGCACTTCAGACTCAAAGGGACATGGTTGTGGAGAACATGTCCGGGGTCAGAAGCTGGACAAGCTTGAGCCCAGCACGGTAGTGCTCTGAGCTTGGACAAAGCCCCCAAAACCAGATGGTGAAGCTAAGGTGAAAGTCAGGCTCCTGGTGCGCAGGTCTTAGAATCTGAGCAAAGCAGTTGGTGGAAGCCAAAATGGTCAGGGGGCCTCAGAGAGCACTCTGGGGCCCCAAATCAACCAAACGGGACATGTGCTGATGACCTCCAGAATGACAAGCCTTTTAAACAGCCATCCTTTTTCATCGTCAGCTCTAAAGAGGATGGGCTGGGTTTCATCTGCTCCCCTCTTCAGAGTCGCTCCCCACTGTTCCGCACTCTCCTTTGTGCCCAGGACTACATCTGTGGTTCCAGACTACTTGTATTGGAGTTGTGAGTTGAGCTAGGTGTTTTTTATTTGCTCGCTTTTTCCCCCGTGGAACATTATCTTTGCTTAAAAAGACTACTGGCTGATAAACAATGGGTATTTGGTAGTATGTAACATATGGTTTAGAAGAAGAATATCCAAGGATCTAAAAAGGCTAATAAAATACTTCTCCTTTTCCAATTTCATGTTTGTGCAAAGCCAGATTGTTTCCATATACTTTAATAGATGGTAACAAATTGAATGCAGAAACAGCTATAAAAATCCAGTTACTTTACATTGCATCAAATTTCTAAAAATGTAAAACAATGTCACTCTTCTCAGTATTTTTTGTTGTTTTGGGAAATATAGTTATTGAACATAAAAATGTTGCTTATGTTAACATTGACTGACTTTGTTATTGGTTGTCTGCATATGCATTAGTAAACATTTAAAAATGTATTAGTTTTATGGTACAATATGGTAAATATCATAGAATTTACCCTACATGAGCAAAAAAAATGTTCTTTGGGGTCCTCAATAATTTTTAGAGTGTGAAGAGGTCCTGGAACAAAAACTTTGAGAACTACTAGTCTAACAAATAGAGAGACAAGTGGTTCTGAGTTGATAGCAAGCAGCATCATGTTACTTAGCCAGTGAGTGAGTCTGGCCTTTACCAGGAGCCCTAGCTCAAGGCAACCTTTGGAGTTTTTATTTAAATTGTATCTGCACTATATTAAATTTAAGGATTTGAGACAGACTTGGGAAATTTGTTGTAATAGTTAATTTTATGTGTCAATTTGGCTGGGCCACGATGCCCAGATATTTGGACAAACATTATTATTTATTTGTTATTTTTTTAAGGGACAGAGTCTCACTATGTTGCCCAGACTGGACTCAAACCACTGGGCTCAAGCAATCCTCCTGCCTTGGCCTCCCAAAGTGATGGGATTACAGGCATGAGGCACCGTGCCTGGCCTGGCCAAACATTATTCTGGATATATGTGTGAGGGTGTTTTTGTGGGTGGGATTAACATATAAATTGGTGAATTCTGAATAAAGCACATTATCCTCCAAAATGTAGGTGAACCTCATCCAATCAGTTGAAGGCTTTAATAACATGAAGGCTTGCCTCCAAATAAGAAGGAATTCTGCCAGCAGACGGCCTTCAGACATGAATTGCAACATCACCTCTTCCTGAGTCAGTTTGCTGGCCCACCCTACAGATTTGGGATTTGCTAGCCTCCATAACTGTGTGAGTCAATCCCTTAAAATAAATCTATTTCTCCTGATATATACACACATCTAATTGGTTCTGTTCCTCTGGGGAACCCTGACTAATACATTAGTCTTCTCAAATATAAAGGATTTACAATAGCAGCCAATAAATCCTTGGTGAAGAAGCGATTAAAAAAAGGGGAGATAAATTTTTTTAAAGTTGTACTAATAATGTTAATTAAAGTATAAAATGTTGGCCGGGCACGGTGGCTCACGCCTATAATCCCAGCACTTTGGGAGGCCGAGGCGGGCAGATCACAAGGTCAGGAGTTCAAGACCACCCTGGCCAACATAGTGAAACCCCACCTCTACTAAAAATACAAAAAAAATTAGCTGGGCATGGTGGCAGGCACCTGTAGTTCCAGCCACTTGGGAGGCTGAGGCAGGAGAATCGCTTGAACCCAGGAGGTGGAGGTTGCAGTGAGCCAAGATTGCGCTACTGCACTCCAGCCTGGGCAACACAGCAAGGTTCTTTATCAAAAAAAAAAAAAAGTATAAAATGTCTGGAAATAACACCAATAAACATGTATAATGGTTTATATGAAATCAGTCATGGTTCTGTATCTAAGGCTGTGCCTGGCAAAATCACAAAATAGTCAACTTGCCTTCCACAGTTTCTCCCGTTTCCTCCTCCCCAACATCCCTTTCAGAGGATTTCTCCAACCCCCAGGGTTTACGTTTCTAAATAGTGTCAGTTTCTTTAATTTTGAGAAACTATTTTCAAGTAAGGTGTTAATGAGTTTGCACCTCCAAAACTAGATTTACATATTAAATGACATCTAAAGAGAAACAAGAATGTTTAGCCCAAAAGTACTGAATTTCTAATAGTGGGTGTTGAGAACTGTAGCATCTGAGTAGGGGGAGATATCTGGGGTAGAGGTCTTCCTGAGTCCCCTCAAGTTGAGCAAAATAGTTGACTACCTATCCCACTGGTACTTGCCGCCTCTTTACAAAACACTGTCATTGAAGCTGCATAGGCGTGGGAATCCTACCTTTGTATCTGGCATATTGGAAGAAATAATGTGCATGGCAGGTGGCTGTGAGTGGCATAGTGAAGAGTTCAGTGGAGCCCTTTGTGGAGTAAAGGGCTAGTGGCTGCTATCCTACATCAGCTCATGAGGCCAAGTCCTGTGCGAGTACTCTCATGAACCACCCAAGGGTCCAAATAATTTTTCCAGAGCAAGAAAATCAGAATTACAATCAGGGGTAAATATTTTTGTCTCTTCCTAATCCAAATACAGAATATTCTTTGTATCTGTGGATTTAATATTTGGAATAGTGAAGGGCCATGCATTATAGTGATTTGAAGTCAACCATACCGCCATATATAGGTAGTATGCTGCCATAGCACAGTAAGTGGGGTTCAATGATTTCAACGGTATAAAATGCGTGTTGAATGACTGCAAGATCAATAAAGTGACTGGAATAAGCCTATGCAGGGTGGCTTGGATTCTCTTGCTGCTTTATTCAAATCTGTATCCACTCCTTGGATTTTAATAGATGTTGACTGGTAGCAATTCCACTCTAGCTTAAATATTAATGGTGACAATTCTGGGTCCTGTGGCTGGCTGAGAACTCCAGGACAGAGGGAAGTTTCCAGAAATCTCCTCGTTAGTTGGCATGCATTCCACTGATCCAATTCAGGGAGTCTATGCTGGAAAATACTGGGAATACAGAGCCTTACTCAATGCCTTCTCCCTACCCAAGAAGGAGCCGTCTGCTGGAACTTCAGTTTGCTGACATTTGACAAGTGGGTGGGTCAAGAGCCAATCAGCAATCAAACAGTATCCAAATTTCCATTATTATGGAATGTGTGTGTGTGTGTACATATATATAGCTTACTCTCTCTCTCTCTCTCTCTAGATATGGAGAAACATATATACATATATATGTTTCTCCATATCTAGAGAGAGAGAGAGAGAGTAAGCTTTGAATAAATGAAGAGATATAAAAAAATACATTCCTGTATGGAAGACTAAATATTAAAGAAAAAAACAGTTATCCATATGTTGTTTCATAGCTTTAAGTATCCTAGTCTAAAATCCAAAGGGACTTTTTTTGTAACTCAAAAAAAAAAATTCTAAAGTTGATCCAGAAGAGTAAAGAGACTAATATAGTCAAAATAATATTTGAAAAGGTTAAATAATTATGGGAAAACATGCTTAGCAAAAATATAAACAAACAAAACTTCAAACAGACAAAAACCCTATGAAAAACCAAAAACCTATTTAAAAACTAAATTCTAAATGAGAACTAACATACAAATCAAGAATCAGCATAGATAGCTAAGAAGCAAATTATAGCATATAAACTAATTCAATTTATTATAAAGGAGACATTATAAATCAATTAAAAAGAGAAGAATCATCCAATTAATAAAAGGAAATTTAATCAAAGGTATTAGGAGAAAATAAATCAGCTTAGATTCTTGCCTTACAATATCATCCAAATAAATCCTACATGAATCAAAGAGCTAAATGTAAAGAAGAAAAATGAAATGAAATAAAAAACAAAATAAAAATAAAAAGCCACAACAATTAGAAGAAAATATATTGTTTCCAACAGCTAGATAAGAAAAGACTTTTTAAACCTAAAGTAAATGCAAAAAAAGTCACAAAAAATATGATTGGACAATCTTAATAGCTATTATAAATAGTTATAAGGCAAACAAGTTACAAAAAATATTTAGGCCCAAATATGCAAAATTTTTCATAATATAGAAACATTTAATAGTAATCAATAACAAAAACTTATTTTATAGGAAACAAGTACTTTCATATCCTGTTGGCAGAACTGTAAATTTATTCAGCCTTCTTGGAAAGCTAATTAGGAATATGCATAAGAAATATATAAAGTCGGCGACCGACCGCAGCCGCCGCCGCCCGACCGCCGGGAGGATGGAGTTCAGCGGGCAGCGGAGCTGTCTCAGTCTTTGCCGCCGCGCCGGCGAGCGCCGCCCGGGAGGCAGCGGCTGGAGGAGCGGACGGGCCCCGCGGGGCCCGAGGGCAAGGAGCAGCCGCCTGCCTTGGCCTCCCAAAGTGCCGAGATTGCAGCCTTTGCAGCCTCTGCCCGGCTGCCACCCCGTCTGGGAAGTGAGGAGTGTCTCTGCCTGGCCGCCCATCGTCTGGGATGTGAGGAGCCCCTCTGCCTGGCTGCCCAGTCTGGAAAGTGAGGAGCGTCTCCGCCCGGCCGCCATCCCATCTAGGAAGTGAGGAGCGCCTCTTCCCAGCCGCGATCACATCTAGGAAGTGAGGAGCGTCTCTGCCCGGCCGCCCATCGTCTGAGATGTGGGGAGCGCCTCTGCCCCGCCGCCCCATCTGGGATGTGAGGAGCGCCTCTGCCCGGCCGAGACCCCGTCTGGGAGGTGAGGAGCGTCTCTGCCCGGCCGCCCCGTCTGAGAAGTGAGGAGACCCTCTGCCTGGCAACCACCCCGTCTGAGAAGTGAGGAGCCCCTCCGACCGGCAGCTGCCCCGTCTGAGAAGTGAGGAGCCTCTCCGCCCGGCAGCCACCCCATCTGGGAAGTGAGGAGCGTCTCCGCCCGGCAGCCACCCCGTCCGGGAGGGAGGTGGGGGGGGGTCAGCCCCCCACCCGGCCAGCCGCCCCATCCGGGAGGGAGGTGGGGGGTCAGCCCCCCCGCCCGGCCAGCCGTGCCGTCCGGGAGGGAGGTGGGGGGGTCAGCCCCCCGCCCGGCCAGCCGCCCCGTCCGGGAGGTGAGGGGCGCCTCTGCCCGGCCGCCCCTACTGGGAAGTGAGGAGCCCCTCAGCCCGGCCAGCCACCCCGTCCGGGAGGGAGATGGGGGGGTCAGCCCCCCCACCCGGCCAGCCGCCCCGTCCGGGAGGGAGGTAGGGGGGTCAGCCCCCCACCTGGCCAGCCGCCCCGTCCGGGAGGGAGGTGAGGGGGTCAGCCCTCCGCCCGGCCAGCCGCCCCGTCTGGGAGGTGAGGGGCGCCTCTGCCCAGCCGCCCCTACTGGGAAGTGAGGAGCCCCTCTGCCCGGCCAGCCGCCCTGTCCAGGAGGGAGGTGGGGGGGGGTCAGCCCTCCGCCCGGCCAGCCGCCCCGTCTGGGAGGTGAGGGGCGCCTCTGCCCAGCCGCCCCTACTGGGAAGTGAGGAGCCCCTCTGCCCGGCCAGCCGCCCCGTCCGGGAGGGAGGTGGGGGGGTCGGCCCCCCGCCCGGCCAGCCGCCCCGTCCGGGAGGGAGGTGGGGTGGTCGGCCCCCCGCCCGGCCAGCCGCCCCGTCCGGGAGGGAGGTTGGGGGGGGTCGGCCCCCCTGCCTGGCCAGCCGCCCCGTCCGGGAGGTGAGGGGCGCCTCTGCCCAGCCGCCCCTACTGGGAAGTGAGGAGCCCCTCTGCCCGGCCAGCCGCCCCATCCGGGAGGGAGGTGGGGGGGTCAGCCCCCCACCCGGCCAGCCGCCCCGTCCGGGAGGGAGGTGGGGGGTGGTCAGCCCCCCCGCCCAGCCAGCCGCCCTGTCCGGGAGGTGAGGGGCGCCTCTGCCCAGCCGCCCCTACTGGGAAGTGAGGAGCCCCTCTGCCCGGCCAGCCGCCCCGTCCGGGAGGGAGGTGGGGGGGTCGGCCCCCCGCCCGGCCAGCCGCCCCGTCCGGGAGGGAGGTGGGGGGGTCAGCCCCCCTGCCCGGCCAGCCGCCCCGTCCGGGAGGTGAGGGGCGCCTCTGCCCGGCCGCCCCTACTGGGAAGTGAGGAGCCCCTCTGCCCGGCCACCGCCCCGTCTGGGAGGTGTGCCCAACAGCTCATTGAGAACAGGCCAGGATGACAATGGCGGCTTTGCGGAATAGAAAGGCGGGAAAGGTGGGGAAAAGATTGAGAAATCGGATGGTTGCCGTGTCTGTGTAGAAAGAAATAGACATGGGAGACTTTTCATTTTGTTCTGCACTAAGAAAAATTCCTCTGCCTTGGGATCCTGTTGATCTGTGACCTTACCCCCAACCCTGTGCTCTCTGAAACATGTGCTGTGTCCACTCAGGGTTAAATGGATTAAGGGCGGTGCAAGATGTGCTTTATTAAACAGATGCTTGAAGGCAGCATGCTCGTTAAGAGTCATCACCAATCCCTAATCTCAAGTAATCAGGGACACAAACACTGCGGAAGGCCGCAGGGTCCTCTGCCTAGGAAAACCAGAGACCTTTGTTCACTTGTTTATCTGCTGACCTTCCCTCCACTATTGTCCCATGACCCTGCCAAATCCCCCTCTGTGAGAAACACCCAAGAATTATCAATAAAAAAATAAATTAAAAAAAAAAAGAAATATATAAAGTCTATGTTCTTTGACCCACTAATTCCATCTACATGACTCTATCTTAAGGTGATAATGATAAAATAAGGAAAGAAGTTATGACAGTATACAAAACTGTGTATAAAACTATGTACATACAATATAATCGAAACTATTCTAAATACACTTAGAAAAAAAAAAGACTGGAAGGAAATATACCACGAAAGATTGTTCATCCAACAAGCTTTTATCGTTCAGATGGGCTCAACATTTGGGTCTCCCGCAAATTCCTGTGGTGAATCTCTAACCCCCAACGTGATGGTATTAGTGGGTGAGGCCTTTGCAAAGTAATCAAGTTTAGATGTGGTCCTGAGGGTGAAGCCCTCATGATAGAATTAGTACCCCTGTAAGAGATGAAAGCTCTCTCTCTCTCTTCACCATGTAAAGCCACAGCAAGAAGGTGGCCATCTGCAAGCCTGGAAGACAGCCTTCACCAGAACCAGACCCTATTGGCACTCTGATCTTGAACTTCTTGGCCTCCAGAACTGTGGGAAACAAATGCTTGTTGTTTACACCACAGTCTATGATATTTTATTACAGCAGCCCAAGCAGATGAAGACATTGATCACTAGTTATATCTCAGTTTGTAAGATTATGAGTGATTTTTGTCTATCCTTCTCATTTTCCAAATTTAACACAAAATTTATGATTTACATCTTAATCTTTATAAAGCATAAATTACTCATTAATATATAACTACACCCCCATTGTAAAAGTCAAGCAATTTAAAAAAGAGCAAAATATAAAAATTCTCCTTTAACATTTTATCTTACCAGTCCCCCATGGTGGGTTTGATTTCTCAAAAATAAGCACCAATAGCAATTTATGGATTTATCTTTTTAGGTATTTTACATTGCATATATAAACATGCATACATATGTAAGGAAACAGTCATATGCAGAGTTTTTTTTTTTAATTTATTGCTTACAGAAAACTGTAGAGGAGCTATATACTTCTAGTATAGTGTTTTGTTTAACACACACAATAATTTAACAGTCGCATAGCTACACAAGTAGTACTTCCCTACCAAATAAACTGTTTAACACCTATTGTCACATGCCTGACCCTTCACATTTTCATATCTGTTGGCCTCTGTGCTTTTGTGTTTATCACCTTGGATTTCCTTAATATTTTGTGAAATGCTTCAAAACACCCCCACACACACCCCAAATAAGCTGTTTGCATGTCAATATGTCTAGATCTTTTATACATAGTATTCTTTTCTACATAATATTCAATAGTACACATTGCTTTTATAATCAGAATTTTGAAAAGTACACATGATTTATTTTAAAAGGGTTTAGATGCAAATTTTCAAATTGCTTCAAGTTTCCTGAATGTGTCCCTGCCTGTTCATTAGCTGTGAAGCAGGAAGTCTCTTAGTCTCTGTTTAATTTTTCATCAAAGATGGTTTGTGAAAGGGTGCAGTGGTGATCTGGAAGGCATTCTTATACTGAATGGCTACATCAATAAAGACTCCTGTTTGTACAGTAGAAAAGCAAAATTATTATTTAGAAACTCCCCTGAGGAAACTTGCTTTTCACACAGAATGGATTATGTGTCTAAATGTCAAAGGAATTTCCATAGTTTTCATAAATACGCTTCATACCCAGAAAACAGCAGTTGGTTTAAGATTTTGTAAATCAGGTTTGCCTCTACCCCCCAGATATACGTTAAATTTTTTATTATACTCAGTTCCACTACATTACTATGTTCTGTCTTGTCGTATATTCCAATCATCTCACGCCTCATTAATTTAAATACTTATTTACTTATTTATTTTTTGGAGACAGAGTCTCACTTTGTCACCCAGGCTGGAGTGCAGTGGTGCAATCATAGCTCACTGCAGCCTCGAACTCCTGGGCTCAAGCCATCCTCCTGCCTCAGCCCCTCAAGTAGTTGGGATTACAGGTGCACACTACTATGCCCAGCTAATTTTCTGTATTTTTTGTAGAGACGGGGTTTTGGTTTTGCCATGTTGTCCAGGCTGGTGTTTAAGTATTTAAACCCGTATTCCCTAAATATAGTATATGTATACACATAGGTATATATGAATAGATTATATATTGCATATATAATATGACATGTTATTGTTATATATTAATGTACAATATATTAATATTTTTTATATATAAAGGTTTTATACACACACCCACAGACAAATTAACTCCCCCAGGCACTCACCTGGCTTGGTCTCAGCAGGGTGTCGCAGATTGATCCCAGCAGTGAAAGGTAATTAGAAGTAATCCCAATCTTACTGGCATCTCTCAAATCTCTCAAATATCATTAGAGAGGATCCAATGCATAGCCTATAGTAACAACAAATGCTCTTTCCTTATTCCTCTTCTTGCCCCTCACCACAAAAATCTGTCCAAGAGCCTCTCTCCCTATAGCTCACTCTAGTCCCTCCCCTTTCAAAGCCTAGAGTCCCTCCCCTTTCAAAGTCAATTCCCATCCTTGCTTCTCTGTTCTTCCCCACTGGATTTCCTGGGTTCTGTAGTTTAGGATCCTAGAATGGGGGCAGACGGGAAGATGGACCAGGAGATGGAAGGAGACAATCCTATCAGACACCAAGAGCTCCTCAGCACAAGGGAAAAGGGCACAAGAGATGGAATAAGATCTAGACACTTTTGTGTCATAATATTTTGTACTTGCTAAATATGTCTACAGAGACTATATTTTTCAGATGAATTTTTATATACAAGGTCTAGAACTGGGCAGCATATTAAAGCTGGATTTTGGAAAATCAAGGGAGAGATTTTTGAGGGTTGTTTACTGGTTTTTTTCTTTAAAACTTTTTTTTATTTCAATAGCTTGTGGGGTACAAGTAGCTTTTGGTTACATGGATGAATTGCATAGTGGTGAAGTCTTAAGATTTTAGTGGACACTGTACCTAATATGTAGTTTTTTATTCCTCATCCCCCAACCCTCCCCCTTCAGAGTCTCCAAAGTTCATTATATCACTCTGTATGCTTCTTTTGTACCCACAGCTCACGCTTGTAAGTGAGAACATATGGTATTTGATTTTCCATTCCTGAGTTACTTCATTTAGAATAATGGCCTTCAGCTCCATTCAAGTTGCTGCAAAAGACATTATTTTGTTCTTTTTTATGGCTGAGTAGTATTTCATGGTGTATATGTAACAAATTTTCTTTATCCACTCATTGGTTAATGGGCACTTAATTTGGTTCCATATCTTTGCAATTGTAAATTGTGCTGTAATAAACATATGCATGCAGGTGTCTTTTTGATAAAGTGACTTCTTTTCCTTTGGGTGGATACCCAGTAGTGGGATTACTAGATTGAGGTAGATCCACTTTTAGTTGTTTAAGAAATCATGCTGTTTTTCACCAGTTGTAGTCATTTACATTCCCATCAGCTGTGTATAAGTGTTCCTTTTGTGCCACATCCACCCCAATATCTACTGTTTTTGACTTTTTAAATAATGGCTACTCTTTCAGGAGTAAGGTGGTATCTCACTGTGGTTTTAATTTGCATTTCTCTGATGTTTAGTGATGTTGAGCATTTTTGTTTGCTCCTGCCTATATAATTACTTATGCAATTACTTCACAAGTTACTGTGAAATGCCCCCATCCAATATTATATATTACATAACTATATATATTATATGTCATATTATATATGTAATATATAGTATATTCATATATACCTATGTGTATGCATGTACGCAAATACTATATTTAGGGGATACAGCTTTAAATACTTAAATGCCAGTTTGGGCAACATGGCGAAACCTCGTCTCTACAAAAAAACACAAAAAATTAGCCAGGTGTAGTGGTGCATATCTGTAATCTCAACTACTTGAGGGGCTGAGGCAGGAGGATATTTGTTAGTCATTTGTATATCTTCTTTTGAGAAATGTTTATTCATGTCACTTGCCCAATTTTTGATGGGATTATTTATTTTTTCTTACTGATTTGTTTGAACTTCTTGTAGATTCTGGATTTTAGTCCTTTGTTGGATGCACAGGTTTGCAAATATTTTCTCCCATTCCGTAGGTTGTCTGTTTATTCTCACGATTATTTATTTTGCTGTAGAGAAGCTTTTCAGTTTAATTAGGTCCCATTTATTTATTTGTTTTAGTTGCATTTGCTTTTGGGGTCTTAGTCATGAATTCTTTGCCTAGGCTGAGGTCCAGAATAGTTTTTCCTAGGTTTGCCATTAGAATTTTTATGGTTTCAGGTTTTAGATTTAAGTTTTTGATCCATCTTGAGTTGATTTTTGTATAAGGTGAGAGATAGAGATTCAGTTTCATTCTTCTACATGTGGCTGTCTAGTTTTCTCAGCACCATTTATTAAATAGGCTGTCCTGTCCCCAATTTACATTTTTTGTATGCTTTTGTGAAAGATCAGTTGGTTGTAAGTAATTGGCTTTATTTCTGGGTTCTCTATTCTGTTCCTTTGGTCTATGTGTCTACATTTATACCAGTACCATGCTGTTTTGGCAACTATAGCCTTGTAGTATAATTTGAAGTCTGGTAACGTGATGCTTCCAGATTTGTTCTTTTTGCTTAAGATTGCTTTGGCTATTCAGGCTCTTTTTTGATTCCATATGAATTTTAGGATTGTTTTTTCTAATACCGTGGAAAATAATGTTGGTATTTTCATGGGAATTGCATTGAATCTGTAGATTGCTTTGGGCAGTGTGGTCATTCACCATATTGATTCCTCCAATCCATGAGCATGGGGTGTGTTTCCATTTGTTTGTGTCACCTATGTATTCTTTCAGCAGTGTTTTGTAGTTTTCCTTGTAGAGATCTTTCATTTCCTTGGTTAAGTATATTCTTAGGTATTCTATTTTTTTGGCAGCTGTTGTAAAAGAGACTGAGTTATTGATTTGATTCTCAGCTTGGCAGTTGTTGGTTTATAGCAGTGCTAGTGATATGTGTACATTGATTTTGGTTTGTTTCTTGAAAAGAGGAGAGTAACACTGAGTGCAAGTTACTGTGGAATGCCCCCTATCAGATACTATTTTGTTGAGCTAGCACAACATTGCTGAAAGGAATGTATCATTGCCTCTGTTTCATTCATGAGGAATGTAATGTGACCTTTGGTATATCTGTCCTTCCTTTCTGGTCAGAGTGAACTGAACCAGAGTCAGCTTGCTCCAGTGTGCATATGGCATGAGGTAAGCCAATCAGATATTCTCTTCCAGGAGTTTGGAATCAAGGTTCAGTGATAGCAGGGGCTGGAACTGTAACTTGTGAGTGAGTTAACCCTCTGAGAGACTGGGTCCTGGTCTGGAGAATCTTTGTTTGCTGACTCCCAAGATAGGACAGGCAATGCTGAGTGTTCACATCCAGCTGTAGAAGCCAGGAGAAAGTTGGTGCCCCTGCATGGAAGGGTTGAGAGATTGAGGAGCCTGGTGGAATTGGGTGCAGAAGGGGGTGACCCAGGAGCACACTGGATGACGTATTTAGAGTAGGGGCAAAAGAGAAGAACCCTAATTAGAGGTGCTGCTGGGAAGATTTGGAGGCAGAGAATGGGTTTGAAGAATTTGCCTGGGAGTATGTAGGGTAACCCCTGCATTGTCCTGCGAACTCCTCAGTAAAGTCAGATGGGCCTCTTATGTTTTGGTGAGTGCAGAGCCCTGTGTCCATGCTTGTGTGAGACAAGAACAGGGGCTGGACAGGGGAACGGCTGGCATTTGGGCTAAATGGGCCAACTCAGATGTTATAGGAGGTACCTCTTGGCAGAGGAACAGATAAAGCTGGACAGTAGAGAGAAAAGAAGAAATATGCCATTAAGAGAGAAATAAAGGTGAGAGAAAGAGTGAAAGTCTTGCTTTGTGGGTGGTGGTGATGTCTTGTTAGCCACTAGTTCTGGTTCTAGTTCTGTCCTGAGGACTAGATGGTCTCCTGCCCTTGCTTTCTGGGAGGCATTCTTGTATACTTATTATACATTCTCTTTTTTAGTTAACCTAGCTCAAAATTGGGTTCTGTTAATAGCTATCAAAAACCTTAATAATTACAAGAAATCCATAGCACCTAGAATTTAAGTAAATCGAGCCAAGTCCTGTGGCTACTTAGCAGTAGGAGCTGGGTTCAGACCCATCTCCTAGCGCTCTCTCCATCACACTCTGAGTGGCCACCCTGGCTGCCTCATTGTTTTGCAAATACACCGACCTCAGGAGCTCATGCTGATCCTATTAGAGTTTGCTCCTCCTGTCACAAACAGCCCTAGAGGCCACTTCCTCACCTCATTTAGGTCTCAATTCTAATGTCACTCAGAGATACCTACCCTGACAACCTCATCTAAAATAGTCTCTAAATTCTTTCTTGTATACTTACTATAAATATTAAGTTTCTAGGCTTTACATATTTATTTATTTTTACTAAAACTTATTGCTACTAGAATTTATATTGCATGTTTATTTGTATACTTTTTTATCTACCTCCCCCCGTCCCCACCAGAATATAAGCTCTTTGAGGTCTGGGATCACCTTTCTTATCCATTGCTGTATTTTCAGTGCACTGACTAGAACTGCACCTGGCATATGGAAGATATCCATAAGTGTTTGTTTCATCAGTTCATTAAGCCTAGATCAATGCCATTTTCATGGCCTTATAATATTTGATCACAAACCTAGGAACACTCAGAAAAATCCTACTGGAGTAATCTCAGCAGTCTGGGAGGCTGAGGTGGGTGGATCACTTGAGGCCAGGAGTTCGAGACCAGCCTGGCCAACATGAGGAAACCCTGTCTCTATTAAAAATACAAAAATTAGCTGGGCATGGTGGCACACACCTGTAGTCCCAGCTACTTGGGAGGCTGAAGCATGAGAATTGCCTGAACCTGGGAGGCGGAGGTTGCAATGAGCCAAGATGGTGCCACTGCACTCTAGCCTGGGTGCCAGAGCGAGACTCTGTCTCAAGGGAAAAAAAAAGGAATGAAAACAACCTCTGAAGAATGTCCGTGAAACTTAGTTTCTCATCCTGCAGAGAAGATAGATGTCTGCTGGCTATTCTTCTGGACTGAAAGGATGTAGACAGTTGAGGCAATGTGCTCTGATCCAGCATTTATCAGAACAAAACAAAATACGTGTACATTCATTTCTAGTTGTTCTTTCACAGTTTTTCTGGCCTGGGAAAACAAAGCTTCAGTGACAGTCAAAACGCTTTTGTTCCTATGATATCACACTTTAAATTGCAAATGGTATCTACCTTGTTCTTGGCTTCATGTTATTTTCTGGGTCTGTTTTAAAAGATTGTTCACTGTGTTCATGCTCACTGTGTCCAGTCGGCCTGAGATGGTCTGGCTTGCTGAGAGTAGCCTGTCCCCACAGCTGTATGGGAGGAGAGCTGCTAGGACCTCAAAATGTCCAAATAGTGGCACTCACAGGAAGTCAGGAAGGGCGAGCTGAGGGAGGAAGCAGAGGAAATGGGATGTGCTCCCATCTGAGCCTGACTAGGATCTCTCAGTTTATAATTTTGAAACCCGACTATCAAACAGAGGGTTACTTTAGCTGTGGCTTTCAGACCCTGGTCCCCGTGTAGCCATGTCAATGGTAGCCCCTGACTAGCTACCCTGACACGCCTGCTATTTCATCCGTTGCTTTTAACAATGGGCTAATGAAAGGATGCAAGTAGCCGGAGAGTTAGCACCAGTCCATAACCAACACTGAAAAAATGGAACTGAAGAATTTAATAATAATATTAATTTGTGCTTGTATGTTACTCTTTCATGTTAACTTCTTCACTTTCATAGCACTTAATTTTAATCGATAAGAAACTCACTGTGATTTGGTGGCTGAGTGTGGTTGTTCAGCTAGTGAGTAGTAAGGTCTGGACTCAAACTCAGATCTCTTGACTGCAAGATCAGGGCTCTTTCCACCGCAGCTGCCTCCCTATGTCTGCATTCAAAGAATGGCTTGCTATACAATTTATTTTCGTGATTATGTTACATTGCCAAATAAGCACGGTCTTTTAGAGTCACAAATTCAGAGAAAGCTAAAGATAAATCAGCAGCCTGAAAAAGACAGTTGATAGTCTTTATTTGGTAAATCACAACACGAAGCCAGACCTTGACCCAAATTTGATGGTAGCCTTGTTTCTAATGAGGGCCCTGTCTGATGCAAGTGAAAAATGCAGTAACTCAGATTTATAGGCAGCCATCTCCATGCCTGGGGAGGCAGTGCCTGGAGCCTTCTCATCTGGCTTGCTGAGTCAAAGTCACTAAGTCTTTCTGCTCCAGAAACCACAAAAGTCACTTTGTTCTTTGACTTAGTCCTGCCAAAATTCAAAACTTGGTGAAATCGTTGAAATGGCCAGCCAGATGCCATTCCTTCACCAGACTCCCGATAGAAAATGACGTCGTGAAAAAATGACGTCGTGAGTTCAGCAACTCCCTAGCTAATTCCTGAGATTTCAAAGGCATTAGTAATTAATTCCACTTCTCCCTTCCTTCCACTAGCCACTCATGTCAAATAAGGGGAGTCAATGTTTGCTTGAATTACGCAGATAATTGCTTATTCTTTCCACTTGCCTAGGCGTGTTCTGAAAGCCTAGATAACAATTACCACAGGAAGTGGTGACTTTCCATCTCACCTCTTTGCTTTGTTTATCATTTTAAAAAATGAACTGTGATCAGACAGATATTCCAATGCCCAGGGGCTGAGATGTGTAAACAGAGAAGATGGTAGAAGGGAAGGGCCCTGAGCTTGCTCAGAAAGTTACAGGTGGAAGAAAGGCCTTGGGGAGAGTAAGAAAGCATAAAGACATCTCTTTAACCTTCCTTTTAAAGTCTTAAAGTTTGTGATGCAGCAATTAAACTTCTGAGAATTTACCTTTATGTCAGTCAGGGTCTAACCTGGAAAAGAGAAAGCTCTCTGAGTGTTCAGAGCAGAGATCAATGCAGGGAAGTGGTTGCTAGGGTAAGGGGTGCACCCCAGAGCTGAGCACCACCAAGAAGCCCTCTAGCTGCTGGGCTGAGGGGACCTGGGTGACAGGTGGTGTCATCAGAGCTGGGACCTTGATGGGCCTGCCTGGCAGTGGTGAGACCAGTGGGGAGAGACATGGCTGCTGGAGCCTGAGCTTCTCCCCGCCCCCCTAGCCAGTCTCCCATTGCACAAACCCAGCTGGAAACCAAGGGACTCAGGGCCCTGAAAAGCCCAGCCTGCATGGGGTCACACAGCCCTGTGACATAAGGCAGAACTGGGGGAGGGCAAGAAATGGATCCAAGAGCTCACCGGCCCAAGGAAGCAACCTAAAAAGAAATCATCAATAAGTAAATGTTTGTGAATGGATAGAAAAAGTCACAGATTCTTGTACCTAAAGACTAAGTTTGGATTTAAGATAAGTGAGATAACGAGAAATCATTCCAGAAAAAGAAGTCCTGGAAAATATATCAGGCGAAGGATAGGTGGAATAAAAGCTAGAGTTAGGAGAAGTAAAAATAGACTATGTACTTGTTAAATGATAAGACGGAGAGAAACAACCCGAGTCAAAGTAGATAAAACATGCCACGACAAACTGCAAATTACAGCTCAAGTTCTCACAAATGAGTTGGACCTCATTTATAAGGGGAGAGTGTCAAAATAATTCCCTGTGAGATGTGACATGGGACGAAGCAGTGACAAAGAATCACAGAAGACAAACCTTTATCTTGAGGTCTTACCACACACTCAGGCACAAATTCGGTGTGCTGAGAGGCTGGAGTCCATGTCCTGATAGGTGATGGGGAATAAAGGATGAAATTGACAAAGAAACAGTGACACGAGGTCACAGTAAAGCTGTGGTATAGGCCTTTGAGGGCATGAACAGAATAAGATCAAAAAGCAACAGGAAACTTGAAGAGAGGATTCCCAAAGGAAAACCCAATTTTTATTTTGCCAAGAAAAGCCTAAACAAACAAAAGCTATATATCGCTGAAGAAATAGGAGAACAACAACAAAAAAAAAAATCCCAGAATAAAGCCAGGTCTTTACGTTGAATTCATTTAGATAAAATAAAACTCATTACATTGTCCTATTTTTCTCTATGTGTTACAAAGTGGTATTCGGTAAGCACTGGATTTTATGACCCCTGAATTTCTTCCTAGTCCTAAGATTCTACGATCTTGGCCTGTTTCGTTAAAGCGGTTGTGGTTCTGTGTCGGGCATTAGGTGAAGAGACTATTAGGGTTAAGAGCAGATTTTAATTTAATTGATATCCAACCAGATGATCGACTTGTCACCAATCGCCACTGAAGAACTGTATTGATAATGGGAAAATTAATCTCCTTAACAGTAGGAAGGAGGAAATGTGTTGGCCACACTCTCATCCCCAATGACCCTTCACCATGTTTGTACCAGATGAAATTGACTTTCTTTGGCTGAAGCTCTTTGGACACACTTAGCATCTAACCCAAGAGCAAACAATCTCTAAATTGGTCCGAAATTTAGGGAGTGGCCTGGTGCAAGAAATACCATCCATACAGAGACGAGGGAGCTAAACAGACTCTAGCTCCTTTTGAGAATTTGACTGTGAGATATGTGTAGAAAGAATTTAATTCCTCATTGTGTTAATGGTGGGGCAATTGTCAAGCTGGAGACTTCCTGATACCAAAAGATTTAGCAGCTCTCCTTTAGTGGCCCAGTTCAGCAGTGTAGCTCCGTGAGTGGTTCCTGAAAGCTTCATCTTGAGTCTTTCTTTTCCCCTCCCAATGACGCTACAAGCCATTTAATATCCATTCCTGCTTAAACCGGTTAGAGTGGATTCTGTTCTCTGAAACTTACCAAATGTAATTCCTGCATTAAAGGTATTACAGCCTTTTGGGGAGATAGACATGTGAACAAATCTATGAGGGTAATGCACTTTCAGGTACATAGCCGGTGCACTGGGAGCATAGAGGAGTGAGCGCCTAAACTCAAGGAAGCCGAGGAATGACTCACACTGAAACTTGAGAGAAGACACTGCCCAGGTTGCAGGTGCTAAGTCAAAGACCCATGCACTTGAGGGCTGCACGGAGCTTCAGGCGTAATCTGCAGGCAAAAAGGCATTGCCCTGTGTGGTTACAAATGCAAATACTGAAGGCAGAGAGATGAAATAACCAGCTCAAGGCTTAACAATTAGTTTCGTAGTCCACACTGGAGCACAGGTCTGATTCCCAGGTCAGTGTTGATTTAGGTAATATTCATGGACTCCTACATTTATCATGTGTGGATAAATGTTACAACAGAATGGAGAAAGTGGGCATATGACAAAATGTTTACGGAACAAGAAAGGTGAGAGAGTTGAGAAGTATGAAGCTGTTTGGCAGTCCCTGTGAGTGCCCTGAACCAAGGTGGCTGGAGCCCTTTCTGACTGTTCTGCCCAATGGGCCTTACAGGGCCATCTGCAGGGGGTGCCATAGCACAGTTCTGTCACATCAGCCCTTTGCCTGCTGTCTGCCTCATGTGGGGCAGTGGTCTGGTGTTGATTAGTCATTGTGGTCTGTCCCACAAAACAAAGAGCACCTGTTATCCTGGACACTGGACAGAGGAGAAGGGGGAGAGTGTGGCTAGATTTACTCAAATGTGTGACTGCTTTTGCAAAGACATTCTGGGAACCATGCTCCTACCTTCATCTCCCACATCTAGGAGGCATTTGTCCATCTCTTCACCATCCCTCCCTCCCTTCATATATCTCTTGCTATTCTCTGTACCTATGTATTCCTATATCTACAGCTATTAACATCAAATACTTATCTAGTGCTTACTATGTGTCAGGCAGTGCTCCAAGTGCTTTATGTTGATGAACTCAATTAATGTAGTCCTTACAACGGCCCTGTGATGTGGGTATTCTCTCATTTTCCAAGGAAGGAAACTAGACACATGGAGGCTAAGTCAACTGCTTAAGGCCACACATCTTATATCTACCTGTTCACCCACCTTCATGTTTACATCGCTTCTCTTTCCTCAAAGGGTGACTCTCTCATCCCATTGATCACCAGGTTTGTTGGTTCTATTTCCTAAATACTCCTCAATTTGCCCCCTTGGCTCTTTTCATCCTGCTTCTATTTTACCCAGTATAGGCTTCCTCCCCTGTCACCAGCCACTCCTGGTTTTGGATGATTGTCATAGTTTTCTAGCCAGTCACTCTGATTTCAACCTCCCCTTCCTCTTCCTCCATCCTGCACAAACGTACCCCAGCACAGGTAGCATGGTTTTTCTAAAACAGCATTTCCCAAGGAAGCTGCCTTGAGGCTTGAGGAACATCTAGCATGCCCGGCCTTGGACTTCTAGATGGCAATAGCACCTCTCAGTCATTGTGAGAAACAGATGCCCCAGACATTTTCAGACCGCTTAGCTGAGAATCTCTATTAAACACACACACACACACACACACACACACACACACACACACACACACAAATCAACTCCCTTAAATCTATTTAAAACCCTCAAATAGGTTTATGCATTCAACAAATATTTGTTAATCCCTTACCATGTCACGCACTGGGCTAGGTAGTAAGAAGAGTTGGTGAATAAACAATCCTCATGAAGCACACTGTGTAGAGGGCATGAGAGATGCCGAATAGCTGCTCACAGATGTGCTCAGTGTTGCACAGAAGTGTGAGTGGGGGGCAACAGGAGCCGGAGGAACCAGGAACGGCCCCTGCAGGATCTAAGATTTAAGCTGCAACCCGCAGGATGAGCAGGACTCAGCTGGTGAAGTGGACAGCGGAGAGAGGATGAGCATCCTGGCCAGAAAGAGCCACATAGGCACAGTTCCTGATGAGAAGCAGGGCACGTGGAGTCCCACAACAGAAAGAAACCTGGCAAGGCTAGGGCAGAGTGCTGAGTGTGGAGGGCGCAGGGGTGGGCTCCAGAAGGGGGCATGAGAAAGAGGCAGGTCATGCAGGGCCTGATGGGGTCACAGCAAGGGTACTGGCCTTCATCCCAAGACAAACAAAGTTGTTGGTTTAAAATCAACTTCACAGAGGTATAATTTAAAAACAGTAAAATGCCCTTTTGTTGAGTGTGTGGCTCATTGAGTAGCCACCACAGCCAAGATACAGCACATCACTCAGAAATTCCCTCCTGCTTCTTTGCAGTTAGTCCCTGGCCCCTGGTAACTGCTGTTCCTTGTTCTGATTCAACTGTTGCTTGCTATAGATTTAAAGAAAGGGGTCTGAAGGATCTGTCAGGCTGCAGTGTGGACAACAGATCAGAGGAGAGCAAGAATAGATGGGAGAGAGCCATTAGCAAGCTGTGGTCGTACCACAGGCAAGAGCTGGATTGTGACAATGGCAGCAGGGATGAAGAGGATGGAAAGGCATGACACATGAGAGAGGCATTTAGGATGGAATCCAGGTCCTCTGCATGGCCCCCCAAGGCCCTGAACCCAACAGCCCAAACCCATCCTTCCCGCTGAAAGTCCACAGATGCTAAGCTCCAGCCAAGAGAGCTGCTCCCCACTTCCGGGGCCAACCAAGCTCCTCCACACATACAAGCCTTCGCATGTGCTGTTACCTTTCCCTGGAAGTGTCCTTTCTCCCTGTCAGTGCATCGAGTCCTCTTTCATGACCCAGCATAAAAGTCATCTGTTCCATATTTTCCACTTAAATTATGCCCTTTACGTGAAATATTCACTGTCAGTAGCTAAAAGCTGCAGAGTAGATAGATTTCTAAATCTCTTCTTGATCACAATGTATAAAATTAATTTGAAATTTGAGTTTTTAAATACAAATTCTTATTTGTTTAAAAAATACATACTCTTGATTAATTGGACTGGAATACCCTTAATAAAGGGGCAATCTAATTGATTTTTTTAATAGGCTTTTAATTTTAGGATGTTTTAAATTTACAGAAAATTATGAAGATAGTACAGAGAATTCTTATATGTCTCACATTCAGTTCTCCCTACTAACATTAATTAATTAGTAACATTAGACCTATTTTAGTACAGTACATTTGTTACAATGAATGAACCAGTGTGGATATGTTATTATTAACTAAAATCTATACTTTTCCTTTTTCCCTGATACCCTTTTTCTGTCCCCGGATCTCACTGGGACACCATGTTACAGTCAGTGCTTGTGTCTCCTTAGGCTCCTCTTGGCTGTGGCGGTTTTCCTTGTTTTTGCTGACCTTGATACTTTTTCTGTGTTTGTGTTGTTGATGTTCATTTTTAAAAATTGTGTTAAAATATACATAACATAAAATTTAAAATTTTCACCATTTTAAGTTGTACAGTTCAGCAGCATTAGTACATTCACACTGTTGTGTAGCCATCATCACCATCCATCTCCAGAACTTTTCTATCATCTCAAACTGAAACTCTCTACCCCTTAAATACTAACTCCCCATCCTTCCTTTCCCCAAGACCCTGGCAATCACCATTCAACTTTCTGTCTCTGAATTTGACTATTCTAGGTACTTCATATAAAAGTCATCATATAGTATTTGTCCTTTTGTGTTTGGCTTATTTCACTTGATATAATGTTCTCAAGGTATATCCACATTGTAACATGTCTTTTATTCTTTTTTAAAGGTGACTAATAATCTATTGTTTGTATACACCACGATTTGTTTATCTATTCATCCAAGATGGACATTTGGATTGTTTACACCTTTGGGCTATTGTATGTAATTGACTTTTAAATTGTCAAATATTATTGCTACATTACTTCCTGGAAGAAGGCCAAAAAACCCAAAGGTACTAAAACCTGCATAGAAACTGATCCTTTCAGTTAAAAAACAGTTTTAAAAATGTACCTTTTGGCCGGGCGCGGTGGCTCATGCCTGTAATCCCAGCACTTTGGGAGGCCAAGGCGGGCACATCACGAGGTCAGGAGATCGAGACCATCCTGGCTAACGCGGTGAAACCCCGTCTCTACTAAAAATACAAAAAATTAGCCCGGCATGGTGGCGGGCACCTGTAGTCCCAGCTACTCGGGAGGCTGAGGCAGGAGAATGGCGTGAACCTGGGAGGCGGAGCTTGCAGTGGGCCAAGATAGCGCCACTGCACTCCAGCCTGGGCGACCCAGTGAGACTCCATCTCAAAAAAAAAAAAATGTACCTTTTGTGTAGCAGACTCTTTGCCGGTTGCTGGGAAATAAGACAAATAAGACTGTTAACGTGTCCTAACCAAATGATGAGAAAGAAAAGTAAACAATTTCAGCATTGCAAAATATATATCTATTTAAGGAAAAAGGTAATAACAAAAATGGATAATGGTCTACAGAGAAGGGGAATATGAAATCTTCATAGAAGAAGTGATATTAGAGCAGGGTTTTGAAGGCTAAATAGGAGTTCGTCAGGCAAATAAGTGGAAGAAGTGTATTCCAAGAGAGGAAACAGCACATGCAAAGTCAGGAAATAATACTGTATTTTGTGTATATGCAAATCATGACCATTCAGGTTTGCTGGTGTGTGCATGTCCAGGTTGGGGGCTTGGGAGGTTGGGCGCTTATGGTCAAAAGCAGACCCTGATGCCAGAACACCTGGGTTCAAGTCTCAGCATTACCACTTAAAAAATCTGTGTAAATTTGAACAAAATTCTTTTTACATTTTTATTTTTTTCTCACAAGCCTTTGGAAAGAATTGAATGCAATTCTTGACCACACTTTAAAAATTATCTTTCTATAAGGACAGGGGAGAAGGGATGAGAAAATAATGCCATCACCTAAGGACTTTTGTGAATATTAAATCAAATAACTCACATAAAATACAGAGCATTGATGCAGTATTTTTACTCCTTAGCTCAGCTAGGTCCAGGTTCTTGTCTCATGACCAGGAAGAATTAGGCACATGGACATCAAAGAGTGAGTGGAGTAGAATTTATTAAGTGAAAGGAAAGCTCTTAGCAAAATGTGGGGACTCTAGGGGGGTGATTCTGTTACCTAAAGACAGGAAAGTTCTCCCAATATGACTGAGCCTGGGGCTTTTTATGGACTCAGAATAGGGAGTGTGTGCTGATTGGTTTGACAGTAGACAAAAAGGTCAAAGAGAAGATACCACTCAAAAGTGGGTACGGCAGTGGAGAAAATCAATTAGGAAAGGGTAGGTATATGTAAAATAGGTGAAGGATGCGAATTAATCAGAGGAAAGTGTGCCAAATGGGAAGCCAGGTTCTCAATACAGTCCAAGGATTTACTTGGGACAATTTCTGGCTTGAAGGTCGGGTTTCACCAGACACCTGCCCCTATCTGCCTAGACATTTGTCTGCCTTCTGCCTCTATCATTATTACACTTTCTAGCATGAGGGAGGCCTTCAATAAAAATTCTTATGGAGGTAGAAAACGAGGATTTGAAGTGGAGAAGGGCCAGATTAAGAAAGGCTGTGCAGGCCACACTAAGAGAAACCTGAAATGTTTCATTCCAGGGCTTGGGGAGGTAGCTGTACCTGGATAACATATGGAGGACAGATGGAAGGTCAGGTAAGAGAGAGGGCAAGGAGAGCAGAGGGACGGCTATCTCAATAGTCTGGGCAAAAATGAGGAAGCCTGAGTCCAGGCAATGGCAGTAGGGATTGGGAGTCAGTGGTAAAGAATGAGTTTGGAAGAACGGTGGTAGAACTGGTGGAAATTGATGAACACTGAGATATGAGAAGAAAGAGATAGGCAAGTGTCTACGACCACATACAGGGTCTAGCTTGGGTGACTTGGGTGATAGAAGAGCCACCAACCAAGATCATGGAATAGAAGGAAACTGTGGCTTGGGAGGGTTGTTTGCTCATTAGTGTGGAGATAAACTATGAGCTCAGTGTTTGACCCAATGACTTTGAGGCACCAAAGACTTGGAGAAGGGAAGGAGATGGATAGGGAAGTGGCTATAGATGGGTAAAGGTCCAAGGGAGGAATTGTTTCTATTTGTTCATTTATTTATTTACTACCTTTATTTATTTCTTTGGGCAGAGCAAAATATTTTTTTAGTCTTCCTAGCCATCTGTCTTTTGTTCAAAGAGATCTGAGTCAACTCCAGATGGGTCCCAGGAAGTAAGGGAGAGAGACCTGGACATGTTTGTTACCCAGACAGTGGGTGGGTTAGGTCACTTGGTGGGTATCAACCCAATGGTCACAACCAAGGAGGATTTAGCAAGGGGATTTTATTGCTTGCAACAAGTAAGTAAAATACCTGGGATATTTCCTGATGCAGTGCCTCCCCAAGCTGGCTGGGTTGGGTTTTATAAGCATAGGGTAATGAGGCATGATCTGATTGGATCCTGAATCCTGCCTTGTGGTGCTCACATCTTAATTCAGTCCCCCTCCTCTGTCCAAGCACTTAGGTTCCCCCTGTGCTTGTATGCTTGGTTCATCTGAGCACGCTTAGGTTATGCAACCTGAGTCCATGGCAACTGAAAAACAACTCATAACTTTGTTACATAAAAGTTGAACCAGATTGGTCTGGCATGGCTACATGTTGGCAGCATGATGGAAGGAGCCAGAAGAGAAGAGGTTGAAGATGCAGGAGTGAGGGGCATCACTGGGGGATGGGTGAGATGGGAGGCTTAAAGCAGTAATACTCAGTAGGGTCCCCAGTCCTCATGGTTATCTAGGGGCAGAATTGACAGGGAAGCCTTGCTGGGGAAATGAATTGTGCCAATTATTCAATTACCTGCAATTATGAAAAGTGGTGTGATAGGTGGTTCTCCGGGGAGGCTGCATCTCAGAAATGAGATGAATTAGTTGAGCTCTTTGATGAGAATCTGATTGACCTCACCCCTTATTAAGTGAGCTCTGTTCATCCCATAACTCACCTTCTTTTAGGTTAATTGATTTAAATTGCAATCGATGGGCTCTCAACAGCAAATGTACAATTGCAGAGGTGGGAATTGGGGAGTCATCTTCCCTCTCTGAAAAGGAAAGTCTCTCTACCTCCTCTTACTGGTCTTGCTTGCTGACCCCAAGCACAACTTGGGTAAATGTTCTTGTCTCCCAAAAGTGAGAAGAGCTAAAAAACCCAATGCTTCTGTTCTGGTTAAAGAATAGCTCTGTCAGCTGCAGTGTATTACACTGTGGAAGAGTGTATGCTCTTTATACATAATTATGCAGATTATAACAATTTGTTAGACTCCGAATTCATTTTAAAAAGAGAAAGACAGTAGCTTCTCTATATCCCACAGCCCTTTGCTCATCTATCTGTTATGAAGCTTATCATATTATACTGATTTCTTTTTTCATTTTTATTATCCTCATAGTACTGTAAATTTTTCAAGAGCAAAGACCAAGTACTAATTATTCAATGAATGAGGCCAGGCACGGTGGTTCAAGCCTGTAATCCCAGCACTTTGGGAGGCCGAGGCAGGTGGATCACCTGAGGTCAGGAGATCGAGACCTGACCAACATGGTGAAACCCCATCTCTACCAAAAATACAAAAAGGAAAAAAAAAGAGCTGGGCCTGGTGGCATGTGTTTGTAATCCCAGTGACCCGGGAGGCTGAGGCAGGAGAATTGCTTGAATCCGGGAGGCAGTGAGCCGAGATTGCACCACTGCACTCTAGCCTGGGTGACAGAGTGAGTTTTCATCTCAAAATAAATAAATACATAAAAAATAAAAATTAAAATATTCAATGAATGAATTATTCGATGAATGAGTGAAATTATATTCCAGGGGGAGGTGAACACCAGTATATACATACTGGTTGTAACTATATATTGAGAAATGTGTATTTTAACAAAATGTCAGAAGTGCGTTTGGAGTTAATTCATAAACAATGAAATATGTTGTGGGGTTTTTCCCAGTGAAGTTGTATTTATTAAGAATTTTTCTCACACTTGTAATCCCAGCACTTTGGGAAGCTGAAACAGGAGGATTGCCTGAGCCCAAGAGTTCAAGACCAGCGCTGGCAGCATAGTAAGACCCCATCTCTACAAAAAATTTTAAAATTAGCTGGGGGTAGCGGTGTGTGCCTATAGTCCCAGCTACTCAGGAGGTTGAGGTGGGAGGACTGCTGGAACCTAGGAGGTCAAGGCTGTGGTGAACGTAGTTGTGCAACTATGCGTTAGCCTGGGCAACACTGTCTCAAAAAAAAAAAAAAGAATTTTTAAAACTTTTTATTTTGAACAAAATTTAAGCATACAGCAACGTTGCAAAAACAGCACAGAGTGTTCACACCTAGCATTCAACTTGTTTCCCCAAATGTCAACATCTTACCTAGCCATAGTACCATTATGAAAAACCAAGAAATTAACATGAGTGTAACACTATTAACTAAATTATGCACAGTATTTGAATTCTGCCTGTTTACCCTCCTCATGTCTTATTCCTGTGGTAAGATCTAGTCCAGGATCCCACACTGCATTTGGTGGTTATGTCTCCTTAGTCTTTTTCAATCTGATGGTTCCTTAATGTTTTCTTGTCTTTCATGACCTTGACATTTTTGAAGAGTAGTGGTCAGTGATTTTATAGATTGTCCATCTTTTGGGTTTGCCTGATGTTTAAAAGTGATTAGATTGAGGTTATCTATTTTTGGGAGGAATACCATGGAAGTGATATTGTAATCTTCTCGGTGTACAGTATCAGGGGCATATAATGCCCGTGTCTCTTATGCCAGATGATGTTAACCTTGATTGCTTAGTTCAGATGGTGTCTGTTGGATTTCTTCATCATTAATCTAATATCGGGTTAGATACTTTCAGACTATGCTTATAAACTGTTTTTCCTCAAGCATTTACCCACAGATTTTAGCATTGATTGGTGGCTTTTGCTTGCAATAGTGATGACTATAGTATTATGGTCATCGCTTGCCTAATGATAACTTTCTATTTCCCTCATTTTTTCTTCATTTCTAAATTAGAATTCTTCTGTAAGAAAGAATTGTTCCTTCTCTTCCTTTTAAAAGTTAACCAATTAACTAACTAGTTATTTCATTAGCAAGGACTCATGGATACTCTTATTTTATTGAGTATAATCAATTCTATCATTATTTACTTTGTTCCTCAAATTGTTTCATCTTTGCTTTCTGGGAGCCTCCTCTCACTGGCTTTTGTGTTCTTTTGACAAGCCCCATCTTTTTGTCAAGCACTTCCTTATATTTTCGCATCATAAAATGTTCCAAGTTCATTTTGAATTTTTCCTACCCTGGAATAAACCACTTCTCCAAGAAGCCCTGGCTCCTTACATTGGAAAATGGTTATTGAGAAACCAAGACCTGGTTGCTAAGTTTTGATGGAACCAGGTCTGGCATGGCTACATGTTGGCAGCATGAGGGAAGGAGCCAGAAGAGGGGAAGAGGTTGAAGATGCAGGAGTGAGGGGCATCACTGGGGGATGGGTGAGATGTGAGGCTTAAAGCAGCAATACTCAGTAGGGTCCCCAGTCCTCACAGGCTTTTGCATGCTTTTGCATGCATGCTTATTTATTTATTTATTTATTGGTTTTGAGACGGGTCTCCCTCTGTCACCCAGGCTGGAGTACAGTGGCATGATCATGGCTTACTGAAGCTTCAACCTCCTGGGCTCAAGCAATCCTCCCACCTCAGCCTCCCAAGTAGCTGGAACCACAGGCATGTCCCACCACTCCCGGCTAATTTTTATATTTCTTGTAGAGATGTGTTTTACCATGTTGCCCAGGCTGGTCTCAAATTCCTGGGCTCAAGCGATCATCCTGCCTTGGCCTCTCAAAGTGTTTATGCTTTCTCCAGAAAATGGTGACAGTAGACTAAATTTTAGCCTTTTCCTTATGATTCAGTGTCACTATTTCTTTAACAGTTATTGAAGTGATACCATGATGACCTCAAGAATTACTGAGATGTATAAGGCTCTCAACCTTGACAGCAACTGATTCTTCATCCTTTTTTGCTTACTGAAGTGCCATTGCCCCTAGACTGTCTCAGCAGAGATAGGAAATCCATGTTTGTGTACTAACCCATGTATACACCCACACATCTGCATTTATTTCTACATCTATATATCTATGTATGGCTTTGTGTGTGTGTATGCATTTTAAACTATGGGTTTCTATCAAGATACATCTGATTTCAACACACCACCAGTGGGTTCATTCCAGTCTTATCCTTTTCTGTATTTGTAACTTCTAACTTAGCTCTAACTATCTACATCATTAAGAATTTTTAGACAGACTACCTCTATGGGGCCAGGTGCGGTGGCTCACCCCTGTAATCCCAGCACTTTGGGAGGCCGAAGTGGGCAGATCACTTGAGATCAGGAGTTTGAGACCAGCCTTGCCAAGATGGGTGAAACCCCATCTCTACTAAAAATACAAAAATTAGCTGGACATGGTGGCATGTGCTTGTAATCCCAGCTACTCTGGAGGCTGAGATAGGAGAATCGCTTAAACCCAGGAGGCAGAGGTTGCAGTGAGCTGAGCTCACGCCACTGCACTCCAGCCTGGGTGACAGAGTGAGACTCTGTCTCAAAAAAAAAAAAAAAAAAAAAAAAGACTACCTCTATGGGAGAACAACCCTCTTATGACTATATTTATGTTATTTTATAATGGAGATATTAGATTGTTTTATGAAATGATATATTGGTATATTGTTAATTCACTATTCCAAGAATATTTCTGCTGATTTTGATGTATAAGTTCTAGGTAAATCTTCACAGACTACTTCAGAAATAGGGAAATTAATAACCTTAGCTAAGGTGGCCCCTGATCTTTCAATGGAAACAAGAGGTATCAAACACTATGACTCAAACTTTTTTTTTTTCTTTTTTTTTTTTATTATACTCTAAGTTTTAGGGTACATGTGCACATTGTGCAGGTTAGTTACATATGTATACATGTGCCATGCTGGTGCGCTGCACCCACTAATGTGTCATCTAGCATTAGGTATATCTCCCAATGCTATCCCTCCCCCCTCCCCCCACCCCACCACAGTCCCCAGAGTGTGATATTCCCCTTCCTGTGTCCATGTGATCTCATTGTTCAATTCCCACCTATGAGTGAGAATATGCGGTGTTTGGTTTTTTGTTCTTGCGATAGTTTACTGAGAATGATGGTTTCCAATTTCATCCATGTCCCTACAAAGGATATGAACTCATCATTTTTTATGGCTGCATAGTATTCCATGGTGTATATGTGCCACATTTTCTTAATCCAGTCTATCATTGTTGGACATTTGGGTTGGTTCCAAGTCTTTGCTATTGTGAATAGTGCCGCAATAAACATACGTGTGCATGTGTCTTTATAGCAGTATGATTTATACTCATTTGGGTATATACCCAGTAATGGGATGGCTGGGTCAAATGGTATTTCTAGTTCTAGATCCCTGAGGAATCGCCACACTGACTTCCACAATGGTTGAACTAGTTTACAGTCCCACCAACAGTGTAAAAGTGTTCCTATTTCTCCGCATCCTCTCCAGCACCTGTTGTTTCCTGACTTTTTAATGATTGCCATTCTAACTGGTGTGAGATGATATCTCATAGTGGTTTTGATTTGCATTTCTCTGATGGCCAGTGATGATGAGCATTTCTTCATGTGTTTTTTGGCTGCATAAATGTCTTCTTTTGAGAAGTGTCTGTTCATGTCCTTCGCCCACTTTTTGATGGGGTTGTTTGTTTTTTTCTTGTAAATTTGTCTGAGTTCATTGTAGATTCTGGATATTAGCCCTTTGTCAGATGAGTAGGTTGCGAAAATTTTCTCCCATGTTGTAGGTTGCCTGTTCACTCTGATGGTAGTTTCTTTTGCTGTGCAGAAGCTCTTTAGTTTAATTAGATCCCATTTGTCAATTTTGTCTTTTGTTGCCATTGCTTTTGGTGTTTTGGACATGAAGTCCTTGCCCACACCTATGTCCTGAATGGTAATGCCTAGGTTTTCTTCTAGGGTTTTTATGGTTTTAGGTTTAACGTTTAAATCTTTAATCCATCTTGAATTGATTTTTGTATAAGGTGTAAGGAAGGGATCCAGTTTCAGCTTTCTACATATGGCTAGCCAGTTTTCCCAGCACCATTTATTAAATAGGGAATCCTTTCCCCATTGCTTGTTTTTCTCAGGTTTGTCAAAGATCAGATAGTTGTAGATATGCGGCGTTATTTCTGAGGGCTCTGTTCTGTTCCATTGATCTATATCTCTGTTTTGGTAGCAGTACCATGCTGTTTTGGTTACTGTAGCCTTGTAGTATAGTTTGAAGTCAGGTAGTGTGATGCCTCCAGCTTTGTTCTTTTGGCTTAGGATTGACTTGGCGATGCGGGCTCTTTTTTGGTTCCATATGAACTTTAAAGTAGTTTTTTCCAATTCTGTGAAGAAAGTCATTGGTAGCTTGATGGGGATGGAATTGAATCTGTAAATTACCTTGGGCAGTATGGCCATTTTCACGATATTGATTCTTCCTACCCATGAGCATGGAATGTTCTTCCATTTGTTTGTCTCCTCTTTTATTTCCTTGAGCAGTGGTTTGTAGTTCTCCTTGAAGAGGTCCTTCACATCCCTTGTAAGTTGGATTCCTAGGTATTTTATTCTCTTTGAAGCAATTGTGAATGGGAGTTCACCCATGATTTGGCTCTCTGTTTGTCTGTTGTTGGTGTATAAGAATGCTTGTGATTTTTATGCATTGATTTTGTATCCTGAGACTTTGCTGAAGTTGCTTATCAGCTTAAGGAGATTTTGGGCTGAGACGATGGGGTTTTCTAGATAAACAATCATGTCGTCTGCAAACAGGGACAATTTGACTTCCTCTTTTCCTAATTGAATACCCTTTATTTCCTTCTCCTGCCTGATTGCCCTGGCCAGAACTTCCAACACTATGTTGAATAGGAGTGGTGAGAGAGGGCATCCCTGTCTTGTGCCAGTTTTCAAAGGGAATGCTTCCAGTTTTTGCCCATTCAGTATGATATTGGCTGTGGGTTTGTCATAGATAGCTCTTATTATTTTGAAATACGTCCCATCAATACCTAATTTATTGAGAGTTTTTAGCATGAAGGGTTGTTGAATTTTGTCAAAGGCTTTTTCTGCATCTATTGAGATAATCATGTGGTTTTTGTCTTTGGTTCTGTTTATATGCTGGATTACATTTATTGATTTGCGTATATTGAACCAGCCTTGCATCCCAGGGATGAAGCCCACTTGATCATGGTGGATAAGCTTTTTGATGTGCTGCTGGATTCGGTTTGCCAGTATTTTATTGAGGATTTTTGCATCAATGTTCATCAAGGATATTGGTCTAAAATTCTCTTTTTTGGTTGTGTCTCTGCCCGGCTTTGGTATCAGAATGATGCTGGCCTCATAAAATGAGTTAGGGAGGATTCCCTCTTTTTCTATTGATTGGAATAGTTTCAGAAGGAATGGTACCAGTTCCTCCATGTACCTCTGGTAGAATTCGGCTGTGAATCCATCTGGTCCTGGACTCTTTTTGGTTGGTAAACTATTGATTATTGCCACAATTTCAGAGCCTGTTATTCGTCTATTCAGAGATTCAACTTCTTCCTGGTTTAGTCTTGGGAGAGTGTATGTGTCGAGGAATGTATCCATTTCTTCTAGATTTTCTAGTTTATTTGCGTAGAGGTGTTTGTAGTATTCTCTGATGGTAGTTTGTATTTCTGTGGGATTGGTGGTGATATCCCCTTTATCATTTTTTATTGTGTCTATTTGATTCTTCTCTCTTTTTTTCTTTATTAGTCTTGCTAGCGGTCTATCAATTTTGTTGATCCTTTCAAAAAACCAGCTCCTGGATTCATTGATTTTTTGAAGGGTTTTTTGTGTCTCTATTTCCTTCAGTTCTGCTCTGATTTTAGTTATTTCTTGCCTTCTGCTAGCTTTTGAATGTGTTTGCTCTTGCTTTTCTAGTTCTTTTAATTGTGATGTTAGGGTGTCAATTTTGGATCTTTCCTGCTTTCTCTTGTAGGCATTTAGTGCTATAAATTTCCCTCTACACACTGCTTTGAATGCGTCCCAGAGATTCTGGTATGTGGTGTCTTTGTTCTCGTTGGTTTCAAAGAACATCTTTATGTCTGCCTTCATTTCGTTATGTACCCAGTAGTCATTCAGGAGCAGGTTGTTCAGTTTCCATGTAGTTGAGCGGCTTTGAGTGAGATTCTTAATCCTGAGTTCTAGTTTGATTGCACTGTGGTCTGAGAGATAGTTTGTTATAATTTGTGTTCTTTTACATTTGCTGAGGAGAGCTTTACTTCCAAGTATGTGGTCAATTTTGGAATAGGTGTGGTGTGGTGCTGAAAAAAATGTATATTCTGTTGATTTGGGGTGGAGAGTTCTGTAGATGTCTATTAGGTCTGCTTGGTGCAGAGCTGAGTTCAATTCCTGGGTATCCTTGTTGACTTTCTGTCTCGTTGATCTGTCTAATGTTGACAGTGGGGTGTTCAAGTCTCCCATTATTAATGTGTGGGAGTCTAAGTCTCTTTGTAGGTCACTGAGGACTTGCTTTATGAATCTGGGTGCTCCTGTATTGGGTGCATAAATATTTAGGATAGTTAGCTCCTCTTGTTGAATTGATCCCTTTACCATTATGTAATGGCCTTCTTTGTCTCTTTTGATCTTTGTTGGTTTAAAGTCTGTTTTATCAGAGACTAGGATTGCAACCCCTGCCTTTTTTTGTTTTCCATTGGCTTGGTAGATCTTCCTCCATCCTTTTATTTTGAGCCTATGTGTGTCTCTGCACGTGAGATGGGTTTCCTGAATACAGCACACTGATGGGTCTTGACTCTTTATCCAACTTGCCAGTCTGTGTCTTTTAATTGCAGAATTTAGTCCATTTATATTTAAAGTTAGTATTGTTATGTGTGAATTTGATCCTGTCATTATGATGTTAGCTGGTGATTTTCCTCATTAGTTGATGCAGTTTCTTCCTAGTCTCGATGGTCTTTACATTTTGGCATGATTTTGCAGCGGCTGGTACCGGTTGTTCCTTTCCATGTTTAGCGCTTCCTTCAGGAGCTCTTTTAGGGCAGGCCTGGTGGTGACAAAATCTCTCAGCATTTGCTTGTCTATAAAGTATTTTATTTCTCCTTCACTTATGAAGCTTAGTTTGGCTGGATATGAAATTCTGGGTTGAAAATTCTTTTCTTTAAGAATGTTGAATATTGGCCCCCACTCTCTTCTGGCTTGTAGGGTTTCTGCCGAGAGATCCGCTGTTAGTCTGATGGGCTTCCCTTTGAGGGTAACCCGACCTTTCTCTCTGGCTGCCCTTAACATTTTTTCCTTCATTTCAACTTTGGTGAATCTGACAATTATGTGTCTTGGAGTTGCTCTTCTCGAGGAGTATCTTTGTGGCATTCTCTGTATTTCCTGAATCTGAACGTTGGCCTGCCTTGCTAGATTGGGGAAGTTCTCCTGGATAATATCCTGCAGAGTGTTTTCCAACTTGGTTCCATTCTCCACATCACTTTCAGGTACACCAATCAGACGTAGATTTGGTCTTTTCACATAGTCCCATATTTCTTGGAGGCTTTGCTCATTTCTTTTTATTCTTTTTTCTCTAAACTTCCCTTCTCGCTTCATTTCATTCATTTCATCTTCCATTGCTGATACCCTTTCTTCCAGTTGATCGCATCGGCTCCTGAGGCTTCTGCATTCTTCACGTAGTTCTCGAGCCTTGGTTTTCAGCTCCATCAGCTCCTTTAAGCACTTCTCTGTATTGGTTATTCTAGTTATACATTCTTCTAAATTTTTTTCAAAGTTTTCAACTTCTTTGCCTTTGGTTTGAATGTCCTCCCGTAGCTCAGAGTAATTTGATCGTCTGAAGCCTTCTTCTCTCAGCTCGTCAAAATCATTCTCCATCCAGCTTTGTTCTGTTGCTGGTGAGGAACTGCGTTCCTTTGGAGGAGGAGAGGCGCTCTGCGTTTTAGAGTTTCCAGTTTTTCTGTTCTGTTTTTTCCCCATCTTTGTGGTTTTATCTACTTTTGGTCTTTGATGATGGTGATGTACAGATGGGTTTTCGGTGTAGATGTCCTTTCTGGTTGTTAGTTTTCCTTCTAACAGACAGGACCCTCAGCTGCAGGTCTGTTGGAATACCCTGCCGTGTGAGGTGTCAGTGTGCCCCTGCTGGGGGGTGCCTCCCAGTTAGGCTGCTCGGGGGTCAGGAGTCAGGGACCCACTTGAGGAGGCAGTCTGCCTGTTCTCAGATCTCCAGCTGGGTGCTGGGAGAACCACTGCTCTCTTCAAAGCTGTCAGACAGGGACATTTAGGTCTGCAGAGGTTACTGCTGCCTTTTTGTCTGTCTGTGCCCTGCCCCCAGAGGTGGAGCCTACAGAGGCAGGCAGGCCTCCTTGAGCTGTGGTGGGCTCCACCCAGTTCGAGCTTCCCGGCTGCTTTGTTTACCTAAGCAAGCCTGGGCAATGGCGGGCGCCCCTCCCCCAGCCTCGCTGCCGCCTTGCAGTTTGATCTCAGACTGCTGTGCTAGCAATCAGCGAGACTCCGTGGGCGTAGGACCCTCTGAGCCAGGTGTGGGATATAGTCTCGTGGTGCGCCGTTTCTTAAGCCGGTCTGAAAAGCGCAATATTCGGGTGGGAGTGACCCGATTTTCCAGGTGCGTCCGTCACCCCTTTCTTTGACTCGGAAAGGGAACTCCCTGACCCCTTGCGCTTCCCAGGTGAGGCAATGCCTCGCCCTGCTTCGGCTCGCGCACGGTGCGCACACACACTGGCCTGCGCCCACTGTCTGGCGCTCCCTAGTGAGATGAACCCGGTACCTCAGATGGAAATGCAGAAATCACCCGTCTTCTGCGTCGCTCACCCTGGGAGCTGTAGACCGGAGCTGTTCCTATTCGGCCATCTTGGCTCCTCCCCCAACTCAAACTTTTTTATAAACTCAGTGTCCCTCTCCCTGGAAACTGAAACTCAGAGGGAAGATGTGGGAGAAGAAGCTGTTCGAAAGTTACCATCTGTCCTTCAAATGGGAATAATGGTTAAGGAGGTCAATTGTTCTGGACTATTGAGTATCCGCAAAGGCAGATGTGAGTGTACTCCAGTTAGTTTCCAATACTTCCAAAAACTGAAATACAAACTATGTATTTAACTATGACAGGGACACTTGGGCTCATGAAAATGTCCAGTGTCATAATTGATTTTGGCTGGTGTATCGTTGTTTTTAGAGACAAGGTCTCACTATGCTGCTGAGGCTGGTGTGCAGTGGCTATTCATAGGAGAGATCATAGTGCACTATAGCCTCAAACTTCTGAGCTCAAGTGATCCCCTAGCCTCAGCCTCCCAGGCAGCTGGGACTGCAGTTGTGTGTCACTTTGTCTGGCTGCTTGATTGGCATATCATGATGCAGTTAATAAATACCAGATCTATATTCGTTTTCCAACCTCTAACTGGTTTCTACTGCCTATTAAACACAAAATTATGATAATAGGTAAAGTTATTAAGAACTTACTGTGGGCCAGGCATGACATGACATGCTTTATATGGATTGTCTCATTAATCCTGATAGCAATACTTGACGTATGTGCTTTTATTTTCCCCATTTTACAGAGGAAGAAATGAGGCCCAGCTCACACAGACAGTGAGTGAGTGAGCCAGGCCTGAACTGCAGCAGGCTGGCTCCAGAGCCCATGCTCTTAATCACTGCATTACTGCACCTCCCATCTCTGCTTAGATGTCCCTCAACACTACAAACTCATGCATAAAACTAAGCCTACAATCTTCCCTCCAGATATACTGGAGGGTTTTTTTGGTATTATACTGTCTAGTCACTCAAGACAGAATTTTAAATCCACACACAGACCTAGTGTGGTGGCTCATGCCTGTAATCCCAGCACTTTGGGAGGCTGAAGGGGACAGATCATCTGAGATCAGGAGTTCCAGACCAGCCTGGCCAACATGGCAAAACTCCGTCTCTACCAAAAAAAAAAAAAAAATTAGCAGGGCATGGTGGCGTGTGCCTGTAATCCAAGCTACTTGGGAGGCTGAGGCACAAGAATCGCTTGAACCCAGGAGACGGAGGTTGTAATGAGCTGAGATGGTGCCACTGCACTCCAGCCTGGGTGACAGAGAGAGACTCGGTCTCAAAACAAAACAACAACAAAACCCACCCATAACATAAAATTTATCATCTCAACCATCCTTTTACGTTTTATAGTACTTTGAGTCGCTATTTTATCAATCATTCTAAAATGCAGCTTAGGAGTGTTAAGGGCATTCACATTGTTGTGAAACAGATCTCCAGAATATTTTCTTCTTCCAAATAGAAACTCTACACTGAACAACTTCCCCTCTCCCCCTTCTCTCAGCCCTTAATAACCACAATTTGACTTTCTGTCTCTATAATATTGTCTACTCTAAGTACCTCATATAAGTGAAATAATACAATAATTGTTTTTTGATGACTTATTTCACTTAATATAGTGTCCTCGGGGTTCATCCATGTTGTCACATATGACAGGCTTCCCTTTCTTTTTAAGTCTGAATAATACTCCATTGTGTGTATACATCACATTTTGTTTATCCACTTATCTATTGAGAGACATTTGGGTTGCTTCTGCCTCTTGGCTATTGTGACCCACGTTCATTGAATTTTCAATGTGCAAATATATTTTCAAGGCCCTGCTTTCAATTCATTTGGATATCACCCAGAAGTGGAATTACTGGATGGTATGGTAGATCTATTTCTGATTTTTTGTGGAACTGCCATACTGACTCCTTTTCTCTAATTCTCCATATCCCATCAGCAACCAGTGCTGTGAATTTTATCCTTTCCTATCTATGTCTTTTTGTTAGGGTGACACACTTGTCCTTCCACACATGCTAACAAATAAGGCTTGGCAGGATCAACGCCAGGACTAGGGTGCAATGAGCCAGGCACTCATCTTGGGTGCAGAGTTTTTACAGGGGTGCCAAAAAAACCCAGTCAAAAAGATAAGGAATATTTTCATGCAATATTTTAAAATATCAAAATCAGAACAAAAAATTATCATGAACTAGTGCCAAAATTTTAAATATAGCAGTGCTTTGCTGAGCTATATTGGACCCTGAAGCAAAAAGAAAACTTCGTAATACTGATCCTGTCTTTTATTTAAAATTTTGTATTAAAATAATTATGTATCTTGCCGTCTAAGCCTTTTGGCACCCCCTTAAATTTTGCACCGGAGGTAAGTATCTCACTTGCCTAACCGTACTATTGGCCCTGCCTGGGGTACTCCTGGGTTGTTTAGGATAATTATCTCAGACTAGTTCTTATGTTGGCAAAATGCTGAGGACAGTAGCTGCCTTTTGTATATTATACCGTCCTCACCATTATTCACTCACCCTTTCACTGAATGCTTTAGTCATACGAAACCATCAGAGGTCCCTAAATATTCTTTGCTTCTTTGTGCGCATATTTTGTGTTTATACAAATATGCTGCCTGAACTGCCCTTCCTTCACTTGATAGAGGCCTTATCCTTTTTCTGACCCAGCTTAGCCAGCCGCTCCTCTGAGTCTTCTTCCACACCCCCAGTTAGAATTTACTATTTACTTCCTATGTGTTTTATATTTGTTCTTATATTGTGGCACGGAACATATCCCATTGCTGTTACTTATTTACTGGTGTGTTCAAAAGACCAAAATGCTTGTTTTAAATTGGTTCTAGAACACCATTAGGAAGATAACTATGTTTATGTCCTCTTTTACGAGTCATTTTTAGTTAAATAATACAGGCAGGGTGACTCCATACAGTGGAGGACTTGGGATAGACACAATGTTATTGCCCAATGGACTGTGAGTTCCCTGAGAGCAGGAATTATGTCCCCTCCATCCTCAGTACCTAGTAGGCATGTGGTAGGCTTTTAATTTGAATGGAATTTGGACTCCAAGTACTAGCACTGTTATATCACCTTAATCCCACTGGTGAGTGGTGGTAGATGCCAGTCAGTGGAACAAAAGAAACAAAACATTACTATTAAAAGCTGTTTGAAAGACAAATTATTTTTTAAATAATAAAGAACTGGCTGGGTGTAGTGGCTCATGCCTATAATCCCGGCACTTTGGGAGGCCAAGGCAGAAGGATAACTTGAGCCCAGAGTTCAAGACCAGCTTGGGCAACACGGCAAGACCTCATCTCTACATAAAATAAAAAAATTAGTGGGGTGTGTTGGTGTACACCTGTAAACCCAGTTACTTGGGAGGCTGAGGCAGGAGGATCACTTGAGCCCAGGGAGTTCAAGCCTGCAGTAAGCTATGATCACAGCACTGCATGCCAGCTTGGGTGATGGAGTGAGACTCTGACTCAAAAAACAAAACAAAACAAAACAAAAAAAAAAACACCTATATGGAAAGATAATCCAATATTAACTTAGTGGGAGGCTGGCTAAGGAGAAGGTTTGTGAATTTATGCTTGCTCTTCCTGGACAGAGGCTGAGTTAATCTAAAGTGAGAGGCTTTGGAGACAGAAGCACTGCATTGATTTAGGGGAATTCTTAGGGTCAGAAACGTAGTCCTCAGAGGAAGAAAAAAAGTGAGTAGCTGGCTAACCTTCCTGGGAAGCTACTAGAAAGAGAGGAAGAGAGAAAGTGTGTGTGTTAGTTGATCTGATCAAATCTCTTTCTAAACATACTAATACAGACCTCCTTGAAAGGAAACTAGCGGTATTTACTAGTGAGAGTTTTTATCTATCAAAAAAAAAAAAAAACAAAAAAAACAAAAAGCAACAACTTTTAGCAGAATGTACCTGGTCAGTCTAGGATGGCTTATGATAAATTCACCTAGAATCTATGGGTTTATAAGGCACAGCTCATTGGAAAATGCCAAATAAACTATGTAACTATTAATATATCAGTATAAAAATGAGATGTCTCTCATAAGTGGGAGCTAAGCTATGAGGATGCAAAGGCATAAGAATGATGCAGTAGACTCTGGGGACTTGGGGGAAAGTGTGGGAGAAGCGTAAGGGATAAAAGACTACACATTGGGTACGGTGTACATTGCTTGTGTGACAGGTGCACTGAAATCTCAGAAATCACTGCTAAAGAACTTATTCATGTAACCAAACACCACCTGTCCACCAAAAACCTATTGAAATAAAAATAAATAGGCCGGGTGCAGTGGCTCACACCTGTAATTCCAGCACTTTGAGAGGCCAAGGCGGGTGGATCACTTGAGATCAGGAGTTCAAGACCAGCCTGGCCAACATAGTGAAACCACGTCTCTACTAAAAATACAAAAACTAGCTGGGTATGGCAGCAGGTATCTATAATCCCAGCTACTCAGGAGGCTGAGGCAGGAGAATCGCTTGAACCTGGGAGACAGAGGTTGCAGTGAGCCGAGATCGTGCCACTGCACTCCAGCCTGGGTGACAGAGTGAGACTTCATCTCAAAAGAATAAAAACTAAAATAAAAATAAATAAATAAATAAATAAGATGGCCATGGGAAAAAAAAAAAAAGACGTTTCATGACCCAGGCTGTTCCTTTGCTTTAGTGATGATGATATGCATTGCTTAGAGGCCTCATGTGTAATACCTGGGCCAGAGCACATCCTAATTTGGCAAGAAAGGACCAGGGAGCAGCTTTGATAGACCAAGGTGTCCAGGATCCACCTGTACCCCACAATTACCTGTATCCTTGAAATTATCAGTAATGCTTGTTACTGGGTACGGTCTCTGATTGCTGAGAGTCTGATTTGGCTCAAAGGTGTTACCTCATGTTGAATATTGGACTATTCAAGGTAGTTTATATTCTATTTCCCTTAGTCTTTAGAAACATTGCTTCAAGTGAGATAATATTTGTGAGTCCTTAGTGCTTGATAGTGCTTGGCAGTCAGCACTCAATAGCTAATGGGTTTTCCTTTTTCTTGTTCTTCAGAAGAGGGTAAACTTGTCTTAGTCATGCCAAATAGGAAAAAGGAGAATGCCATGTGGTGAGGCAGTTGGGATAGAATGGAAAGATTCCACAAAGCATAAAAGCTCAAGATAAAAGAGCTGTTGAAGACTTACACAGCCTATCCTTCCTTTTTGGGGATTTTCCCATCAGGAGCTCTCCTCTGCTTATTCCTTGAAAATTTCCAAAAAGAAGCCCACAGGACACTCACGGTAAGGCTCTGAAGGTCATGAGCTCACCCAGGGAAGGCATCATAAGGTGCCATTCCTCGGTGAAATATGGCTTTAAGGTGAGCAGGCTCAGATACCTGATTTATTAGTGCTCCAAAAGGGAATCCGTCTTTAGGGACAGACTCACATTAACCAAACTCACAGATGCTGAAGTATACAAACTCAAGCATACATGTATTTACTTACATGAGAAATCGAGCTGTTAGGGAGGCAGGAGGCTGTTAGGGAGGCAGGACATCCCTGTCCTCTGGCTGAATCACATCACTTGGTAAGCAGGCATTCATTCAGAAATTTTTATTTAGTGCTTACTATGTATCAGACAACATTTGGAAGCAAGGAATTCAGCAGCCAATAGTATTTACAAATCTCAAGAAGAATCAAGAAATACATAAACAACAATTAAAAAAACTATCTTCAAATTAAGATTAAGTTCTACAAAGAAAATAAAGTAAGATAAGGAGATAGGGACCACTGGGTGACAAGGGCAAGGCACATTCATGAGGAAAGGCTGTCTGAGTGACTAGGACAAGCTTGTCATTCATTCCACATGAGCTGGGGCTGGGGAAATAGCAGATCAAAGGTCCTGAGGCAGGCAGACTTTGGCAAGTTTGAGGAAAGAGGGAAAACCGGAGTTATGGGAAAGTGAGGGAAGGGCGGAGTGGTAGGTGACAAAGTAGAGAAGAAAAACGTAGGTCAGACCTCACAGGACCTCAAGGGCTATCAGTCAGAGTTAGGACACTGTTCTGTGTGTAATTGGAAGCAATTGGATGATTTCAGGCAGAGGAGTCACTATAGAGATGATATATATATGAATATATATGTAAATTATATAGATGTCTGTCTAAATGATATATAAATATCTATAAATGATTTATAATATATATATAAATGATACATAGAGAGAGAACGGGAAGGCAGCGTGGAGGCAGGTAGAGCAGTTAGAAGGCCATTGAAGTGGTCCAAATGGGAGATGACAGGGTTTGCATTAAAAAGCCACAGTGAAGGCCAGGTGTGGTGGCTCATGCCGGTAATCCCAGCACTGTGGGAGCCCGAGGCGGGTGGATCACGAGGTCAGGAGATCAAGACCCTCCTGGCTAACACAGTGAAACCCCGTCTCTACTAAAAATACAAAAAATCAGCCGGGCATGGAGCCACGTGCCTGTAATCCCAGCTACTTGGGAGGTTGAGGCAGGAGAATCACTTGAACCCAGGAGGTGGAGGTTGCAGTGAGTTGAGATCATGCCACTGCACTCCAGCCTGGGCAACAGAGTGAGATTCTGTCTCAAAAAAAGCACCACAGTGAAGACAGAAAGACTCAAAAAACATTTTGAGGTTCTGCTGACGGGGCTCCTTGATTGGATGTAGAGGAAAGGAAAAGATCAGGTATGCCTCTTGGGCTCGGATATTCAAAAAAAAGGATATTAATGCTGCATGATTTGCACGGTTTAGGTATCTGGGCAATCACCTGCTGACTCCTCTGTCCCGGCCTCCAAGTCTAGAGAGATGGATGGGCCAGGATGCTCTTCCTCTGGGCACAGTAGGGGTGGGTGGGCACTGCCAATACTCCCTTTGCGACCCTCTTTTCCTTTCCATTCATTTAGTTCATTCAACCACTATTTATTAAACACCTACTGCATGGCTAATGGTGTTTTAGGTCTTGGGAATGTAGCAGTGGGGAAACATCACCATCAAATAGCCACAGTTTTTTCAGAGAGTTAGTGCTCTGTGGAAGACAGCCATTCCCCATCCCTCCTTCTCCTGGGCCCTGCTTCCTTCAACATACACTCCCCCATCTGCCATAAAGCTTTCTTTGGATTCTCTCTCTCTCTGAGTGCACCACCCACCCGCAGGCTCCACGCTGGGCAGCCTCCACAGTCTTATGCAATCAGTTTCCCCAGGCACCCTCCATGGCTCCCCTAGTCATGGACATTTGACTCTCCTGAGTTGTTTTCAGTCTGGTCTGGTAAATCAAAGGTCAGTCACCTTGCACATGAGGTGGGGCTGGAACAATGTATGGAACAGAGCTGAGAGATCACAGGAAGCAGCAGAAATCTGGATGAGTTCAGTGCAACCCAGGAAATCCTTCTAAAATATTATTACCTCTGTGTCCAAAAAGCCAGCCTCACTCTCATTGTCTCCTGCATCTGAGTCACCAACATTGTAGAGGGGATTGTTTCTTCCTAATGATTGGTACTGACCAGACCTAGTTTGTAGAACGGTCCTCTCACAGATACCCGGCCCATCCCTCTCCCCAATCACATTTTAAAAAGTCACGTTTATGTTTGCACAACATTTTGCAAGTTAAAACATGTGTTCACTTATTTTACAAGACCTCATTTCATCTTTAAACAACACTGAGGAAGCAAACGGTGAGGAGACTGATATGTCATCTGAACACATAAGTGGCTTGTCCGAGGTCACAAAGTCTATACATTCAGTGGTATTTTTACTGAAGTATATTACCCTTTTGTCCAAAGCTTTTTAAAGTGCATGTTCTCAGTAACTTTCATAACTCCATGAATATGCACATATCTGCTCTATCTGAATATGGAAAATGCCCATAATCTCAATGTACGCAGCCCACATTTGCTCTTCTCTAAGATGTATTCCTGGAAACTATCTGATAAAGTGGATCCAAGTTTCCCATAGAAAAATGCAATCTCCGAGAATTATGTTGCTAACTGGGGACCGAGTATCAATTGAATCATAGATTAGAATCAGAGCATGTTGGAAAAGCAGTGCTGTACCAACTAGAAACTTCTCAAGTCATTTGATTTACCACTTAAAATAGTAGATAATGGAGTTTTAGAGCTGGAAGGAAACTTTGAGGTCATCTAATGCAACTCATTTATTTTGCAGTTAAGCCCTGCAAGAGCCAGAGAGGTGAGGCAAATCCTGCAAAGTCATACATGTCTCCAAGGCAGTGAAGGAACTGAGACCCGAGGAAGCCTCTGGTTCCTGCCTGGTGCTCTTTCCACCACTCCACTCCCCTGCCTTACAAAAGTCCTAATTTGACACATCCCAATTATTTGAAGGACCTCAATGTTGCTGTTATTTTGTTTCCATTCCTGATTCTTTTTTCAGAACTCGAGATACAAATTATATTCAGAGATTTTAAGCAAACTGGTTGATGAGTCTTCACAAATGTATACACCTATGTAACTACCACCTTAATTGAGATATAGAACATTTCCATCACCCCAGAGAGTTCCCCCATGACTCCCCAGCAATCATTCCCCATTCCCCCACCTGACCAGAGGCAACAACTATCCTGCTTTCTACCATGAAAGGTTTCTGCCCCCATGTAGAACTTCATATAAGTGGAATCATACAGTATATAGCCCATTCAGTCTGGGTTTCTTTCACTCCACATGATTTTAAGATTCATCCATGTTTTTGCACTTATCAGTAGTGCATTCTTTTTAAAAACAATTATCCTTTTTCATTGCTGAGTAGTATTCCGTTGTATAGACATCACACTTACTTGTTGATAAACACTTGGATTGTTTCCAGTATCAGTTATTACGAATAAAGTTGGTCGGAACATTTTTGTATAAATCTTTTTATGGACCTCTATTTCATTTCTCATACGTAAATGTCTATAAAATTTCTGGGTATTAGGGTAGGTGCATATTTAATTTTATTAAGAACTGCCAAACAGTTTTTCAAAGTAGCTGTGCTCTTTCACAATCCACCAACAATTTATGAGAGTCCACTTTCTCCACATCCTCACTAACATTTGTTTTCCCAGTCTTTTTAATTGTGACCCTTCTAGTGGGTGTGGAGTGTTATTTCATTATGACTTTAATTTCTGTTTCCCTGATGATTAAGACAGTTGTGCATCTTTTGATGACCAATGCTTTATTAAAAGCACATAGGATAATTTATTAATTTAACCAAATGAATAGCAAGCTAAAGAGTGATGGTTTTACTAGTCTTCTCAGATTAAAGTGCTTCTGCAGGGAAGTTGGGATATTCTAGTTTTCTTTTCATAGCTCTCCAGGCCAAGCTCAGCTGATATTTTCTTTTCTATCAACAAATTACTTGTGGCAAGCAGAGATATTTAGAAGTATGCATTAGTGATTCTTTCTAAAGTAGTTGCTGTGCAATTAAATATTTGATGATTTCAGTAAGGACATTAGTTATAAAAATTTAAAAGAGGCAGCAATAAAGTGTGGGGAAGGTATAGGCTTTGAAGCCACATACAATTAGACTTGAATCCTGGCTTACCAGAAATTTACAAGTTTTCACTTTCTTGCCTATAAAATGGAGACAAGGATACCTCTTATATCAGTTCCTTATTGATGCTCTAACAAGTTACCACCAGCCTGTTGACTTAAAAGAAACGAATGTATTGTCTTATGGTTCCAGAATTCAAAAGTCCAAAACGGGTCCCTCTGGGATAAATTCAAGATGGTGGTGGGGCTATGTTCCTTCTGTATTTCCTTGCCTTCTCCGGCTTCCAGAGGCTGCCCACACTCCTTGGCTAATGGCCCCCCATTACATCTTCAAACCCAGTCATGGCAGATGGAGTCTTTCTCACCACACATCACTCTGCCTTTGCTTCCGTGGTCATAGTTCTTTGTCTGGCCCTGACTCTCCTGCCTCGCATTTTCTTTTTCTTTCTTTTTTCTTTTTTTTTTTTTTAAGACAGAGTCTCACTCTGTCTTCCAAGCTGGAGGGCAGTGGTGCGATCTCGGCTCACTGCAACCTCTGCCTCCTGGGTTCAAGCAAGTCTCTGCCTCAGCCTCCCGAGTAGTTGGGATTACAGGCACCTGCCAACACGCCCAGCTAATTTTTGTACTTTTAGTAGAGACGGGGTTTCACTATCTTGGCCAGGCTGGTCTTGAACTCCTGACCTCGTGATCCACCCGCCTTGGCCTCCCAAAGTGCTGGGATTACAGGTGTGAGCCACCGTGCCCGGCCCCCCTCACACTTTCATCTGTAAGGGCACTTGTGATGACTGTGGGCCCATCTGGATAATCCAGAAAATCTTTCCATCTCAAGGTCTTTCACTTAATCGTATCTGCAAAGTCCCTTTTGTCATGTAAGGTAACATATTCACAGGTTCTGGGGATCAAAATGCAGATACCTTTGGGGAGCATTCTTATTATTGTGTGAACCACTTTGTAAGGTTGTTGTGAGGATTAAAAGTAAAGAAATATAAAGGACCTGGCTCGTAGAGACAGTTCAAGAAATAGATACTGATATTATAAGGTGAGTGGAGCTCAGCAACTACCGTTCCCTTCCCTTCCTCCCTTGGAAGGGTCTGGAGAACAGGGGTCTCTTGCCTCTTATTTTCTTGCCAGTCTTTCCTCTGTTTACATCAGTATGGCAACACTGGCAGAGGAGAGGGTCCAGATGGGGAGTAGCAGAGTTCTGGAGGAGGAGGAGAAAAGCAGTCAAACCCTTTTAGCTTGGCGATGATGATGAGCAGTGAAGGGCGTGCCAGGCATTAGCATGTCCTCCTGAGGGTACACCTGACCATGGCAACAGCAATCAAACAGGCTTTCTCTGGCTTGAGGCCCAACCTGCAGACTTGTGGGACCCCTAACCCTCACCCCTTCTGATCCCAGCAAGTTCTGGGGCAATGAACAAGCTCTCCCTGCTTGCACTGCAGAATCCACTTTTTTTCTCTTTTTTTTGAGATGGAGTTTCGCTCTTGTCACCCAGGCTGGAGTGCAATGGTGTGATCTCAGCTCAACAAAACCTCCGCCTCCTGGGTTCAAGTGATTCTCCTGCCTCAGCCTCCTGAGTAGCTGGGATTACAGGCATGTACCACCACGCCCGACTAATTTTGTTTTTGGATTTTTTTGTTTTGTTCTGAGACAGAGTCTCACTCTGTTGCCCAGGCTGGAGTGCAGTGGTATGATCTCAGCTCACTGCAACCTCCATTTCCTGGGTTCAAGCAATTCTCCTACCTCAGCCTCCCGAGTAGCTGGGATTATAGGCACCCACCGCCATGCCCAGCTAATTTTTGCATTTTTACTAGAGACAGGGTTTCACCACGTTGGCCAGGCTGGTCTCTAACTCCTGACCTCAGGCGATCCGCCTGCCTCAGCCTCCCAAAGTGCTGGGATTACAGGCATGAGCCACCGCACCTGATCCAGAATCCACATTTCTAACTGCTGCTCCCCCAAAGTCGGCCCCACCTGTGCTCTCTGTCACATGCAAGGCAGCTTCCTTCCTCCTCTGCTGACATGCTGACAGCCTCAGAGAAGCCTGTGACACTGTGGCCAGGTCCTGAGCCCAGCCACCATCAGACCCCTGCACACGTAACCCTCTCCAGGCCACCACTTCTGTTACCTACTCTGGGCCCCAGGTGACATCTTTACCACCATGGCCCCTATGCTAGTTCTGCAGGACTGTGGGACCTGGCCTGGCCTCATCTTGACCAAAGTCGCCAAAGCCAGGCCTCATGATCGTCCCCTCCGCCACCTGCTCCGACCACACTGCACAATACTCAAGGTGCCATTTGCATCCTAGTGGCTGTATTGTGTGTGTATTTACTAAAACCACTTTCCAGTAGATGACAGTCTAGAGCCTTGGGGAAACAGAGCCTTTTCTAATTCACAAAAAGATGCCATTAGGGCTAGCAGCAGGGTCCCAGCCAAGGAGGGCGGCATGAGAGCTTACTACCTCTCTCCTGGAATGCGTGAGGCCGAGTCAGCCTTGAGGACCCATGCTGTCTACTCCGGATGTCATCTCAAACACAGGGGACCCAGGGAGAAGGTACAAACACTGACCAGCACAAAGATGCCCGGCATCCCTCCCACGAAGGAAGGACATGCCCCTGCTGTGCTGTCCCCGCCCCCAAGTCCCTATCCCTCCTTTTTGTCCCTTGCATGGCACCTGCTAGAGAAGTTCTCTGTCTCACTGTGCCACATGAGGGAAGAAACCTCCCAGCCCCCCTGCCTGCCCCACCCCCGTCACTGATTTGGATCAGGGATTGGTGTCATTTTCTCAGGTAGTAAAAGATCCTTTTCTGGCTCCATGGCTCCAGAAGGCACTGCAGTCAAGGGGAGCCCTCACAGGCCTTGGAGAGCAACAGGCAAGGGTCTGCTGCATGGCCTTGAATGTACTCAGAATGACACAGGAGGCATGAGAAAGCTCAGACTGCCTCTTTTTTTTTTTTAGACGGAGTCTTGCTCTATTGCCCAGGCTGGAATGCAGTGGTGTGATCTCGGCTCACTGCAACCTCTGCCTCCTGGGTTCAAGTGATTCTCCTGCCTCAGCCTCCTGAGAAGCTGGGACTACAAGCGTGTGCCACCATGCCCAGCTAATCTTTTTGTATTTTTAGTAGAGATGGGGTTTCACCACATTGGCCAGGCTGGTCTTGAACTCCTGACCTCAAGTGATCCACCCACCTCTGCCTCCCAAAGTGTTGTGATTACAGGTATGAGCCACCATGCCTAGCCTGCTTGTTTTTATAGACTGAGTCCCACTGAGCAAAGACTGTGAAATATTCAAGCGCGCAGCCCGGAGCACTGTGACAGCTTAACTGTCACTCACCGCCCCCAGGAGGCTGCGCTGTGTGGTGTGGCAGGGAGCCACCGACCATGAAGGCTCAGGCCACCAGGAGAATGGTGAGACTGTCACCTCAGAGAGAACGAGTTGTCAGTCGCTCATTAGGTCAATTAGTAGCCGCGTGGATTAGTGGAACAGGTGACAGCAGAGAGAGACGATTTCTGTGAAGAACACAGTCTGTGGGGAATGAGCTGGTTAGTGACTGTCAAAGACATTAATGATGACGTTTCCAGCTGGCCATGAGTGGCAACTCAGCAAACAGCAAAGACATTCCTGTAATGGCGAAACCTTCCAGACTCCCTTCCCTCTTTCTCTCAAGACTTTGAGTTGATGAAGACGTGCATGTGCTCACAAATGTGTATGCACAAACACACGCTCCGCACCAGCGGGGATCCTATGAGACCCTTCGGTCTTGTGTCCTAGACCGTGTTGTCAGAGAGTAGTTTTAAGAAGATACCCCATTTCTTAGGGGGGTTTTTGGACATGGAGTAAGTCTCAGTTATAGTTTGAGTCACATTGCTCTCTGTAAAGATTAATAGCTATAACAGTGATATAGAAAAGAAGTATAATAATAATATAATGACATAATATCATCTGACTTTATGTACTTCATGTTCTTCTACCACTATGTCACACAGAAAAGGAACTCTCTGTCCCTTGACTCAGGGATGGGTGCTCTAGGCCAACGCTGTAACCATCCGTTATCCCCCGTACATTATCCCATATGAAGCTATCAATATAAGGGGACCGTGAAGAAAAACAAATAGCAATGGCAAAGAGCTTTGTAAATAATTAAATACCAACCAGTCATCCTGGTAGTGTTCTAAAGGAAAATAGCCTTAGGTGATTAGCTTGCACCATAAATAAGCCACCATAAAAATCTGTTAGCATCAGTCTCCCCCACCCCTAAATTGTTCTGTTTCTAAAAAATGTCGCTGTGCTAAACTTAACGGAGTCGAGCAGAGGTTTCAAAACAAGTGGATAGAAAAGCCTTAGAACAGGTTCTTAAGGCAGGAACAAAGCGTGCAATAGTAACATTTAATGGCACTAACTCCTTCACAAAGTCATTTTGTGACACTGTTTTTTTTTTTCTTGACCTTTTAGCTGATATTCAGACTCATGCTTCTCCTGGGGAGACCCCCTTTCCCCACACCTCATATCATCTCACCCCCTGGCAGGAAACTGTACCCAAGAGATTTTCCCCCTATCCTTTTAACAACTATGATAATTAGCGCATAATCCAAAATGTTGAAAACCACCTACATTTTTATTTACTTGTTTTCCAAAAGAACAAGCCAGGTTCAGTAGTTAATTTTTGCTGTCTGTCTTCTGGCTGAGTGAATCCCACCTTACCTTACAGTTACAAATTGGCAGGTTAGTGGTTGACTCTCTCTCTTTAAACAAGGAGAGGCAGCTTGCACTTTTTGTCACTTTGTTTTCTGGCTTATTTGATTATTGCTTAAAAGCAACTTATGGTTATATAACAAGAAGCAGGTTTTCCCTCTCCCAAAGAATGTCAGATCCTGAGATAGGAAATGGGATCCGGCTCTAGGGTGAGAAGAGAGAAAGGGATCGATCCCTCTACCGTTAACCTCCAGATGCATAGGTTGGGGGAGGGGCGGTTCCTTAGGACTCCTTGGGGTGCAGCTAGAAACCTTTTGTGCATCCAGCTCCCCCAGCCCTGAGGGGGTGTCTTGAGGGTAAAGGACTCCTTTAAAGGGGCTTATACTCAAAGAATAATGTCATTAGATGGTTACAGCGCTGGCCGAGAGCACCCATCCCTGAGCCAAGGGACAGAGAGTCCCTTTTCTGTGTGACATAGTGGTAGAAGAGCAATGGCAGACCAGCGACTGTGATCTTAGCAGTGGTTCTAGGTCATCAAACTTTTTATGTGGATGGGCAGAGATCTTATCAGATTACAAGGTTACAAGTTATCAGTGGAGATATCTCTGCCCAGGGCACCACAGGTGCCCTGACAGTGGCTAGAAAGAGGATACCAGATGGCCCGTATTTCATTATGGCTTCATGAGGGTGCTGGGGAGAATGGTGGAAAGTCTCTTGTAAGAATCAATTTGCCCCTGGAAGGAAGCTTTGAAAATAATTGGGGTGATAGTTTAGAAAAATGACTAGTGAGCTTGGAAATCATAACAATGCTGTTGTGAATTTCTAACAAAGTAATTTTGAATTGTTTTCAATTGGCTGGTAACAAGAACTAAATATTTAAATGCAATACATTTAATGGATGTTTTTTGAGAAAGCTTTTGTAAGATGATGTTGTAACTGTTGGTGTTGGTTTATTGTTGAAAGTGTTAGACTGAGAAGGTTAGAATGTTGGAAGCATCTGCATGTAGGTGATGAGAGTATGTGGGAAATATGTGAAAGTGATTGGCTGGCTTTGGACCAGAGGTCCCCAGCCCTGGGACCACAGACTGGTATTGGTCTGTGGCCTGTTAGGAACCCGGCTGGACAGCAGGAGGTGAGCTGCGGGTGAGCAAGCGAGCGAAGCTTCATTTGTATTTACAGCCGCTCCCCACTGCTCACATTACTGCCTAAGCTCTGCCTTCTGCCAGATCAGTGGCAGCATTAGATTCTCATAGGAGCATGAACCCTATTGTGAACTGCACATGCAAGGGATCTAGGTTGCGAGCTCCTTATGAGAATCTAATGCCTGATGATCTGTCACTGTCAGCCTGAGACTGGACCATCCAGTTGCAGGAAAACAAGCTCAGGGCTCCACTGATTCTATATTATGGTGAATTGTATAATTATTTCACTATATATTACAGTGTAATAATAATAGTAATAAAGTGCATAATAAACATAATGTGTTTGAATCATCACGAAACCATCCCCCCATCCCTGGTCCATGGAAAAATTGTCTTCCACAAAACCGGCTCCTGGTGCCAAAAAGTTTGGGGACCGCTGCTTTAGAGGCTCAGGAACAAAATTCCTGGTCAGTACAAGGTAATGCTCTGTTTAACACACAGCAACACTGAAAGCAGGTCAGAATATCCTGAGGAAGTCTTAACTTCCAGTTCCCAGAGTCTATCTCCAGCCACAGCCAGCTATCTCCAAAAGAAATATTGCCTTTTCTTTTTTTTTTTTTTTTGAGACGGAGTCTTGCTCTGTCACCCAGGCTAGAGTGCAGTGGCCAATCTTGGCTCACTGCAAGCTCCGCCTCCCAGGTTCAAGCCATTCTCCTGCCTCAGCCTCCTGAGTAGCTGGGACTATAGGCGCCCGCCACCACGCCCAGCTAATTGTTTTTGTATTTTTAGTAGAAGACGGGGTTTCTCCGTGTTAGCCAGGATGGTCTCGATCTCCTGACCTCATGATCTGCCCGCCTCAGCCTCTCAAAGTGCTGGAATTACAGGCATGAGCCACCGCGCCCGGCTGAAATATTGCCTTTTCATTCATTCATTCCTACTGACTGTCCTTTATATCTCAGCTATTGGTCAGGTGATGGGGATACAGCATTCATCAAAGTCTTGTCCTCATGAAACATATATTTATAGCAGAAGAAAAACAACAAACATGTTAACATACAGCCTAATGTCAGGTGGTGATGGGTACCACAAAAATAAATAAAGCAGGGCTGGGCACAGTAGCTCACGCCTGTAATGCCTGCACTTTGGGAGGCCAAGGCGGGTGGATCACGAGGTCAGGAGATCGAGACCATCCTGGCTAACATGGTGAAACCCCTGTCTCTACTAAAACTACAAAAAATTAGCCGGGCGTGGTGGCGGGCACCTGCAGTCCCAGCCACTTAAGAGGCTGAGGCAGGAGAATGGCGTGAACCCGGGAGGCGGAGCTTGCAGTGAGCTGAGATTGTGCCACTGCACTCCAGCCTGGGCGACAGAGCGAGACTCCATCTCAAACAAACAAACAAACAAAAGATAAATAAAGCAGGGAAGGGGAGGGAAAAATGTCACCTTAGAGAGTGTGGTCAGGGAGGCCCTCCTGATGAGACCACATGTGGGCCAGGCCCTGAAGGAAGAGAGAATTCTGAGCAGAGGGAGTGGCTAGGGACAGGCTCCATGGTGGTTCAGGGAACAGTCAGGAAGCCTCTGTGGCTGGAGTCAAGTGAGTGGGTCAAAGAGTCATACAAGATAAAGTAGGAGAGATAATCAGGAGCCGAGTCAGACAAGACCTAAGCAGGCCACAGTGAGACATGTGTAGGTCATTTTCATGATATAGAAATGGAAGCCACTGGAGTGTTCCCAGCAGGAGAGCGACCCATTCTGATTTGCTTTGTTAAAGGTTGACTCTGTGTGCCATGTGAAGATTGGATTGTGAGTGGTGGCCAGGGTCGGAGCTGGGGGCAGTACCAAAGGAGACTAGTGACTTGAACTGTGGTGGAAGTGGTGAGAAAGGTCTGTTCAAAACGTGTTTTGGGCTGGGCACTGTGAATCACTCCCGTAATCCCAGCACTTAGGGAGGCCAAGGTGGGCAGATCACCTGAGGTCAGGAGTTCGAGACCAGCCTGGCCAACATGGCGAAACCCCATCTCTACTAAAAATACAAAAATTAGGATGCAGCTGAACATGTGGAGGTGACTGGCAGGTGGTGTGCCCAGAGAGGGGATGGAGACTCCGTGCCCCTCCCCACAGCATTGCCCTATGCATCTTCTCCACCGGGTGTTCATCAGAATCCTTTTCGATGTCCTTAATAAACCGAGATAATCTTCATTTATTTCCTCTTCATGTTTCCCCCTCTTTGAAGCTGCCATGAAACACAAACTCTTCTCATTCAAACAAATGCTTAGCTGGCTTTTGGAACATAAATCTTTCATTAGCAGGTCTCGCTCTGTCATCCAGGCTGGAGTGGAGTGGTATGATCATAGCTCACTGTAGCCTCCTGTGCTCAAGTGATCCTCTCACCTTAGCCTCCTGAGTAGCTGGGATTACAGGATAACTTCCTGCAATGAGTCAGCTAAACATTCCTGAATCCAACCATTCTATCCCTGGCAAACTCCAGTATCTGATGCTCTATCACATGTGGAAACAAAGTCACTCGCATCAGTTTCAACAAGTACACTGCTTAGTGAAATATAGGTCTTTAAAAACACACTGGAATTTGAAAAAAGAAACAACACATTGATGGTAATGTCTTCCTCTGAATGAATGTGTGTAAAACTGTAACAGGCACAAAAACCAAAGCCAAAGAATCACAGACTTACATCTGTCAAACCGATTCCACAGAAGCCATTTCAATATCAGGGCTATTTCTTAGATAGGTTTAAAAATGTATCTCACAATTTAAATTGGAAAACGAAGCTAAGCACAAACACCAAGTAGAAGTTACACCACAAGGAACATGCAGGTCAGCCAGGTGTAGAAGATAAATGGTCAGAATATGATATGAAGAAGAAGACTAAGAAAGTACATATAGCAATTCAATCTCTACCAGGTTCTCTCAATCAACATTGGAATTTAATCGAATTAAAAATAATCGCTCATAATGGAATATGGCATGGGCCAGTTTTTCTGTTAATATAATGTTTGTGACAATGTGGACAGTGGCCTGGCTAATTAACGGGCAGGGAACGTGGAAGGAGCTGCTTCAGTTCAACACTGGGGACACGGTGTGGAGAACGATGCAAGGATAGCTATCCAAAATCTGTGAGGGTCTACACTGCTTGGCAAGGCGGAGCTGTATAAGTGTGTGATTGTGGAGTGCAGAGTGGCCTCTGTAATAAAAGACCTAATGACAAAAGGAAAAGTAAATGTAACAAATGCTTATACAGTGTGTCTGCAAGTGTTGATAGGCACTGTGTAGGAAGACCATGTCAAATTCATACTGAGAATTACCATGAATCACAGGGAACCAGACTGGCCTTGCTGATACCATTGGCACTCTTAGTTCTACCAAGGCATTTCTTGATAGATTCACCTAGAGGAATGGAAGTCATCCTCAAGCTTCAGATTGACCTGCTTCATGAATGTGAAGGAATAATATATGGTTGTGCAGTTTATCCTGTTACCACTAACTTTTTTCTTTTGTCTTGCTGTATAGCCCAGGCTGCAGAGCAGGGGCAGGATCACAGCCCCCTGCAGCCTAGACCTCCCAGGCTCACGTGATCCTCCCACCTCAGCCTCCCGAGTAGCAGGGAATACAGGCATGCGCCACCAGGCCCAGGTTTTTGTTTTTGTGTTTTTGATGGATCCTTGCTCTGTCTCCCAGGCTGGAGTGCAGTGGCATGATCTCAGCTCACTGCAACCTCAGTCTCCCAGGTTCAAGCAATTCTCCCCTGACTCGGCCTCCCGAGTAGCTGGGATTACAGGTGTGTGCCACCACAACTGGCTGATTTTTGCTTTTTTTAGTAGAGATGGGGTTTTGCCATGTTGGCCAGGCTGGTCTCGAAACTCTGACCTCAGCTGATCTGTCCACTTCAGCCTCCCAAAGTGCTGGGATTACAGGCATGAGCCACCATGCCTGGCCAATTTTTCTGTAGAGACGGGGTCTCCCTATGTTGCCCAGACTGGTCTCAAACACCTGGGCTCAAGTGATCCTCCCACCTCAGCCTCCCAAAGTGCTGAGATTACAGGCATGAGCCACGGTGCCCAGCACTTTTTTCTTTTGAACTATTACTCTCACATGATTTTCACTGCCACAGGTGGGGGTCCTCTGAGATAGTTTGTGTGTTATCTCCACAGGTGATAGGCTGTGTTCTGGAAGGATGTTCAGGACTTGAATTTCAGTTTTCAGTCACTCTCACTGGATTCCCAAACCAACCTAGTTTGGGACAAGAGATTATGAAACACTCCTTAGAAACACTAGCTCATCTCAACTAAAATAGGGAGCGAATGAACCTGGCATACTAAAGTGTTAATAGTGACAAAATGAAAAATATAAAATAACCACAAAATAATGAGGTAATCTTGATGGAATGGGCACATGTATCTGTGTGCCTCATTTTATGCAATGTAGGTATTTCAAAGAAGTTGTGTGTGAAATGAATTTCTGTAATCTGAATACTCCAAACAGGCCAAAGAAGCCTTGTTATTTAAAGAAATTCTGTAAGCAAATATTTTTAACTGAAAAAGTAAGGAAACTCCTGTTTCAGAAATCATTTTGTATATTTTGCTTAAAGTGAGGCACACTTGTATTAAACTAAGGAAAAAAAATCAGCGAATCGGGTTCTACTGTTTACATTATGTATAATTTCCAATGACATAAGATAAGTGAAGATGCCTAAACTGATTTGTGTTTAATTCAGCACACAGCTCAATCTGCCAACAAAGAGTTTTCATTTGGCATTTGCAAACACATTATCATTTAGATAGCACCACCAAAGCAGCTTCAATGTTGCAACTTGAACATCATTAAAGAGACTACAATTTTTGGGGGGGCAATCAATTAGGTATCCACTTAAGGTAGGCATTAAGCATTCCTAATTCTAATTAATTGATTCTAAATGATCATTTTTTAAAGCACAAACTTTTTGGTCCTGTAAAAAATGTGGTGGTTAATTGTAGCTTTAAAAAGCTGGACGACATTTTAATGTTCAAAATAGAAGTTAAATATTTTGTAAAATGATAGTAATGACCAAAAAAAAAGAAACTATATTTATGATTTAGTGCCTCTATAATCTTGTTTATATCACCAAATACAAGTCACAACTGTCAAAAACAGCTTCCAGCTGCCAAATTGTTGGACGTGATGCTTGAGGAACTGGGGAAAGGAACACTTTTTGTATTATTCTGGCTTTTGTCTCTGATAAGAAAGTGGAAACTTTGCCAAAGATATGAGTTGCAGTATTTTAATACAAAAAACAACTGCTTAAAATAATTAAGAAACCGAACCACTCAAGACAAAACAAAACAAAACAAAACAAAAATTAGCTGGGCGTGGTGGTGTGTTCTTGTAATCCCAGCTACTCAGGAGACTGAGGCAGGAGAATCCCTTGAACCCGGGAGGCAGAGGTTGCAGTGAGCCGCGATAACACCACTGCACTCCAGCCTGGGTGACAGAATGAGACTCCGTCTCAAACAACAATAACAACCAAAAACGCATTTTGAAGCTGGAGCCAATGGGAGTTGCTGTTGGATTGGATTTGGGGATGGAGTCTGAGAGGAGTCTGAGATGGCTCCACAGTGTTTGGTCTGAGCAACTGGGTGAATTAGGAACACTATTTACTGAAATGGGTGAGACTCAAGGAGGAACAGGTTTTGAGGGAAAAAGCAAGAGTTAGATTGCTGATAGTAAATTCAAGACACCTGTTAGACAACCACGTAGAGATGTCAAACAGGCAGCTGAATGCGGAGGCTGGAATGGGGGGGGAGGTCAGGGATGAGACATTAATTTGGGAGTCACAGTGTATAGATGGTAGAAAGTCACAGGGCTGGATGAGGTCACTTAGGGCGTGGCCTGTCTAGAGACATTGGCCCAGACCTGGAGCGCCCACTGCAAGAGATCATGAGGGTGAGAAGGATGCAGCCAAGACTAAGAAAGAGAGCCCAGGGAGGCTACAAATAAGTCAGCAGCGTGCAGCCAGATGAGAGTGTTTCAGAAGGAAGGAATATGTGGCCAACCATGGCAATGACAACCAATATGGATGAGGATTGTGATCAACTGAACATTGGATCTGGTAACAAGTGTTTTTCAAAGGACATAAAAGCCTGATTGGAAAGCAAATGGGAGGAGAGGATGTGGGGACAGTGAGAATAGTCAACGCTTGAACTCTTCTGTGAATAGAGTCCGAGAAATTAGGCAGAAACTGCAGGTGATGCAGAGTCAAAGGAAGACCCTTTTGCAAGTGGGAAATATTGTAGCATGTTTTGCTTGCCTATGGGAAGGAGTCAGTAGAATTGAAAAAAGGAATGATGCAAGACAGTCAAAGAAAATTTCAGAACAAATAACTCAGTGTGTCAAATATCTTGGATCCCAGCATGGGTGCTCCCAATCTTCCCCATCTGCTTCATGAAAACCTGGGATATACAAAATTATAGGTAAGGGTCCGAGATTAGAGCAGGTAGGTGGCCACAACAGGCAAAGCATGTACTCAAATGTCCAAGTTTCTCTTGTAAATTATTACCTTATTACATCGTGACATTTAGCGACAGGATTTTAGATTTAATTGTTTACTTTCTTCAATCCGTCCCTTAAACAAAAAACAAACAGAAAATGGGCCGGTCGCAGTGGCTCACACTTGTAATCCCAGTACTTTGGGAGGCTGAGGCGGGTGGATCATTTAATGCCAGGAGGTCAAGACCAGCCTGGCCAACATGGTGAAACCCCGTCTCTACTAAAAATACAAAAATTAGCCGGGCGTAGTGGCGGGCGCCTGTAATCCCAGCTACTTGGGAGACTAAGGCAGGAGAATCGTTTGAACCTGGGAGGCAGGGGTTGCAGTGAGCCGAGATTGCACCACTGCACTTCCGCCTGGGTGACAGAGTGAGACTCCGTCTTAAAAAAGAAAAAAGAAAAAAAAAAATCGAAAACAGCAGGAAAAGAATTGAATTGGACAAGGGTCGGGTGGATAACTTAGCTTTCAATAGCGACACCTAGTGGCAGTGATCAGCAGTAGCTGAAAAGAATTGAATTCCTGACAGCCTGAGGTTTTTTTTGTTCTCTTTTTTCTTTTTTTTCTCCCCTCAGGAGTAGTATCCAGGACCCACCCATTTTGTACTGAATAAACATCCCTAATGGTGCTTGGAGTCATCTGAGGAGGGAGGTCCCCAGAGAGGGGGAAAAAACCATTTTCCTGGTGGACTGGATGTGAGCCCAGGGTTTAAATTGAGTCAGAAGGATAAACTGAATTCATCTTCAGAGTTGAATTGCTCTTCTGGTAATCTGGAGGGTTGGGTTCTCCCCTGACCTGAATTTTCCGAGGAGCGATTTGTGCTGTTACACACATTTCTTTTGCTATACGAACTCAGACGGAGGTCAGAATGAACTCTGGCCAACAGGGTCTCACCTTATGGCTTTGAACAATGGGCAGTAGCAGACGTTCAGTTCCAATGATTTTGGCTGGCTCTTAATTTATAGCCGCTCCCAAGACCCATAAAGAGGTGCCACAGTCGAGGCCGGGGGCGGTGGCTCACGCCTGTAATCCCAGCACCTTGGGAGGCCGAGGCGGGTGGATAACCTGAGGTCAAGAGTTCAAGACCAGCCTGGCCAACATGGCGAAATCCCGACTCTACTAAAAATACAAAAATTAGCCGGGTGTGGTCGTGGGCGCCTGTAATCCCAGCTACTCAGGAGGCTGAGGCAGGAGAACTGCTTGAACCCGGGAGGTGGAGGTTGCAGTGAGCCAAGGTCGCACCATTGCACTACAGCCTGGGTGACAGAGTGAGGACTCTGTCTCAAAAAAAAAAAAAAAAAAGAGGTGCCGCAGTCAATTTTAAAGGTACCTCTAAATTTCACCTTTTCTGACAATAGCTTGATGCTACAGAGGGTTCTCAAAAATCTGCAATTCCCCAGATGTGACAACTAATCCAATCCCATTAGTGTCAGGCACATCATATTCTCAGTCTTTATTTTAAAAAATGAAAAGAATAAACCATACAAATAGATGAAAACATCCAAAATAATAGAGGAGGAAGCTCACACAGCTGAAAAAAAAGTTTCTTTCTTGAAGTATTATCCAAAATAATATAATAAAACATTTTCATACATATGAGAATATTACAGGGATTAGAAGATAAATAGGCTGGGCATGGTCGCTCATACCTGTAATCCCAGCACTTTGGAAGGCTAAGGCAGGCAGATTGCTTGAGCCCAGGAGTTCAAGACCAGCCTGGGCAACATGGCAAAATCCCATCTCTACAAAAAATACAAAAAAATTAGGTGGGCATGGTGGTGTGCACCTGTTGTCCCAGCTACTTGGGAGGCTGAGGCAGGAGGATCACTTGAGCCCAGGAGGTCGAGGCTACTGTGAGCCAAGATTGCACCACTGCACTCCAGCCTGGGAAATGGAAGTGAGACCCTATCTCAAAACGAAAAGAAGACGAATAAAGTTCATGGGTTAGACTTGCAAATCAATTTTCCAGTTGGATTCTGATACAAATAAAGCATGAAGAAAAGAGCGAGTAAATTTCTAGATTTGCAGTAGTTTGGATTTGTGTTTGTGAAAATATAATTATATCCTATTCTAACCTGGTATGTAGTTTTATATTAGCTTTATTCTTGGCATGTTTAATATACAGGGAAATATTTGTTCTTCCCTTTGGAAACTGTGCATTGTCTAGGCTCTATAGGACACCCCTCTGAGGGTTATCTGATTTCGAGTATGTGGAAGCCATTTTGTAACTCTGTACATTGTAGATTATTGGTATTGGTAGCAACGCAGAATACTTCTTATCTATGGACAAGCAAATTCTGTCCTGTATAGTAGAGGTTCAACTGGCTTCCTTCTTCCACAGAGGAAGAGGACAGTTTTACTTCCATCTGAACAGTCATTTCAATATTCCTGATCTGTAAATATGTCTGTTTTTCAACTTCTCCCTTAAACTGCTTACAATCTCTGTACCAGTTTCCCCATTAATATACAGTTTAATTTTTACATATGAATTTATGTTGTGATTCTATCCTACTTTGAAAATTATCTTTTAAAAATGGTAATTTTTGAAAGTATCAAAATAATTATAAAGTTCTTACCTACTACTTCTATTTTATATTGCCTCACTATATATACATATATACACACACATATGTACACACACACACATATACACACATATATATACACACTATACACACACACACACACACACACACACACATATATATATATATATTTTTTTTTTTTTTTGAGACAGAGTCTTGCTCTGTCGCCCAGGCTGGAGTGCAGTGGCATGTTCTCGGCTCACTGCAACCTCTACCTCCCAGGTTCAAGTGATTCTCCTGCCTCAACTTCCCAAGTAGCTGGGATTACAAGCATGTGCCACCATGCCCGGCTAATTTTTGTATTTTTAGTAGAGACAGGGTTTCACCATGTTGGCCAGGCTGGTCTCGAACTCCTGGCCTCAAGTGATTCCCCCCACCTCAGCCCTCCCAAAATAAAATTCTGCTGGGATTACAGGCGTGAGCCACCGTGCCCGGCCTGTCTCACTATATTTTATATAGCTTTTAAGTTGCCTTGAACTTCCTGAAATAAGTTGAGGTATAAATGAGTAAATATCCAGTGCTTAATAATCAAAATGTCTAGGCAATCTCTAAGGTTCTCACATTGATAGTCTATGATATTCTATGCATCTGGGAATAGGCAGGTCAGAAGTAAAGCTTCTTGTCTCATATACCTTTTTAAAAATTGTGGTAAAATATACATAACAAAGTTTGCCATTTTAATCCTTTTTAAGGCATACACTTTTTAAAAAGGTATAATATGAGAGCTCCTTGAGAATATACAACTGAACCAAGAAAAATCGATGTCTTAGCCATGTCTCAAGTTTGGAATTTGACCCACCTGGGCCTTAGTTTGTTGTTGGGTCTTCACCAGCTGGCCTGTTTTCACAATTTGGAACAAAGCGCATTAATAATATGCCCTACTTGTATAGACAGCATGGATTACCCCACTTCCTACTGTCACTCTTGGTAACCACAAATTCTTGATTTAAGTAAATTTTTGAAAAGGAAATTCAGTGATGAAATTCCTTGTAATTCTCATGCTACCTGTGATTATAGTTAAGCAGGGCAGAAAAAAAAAGTAATCTACTTAATACAGGAGACTCATGATATATGCTGACTTTGACAGTCTTTGATTTAGGAAGTTGGGGAAAAAGGGGGAGAAGAAACTAGTTTGAAATTGGCTAGGGTTTTTAATCATTTATATAACTCAAGACAGAAAAAAGTCTGAGTGGTTTTATAAGAGAGTTTACAGAGGTTGCTTTCTTTTTCAGTCAAAAGGAATGAAAAAAATGCTTTATATTTATTTAGTATTTAAATGGCTCACTAGTGGTAAACACGAGGCTGCTCTTGGCTGGAGGCAGCCAGGCTGGGGAGCTTGGCCACCTTGAACTCTGAGTTCCCTTGGAAAGCAGAGGGCATCAAAGTATCAGCACACTTGTAACCATTCACAGCGAGTGAGTCAGGAAGCCCTATTTTGGCTCTGCAGTGTGGTTGACAGCATAGACTTTAGAATGTTCAGATTTATAGCATACTATTTTTTCCTTTCCTGCTGCTCAACTGTGAAGCCAATGGCACATTTTTTTTTTTTTTTGAGATGGAGTCTTGCTCTGTCATCAGGCTGGAGTGCAGTGACATGATCTCGGCTCACTGCAACCTCCGCCTCCCAGGTTCAAGTGATTCTCCTGCCTCGACCTCCCAAGTAGCTGAGATTACAGGCACCCGCCACCACGCCTGGTTAAGTTTTATATTTTTAGTAGAGATGGTGTTTCACCATATTGGCCAGGATGGTCTCGATCTCTTGACCTCGTGATCCGCCTGCTTCGGCCTCCTGAATTGTTGGGATTACAGGCGTGAGCTACTGCACCTGAACGATATCACATATTTTTGGTCTTTCTTATGGCAGTACCCTTCTTCATGGCACCACACCTGGCTAGCATGGTATCAATTTTTGCATTATTAGAGTAGATTCAACTACTATAATAAACAGAACCAAGATGTAACAGCCAAAAAAAAAAAAAAAATCGAGTTTCTGATGCTTATATCAGTCCAGCAGGGTATTCCAGGATGGTGGGGCTCTCCTCCATGGATGACTAAAGGACTCAGGTTCTTCTGTCTGCTGGCTCTATTACTGGGTCCTGATCAACAGTGCAACTGTCTAAACTGTCTTCTGCACAGCACCAGCGTTATCTTCTTTAGGCATACTTTGATTACAAACTATACAGAATATTTATGAACGATACAGAATATTCAGCAGGGATTTCAGATAATATGGAGGCTACATAATAATATAGAAAATTTTCATAATAAGAGGATATTATGGGTGCTTTTTTCTTCAAAATGTTTTTTTCAATCAAATCAGAAAAATTAAAATTAGCATCAAACAAAGGTGAGCTTGTAAGAATACATTGAGACATCTTTTCAGATTAAGTTCAGAAGTCCTCTTTTTTACCTTATATGAAATTACATACCAAATGATTAATTTAAAAATTAGAATGACCGTGAATTTACCCTATGCTGTATATTGTACTTGGTGCTATGAACGCAGAAATACTAAGACAGAGTCCTCAGCCTAAAGGAGTTTAATAAGGAAACCTGTTAGCTTACTCAGATTTTTCAAGTTTGATTAACGAGGAACAATTTTCACATGGAGAAAAAGTTGTCAAAACTTCCAAGTGTCCATTTCACTCACCTACCTCCCAACTCACCTTTTCCTAAGAGAGATTCCCAGCTTCACCCCACAATGGGGTGAAGACGCATTGAGGACAGAGACCTCCCTGATCTATCTCTAATGCTTTGGCCTCGTCATAGGTACAACGAATCTCTGAATTCTGTGACAAGCCTGGTGGCATCTAGCTGAAACAAACACAGAAAGAAATGTACAACTAGATCTGACAGAAGAATATCGTTTACTCATCTTCCCCTTTTTCCTACAACAGGTTGGCTTCCCTAGTCTGTCCTATTTGACAGCGTAGAGGATCATTTTTTATTCTGATAGCACTTGTAAGTTCAGGGGGTCCCCAAGACTATCCTTGGGTTTGACAATTCACTGGAAGCACTCACAGAATGCACCAAAACTGTTATGCCCACTGTTTTGGTTTACTATGGTGAAAAGATACAGATTAGAATCAGTGAAAAGAAGAGACACATGGGGCAGAGTCCAGGTGTATCAGTCTGTTCTCATGCTCCTAATAAAGACATACCCGAGACTGGGGAATTTATAAAGAAAAAGAGGTTCAGTGGACTCACGGTTCCACATGGCTGGGGAGGCCTCACAATCATGGAGGAAGGTGAAGGAGAAGCAAAGCCATGTCTTACGTGGAGGCACGAAAGAGTGTGTGCAAGGGAACTGCCCTTTATAAAACCATCAGATCTCGTGAGACTTATTCACAGTCACGAGAACAGTATGGGAAAACCCCGCCCTCATGATTCAATTACCTCCTACTGGGTCTTTCCCAGGACACGTGGGGATTATGAGAGCTATGATTCAAGATGAGATTTGGGTGGGGTCACAGCCAAACCATATCACCTAGAAAGTTTCAAACATGGAGCTCCCAGTTGTCTACTCTCAGTGGAGTCATGGACATCACTACCTTTCCTGGCAATGATGTTTGAAATATACACGGAGTATTGCCAACCAGGGAAGCTCACCTGAGTCTTCATGTCCAGAGTTCTTACTGGGGCTGGATCACACAGACGGTGTGTCATAGACTAAAGGCTGTCCTTTATTTTCCAGCCGCTCTGGAGGTAGAACAGATACCAGGTGGCCCAAAGCCCCTGCCATAAATCACATTGTTAGACACTCTGATGTGACTCAAGTCTCCCAGGTAAACAAAAACACCCTTTTTCAAAAATTATTTTTAATTTGAGAGAGGGTTTCTCTCTGTTACCCAGGCTAGCGTGCAGTGGCACGATCTCGGCTCATTGCAACCTCCGTCTCCTGAGCTCAAGTGATCCTCCCACCTCAGCCTCCAGAGTAGCTGAGACCACAGGCATGTGCCACCACGCCTGGCTATTTTAAAACACTCTTATCGGTGGGACAGCCCACTGCTGTCCCACTCATAGGAAAATCCTTCCTCTGCCTCTGTTTGTCCACCTTAGTCATTAGGCCCTCACTCCTCTGTGGAATTTATATATGTTCAGACTGTTAAATTGCAGATTTTCACAGGTGATGAGTGGCCTGTGGTGAGAGGTTGTCTTAGTCTGAATTTCCAAGAAGCAGAGCCCAAGACAAAAGCTTGCAGGAAAATGGCTTATTTTTTGTGTGAAGCAAGGCACAGAGGTGTGTGATATGGGGAACAGGACAGGAGCAGCTCCAGGAAGTTGGTTCCTAGCCTCTCTTCTGCCCTGTGATAGCAGCGTCTCTTCTACCTTCCACCTTTGTGTTGAATATTTCTCATTTCTCCCCTGGGCTTCTGAGTTATTCTCTCTTCCCTTCCCCAGGCCATTTTAATCTGGTCTCCTGGAAGTAAGAATCTTGCCCTGCACCTTTCTCTCCAAAAAATGAATCTTTTTCTAGTACTGAGACGGGTAGATTTTTTGAATTTTATATCTGCCCCATTGTGGGCTTGTTCTGGGGAAAAAAATGAGGCAGAAGAGGGAAAAGGAATGGAATACAAGCTGGGAGCGTGGCTCATGCTTGTAATCCCAGCACTTTGGGAGGCCAAGGCAGGTGGATCACTTGAGGTCAGGAGTTTGAAACCAGCCTGGCTAATATGGCAAAACCCTGTCTGTACTAAAACTACAAAAAAATTACCTGGGCATGGTGGTATATGCCTGTAATCCCAGCTACTCAGGAGGCTGAGGCAGGAGAATCGCTTAAACCCAGGAGGTGGAGGTCATAGTGAGCCAAGATCGCGCCACTGTACTCCAGCCTGGGCCACAGAGAGAGACTCTGTCTCAAAAAAAAAAAAAAAAAAAAGGAATGGAATATAGAGCTGAACATCCACGAAGCAGAGACTAGGGAGCCATGGAAAGCTCTTGTGTAGGAAATGAATGATTAGCTGTGTGACTCCCTGAACACGTTGTTTTAATTCCCGGGACCTTCACTTTCTCATTTCTTAATTAATGGGTTGAGCTTTCTAATCTATAAAGACTCTCTTGGGCCTAAAACTCAATTTGTTGAAGAGAAAGGAGGTGGCAAAGGGAGGGTGGCAGTGTGCAGGATGGATTAAGGACAGCCAGAGTTATAGAGCGCTGATAAAGATTGTCATAGGAGGCCAGTCACCAGGGGATGGTGTTAGGACTGGATGGAGGTGGTGGCCAGAAAGATGGAGAAGAAAGAAAAGATATATAAGAGACATTTTGGCCAGGCGTGGTGGCTCACGCCTGCAATCCCAGCACTTTGGAAGGCTGAGGCAGGTGGATCAGGAGGTCAAGAGATCAAGACAATCCTGGCCAACATGGTGAAACTCCGTCTCTACTAAAAATACAAAAATTAGCCAGATGTGGTGGCACGTGCCTGTAGTCCCAGCTACTCGGGAGGCTGAGGCAGAAGAATCACTTGAACGCAGGAGGTGGAGGTTGCAGTGAGCCAAGATCGTGCCACTGCACTCCAGCCTGGTGACAGAGTGAGACTCTGTCTCAAAAAAAAAAAAAAAGAGAGAGACATTTTAAGAACAGAAGCACCATGCCTTGGTGACTAGATGGTTCTGAGGGAGGAGTAATGGAGATGAACCAACACTGGCTTTAAAGTTCCGAGTTTGGATGATTGAAAGTAGAAGCCAAGAGCCCCACCAGACCTGGAGTCAGAAGATCCCGGGCCAGGTACTAATGAGTTTGTGTGGCTTTGGGCAAGCCGAAACAAAGGAAAAACAAAGAACATTTCTGTCTTTCACAGGAACTGGAAGATAAAAAACCAACTGGCTAGGTAGGGAGGAGCAGGACCTATTGTGTAGGTCAGATGTGCTGAGTGTGAAGTTGCAGAGGGACTGGAGCTTGGGATTGAGTGAGATTTAGCAGTCATTCATTCATTCAAAACTTGATGAGCATTTACTATGTGTGAAGCATCAGTTAGATAGGAGAGTTGAGTGGACAGATGGGAAGGGTTTGGGGATTACTAAGAGGCAAGAAAAGGAATTTCAGGGATTTTCCATGGCTAAGGATTGGGATGAGAAAGAGGGCGGTGAAAAAACCCTTGGAGTGATTAGAGAAGCAGGCACGGAAGAAAAAGAAGCAAGGGAAGATGTTTAAAGAAGGATGTTCACAATGCCAAGACCACAGAGATTTCAACAGGGGAAGAAAAATCTGATTTGTGGGAGCAGTTTTAGGAAGTGCCATTTTCTAAGGCAACCTTGAACTCCCTCTGCTAAATCTTTCACAAAATTTTATGTGAAATATGATGTTTGTGAAAACAAAACATTTTGCAAGCGACGACTATAATGCAGAGTGTCTTTTATGTTTATTGGATTAAAGATTTTCCGATCAAGGAGAAGAAATCTACGGCTGTCTAAGAGAGGGAGATCTTACAAAATGAAACTGTCAACCAAAGTTTCTCTCAGTGCAAAAATTACTAATAAAATAAAATCTTACTTGTCAAGAGCCAACCATAATAACATTTTTGTTGCTGTTATAATTTTTTTTTCCAAATCATAATCTTGCCTTAGAGGCAAGCACAGCTGTAACAAATAAAATTAACTAAGTGGAAAACTGAAACTGCCATCTGACCCCAAGGCTCTATTTTATGATCTGTGAAAATTGGGAGAAGCTTTCTCTCTCCAGGTCGAACCTCTTGTCATTGTTGTTATCATTGTTATCATTGTTGTTGAAATGGGACTGAGACAGAGACTGGCTGAAAGGAGGCTCCAATCCCTTTCTTTCCAACCAAATGCAGAGTCAAGTATTAACTGGATGTTACAGGCCCTGCTCCTGGCCTCTGCCTGAAGGAGCGAGTCTTCATTTCCCAAATAGCCCAAAGCACCAGAACCTGGGCACATAGGATGGTGGTGAGGTCTGTCCCCACTCTAGGCTCCTGAGACTCTGCCAGTGTGAGCAGGTGACTATTCCAAAAAAGGAAGAGTATTTTGATTCCTTTTTATTGCTTCTTCAGGGCAGAAAATGTGAGCTAAATGAGATATCCAGTCATTTCTCTTGCAGACAATGATGGGCATGATTGTTTTCTTTAGTAGAAGTGTTTGTTTGTTTTTTGAATCGGAGGCTTGTACTGTCATCCTGGCTGGAGTGCAATGGCATGATCGCGGCTCACTGCAACCTCCGCCTCCTGGGTTCAAGCGATTCTCCTGCCTCAGCCTCCCGAGTAGCTGGGATTACAGGCTCGTGCCACCGTGCCCAGCTAATTTTTGTATTTTTAGTAGAGTCGGGGTTTCACCATGTTGGCCAGGATGGTCTCGAACTCCTGATCTCGTGATCCGCCCAGCACCCAGAGTGCTGGGATCACAGACGTGAGCCTCCGCACCTGGCCTAATAGAAGTATTTTTAAAATGAGCATCACAATATTTGTAGAGAAATTTTTCACAGGAAAATTGCAAATATCACAAGCACTCTTCTGTGTAACAACAATCTTGTAATCTGTGTCCTGGGAAGGTACACACAGACATTGGCAATGCTTCCCTTGAGAAAATGACATCATACTGAAGAAACTTCTTGTCTGACCTATAATATATATTACATATGTATTATGTAATATTTCATATTAATATATTTAATTATTTTATATTTATTATATTTATACATGATTGATATCCAACATATTTTCTATTTAAGTTATAGTAATATAACTAATATTCTATTAACATATCAAGATCTACAGTTGATCAGCTGATCAAAAATTTCAGTTAAAGAGGAGGATCATTAAAATAGGTATGTACATATCTTCAATATCTTATCATGTAACATATAAATGCACATTTATTTTGCCAGTCATCTGAGGCAGAGCCAAACAAAGTTTCATCTTCAATGTCATCTGTTGACTCGTGTACTGCCATCTTTCTTGCATAAATCACTTTCTTTCTTTCTTTCTTTCTTTTTTTTTTTTTTTTTGAGAAGGAGTCTCACTCCGTCGTCCAGGCTGGAGTGAAGTGGCATGATCTCGGCTCACTACAACCTCTGCTTTGCAGGTTCAAGTGATTCTCCTGCCTCAGCCTCCTGAGTAGTATAAAAAATTATAGTTGGATAGGAGAAATAAGTTCAAGAACTCTATTCTACAACATATTTACTATAGTTAATAATACTATATTGTATTCTTGAAAATTGCTGAGAGAAGATTTTAAGTGTTCTCATCACACAAAAAAAGTGAGATAATACATATGTTAATTAACTTGATGTAGCCATTCCACAAGGTATACATATTTTAAGACATCATGTTGTACACAATAAGTATATATAATTTTTGTCAACTAAAATAATTGTTTTATGAATATCTATTATTTAATTTCATTTTAAGACTTCAAGTTTCCCCCCCAAATTTTTTGGGCGTAATTTTAAGTAGACATAGTTTATAAAACAATTGTCATTGAAAACTTGATTTATAAACTTGGAAGCCATTTACATTCACCTAGTTTACTTGTTTTTAGCAATTATGCTTGAATTGCTTCTTAAACAAAACTAGCCATGAAAGGAGTCAGGAAGGGACATTCCAGATTATGCCTCTTTGACACAAATATTTTCAGCTAAAAGCAATGAAGAAGTAGCAAGCAGAGGAATGGCTCTTTTTCTTCTCCCTGTTTCATCTAAAGAAGGGATATAAATTTTGTTTTCTTTCTTCTATCTTTCTTTCTTTCTTTTTTTTTTTTTTTGAGACAGAGTCTCACTCTGTCACCCAGGCTGGAGTGCAGTGGCTCGATCTCAGCTCACTACAACCTCTGCCTCCTGGGGTCAAGTGATTCTCCTGCCTCAGCCTCCCAAGTAGCTGGGATTACAAGTGCATACCACAGCTCCCAGTCGATTTTTGTATTTTTAGTAGAGACGGGGTTTCACCATGTTGCCCAGGCTGGTCTTGAATTCCTAACCTCTGGTGATCCACCCGCCTCAGCCTCCCAAAGTGCTGAGATTACAGGCATCAGCCACCATGCCTGGCCAGGATATAAATTTTCTTAACTGGACACAACTCTTATAAGTGCGGAGAGATGGCACCAGGGGAATCCTAAATAAATCTTACTTCATTCGTTTATTCTATAGTTTTTGTAAAATAATTAGTTAATTTAAAAAACAATAAAAGACTTCGATTGCTGTGAAAAAAGTAATATTTGCTCATAAATGATATAATCCAAATACATATATTAATTGCAAATATTAAATATTCTCCAACATCTCTCCATTCTTCACACTTGAGGTAACCAAAGCTAATAGTTGATGTATAACCTTATGTGTATATATATACATATACATACACACATACATATATACATATGTATATATATTTGTGTGTGCATATATATACATATATACACATTTATATACACACACAAATATTTATGGGTTACATTTGATATTTACAAATATAGAATCATAATGTACACATTACTTGCAATTTGCTTTTCTCAATATTTCATGTATGTCTTTTCAGGCCAATAGATACATTTTTTAGGATATAAATTTGGTTGCTACATTAAAGAGATAACAAAATACAGAAACTTATATGAGATATAAGTTTATATATCTCCCAGTTGAAAATGTGGATCAGTGATTCAGGACTGGTATAGTAGTTTGACTATGCTGGAGACCTATGTCCTTTCATATTGTGGCTCAACAAAAAGCTTCCATCTCATTATTCAAGACAGTTACTCCAACTCCTTCTATCATGTCCCATTTCAGTCAGTTGGAAGAAAGATGGAAAGGAGGACAAGCTCCTTCCCTTTAAGAGCAAGGCAGCCTGGGCACTTTGGCTCATGCCTGTAATCCCAGAACTTTGGGAGGCCAAGGCAGGAGGATCACCTGAGCCCAGGAGTTTGAGGCTGCAGTGAGCCATGATTACGCCACTGCACTCCAGCCTGGGAGACAGAGCCAGACCATCTGTCTTAGCAACAACAAAAAAAAGAGCAAGACAAAAATTTGCATATATTCCTTCCACTCACATCCTATTGGCTGGAACTTAGTCACATAACACCGCCTAGCCAAGGAAGTGTATTAGTCCGTTCTCACATTGTTAAAAAGAATTACCTGAGACTGGGTAATTTATAAAGAATAGAGGTTTAATTGGCATACGTTCCACAGGCTGTACAGCATGGCTGAGAAGGCCTCAGGAAACTTACAATCATGGCAGAAGGTGAAGAGGGAGGAGGCAGGAGGAAGAGAGATGGGGGAGGTGCTACACACTTTTAAACAAGCAGATCTCAGGAGAACTCTAACAGGAGAACAGCAAGGGGGAAGTCAGCCCCATGATTCAATCACCTCCCATCAGGCCCCTCCTCCAACACTGGGGATTACAATTTGACATGAGATTTGGGCAGGGACGCAAATCCAAACCATATCTGGAAGGCTAGGAAATGTAGTCTTTCACTGGGGGAAAAAAATCTAATATTATGTAAGAAGAGGGGAATTGATATTGAGGGACAACTAGCAATCATCTGTCATGTGGATATAGATTCAACTCATTCATTTCAATAGCTACAAAATATTCCACAGTGCAGGAATATTCAACCATTCCTGTTGATGATCATTCAGTTTGCTTCTAATTTAATTTTGCCATTGCAAAAAATACTGCAGTAACCATTAATATATATATATCCTTATGTACAGGTGATTTTCTCTTAGTGACAGAGTTCCTGAAATGGGATTAGTGGGTCAAAGTATAAATGTATTTTAAGATTTTATAGAGTGTTCTGATCCTGGCTTGGTCCACCCCATAAGCCCTGTACAGTCTCTTTCTTCTGCTGATTACAAGACACTGTCCAAAACATAAAAAGCAACTACCCAAAAGTTCTGAAAAGTAAACAACAGCAGCAGATTATGAAAAGGAGTCAAAACTTGAAGAAGCAACCTGTAAGGGAATGAGTTTCCCATTTTTTTCTCTTTTCTTTCATAGCTTTGCCCAGAGAGGAGATTCCAATCATAAAGCTGCATGGTAGAGCAGCAGCTTGGATGGTTAAAATTCCCACAGGAAACTCATCTTTCTGACCAAAGGAGTGGGAGGGGTCTCTGTGGGCTGTGGAGAGAGTGGGAGGGAACAAGAGAGAAGAGAATTGGAGATACGGATTCTCCAAATCTGTGCATCAACCTGCACAAACCTCAGGCTCTCCCTGAGTCGTAGATGAATCAGACATACCCATAGAAGTACAACAAAGGTTTAGAAAACTGAACTGACATTGAAGCCGTTGTCTACAGAACTTAAAGTCTGAAAGTAACCAGTTAGGTTGTCTGCTAAAACGAACAGGAAAAAAAGTAATTTCCAAATGATTTTTTTCTTTTTTTTTTTTTTTATTTCTGCCCGGGAATCCAGAGGATTATAACAGGACTCAGAGTCTACCCAATACAACATTAACAATATCTAGCAGCAAAATTACTTGACAGACACAGAACCAGGTAAATGTGACCAGTTCTCAAAAGACAATAGATGCCAACACCAAGATTGCCAAAGATGACTTAATTTTTTTATTTTTATTTTTATTTTTTTTTTGACACAGAGCCTTGCTCTGTTGCCCACGCTGGAGTGCAGTGGCATGATCTCAGCTCACTGCAACCTCTGCCTCCTGGGTTCAAGCGATTCTCCCTGCCTCAGCCTCCCAAGTAGCTGGGATTACAGGCGCCCGCCATCATGCCCAGCTAATTTTTATATTTTTAGTAGAGATGGGGTTTCGTCATGTTGGCCAGGCTGGTCTCAAACTCCTGACCTCAGGTGATCCACCCACCTTGGCCTCCCAAAGTGCTGGGATTACAGGCGTGAGCCACTGTACCTGTCCCAAAGACGCTTTTTTTTTTTTTTTTTTTTTGAGATGGAGTCTTGCTCTGTTGCCCAGGCTGGAGCTCAGTAGAGCCATCTCACTGCAAGCTCCGCGTCCTGGGTTCAGGCAGCCGTTCTCCTGCCTCAGCCTCCGGAGTAGCTGGGACTACAGGCACCTGCCACCACACCCGGCTAAATTTTTGTATTTTCAGTAGAGACAGGGTTTCACCATGTTAGCCAGGATGGTCTCGATCTCCTGACCTCGTGATCCTCCCGCCTCGGCCTCCCAAAGTGCTGGGATTACAGGCCACCGCGCCCGGCCCAAAGACGACTTTAAAGCAGCCATGTGACTGCTACACGAGCATGCATCTGAAGTAAAAGCAAACACACCTGAAACAGTTCTATCTCGAGAGATAGAACTCTTCAGGGGAGATGCAGAAGCTATAGAAAAAACCAATTATTTTAGAACTGAAAACTACAATTTATGGAATAAAAAGTACACTGAATATGCTCAATAACAGGATGGAGAAAAGAATCAGTGAACTTAAAGATAGGTCAATGAAAATGTTTTAATATAAAGAGCAGAAAGTAAAAAGACTGAAAAAAATAAACCGAGACTCTCGGATATGTATGCACTGTGATGATTAATTTCAATATGTCAACTTGACTGAGTTAATGGATGCCCAGATAGTTACTAAAACATTTCTGGGTGTGTTTGTGAAGGTGTGATTCTGGAAGAGATTAACATTTGAATCGGTAGACTGAGTAAAGAAGATTACCCTCACCGATATGGGTGAACGTCATCCAATCCATTAAGGGCATGAATAGAACAAAAATGCTGAGGAAAGGCTGATTCACTGCTGTTTGAACTGAGATATCCATCTTCTCTGGCCCTCAGATATTGCTGCTGCTTCTTGGGCCTTTGGACTTGATCTGAGCTTATCCCATTGGCTCCCTTAGTTCTCAGGCCTTTGTACTCAGATGAATTACATCACCAGCTTTCCTGCTTCTGCAGCTTGCAGACAACAGATCATGAGACTTCTCAGCCTTCATAACCATGTAAGCCAATTCTTGTACTAAATCTCTGATTAGATAGATAGATAGATAGATAGATAGATAGATAGATAGATAGATTCAATTGATTCTGTTTCTTTGGAGAACACTGACTAATACAGGCATTATTGAAAGGTCAAATACTTATCATTAGGATCCCAGAAGAAGTTAAAAAACTGGGGGGAGAAAAAGATATTAAAAAGAAAATGGCTGAAAACTTCTCAAATCTGATGAAAAACATACACTTACAGATTCAAATATCTTGGTCATCCCCAAACAGAATGAATGGAAAGGAAACCATGTCTAAACACACCATAATGAAATTTCTGAAATTAAAAAAAAAAAATCTGGGCTGGGTGCAGTGGCTCACACCTGTAATCCCAGCACTTTGGGAGGCCAAGGTGGGTGGATCACAAGGTCAAGAGATCGAGACCATCCTGGCCAACATGGTGAAACCCTGTCTCTACTAAAAATACAAAAATTAGCTGGGCATAGTGGCACATGCCCGTAGTCCCAGCTACTTGGGAGGCTGAGGCAGGAGGATCACTTAAACCTGGGAGGCAGAGGTTGCAGTGAGCCAAGATCATGCCACTGCACTCCAGCTTGGCGACAGAGCAAGACTCCGTCTCAAAATAAAAAAAAAAAAAGAAAATAAAAGAAAATTAGCCAGGGGTAGTGGTGCACGCCTATAGTCCCAGCTACTCGGGAGGCTGAGGGCAGGAGAATTGCTTGAACCCAGGAGGTGGAGGCTGCAGTGAGCTGAGATGGTGCACTCCAGCCTGGGCAACAAGAGTGAAACTCTGTCTCAAAAAAAAAAAAAAAAAAAAAATCGAAAAGCAGCTATAGAAAAATGACATGTTACACACAGGGGAATCATCATGAATTCTCATCAGAAACTATGGAACCACAACATATTTTTTAAGTGATGAGGGAAAAGAATTGTCAACTTAGGATTTTATATCCTGAAAAAATAGCTTTTCAGAATGAAGGTGAAATAAAGACATTCTAAGAGGAGGAAAACTAAAGAAATGTGTCTCCAGCAGACCTCCTCTAAAAGAAATGCTAAAGCAAGTCCTTCAGGGGAAAGGGAAATAATACCAGAGAGAAATCTGTATCTTCAAGAGTGAAGACAAAGTAACAGGAATGAGAGCTGTCTGTTTTGTCATATATATATATTTATATATATATATTTATATATATGTATGAATCTGTATATGTACATATGTATATGTATGTATATATGTGTGTGTATATATATAATTATTTTTTCCTCTTAAGCCTTTTAAAATATTTATGACTACTGAAAACAAAAAATTATAAAATTATGTGGTGGGATTTTCAATGTAATGCATGTAATATATGTGACAACTATAACACAAAATTCTAGGGGGAGGTGGTTCAAAGAAGTCTATATACAATTGCAAGCCTTCTACATTTTACTTGGCCTTGTAAATATTAATGCTGGCCGGGCACGGTGGCACATGCCTGTAATTCCAGCACTTTGGGAGGCTGAGGCGGGTGGATCACAAGGTCAGGAGATCGAGACCATCCTGGCTAACACGGTGAAACCCCGTCTCTACTAAAAATACAAAAATTAGCCGGGCGTGGTGGCAGGTGCTTGTAGTCCCAGCTACTCAGGAGGCTGAGACAGGAGAATGGCGTGAACCTGGGAGGCGGAGCTTGCAGTGAGCCAAGATCGTGCCACTGCACTCCAGCCTGGGCAACAGAGCAAGACTCTGTCTCAAAAAAAAAAAATTATGCTAAATAAACTATGAAAGCTTAGAAATGTAATTATAAGCCCTAGAGTAATCACTAAAAGAAAAAAATGCAGAGATATAGACAAAAATTCAAAAGATACATTAAAATGAAATACCAAAAAGTATTCCAAGAACGCAGAAGAAGGCAGCACAGGGAGAACAGAGAAACAAAAAACAGAGCAACAAACAAATAACAAAATAATAATTGTGGACAAAAATCCTACCACATCAATCATTACATTAAATATAAATGATCTGAATATACCAATTAAAAGATATTGTCATACTGCATGAAAAACAAGACCCAATTATAAACTGGGCACAGAGGCTCATGCCTATATTCCCAACACTTTGGGAGGCTGAGGTGGGAGAAACATACGAGCCCAACTCGAGGCTGCAGTGAGCTATGATTGCACCACTGAATTCTAGCCTGGGCAACAGGACGAGAGCCTGTCCCTAAAATATAAAATTAAATTAAAATTTAACAAGTTAAGAGTGAGATTACATCATGATAAAGGAGAATTCTCCAGGACCACATAACAATCGTAACTGTGTACACACCTAATAGCAGAGTTTCAAATTGCAGGAGCAAAAACCAATGAAACAGCAAGGAAGAAGAGACAAATTCACAATTATAATTGTCTTTAACACTCCTCTCAGTAATTGTTAGAATAAGTAGACAGAAACTGATCAAAGAAAGAGAACACCTGAACAACACTGTCAAGTAACTGGATCTAACTGCCATTTCTAGAACTCTCTACCCAACCTTAGCAGGACACACACTCTTTTCAAGTGCACGTGAAACGTTCACCAAGATAAACCATTTTCTGGTTCATAAAACAATCAACACATTGAGAAGAATTGAAATCACACAAAGTGTGTTCTCTGATCAGGAGATAATTAAACTAGTAATCAATAACAGAAAGATATCTGGAAATCCCAAATATTTGTGAGTTAATATGTAATAAATATTGCCTGAATATTTTCCCACAGGTTTTAGCAAAACCCATTCCCATGTATGGAGAGTGCTTATTTCCTTCAGAGCACTTCTTTCTTCAAAGGTGGTTTGGAAGACTAAGAGGTTCATGAATGATCTCTGTGGTATAAATGCCTTAGAAGGGGAAGTATGTATAACAGAAATAGCACGGGATTTGGGGCTACCTGGTTGTGTAACATTGAAGAAGATGCTCCACCTCTCTAAGTTTCACTTCCCCATTGAAGGGTCACCACTGAAGCCTCTGGTGTCCAACTATCTGGTTTCCAATCCTGATGCCATCACTCACCAATATGTGATCTTGGCAAGTGAACTAACCTCCCTTTGCTTCCCTTTCATCATCTGTATAGTCACAGTAATAATAATACAGGTTGGTATATGTCCTGGCTCGCTTGGGACAGTCCTGGCTTACCCTTGTTCTTCCACTATGATTATTAATAATATCCTGGTTAGGGTGATAAATGTTGTGCTCAGTCTAATAACAGTAGCTATGTATTACAGGGTTGTTAAAACAATTAGGCTAGTTGTTACGGATAAAGTGTTTTAGAATGGTGCCAGGCAGCCAGGCTCAATCAATATTGGAGTGCCTGCTAGAGTCCAGTTACTTTTCTAGGGGCTAGGATATGGTGGTAAACAGGGCAGACACTACACTCAGAGCGTCTGGGGTGTGGCAGAGTGGCTAAGTGCACGGGCTCTGCTGCTAGCCTACCTGAGTGTGAATCCTGGCCTGTTCCCTATTAGCTATGCAGCCTTGAGCAAGTGATTTTACTTCATACCTGTAATATGAGTTGCTATGAAGATCGAATGGGTTAAAATTTGCAAAGCACTTAGATCAATAACTGGCATATAAGTGCAACTAAATACTTGTTAAATCAAATAAATATAACAATTCTAAATGTTGGAAAGATTAAATGCATTAGTACAGTCATATGCTGCATGACATTTTGGCCAATGGCGAGCCACCTATACAACTATGGTTCCATAAGATCGTAATACCATATTTTTACTGTACCCTTTCTATGTTTGGATATGTTCAGATACACAAATACTTGCTGTTGTGTTATAATTGCCTACAGAATTCAGTAGAGTACCATGCCATACAGGTTTGTAGCCTAGGAGCAATAGGCTATAGCATCTAGCCTGGGTGTGCAGTAGCCTTTACTAAACCTACACTACCTAGGTTTGTGTAAGTACACTGTATGATGTTCATACAATGATGAAATCACCTAACTATGCATTTCTCAGAACATATTCCCATCGTTAAGTGGCGCATCACTGTATATACAAACGCACTTATACCGGAGATTTGCTGTTTTTAAAGTAAAATTGTCCCTTCTGGTGTTTTTTTCTTTTCAAAATAAAGCAAGACTCCTCCAAAGGTGGATCGATAGCTCCTCTACTTCTAGAGACAAAAGACTGCCAGGAACTTTCAGAGGAATTTTTTTTTCTTTTTCTTTTTTTTTTTTTAAGATGGAGTCTTGCTCTGTCGCTCAGGCTGGAGTGCAATGGTGCGACCTCAGCTCACTGCAACCTCCGCCTCCCAGGGTCAAGCAATTCTCCTGCCTCAGCCTCCTGAGTAGCTGGGATTACAGGCGCCTGCTACCATGCTGGGCTAATTTTTGTATTTTTAGTAGTGACGGGGTTTTACCATGTTGGCCAGGCTGGTCTTGAACTCCTGACCTCAGGCGATCCGCCCACCTTGGCCTCCCAAAGTACTGGGATTATAGGCATGAGCCACCGTGCCTAGCCAGACTTTTTTTTCTAGCTTTAAAAAAGACCCAGATAATCCAAACTACAGTCCTATCATGTTATCACAACCATAAGAAGTGGATATTATGAATATCATTCTCACAAGTAAACAGAGGCTCAAAGGCTCACCAAAGTCACAGAGCTTTCTGTCTTTTTGATCAAATCTTTAGGCCAGAAGCAGTGGCTCATACCTGTCCTATAATCCCAGCACTTTGGGAGGCTGAGGTGGGTGCATCACTTGAGGTCAGGAGTTCAAGACCAGCCAGGTCAATATGGTGAAACTCCGTCTCTACTAAAAAATACAAAAATTATAGCCAGGTATAGTGGCACACGCCTATAATCCCAGCTACTTGAGAGGCTGAGGCAGGAGAATAGCATGAACCTGGGAGGCAGAGGCTGCAGTGAGCAGAGATCGCACCACTGCACTCTAGCCTGGGGGACAGAGCAACACTTTGTCTCAAGGAAGAAAAACATCTTTAGCAAAGGTCTTGAGGTGAATGTTGCATTTCAGTGTGTTTGCTAGAGGACAGCTAGCAAACTTCATTTGCTAGATCAGGCCAGAACAAGTACACATAACACACTATCAACACAAATGTGAAGAAGCTAGATTGCTCCATTATTAGAGATAGAAAAGCTGTAATAGTGAAAACTCTAAAGATCACGTATAGAAAATTGCAGTGACAGGAAAAGACCCTGAAGCTGCTGAATGCTAGGTACACAAGTCAGCCCTCCTCTTTTGTGGGATAGGATAACACACCCTCCCAAGTGCGCCACTCACAGCTTAACTATATGTGACTTAGTGCAAGGGCCCTCCTCACCATTCACCCCCAGCTTTGACAGATTTCAACCCCATTATTGTTACCAACAACCATAAGCACAGAAGTGTTTTCTTTTCTCATTGTCAAGGGAGTCCAGACATTCCTGATAGCAAATGTACGTGTGTCAATGTAACCTTGACAGACGGAAACTCAAACTCAAGTACAATGGCAACCTTTATATGCTGTAATATATGCACAATGATGGACTTGGTAATGCTTCTCCCTCGCCCCCAACTTCTTAGAATGTGCAAAATGTGCCTGTTAAATATCATAATCCTTTTTACTCTGAGCACCTTTTCCCCTGGAGCCTTGCAAGTGCTCTCCATATAATGGCCTATTTTTAAGAGTCCTCTTGAGACTGAAATGACATTCGGGCCTTAAATCTAATGATATCAGAGCCTGTCCTTATTTTAAACATTTCTAATATGATCAGAAAGACGCCTGAAAAATGAGCTCTTCTTGCCCTTGGCTTCTCATGTGCCCTAGGGAAGTCCTGATTTAGAAGACGGCCCCCTAACTCAAGTGCAAGGTGCAACAGCTGCTGACATATGTGACTGTGAGCTGATGTTGAAAATTTCTGAGGCAGGGCACAAACCTTTGACCCATCTCCCAGGCTTCTCTGGATAAAATGTGGTTTTTTACAGATCAAAAAGGAGACAGATAAGAAAATGAAGACTGAAAATCTTAGAATTATGAAAGAGAGAATCATATACATTTTCTCTTTAAATACTAATCATTTAAAATGTGTAATTTTAAGGATGCATTAAACCTGCTTGACTGTCCTCACAAGAGAAACTTCCTTCCTTTTCTTAATTCTGTTCCTGGACTTCTCCCCAGCTATATTAGCTACAGCCAGCAGTGAAGTCCCATTGAGTATTCTGTGCACTACTGGAAATCCTGTGATTCACTCCGTGGGCAGTGCTGAATTAATTGTTAATCTGGTAGTGGGTGTTACTTTTTCTACTAGATTGTGAATTTCTAACTCTTGAGATGTCAGGTAAAAGCACTTCTGAGAGAAGAAAAAGGATACAAGGACAAAGAATCTGAGATTTGCCTTCTCTCTGGAAGCCTTTTCATCTTGCCATAGGGAACAGTTGAACCATCAAAAGCCCATTTATAATTAGTGTTAGTGAAACCAGGGGCTTTGGGGAATATTGGTCGTGAACAAAGGCAAGATTGGCAAATCTTGTTAAATTTTGTTAAACGGAAGACCCAGGATTTTTAAAAGCTGAAATACAGAATATAATATTAGTAAACTCATATGATTCTGCTTAAGATAATTTTTAAAACAAATGTTAAAAGGGTAAATTTTTAAAAAGAAAATTATATATATGTACTTTTATATATATGTAGGAACGTACATATATATACGTATATACATAGGCATGGACTTTTTCCTGGAAATTACCATAGCTACAATATGTCACTGGTCTATATCATGTTAATTAGCACTTGATCTGTGAAAGAAATCTGAGCGTGAGGTAATTCAGCACTGTCACCCAACTGGCCACATTAATCTTGAGTATTTTCCCCAGGGGATTAAAATCTGTCACCTGATGTGGCTACCAAGGTGAAATACATCCTCTCTCCTATGCTTTGCTAAGGACAGAGAGGGGCCAATTTGAGCTGTGCTAGAACAGGTTTGTTTGAATGGAGCCAGCATGTGAGCCCACTCAGACAATGGTCTGAGTTCTTCATTGAAGTCGTCTTCTTCCTCTGGTTCCAGTGTAGCCAGTGATGCAATTTGGTTTGCCCTTTTGCAGTGAGAACCGATTGGCCATAAGGTACTCAGCCTACGTTTCCTGCTCAAATGCAAGCAAATCAGTTGATTTACCAGCTCTGAAAATGTTGTGATCTAAACTTGTGCTAATAGAAACCCAAAGAAAGTGACACACATAAGACGTGTGGAAGTGCCTAGGGCTTCTTGGCATTCAGGAGCAGGGGAGTAGAGCATGCTGTACTTAATCAGGATTCGATTCTGTAGCTCTTTACCATCTACGAAATTATTTTTACCACATCCTATTAAAATTGGGAGGCAGCCTTGTTTGGTAGGAAAAATATAGCTTTGGAGTCAAGCAGAGCTGTATTTGAACCCTGGTGCTGCCACTTAGAAACTCTGGGAGGGACCTCAGGCGCTGAGCACTTTACCCCCTCTAACCTCCATTCCTCATTGGTAAGTGTGGGTGATGATGTCCAGCCGATAGGGATGCTGTGAAGGGTGAGAGATACCATATTCAAGTTCTTAGTAGAGAAGCTGATCCAAGGAACGTGCTTTGAAAACCAGTGACCTAGATCCTATTACCATCTTCCCATGTTTAGTCTTCTTCCATTCATGCTCATGTGGCTTGCTTTTTTTTTTTTTCTATCTTCTCCCGGGATTTAGAAATTACTTCCGGCCGGGCGCGGTAGTTTATGCCTATAATCCCAGCACTTTGGGAGGCTGAGGCGGGCGGATCACGAGGTCAGGTGTTAGAGACCAGCCTGACCAACATGTGAAACCCCGTCTCTACTAAAAATACAAAAATTAGCCGGGCACAGTGGCGTGCGCCTGTAATCCCAGCTACTCAGGAGGCTGAGGCAGGAGAATCGCTTTCACTCGGGAGGCAGAGGTTGCAAACAGCCGAGATCGCGCCACAGCACTCCAGCCTGGGCGACAAAGCGATACTCCGTCTCAAAAAAAAAAAAAAAAAGAAATTACTTCCTTGACAAAATCTCCTGTCTTGAATTACTAGTGCCTTTTTGCTGTTATGAATGGAATTTTTAATCATTTAAAATTTAACTTGGTGTAGAAATGCAGTTTATTTGCATAGGTGTATCTTATACCCTGCAACTCTGACTTTTTCATTTCCTTCATTTTGTCATTGTGGTTGTTGATTTTCCTAAGTATGTCAATAATTGTGTAATCAGTACTTTAACCAAAAGGAAGTACAGTGAAAATAACTTTATTCCTTTCCCCCACAGGCTTAGTGGGACTGGTTCCTGCCCTTCCCTGTCCCGTGATTTCTCTGGCCAATCTTAATAATTGTTTCAGCTGCAACCCCAATTGGAACTCACACTGGCCAAAGTGGAGCAGCTCTTGGGGGCCCCCTGCTGGGCCAAGTGTGACCTCTTTAGTTTCTGCATGGCAGGGCTCATGGAGGGTTCCAGCATCAGGGTCATGGCAGCCAGGGCGGTGGGTGAGTGAACACCAGGGGTGCAGGCTGGGGCTATTTACCAACTAGTACAGGAGATTTGAGTATTTTGACAATGGGTCCGGCCATAATGGTGTGGACTGGCTCAGTATCAGCTCTACTCTTAGGTAATAAAAAAAAATCCTCTGGTCTTGTCTAGGGCCAAGCCACTAGTTAAAATTTTATCTCATGCATTAGTCAAAATGCAAATCTTTAGGCCGGGCGCGGTGGCTCACGCCTGTAATCCCAGCACTTTGGCAGGCCGAGGCGGGCGGATCACGAGGTCAGGAGATCGAGACCATCCTGGCTAACACGGTGAAACCCCGTCTCTACTAAAAATACAAAAAATTGGCCGGGCATGGTGGCGGGCGCCTGTAGTCCCAGCTACTCAGGAGGCTGAGGCAGGAGAATGGCATAAACCCGGGAGGCAGAGCTTGCAGTGAGCCGAGATCGCGCCACTGCACTCCAGCCTGGGCAATAGAGCGAGACTCCGTCTCAAAAAACAAACAAACAAACAAACAAAACAAACAAAACAAAACAAAACAAAAATGCAAGTCTTTAAGATGAAAGCCTTTCCTCTACCCCAACTTGAGGAAAGGTGGGAAGATCAGCCTCCTCTCTGTTTCCTAGCCTGTACCGTCTGCTCCTCTTTCCCAGTCACCGTGGCTCTGGCAGCTCCACGTTTGACAGGGTGGAGAATGGGGGAAGAAAATGATCAGAAGCGGGAAAGGTGGAACTTCACAGACACAGATGTAATCTGGCACTGCTGCCTCCTGAGGATTTAGTGGCAGGCAGGATCAAATGTTGATATTGCCGCCCAGTGGACACAAAATGTAATGCAGTACTTAGATCAGGCAGAGCTTTCTCCCCTCAGCCTGCAGCTGACTCAGTGGAAACACGAATACAAGCGTGAGCCACTGCGCCCGGGCTCAACCACCTTTTTAAATGATATTTTTCTTTAACTGTAGACAACTGCAAGTATTTTTAAAAAGAGAAAGAAAGCAGTATAATGAAACTCCCTGAACCCATTACCTGGCTTCAACAATTATCAGTTTATGGTAATCGTCTCCATCTTGTCCACTCTTGTTTCATCTGTTCCCCAACCTACTCCTGGCCTTGCCTCTAGGTTATTTTGATGCAAATCCCAGACATTATGTCATTTAATCTGTAAATATTTCATTGGAACACCTGAGAAAATCAAACACTTTCTTAATATCATCAGTTATTCATGCAGTCATTATTTACATTTTCCTAATTGCCTTATAAATTATTAAGTTAGTTGGCTTGAATTTGGACCCAAATAAAATCCATGCATTGTCATTGTTGATATGTTTCATTTTTAAGTCTTCCAACAATAAGTTGCCCTCTATCTTTGTTGTTGTTGTTCTTACGATTTCTTGAAGAAATAGGTCATTTGTCCCGTGGACTTTCCCACAGTCTGGGTTTTGTTCACTGCACCTATGTGGTCATTTCGTGTGTTCCTTTATCCCCTGTATTTCCTGTAAACTGTTGGTTGAAGCTGGAGGCTTCACTAGTTTTGGGATCAGTTGTGTTGGCAAGAAGGAGTTGCAGGTGGTATTCTGTATTCCTGTCAGAAGACAGAATATCCTGATATCTGTTTTGTTTTTGTGATGTTAGCCATCACTGATAATCACTGCTCAGATTCATTAATTCACTGAGCATTGGGAAATGGTGGCACCTGCTGCTCATGTATTAGCTTTCCAGGTAGTAACTTTTATAAAGAAAACTTTATCAACTTTTTGGTTACCAAGGTAAGAGTCCTTACAGGAAAGGCAGGACAAATAGTTGATCGTTTCTCTTTATTTACCAGTTTTCAAAAGCACTGTGTCAGTTTCCTGGCAGTGAGTTTTGTTTGTTTGTCTTAATATAATATTATCTTGAACTCATGCATTTAAACATATTTGATGTGTGTCAATCTGTTGTAGTGCTGTGGTAGACAGAATAATGCTTCCCCCAAAGAGATCTATGTCCTAATCCCAGGAACTTGTATGCTGTTATGTGGCAAAGAGGAATTAAGATTCCAGATGGAATTAAGGTTACTTATCAGCTGACCTTAAAATAGGGAGATTAGCCCGGATTATCCCAGTGGGCCAAACGTAATCACAAAGGTCTTTACAAATAGATAAGGCAGGCAAAAGAGGAGGGCAGAGTGATGTAATATGAAGACTCTACCATTGCTGGCTTTGAAGATGGAGGAAGGTGGCCACCAGCCAAGGAATGCAGGCAACAACCTCTAGGAGCTGGAAAATGGCAAGGAAACAGATTTTTCCCTAGAATTGCAGGAAGGAACACAGCCCTGCTGACATTTTGATGTGAGCTCAGTGAGACATGGGTTGGATTTCTAACCTATAGAAGTGCCACTTTGTGTTGTTTTAAGCCACTAAATTGTGGCAATTTTTTACAGCAGCAATAGAGAACTAATACCATTACTATCCTTATTGACACTCATATTAACCCATCTTTGGCCAGTGTTATCCTTTTCAAGTTGACTTCCAAGATGAGGGTTTTCTTGCTCCTGATATGACAAGATGTTCCAGGGCCACCTACGGGTTAACTGGTTAATATTTAACTTCTAACCCAACGTATCTGTTGAAACTTGTCCTCTCGAATGTCATTGGTGATTTTTAAATGGAAAAATCCAGTCCTTGTCCTTTTTGTTTTTTTCTGCAGCATTTGATACTACTCTCTTACTCTTTCCTTTTCCAAATGACATCTATCCTCCCTATCCTGTCATTGCCTTTCTTGGGTTTTATTTCCTAGCTCCCTAAAACTGTCCTTGGGCCTCATTTCTTTTTTCATTTCTTTCTTTCTTTCTTTTTTTTTTTTTTTTGAGATGGAGTTTCGCTCTTGTCACCCAGGCTGGAGTGCAATGGCGCAATTTTGGCTCACTGCAACCTCTGCCACCTGGGTTCGAGCAATTCTCCGGCCTCAGCCTCCTGAGTGGCTGGGATTACAGGCACCCGCCACCATGCCCAGCTAATTTTTGTATTTTTAGTAGAGACGGGGTTTCACCATGTTGGTCAGGCTGGACTTGAACTCCTGACCTTGGGTGATCCACCCCCTCAGCCTCCCAAAGTGCTGGGATTACAGGCGTCAGCCACCGTGCCCGGACTTTTTTTTTTTTTTTTTTTTTTTTTGAGACAGAGTCTTGCTCTGTCACCCAGGCTGGAGTGCAGTGGTGCAATCTCAGCTCACTGCAACCTCCGCCTCCTGGGTTCAAGCGATTCTCCTGCCTCAGCCTCCCGAGTAGCTGGGATTACAGGTGCATGCCACCATGCCCAACTAATTTTTTTGTATTTTTAGTAGAGATGAGGTTTCACCATGTTGGCCAGGCTGGTCATGAACTCCTGGCCTCAAGTGATCCGCCCACCTCGGCCTCCCAAAATGCTGGGATTACAGGCGTGAGCCGCTGCGCCTGGCCCCTCAGGCCTCATTTCTTCTTTCTCCACGCTCCTCCCCAGTAATCCCATCCATGCAATAATCTTTCCGTGCCAATGAGACCTAAACAGGTATCTTCCTCCCTATCTCTCCTAAGTACCAATATCTCATTTCCGACGGCTCGTTGATAGTTGCCACCTGCACCTCATATTCATGGCAAAACCTTAATTCCCATTGTCCCCCAACTCTTTCCTATTTCTATTAGTGGTTTTCTCTGACACACAGATTTAAAATCTGGGTATCATTTAAAAATCTTCTTTGTCCTTTGACTCTCCCAAAATAAGAAATATAACTGCTACCAAATGTAGTTTTATGTATTTATTTATTTATTTATTTATTTATTTTTGAGACGAAGTCTCGCTCTTTTCCCCCAGGCTGGAGTGCAGTGGTGCAATCTCGGCTCACTGCAACCTCCACCTCCCGGGTTCAAGCAATTCTCCTGCCTCAGCCTCCCAAGTAGCTCGGATTACGGGCACCAGCTACCACACCCAGCTAATTTTTGCATTTTTAGTAGAGATGGGGTTTTACCATGTTGGCCAGCCTGGTCTCGAACTCCTGACCTCAGGTGATCCGCCTGCCTCGGCCTCCCAAAGTACTGGGATTACAGGCGTGAGCCACTGCACCCGGACAGTACTTATTTATAATATTCCCATTTTTGTTTTGTTTTGCCATGGGAAATGAGAATTTTTAATGTTTGTTTTGTTCTTGAGCACTCCATCCCTGGACACAGACACCCACGAGAAGCTAAATAATTGTCAGAGGTTGCTTTGTGAGTATGGAACCAGAGCATAGGGGTTGGCTGATGTGAAGAGTTAATGGTTTTAGGGAAGTTAATGGTCTCCAGCTAAGACGGTGCAGGTCTTCTTATGGAATTGCAATATTTGAAGTCATTGCTAAGGCTCCTCCTTCGCCAAGAAAGCTTGCATGGTCCCTACTGATGCTTCTGCAACATTTCTTTCTATGCTCCCATGCCTCACCAACCTTTTTTTGATTTCTTCAGAAATGTTAAGACCGGCCGGGTGTGGTGGCTCACGCCTGTAATTCCAGCACTTTGGGAGGCCGAGGAGGGTGGATCACTTGAGGTCAGGAGTTTGAGACCAGTCTGGTCAACATGGTGAAACCCCATCTCTACTAAAAATCCAAAAAAAATTAGCCAAGCATGGTGGCATACGCTTGTAATCCCAGCTACTCGGGAGGCTGAGGCCCGGGAGGTGGAGGTTGCAGTGAGTCAAGATCGCACCACTGCATTCCAACCTAGGTGACAGAGGGAGACTGTCTCAAGAAAAAAAAAAGACAAAAAAAAAAAAGACCTTCAATCTGGTCTCTGGCAAATTTTCCAGGCACATAAAATCATAAAATTAACTGAGATGGATATCTACTAAACTAGAGGTAGATATAACTAGGAGAGAAGCTATAAGTCTTTTTAACACTTGGTATAACTTTTAAGAAATATCGCTTGAAAACAACTATTTGTATACATGCTGCTTATTTGTATACATGCTGCCACGCTACTTGTGGCCTGTGCATCACTGTGGAGTTCAGCGCCCTCTTGTGTTCACTATGAGGCCAAGCAATGCCAGGTCGCCCTGATTTGCCAAGGGGTATTTTTCAATGCATTTTTATTTTATGCGAAGTGTTAGAATTTTGGCTACCAGTTTTTAAAAGCTGCTGTCACCCTCAGAATCACGTGTATACAGAGCCAGCTCCAGGAAAAACTGAGAATAATATGAAGTTCTTAAGATCCCTGATTTTTTCTTTCACCCTACTCTCAAGAACACTTTTTTATTTTTTTATTTTTGTTATACTTTTAATTTCCTCATTTATTCCCTTCAGAGCTCCTAGATAATATCTGACCTTATAATGTGTTATTAAATCATCTAAATTTAAATTTGTGTAATTTTTAGGCTTCCAATAGGTATTTTTATGTATTAAGCATCAAAATATGTAGTAGATATTGGTGGATGGATGGAACAAAGAGAATCCAGTTAGTTGCAACAGGTAATGCAACTATGGGAGGGAGAGGTGGTGAGCAAGAAAGAAGAGAGCTGCGAGGCAGTTTCACTTTTCTGTGATCCACCACATAATACTCTGTGTTCCGAAAGAGCCTAGAAAATAACTCAACATAGGTGAGTGTAAAGACCATAGCCCTTGACAGCCCTGGGTTTGAAACCTCCATTCCTGTGCTCATCAGTTGTGCACACTTGGACAAATTACTTAACCTTCCTGAGCTCTAATTTTCTTTTTCATTTATTTATTTATTTTTGATATGGAGTCTCACTCTGTTGCCCAGGCTGGAGTGCAGTTGTGCCATCTTCACTCACTGCAACCCCCGCCTCCCAGGTTCAAGCGATTCTCATGCCTCAGCCTCCCGAGTAGCTGGGATTACATGTGCGTGCCACCATGCCTGGCTAATTTTTGTATTTTTAGTGGAGACGGGGTTTCACCATGTTAGCCAGGCTGGTCTCAAATTCTTGGCCTCAAGTGATCCACCCATCTCAGCCTCCCAAAGTTCTGGGATTACAGGCATGAGCCACCACATCTGACCCCTGAGCTCTAATTTTCTAATCTGTAAAACACTAAAAACACTTACTTCATAGGGCTGTAAGGAAGACTGAGATAATGTATGTAAAATATTGATAGAATATACAAAATGTGTATTTTTATTTATTCATCTTTAGAGATGGGGGTCTCAAAGTCCTGGCCTCAAGTGATCCTCCCACCTCAGCCTCCTAAGTAGCTGGGATTACAGGTGTAAACCACCTTGCCCAGCCAAAATGTATGTTAAAAATTCATGTTAGCGGGGCACGGTGGCTCATGCCTGTAATCCCAGCACTTGGGGAGGCCAAGGCAAGTGGATCACTTGTGGTTAGGAGTTCGAGACCAGCCTGGCCAACATGGCAAAACCCTATCTCCACTAAAAAAAAAAAAAAAATTAGCTGGGCATGGTGGTGCATGCCTGTAGTCCCAGCTAGTTGGGAGGCTGAGGCAGGAGGATTGCTTGAACTGGGGAGGCGGAGGTTGCAGTGAGCAGAGATTGCACCACTGCACTCCAGCCTGGGCAACAGAGCAAGACTCCATTTCAAAAACCTTTTAGAAAAATAAATAGATAAATAAATAAATTCATGTTAAATTTTTAAGAAAGACATAAGGCAATACTGAAAGGCCAAATCAGACTAACCTGAAATTGCTTATATTTGTAAAAGCGCTGTCCTGAATGATTCTGAGAGAGGAAAGAACATATCGTCCTGGTGAATGATCATTTGAAAACAAAGTGCCATAGCTCTCCAATGCACTGGGGAAAATGTTTAACTTCAAAAAAAAGTTGGCTTTTTAGTCAAAGGCAGGGAACTGACTGTGAAGAGAAAGATTCACAAACTCTTCCAGAATCTCAAAATAACTGACAGATACTAGTCACAGAATAGAATATTTATACCCTAGCTCAGTGTTAAGGCTCAAACAAATATCTAGAATTTACTAAACAGGATTAAATAAATTATACATAGTCATGAAATTCTTCAGACTCACTCTTCAGATAACATAAATAAACATTTAATTTAAGCCCTGTGTAAGACCCTTATTAGAAATTCCAGCCACAAGGTCTGTCAGGCCCACCAACTGCTTCCTAGGAAAAGTACCTTCCTGAGAGCCCTGAATTAATTGATATGGGCCCTAGGTGGTTTTTGGAGTAAGAGAAGGCTATCAGGACAAAGATGGGCACCAAGCAACTTATGAAGTGGCTTGGTTTAAAAAGCTCTACCTGTCAAGGAGAGTTAATCAAGTCAATTGAATTTTCTCACTTACGTGGTTGAATGGGGGCAGGGTCAGCTAGTCAATAGCAGGCACAGAGAAGACATCAAAAAGAAACAAATACTAAAAAGAGAAGCCATATTAACAGTAGCAAATTAGATGAAAGATCCAACAATGGCTGGGCGCAGTGGCTCACGCCTGTAATTCAAGCACTTTGGGAGGCCAAGGCAGGTGGATTACCTGAGGTCAGAAGTTCAGGACCAGCCTGGCCAACATGGTAAAACCCCATCTCTACTAAAAAATTCAAAAATTAGCCAGGCATGGTGGCAGGTGCCTGTAATCCCAGCTACTCAGGAGGCTGAGACAGGAGAATTGCCTGGACCCGGGAGGTGGAGGTTGCAGTGAGCCAAGATCGTGCCATTGCACTGCAGCGTGGGCGGCAAGAGCAAAACTCTGTCTTAAAAAAAAAAAAAAAAAAAGAAAAGAAAAGAAAAGAAAGATCCAACAACTGCTGAAGGGGCAAAACTGTTAATCTGGTCCCTAAAGCTGCTTCAGACTGTGAATAGAGTTACTTTTATAGGCCTATGCCATTCCAGCTTCCAACATTACAGTAAGTTTTTTTTCCAGTAAACCCCCATTTCTTGAGGGAGTCTGAGATCTCTGGTTCAGGCAATCAAATAAGATTAATTGACAGCAGTGTGAGAAATAGAAATTAAATGAGGTAGTCTCTGCCATCCCAGAGCTTAAATTATTGTTGGGGAGATCATATATATTAATTCATAGAATATTTACTAGTTTCATACTGCCAAATAGTATATTGTTAGGGATATAAAAAATCTTTGTTCTATTTACAAAGATAAATAGAACATTGACCCTGTCCTCCAGGGCCTCAGAGACTGTGATGGGAAATATACGATATGAAGGGGATGCCTAGCATGCAATGGGGGTGGGGGGAGTGGGTAAGAGATTGAAGATGATTCCAGTATCAGTGGTTACTGCTTCCTACTATTAGAAAAAAAAATACTACCCAATGTGTCCATCTATGTGGAGGAAGCTCAGTTAATAGAACTCATGGCATCTCCTCACTCCTTTACCTCTTCCTCTGTAAATTTAGGGAGAATTGAAATAGGCCTATATGGTTTGAATCTCTCTTTCCTTTTGGGAGCTAACATTTCAAGGAAGCAGACATTCTAACTCCTCTGTCCAGCACTGCCTGCAAGTGGGTGCTGAAATCTGTCTAACTCTGGGGTCCAGCTAGTAGGCTTGCTTGGTCTTGCCCTAAGCTTCCCAGCTTCATCTTTATCAGTAGATGAGGTGGTATTTAGTTTCCCATCTAACTTGTTCTTTGTTTTATTTTTCATTTTATTCAGGACTTGTGTGGGGAAAAGAGAGATCATTATTTGAACCCTCCTAGAGGCATCAACACCCACATTGGAGGTTTTTAAGACCATATGAACTCTTCCAACCACTACTGTCTAAGTCATTGATGAACACGGACCAAAGCCAGAACACAGATTAATCAGCAATATATGCCTTAAGGTCCGGGATAAAAAAGGATCTGTGTCAATTGTATTTTGCACTGAAATTTAAAAACGGATTTTCCAGTTGGTAGCAGGGCAGTAAGACATGTGGATTGTGGCTGAATCCCAGTAATAGTAGTGCTCTAGAGTTAAGATCCCCAAACCCTGCCATCCTCTAGCTCCTGACTCTGTGAGGCCCAGGCTTGTCCTTGAATTTCCACACGTTCCATGGGTTGCGTGTGTTGGGAGACAGTTCTCCATGAGTCTCTCATGCATCCACTCATCTTGTGAACAGAGGTACTGTTCTGGAGAATAGAGACTTAGTTCTGGATGATTTTTTTCAAGGATGTTTGTATAATGAACAGCCTTGGAAGATAAAGATAGTGTGTTCCTCTAGAGCAAAAGGCACGTTTTGTTTACCGACTAGGAAAATAAAGATAATTTCTCCCAAGGGGGCAAAGTCATTCAGGTTTAGGCTCATTATAAAAGATTCAGGTTCCCTGTGCTCTGGGATCTTTGTGTAATGTAACCCACTGCAGGCGTAGGTAATATCTGGCCATCTTTGTGTCACCCTGTGGGACTTGGAGTTAAGGAACTGACACAGAAATGATGATACTCTGGCTTTTGCTATTCTAGCAATTAATAAATTATCCCTTGTCTCTGACCAAGAGTCTTGTGTCTTTTGCCAGCATCCACAAAATGGTGGCAGGCTAACTTGTTAGCTTCCAAGTAGAGTAAAACCTCAGAATCTTTATTATTATTATTATTATTATTATTATTATTATTATTATTATATTTTTGAGACAGGGTGTCACTCTGTCACCCAGGCAGGCTGGAGTGCAATGGTGCAATCATAGCTCACTGCATTCTTGAACTCCTGGCTCAAGCGATCCTCCTGCCTCAGCCTCGCAAAGTGCTGACATTACAGGTATGAGCCACTATGCCTGGCCTTCAGACTTTTCATTATTGATAGTATATCTTATTCTTTAAAAACCCAAACCTCCAAAACTTTCCTTTATCTGAGATATCTTGATGAAATCTCTTTTCTTTGCTAGGAGCCCTGACTAGAACATATTTAAAACAAATCGTGCTGGAGAAAAAGGCAGTTCCAGCTATAGGAGTGACACAAACGTTAACTGGGTTTGGGAACTAACAGCACATGTAGACCTACCTGGAAGAGTCCAAGGAGTCACTCCAGTGAGGGACTAGCTGGGTATTTGCATAGGCCACGATTCCACTTCTTTGTCTACATCTTTTGCTCCTCATCTATGCATAGCCCAGAGGAGGTCAGTAGTGCCCCTTGCCCCATCAGCAAGTCAGCAACGATTGTACCAATAATCTCTTTTTCTTTTGAGAGATAATGTACTTAAAGCTTCCAATCTTCTTTGTGTGTTCTCAGTCACTAACTAGTACTTAGGCATAATATTTGTATATATTTATGGGGTTCAATGTGTTGTTTTGATATATGCATACACTGTAGAAAGATTAATTCAAGGTAATTAACACATCCATCAACGGCTTATCATTTTTGTGGTAAAAACATTTAAACATCTACTCTAATAGCAATTTTGAAATATACATTACTATAGTCACCCTGCTGTGCAATAAATGACTAAAACTTTGTATGCTTTGACCATTTCCCCTTTTTTCACGCTCGTCCCACCCACCGGCCAGCCTCTGGTGACCACCATTCTACTCTTTCCTTCTATGAGTTCGGGTTTTTCAGATTCTACATACAAGTGACATTATGCAGTGTTTGTCTTTCTGAGCCTGGTTTATTTCACTTAGCATAATGCCCTTCAAGTTCATCCATGTTCTCACAAATGGCAGAATTTCCTTTTTATTTTTAATTTAATTCATTTATTTATTATCATTATTTTTGAGACAGAGTCTTGCTCTGTCACCCAGGCTGGATTGCAGGGATGTGATCTCGGCTCACTGCAACCTCTGCCTCCCAGGTTCAAGCAATTTTCTGCCTCAGCCTTCTGAGTAGCTGGGATTACAGGCAACGGCCACCATGCCCGGCTAATTTTTGTATTTTTAGTAGAGATGGGGTTTCACTGTGTTGGCCAGGCTGGTCTTGAACTTCTGACCGTCTGCTCCACCTGCCTTGGACTCCCAAAGTGCTGGGATTATATTTATTTATATTTTTCTTGAGACAGAGTTTCACTGGTTGCCCAGGCTGGAGTGCAATGGCGCAGTCTCAGCTCACTGCAACCTCTGCCTCCCAGGTTCAAGTGATTCTCCTGCCTCAGCCTCCCAAGTAGCTGGGATTACAGGTGTCCATCATCAAGCCAGGCTAGTTTTTTTTTTTTTTTTTTTTTGAGATGGAGTCTTGCTCTGTTGCCCAGGCTGAAATACAATGGTGTGATCTTGGCTCAACACACAACCTCTGCCTCCCAGGTTCAAGCGATTCTCTTGCCTCAGCCTCCCAAGTAGCTGGGACTACAGGTGTGCACCACCATGCCCGGCAACGTTTTGTATTTTTAGTAGAGACAGGGTTTCACTATGTTGGCCAGGCTGGTCTCGAACTCCTGATCTCGTGATCTGCCCACCTCAGCCTCCCAAAGTGCTAGGATCACAGGTGTGAGCCACTGTGCCCAGCCTAATTTTTGTATTTTTAGTAGTGACGGGGTTTCACCATGTTGGGCAGGCTGGTCTCGAACTTCTGACCTCAGGAGATCCACCTGTCTTGGCCTCCCAAAGTGCTGGGATTACATACATGAGTCACCGTGCCCAGCGAGAATTTCCTTTTTAAAGGCTATCTAGTATTCTATTGTGTACATAGACCACATTTTCTTTATCCATTCATCTGTTGATGGAAGGCATAATATTTTTAAATTTTATTATCAGCCTCTAAACATGTCCTATGTTGTCACTGCATTTTAACTGTTCAGTCAAGGTGATGGACCATTCTGAGACATCCACATTCTCTCTGGGGACCCATGGGTAGTTACAATGACTGACCAGGGTTTGAAATTATGTAACATCAGATACTGAGAATTAAGGGCTAGGAGGCAGAACTGTATTAGGAAGGGCAAGAGTTTTGACGTTGGAGAGTCTTGACTTTGAATCTTAGTTCTATAACTTACTAATGAGCAATCTAACATCGCTTAGCTTCTGTTTCCTGATTAAATAAAGTGCATTCAACAGTTACTGCCCCCGCCCCCAATATGCACAGGATTAAGTGCTAAATGAGACCAGGCATAGAAAACCCCTGGTATCCATGCAATTGAAGCACAAAATACCATAGTTATAAAATGGCCACCATTATTGTTTTTAATAGGGATCTTTGACTCTGCTTAGCAAAATAGTCACAAATTGACTAATTTACAATCCATAGAAGAGAATTCAACCTACGAGAGGGCTATCAAACCTTTTATCTTGGGAATAAATGGAAAAACAGAATGCGATATATCTGTGAGTGTCCAAATGTGTTTTCTTCCATAATTTATTTGGAGCAGGCACAGCATTTACTACAGAATTTTAACAAGGAGACAGGAGTGGGAACCACTACAAAATAAAATCACAGGATTTAGAAAGCAGGCAATCCTGCTTTTGAGAAAAGTAAAGAAAGTCCAAGTATTGTTTACTCTGGCCTGGGATGTAGAGGGAGGCTAGTTTGGGGATCTGGAAATAAATGGGACTGAGATGCTGGGAGATTGTGAGGAAAGACAATGTTATTCTGCTGGCATTAAGGCAGGGCTGAGATGTTAGGCAAGTTCTTTATAAGGGCAGGTCATCTGTAAGTGAACCTGCAGGTCCAAGATAAAGAGGGAGGGCTGTGGGGAGTTGATGAGGCCTGAGGTCCACCTCTTTCTTGTGTGGAGCCAAAGATGAAGTATCTTGCAGCAGAGCACTCCTACTGAGAATGGTAAGAAAAACCAGCGTTGCTTTCTTTCTTTCTTTTTTTTTTTTGAGACAAATTTTCGCTCTTTTTGCCCAGGCTGGAGTGCAATGGGGCGACCTCAGCTCACTGCAACCTCCACCTCCCGGGTTCAAGCGATTCTTCTGCCTCAGCATGCTGAGTAGCTGGGATTACAGGCACACACCACCACACCTGGCAAATTCTTTTGTATTTTCAGTAGAGATGGGGTTTCACCATGTTGGCCAGGCTGGTCTGGAACTCCTGACCTTAGATGATCTGCCCGCCTTGGCCTCCCATAGTGCTGGGATTACAGGCGTGAGCCACCGCGCCTGTAAAAAAACCCAACTAGGGTTTTGTTTGTTTGTTTGTTTGTTTTGTTTTGTTGTCTTTTTAAAAATCTGCTTGAAGATAATGGAGAAGAAATCAGGACTTGAAAGGAGAAGACCTTGGAGAAAGAATTGCAAAGAGAGGTGAGGTGACATTCTGTAGCTACATTTTTCCTCTGAGTGATTACCAGTTCTGGGTGTGAAGCAAAAGCCTAAGAACCCAGGGACAGGGCTGGGGTAGAGACCCTCTCCTGAAAGGCAGAGAAACCATAGAGCTCTTGGCAGTATCTTGGGGATAAAGAAACAATAACCAGAGACTTGAAGGAGGAATATCTCAGTGAGAAGGAAGGGGCAGAATATGTGCCCAACAGCCTACCCTTAAAACATTTGCTGCCGGGTACAGTGGCTTACGCCTGTAATCCCAGCACTTTGGGAGGCCGAGGTGGGCAGATCACCTGAGGTCAGGAGTTCGAGACTAGCCTGATCAAATGGAGAAACCCCGTCTCTACTAAAAATACAAAATTAGCTGGGCATGGTGGCACATGCCTGTAATCCCAGCTACTCAGAGGCTGAGGCAGGAAAATCGCTTGAACACGGGAGGTGGAGGTTGCAGTGAGCCAAGATTGTGCCATTGCACTCCAGCCTAGGCAACAAGAGCAAAAACTCCGTCTCAAAAAAAAGACATTTGCTACGTTTTCAAGCTGAACAAGGCAGGAGGCTAAGAAGCCCAGCAGAAAGTTCCTAAAGAGCTGAACAGAGTTTTTGTCAAAGAAATAAAGTTAAAGACTTGCCTTAGGATAGGCCCAGTCAACTCCCTAGGCTCTGTTAGAACTCCAAAAAGCTACACTTTAAGAGTGGAGTTGACGGTGGCTCACGCCTATAATCCCAGCACTTTGGGAGGCCGAGGCGGGCAGATCACAAGGTCCGGAGATTGAGAACATCTTGGTCAACACGAGGAAACCCCGTCTCTACTAAAAATACAAAAGTCAGCCAGCGTGGTGGCGTGTGCCTGTAGCCCCAGCTACTCTGGAGGCTGAGGCAGGAGAATCGCTTGAACCCGGGAGGTGGAGGTTGTAGTAAGCCGAGATTGCGCCACTGCACTCCAGCCTGGGCGACAAGAGCAAAACTCCGTCTCAAAAAAAAAAAAAAAAAAAAGAAAAAAAGAAAAAGAAATAAAAGAAGAAGAAGAGTGGAGTTGAATAGTGAGACCCCGTCTCTACAAAAAATTAAAAAAAAAATTAGCCGAGCATGGTTGCGAGTGCCTTTAATCCCAACTACTCAGGAGGCTGAGGTGGGAGGATTGCTTGAGCCTGGAATGCTGAGCCTGCAGTGAGCCCTTGTCGTGCCACTGCAGCTTGGACGATAGAATGACACCCCATCTTAAAAAAAAAAGTGGAATTGAGCCAGAGGTAAAAGTCTTTCCACATTTTCAACCCAGCCTTGAGTCAGCACAGTCTCTAAACGGATTAAGATAATCATTCCATCTAACAAAAGAAAGGGTAAACCTTCCCTGGAGTAAGATAACCTACAGAGCCACTATCACTTTTCATAGCCCAAGTCAGCATTCAATTAAAAATGACCTGGCATTTCAAGAAAAAGGACAAAATGACTGAAAACGGAGAGAAATAAAAGCCAACAAGTTCACAAATGATCCAGATATTGATGCTATTGAAAAGGGATTTCGGCTGGGCACGGTGGCTCAAGCCTGTAATCCCAGCACTTTGGGAGGCCGAGGCGGGCGGATCACAAGGTCAGGAAATCGAGACCATCCTTGCTAACATGGTGAAACTCCGTCTCTACTAAAAATACAAAAAATTAGCTGGGCGCGGTGGCGGGCACCTGTAGTCCCAGCTACTCGAGAGGCTGAGGCAGGAGAATGGCGTGAACCCGGGAGGCGGAGCTTGCAGTGAGCCGAGATAGCGCCACTGCAGTCCGGCCTGGGCGAAAAGAGCGAGACTCTGTCTCAAAAAAAAAAAAAAAAGAAAGAAAGAAAGAAAAGAAAAGAAAAGAAAAGAAAAGGGATTTCAAGTTATGATTAATAACAAAATAGATTTAATCAGGGAATTGGAATTTATAATGATCATGACTGGAATGGCTTAATATGGGAGGTAGGGAGACTAGTTATAAGACTATAGCAGTTTCTCATCCTTGGTGCTATTGATGTTTTGGGCCAGATAATTCTTTGTTGTGGGGGCTGTCATGTGCACTGTGGATGTTCAGGAGCATCTTTGGCCTCTAACCACTAGATGCCAGTGAGTAGCAGCCCCCCACACAGTGGTGACAATCAAAATGTCTCCAGACATTGCCAAATGTTCCCTAGGTGACAAATTTGCCCCCAGTTGAGAACCACTGGGCTACAGTAATAGCACAGATGGAAGATATGCAAGCTTGAATCAGGAACTGATTTGAAGGATAATGCATAGAACCAAAAATACCCAGTGATGAGTGAGGAGGAGAGAATAAGACAATTTAGTATATATGAGTAATTTCTGGTTTGGATGGTGTAAAGGTAGGCAATATAAGAGGATCAGGTTTTGGGAGAAAATTAATGAATTTATTTTGGATATGTTAGGTTTGAGGTGCTTGTGTTAATTTCCCACCACTATTGTAACAACTTACTGTACACTTTATCCTCTTACAGTTTTGGAGGTTAGAAGGCCAAAATGAGCCTCAGTGGGCTAAAAATCAGGGTGAAAACAAAGCTGGTTCCATCTGGGGATTTGATAAGGGAATCCATTCTGATATGGTTTGGCTGTGTGCCCACCCAAATCTCAACTTGAATTTTAGCTCCCATAATTCCCACATGTTGTGGAAGGGACCCAGTGGGAGATAATCGAATCATGGGGGTGGCTTCCCCCATACTGTTCTCGTGATAGTGAATAAGTCTCACAAGATCTGATGGTTTTATAAGGGGAAACCGCTTTCACTTGGCTCTTGTGAAAGGAAAATATCTTGGCTGCAGTGAGCTGAGGAAAAGGAAATTCAAGCTGGAAACTGCTCAGGGCTAACCTCCCTCCCATTCTATTCAAAGTCATTCCTCTGTTCACTGAAATAGATACATATTCTGATTGCCTCCTTTGGAAAGGCTTATCAGAAAGTCAAAAGAATGCAACCATTTGTCTCACCTACCTGTGACTTGGAAACCCCCTAACCAATGTACTTTTTATATATATTGATTGATGTCTCATGTCTCCCTAAAATGTATAAAACCAAGCTGTGCCCCAACCACCTTGGGCACATGTCATCAGGACTTCCTGAGGCTGTGTCATGGGTGTGCATTTTCAACCTTAGCAAAATAAACTTTCTAAATTAACTGAGAGTTGTCTCAAATTTTGGGGGTTCACATTCTCATTCTCTTTTTGCTAGCCGCCACGTAAGATGCCCCTTTGCTCTTCCTTCATCTTACGCCATGATTGTGAGGCCTCCCCAGGCATGTGGAACTGTGAGTCAATTAAATCTCTTTCCTTTATAAATTACCCAGTCTCAGGTATGTCTTTATCAGCAGCATGAAAATGGATTACTACAGTAAATTGGTATAGAGTGGGGTGCTGCTGTAAAGATACCCAAAAATGTGGAAGTGACTTTGGAACTGGGTAACAGGCAGAGGTTGGAACAGTTTGGAGGGCTCAGAAGACAGGAAAATGTGGGAAAGTTTAGAACTTCCTAGAGCCTTGTTGAATGGTTTTGACCAAAATGCTGATTGATAGTGATATGGACAATGAAATCTATGCTGAGGCGGTCTCAGATGGAGATGAGGAACTTGTTGGAAATTGGAATAAAGTGACTCTTGTTATGTTTTAGCAAAGAGACTGGTGGCATTTTTCCCCTGCCCTAGAGATTTGTGGAATGTTGAAATTGAGAGAGATAATTTAGGGTATCTGGTGGAAGAAATTTCTAAGCAGCAAAGCATTCAAGAGGTGACTTGGGTGCTGTTAAAACCATTCAGTTTTAAAAGGAAAACAGAGCATAAAAGTTTGGAAAATTGCAGCCTGATGATGCAATAGAAAAAAAAACCTCATTTTCTGAGGAGAAATTGAAGCCCGCTGCAGAAATTTGCATAAGTAACAAGGAGCCAAATGTTAACTGCCAAGACAATTGGGAAGATGTCTCCAGGGCATATCAGAGACCTTTGTGGCAGCCCCTCCCATTACAGGCCTGCAGGCATAGGAAGAAAAAATGGTTTTGTGGGCCAGGCCCAGGGCCCCTCTGTGCTGTGCAGCCTAAGTACTTGGTGCCCTGTGTCCCAGCCACTCCAGCCATGGCTAAAAGGGGCCAAGGTACAGCTCAGACTTCAGAGGGTGCAAGCCCCAAGACTTGGCAGCTTCCACGTGGTGTTGAGCCTGCAAGTGCACAGAAGTCAAGAACTGGCCAGGCACAGTGGCTCATGCCTGTAATTCCAGCACTTTGGGAGGCCGAAGTGGGCAGATCACCTGAGGTCGGGAGTTCGAGACTAGCCTGACCAACATGGAGAAACCGCGTCTCTACTAAAAATACAAAATTAGCTGGGCGTGGTGGTGCATGCCTATAATTCCAGCTACTCAGGTGGCCAAGGCAGGAGAATCGGTTGAACCCAGGAGGTGGAGGTTGTGGTGAGCCGAGATTGCATCATTGCACTCCAGCCTGGGCAACAAGAGCGAAATGCCATCTCAAAAAAAAAAAAGACTGAGGTTTGGGAACCTCCACCTAGATTTCAGAGGATATGTGGAAATGTCCCTAAAGTTTGCTACAGGGATAGGGCCCTCATGGAGAACCTCTGCTAGGGCAGTGTGGAAGGGAAATGTGGGGTTGAAGCCCCCACACAAGTCTCCACTGGGCACTGCTTAGTGGAGCTGTGAGAAGCGGGCCACCATCCTCCAGACCCCAGAATGGTAGATCCACTGACAGCTTGCACTGCGCACCTAGAAAAGCTGCAGACAATGCTAGACCATGAAAGCAGCCAGGAGGGAGGCCATACCCTGCAAAGCCACAGGGGCAGAGCTGCCCAAGACCATGGGAACCCACCTCTTGCATCAGCATGACCTGGATATGAGACACAGAGTCAAAGGAGATCATGTTGGAGCTTTAAGATTTGATTGTCCTGCTAAATTTCAGACTTGCATGGGGCCTTTAGCCCCTTTGTTTTGGCCAAATTCTCCCATTTGGAATGGCTGTATTTACCCAATGTTTGTACCCCCATTGTATCTAGGAAGTAACTAACTTGCTTTTAATTTTATAGTCTCATAGGCAGAAGGGGCTTGCCTAATCTCAGGTGAGACTTTGGACTGTGGACTTTTGAGTTAATGCTGAAATGAATTAAGACTTTGGGGGACTGTTGGGAAGGCATGATTGGTTTTGAAATGTGAGGACACAAGATTTGGAGGGCCCAGGGTGGAATGATATGGTTTGGCTGTGTCCCCACCCAAATCTCATATTGAAATTTTAGCTCCCATAATTCCCATGTGTTGTGGGAGGAACCCTGTGGGAGATAATTGAATCATAGGTTTGGTTTCCCCCATACTGTTCTTATGGTACTGAATAAGTCTCACAAGACCTGACAATTTTATAAGGAAAAACCCCTTTTTCTTGGTTCTCATTCTCTTTGCTGGCCACCATGTAAAACACTCCTTTGCTCTTTTATCATCTTCCACCATGATTGTGAGGCCTCCCCAGCCCTGTGGAACTGTGAGTCAATTAAACCCCTTTCCTTTATAAATTACCCAGTCTCAGGTATGTCTTTTATCAGCAGCATGAAAACGGACTAATAAACATTCCTTGCCTCTTTCAGCTTCTAGAGGCTGCCAGTACTCCTTGACTGTGGCCACCTTACACCAGTCTCTGCTTCCTCTGTCACACTGCTGCCTTCTGACTCTGACTCCTGCTTCCCCCATTTATAAGGATATTTGTAATTATATCAAGCCCATCTAAATACTGTGGGGTATACTCCCTATCTCAAGATCCTTAACTTAGTCACATTTGTAAAGTCCCTTTTGCCATACAAGGTACCATTCACAGGTTCCAGGGATTAGGGCATGGACACGTTTGAGCCCTTATTTAGCCTTCCACAGTGTCCGTGGGAGAGCTCAGATAAATATGTCTAAAAGACAGTTGAGTGTATAGCCGTTGAGCTCAAGACAGATTTGCACTGTGGATATGAAGTCATTGGTGTTCTTAAGGCATGCGTGTGGATATTGCCAGGGGAAAAAAATATACAGAAAAATTTTTGAAGGCATAACTTTATGAGTCACTATTACATAAGGAGTGAGTGTATCAGAATTAGTGGCCGGGAGTGGTAGTTCACGCCTGTAATCCCAGCACTTTGGGAGGCCGAGGTGGGTGGATCATGAGGTCAGGAGTTCAAGACCAGCCTGGCCAAGATGGTGAAACCCCCTCTTTACTAAAAATACAAAAATTAGCCGGGTGTGGTGGTGGGCGTCTGTAATCCCAGCTACTCAGGAGGCTGAGGCAGAGAATTGCTTGAACCTGGGAGGTGGAGGTTGCAGTGAGCCGAGATCGTGCCACTGTACTCCAGCCTGGGTGACAGAGTGAGACTCCATCTCAAAAAAAAAAAAACCAAAAAAACAAAAAAATTAGTATCAGCTGCATATTACAGAAATTGAAATGACAATAGTTTAAATAAGAAGGGCAATTCTTAAATTGTTAAAGAAGTCTGAGTCAGCATGGCAGCTTCATCACTTCCCCAGTGTGCCAGGTCCTTCTGTCCTTGTGTTCTGCCATCCTCAGGTGTGTGGCTTCCATCCTCAGTGGTGCCAAAAACCCCAGTTGGCTGCCAGTGGAGCTTCAGCCACTCCATCCCGGTTCTAGGCAGGAAAAGGAAAAGCAAAGGGCAAAAGGGCAGTCCTCCTATCTAAGTCAGGTCTCCAGAAGATTTCCCAGAAGTCCCACCCAACTGACTTCCACTTGACCCATTAATCACGTCTATGGAAGTTGGACAATGTAATCTCTTACAGGTACATTTTTCCCTGAAAAGAACCAAAGTTCTGTTACTAAAAATGAAGGAGAGAATGGGTATTGAGTAGACCAACAGCAATCTCTGCAAGACTGGACAAAAAAGAGGCCTGCAGATGAAGTTGAGAAGGAATGACCAGTAAATTAGAAGAACCAATGGTGGGGAGGCTGTTTCCTGAAGGGCAGTTCCCTGCCTTCCTATGAACTCAAAAGGTAGTTAGATTTTAATATAGCCCCTGCTGTGTAGAAGGCCAAGAGTAAAGACATTAGCTCTCCACTTCCAAGGTATTCTGATGGAGAACCAACTTGGGTGGAGCGGGGAACTGCTTCAGCTGACAGGGTCCCTTAGGAAATCACATACCTTGGCTGTATTCTCTTGTATCTAATACAGGCATTGGTGCTAACCTGCTTCATCAAGTTTAGCATAATGAGTAGGAAGCTATCAGAATCTTCAGGCAGGATATCTACAAAAGGAATCTGGCATGTACAGCCTACATTTGCTTTATAATGGTAAAAGACTCTCTGAATCTTTTATTAAGACAGGGTCTCACTCTGTTGCCCAGGCTGGAGTGCAGTGGCACAATCATAGCTTATTATAAACCTTAACTCCTAGGCTCAAACGATGCTCCTGCCTCAGCCTCTCAAGTAGCTAGGGCTACAGGCACATGCCACCATGCATGGCTAATTTTATAAGAAATTGTCTGTAGAGGTGGGGTCTTGTTGTATTGTCCAGGCTTGTCTCAAACTCCTGCCTCAAGTAATCCTTCTTTTTCAGCCCATAGCATTGGGATTACAGGCATAAGCCACCATGCTCAGCCTAAATGAATCTTTCCCTGACCTTGAGGTACCGCACAAAAAACCCTCCTTCATTCTTATTTTGAGACATACCAGGTTAGGAGGGGGTGAAATGGGCTGGCCCTGTCACTTCCCACTAAGCACTGGTTTTTTAAATATCTTAACCTAGTCTAACTCAGGAGACTCATAAATTAAAAATCTCTCCCATAGGTCTCTTCCTATACCAACTCTAACCTTTGTACTCAACATACAGTGTTTGTCCGGCTAGCACAGTGATTTTTTGTTATCACCATCACATATGCCCCATTCAAGAATTATAGGAGGTGCCCAGGTGCGGTGGCTCATGCCTGTAATCCCAGCACTTCGGGAGGCCGAGGCGGGAGGATCACGAGGTCAGGAGATCGAGACCATCCTGGCTAACACGGTGAAACCCCATCTCTACTAAAAATACAAAAAATTAGCCGGGCATGGTGGCAGGCACCTGTAGTCCCAGCTACTTGGGAGGCTGAGGCAGGAGAATGGCGTGAACCCGGGAGGCGGAGCTTGCAGTGAGCCGAGATAGCGCCACTGCAGTCCAGCCTGGGCGAAAAGAGCGAGACTCTGTCTCAAAAAAAAAAAAAAAAAAAAAAAAAAAAGAAAAAGAAAAAAAGAATTACAGGAGGGGCCAGGAGCAGTGGCTCACACTTGTAATCCCAGCACTTTGGGACGCCAAGGCAGGTGGATCACCTGAGGTCAGGAGTTCAAGACCAGCCTGGCCAACATGGCGAAACTCCATCTCTACTAAAAATACAAAAATTAGCCAGGCATGGTGGTGTGCCTGTAATCCCAGCTACTTGGGAGGCTGAGACAGGAGAATCGCTTGAACCCAGGAGGTGGAGGTTGCAGTGAGCTGAGATTGCACCACTGCACCCTAGCCTGGGCAACAGGGCAAGACTCCATCTCAAAAAAAAAAAAAAAAAAAATTATAGGAAGTGCTAATGTTCCAGAATCAAAACTCTAACAAGGTAACTACTGAACATTGCTAAACACAAGTTAGCAAGGCATTGTGACAGGACGAGAGGCAGAACCACTAGTTCTTCATAGGTAAGGGCCCTCCAGGTGGCAACCTGCTATGACCTGGATGGAACATCCTAATAAATCCTCCTGGGAGATGGAACAGTGGAGGGTTGCAGCCAACCACCTAAACATTTCCCACTCTAAGCTGCCTCTAATGCACATATTCCCAACTCAATTTGTTTCTCTTCATGTTGATTTTAAGATTCAGGAGAAATTGACTAGCGCTGGCATTATACCAGTAAATGGGATATTAAAAACTATGCCTTTCGTAGATTACTAGAGAAACTAGGCACACTTAGAAGATGAGAATGTATACATATCAGTGTATACATACATTTGACTACAAGCCTTGGACCCCCCCCTTAGAAAAGCTTTCAAGGTAAATGAAGTTGGTGGAGGTTGAACTTAATTGATTCTTGGTCCAGGTCACTAAAAGTGTATGAGACATCACTTGATGAGTCAATGGTTAGAATTAAGGGCCAGAGTCAGGAATACAAATCCCTAATTCCAGGCACTTCTCTCCCACTAAACCATCCTGTTCACTTCACTTGGAAGAATCATCTCAGTGAGCACCCTCTCTCCCAGGCAATATGTCCAATTGTTAAACAATTTGATAAATTGTTGCCCATCTAGTTCAAGAATAGCTAATCTTTGAATGTTTACTGACTGCCAGGCAACATGCCAAGTACATTCTCTTGTTTAATCCTTAAAACCACCCTAAGGGCTAAAATAATTAGTGCCAGTTTACAGATGAGGAAACTAAAATACAGAGAGGTTAATGTGCCTAAGGTTCCATTATGCAGTGTCAGTGGAGGTCTCAGATCCTTGGGCTGTCTTCCTCTACCATTCACCAGTAAACAAGTATAGAAGTTTTCATCTTACTGACAACACAACATGCCCCAACTCAGTGCAGGTGACTTAGAAAATCTACAGATTTCTCCTGCTATCCCCAAATTGCAAAGATGTATCATCTCTTGGTCTGGACGCACTACACATGCCCAATTCAGGTAGAGACAACTATAATTTTGTTAAACTGAATTAGAAAATATTAATTTCCAGAATTTATATTGTTTAAATGTGGCTTCCCATGCAAAGTTCCTGGGCTAAAAAGAAAGTAGACATGTAGTCCTTCCAACTTTTATGGGAGAGGGAGGCAGAGGACAAGGGGGTTGAGAATGGGTGTTAGAATGACCATGTTGGGGTGTAATATGTAGAGCGACTGTTCTGATGTGATTGACCATTCTGAAACATATCTGAATTAAGAACAACATTCAAAGTGAAGGATGGGGTACAGCAGAAACCTTCCTCGTAGTCAGGAAGTAAATAATTCATATCTGAAATGGGAGGCAAGGCCATCTGCTATAAGAAAGGCAGTGGGGATAAGAATCATGAGGAGCATGATGAACATCTAAAATAACAATGAAGACTGGGATAAGAATGGATACATAAAAGGACAGCTGCGCAAGGTTTCTGCTGGTTCAGCTGAATCAGAGACGGTTAAGTTTACAGTGGTGCTGACGGACAGCAGTGTGATTTTCTCCTACGGTGTTCAGATCAGGTATGGAAGCAAAGATTGCTGGGCTGTTCTCAGGCTGTTTGCAGGACAGATGCCACAAAAGGAAATACAAGTGACAAAGGTAGAGGATGTAGGCAATGCAGTGATGGAAGAGATACACTGAGAGGCTGGCCGAGGAAGGGAGGCTGAAGAGTATGATCGGGACCTAGGGGTTTTGGTGAGTTCAAGGAGATACAACAGAAATAAGAATGAGAGACAAGGAACAATATGAGCTTGTGATCAAAGACTGGTGTATTGGGATTTCTAATTTCAGAGGTGGAGTAGTTCTGGAGTACTGATAAGTCTAAATTATAATGATGGGAAAGCCCTCAGAAGAGTTAAAATCAAGTAAAAAATTGAGGCTACAGTGGCATTAAGGATAGGTTCTTTGAATGTATACAGCTATTACCAGGATAACTTTTAAAAATAAAAAAGGGTTGCAGTAGAGATCATAAGCCAGGTGAAGTGCCCAGTGAGTAATGGTCTAGAAGTACACAGATGACAGCAAAAGGTCCAAAGGTCCATGCAGATGTCAGAAACCTCACACAAGTAGCTCTGCCTGTGAGAGAAGAGTGATGATTTGGAAGATGCCAAGACTACATGGCCTCTTTTGTGGACTGTGTGGAAGCAGTCTCTATTTGTGAGGGCTGAGAAGTTCATGGGCCTGGAGAAAGCCCTGTTTCTATTAACAAAGTGTGTACATTCTGTAAAGAGGCTAAAAGAGATGACCCAGTTTATGTGGCGTTTTAGAAGGCACGGAGGAAGGGTTGGTGTCAGTACATGTGGTACTGCTAACGAGGAAGTGTATCTGTGTGACCTTTAGCAGTAACAACCTCTGAGCCTGTCCCCAGTGCCTTTTGAGGTGCTGAGGATGAATTGAGATATGAACGCACTTTATAACTACAAAGCAATTTAAGTTCAGGGACTAGAATTTGGGCAAAACGTCATGCTGAAGTATGTGGGTTATCAAGAGATTATTACAGCTACACATACATAACGATGTTTATGTCTGTTTCATTCTATGTGAATGTGAAACTAACAAACTGAGGGAAGTGAGAAAATAAGAGCAGTCAAGTGTGTCAGATGTCACACAGATTGAGTCAATTGAGAATAGAAAATATCGACAAATAGGTTCTTGCTAACCTTGGAAGTAGTGACTTTTCACTATGTGACTTTCAAGGAATTTGACATAGATATGAACAAATTTTTCTGTGCTTGCCAGTTACAGGCATTCACACATCATTCAGTGAATCTTTTGAGGTGCTTATTCCCATTCTCCACAAATACAACGTTGTGTTAATCAGATTGATAAAGCAAAGCTCTAAACACAGAACTGAGAAACTCTGTAAAATGCCACACTAAATATTTTAGGCTTTGTCACAACCACTAACCTCTAATGTTGTAGCCCAAAGCAGCCCTAAACAATACACTAACGAATGTGACTGTGATCCAATAAAGTTTTTTTTCTTGAGACGGAGTCTTGCTCTGTTGCCCAAGCTGGAGTGCAGTGGTGTGATCTTGGCTCACTGCAACCTCTGCCTCTCAGGTTGAAGCGATTCTCCTGCCTCAGCCTCCGAGTAGCTGGATTTCAGGTGCCCACCGCCCCCCACCCCTAGGTAATTTTTGTATTTTAGTAGAGACGGGCTTTCACCATGTTGGTCAGGCTGGTCTCAAACTCCTGACCTTGTGATCCATCTGCCCTGTCCTCCCAAAGTGCTGGGATTACAGGCATAAGCCACTGCACCAAGCCCAATAAAGTTCTCTTTACAAAAACAGGCATCTGGTCAGATTGGGTCCACGGGCTGTTTATTGATACACACTAAACACAATTTTCTCCTAATCCTAGACCCAGCATTTTCTGCATTACACTAGCCCAGTGGTCCTTTCTGAAACTACACTGTTCAAGTTACAGACATATTTAAATGTTTAAATTTAAAATGTTAAATTTAACATTTTAACATGTTTAAATGTTCATAGACACATACAACCTGCACTTTTACTCTTTGAGAAATGAATGCAGTAAATTTACTTAGCTTTCTGAGGGAAATGATAGCCTGAAGGCATGACGTTTTCAAATACCCCAAACTCCAACTAAGATAACCTGGAACCTATTAAATGGATATCCAACATTTTGTACTGAACTCTAAGGATATGAACACCAGGACAATGGTTATTCTGAGGCACAGAAAATACAGCCAAAGCAGCAGCTCAGTATGTACCCCGACAGTGCCTAGAAGAGACTTATGTGGGAGACAAAGTTTCTGGTCAGGTGTATTTGTATACTTCATCAGGCATATGCCTTGCATTACATAGCTCTCGCCCCCAACTTGGCAACATCTTATTGGTTTTCAGAATATACTGATGACGGATTGCCAAAAGAGCTCATGAATGAATATTTTCCATTCTAAGGAAACTTTTTTTCTTTTTGAGACGGAGTTTCACTATTGTTGCCCAGGCTGGAGTGCGATGGGGCGGTCTTGGCTCACTGCAACCCCCATCTCCCAGGTTCAAGCGATTCTCCTGCCTCAGCCTCTCAAATAGCTGCAATTACAGGTGCCGCCACCACGCCCAGCTAGTTTTTATATTTTTGGTAGAGATGGGGTTTCACCATGTTGGCCAGGCTGGTCTCAAGCTCCTGACCTCAGGTGATCTGCCTGCCTTGGCCTCCCAAAGTGCTGGGATTGCAGGCATGACCTACTGCACCCAGACCACTTTTTTTTTTTTTAAAAGAGATGGAGTTTCCTTTATCTGTTGCCCAGGCTGGAGTGCAGTAGCACAATCACAGCTACACTGCAGCCTCGAACTTCTGGGCACAAGCAGTCCTCCTGCCTCAGAGTGGCTGGGACTACAGGTGTGCACCACGACGCCCAGTTATCTAGTTTACTCTTACCCAAGTATAAATGATATGAAACAATCTGAGACTAGTCAGTCAACTGTCCTTGGTAAGATCTCCTTCTTGACAGCCATGTGGATTCTATCACACCCTTTATAATTTACAGCAATCTTCAGTGGTTAAAGCAAAACTGTACATCTATAAAGGAATTCAAGAGAAGTGCAGGAAAAGGATGACAAAAGGTAAATCCCTAGCTACCACCAGAATGTTATCTATCTAAAACTGCCAACTTACGAATAGGTAAAACTTATGGTAAAATTATAAAGGTGAGCACAACAGGAACTGGAATCTATTCTGAAGGGCAATATAATGTACTTCCAAGAATTCTAGATTTTTTTTTTTTTTTGGAGACAGTTTCACTCGTCACCCAGGCTTGAGTGCAGTGGCACAATCTTGGCTCACTGCAACCTCCACCTCCCAAGTTCAAGTGATTCTTGTGCCTCAGCCTCCCAAGTAGCTGAGATTACAGGTGCCCACCACCACACCTGGCTAATTTTTATGTTTTTTGTAGAGACAGGGTTTCGCCATGTTGACCAGGCTGGTCTCAAACGCCTGACCTCAAGTGATCTGCCTGCCTTGGCCTCCCAAAGTGCTGGGATTACAGGCATGAGCGACCATGCCCGGCTAATTCTAGATTTAATAGAGTAAAGAGAAAGTACTTTTGTTACAGACCACTGGTTCTAGTCCTAGACCCAGAATGTCAATACAGTAGCCACTAGCCACTTGTGCCTATGTAAATTTAAAATAAAATACTTTCTAGTCACACTAGCTATATTTCAAGGGCTTAACAGCCACATGTGGTTAGTGGCTACCACACTGGACAGCAAAAGTCTACAAAATATCCATCGTCACAGAAAGTTCTATTAGACAGCACTGTTCTAGACAAAATAAGCATGTAGGTGGCATCTGAATACCCCTTAAATACATCTGGCCCTTGTTTTTGATTCTACCAACCTAGCCACTTACAGCGAAGCACTAGAAATGAAAACATGTGGTTTATAGTGCTCTTTTTTTCCCCTATTTCCTTATTTCTGAAGGTATATATCCCTGATAGAAATGTCCTTTTTAAAAAATTACATAATTGGCCAGGCGTGGTGGCTCACGCCTGTAATCCCAGCACTTTGGGAGGCCGAGGCAGGTAGATCACCTGACGTCGGGAGTTCAAGACCAGCCTGTCCAGCATGGAGAAACCCTGTCTCTACTAAAAACACAAAATAAGCTGGGCATGGTGGCGCATGCTTGTAATCCCAGCTACTTGAGAGGCTGAGTCAGGAGAATCGCTTGAACCTGGAAGGCGGAGGTTGCGGTGAGCAGCGATCACGCCATTGCACTCCAGCCTGGGCAACAAGAGTGAAATTATCTCAAAAAAATAAAAATAAAAAAGTTACAGAATCACATTTTAAACCACCAGAAGTGCTTGGGTATAACTGACCTAGAACATGGCAGTTACTCATCTGTGCCAACACAGACCTTAATATAGGAGGCATAGAAATGAGAAAAATTGGCCGGACGTGGTGGCTCACACCTGTAATCCTAGAACTTTGGGAGGCCAAGGTGGGTGGATCACGAGGTCAGGAGTCCAAGACCAGTCTGGCCAACATGGTGAAACACCATCTCCACTAAAAATACAAAAATTAGCCAGGCGTGGTGGCGGGTGCCTGTAATCCCAGCTACTCAGGAGGCTGAGGCAGGAGAATCACTTGCAACTGGAAGGCGGAGGTTGCAGTGAGATTGCACCACTGTACTCAGCCTGGGCGAAAAGGGCGAAACTCCGTCTCAGAAAAAATAAATGAGAAAAATTTTAAACCTGAAAAAAAATTAAACCTAAGTTACTACTGGGCTGATTACTTCTGGGTTAAATAATAAGATTTCTGAATTTGAAAACCAGGCAGGGCCTGGTGGCTCACGCCTGTAATCCCAGCACTTTGGGGAGCCAAGGCAAGTGGACGGATTGCTTGAGCTCAGGAGTTTGAGACCAGCCTGGGACCACATGGCAAAACTCCATCTCTACAAAAAAATTAGCTGGGCATGGTGGCGAACACCTGTAGTCCCAGCTACTTGGGAAGCTGAAGTGAGAGAATCGCTTGAGCCTGGGAAATAGAGGTTGCAGCCAGCCGAGATCGCACCACTGCACTCCAGCCTTGGCGACACAGCGTGACCATGTCTCAAAAAACAAACTAAACGCCACAACTAGCCAAGATGGAAGGTTGAACACATTTCTGTATCTATCTTAATATGTTTCCTGTATCATTTCCAGGATGCCAAAAAAAAAAAAAATCAACTCTCTAGCCTTCACTTCAGGTCTTTCTCATTAGTCCAGAATTGTCCCCTTGTAAGCTACTTGCTACACTGTCCCTGAATACCACTAACTTTATACAGTCACCAAGTCCTCTGCTACAAGGCCTTTCAAAGTCTGAAATCTTTAAAGGATTTCCAGGATGCATTTTTAAATTCCCCACCAGAACTCAGACTAGGACTTCAAATATGAATTACAGCAAGCTTTCCACATTTCTATAAATAAAAATAAGACTCATATGTTATAAATTGCTTTCAGGCCTTAAAACACCTATCTAATCGTCCCTATCACCTTTGAGACCATGGATTCACATCTTCTCAGTCTTCTCACTGTCCCACAAAGATACAGTTCTCAGCTGCACCAGCATAGATTTATTTTCTCATTATTCTTTATGACTTACCTTGTGCTCACCATCTCCATAAAATCTCCAAGGACTACTCTAAATGTGTATGGCACAGACTATGCATGAAATAATTCAGTATGTAATTATACACTGTTACACATCACAAAACTATGACCACAGGCATTCCTCTGTCCATGTCTGGCATAAATGCTGCAGTTCTCAATCTGAGCAAAGAAACTAAGAGTCAATTAGTGAAGTGTTATTCTAGTTGAGGCAGTCCTAGAAAACCAAGTAAACAATCTAGCACCATGACTGGTTAACACTGCTGCACTGACATTTAGGGCTGCTGCACTGACATTTAGGGCTCCTGCACTTTTTAATCATTAAAATTTGTGCATCAGTCATGAAATCAAGCACAGTCAAAAAGTCATGATCTGTGGTTTTCTTTTTAATTATCTTTAGTCTTGTGATCACACATAATTTTAAAATTTGTGTATATCTCCGTTACTTTAATCCTTTTAAGTTGGCAAAAGCACCATTCCCAATCAAATACACAGTTCTACAGTTTTGTTTCTGAATGGCTGTTTAAAGACAATCCTAAATTATAACTTAGTTTGACTTAGATTGTAAAGAATTCAAGAGTGAAGTTTAACTTGCTACTATTTTAAAAGCATGTGACCTTATAGATCTGTAAGATGTGAGAGGTGTTGAATAATCTTTAATATTACACATAAACCACACTAAAATGCCTTTCAATAAGTAAAAGAAACCATTTTAAATACAGGGAATTATAATTAGATTGGCATAGTTAAGGCCAAAACTATAGACATTGCTACCTTATTTATCTTCAACCCTTGCCTTTAAGAGGCAAATGAACATGAACACAAAACACAGGTGAATCTTGCTTGGTTCTAAGACAGTGAAGCAATTTCCCCAGTATTTAAATATATTCACATAACCAGTTATATAAATCTAAATATAAAACCAATCTCCAGTAAGTTTTAAGATGGCACTCACCATCTTTGTGAAAAGTTGAACATTACTAACGAAGTCTAATCATATCTTTAAAAGGGGTAAACAGTGATACCATTTACTGAATTGGAGTTACTATTAAAATTCAAAAACTGAACATATTCATTTAACCACAAGCCAGTCTTAGTTTTAAATCAGGACTGCCCAACAAAATATTCTGTCAGTCATTCATGATCTGAATTCTGGTGTATGAGATCTATTAAAGGATGGTACACATAAAAAAGTCATGAGACATTTCTGTTTTGTAATAAATAAGGCAGTGGCCAATTATTACTCATTAGTAGCTTTTTTGAGATAAGCTATTAAGTCTGCCCTTTCTTCCTTCTTCTTAATGCCGACAAAGATCATTTTTGTTCCAGGGATGTACTTCTTGGGATTCTCCAAATACTCCATCAGTGTATCCTCTCCCCAGATGATGCCTAAACAAGAAAGAATGCATCGGTTATTTCACACTCCTGATAGTTTGCCACATGTTATATTCCTGCATTTTGTGTTGTTTTATTTAACAAGTGACTCTTACCTTTGTTCTTATTGGCGGCTGTGTAAGAGTATCCAGGGGCCTGACCTGTCTTCCGCCCAAAGAGACCATGGAGATTTGGCCCAGTCTTGTGCTTGCCTCCCTTTTCAACGGTGTGGCACTGGGAACACTTCATAATAAAAATCTTCTTGCCTTTCTCAACATCACCCATATTTAATTCTAAAAACGAAAGCTTCAACTTAGTAAATTTTTCCTCAGGTAACAAATACAGTGTAAATGAATGACCACTCTAGCCACTTAATTACCAATCCATTGCTAATTTATGTCATTAAATACCAGAATGAATCTTGTTTTGCTTTAATACTCTTTATACCAAATATTCTTTAATACCAAAAACATTTTTAGGAGTACCTCCTCAAAAACGTATTTTTGTGTGTATACGTGAAGGAACGTTAAAGCCCAAGCAAAGAGGGAACCTAATTCAAACTCCAGTTTCAGAAGAGACAATCATGGTCACGAAGTCACAGATCTGAAGCTCAAGGGCGAACACATTAAGCCAAAATCACCACAACCGCAACTTTTAAAAAGACCTAACCATTTAATCTTACTACAATGTAAAGCCACCTCTCCCTGAGGATAACGCAAAGCACACAAATGTTTAAAAAGCGGTCCTGGCTGTTTCTATCTGCCCAGGTCACAGGAGTAGCTTGACACTCGAACTTGTGAATGGGAGCTCAGGGGCAGGCTGCACGGTCCCCCGGGGACATCCCAACTCCCCTACCTGTGATCTCCTGGGGCGACCACGAGGTCACCCGTCCAGGTCGGTTTCAAGGTGATTGATGAAACTCCTTCTAGGATGTCAGAACGACTGACGGAAGAAACATGTGCCCACGAAAAGAACTGGCCCCTTATTAGAAGAGCAACAGCTTTTGCCCTCTGAAGAAGAACGTGAAGCTCTAAGCTTCGGCTTTCCAGGAGGGAAGTCTTGCCTATCATTTCCATAGCCCTTCAGCAACCACTACGGAAGAGGCCGCCTCCTCCTCGGATCTGTATCCAAGCCGCCTCCAGTCCCTGACCGAGACCATACCTGTCCCTAGTTAGGGCTCCGCCGCACCTCAAGCCGTTACTCGCCCAGCTCGGTCTGACCACAGTCCAGGGTCTTCACTCCCCGCCCTCCCACCCAGCGCGGGCTCCACTCGAATGCTCCCCGCTTGGGTTTCGGTCGCTCGCAAGTGCGCGCCTCCCACAGCTCTGCCTCTAACCAGGTGCGGCCTCCGCGACCCGCTCTCACCTCTTTTTAGTCGCTGGCACAACGAACACTCCCGCTCCGAAGCCGGACGTCCCCACTCTCTAAGTCCAAGGACACGCCGGTCCGCGCTTAAGTACCGGTGTAAGTGCAACCAAACTCGCTCCGCGCTCCCGCGCCCTGACGTGCGGCCGAGCTGGCGGCTACGCAGTAACGTCGCCGCACCTCATTGGCTCCAGTCCCAATGCCTGCGCCAAGGACCTGCGCGCGCATGCTGGCGAGCATGTTAGGGTGTACGGCGTGCGTGCCCTTCTTCTCGAGGCTTTTCCCGGCCGTTACGACAGGCCTTTGGTCGTACGACAACGAGGTGGTGTCGGGAGAGGTGACGTCACTCGCGGGCCTCTGTGCGCTTGCGTGTGCTGGAGGAGCGGGGAGGGTGGGGCGGAGTCGCTTGGTTGGTGCGTTGCCCTGCTAAAGTATCAGTTCTTGGGCGTGGTGATGTAATGAGCTTTGAGCAGGGCGTTTTGCCGGTCCAGGAAAAGACGCCCTAATTTTGGCGCACCTAGAGGTCTCCTAGCTACCATCTTGTCAGCAGGCGACCTTTACCCAGACTCTGTCCTACTACCACGGCTGGCGCCAACAGCATCCTAGAGGGACAGCCTGGAACCAGGAGTTACACGAGTTGGGCACCAGCTCGTGACCTTGTTCTAGTTCCACCTATACTCTGTTACTTTCAGTCACATTCCAGCTCTCCGCTTGATGGACGCCCCAAGACTGAGGAAGGTGCTGCATTTGCGGCAGAGACAGGATTATCCCTCTGGAACTGAAAAATAAAATTAAGAGGATGCAATGATAACATTTATGTACCTTTTAAAATTTTTATGAGTACGAAGTAGGTAAATATATATATATACTTAAGAGGTACATGAGATATTTTGATACAGGCATACAATGTATAATAATCACATCAGGGTAAACGGTCTATCCATCACCTCAAGCATTTATCCTTTTTTTCTGTTACAAGCAATCCAATTATACTTTTAGTTTGTTTAATGTACAATAAATTATTGTTGAGTGTAGTCACCCTGTTGTATTACTAGACCTTATTCATTCTTCTTCAGTGGCGCCATTTAATGTCTCAGCCCCCCAAGTAGCTGGGACTACGGGAGCAAACCACCACGCCCAGCTAATTTTTGTATTTTTAGTAGAGATGGGGTTTCACTATTTGGTCAGGCTGGTCTCGAACTCCTGACCTCAGGTGATTCACCCGCATCGGCCTCCCAAAGTGCTGGGATTACAGGTGTGAGCCACCACGCCCAGGGCAAATAATATTTTATAACCCATTGTTTTAAACTGATGACAACATAACATTGATTGCATAAACAAAAATCAAAGAGAAAACTAAGAAAAACTCTGCACTTTAACTTCACTCTCCCCACTTTTAAAACTTTTTCTTGTTTCTATTTATATATTATTATACTATGTCTTGAAAAGTTGTTATAGCTATTATTTTTGATAAGTTAGGTTAATCTCTAAGTCTTTCTACTCAAGATATGAACAGTTTACACACAATTACAGTATTATAATATTGTGTGTTTTTCTGTGTACTTACTATTAGTAGTGAGTTTTGTACCTTCAGGTGGTTTCTTATTGCTTACGAATGTCCTTTTCTTTCAGACTGAGGAACTCCCTTTAGCATTTCTTGTAGGACAGGTCTGGTGTTGATGAAATCCCTCAGCTTCTGTTTGCCTGGGAAAGTCTTTATTTCTCCCTCACATCTGAAGGATATTTTCACTGGATGTACTATTCTAGGATAAAAGTTTTTTCCCTCAGCACTTTAAATATGTAATGCCACTCCCTCCCGGCCTGTAAAGTTCCACTGATAAGTTTGCTGCCAGACTTATTAGAACTCCTTTTTATGTTATTTGTTTCTTTTCTCTTGCTTGCTTTTAGGATTCTTTCTTTATCCTGGATCTTTGGGAGTTTGATTATTAAATGTTTTGGGGTGTCTTCGTTGGGTTAAATCTGCTTGGTGTTTTATAACCTTCTTGTACTTGAATATTGATATCTTTCTCTAGGTTTGGGAAGTTCTCTGTCATTATCTCGCTGAATAAACTTTCTACCCTGATCTCTCTCTCTAGCTCCTCTTTATGGCCAGTAACTCTTAGATTTGCCCTTTGAAGCCAGTTTCTAGATCTTATAGGTGTACCTCATTCATTTTTATTCTTTTTTCTTTTGTCTCTTCTGAGTGTGTATTTTCAAATAGCCCATCTTCAAGCTCACTAATTCTTCCTTCTGTTTGATCAATTCTGCCTGTAAGGGACTGCATTTTTTAGTACGTTAATTGGATTTTTCAGCTTCAGAATTTCTGCTAGATTCTTTTTAATTGTTTTAATCTCTGTTAAATTTATCTTGTAGAATTCTGAATTTCTTCTCTGTGTTATCTTGAATTTTGTTGAGCTTCCTCAACACAGCTATTTTGAATTCTCTGTTTGAAAAGTCACATATCTCTTTCTCTCTGGAATTGGTCACTTGTGCCTTCATTAGTTTGTTTGGTGAGGTCGTGTTTACCAGGGTGGTCTTGATGCTTGTGGATTTTTGTTGGTGTCTGGGCACTGAAGAGTTAGGTATTTATTATTGTCTTCACAGTCTGGGCTTTTTATTTTTTTGTATCCACCCTTCTTGGGATGGCTTTCCAAGTATTTGAAGGGACTTGGGTGTTGTGATCTAAGTCTTTGGTCACTGCAGCTATATCTGCATTAGGGGCCATCCGAAGCTCAGTAAAACTATAGCTTTTGCAGACTTGTAGGGGTATGACATTTGTGGTCTTGGGTAAGATCCAGGAGAATTACCTGGATTACCAGGCAGAGACTCTGTTCTCTTATCTTACTTTCACCCAAACAAATGGAGTCTCTGCACTGAGCTGTCTGGAGCTAGGGGAGAGGTGACACAAGCACCCTTGTGGCTGCCTCCACTGTGACTGTGCTAGGAGAGACCTGATGCCAACATAGCACTGGGTCTGGTCCAAGGCTTGCAGTGACCACTGTCTAGCTACAGTAGCTTATGTTTCCTCAAGGCCTGCATTCAGAAGCTGGTGAATTCAGCCAGCCTTGTGTCCTTCCTATCAGGGCAACAAGTTCTCTCCATCTTCAAGTAGGTCCAGAGATGCTGTCTGGAAGCCAGGGCTTGGGGTCGGGAACCTTAGGAATCTACCTGGTACTCTATTCCACTGTGGCTGACCTGGCACCCAAACCACAAGATAAAGTTATTCTCACTCTTCCCTCCTCTTTCCTCAAGCATCAAAGTCCTTCCCCATGACCACCATTGCACTAGCCCATGGCTAGTACTTCCTGGCTATGCCAACATTCACTCAAGGCACAGGGGCTCTTCAGTCAGCTTGTGATAAATGCTATTAGTCCCGAGTTTCTCCTTTCAGGGCAGTGGGGTCCTCTTTGGCCCAGGGCATGTCCAGAAATGCTGTCTAGGAGCCAAGGCATGGAATCAGGGACTCCAGGAGCCTGCTTGGTGCCCTACTCCCCAGTAGCTGAGCTGGTATCCAAGTCGCAAGACAAAGTCTCCTTACTTTTCCCTCTCCTTTCCTCAAATAGGAGTCTCTCCCCTGAAGCCACCACACCTGAAGCCAGCATGGCTGGCTACTACTACTGATTATTCAAGCCCAAAGTCTCTTTAGTCAGCAAGTGATGAATCTTGCCAGGCCTGGGCTCTTCCCTTTAAGGCAACAGGTTCCGTTCTGGCCCAGGGTGTCTCTAGAAATTTCATGTGGGGGCTAGGGCATGAAATGGGGGCCTCCCCCTAGTGCACAGTTCTACCGTGGCTGAGCTGGTATTCAAGTTGTAAGACAATGTCTTCTTTACTCTCCCCTCTCTTCTCCTCAAGTGGTGGGAAGGAGTCTCTCCCAGTACTGTCAGCAGCAGTGCCTGTGGCTTGGAGAAGGGTGATGCAAGCATTCCCTTGGCCTCCCTGGCTAGCATCTCACTAGGTCATGTACATTCTAAGCCCAATGGCTCCAAGCCCAGCAACAGAACTTGCCCAAGAATTGTAGTTCTTTTGGCCTATTCTGCCTTTCAAGTTTATTTGGGACCCCCCCAGAGCACTTTAGCCCACGGTAGCTGGGCCTGCTAGAACTCAGGTTCTGGCTGCTTGGATGAATGACTCCTCTCTAGCTAGGGCTCATCTACATGCTCCCTCTGGGCACTGGCTGATTTCTGCCCAGTGTTGTTTTTCACTGTGACAGGGCAGCACTGAGTTCCAATGCAAGGCCCTGCAATCACTGCCCTGTCCCTTCCGCAAGCACACTGATTCTCTATGCCATGTGGCCACTGCTGGGGGATGTGGAAGGGGTGGTGTAGGCAATCCAAGACTGCCTTTTTTACCCTCTTCAGTGCCTCTTTCCTTAATATGATGTTAAAACCAGGTACTGTGATTGCTCACATGATTTTTGGTTCTTATGAAGGTTCTTTTTTGGGTGGATAGTTGTTCAATTTGTTGTTCCTATGTCGGGGGCAATTCCTGGAGGCTTCCATTTGGCCATCTTGCTCCACCTCTCCACCAAAATGACTTTTTGGAGAGGAGTTATTAGACTACCTCTGGAAGTGCTGTAACAGCCCAATGGGTTCTTCTTGCCTGCTGCCTAGAAAAGCCAATGCATTGAGAGCAACAGTTTTTGGAGCAGAGAAAGAGTTTAATTATCAGAGGGCCAGCCAAGCAGAAGGATGGGAGATAATTTTCAAATCTGCCTCCCTAAGAATACGGAAGCTAGGGTTTTTCAAGGATAGTTGGTGGCTGGGTGTGGTGGCTCATGCCTGTAATCCCAACACTTTGGGAGGCCGAGGCGGGTGGATCACTTGATGTCAGGAGTATGAGACCAGCCTGGCCAACATGGTGAAACCCCGTCTCTACTAAAAATACAAAAAATTAGCCCAGTGTGGTGGTGCATGCCTGTAATCCCAGCTACTTGGGAGGCTGAGGCAGGAGAATCACTTGAACCTGGGAGGTGGAGGTTGCAGTGAGCTGAGATCATGCCACTGCACTGCGCTCCAACCTGGGCGACAGAGAAAGACTCCGCATCTCAAAAAAACAAAAAAGAAAGAAAAGAAAAAAGAAAAGCAAGCTGGGGACAGTGGCTGGTTATCACTTCTTTTTTTTTTTTTTTTTGAGACGGAGTTTCGCTCTTGTTGCCCAAGCTGTAGTACAATTGCGCGATCTCGGCTCACTGCAACCTCTGCCTCCCAGGTTCAAGAGATTCTCCTGCCTCAGCCTCTCAAGTAGCTGGGATTACAGGTGTGTGCCACCATGCCCGGCTAATTTTTTGTATTTCTAGTAGAAACAGGGTTTCACCATGTTAGCCAGACTGGTCTTGAACTCCTGACCTCAGATGTTCCGCCCACGTCAGCCTCCCAAAGTGCTGGGATTATAGGTGTGAGCCACCGCGCCCAGCCAGTTATCACTTAACTACACCTACTTCTTAGCAATTCAGGCCCCTCCCATAATCCTAACCTTGTGACCTTTCATTAGTTTTTCAAGGGTGATTTTTGGTTCCTGAACAAGTAGGGGGTTAGTTTTGGGAAGGAAGGAGCTATTATTGTCTTTGCCTTACAGTTAAACTATAAATTCCTCCCGTAGTTAGCTTGGCCTATGCCCAGGAATGAACACACAGCTTGTGAGGTTAGAAGCAAGATGGAAATAGCTATGTCAGATTTATTTGACTTTCATCATTTTTGCAAATGCAGTTTCAGTGACACTGGGAGCAACACACATCCATATCTGTTCAGTGGTTTGGAGCAGGGCCCTCAATCCCTGCTCTGTGGCCTGTTAGGAACAGGGCCACATAGAAGGAGGTGAGTGGGGGGTGAGCAAATGAAGCTTCATCTGTATTTACTACCACTCCCCTTCACGCACATTACTGCCTGAGCTCCATCTCCTGTCAGATCAATGGTGGCATTAGATTCTCATAGGAACTTGAACTCTATTGTGAACTGCACATGCAAGGGATCTAGGTTGCATGCTCCTTATGAGAATCTAATGCCTGATGATCTGTCACTATCTCCCATCACCCCCACATGGGACCATCTAGATGCAAGAAAACAAGCTCAGGGCTCCCACTGATTCTACATTATGGTGAGTTATATAATTATTTCACTGTATATTATAATGTAATAATAATAGAAATAAAGTGCACAATAAATGTAATGCACTTGAATGATCCTAAAATCATCCTCCCCCATGCCCCGGTCCATGGAAAAATTGCCTTCCACAAAACTGGTTCCTGATGCCAGAAAGGTTGTGGACTGCTGGGTTAGAGGACATGGAGCTGGAAGACCTGAGAAGGTAGAGAAAAAGGTTCTATGCCAGACTGGTCATATTTAGAAAACACTTCGTATTATTGTTACGGTGGGGGAGGAGTGGTCCTTGCTCCCAGAGCTCCCAAGATGGTGGCAGGCCACTTCCAAAATGGCAGCAGGCCACTTCCAAGATGGTGGCAAGCCTCGTGTTCTCTGACCTGGGGTTCTTGGCCTCACAGATTCCAAGGAATGGAATCTTGAGCCATGTGGTGAGTGTTATAGCTCTATTAGAAGCCATGGGTCACGGAAGAGAACCATGGAACCCAGTGACTAGTGTTCAGCTCAATTAGGACGAACCCAGGCACTTAGCCCTGCAGGAACAATGGCAAGCCTTTAGCCTTATTGGGAGTGGCAATGGGCACCTCGCTGGATCAGGAGCACAGCTGACACCCTGCTGGATCCGGAGGGATGGAAGTCAGCGGCGGGTCTGCGACGGCGGCAAACAGCAGTGGTGGACGGCAAGTGAAAGCTCAGCTCGAGCGAGCCTTAACAAACATGGACCAGAAGAGTGCAGTTGCAAGATTTAATAGAGTGAAATAGAGTGAAAACAGATCTCCCATACACAGGGAGGGGACCCAAAGAGGGTAGCTGTTGCTGGCTCGAATGCCTGGGTTTCTATCCCGATCATTGTCCCTCCCGCTGTGCTGTCATGCAACAGATGATTAGCTATTTCTTTACCTCCTGTTTTCGCCTAATTAGCATTTTAGTGAGCTCTCTTTACTATCTGATTGGTCGGGTGTGAGCTAAGTTGCAAGCCCCATGTTTAAAGGTGGAAGGGGTCACCTTCCCAGCTAAGCTTGGGGATTTTTAGTCGACCTAGGAAATCCAGCTAGTCCTGTCTCTCAGTATAACTATTGTTGTGTGCATTTTATTCCTCACTACTGTATATATCATTGACAATGCTAAGTACTTTTTTGAAATATCTAGGCTTTGTAGGTATTCAGTGCCTGATACATTTGTTAAAAGTAAAAGTAGAGGTTGTAAAATGATACATTTTGTAAATGTCTTTTTGTTAAAATTCCATAAGAAATGTTTGGGGGAGAATGGCCAAACCACCCCTTGAGTAGTACACATTGTGTTTGTGCACTGTTTCAGGGGAGGAGACAGGAAAAGGAAGTGCAAAGAGCTCTATGCTGATGTCCACAGTGAGGCAAGATTAACCACTGTTCCTTACTTCTATGCATTTTATTGTACTTATCTGTGTATATAAAGGATAAACAATACCTAATTTACAACATCTAGTCTTTCTAGATGTTAAAGAGTTGCTTGTGTATAACAAAAGTAAGTTTAGTAAACGAGTATGTTTTATACATTTTGCTCAAATTTCCGAAAATTTGAGCATTATTGACCACTGAGTTGATGGAGATGGGAAGGGTTTTAGGCCAGAATGTTCATATTTTAAAGGCTCTTTCAAATTATAACTACTCTTACATGTGTGCAATTTATTCAAGACTGCTGTACACATAGTGGACAAATTAACTCCTTATGTATGTTAAATGTAGAGGTAGTAAAATATCACTTTTTGCTAAAATTCATAGGAAAATTGGCTTTTGGAAATGGAATTGTTACACCACTTCTGTGAGCAGTATATTATTGTCTGTACTTGTTCAGTGGTTTAGAGGAGGTAGGAGGGAAGGAATTGCAAAAGGTAATATGCTAGTGTGTTCATATTTGGACATTTTCAGGAACTTTTTTTCTGTATGTTTTGTGCATTTTGTTTTGCTGTGTATATAGTGTATATAATGGACAAATGAGTCCTAATTTTGCAACATCCAGTCTCTAGATGTTAAAGAGGTTGCCAGTGTATGAAAGCACTTAGAATTAGCACAGTTTTGTACACTTTGTGTTGAAATAGCAAGTTGTCTTCTGTAAATGACTTGGATATGAATTTGTTCAACCATCTCTAAGCATTACACATGCTTATGTTTGTCCACTGGATTGAAGGCAGAGAGAAGGAAGTGAGGATAGAATGGTTCAAGGCCAAAGTGGTCATATTTAGAAGATCTCTCAGATTGTGACCCTTGTAATGTGTGTAATTTAACTGCTGTGTATATAGTAGACAAGTTCTGATATGAAATATCTAGTCTTTGTAGATATTCGGATGTGCCTAATGTTTTAAAAGCAGAAGTAGTAGAGTAACGCTTTTTGTAAATAGCTTTTAAAAATTAATGGAAAATACCGTGTTTGGAAGTATAATAGAATGTTAAACCACCTCTGTGAACAGTGTACTCTCTGTATCATTCATTGGGTTGAGGGAGGAGGGAGGAAATTGCAAAAGGTGTTTTGCTAATGTGTACTAGAACATTTCAGCTTATCCATTGCTCTATATATTATGTTCTTTTGATTTAACTTTTCTGTACTGTATATATTGTGCATGTACTGGACAAGTGAGTCTTAACTTTATAATACCGAATCTCTGGATATTAAAGACGTTGCCAATGTATGACAAAAATAGAGTTACTAGGCTGGGCATGGTGGCTCACGCTTGTAATCCCAGCACTTTGGGAGGCCGAGGCAGGTGGATCACGAGGTCAGGAGTTCGAGACCAGCCTGGCCAACTAGTGAAAACTCTTCTCTACTAAAAATACAAAAACTTAGCCGGGCGTGGTGGCAGGTGCCTGTAATCCCAGCTACTTGGGAGGCTGAGGCAGGAGAATCGCTTGAACCCAGGAGGCGGAGGTTGCAGTGAGCCAAGATTGTACCATTGCATTCCAGCCCAGGCAACAGTGTGAGACTCTGACTTAAACAAAAACAAAAACAAAAACAAAACACACACACACACACAAAAGAACCAGTTAGTAAACTAACACATTTTGTAAAAAAAAAAAAAAAAAAACCAAAAAAACAAAAACAAAAAACACACACACACAAAACAAAAAAATTGAGCTTTTTGATGAGCATGCTTGGAGTTTGGTATTTTCTGTCATCAAATAAGGGCAGATTCATTAGCTTTAACAATCAGCAGAGTTAAAGGAAAGGCTGACTTCCTCTTAGTTGAGAAGCATGACTATGACAATGCCTAAAGAGAAGGCTGTGCCACCCTTGCATGGAGGTAGGCAGAGTGAACACCATATTTAGAATGTAATTTCTAACTAATTTCCATGCAACCCAGGGAAGCTGGGTACAAAGGTATGAACATTACACAAAACTCTAGGAGTGCAATCAAAACCTCAAATTTTTATACTGGAGAGTTACACCTTCCAAAGTTTATTATTTGGAATTCCATTCCAGTGATCTACTCTGTGATAAAAAGTGTGTACACTATATCTCCCTCACTTCAGACACTCCCAATTGCATTACATATTAAAGGCTATAGAGAACCCAGTGACCAAGGCATGCAACTGACATTGTTGCTCCGATTTCCCCAGTATTATTTCACCATGTAAACTTTTACTTCCTGTCATAATGTAACTAGTGCTGTACAGAATGCAGTTGGAAAAAAATTCTCTAACTTTAGCCCAGAATAGTTTTAAGGAGGTTACAACCAAATGACATGTTGGTCATAAAATTAAAATAAATATTCACAAAATACTTAAAGAAATTCCTCTTGAACTTCCACGATAGACTATGTTTAAAATCTACCTCTTGGCACATTAAATGAATTGACTTGCATATGGGAGTTAGCCAAACTCTTAGAGAACACACTCCAGAAATGAAGATTTGGGGCTCTGTAATAACTGATACCAAGCCATCCTTTCTTGCTATAATTAGAACTCACCAGTTGCTAATTAAGGCCATTGCTAGATCTTCAGTAAAATAATTTTATCTGCATAAAAGAAACAGTTATGTTTCTCAATCAGAAGGTTAAGGGTAAGCAAACAATTCAATTTGTAATGTGTACATGCAGAGAGTTTTGGGTTTCATTTTTTTCGCTGACTTATTTTCTTTACATGTTTACATAAAGGAACAGAGTCCACATACTTTTAAGACAATATAGTTTTTAGAGGTGTCCATCCCTCAATTAACTAGGTGTTTGGGTTTTGTCTTTTCTACCTAATGCTACTATGTACAAAAATTTACATAAAGGGACAGTGTTCTCATTTTTATTAAGATACTATAATTTGTATAGTCATTCATTAATTATTGATCATTTGAGTTCTTTCCAGCTTTTCAATTTTTTTTGGTGAAACAATGATGTAAACTTTGTTGTACACATTGCTTTTTGTGATTTTGGAAAATTTCCTTGTATAATCTGAAGATGAGAGATTAAAGACTATAAATTTTTCTAGTTCTAATATTTTATTGCCAAATTGTTAAACTTTTCAAGAAGTCATAACATCACCTTTTCTGGGTTCCTCCAACCAGATACTAACTTAAATTCCTGAAAATGTAAACCTCACTAACAAGGTCCTTGTGGTTTAATCTAGAAAACAGAATCCAGCAATACGAAGGAAATTCTGTTATATTTTTTAGCTTCTTGCAAGAGGCTGGGTTTTGAAGGGAAGAATGAGTATCTCAATTATAGAAATAATAGGAATTATGGCCATAGAATTGGTGCTTCATCCCCGAATGCTCATTATCCCTGAGGTCTTTATGGTCTTCTAGAATTGATTTATGGAAACGCTTTTGTGCACCAGTTTTTGAAAAAGAGTTCTTAAGCTCCAGCAGGTTGGTCTGAGGTTTGGTCACTCCAGCTCTAGGAATCCAACCAAGAACAGGTCTTGTTTCTTCATTGTTTTCCATATTCAAGAACAACTCTTCTTCTGGCTTACTTAAAAAATGTTCTAAAGTGAAAGCTTCCGTGTCTTGTTTATTTTGTAAAACACTAGGTTTACTAAGGCTAACAGGGTCTGGACACATATTATACTGATCACGTAGGGGAGATTTAAGATTTTCATAGTGAATCCAGTGGTCTGGTTTACAGTAAGGTGTGGGTTGGGTTTTTAGTGACTGCTGTCTCCAGTATAAATCTTCTGTCTTTTTAGTATCTGTGATTTTTGGAAATGGCTTTATGTCATAAATGCTAGTTAGGTCTTTTGTTGGGTAACAAGATGGGAGTTCATAGGTAGACAGCAAGCTCTGTTCTTCTATGATCTTCTCTTCAATATCCTGGTTTTTATGGGTCACACCGGCTGGTATGTTATCACTAAGTGCCACCATTTCTTTAGAACTGGGTACAAAGGTATGAAAATTACACAAAACTCTAGGAGTACAATCTGGACAGGAACGTGGTCTTTGCTGGACTATAGCCTCCAGAGAACGTCGGTTCTGAATTAATCGGGCAATTCGTCCTTCCAACGGTCTGGGAGGTTTGAAGACAGGGTGGAATTTTTCTTGCTGTAGTTGTGGGATAAAAAGGAGAAAAAAATTGATCAGGGATATTGCCACAAATGGTAGGTCAAAAGTCATACCCATTTTCATTGTCTGAGTACACGAGATGGGCATAGGAGTGTACATTGCAATGCTCTTTGATACTAATTTAAAGACATTGAAATTTGGGTCCAAATACATTTTCCTCCTTTACTGGTTTTAGAGAGTATGAAAGGGGCATGTTTTTTATTTGGCTATACAGAACTCTTTCTGTGTGGGAACTCTGCTTTTAAACTTCAAAGATATAAAGCAATCACTGGAATAAAACTTCTGTCCATCACTAACAGATGGCATTAGCCGCGTGTGCAGTTATTTAATCTCAGCCAAAGTCTCCTTTATTAGGCCTTAGCAAGTGCCCTTAAACCTTGGCTGAGTCAGAATCATCTGCAGAGCTGGCAGGAGATTCCTGACTCCTAAGACCCTCCAAGACTGTGGGTCAGAAGGCCTGTAGTGGGCCCCAGGAAGCTGAATTTTCTTTTTTTTTTTTTTTTTTATTTTTTCTTTTTTCTTTCCTTTCTCTTTGGTTTTCATTCTCTTATGGTTTTGGCAGGTTTTGACAGTATTAGAGTAATGCGAACCTCATGAAACAAGTTGCGGAGTGTATTAATTTGCTAGCGCTGCCATAATGAGGTACCACAAACTGGGTGGCTTCAACAATAGAAATTTATTGTCTCATAGTTCTGGAAGTTCAGCCTCAGTGTATTGGCAGGGTTGGTTTCTTCTGAGGGTTGTGAAGAAAAATCTGATTCCTGCCTCTTCCCAAGATTCTGGGTGGTTTAATGGAAATCTTTAGTGTCCCTTGGCTTGTAGAGGCATGACCCCACTGTCTGCTTTCATGTTCACAAGACATTCTCTCTGCAGCATGTCTACCTCTAAATTTTCTTTTTATAAGAACACCAGTTAGATTGGATTAAATTCACCCTCATGACCTCATTTTAACTTGATTACCTTGGAAATGACCCTATTTCCAAATAAGGTCACATTCTGAGGTACTTGGGATTATGCTACAACTTCAACAAAAGAGATTACCCATAATATGGGGTAATTTAACCTTCCTTACATTCTAAAAATCTTGTGTAAGATTGGTGTTATTTCTCCTTGAAGATTAGAAAAGATTTACCAGTAAAACCACTTGGGTCTAGACTTTCCATTTTAGGAGGGTTTTTGATAAATTCAATTTATTATTATGTATAGGACTATTCAGATTTTCTTTATCTTCTCATGCCAATTTTGGGAGGACCACTTTTTAAGGACACTTGTCAATTTTAAGTTATGATCTTTTTAATGCCTGGAGAATATGTAATGATAATCTTTTAAAAAAATTCATTATAACTGTGATTTATGTGTGTATTCTTTTGTTCTTAATCAATCTAACTAGAAGTTTGTCAATTTTGTTGATCTATTCCAGGGATCAGAAAACTTTTTTCTGTAAAAGGCCAAGTAGTAATAAGCTCATAATTTAGTGTAAGCATTGTGGACCATGTGATCATCATTGTAACAATGCAACTCTGCCATTGTTGAATAAAATCAACCATAAACAATCCATAAACAAATGAATATTGCTGAGTTCTTTTATTTTCTTTTTGTGAAGATAGAGTCTTGTTATGTTGCCCAGGCTGGTCTCTAACTACTAGGCTCAAGCAATCCTCCTGCCTTTGCCTCCCAAAAATGACAGGATTACAGGCCTGAGCCACTGTGCCCAGCAACTGTTGCCATGTTCTAATAAAATTTATTTACAAAACCAAAAATAACCACAATGAGTTAATACTCCACAGTCACCGTATAATCAAAAAGAGAGAAATAAATAACTGTTGGCATTTATGTTGAGTAATAAAAACCCTCATACATTTCTGGTTGGAATGTAAAGAGTTACAGCCACTTTGAAAAATGGTTTTGAAGTTTCCTAAAATCATATAACTACTCTCCCAAAACAAAAACATATGTCCATACACAGATTTGCATGTAAATATATGGAAGCTGAATTTTCAACGAGCATTTCAGGTGATGGTGAGGCTGGAGATTTGCTATGCTTTGAGAAACACTGGTCTGAGGTGTCATGTCTGTGCTTCTTTTTAAGTTGTTTTATAAATATGAACTCAATTATGTCTGGTAACTGCGAAAGTAGTGAGTGTATTTAAAGTGCTATTAATAGATACACGCTGGGTGGTGGGAAGAGGATGCAGCTGACTGGGAGGGGGTATGAGGAGGAAACTTTCTGGAATGATAGTATTCTGTATCTTGATAGGGGTTTGGGTTACAAAGGTGTGTTTGTTAAAACTCGATGAATGTACACTTAAGATTTGTGCAATTGCATTGAACTTTATTTCATCTTAAAAGAAAAAAAAACCGCAAACAAATATTGAACTCTGGTTGATAATATACATGCTGCATGTTTAGGAGTGAAGTATACTAATGTCTGCAATTTACTCTAAAATGCATACAAATAATATATTTTTATTATTTCTGGATGATGGATGGTTAGAGGGATGGAAAGATGGATAGATTATGTGATAAAACAAGCATAGCAAAATGTTAGTGGTAGAATCTAGGTGGTGAGTATATGGGTGTTAATTATACATTTTTTTTTTTACTTTTCTGTATGTTTCAAACATTTTATAATAATATGTTAAAGTAAAAAAACTACCAAAGAATGTATGTATAATGATGATGGAATTGACAGCAGAGATAATACAAATGAGAGTAGTGAGAAAATAATCACTGTAGCTTGGACTTAAAAAAATGGACTTAGGAACATCCTTTTGAAAGCTAATCTGTTCATAGTCAGAGAAATTTCCATATTGAGGTAACAAATTTGTTACAGCCTTTAGCTAATCAAGTTTGAGTAAATACTGTGATGAAAAAACTTCAGCTCTTTGACGTGCTTTGTTAAATTTGTCATAAAAAAGGACAGGACTTATCATATTGTACTTTGACCATATATATTTCTGTATGCAAGAAGCAGTTTTTAGTGCTTTTATTTTACACTACTACAATAAAATATTTCATACACATTTTTATTACCATTAAAACATGTTTTCCCAGTCTGTTCTTTATGGTTTAATCAGAAACCAGCAAGAGTCACTAAAACTTTCTTTTAAACTTCCAATTATCTTAGGTATATTTTATCTCGTTATTCATAAATATTTAAGAGTTGATTTGCTTGCACAATGATTTTGCATATAACATATTTGGCAAACATCCTGTATATAATGGAATATGTATTTTGTACATACCATACAGGGTCGAATCTCTGGAAATCTGGACAGTTGTTGAACACACCTGACAACATATGTTCATATAATATTTTCTATACTTAGAGAATGCTCATTGCAAATTCAACAAAAAAATTATTAAAAACCCTTCAGTGAATGATAAAACACAGCCTATAAACCTGCTCCTGGTGTTATGATTTTATATCACCTTAGGAAATGCTGAAGCAAATGTAAAATCAGTATGTTCAGCTCAGTTTTTATTTTATTTATTAATTTATTTTGAGATGGAGTCTCACTCTGTTGCCCAGGCTGGAGTGCAGTGGCACAACCTTTGCTCACAGCAACCTCTGCTTCCCAGATTCAAGCGATTCTCCCACCTTAGCCTCCTGAGTAGCTAGGACTACAGGCATGTGCCACCATGCCCGGTTAATTTTTGTATTTTTAGTAGAGACAGGGTTTCACCATGTTGGCCAGGCTGGTCTCCAACTCCTGACCTCAGGTGGTCCACCCGCCTCAGTCTCCCAAAGTGCTGGGATTATAGGCAAGAGCCACCACGCCCGGCCCTCAGCTCAGTTTTTTTGTTTTCTTTTCTCCCCCCGCCCAGCATGATCTTGGCTTGCTGCAACCTCCGCCCCATCCCCCTGGCTGAAGCGATTCTCCTGCCTCAGCCTCCAGAGTAGCTGGGATTACAGGCGCCCACCACCACGCCCGGCTAATTTTTGTATTTTTAGTAGAGACGGGTCTCACCATGTTGGCCAGGCTGGTCTCGAACTCCTGACCTCAGGCGATCCACCCGCCTCAGCCTCCCAAAGTGCTAGGATTACAGGCATGAGCCACCGAGCCTGACCCAGCTCAGTTTTTAAAGTGTTCAAACTGAAATAATCTTACAGATGTTTTTCCTTGTGTTTTTCACAATTTATATACCTTTAAAATGTTAATTTTGTTTTCAAAATTTGTAGTCGTCGAGAATAAAATTTAGGCCTCAAATAAAACAACACATATGCAAACTATTAGGTCATTTCATCTCATTTACATAATTAAACCAACAGATTATACTTTTGCTCATTAAAGGGCTTGATTATTTCTTCCAGGCCATTTCGCATAATCAATTTAAAAGTCTCTACTGATATCTGCAGAGAACGTATTGGCTTTTCATTGTAATTCAGCCAGCTCTCAATTATTATGAATATCAGGAGGAAGCCTTTATTTCTTCAAAAGCAATGGTAATGTACAAGATATATAAATATGCAAAGGGCCAGGCGCAGTAGCTCACGCCTGTAATCCCAGCACTTTGGGAGGCCGAGGCGGGCGAATCACGAGGTCAGGAGATCGAGACCATCCTGGTCAACATGGTGAAACCCCGTCTCTACTACAAATACAAAAATTAGCTGGGTGTGGTGGTGCGTGCCTGTAATCCCAGCTATTCTGGAGGCTGAGGCATGAGAATCGCTTGAACCAAGGAGGCGGAGGTTGCAGTGAGCTGAGATCGTGCCACCGTACTCCAGCCTGGCAACAGAGTGAGACTCTGTCTCAAGGAAAAAAAAAAAAAAAAAAAAAAGCAAAGATCTACGGAATTTACTAGGAATCTCATTAAATCACTAGTTAAATTCTTTTGTAAACTGCTTCTTTTGTAAGTTATTTCAGCAACAGTAGCATAGTAGAAAATCTGTTAAAAAAAAAAAACCACTCTGAAGAAGAAAAGAAATCTCTTTTTTTTGAGACGTAGTCTCGCTCTGTCGTCTAGGCTGGAGCGCAGTGGCACGATCTCAGCTCATTGCAACCTCTGCCTCCTGGGTTCGAGCGATTCTTCTGCCTCAGCCTCCTGAGCAGCTGGGAGTAGAGGCGAGTGCCACCACGCCTGGCTAATTTGTGTATTTTTAGTAGAGACAGAGTTTCACCATATTGGCCAGGCTGGTCTCGAACTCCTGACCTCGTGATCTGTCCGCCTCGGCCTCCCAGAGTGCTGGGATTACAGGTGTGAGGCACTGCGCCTGGCCCAAGAAAAGAAATCTTGCTTGTTTTCCCAAACAGCAGACAAAGTATTCAAACCAGTTCAAATCAGCTCAGAATTCACTTCTAAAATAAGTAAAAATTTCCATTTGCTAACTTGGTTGCTAAAACCCAGGACACAAAAAGTGGCAAAGCAAGAAGGAGCCCAGCACTCTCCCCCAAAATAACTGAGAGTTGACTGCAATTACTTACCGGCTCTGGGTCAAATCCTATCTTTCGTGTTAACTCTGCTACCATCTTTTCATGGTAATCATCCAGTTCAAGGGGGTCCATGGGCCCCAGACCTTAATGGAAACATCACCTTATTATTTTGTTAGGGTAAACGAAGAACGACAGTTATATTACCCTTTATAGGAAAACTTACCCATTCCTTTTGTAATATAATTAGAACCAATAAAATGAAAACCAACCCTACCTCCCAGCTACCTATGAAGAGAAATTTACCACCCACCTTAATTCTTATTTAAATACTTTAGGATTTAAATACTTTGAGAAAAAGGCAAAAACATGAGAAGTTGAAAGCTTGTCATAGCATTTGTTAAATATTCCAATTTTGTTCTAATTTTTACTTGTATGAAAGTGAACTCATACCTGTAAAATCATGAGTGTACGAAGTGAGCCAGTGGGACCTCTCAAGATTTCTTTGTATGTTGGCTTCTTTGGCAGAGCAAATAGGGTCCCATGAATTTAAAGAAGTGTTAGGAGCGAAGGTTTTAGGAGGTTTTGGGTAGAATACTGGCTTATTTTTCTCAACACCTCTGGGAAACTAAAATATGAACATAAAGATTACTGCTGTTAATGTCATCTAGTAGAATAAGACCTGATTCATGATCTCAGCAGGAAAGAGGCAAAGGAAATTCCAGGCTGACGTCAGAATGGTTTTTTTTTTGTCATTAATTACTAGTTAATTACTAATTGCTATAATTGGAACCATATATAGAGTTAAACACAATATTCTATCAAATAAATGGTAAGGTCTTTTCTAAAAGTCTTTTGCCTTAGCTGGGACTTTGATAATGTGTATTGGAGAAATGTCCCTGAATATTCTACCTCCAGTGAAATTTTATTAGCAATACAAAGGGCTCTAAGGTGGTCTTTTGGCTAAGTTTAGCTAAAATTGTGTGCCTTCTACTTTTCCTTCCATGCCTGAAATGAAACCATTTGATGTCTTTTATGAATTTCCAATGAAGTTTAAATCACTCAAATTCAAATAAAATTTTCATTCTTCAGACGTAACTAGAGAGTTTTATTTTATATTTTCAAAAGAGCTATGCATGTAAACATGAGTGAATAAGTGAGTTTCACTGCAGTCTTTTTGATTACTTAGAAATTCACCTTTTCTCAGTATCTCTCTTATGATACTTAATATTTACTAAGCACCTATATGTGCACAGTAGTGGCTGCAAACAAGCATGGATCCAAAACAAATCTTGCCATCCAGGAACATATTGGCTAGTAGGGGAGATAAACCATGAAACACAAATGACAAAAAGATTTTAACAAGTAATTCTTTGTCATAAAAGAAGTAAAGACACTTTTTTTTTTTTTTTTTTTTTTTCCAGAGACAGGGTCTCACCCTGCCACCCAGGCTGGAGTGCAGTGGTACAATCATAGCTCACTGAAACCTCCAACCCTTGGGCTCAAGTGATTCTCTGGCCTCAGCCTCCTGAACAGCCTGGACTACAGGCCTGTACCACCACTCCTGGCTTTTTCTTTAAAAAATACTTTTTGTAGAGACAGGGTCTCATCATGTTGCCCAGGCTGGTCTCAAACTCCTGACCTCAAGAGATCCTCCTACTTCAGCCTATCAAGCGTTAGGATTATAGACATGAGCTACCATGCTCGACCATGAGACACAATTATTTGAAAGTTCAAAGAAGGGAGAGATTGAATTCACCTGAATGGGGAAGTGGAGCTGGGAAACAGGGAGGGAGGGTGAAGACAAGAGGCCATGTCATGTTATATGCAGAAACTGGGCCTTGAATGATGTGCAGAGATGTGGAGGCCAAAGGAACAGCAGGAGCAGAGGTATGGATAGTGGTGGCAAGTGTGGAAGTAGCATTTCTTCAACATTAGGCTGCTGGGTGCCCTCACAGCCAGGCCCACCCTTAACACTTGAGGGCCTGGGATGAAAGTACAAATGGAAGTCTGTATTCCATTTCACTAAATAGTTAAATTTATAAATCAAGTAAATAAATGTTAAATAAAATATGTTCCTTTCACCTGCTTTGACAAAATATCTCTGGAACAACCTGGAAGACCAGGTTTAAATTTGGACTTCTTGGACTACTTCGAGTTCTGCACTGGGACAGGGTGGTTCAGGGAGAGCCAGCCGCTGGCCCCTGGCCTCAGCACCCTGACTGCTTTCTTCTTTACCCGCCCCATTTACCCACCACCTCACTTCTAGCAAACAGGCATGCAGTCATGTTTTGGTCACTCCTTTGGCCATGAGGTATATACCAGCTTGGCAGCACTGCCAACCCTTGGGAAGATGGACATAAGGAAGAGACCCTAAGAAGGGCCTAGGATTGGGTTTAAAGCCATTTGGTCAGGGAATTCTGTGGTTCAAGATCATGGTCAGGGGAGGGAGACAGAGGAGCATGGGCTCCAGACGAACATATCCTCTTGCTCCACAGAAAGGGCCACAGCCAGAGGAAGGCCAGAACTGGCCCTCTAAAGTGTGGGGCCTTCTAAAGTTCCTGGGCCTAAGGGTTATGCTGTTCATAGCAACCCTGTGAGATTAGAGTGATTCCATTTTACATATACAGTAATCATGGTAAAAGGCACTGCTACCCCTATAAACCTTTAACAAATATGTGGCTTACTTATTCAGGGATAAAGAAAGCCCCTTTTGATCTCCTTATCTTTTTCATTATTTGCAGAGCCAGTTTACTTGGAAATAAGAAGGACTGTTTTTTTTTTTTTGAGATGGAGTCTTGCTCTTGCTCTTGTCCCCCAGACTGGAGTGCAGTGGTGCGATCTCGGCTCACTACAACCTATGCCTCCCGGGTTCAAGTGATTCTCCTGCCTCAGCCTCCCAAGTAGCTGGGACTACAGATGTGCACCACCACGCCCGGCTAATTTTTGTACTTTTAGTAGAGACCGGGTTTCACCATGGTTGGCCAGGCTGGTCTCCAACTCCTGACCTCAGGTGATTTGCCTGCCTCGGCCTCCCAAAATGCTGGGATTACAGGCATGAGTCACCATGCCCGGCCAAGAAGGACTTTTAAAAAAATATTGTTCTATGAGGCTGGATTAATCTTGTATCTTACACTGGTTGAACTAACAACAGAGATCTACTGAAACACATTCAAGGGCACGGGAAAGGAAATAAGCAATGTGAAATTTTACTGTAGCGTGTGATGTCTTGAGAAGGGGCTAAAGAGGCAGGAAACATTTGAGAGGGGAACTGGCCAATTTTCAGTATGTTAAAGGGATGTTACTCTGAGAGGATAGTGAGAGAGGGGTGGTGGAAGTCATTCACTCCAAAGGTATTCATTGGCTCGATACACTAAACTCAGGGTACAGTTTATATCTGATATGGAAGATAAGCCTACGGCAGAAAGGAATTCCAGTTCCTGAGATGTTAGTTTCTAGACAGACACTCCAGTCTACAAAGAAGTGACATTAGTTGTTTTGAATTTGGAATATATTCTCAGAGGAATAGTACTATATAAATGGTGGTTACATTCCCAGCATAGCTCATATAATATATGTAACTCATAACCTATTTAATAAACATTTACTGAATACCTATTGCATGCAAAACCATGTACAAGGTTCTGAGAGTTCTGTGCTAGGCACCAAAACTCCATAAATTGTCACTAAAATAACATGGTTGTAATATATTAAATGAAACAAAAAAAGCAAATATAGTTTTTTTTTTTGTTTTATTTTAGTCTTGAATGATGGGGCTTAACCAGGTTAAATAGGGGAGGTTAAAAGGTTTACTGTGGAGACCACATTGCCATTTGCAGAGGCTTTAGCATTTGGGAATACTGGTTCTTTATTAGATATTTTAATTAATTCTATTAGCACCATTTTTACACTAACAGGTTATGATAAGGCACTTCGTTCATTTACATCTGGAATGAAGACAGAGAGAGAGAGAGAGATGGAGAGAGGGAGCAAATGAGAGACTGGCAGAGAGAATTATTTTTGGCCTCTAGTCAGGGCTTGGGAAAGAGAGACGGCTGAAGGGAGAAGAGGACGCCTGGTTGGATAACAGCGCTGCCTGAGATGGAATGGTGGGAACACTGCGGGTGTGAGACAGAAGATGAGGAGAGAGAGAGACAGTTTGTTTCCCATTCTGGGCACCTTGTCTGTCAATGGGCCTGAGCAGGTGGGAGGGGGCACAGGGTGCTGGCAGTCATGGAGAGGTGCACTGTGGGCATCCAGTTATTTGGTAAGATGACTCCTTTCTAAAGGAGGTCCCTGCATGATCACCAAATTCATTATGGCCACTTAAGGATGAGTGTGGAGTATGGGTGGTATGTTGGAGAGAGAATTGTCCCTGGAATGAGGAAAGTATCTCTAGGATGGGAATGGGCATTTTAGATTGGAAAGATGGCAGGTGGATCAAGAAGAAAAACTGCTCCCCTTTGAAGGGGTGATATCAGTGAGCTCTCTTTCAAAGGGAAGCCAAGGGTCTGTCCAAATATTTAGGTTTGCAGAAAGCTGGGTTGTAATGAACACTGTGTTATTCTCAGTGAGGCTTTGAAAATGGTTTTGTTAAAAACATTTCAAAAAGTCCAAAGTAAGGAGGTTTATGGCACTTGACCTTTGTGATTATATCTCATCTTATCAAAAAATGATTACAAGGTAGATTACATCCTAGAGACTATTCTCATATCCTAAAAGCTAAGGCTAGACATTCAAGTTCTTGAGAAACAGGACAAAAGCCTTCACTTGAGTAAGCAATGAAACCAACAGCCCAGAAGAGTCAAGTATTAAAACCTATGTATGGGCCACACACAGTGGCTCACACCTGTAATCCCAGCACTTTGGGAGGCCGAGGAGGGAGGATCACTTGAGGCCAGGAGTTTGAGGCCAGCCCGGACAACAGGGTGAACCCATCTCTACTAAAAATACAAAAATTAGCTGGGCATAGTGGCGCACATCTGTGGGCTTAGGTACTCTGGAGACTGAGGCAGGAGAATTGCTTGAACCCGGAAGGCGGAGGCTGCAGTGAGCCGAGATTGTGCCACTGCACTTCAGCCTGGGTGACAGAACAAGACTCCATTTCAAAATAAAAATAAAACCTATTTATGTTTGCCAATTGGAAAAGGAAAAGGAATGTTGATTGGTTTGGTAACAGATGGAAACGGTCAGTGAGAAGAGATCTCAGTGGGAAGAGAAGGGTAGCAGGAGAGGCCCCGAATAGAGTGATAAGTACAATGATCACTAATGACTCTGGTGGGGAAAACTGGGCCAGTCCAAAGAGGCAAAGCTAGGGCAGCTCTGGGGTCTGGGTGGGAAAGGGGCGTCTGATCTCAGTAGCTGCTCAAGGCACAGCTGCTGCATCCACATGCAACGTGAAAGGAGGAGGGAAAAACGACATTTAACACACTGTTAACATGAAGCCCCGGGACTTAATTTTTAAAAGGTTAACGTTCTTATGTGGAATATTCTCCTTTCCAAGGTTACCCATTTCTTTATGTTGCTAGGTCAACAAAGTATTATAACCATTGTAATAATAATACCGATAGCAGCTAATATTTATTATGAACTTACGATGTACCAATATTGTGCTGGGTGCTTTTCTGTGTATTTCATTCTCAGGACAGCATTATCAGGTAGATTTTATTATTATTCCTGCTTTATCTGTGAGGAAACTAGGTATTGAAGGATTAAGTATGTTACCCAGGTCACAGAACTGATAAGTTTTAGAGCAGTATGTTATACATATTTTCTTATTGGCTTGGAGGGAAAGTACTAACATACGGTTCCCGGAGTTTTCTGTTTTGCAGCTAAGTTACACATTTTTGGACCTGCTTATCAGGTTAGTAGTGTCCCTTCTCCTTCCCTGGGTAGAGCAGAAGGAGGGAGAAGACTATTATCCCAGAAATGCAAGTTACAAGTCCTTGAAAAACAAGGCATTCTTGTTATGAGTTCCATTCTCAGAGAATGATGTAATTGGTGTGGGGTGCAACCTGCACCCCTGGTGATTCTAATGTGCAGCCAAGGTTGAGGACCACTGCTCTGGCAATAGGAAAGGTAAATACTATAAAAAATATCCTCCTGAGCCTGGTGTGGTCGTGCACAGCTGCAGTCCCAGATACTTAGGAGGCTGAAGCAGGAGGATGCAGAAGGCCAGAAGTTTGAGGATATGGTGTGCCATGATTGCACCTGTGAACAGCCACTGCACTCCAGCCTGGTGTTAAATAATTAATAGATCTGAGAAAGGCAGCATGAGACAGAATCTGCCTCTTTTTTTTTTTTTTTTTGAGACAGAGTCTGACTCTCACCCAGGCTGGAGTGCAGTGGTGCCACCTCGGGTCACTGCAGCCTCTGCCTCCCGAGTTCATGCGATTCTCCTGCCTCGGCCTCCTGAGTAGCTGAGGTTACAGGCATGCCCCACCATGCCCAACTAATTTTTGTATTTTTAGTAGAGTCAGTGTTCCGCCATGTTGGTCAGGCTGGTCTCAAGCTCCTGACCTCAACTGATCCACCTGCCTTGGCCTCCCAAAGTGTCTCCCAAAGGGATTACAGGCGTGAGCCACTGCATCTGGCCATCTCTTTTTCTTTTGTTTCTCATTTTTATTTAATATTTTAGAATTTAAAGCATTTAATTAAACAAAAACCAACTCATAAATTGGGCAGTCGCCAAACCAAAATAGGTTCAGAGACTCTGCCGCCGCCAGGTGGTGGAAGAAGGTTTATGGACAGAAAAAGGAAAGTGACCTATAGAAAACAGAAGTGAGACACAGAAACAGCCAGATTGGTTACACCTTAATGTTTGTCTTATTTGAACACGGTTTGAACAGTTGGCTGCCTTTGATTGGCCAAAACTAGGTGATTGGCACAAGAGTAGGTTACAGTCTGTTTATGCATCCAGTTAGGCTGCAGTTCATTCTGTATGGAGAAATCTTTAGGCCAAACTTAAAAGACATGAGGAGGTAGCTGTAGGCTATACTTAACAATTCCCCCTTTCTGGTTAGTGGGCAACATAATGAGACTTCATCTCTTAAAAAAAAATCCTTTAATAGGAATAGAACATTGTAGATAAAGAACACTGTAGATTACCTCCCCAATTAAATGACAAAAGGCAGGAAAAATAGGAAGGACAAGTATAGGGTATTATCCTAGAGATTAGAGAGAAAAAAAGGTGAGTCATGAGTTACTCCCACGAAGCTCAGCATCTATTTTATTTTTACTTCTTTGTCCAGGGAAATGCAAAACTTGATTAGAGTTAGGGATGAGCCAGAAGAAAATGTGAAAGGTTGAAAATTAAGAGCAGTTAATAAAGATTAAGAAAGTGGGATTAATCATCAGAAATAAGAAATAAATAAATAAATCAGCCAAAAATATTTATGTACAATGCACTGTGGGGATATACACATAACACATTCTGTTCTCAAATAACTCATAATTTAATTGATGAAATATGAAATACGTGAAAAGTTACTGGTTACAGTATGTGTGGCAGAAGTCAGATGAGGGAGATATCATTTCTGCTGCTGGAGTAATAATAATGCCTTATAAATTATAGTATTTTCTAGTTTTGAATCTTTCATATGATCCTCTTATCTTGTGAAATTTACAGGACAGATTTTTAGTGAAATTACCCAGATACGTTTTATGAATTGAAGCTCAGAAAAGGGAAATAATCTGCCTAGTATCACTCACACAGTAAATGGCAACAGAGGAGTGACCAGCAAGCACACAGGCCTCCTGACCTGGTTCTCTTTGCTACATAACAGAAACAAAGAGGGTTGAGCTGAGCCTTGAATTAGCAAGTGTTGGGCAGAGAGGCCTTGGGAGGAGGGCATTCCAGGAAGGGAAATGGCATGAACCTGTTTGGGAACCAGTGGGTGGGGCCAGGCTGCAGGCTGGAGGTAAGGGCAGATCCTGAGGGGTCTCTGCACCTCAGTTAAGGCATAGGGATTTACACTCAGGCAGAGGGGAGCTATTCAGGATGGCTGCCAAGGAATGTGACATGAGGAAAACAGGATTTTAATGACTAGGAAGAAACTTAGCTACAGATCTGGAGCCTTTGGCTATAAGAACATGTAATGATAGGATGGGTTCTAGAATAACTCTCATATTTCTGGGTTGTTTAGATATAGATTTTGCTTAAAAACTGAAAGAGATCCAGTAAAACAGACGCTTCGTTAGGACTTCTTTTTGACATTTAACTATAAAAAAACAAACGGGAAATGACTTACTTTATAGATGACTCTGTGACATGGCGATGACCACATGCTGGGCCTGTCACAGTGGTTTGCCAGGTAAAATTCAAATGTTTTCAACCTCCCAAAATTATCACTTGCCTATCTCATGGATTGCTGGATGCCAAGAGATAATATATGGAGAACACTTGGCACTGCTTCTCACCAACCATGTTAGCTATTATTATTTTCAAACGTCTAGATATTTTCCCTCTTGATTTATAATTTTCTCTTTTTATCCATGTGGAGTTATGGGACAGAGGTTAAGGTCAGAGACTAGAACTTCACAAACCAGATTTCTGTGATCATGACATAGTCACAAATTCTGAGTCACAGTTTCCTTATCTATAAAATGGAAATGATGATGCTAACCTTAGGAGGTTATTGAAAGGGTTAAATGATGTATTTAGAGTGGTTAGATGTGTAGCAATTTCTCAATAAATGGTGGCTATTGCTTTATTTCATTTTAAACTTGACACCAATATGATAATAATGGCTGGAACAATAATAGCTTGCAAATCTTTCTGGAAATCTCCCATTTACTCTCTGCATATTTGGAGTGACTGGAGGTATTATAAGTTGTAAGAATAGGGTTGGAGGAACACAGTGTGAGAAATGCAGCCCTCCTCCACCATCTTCCTGGGGGCAATCTTTTTTTTTGGTAACTGTGGAATGTTCCATAACTACCAACAGCACATGAAATCAGCTAAGAAAACTGAAAAATGTAAATCATAGTCAAAATCTCAAATTTTACATTCAGATAGAAAATGAAAATAAACTTTTAGATTTTTTTTTTTTTTTTTAAACAGAGTTCACTCTGTTGCTCAGGCTGGAGTGCAGTGGCATGATCTTGGCTCACTGCAAACTTCACCTCCCAGGTTCAAGCGATTCTCATGCCTCAGCCTCCCGAGTAGCTAGGACTACAGGTATGCACCACCACACCCGGCTAATTTTTGTATTTTCTAGTAGAGACAGGGTTTCACCATGTTGGTCAGGCTGGTCTCAAACTCCTGACCTCAAGCAATCTGCCCACCTTGGCTTCCCTAAGTGCTGGGATTATGGGCATGTGCCACCATGTCAAGCCTAGATTTTTATAAAGGTATTGACTAAAAATATTTGTTACTTTCCTTTAAACACACATTTAAAAAGATACTTACATCATAATATACACCTTGACCTGGCCAAGTCAGTGCTTTCTTCTTTGAATCCATGGGAATATCAATCAGTTCATATCTATAAGGATTACCTGAAAATTTCAGGAAAAGCAATAAATAAGAACAGTCTTTTAGAGGATTAATAGGTACAATAAATAGAAATGAGATAATACAAGGTAGAGATGGATGTTGGTGTACATTTTACCTATGTAGTTACAGCTTTAGAGAGATTCAGCTTGCTCTTGAATTCTTTTTATTTTTTATTTTTTTTAAGATAGCGTCTTGCTATGTTTCCCAAGCTGGACTTGAACCCTTGGGCTCAAATGATCTTTCCACGTCAGCCTCCTGAGTAGCTGGGACTACAGGGCAGGGCAGGCCACCACACTTGGCTTGTTGCTCTTGAATTCTTGAGCATGTGCAGGAGCAGCATGTGGGCCACACAGAGTGTGAATGAGTCTTTAACCCTAGTGCTCTCAGTAGTAATAGGAGTCACTAGTACTTCACCTTTCTTCTTAATGAGAGAGATCTTAGGTAAATAGTAAGTGTTCCTGGATCCTCTTTCTGATCTTTTTTTCTGGCCTCTGGGGGCTCAACAAATACATTTCTATATTATCTGTTTTGGCTTTTCTCTGCCTAAATATCAAGTTTTCTGAAACTGAGTTAGTACTTGCTTACCAAAAAGGTATTGAAAGGGAACATCTTAAACAATACAGCTTTTTAGATTTTGTTTTATATCTGATAAGCTTTACCAAACAGCATGGCTCGCTTTGCTCTCGTGATAAGTTTCAAGTTAAAGAATGTTCTGAACACCCATCTTCATATGTAATAAGAACAAGGGCTGGTGTTTATTGAACACTTACCATGTGCCAGTCACTGTACTGTTTTATATACATCATCACATGCAATTTTTAACATTACTATAAGAAAGGTACTGTTATTCCAACTTTAGTGAATAAAGAAATTGAAGCGGAGAGAGAATAAGTGATTTGTCCACATCTCAAAGGTAGAATTCAAACTCAGGCAATCTGATTCTAGAGTCTGCACTCTTAACTTCCTAACTTCTTTCCTTCCTTCCTTCCTTCTTTCCTTCCTCCCTCCCTTCCTCTTTCTCTCTCTCTTCCTTTTCCTCCCTCCCTCCCTCCCTTCGTTGTCTCTCTTTTTTTTTTTTTTTGAGACAGAGTCTCTCTGTCACCCAGGCTGGAGTGCAGTGGCATGATCTCAGCTCACTGTAACCTCTGCCTCCTGGGTTCAAGAGATTCTCATGCCTCAGCCTCCCAATTAGCCGGGACTACAGGCATGCACCACCAGGCCTGGCTAATTTTTGTAGTTTTACTAGAGACAGAGTTTTGCCATATTGCCCAGGCTGGTCTCGAACTCCTGGCCTCAAGTGATCTGCCCACTTTGGCCTCCCAAAGTGCTAGGATTACAGGCATGAGCCACCACACCTGGCCCATGCTTCTTAGTTCTAATAAAGAAGAATTAAAATAAGTGGAAGAGTAGAAACCTAATGCTGTACTAGTTCCTGGAAAGATTTTTTTATAAGGGTTGTTAGAGGATGCTCATCTTTTAAAAATTCCCTAATAGTGACTGAATGGTTGGAGAGAGGTAGAGGCTTGGAAGAGCAGGAAATTAAGATGACAACTTGTTTTTTCAGTCCCTTATGTTACTGCACTGAAAAGTGTTTTTATGGGCTGGCCATGGTGGCTCATGCCTGTAATCCCAGCACTTTGTGAGGCTGAGGCGGGCAGATCACTTGACGTCAGGAGTTCGAGACCAGCCTGGCCAACATGGTGAAACCCTGTCTCTACTAAAAATACAAAAACTAGGTGGGTGGGTGGGTGTGGTGGCACGTGCCTATAGTCCCTGCTACTTGGGAGGCTGAGGCAGGAGAATCACTTGGACCCGGGAAGCAGAGGTTCCAGAAAGTGCCACTGCACTCTAGGCCTGGGCAACAGAGCAAGACTCCGTCTCAAAAAAAAAAAAAAGTGTTGTTATGAATTCAACACATATTTCTGTGATTTCTTGCTAACTATGTGTACTTCAGATAATTTCAGAAATTACTGAATTCAGGATTGAGAAAAAGAAATCTACTTTGACAATTTACGTAACAAAGTCATAAAAATTTTACTTGTTTATGTATCATACTTATCATTTCCTTTAGAACATTTATAGTTCTTTTGCATGGCACCATCTCTCCCCACTTCTGCTATAGAGCTAAGCATGGTGCTCGATACTAACAGCCAGTATACTTGATACAGCTTTCACTGCCTTTTTCCAATGCTGCCTAGTCTGAGAGGCAATGGGAAAGTTCAGCATGGTACACACATACTGCAGTCATTATACGCTAGCAGGGTAAGAGAATAACTGCTAACATTTATCTCTGTTATTTGATAAGTAGGTTCTATTAATAATATTCCCATTTTGCAGACTGCGAAGCAGAACAGAGGAGTTCAGAAACTCTCCCATGGACCGCAGGTGAGTAAGTGGCAGATCCAGAATTCTACTCATGCAGTCTGACTCTAGAATCCATGCTCTTACATATTCCACTATGTTAGCTTTCAAAACGTTACTGTCTGCTAATAAGACACCGAGGTTGAGGCTGACGATGGCAATATTCTGTCCTTGCATTTTGGTCCAAATATTCATGTATAGAGGAACTGCAGGATAGGACAATTCTTGAGTCTTTTCTACCTCACCTAAATGCACTCAACAAATATTTGTCTTTGCCTACCATGTATCATTTCTGTCCCTCTCTCAAGTGTTTTCACTCTTTCTCCAGAGGTGGCCTCTCTGTTTACGCACATGTGTAGGACTCCTCAGCAAAGACCGAGGTGTCTAGTGTGGGAGAGATTCGATGACTAGTGTACGGGATTCCTGATAAAACACATTCACAAAGACTCCAAGGTTTGCAGCTGGGAGAACCTGCTCCAGGGTGTTAAGAAGGACTGAACAAACTACTCCCATTGCTTTCTGCATCTTATTTCAATGGGGATCTTTCAATTCTATCACTGCTGCATCCACGTCCAGACTCTGTGATTGATGCAAACACTGTCCCTTGTGCTGATCACCTGGGCTAGGATGAAATTTTTAAAAGCTAAACCGTGAGAGCAGGAAAGAAATAAAAATAGAAAATAGAAGTGGAATAAAAACCACCAATTCTACAACGTTTTGGTTTCTGATTGTAACATGAGAGGCTGTGTCAAGGGGAAAGTTTGGGAGCACCTGCAGAGAGTCTGATTTGATGGGTCCATGGTGGCGCGCCAGCTGATTTGTAAAGTCGCAGCTGTGAACAAGTTTCCTGATCTATTGAGTCACACATTTGTGACTTGAGTCCTTTGTGCTCCTTGCTTTAATTTTATTATTGAAGAAATCCCAATAATAAGAATTAATACAGTTCTGATTCCAGGTCACATTTTACCTCTTGTCTTCAAAACTGTTGAATCATAAGCCTTGGTTGGCACCGTGGGAGGAAAGGGCTGCTGGGTGCGGGCTTTAATGCCCGTGTAGAGGTCCTCAGGTGACGTGAAGGTGGGGAACATGGCGCCGCGACAGATGTGTGTGTGGTAGGGGTGTTCAATTGGATATGGCAAGCAGATCTCTCTAAGATTTATTGAGGAAACAAAACAAAATGAAAAGAACAGAAAGAAGTATGGTTGAAAAAATTAATCATCAAAAATTTATTGGGACCCTTTTTTAAATGGCAGAAACTGTTCTAATGCTGGGGGATAGGACAGTGAGTCAATGTCCCTGTGCTCATGGAATTAGCATTCTCTTGGAATGTATACCACAAAACAGGACATTTTCTTAATTTTGCTAGACAAAACTAAATTTAATTTTAAAATAAATCATGCCCAATTCTTTGTCAGTGAGTAAGTTTCATAACTCGTATAAAAAATATAAAGCAAAAAATAAATGAGTTTTGTGTTTGTAGAATGGTATAGTTGCTTTTAATTACTGTGTCTTATTTTAAGAGGCTCCCAGGAATTGTTTTGGGCATTCTGCTTCAGCAAAGTGATCTCTAACCATCTTTGAATGAACTTTCAACCCAGGCCATCTGTTTCTTTAAGCAATCAATCAACAATCAACAATCAACAAAATATAACCCCTGTTTATATACACAGTACTGCTTCAAAATCAAAAAGCCAAAAACAGCTAGCACACTGAAGGAAAAAATAAACATGTTAAAGAGACCATAGGGATATAATTTTCCTATCATTTGGAGAACTGGCAGAGGTTAAAAAAAAACCATGTGGGAGCTGTCTAAACTAGAAGAAAAGCAAAATTAGGAAGTCCATGGGATAGAGAAATGTTATTCATAACAAGAAAATTAAGCAGAAAAAAGCAAGACCAAGTGTTTATGTGTTGAATTCCTCCCTTCCGCCCTCATCCATATATTGAAATCCTAGTCTCCAGGGCCACATATTGTAACCTTGTATGGAAATAGGGTCATTACAGATATACTTAGTTAAGACCGAGTTATTCCATACTGGAGCAGGGTGGGCCCCTAACCCAAGATGCCTGGTATCCTTTTAGGAAAGGGAAAGTTGGACACAGACAAACACCTGAGGAGGATGCCATGTGAAGATAAGGCAGAGATCGGGATGATGCATCTACAAGCCAAGGAGTGCCAAAGATCACCAGCAAAGCCCAGAAGCCAGGGGAGAGGCACGGGACAGAGTCTCTATCACAGTCCTCAGAAGGAACCAACCCTGCTGAGGTCTTCATCTCAGACTTCCGGCCTCCCACCTTGGAACTTGCCAGGCTACAAGCAGAAAGGTGAATCCAAGAAATATGACCTAACAAAAAGGACTTTACTTTTCAAACTGTTTATGAAGAGAATTTGAAAAGCTCAAGACAAGGGTTCTTCACTTTGTCGTTTTTTAAAAAATAGAAAGACCAAAAAAACCTAGAAGTTAATTTTAATAGCCTTTTGAATAGGTCTTTAGCTGAAACACAATTTTTTAAATGGCAGCTTAATAATTTCTGTTAAGCTTGATAGAGGACTCCTGTGGCACGGAGGATACTGGGTGCTCAGATCTCGGCTTCTAACACCTGTCCCCAATCAAAGGAGTCAGGGTTTCTGGGAGTTATTATTACTATTACTATTATTTTTGAGACAGAGTCTTGCTCTGTCATCCAGGCTGGAGTGCAATGGCAGGATCTCAGCTCACTGCAACCTCCGCCTCCCAGGTTCAAGGGATTCTCCTGCCTCAGCCTCCCAAGTAGCTGGGATTACAGGTGCTCACCACCACACCCAACTAATTTTTTGTATCTGTAGTAGAGATGGGGTTTCACCATGTTGGCCAGGCTGGTCTTGAACTCCTGACCTTGTGATCCACCTGCCTCGGCCTCCCAAAGTGCTGGGATTACAGGCATGAGCCACTGCGCCCGGCCACTCTGGAAGCTATTATATAAGATGAGCCTGGATTATTGCAGAGTGACAGAAAGAAAGGAAATGCTAAAAGGAAAAAAAAAAGAAAGCCAAAACCCCACGATGATGGGGAAATGTCAAAAGAATATAGGAGCGAACTCAAAGAGCTCCTCATTGCCAATCTTAGTAACAAAAGAAAGTGGTATTGGATTGCTACCTAAGTACTAAAGCACAAAATAAATTTCCATGAGTCTATACTGAGAGAAATAAGTGATTGAATAAATAAACAAATGGAGTGGAATCGATACATCTCCCATGTAGAATGCCAAATAATTTATGCAGGTAGTCTGCTTTCAAGAAGGTGGAGTATAAATCCAGATGCCTTAAGTGTGGGCTGCACACAGACACACAGAGAACTTCTTCTAGAGTGCAGTGTGGAAAGGAGGAAAGAAAGAGTGTGTGTGCAGCGGGGAAACCTGCTGAGGACACCTCTGCCGGGCAGTCAGGGTTAACATCACCAGGGATAGATCATGCCAACGGCATGTACCCTTGCTACGATGCGATGAAAACAGAACTTTATCTCTGTGGTCTTCCTTCCACAAATACATCATCCCAGTCTAACCATAAGAAAAATGTCAGTCAAAGCCCAATTTGGGGGCATTCTACAAAATATCTAACCAATAATCCTAAAAATTGTCAAGGTCATTAAAACAAGGGAAGTCTGAGAAACTGTCACAGCCAAGAGGAACCTAAGGAGAGATGGTGACTGAATGTAATGCGGTACTCTGGATGGGATCCTGGGACAGAAGAAGGACATGAAGGAAAAACTGAGGAAATCTGGATAAAGCATGGATTTTGGGTCACAGTGATGCATCAGCAATGTTTCATTAATTGTGACAAATGTGCCATATTAATGTGAGATGTTAACAATAGGGGAAGCTGCGTGTGATGTATATGGGAACTCTCCACACTATCTTCTAATAATTCTATAAACCTAAAATTATACGAAAATAAAACATTTACTAAAAAAGATTTTCAGGGGATATAACAGGAGAGAAATCAAAGTAATGTTACCCTGGACTTGTACCAGCCTTTCCTTCCAACTGTTAAGACATAGTTTTCAGGCCAGGCACTGTGGCTCACGCCTGTGATCCAGTACTTTGGGAGGCCGAGGTGGGCGGATCACTTGAGCCCAGGGGTTCAAGACCAGCCTGGGCAACATAGCAAGAACCCATCTCTACAAAAATTACAAAAATTAGCCAGGCATAGTGGTGCACACCTGTAGTCCCAGCTACTTGGGAGGTGAAGGTGGAAGGATCACCTCATCCCAGGGAGGTCAAGGCTGCAGTGAGCTGTGATGGCACTACTGTACTCCAGCCTGGGCGACAAAGTGAGACTCTGTCTCAAAAAAAAAAAAAAAAAAAAGAAACGTTTTCATGGGAAGTCTCACTTGTTTTCACACTTCTAAGACATAGGAAATGTCAATTTTTTTTTCTTTGATTATAACAGAGAAGGAAAATATAAGTTATTTACTTACCCTACTGTTGAATTAGGCGGCTTGGGTATCCTAGAATAAAAACAGGAAACAAGTTCTAACTTATATTGAGGGCTTTTAAAGGTTTATATCCCTATTAGAAACTTGATTAATGATATAGGCTGGGCATGGTGGCTCATGCCTGTAATCCCAGCACTTTGGGAGGCCAAGGTGGGCGGATCGCTTGAGCTCAGGAGTTCGAGACCAGCCTGGGCAACATACAAAATAGAAAAATACCAAAAATACCAAAAATACAAAAAAAATTAGCTAGGCATGGTGGTGCATGCCTGTAATCCCAGCTACTCAGGATTACCCAGGAGGTGGAGGTTGCTGGGTGACAGAGCAAAAGTCTGTCTCAAAAAAAAAAAAAATAATAATAATGATATACCCCATTTTCAAACTGTAATGTCATTAAGATAATGTTCTTGATTAACTTTCTGGATTCCTGAATATTGACAAGACAGGCATATGTTGTTTCCTTATCTCAGTTGTCTGTTGATTAATTTTTCCATCCATTTATTCTAACCTCACCACTGTTTCTGCATTTTCCATTTGTGGTGAAGATACAAGGGATGACTACTTCTAATGATAAGAGAGCTCTGGTTCTTTCTGACCTTTACTCTCATAGTCAGGCAGTAGCCAGAGTGCTCTGAGGAAGCCTGACGTTATACATGGGGTGCAATTTCATAGCCTAAAGTGACGCGAGTGTGGCCCAGCTGGAGAGGATATTTAAGTACCATGTATGCTTTCTACCTTTGCTCTGTGTTGCTGATCTCTCATGATAGTAAATGTTGCCCGGTCAGCAGAGGGAATAGAACAAAACTGACCAAGTTCCTGGAAGCATGCCTTTTCTGAAGCAGTTCATTCCAAGGCTGTGCATTTACTAATTACTCCGAACCTTGCATGCCAAGAAATAATCCTGTAGCCCTGGAAAAAAGTCGACTAAAGACGGGTAATCATCCACCTACATTGGATTTCAACAATTCGTTTCAGCCTATGCAAATAAAATTCTGAAAGATTCCAGGTGTGAAAAATGAACAGAATGTTATCAATTTGATAGTAAAAGTCAGTAAAATTGAATACACTGTTTAATTTTTTAGATGTTCCTCCATGCTAGCAGATACTCCCTAGAAAGTGGCATGTAAGCCATATAAATTTATTATCCTGTAATGTATTATAAACACCTGACTCTCATGAACTATAAAAGTTTATATCTTTTTAAATTTCAACTCTAAATCTGTGGGCACGAAACTAAAAAAAGCATGTTCTATCTTCCATCAACATCACTGAGTTGGAAAGATGGTGGGGGCACAAAGGGCAGGGAAGTGATGAATATATGAATCCAAGGAATCTAGAGTTGTTATTAATAGATTGGCAACTATATATAATACATTAAGCTAGCATCTAAAATTATTCTTATGTGACAAATTCCACTACAATATTGATAAGCATATGCCTAAAAGCATATGCCATTTTGATTTGATTCGAAATGAAAAAAAAAAATAAATTTAAAATATAAAATCTTTTTTAAAACTTCAAGATCTGAAAAGATAAAATGAAAGTAACAAATGCTGAGACACCTCTTCCTTGACCTAAATCAGCCCATTAATTTTACTGCCACCCTTCACATCTGCTTTGCAAAAATCACCAAAGGGATAAACCGAGACAACCACAAATTTTGTCTTTTTGGCGCCATCTAGTGGCTAACTTCTATATTAAATTTTTACCTATCAACAACTAGTACTTCTTAATAAAGAAGTGATAGTTCCATTATTACTTCTATGCTGTCGTGTTTAATATTTATTTGTTTGTTTGTTTGAGATGGAGTTTTGCTCTTGTCGCCCAGACTAGAGTGCAATGGCGTGATCTCGGCTCACTGCAACCTCCGCCTCCTGGGTTCAAGTGATTCTCCTGCCTCAGCCTCCCTAGTAGCTGGGATTACAGCCGCCTGCCATCACGCCCAGCTAATTTTTATATTTTTAGTAGAGACAGGGTTTCGCCATGTTGGCCAGGCTGGTCTTGAACTCCTGACCTCAGGTGATGCACCCTCCTCAGCCTCCCAAAGTGTTGGGAATTACAGGCATGAGCCACTGTGCCCAGCTGTGTTTTATTTTTATCTAAAAATAAAAATGTATGCTTTTGTAATGTACACGACAAACTATTTAAAAGTGTAACAAAATAATACACTTGAAAAGAATACCTTTAAGTGACGGGTAAATTAACAAGTATGCCTTACGTTAAAAATAATACTTAGGAAGTGTTATTAAGAGTTATTTGTAGATGATAATAAAAAACTTCTATCCTTGTAAAATTCTGGTTGAAAATTTATTGAGGGCCACTATGGCATTTTCTATTGATATTTTAATAAATGTAGCAGATTCTTACTAGGTTGGGTAAGTAGGTCAAAGGCAGGAAAATGGACCAAGATAACTTTTAGGAATCCCTTTGAACATTACTATTCATCAGCTCCTGTTTTTTTTTCTTGATTTCTTTAAACACTAAAAACTATTGGTTTGTTATTTATTTGCTTTTGTTTGTTTGGTCTTGGTTTCTGGCATTGTCTCTATTTTAAAAAAGAAATAATTTGTTTCTCTAAAAGTCCCCATTTGGGGCTTTAAAAATGTCTCATATAACTCATTTCCACTTAAAAATGTTATTTGATTTTATATAAGGAAAAAAACCCAGACTTACAAAGAATCATTTCCATAGACATCACTTTTTTTGTTCTGGGTCAAATAATAAAATTGTTCAACAGGAAGCTTTCTGAAAAGAAAGAAAAGATTAAATTAAACATGTTTTAAAATTAACACAATATAATGGTGAGATAGTAAAAGACAAATAGATTAATAACATATCCACATATATGTAGAAATTCAATATATGAAAAGGTGTCATTTTATTTATTATTATTTTATAATAAATAGAGACGAGGTCTTGCTATGTTGCCCAGACTTATCTTGAACTCCTGGGCTCAAGAGATCCTCCTGCCTTGGCCTCCCAAAGTGCTGGGATTACAGACATGAGCTACTGTGCCTGGCCAAAGGTGTCATTTTAAACCAGGGGAAAAAAGATGTATTTTTCTTTTTTAAAATGTTAGAACTTTTTATTTATTTTATTTATAGATTTTTTTTTTTTTTTTGGTAGAGACAGTCTTGCTATGTTGCCCAGGCTAGTCTCAAACTCCTGGACTCAAATGATTCTCCCGCCTCAGCCTCCCAAAGTGCTGGGATTACAGGCATGAGCCACCATGCCCAGCCAGGATGTATTTTTTAATATAGAAAAAATTCAGTATTCATTTGAAATTATTCAGAAAGATAATTTCAGATGGATTTAAAAATCTAAAGTATTTGGGGAAAAACCTGTACAAAAATTAAAAGAAAATGTATAGGAATATGCTTTTTCTTTGGTGGTAGGAAGGACCTTTAAAACAATAATTCTATTTTAAAAGTCAAAAGCCTGAAAGAAAATTTGATCATCAAATTTAATTATAAGGCTGGGAGTGGTGGCTCACGCCTATAATCTTAGCACTGTGGGAGGCTGAGGTCGGCGGATCACTTGAGGCCAGGAGTTCGAGACTAGCCTGGCCAACACAGTGAAAACCATCTCTACTAAAAATAGAAAAAATTTGCTGGGTGTGGTGGCCCACACCTGTAATCCCAGCTACTCGGGAGGCTGAGGCATGAGAATTGCTTGAACCTGGGAGGCAGAGGTTGCACTGAGCTGAGATCATGCCACTGTACTCCAGCCTGGGCAACAGAGTGAAACTCTGTCTCAAAAAAAAAAAAAAAATTAATTAAAAAAATAAAAAATAAAAAAACTAAAAAACCCAAATTAAATTATCAGACAAAACCGTAGAAGTTCAAATAAAATAAAAATTAGAAGAAATACTTGCAAATATTAATAAAGATAACACATAAAGGATTGTTTCCAGAACATAAAGAACCAACAAGAATCTATAAGTAAAATACAAACAATAAAAATGGGCGAAGAATAAACGTAGAAAAGGAAATGTAGAATGGCCATACCTAAAGGATAAGAAAAGTACTCAACCCAACTAGTAAGCAGAGAAATGCATTCTCATAACCATGATACCCTCTATATTCATTAGATAGGCAAAAACTATACATTTTGATAATATAGATGGCCGGGAGTGTGAGGAAATGAATACTTTTAGACACTACCATGACAATATAAATCATTTGTGCTACATGCACTAAGGTTTAAAAAAATCCCTATACTATGACCCACTTAGGATTTGGCATTTATTTATTTATTTATTTAAATTTTTTTTTGAGATGGAGTCTTGCTCTGTTACCCAGGCTGGAGTGCAATGGCGTGATCTCAGCTCACTGCAACTTCTACCTCCTGGGTTCAAATGATTCTCCCGCCTCAGCCTCCTGAGTAGCTGGGATTACAGGCACCCGCCATCGTGCCCGGCTAATTTCTGTAGAGACAGTTTCACCATGTTGGCCAGGCTGGTCTCCAACTCCTGACCTCAGGTGGTCCGCCCACCTCAGCCTCCCAAAGTGCTGGGATTACAGGCATGAGCCACTGCGCCCAGCTGGATTTGCCTTTTAGAAACCTTTGAGCATGATCTCAAGAAGCCTTGTACAAGGATGCTTTTTAAAGTACGGTTAATGTAAAAAGAGACACAGAGAGAAAAGAATACATGACGGCTAATAATCTATGATGCATCCGTATTGTAGAATACTGTGAGAAATTAAAAACAATGTACCCATTGAAAATATAGTGTCATTTCCTGTATGTGTGGAATCACTGGATACATAGTATTAGGCAATTTTGGTTTTTTTTCTCTCTATAATCTAGAAATAGCCATATGTCTGTAAATGTAGACAAACATAGATCTACATCATTCTTTTTAACTTGCTTTTTCCAGCCTCCGAATGGCCCTGGAGTGTGAGGGTTATTTGTACCCCACAAGAATGCTCACCTAGAGAAACACGCCATTGAGTATGTTCTCAATAATTAGGTAGATAAAACGACCAGCTGTGTGTGTGTCAGGTTTTCTCCAGTCACCCTGGTGCTTGCTCAGTGGCTTCATAACGAAGTGATCATGGCGGCAGCACAGAAATTATCACATATGGACTCAGTGACATGAACTTCCCTCACTAAGACTCACCTGGCTATTGGCAAATTTGAGTTTGCCATCAGAAGTGACCAATCATAAGCACTTGATAGGGTGACCTATCCCTGGATGTACTAGTCAGCCATCTGGTGGTAGGATAATTACATTGAACCCCTTCCATCATCAAAGAGATAACTTATCCTCATAAGATTAGACACTTCTTCAAAATAGGGATTTCCCTTCCCTTCTCACCGTGCCTCTGCAAGTAACATCATCAGTAAACTTACTAAATGTCTCATTCATTGCCATGACGTATTAAACAATATTATTTTTGACTAAGGAACTCAATGTACTGCAAAAGACATTGGGCAACAGTTGGTTGAATTCAAATGATTCACCGTATTGATAGAATGTTAGGTTTTGCCATACTTACCGAACATTAGGATGGCTTACTGAATATTCAATTATGGCTAAGTGTTGTCCTAAAGAGTGTGGGACACGCTCTGAACCAGTGACCAATAAATAGATTCCCCCTTAGCCAGAATGCATGGTCTGAAAACCAAAGAGTGGAAGTGGGAGTGGTGCGTCTTACTGTTATACTTATGGTTACACTTGAGAAAATTTGACTCCCTCCCCAGCTACCTCGAGCTTTGGTGGTTTAGAGGTCAAGGGAGAAATGCTTCCATCAGGGGGTACAACAATGGTTCCAATTGCATTGGAAGCTGAATTGATAATGATGTGGTAATTTTGGGCAGGATGACTGATCCTGAATATCAAGGGCCAGAGGATATTACACAATGATGGGGGAAAGGAGTATTTCTGGAACCTGGGGAACCTTTTGAACACCTAGTATTGTCTTCAGTAGCATGGAGTTAATGAAACACTATAGCAGCCTTACACACAGGCAGAACCACTAAGAGCTAAGATCTCTTAGAACATACTTTTGGGTTGTTCTATCAAGTAACATACTCCTACCAGCTCAGGTATTTGCTGAGGGCAAGGGAACTTGGAATAGGTAGTGAAGGAAGGAAATTATTATTATTTATAAAAGCATTTTTAATTTCAATAGTTTTTGGGGAACAGGTGGTGAATAAATGAATAAATTCTTTACTGGTGATTTCTGAGATTTTGGTGTAACCATCACCCAAGCAGTGTACACTGTACCCAATGTGTAGTCTTTTATCCCTCACCCCTTTCCCAACCTTCCCCCTGAGTCCCCAGAGTCCATTGTATCATTCTTATGCTTTTGTATCCTCATAGCTTAGCTCCAACTTCTAGGTGAGAACATACAATGTCTGATTTTCCATTCCTGAGTTACTTCACTTAGAATAATGGTCTCCAACTCCCTCCAGGTTGCTGTGAATGCCATTATTTCATTTCTTTTTATGGTGAGTAGTATTCCATGGTATATCTATGCCACATTTTCTCCATCTACTCGGTTAATGGGCACTTGGGCTGGTTCCGTATTTTTGCAATTGCGAATTGTGCTGCTATAAACATGTGTGTACAAGTGTCTTTTTCATATAATGACTTCTTTTCTGGAGGAAGGAAATTATAACACCAATGATAGCCTCATGACCAGGTGTGGGAATGAGGACTACAGTCGCTTCTCCTATTTTCTGCCTTGATGTGTCTTATATACTTTTATGTATTTTCTTTTTTCCTCTTCATTTTCCTTATTATTTCATATAGGATGCATTGGTGATGGTTAACTTTATTAGAGAGCATAGGTATAGAATATTGGGACAAGATTACAACTGAACTAGACAGGAGTGGGCACTTGGAATTGGATATAGCAAAGTTGGAAACCACTTTCCTTTGGCCTCTGCTTTTGGGGAGGTGAGTATATTTTCATTTGTATGAAAATTGTTGCTTTTTTGTTTTTTTTAGACGGAGTCTCACTCTGTCGCCCAGGCTGGGGTGCAATGGCACAATCTTGGCTCACTATAACCTCTGCCTCCTGGGTTTAAGTGATTCTCCTGCCTCAGCCTCCTGACCTCATGATCTGCCCACCTTGGCCTCCCAAGGTGCTGGGATTACAGGCGTGAGCCGCCGCGCCTGGCCGCATTTTCTTACATTGAAGCAACGGTCCTCCAACTTTGCTGCACGTTGGAATTATCTGAGGTTATCTTGTTAAAATGCAGATTCTGTTTCAGTAAATCTGGGGTGGAGGCTGAGATGTGGCATTCGCCATTTCCTAGGTGATGCCGATGTACCGTGTATTGAATAGAAAAGCATGCTATTGTTGCTGCTGTTGTTTAGAGTGACAGTCCACTGGCACTCAAGACTGTCATCTTTACAATACCCTCTCTACATTTTGCTAGTTTCCCACATTTGGAACACCCCGCTTCCCAGCCTTCCTAGCAGCCAGGGTGCAAATGTGCCCTAAGTTCTGCCAATCATCCATATCTATACTAGATTTTGAGTTGACTGTGAGTAGCCTGAGAACATGAGCTTCATGAGGGGCATCCAAACCACCAATAAGGTTGCAGGAGAGGTGTCCAGTTAAAGAGGCACTTCTTCCCTGATGAGGCCAGTCCTGGGAGTGAGTCTGGCCACTATTCCTGGATGCCGAACAATGAGCCTATTTCTCTAGGCATCCCACAGTTTTGTCTCATAATCTTGCTCTTTTTTCTTTCTTTCCGTCTTCTTTTTTTTTTTGAGACGGAGTTTCACTCTTGTTGCCCAGGCTGGAGAGCAATGGTTAGTTTAAGAACAGGATTGCCGGGCGTGGTGGCTCACGCCTGTAATCCCAGCACTTTGGAAGGCCCAGGTGGGCGGATCATGAGGTCAGGAGATCGAGACCATCCTGGCTAACACGGTGAAACCCCGTCTCTACTAAAAATACAAAAGATTAGCTGGGCGTGGTGGCGGACGCCTGTAGTCCCAGCTACTCGGGAGGCTGAGGCAGGAGAATGGCATGAACCTGGGAGGCAGAGCTTGCAGTGAGCTGAGATCGTGCCACTGCACTCGAGCCTGGGCAACACAGCAAGACTCTGTCTCAAAAATAAAAACAGGATTGGCCAGGCGCGGTGGCTCATGTCTGTAATCCCAACACTTTGGGAGGCCGAGGCAGGTGGATCACCTGAGGTCGGGAGTTCGAGACCTGCCTGATCCACATGGAGAAACCCCATGTTTTAGTCTCTACTAAAAATACAAAATTAGCTGGGCGTGGTGGCACACGCCTGTAATCCCAGCTAGGCTGGGAGGCTGAGGCAGGAGAATTGCTTGAACTCAGGAAGGGGAGGTTGCAGTGAGCTGAGATCATGCCACTGCACTCCAGCCTGGTCAACAAGAGTGAAACTCCACCTCAAAAAAAAAAATTAAGAGATATGCAAGTGTAACTGGCATTCTAAGTGGAACAAGTATTTTCTCTCTCCTTGTCACATTCAGTAAGAGATCATGCACAAATATCATTTTGAAGTAGATCATCCTTAAGAAACAAGTCTTTGGCTTTCTTTTTACACACTGGAATTCTGTATGAATATTTCTAATTCTTATAAAGTATTGTGCATTTTTTAATAATTAAATTTTGGGAGGGCAGTAGCTGTAAATTCCATACAGAGCTATCTCCCCAGTCTCTAGAACAATGCTTCCTATACTTAAATTACTGAGCAGATAAATGAATAAACAGATGCACAAATAAAATGAACAGATGAAAAGAACTTGGGTGTTGGAGTCAATACATCTGGATTCAAATCCCTATTCCACAACTTTATAATTGTCTGACCCAAGGAAAGGTGCTGAATCTCTTGGGTCTGTTTATTCATTGTAAAACAAGGATGGCAGTATCTGCTTCAGAAAGACATTACAGTTCCATGAGAGCGTGGGCTTAAACACACCTGTTGAGTGAATGAATGAATGTGAGGTCCTCACTATCTATTATTTATGTTGATGTCTGAATCTTTCTAATTGGCCTGTGACTGTCAGGCCTTTTTATTTGTCTGCTTTTTATTGCTTTTCTGAGGCTTTGATAAGGTCATCGGCGGCACATGTCCCTGTTGTTAATGTTTCTCTCTCTTGCTGTGGCTTGTCTGCCTTAATTTATTTCTTTTACCTGCTTTAGAACAAAGAACTAGTTAACTAGAGTGTTCATAAACCAGATAATCAGGATTGTTAGATAAAGCAGGAGGAAGCAGGCTCTGTGCCAAGTGTATGATAGACTCTGCTCTGAGTAAATCCTTAGGAAATATTTAATATAACATTTGCTATTCAGATTTTTTTCTGCTTTCTGTTGAATTTTAATGTGTTTTGAATAGAGTTGCTGAGTAACTTTAAGATTTATAAACTATTATTGAAAGGTTTTATCACCTGAAAACAATGCCCAGTAGATTCTAGTGACTATCAAAAAGACTGACAAATTACAAATCAAAAGTTCCAAAAACCAAGAGCATCTGTACAGATTAGGCCAGGTCTTTGCTCAAACAAAAATATTTAAAATTTAATTGTTTTCTCTCTTTCTATCTCAGGAACATTAAATGAATCAAAATTTCTGATCACAATATTTTAACATCACTAAGGACAGCAAAAACCATTCATTTATTATTATTTCACAATTAGAAATTAATTTTTCATTCTGTGTCTTTTCATAAATAGTAAGAGAAATAAGTTTGAAGACAGATTTAAGCAAACAAAGGACTCACAATGGAAGTAAAGAAAAATGGATAATAAAGACCTTTCTGTGAATGGCAGAAAGTTTATTTACCTTGGCCAGGTTTCTCCACCAAATCCATAATGCTGATGTCCTTTGCCCATGACACGAGGAGGCTCATACTTTGGCCTGTGGTCCTCGGGGAGTGAAATCGGTATTATCCCACCATACTCTCTTTCAGCGCCCCAAGGAAGCCTACATTGTTGAAGTGACTCCCTTAATTCCTGATACCTGTGAAAAAAGAGAGACTTCAAAGAGCCTCAGCAACATAACAGATGCATAAAATTGCATAACAGATTGCATAAAATTCCTACCACTTCATAAGTATTTTCAGATTAAATCTTCAGAACACAGAATTCTCAGTGTCAGGTAGATTATGATACTGGTTATTTAGGCATCATGGGACTGCTGAAAGAATGAGGTTAAATTTCTGAGGACTTACAGATTATCCTTTTTTTGGTCATCAGTTATAGTGTGTTTATTTTTTTCATTTTCGTTTTTTTTTTTTTGAGACAGGTTCTCACTCTGTTGCCCAGGCTGGAGTGCAGTGGCATGATCTTGGCTCACTGCAGCCTCTGCCTCCTGGGTTCAAGCAATTCTCCCACCTCAGCCTCCCGAGTAGCTGACATTACAGGGGCGTGCCATCACACCCGGGTAATTTTTGCATTTTTAGTAGAGACGGGGGTCTCACCATGTCGGCCAGGCTGGTCTCGAACTCCTGACCTCAGGTGATCCACCCGCCTCGGCCTCCCAAAGTGCTTGAGATTACAGGTGTGAGCCACTGCATCTGCCCATGTGTTTATTTTTAAAAACAGGTTTATTGAGATTTAATTCACTTGCCACACAATTCATCGATTTAAAGTGTACAATTCAGGCCAGGTGCAGTGGCTCATGCCTGTAATCCCAGCACTTTGGGAGGCCAAGGCAGGAGGACTGCTTGAGCTCAGGAGTTCAAGACCAGCCTGGGCAACATAGCAAGACCCTGTCTCTATTTTATAAATTTATAATTAATTAAAAAATAAAGTGTATAATTCAATGGCTTTAAAGTTTATTCACAGATAAGTGCGAGCATCCCCACAGTCAACTTTACAGCATTTTCATCATCTCAAGAATACCCTGTATTGCTAAGCCATCATCCCCTATACTCCCCACCCTCACTCTTTCCCTCGGCAACTATTATACTAATCTACTTTCTGTAGATTTGCCTATTCTGGACATTTCCTGTAAGTAGAATAATGTAACACGTGGCCTTTTGTGATGGGCTTCTTTGACTTGGCATAAAGTTTTCAAGGTTCATCCATTTTGTAGTATGTGTCCATACTCCATTCCATTTATTTATTTATTTGTTTTTTTGAGATGGAGTTTCGCTCTTGTTGCCCAGGCTGGAGTGCAATGGCGTGATCTTGGCTCACTGCAGCCTCTACCTCACCTCAGGGTTCAAGTGATTCTCCTGTCTCAGCCTCCCGAGTAGCTGGGATTACAGGTGCCCACCACCACGCCTGGCTAATTTTTTGTATTTTCAGTAGAGACATGGTTTCGCCATGTTGGCCAGGTTGGTTTTGAACTCCTGACCTCAGGTGATCCCCCCTACCTTGGCCTCCCAAAGTGTTAGGATTACAGGCGTGAGTCACTGTGCCCAGCCCTTCATTCCTTTTAATGGCTACGTAATATTCCACTGTATAGATATATCACGTTTTGTTTCACCATTCATCAGTTGATGGACATTTGGGTTATTTTCACCTTTTAACTCTCGTGAATAATACTGCTATGAATATTCATGTTCAAGTTTTGGTTTGAATACCTGTTTTTAATTCTTTGGGGAATTAAATTAGAAGTGGGTCATATGGTGATTCTGTTTAACTTGTTGAGGAACTGCCAAACTGTTTTCTACAGTAGCTGCTCCATTTTACATTCCTACCAACATTGTATGAGGATTCCAGTATCTCCACATCTTTGCCAACACTTGCTATTTTCTGTTAAAATTTAAAAAAATTATTGCCATTCTAGTGGATGTGAAGTGGTATCTAATTGTAGTTTTGATTTGCATTTCCCCAATGACTAATGATGTTGAGCATTTTTTTCCATGTACCTATTGGCAATATCTTTATTGGAGAAATATCTATTCAGATCCTTTGCATTTTTTGTTATTTGTCTTATTTTTGCGTTACAAGAGTTCTTTATATATCCTACATATAAGTCCCTTGTCAGGGATAATAGGCAGATATTTTCTCCTGTTCTGTGCAATTACTTTTTACTTACTTGATAGTGTCCCTTGAAGCAAAAAAGTTTTTTAATTTTGACGAAGTTCACTTGATCTGTTTTTCCTTTTATTGCTTGTGCTTTTGGAGTCATATCTAAGAACACAGTTACAAATCCAAGGCCATAAAGATTTATCGCTATGTTTTCTTCTAAGTATCTTACAGTTTAGCCCTTACGCTTAGGTCTTTGATTCAGGATAAGTTAATTTTGGATACAATATGAGATAAGGGATCTCATGCATCTATTCTTTTGCATGTGGATATCCAGTTGTTCTAGCTCTATTTGTTGAAAATCCTTCTTCCTCATTAAATGGTCTTGGCTAAAGATTATCTTTGGATTTTCAGAAATGGAGAGTATTGTAAAGGAATATTCCTAATCTTGTAAAGGAGCTACTTACCCATAAGTTTTATCTAGGGCTACTATAACAATGGTTCTCAAAGAGTGGTCCCTAGACTAGTTGCATAAGCATCTCCTTAGAGCTTCTTAGAAATGCAAATGCTCAGGATCCATCTCAAAACCTAAGAATCAGAATCTCTGGGGATGGGGTGCAGTAATGTTTTAAGAAGCCCTCCAGGTGATTCTTGTGCATGCTAAAGTTTTAGAAGCACTATTCTATTCAATTGTTACCTTGTAAGTTAATCATGTCTCCAAGTCCCACCCCTTACAACAGTACTATGCAGTGGACTGGCGGTTTCCTAAATTGGTTGGTAGGGCTTATCTAATCTTGAAACTGGTAGCTCAGATGATTTACTCTGCTTTTTCTTAACAAAGGAGTGAAGGGCAGGGATTCTACTGGCTCACTGTTGTAACCTTTACCCCAGTGCCTGGCACACAGGAAGCACTCAAATAATACTATTGAATAAATGAGTAAGGCCAAAGAGATGGATTTGTTTCCTATACTGCTTTCTGTGATAGAGGAATCAAATCTTCTGGTTAGGAACACAGCCTTACAAAAACACCTGCAAATGCATCTGGCAAAAGTTCTGCTTCCTAATTAGGAAGGATTTAATGACTTTCAGTTTCCAGTAATGGCGGCCTAGGTTATTTGGACCAAACTTCCCACTGAAAACAACTAAAAATACTGGGAGGAGAAAAAAAAATCTTAAAAACAACTAGCTTTTTGACAAGACAGAAAGGGATAAGTGCTACATAGAGGGTAAATAGGAACCCAGTGAAGTAAGCAAGCAGGGAAGCCACTTCTGCCCTTAGGGCAGGGCTGATCCTGGCAAATTTACATTTTTGTTTTAAGGTGAGGGATATGGAAATCAGCCAAGTGAGGAAACTAAAGGAGACCATCTACACAAGAAGCTGGGACCTTAAAATGCTTACCCTCTCATGTTCAAGGTGAGTCAGAAGTTAACCAGTTCCCCTGTGGCCCCAGTTTGCATCTACCCTAAACTTAAGCTTGGATTTAAGTGGTCCTGGATTGGTATTATGGTATATACCTATAAGGCACTTTGCAGGACAAACAGGAATCCTTTCAGTAGGAAGGATTCTTGCGGGAAATCACAAGATGTGTTCTAAAGGATGAGTAGGAGTTATCTAGAGGAAACAGAAGAAATACTGTGGCATGCAAGGGAATAGCAGGTAAAAAGGCCTAGAGTTTAATAGACTGGAAAATTCCTGACAGTGTTGACTTCAGTGTAGAATCTCTCTTAGGGAAGAATTACTTTTGTTTGGTAAAATATTCTGTTAAGCCCCTTGCAGACACAGAGACTCTGAAAGTATGGGTGGTGGTAGGAGCTCAAGCAAGCTCAGACTGATTAAACTGCTCTGCAGTGGGAGAAACTTGTTTGTTTGCTCTTGAAAGAGGGAGAGGAGAGGAAAGGGGAGTAAGGGAAGAGGGAGATGAGAGGAGCCAGCAGGATGGTGAGGCTACTGGGGACTGCACTGGTTGAAAACCCAGGGAGAAACCCTTGGCGACAGCTGGTTAAAGACCTTTTAAGAATGTGGAAGTTATGGCTAACAAGGTGTTTTGGTTACATGTAGCATGGCATGGTGTGACTCTCCTTCCTGATCCCCAACAGTTCAGTGAAGTTTACCAGGCTCACAAATGCTCTGCATGGACAAGGTCCTTAGAGAAAAATGAGGGATGACTGAGTTTCACATCTGGGTCAGTGTGTTGTTTTAAGTGGAACCAGGAACCCAAAGTCAGAAGTGACCATGAGACTTTCAAATGCTATCCCTATCCTTGTCCTGGGAACTTGGATAAATTTGGAGGAATTCCACAAGGCATGGAGTAAAGATCTGAGATCTCAGTAGAACTTACCCAGATCTTAGGGGCTGAGAAAATAGAGTTGAATTTTGAACTATATTAGAAGAGTTGATATAGAATTCTAGAACTTGGGGCATGTAGACAAGGGCCATGGTGAGAGGTGGAGCATGAGAGGAAAACAAGGACAGTATCCTGTGGGGCCTTCTAAATCCTCTGGACTATACCCTGAGAACAGTAGGATCCAGTCAGAAACATGGAGGAGAGGAAGGGGGTGGTGGGGTGAAGGGTTGGGGGAGGAGGGCGAGAGAAGGAAGGGGGAAGAAAGTGGGAGAAAAAGGGAGGGAGAGAGAGGGGGAGAGAATGGGAAAGAGAAGGGGAGATAGGTAGGTAGATAGGGAGAGAGAAGGGGAGAGACAGGAAGAGAGAGAGAGGGAAAGAGAAAGAGGTATGGACTGTGGAGCTACTTTTTTCTCTTTACCAGTACAGTGCTTGGCTTAACATAACCCCTCCTCCCCCACCTGTAATAATTGTTGAATAGAATGAAGAAGCAACACTCAGGACTATAAGTGGAATGTATTATCTTGTGAAGTCACTAGATTGAGAGTTGGCAAAGCATGGCCCATGGGCCAAATCCAACTCCCTGCCCGTTTTTGTAAACAAAAGTCTATTGGAATACAGCCATGACCATTCATTTATGGACTATATACATACGGTCTATGGCTGCTTTTGCCCCACAATGGCAGAGTTGAATAGTTGGACAGAGACCGTAAAGCCTACAATATTTACCATCTGGCTCTTTACAGAAAAAAAGTTTGCTAACCCCGCACTGGCTAGGCAAGGAGAGTCCTGGGCCCACTGATTTGGGGTGCTGCAGAAGGGATGCTGGCATTCAGCTCTCAGACCTCTACGTCCTCCCTAGCTGTCTGACAACGATCAACAGACACGATTTGGGGGACATGACAAGTGAAAAATATTTAAATGCATTTGATTAATGACAACCTAAGCTTTAATATCTAAGTTTGTAAAAGTTACATTCAAAACCTAAATGAGTCAATTTCTCAACATCTGACCCCCGTATATTACATCGTCCCCAGAAGATGAGCCGGTAGAAAATGCTAATCAATCATTTGGGCTGGCATCCACCTAAAGCTGGAAAGTTGCAGGAAATCATTTAAAATAAAAGACAATGCATAAATAAGTCATATTTCCCTCTTACTTTAAGGTATCATGTCTCCCTCCCCTTAGCCTTAATACTCACAGAATTGTAGAGAAGGAACCAAATTAAAATAAAAATTGACATTTTAGGATGTAATAATTTAGGATTTCATGATAGGATTTCATTATAGGCTCCCATTTGTTTCTGGATTCACTTCATTGCTTTCTGATTCTTAAACATTTTTAAAAAATGATAGTTATCTGCCAACTCCAAATGAGGGCTATGTTTTAATAATTTTAATGAAATTTTAAACCTTTCTCTTTCCCCCTCTCTCTCCGTCTCCCTTTCTCTCTCTCCCTCTTTTCCTCCCCCTCTCTCTCACTGTCTCTCTCACTCTCTCTCCATGTCTCTCTCCCTCTCTCTCCCTTTCTGCTAGCCCAGTAGTTCTCAATGTAAATAAAATACATCTCTATAACAAAGAGAATAATTATCAAATTATTGGTGCTACCATCTCTAGCGATAGAAAATTGTTTACTTGTTTTTGAAAAGGACACATTCCCTATAGATGAGCCAGTATTTCATTTTAAAGTCACTGTACAAGATTTTATGCATCAAACCCCAAATTCAGTAATTTAGCCAGTAACTACTAGGAGGCGTGACTAGAGAAAAGCTCGAGATAAACATGACCCGCATTTTTAGTTGGCAGATAACTATTATTTAAAAAAATGTTTTAAGAGTCGGACAACAGCAAAGTGAATCCAGAAACAAAATGGGAACTGATAATGAAATTCTATAATGAAATCCTATTATATAATGAAATCCTAAGCAATTCTCAAGGCACTTCCTTAATGGATATGTTTGTTTGCCCTGTGAGCTGAGAGAACTTGCTAGAAGTTAAGGAGAAGTCAGCTGAATGAAAAAGAGGATAGGAATCTTGATGATTTTGAGTAGCTGTTCCTGCCAGTTAAATTTTCAACAGAAGAAATGAGAAAAAATTACCACCTGTTTATATACTTAATATTTTTAATGGAGATCAAGCAAGTTTATATAAAATAGTGGCTAGCATAATTGTCCCAAAAAATCCACTTGAGTAAAGTAATTAAAGTGTAGCAACTAACTTGCTCTTGGTCATCAGGTAAGCCAGATCCATAGTCCTGGTTTTCTTATATTTTCAGTGCTGCTAGCCCAGTAGTTCTCAATGTAAGCTGAAAAACTAAAAAATGCAGATTCCCTTGCACCCCCTCAGACCTGGGGAGTCAGAATGTCCATATATAGAGGCAGCCTGGGAATCTGTTTTTCTAGAAAGCTCCTCAGGTGATTTTGAAGTACCCTGTCTGTAGACCAGTCCTGGGTAACAGGGGAGCTAGGCCGTGTCACCTATTTTTGTATTGTTTTATTTTGTTTTGATTTTTGAGAAAGAGTCTCGCTCTGTTGCCCAGTCTGGAGTGCTGTGGTGTGATCTTGGCATACTACAACCTCTGCCTCTAGGCTCAAGTGATCCTCCCACCTCAGCCTCCCAAGTAGCTGGGACCTACAGGTGTGAGCCACCACACCTGGCTAATTTTTGTATTCACCTCACCTATTGTGAAAAGAAAAAAAAAGTAGGCTGATGTGAGGAAATCGTTTTGCGTCACTGTTAAAACTGCCAAGTGAGTGCCATGATGGCTGCATCTAGGTTGTAGGTATGGCCTACATGATCTAAGTTGTACCTGGATACATCATGATATTGAAAAAGGGTGTCCCTTTAAGTACATCTGTGTTTAGAAAATTAAGCTGCTGAGTGCAAACGTATGCTAGGGCTCACGTTCACCCTTACCATTATGAAGGTAATCCTGAAAAACCAGGGGCTTTCTGTTTTGTATTGTTTTATTTTGCTGTTGAGATACCTTGTGATTCAAATTGGGAGCCACGGACCCTGCACTTGGTCTGAAGAAGTGAGGCTCAGCAATGATAGAACAGAGTTACCACCAGTATCCTGTTATCACCGTCCAGAGCCGTTCCATCACTAACACTGAGAGGAAAGACACTCTTTTGTAAGCTGTCTGGCTGCTTTTTAAGAGGGGGTTAAGAGGAGGGGTTCTGAGAACACATGATCATCCTGGTTTTCTTAATCTGGTGATTGTGAAAGGAAAGAATTCACGTGAAATAAAAGGGAAAGCAAGTTGTAGTTATTAGGAGCCAGGAGCATGGTTATACCTAGATAGAGCTTCAAATAATACCTTTTTGTAGTTTATAGTTGGCCATATATCGTGTTGAATTTTATAGTCAGTTAACAAAAAACGTGCTTCTCTTAAATTTCATGCCAGTTAAGGGTTTTGGAGCTGATCACTAACCAACTATAGGACCGTTTAGGTAGAGGGGATCAACATTTCAGTGAAAAGCCTTTGACAGTGCTTTTTGATGGTGCATTCAGATATGGCAGCCCTAAATTCTTGGATTCCTTTAGGCCAAATATAAAACCTCACATTGCTGTTTTTGAGCCAGGGACAACTGCCCATTCCCAGATCACACACAATCCACTAAGGGTTTTATTTGACTCAAGGGAAGCTCTGCCTAATGTGATAACCCTTGGAGTTGAACAGGAATTTAGGGCTGAAAACCACTCTTGTGAATCAGGTCAATGGTAGAGGAGTAGGGGCAGCAAGGACTGACCCAGAAGTGACAAGAGCTCCTTTTCCTCCAATACAAGAATATTTCTTTTCATTAAGTGAAAATAGCAATTGATTTAAAAAATGTTGAATATGATCTTTACATTTAAAAAAATTGGAGAGGACACATATTAAGATGTTAACACAGTGGTTATTATCTCTGGATAAAGGAAATATAGAGGGCTTCTTTCCTGTGCTTCATTTTCATAATTTTTCTGTTGGAAAAATAAAGAATTTGTTTTCCTTACAAATTTCTATGATTTCTACATTATGAGGAATGTGTGTTAGTTTTATAATTACGGAAAAATCATTCTTTTTCTTTATTAGTATAAAGAGCATGTTTGTAAACCGGAGAAGATCTGTGGAAGTCTGATCGAGATGGTGAAAGGCTAAGCGCAAGAAGAAAAAGGAGCTGAATCTGTGAGAATCAGTGTTTAGTCTGGCAAACAGAATTCTCACATGGGACAAGAGAATCTTCAGATCTTGAAGGGCTGCTAGCATGGGATGATGAATGACTATTCTGCATAGCTTCAGAGGGAAGAACCAGAATCAGCAGGCAGAAATTACAAGGGAAAAATTGTTCACATTAGAAAGAAAATGATCTAACAATCAGGAGCATTCAAAAATGGAATGGACTGCCTGGTGTGGAAGTGCTATCCTTTTTGGAAGAGTTTAAACTGAGGCTGGGTGACTTCCCGTCTGGTTTCCTAGAGAATTCTTAAATGATTGGGAGGCTGAGGCGGATGGATCACGAGGTCAGGAGATCGAGACCATCCTGGCCAACATAGTGAAACCCCATTTCTACTAAAAATACAAAAGAATTAGCTGGGCGAGGTGGTGTGTGCCTGTAGTCCCAGCTACTCAGGAGGCTGAGGCAGGAGAATTGCTTGAACCCAGGAGGCGGAGGTTGCAGTAAGCCGAGATTGTGCCACTGCACTCCAGCCTGGCAACAGAGTGAGACTCCGTCTAATAAAAAAAAAACAAAAAAACAAAAAACACAAAACAAGTAGACAACCACTCAGGCTATTTTTTCACTGTCCAGGTGTTTTGAGGTGTTTTTTCCTTTTCCTTTTCTCAAAATGATTCAAGTAAATACAATACAGGAAATGCTGACACTAAGATCTTGGCAAATTACTTGTGTGTATCTGTTATTTCATATGTAAAATGCAGATAACAGTAGTACTTATAGGGTTGTCATGAGGATTAAAAGAATTACTACATACAAAGCATTTGGTAGAGTGCTGACACACAGTAATCACTAGATAGGTGCAATTATTTTCATTGTAATTTTTTTTTTTAAACTTTTTTTCTAGGTTCAGGGGGACATATGCAGGTTCATTATACAGGTAAATTGCATGTTGCAGTGGTTCAGTGTACAAATTATTTTGTCACCCAGGTGATAAGCATAGTACCCAAGAGGTAGTTTTCTGATCCTCACCTTCCTCCCTCTCTCCACCCTCAAGTAGGCCTTGGTGTCTGTGGTTCCCTTCTTTGTCTCCATGTGTACTCAATGTTTAGCTCCCACTTATAAGTCAGAATAGGTGATATTTGGTTTTCTGTTCCCGTGTTAGTTTGCTTTAGAATAATGGCCTCCAGCTCCATCCACGTTGCTGCAAAGGACATGATCTCGTTTTTTTATGGCTGCATAGTATTCCATGGTGTATATGTACCATGTTTTCTTTATCCAGTCAACCACTGATGGTCATTTATGCTGATTCCATGTCTTTGCTATTGTGAATAGTGCTGTGATGAACATACTTGTGCATGTGTCTTTATGGTAGAACAACTTATATTCCTTTGATAGAACAACTTATAAGAACAACTTAGAATCCAATAATGGGATTGCTGGGTCAAATGGTAATTCTGTTTTGAGTTCTTTGAGAAATCACCAAACTGCTTTTCATAAATTAAATCATAATGTATAATTAATGTGTTACAGGGAATTTGGTGAAGCAAAAATTTACACAAGTATAAGCAGCAAATTCTGGGAGTATTTTTGGGCAGATGGTAGAAGGGCATGTTAGGGAACCAATACAGTACTATTTATAAAAGTCTTTGCTTACAACATATTAATTTCCCAATGAAGGAACGGACCATTCTAAGATTTTAGAATGTAGTGGATGAATTTGATGTGTGGCTTTTATAGTAGACAGCCACTTACTTCTCGAGTTCCTTACAGACACTTGAAGGTTCAGATAATTGCCACGTTTTGCCTTCCCTATTATATGATAAGCAGAAGAGCCCCGGCCCGGCGCAGTGGTCACGCCTGTAATCCCAGCACTTTGGGAGGCCGAGGTGGGTGGATCATTTGAGGTCAGGAGTTTGAGAACAGCCTGGCCAACATAGTGAAACCCTGTCTCTACTAAAAATGCAAAAATATTAGCTGGGCATGGTGGTGCATGCCTGTAATCCCAGCTACTCTGGAGGGTGAGGCAGGAGAATCACCTGAACCTGGGAGGCAGAGGTCCCAGTGAGCCGAGATCGCACCACTACACTCCAGCCTGGGCGACAGAGCGAGACACCGTCTCAAAAACAAACAAACAAACAAACAAACAAGAAACAGAAGAGCCCCAGAACAATAAATGTTTTTCCTCACATAATAAAATACACGAATACATTAAAACTGCTTTTTCTTGTTTGCTTTTTCTAGTTTTTGTTTTACCTGTCCTCTGAGGCAGTTGGGCGAGTAACCGTCTGGAGGGGGTTGTGCAATTCATTAGAGTAAAAGGTGTTGGACAGTATGTCAGCTCCTTCAAGCTCCCTGCAACAGTAGGGCCTGCCGTGAATGACTTCCATGCTTCTTGGCTAAAAAGGCACAACCTGGAAAAGAAAAGGAGGGCACATTTGGCTTGTCGAGTCAAGGCAGGCAGAAAACACATTTTACACTGCTAAATTGTTCAACCTGACGCTGCACAGACGTCACAGGCTTCCCTCTGCACTGAAAGCCGTCAAATCAGTAATAAATAGAGACCTAAATAAGTTCTATGGAAATAAATTTCAACTGAAACAAATCCACAAAGTGGACGGTGCCTCCAAGTAGTCACCAGAATGATCATCCAGTAGGTTCGTACCAGTCCGCTACTTTGTGGCCATCAACTGACATTCAATTCCTGCCTTAAATTTAACTATAACTATTCAAGAAAACTCACTTGACTTTTAGCCTGTGGTCTTTCCGAAAATTAGAGACTCTTCATTCAACAAAATAAGCGCTGTCCTAAAGCCTTCGGGGATTCTGGACAAGAATCCCTTTGCAGATGGTGGAGTCAGTAGTGCAGCACGAACGGGACCCTAAAGGGGATTCCCGGTTTCCAACTGCGTCGGGGAGAATCCCACCTCTCTCTCGGACTTGGGGGAAGGCCAGGAGCCGGCGTAGCTGGGACCAAGGGTGCCAGGGGTCGAGGCCGAGCCTCACGGGCTGTCACTGCCCTGCAAGCGGTGCCTCGGGGGTCTGGACATACCTGGGACATGAGCCTGGGGGCGCTGCGGGACCGCGCCTCCCCTCCCCTCCCCGCAGCTGGCGGCCTTCGCGGGCCGAGGAATTTTGAGGTCGTCCGCACCTACGGCCCGGTGGAGCTGGCAGGCAGGGGCGGGGGCGGGAGAAGGACGGCGGGCAGGCCGGGGTGGGGTGGGGCTGGGGGCGCTTGTGACGGTGGCCGTGACCGCGGCATTAGGTGATGCGTCCTTGAGGGGCTGGGGGCTTCCGGGCGGCGAGCGGGGCGCAGTAGGAGGCTCTTAGAGACCTCGGAGGAAACCAGCCCAGCGCTACGGGACTGGCAAGAATGCGAAGAGGAACCGAGAGTGAACGGAGTGCGAGGCGCCGGGTCGGAGGCGAGAGGGGCTCTTCCGCCTTGCGACCCCTGGCCCCGCCTCCCGGTCCCTTGCCCCGCCCCTCTCGGCTCACCGCCCTGCCTCCAGTCGGACCCCGCCTTGCCCCACCCGCGCCCCGCCCCCAGGCGCCCTCTAGCGGCGGCGGCGATGGCGATACCAGTTTCTTTTTCCAGGGCTACCAGGTCTGGAGCTGTCTCAGGGCCGGCCAGGGAGCTCTCTCATGTGGACTGGGCGGAGGAGGAAGAGCTCCGGTCCAGTGGAGTCCCTGGTGAGGTCGGAGCATCCGACCTGTCCTCCCTCCCCAGGTCACCTCGCAAAAATTGGGGACAGTGTGGCCAGATAGAGGGTGGAGTCTGCAGGATTCTGAAACTGCAGCCCCTGGCATGGCGCCCTAACAGAGTCTCTGCTCCTTCCCTGGTGGGTGCGGACATGGCAAAGTCCTTTACTTGCCTCGTCCCCAGGGCCTAGCCCCACCTTGATTACCTCAGTTTTCCCCAAAAGATACAAATGTGAGCCATGAATCTGCACCTACAGGGTCATGAGTTCCTGTGATGGCTGACAATAAGGGATGTCACCCCCCCCTCGCCACCTGCCACCCCATCAAGGAATGGGATGTGAGGAGGTTAGGTTGTGTGTATATGTGTGATATGGTTAGGCTTTGTGTCCCCACTCAAATCTCATCTTGAATTGTAATACCCATAATCCCCGCTTGTCAAAGGAGAGACCAGGTGGAAGTAATTGGATCATGGGGGCAGTTTCCCCCATGCTGTTCTCGTAATAGCGAGTGAATTCTCACGAGATCTGATGGTTTTATAAGAGGCTCTTCTCCCTTCTCCCAGCACTTTTCCTTCCTGCCCCCTTGTGGAGAAGGTAACTGCTTCTCCGTGGCCTTCTGCCATGATTGTAAGTTTCCTGAGGCCTCCGCAGCCATGTGAGATTGTGAGTCAACTAAACCTCCTTCGTTTATAAATTACCCAGTCTTGGGCAGTTCTTTACAGCATTGTGAGAAAAGACTAATACAGTGTGGGAGGCTAGAAATGAGCCTGCAGGAACCAGAAGGTGAGGGTGAGAATGACCACCTCTGAGAAGAAGGGCGTTGAAACTGTGTGCCAAAGAGTTAAAGAAAACAGTCATAGAAATTCTTGAGTTTACAGGATGGCAGATAAAAGAAACAAATTGCTGAAATGCTGAAATGCCTGGGCTTGTAGGTTAATAAAACTGGCTGAAATCCACTGGAACATATAAGGCCAACTAGAGTCTGCACAGATCCAGCTTGCTGACCTTACAGCTGAATTTCTACTGCCATGTTTCATACTAACTCCTCACTGAATTTGCACGTGGAACCCTTAGGTAGCATGAAGAAATAAGAGCACATGCGCAAGGACTTTCCAGACTTCCTCTTTCCTTCCACCAAGCACCTGCTAATCCCAGAATCCACACTCAAAACCATTTCTAATAAAATAATTGTCCTAAAGCCAGCACAGGGAGACAGATTTGAGCTGGACTTCCTATTTCTTTGTTGGTTGACATGCAATAAAAGTTTTTATTTTATCAAAAACCCAGTGTTATAGTATTGACTTCTAGTGCCTCGGGCAGCGAGCCTCCTTTGCTTGGTAACAGTATGATGGTGCCTTTGCTATTCTCTGCCTACTTTACAACTTTCTACTAACCAACCAGTGGGCATTCATTTTGTGCTGTGCCTTCTATGTGAGTGTTACCTGGAGTGGGGGAAGAAAGGTGTATTGAAGTAGGCACAGTGGTAATTTTGTAGTCTTGGTTTATTTCTTAGTTCCTGCACCTCTGCCGACCTTCCAGTAGTTACCACCCACTAAGCCTAGAGGAATAGATCCTGCTGGAGACAGAGTTGTGTATTAGGTGAAACTGGCTTTTATCTTTGACATCTTTATTTCCCCTCCAATTTCTGGTAGTTCATTGTAAGCTTTTGCCCCTTTTCTGCTCCTCTGTGTTCAGGATCTCCCATTAAATTCCTTGTCTCCCCAGCCCATTTCATGTCCCCAGTCTTCCAGTACTTTCTATACTTCACCTTTTTCTCATCCTCAACCTTAGTCCTATTTTCCCATGGCTTGATTCTTCCTGGGAGGAATAACTGAGCATGATAGATTTAATCAGAGGCATCTGATGAAGATGCATCACTAGCCATGTATGTACATGGATGGTAGTGACACCGGAGAAAGTGTGTCAACTCCAGGTTGAATGATCAGGATATGCCATGTGATAGCCTCCAGGTTCTAGGGGATTTGAAATTTTATTTTAGGTCAGATGAGTGTAAAAGGCAGATAAATGTAATTATTTTTATCTTTATCGTTTTTCAAATAAAATGTACCGGCAAGAAAAATTCATTGTCAGATCGTTGTAAAACAATTGTTTTCTTTGAAAATGCTTCTCCATCTGAAATTTTCAGGGATATCAGGATTGGGTCTATTTGTTTGACCAACACTCGTTACTCTTAGCTTTTGTGATTTAACTCACTCCATCTCAGCCAGGATGTGATCTCAACAACACAAAGTAGCCTCCTACCCAGGGATGCTCAAGTGACGAATTTCTTAGGTATAACATGGCCAGGGGGCCAGTAGCCTCAGATTGCCTTCTTTTGACTTCTCACATGTTGATCTTGTCACCACCTCATTTTGCTAGTAATCCTTCAAGCAGGGAAGATGAAATTTGGCAATGAAAATAATATATGCTTAGAATACTGTGGGTTGATGACAATTCCAAATCACAGTTAGACCTTTCACCTTCAGGTAAAGAATAAGTAGGAGGTAGATAATAACATAAAGCATGAATTACAGTCTATAACCTTTCTTTTAAGTCTGTTATAGAGACCAGTAAAATGAATGAAGAGACCAGGAACATGATTTTTTTTTTCTTTTTGAAACAGAGTCTCTGTTGCCCAGGCTGGAGTACAATGGTGTGATTTTGGCTCACTGCAACCTCCGCCTCCCCGGTTCAAACAATTCTCCTGCCTCAGCCTCCCAAGTAGTTGGGATTACGAGTGCTCGCCACCACGCCTGGCTAATTTTTTGTATTTTTAGTAGAGACGGGGTTTTGCCATATTGGCTAGGCTGGTCTCAGACTCCTGACCTTAGGTGATCCGTCTGCTTTGGCCTCCCAAAGTGCTGGGATTACAGGCGTGAGTCATGCACCCGGCCCAGTGAATATTTTTTACATGAAAAAACAATTTGGAGTCTGGTGCCTTGCTTAGAAGATGTGTTGGAAAGTGTCTCAGTAACGTTAAAATATGCATCTTTAAAAATTGAAAAACTTAAAGCCTTGTTGATTTCAGTATATGTATCTTCTTAGTAGGATGACAATTAAAAGTATGTATATTCTGCTGACTTTAAACTACAAATGAGTTAAATTACACTTTAATACTTTTTTGGTACTAAATAATTTAACCTAAGTTCAGTACTTTAAATTCTTCTCAAAACATATTTTCTTTCTTTCATAGTTGTTTATTATAAAAACGCAATCAGCTTTTTTGTGGGTGTCATTTCAATTTTTTTCTTGAAGAGGGTTATTTTTAAAGAGCATTGTAATCTCAACAGTCTTTATGGTTGTAGTCATGTCAACTATGATCAATTGAATAAGCCTAGAAATGTAATGTGCAGCACAAGGATTATAATATTCATAATATTGTATTGCATACTAAAATTTTTCTAAGAATGTAGATTTTAGATGTTCTCCTCCTCCAATAAAAAATTTACTGTGTGAAAAACAATAATAATTTTTTTTTTGCCTTGAGTAGCTAAGGAACTAGGTGGTCATTTAGTAGTGAACACTGAAGTGACGTTGATGCACACATTTATAAAATGTGCTATTTAGTAAACAGTTACCTAGAATGCATCAGGGGTTGTCCTAGCACCTACAATCTATGGGGACATGGAGCCATGGAGAGTCATAATCAGTGAGGTAAGTGCTCGACTGGGGCCAGCACTCTTGCTGTAGGGGTCCATGGTCACCTAACCAAGACTCTTGTGCTTCTGATATCATTCCCTTGGAAATGTCTGAAAAGCAATGTAAGGTTCTTCTATTTAGAAACATGATCATCAGGACCCTTTAGCGAGGTGACCCGGCCATGTGCCCTTGGTTACATGCAGTTGTTTGTCCTTGTGGCCTCCCTGGCATCTTTCCTTTTATCTTTCTTTGCATCTTCCTACATGGATATTCTAACATTTTGTCCCATGAATTTGAGTTCCTTCTGGGTAGCCTTTTTCTCTCTAATCTTAAACCTCTGCTCAGAAGACTCAGTGGTCAGTCTCTATTCCTCTGTCATGATTCAATGCTTTGAACTATGACCTATATACAGATGGCCCCATGTGCTATCCCTACTGCCTGGTTGAGTGAAGTTATGTAGAATATGTTTTCCACATATGTATTAAGTTCCACTACTTAAGTTTCTTCTTCACTGATCCACACACACAAATATGGATGAAACGTGTATTCGATAGAGAGGGTGGGCATGGCACTTCTAGATGCAACTGACAGGAAGACATGCTGTCCCCCGGGGGCTCCAGCTGATGAGGACAGTCCGGGAGCATCCTGTGGTGTCACATTCTGTACTCAGGGCATGGTGATACCTAGTCAGGGAGGGAAGATGCGGTAAGTACCCAGCATCTTCATCGCCTCCTCCCTCACCACTCGCTCTGTAACCCCAGCCACCGGGGACTCCTTCTCCATTTCCATAAACCTGACATTTCCAGAATGTCATGTCAACTGAATCATACAACAGGGAGCCCTTTGGGATTGGCTTTTCTTGCTCATCATAACTCTCTGGGGATGCATCCAGGGTGCGGCTGGGGTCAGTAGTTCCTTCCTTTTCGCTGCTGACTTGTGTTCCATGGTACAGATGTTCCACAATTTCTTTATTCATCCATGGGAAGAAATGAGGTTGTTTCCAGTTTTGTGATTATTATTATGAGTAACACTGTGGTACACATTTCTGGACAGTTTTTGTGTGAACATTAGTTTTCATTTTTCTGGCTCAAATTTGACTGCTGGGTCATATGGTACTTAGAAAATTATCACTTCCCCAGGTCTTTTCTTGAAACAAAATATTTAAGATAAATATTCTTTAAAGAGATAGGCAGCAAAGGTGGAAAACATTTTCTCTTTTTTTCATTGTGAAATTGTAAACATTCACAGTTGTATGTGGGCGTTTTTTGTAGGAAAATCAACCCATTGAAAGAGATAAAATACCCCTTTCCTCTCTTTTTCCTGTCTCTTACATCTCCCTTACCACTTCTGTCTTTTTAAAACACCTTGTAGATTCACCAGACCAGAGTACTTGGGTAGCAGTGCCAAGATCAAGCACAGTGATTGCCATAAGTAACAGGAGTTCACGAATCAGCTCACCATGAAGAAACTGCCCATTGTAGACTGTTCCTATCTCAAAATAGTTGGCTTTCCAGAAAGCCAACTCTAGTGGCAGACTCGGTTTTTAGCCCACAGTACAACTTGCAGCCTCTTGGTTTGGTGTGCAGAGTTGTTTTTTTTTTTTTTTTTTTTGAGACACAGTCTCACTCTGTCACCCAGGCTGGAGTACAGTGGCACAATCCGGCTCACTGCAACTTTTGCCTCCTGGGTTCAAGCGATTTTTCTGCCTCAGCCTCCTGAGTAGCTGGAATTGCAGACGTGCATCACCACACCCGGCAAATTTTTGTATTATTAGAGACGGGGTTTGCCATGTTGGCCAGGCTGGTCTTGAACTCCTGACTTCTGGTGACCTGCCTGCCTCGGCCTCCCAAAGTGCTGGAATTACAGGCGTGAGCCACCACGCCTGGCCAACATTTTTAATAATTGCGGCAAGTCAGCAAGAACACAGAGGAAACAAGAGGGTGTGAGTGAATTGTCCTTCTGTCTGTGCTGTGGTAAACAAAAGCAGTGGCCTCACAGTGAAAGTAGGATGTGAGCTACTCTTCTAGGGGAGGGGAGTGGTTGTGAGAGAGTGGTTGTGTTTTTATTACTTCTACCCAAATTCCTCCAGCTACTCCCTCCTCAGGTTTTCTGTTGTTCTTTTACTTTAGAACAAAGGCCCTCAGCATTAGGATCCAGTACAGGAGTTGGCAAGCTCTTTCTCCAAAGGCCCAGATAGTGAAGGTGCCAGGCTCCACGGGCCACATGCGATCATACAGTCTCTGTTGCATGTTCTTCTTTCATTTTACAACTCTTTAAATGTGGAAAGCACCCATTCCTAGCTCACTGGCTGGAATGCGTGACTCCCGATCTAGGCAAAAGACTGTCTTCTGTCTGGTGAAAGAAACAAGTTGTTCATTTATTCTGCCACGAGTCATGGGTCTTTGTTTGGTTGTCTATGCTTTGCTGTGTTTGCTGTGAGATTACTTTTTGTATCCTTGGTGTTACACGGAACAATCCCATCATTTGAAGACTTGACTGGAACCCTGTAAATGAGGACTTGTATGGATTACCATTGTGTTATTGAATCTGTAATTCCATGTGTAGCTAAAAGGCAATTCAGTAAAATACAATGAGATACACAGGCACATGTTATCGGAGGAAGACCCTGAAGCCTCCAGTGACATTTCTGGTCTTCTTTCCTCTTCTCTCTGCCTTTTTCCTATTTCTGCAGTGATTTGAACACTCAGCCAAGCTGCAGCGGACAATCACCACGTACATGTTCCTTGCCCTGGAGCTGGACATGACCCCTTTCATGGCCTCCAGGTAGGCGGGGGTGTTGGCCTGTTCTGTGTCCAGAGGGACTGTGATCAGGACAGGAACCCAGCTCGGAGCTCCTGTGATAAGATGACTGTTGATATTAATATAAACCCCACCTTCCAAAAACCTATTTATCCTAATCCTAAGATAAGACACATTTTAATGAGTTTTTTTTTCCAGGTACACTGTTTTTGCTTTGAATGTTTCTCTAACAATTTTGAATCCACTTTCAAACTGGCAAAGTCATCAAGGTGGGATCACAGCGAGAAGGCAGAGCTTTAATTGGTGGAACAGGTGTTGAAGTACAGACAGACATCGTTGCTTTTGCAGTTGTAGATTGCATTTTCCTTTTCAAATATGTAATATCGTGGGGCCCTTGGAATTTAAGCCTCCAGAATACCATGCTGTTTACTAATGTGTGAGACACATATGAGTTTCCTATGGAACTGTGACAAACAACCAAAAACTTGGAAGCTTAGAACCACAGAAATTAATTTTCTCACAGTTCTAGAGGTTGGGAATCTGAAATCAAGGGGTTGGCAGGGCCCCACTTCCTACAAAGGGTCTAGGGGGATTCCATTCCTCACAGCCTCCAGCTGCTGGTGTTTCCATATGTTCCTTCTGTGGCCGTGTCCCTTCCCTGGCTTCCAGGTCACACAGCCGGCTCCCCCGAGTGTGTGTCCAATTTCCCTCTGCTTCTCTGTCAGAAACAGTGGTCATTGGATTCGGGGCCTAGGCAGATCATTCCAGGAGTGTCTCATCTCGATATCCTTACCTTGATTCCATCTGCAAATACCGTTTTCACAAATGAGGTCCCAGTCTCACGTTCTGAGGGTTGAGATGCGGATGTTATGATTTGGAGGATGTTATTTTTTAGAGGGCCACCGTCCCAGTGCCAGCACTGTAAAAAGCATGTTGCCTTTTGTTAGTTATCAGCCTCTTCCTGGTGTCCTTTCTCATGGCTGTCCCACCCATCTTGTGGCACACAGATGTCCTCTTGAATAACACAAGATCACCAGAGTCAGAGCTCTGTGTTGTCAGCCTGACCACGACGTCACATACCGAGGGAGGTGACAGTACTGTTGCTAAGGTCAGGGTCTCAAAGATCTTGTGTTTTCGGCCAACCACAGCCATGGGAAAACACGGCAATAACGCGTGGGACTTCCTGTTCCCAGCACCCGCATCTCCCCCATCTCACCAGGAGAGGTGCTGGTGGAGAAATAATGAGCAGCAATCTTTGCCCCTTTTGAGGAAGCAGTTGTCTAGGTTGTGGAATGGATTTGACTTACCCTTTTCAAATGAACCCTTTACATGTGGGAGGAAGAGTGCCTTCACCATCTCTGTGTCACACACCAAAGTCACATTTGTCCCAGATCCAATTCCCATCACCAGGCCCATTCAGGACCCAAGTTGGAAGGGCCAGGGTCCAGGCCAGGTGACTCTGGGACCCAGGTGGGCTCTGTCTCGGTATCCTCACAAAACGTGGGGTGATATTTACCTGAAACATAAAGTGCACCCCAGTGCAGTGTCTGCATGGTCGGGCCCGGATAAGTGTTGGTATCATGAGAGCCTTGTGTCTCTGTGTCTGATGATTTTAAATGATGCTGAATTCTGCTGTTGTTTGTTATAGCAAAGAGAGCGGGATGAATGGACAGTCCCAGCAGCCCATGGACAGTCTCAATAACAACAAGTAAGTGGTGCTCAGCGGTGCAGGTGTCAGGGGCCTGTGGCGGAGAGCCAAGGGTGGGCTCCTGTCTGCCCTGCAGGGCGCCCAGCAGAGCTCCTGCCACTGACCAGCTTCCTGCCTGGCTGTCTGCGGCTCTGCTAGGAGAGGCTGCTCCATGCGGCGCCACAGATGCTCCCTCCTGTTGGAGGAGCCCATCTCAACTCCTGGGTGCTGGGAGAAGGGAGGTTCCATCTGGAAAGCTCAGTGTCCATTCTTCTTGCCTTGTTTTGGACTAAGCTCATGCACTAGGCCCCACCTGTGGGGTCAGGATAGACCACATGGATCGGGAGGCTTCAGGAACTGTGCTGAAGATGGATCAGGTGACGGTTGTGCTCTGGGTGGGAGGAACAAAACAATGGCCTCCCAGAATTTTGTTTAAAAATATTCCCCCTTTTTGGTCAGGTTCTCACTTAGGTAAGAGTGTGACCAAAACTTAGGGCCTTCGCGCTACTCTCAGTTACCATCATTTTGGGTTTCTGGTCTCAGCACGTCATTGATAGGTTGCGGTGTCCTCAAGGTTGCATATTTCTTTCAGCTCTTGTCATTCTGGTTGAAGGGAGACCATGTGATGTTCTAGAGACGGCTGCATGCAAGCATTTAAAACCTTCGAGACAATACAGTGCACAAGGGAGACTATTCTTATGACTATTGGGAGGATAAAACAAAGAGTTTGCAGTTTGCTCCTTACCCAAGGTCCCCATAAGTCAAACATCCTAAAATCAAATAGAGCAAAGAATGAGCTAGATAAAGAGTCTACTCACTTAACAAGTAGTCTCTTTGTTAATCCCCTACCACTGAATTTCTATAATTTTCACCTGATGTATTTTTCCATAGGCCACAAGTGCCAGCAGTGGCACAGATACTTCTTGTTCTGCCAATTCTATCATAACTTACACAAGAGAATTTAAAGTTTCTGTGTCCTTACCTTTATAATTTGCTACAGAGTCTATCACGAGGGATACATTTCTAATCATTGCTTTTTTTACTTTAAACCATGGAAAAAGGGCCTGACAAATGATGCCCTTCTAGAAGAGTGAAGACCTCCTGGCAGTGTACTTTTTAACCCATGATGTGGGTTAAAAGGAATGAACCAATGTTTTGTTCATAACTGATTACGAGGCAATGTATGTACCATTAAAGTTTTGTACCTACATTGGGTCTTCATCTTTTATCTATCAAAGTATAAGTTTATCCATGTATAAGGCTGGCTGTAAACTTCTTCACAAATAAAAGTATACCCCACAAGTGCACATAACAGACTGACCCCCTAACCACTTCTATTGTTTATAGAAGCATAAGCAGGAAAAAATATTCAAAGATTAGAGTTTCATGATAATAGAAGTCTTAATCTGTGAACATGGAAAAAGCTGTTCACATCAAGATGCCATCTTCTTCTGGGGAGAAACTTTCCTGGCTAGTTTTACCTTAAGGATTTCAATGGGTGTAGAGTTCCAAGAGTGATGAGGGACCTTTCTCAGTTGTGAGATTATGAACCCAAAGTTCAAGGTCCTGAAATTTTGTAATAGTGTGGATGGCAAGGACAGTTTTTCTTTGACGTTCTCAGAAGATCCAAACCATAAAAAGTTTTCTTTACCTGGTGAAACTACACTGTAGCATAATAATCTGCTGTGATAACATCAGCCCTCTGGCATGGGAAAGCTTTTTTTTTCTTTTTTTGGAAACAGAGTCTTGCTGTGTCACCCAGGCTGGAGTGCAATGGTACGATCTCGGCTCACTGCAACCTCTGCCTCCTAGGTTCAAGTGATTCTCCTGCCTCATCCTTCTGAGTAGCTGGGATTACAGGCACCCGCCACTATGGCTGGCTAACTTTTTGTATTTTTAGTAGAGGCAGTATTTCGCCATTTTGGCCAGGCTGGTCTCGAACTCCTGACCTCAGGCGATCCACCTGCCTCAGCCTCCCAAAGTGCTGGGATTACAGGCATGAGCCACCGTGCCTGGCCAGGAAAGCTTTTATACAATCAGAAAACATGCACTGAAAATAACAGTTGCGTGAAATCCCTTTACGAAATGTTCAAATGGCCCACCAGGTGACCAAATGTACCTGAAGCTTTAATTGTTTTCCCATGAATATAGAGCCAAACATTGGTTATAAACTATTTTAGTAATTTGTAAGTTACTACATGAATGTATTCACTTTGGATTATTTTATCTTTTCCATGATGAGTCATGGAATGCAGAACTTTTAATAATAAAAACTTTAAGGACTCAAGAAGGACAAGGTGGTCATCCTGGTTCTCCATGAGTCCATGCTTATTAACATTAGATGTATATCCTCTCGAATACCAGTAGTTTTTCTAAATTAGGTGCATAGCACTGACAACTGATGAGTTATCAAAGGTAATTTGACTTAGACTGTGAAGTTTATTCAAATTGTATATCTAAACAATTTCAGTATCAGCTGGTTTAACATGAGAATCTGACTTTTCTTGGCATTTAATTTTTTTTTGTTCTACTTGGGTTAGTAGCTTTATACAAGGAAATTTGGTTATTTCTGTGGTTTACAGTAACTTAACATAATAACCATAATTATAATTGATAGCATATACTTACACATTAGAATTTTAGAAATCCCATACAATTTTGGAATATATATTAGTATTATTTACAAAAACATAACCTAAAGAAGATTGAACATCATTTTGGCAATCCCATATACCTAAACATGTCAAATAATCTCGTTTACTTCTTTTCCAGATGTTTTCAAGGGCCCTCTGATCAATTCAAAAAGCTAGGCATCAGGAAAGAAAATTTTAAAACTGAAGTTTGATTTTGGAATTCCAGATTACCATAAACTATTTATTTTGCCAAAATGATAACTCAGAAATTTTAAAGAAGCGAAAACCTTTTATAATCTTTTACAAAAAAAAATTCTTCTGTTCTTACACACCTTGCATGTAAAACTGTTTCTAGTAGTCTTAATTACATGTTATAATGGTGACTCTCAGCAATTTTAATTTTAATGTAAAACCTGGTAAGTTATGTTCTGATAAGGTTTGACTATTTCCAGCATTAGCCAGGGGTGCGGCCACCTCCACATGTCCTCAGGCCTTACCTGGTGGAAAGCAGACAAGTTAAACAACTTTCAAAAGCTAAAGGAGCAGTTTATGACCTTAAAGCATTTAGCAAACCTGAAATTTGAGCATAACTTAGGCCACATGTTTACATTTTGAAGACATTTGTATTTTACCAATAATCTTTAAGACTGTCTTTATTTCCCAAAGATTACACAAGTCACATGAACTAAATAAAAGGCATTACATTTTTCACTTTTTTGACAAAATATTTGATTTAAGCTCTTATTATTATTAAACCAATTAATTAAAGCTCTTTTGTATCAATTAAAACTTTACAGAGGAGATAAACAGTGACTTTTACTATTTATTTAACCAGTTTGTACAGAGAGAAAGAGGCCAGTGACTGGCTGGTAAGAAATTCTTACCCTTTTGCCAGCTTGCCACGTTTCTGGGTTCTCTCTCCCTGACCGGCCCTAGTTGACCCCGCTTGACTGTATGCAAACAAACACATTGCCATGAATTAGGAATATTCACAAATAGTTTACAAATTTTGGAGAAATTAGGCAGAGAGAGAGAGAAATGTGACTCAAATTCTATTTATTAGAGTATACTCAACACACTTAAAGTATCAGGGAGCCTAGAATCCAAAAAACTAGTTTTGGATAGAAAGCTGGTGTGCTCCATTAACTCCTGTGGCCCAACAAAGGCAGTGTAGAAATTCCAGATAAATGGAACAAATAATGATTTGCTAGAAATGCATAGGAAACAAAATAAGTATTCACAGAACCAAGTAAAAGCCTTCCACTAGGAACTAAAAAAAAAAAATCATGGTTTTATATATATGCATACACATATACATACACACAAAGCTAGAGGAGAATAAACAGCAAATGAATGAAAACTAGAAGCAGAAACAAAAAACAGGAGACCAACCCTAAATTTTCCTACTCAATATACCTTGGAGGCTACAGTGTTACTGATCCCCAAAACCCACATATTACATATTTTATTCCTGATACACAATTTAATATCCTTAAGTTCATCAATATTATTATAAATTCTGTGCAATTAAGAAATTCACTTTAGGCACATGACCAGTAAGTACTCTAGCACTATCCAAGCAAAACAGTAAACAGAGTGAAGCAATGCAAGCATGTATGTGAAATTTGGCTCCACACTAAACCCAGCTTCATACTTAACTATATTTAAAAAAGAATTGCCAAACTGCTGATTCATTTCTTTACAATACTTCTTATTTTACTTTAATCAAGACTTGGCTTTAACAATGAAAATGTTAATTAGCCAAATGTCTCCATTTCTCTATCAGGTTTTAAAGAATATTTTATTATTTAAATTTTTTTCATCTTTCTCCCCTACTTAATTATTCCTTACTACATTGTTTCATAAATAACCTTTTCAAATCTGTAATTTAAGCTAACTTTCAGATAACTTCTGAATTAGACAAAATTATTCTTTTTTTCACTAATAACATAACCCTTTCTAGCATATTTTGTATACAGAAGTATGTGTTAACTGGAATTTTTATTCTTAGTAACCTAAAACTTTAGTGAAACCCTAAAAAGCAAGAAATCCTGAACTATCAGATATGGACATTTACAGATAAAAACAACTCCACAACCTTTTTCCAGAGTGTTTCTGGGAGGGATGGTCCCCCTGGGTCTTCTCCAGGACCAAGGCCCCAGAGTTCTCTTGTTCTTTTTCAGTGACCCAGGAAAACGAAGCCCCCTCCTGTATTGACAGCTGGGAATTGTGGAGTCTGCCATCCCTCCTCTTGAGATGGGGTCTCCACTAGCACAGAGGCTGCTTTGGAGTCAATAGATCATTTTTTCCCCAAACCAAACACCCTCTTTGCTTGGCTGGTGTTGTTCCTAAGGCAGCTTCACTGGTGAGAGTGAGTGAGGATTGAAGTAGAATAGAGCAGTCACCAGATGTCTTGCTTCCTACAGAAAACTGGATATCTTTGTGGTCCCTGAATGATCCCAGGAGGCTGAACCTATAAAGACGTCTGGTCCCTGACCCCTTCTGCCTCCAGGTGCCCAGAACAGCCTATCGTGGGCCTTCACCCTTGGCAGGTGGATGCCGTTGTCTCAGCTAAGGTTGAGAACTACCAACCTGGGTAATTTGAGCAAAATATTGAGGACCAAATAAATATGGCTGGGAGAAATCTCATCTTCATCCATCTCCTTTATTCCAAAAATAAATTTTGAGAAGCTTCCAAAATCATATGTAATATGGTAAGATGTTTGAACTTTTATGGGATCTGGGAGGGGGAAACCTTGGAAAGAGGGGAGGGCTCTCAGAGAGGGTAAACTTTGAACTGAGGATTGCAGGATAAGGAACATTCCCTCTGACCTGAGTGAGAATGGAGGAAATAGCATTCCTGGCAGAGGGAAAAGCCAGGCAAAGCCCTCAGGGCAGGAATGAGAAGTGGAGGACTTCTCTGAGAATGAGCTTCATATGGCCTGGGACAGTGGGTCCTGGAGAGTCAGGAGGGCTGAGGTTGAGAGGACACCAGGGCCAGGCCGTGTGGAGCTTGAAAGCCCCCCGCACCAAATGGAGATTTCATTCTGACTGTGTTCAGCATGGTTTTCAGCAATGAGGAGGTGATCTGACTGATGTTTGCAAACATTGCTCTGGCTTCCAGTTGCCGACTAGGAAGTAGAAAATCAGAATGGGTCTCACTCCTCTGGTAACAGTAAAACAACAGATAATCTACAAGATCATACCTTTCCCTGAACCCATCAGAAGCTGAAGTCACAGGGCAAACATTCAGCCTGAGGTTGAAGGAAGGCAGGAGCCTCTGAGAAGAGGAGGTGTGAACATGGCTGTCTGTGGCCAAGCGTGAGAAGGAGACAGCCCTGCCACACAGGTGGGGAAGACTGGCTCAGTCGATGCCTTTAAAGAATCACTGAAGGCTGTGTTTGAGTCAGCATGAAAGTGTGGACCTCCTGGGATCTTTGGACAAGCAGAGTTCACACTCTCTTGCAGGTGCTTCTCTATAGAAGGCCACTGAGCCCCACTCACACATGAATGTATTGGGCACAGAGTGGGAGACCAGATAGAGCCTCCCACAACAGTGCCAGCTTGGGGCAGGGGAGCAGCTGCCACTGCAGGAAATGCACAAAGCTCTTCCAGACTCTTCTTCCGGAACAAACAAAAGCCATACCTTTTGGGGAAAGGGCAGAAAACCCTGCTGACCTCAGGCTGCAGGAAAATCCCACTGAGGTTGGTGGTGTGAAAGGAAAATAAATCTTGGTGCCCCAGAATCACTAAGCTAAAAGGAAAAGTCAAGCTGGGAACTGCTTAGGGCAAACCTGCCTCCCATTCTGTTCAAAGTCACCCCTCTGCTCACTGACATGAATGCATATCTGATTGCCTTCTTTGGAGAGGCTAACCATAAACTCAAAAGAATGCAACCATTTGTCTCTTATATACCTATGACCTGGAAGGCCCCTCCCTGCTTCGAGTTGTCCCATCTTCACCTTGAATTGACCCACCTTTCCAGACTGAACCAATGTACCTCTTACACATATTGACTGATGTCTCAAGTCTCCCTAAAATGTGTAAAACCAAGGGGTGTCCCTACCACCTTGGGCACCTGTCATCAGAACCTCCTGAGGCTGTGTCATGGGTGCTTGTCTGCAACCTTGGCAAAATAAACTTTCTAAATTAACTGAGACCTGTCTCAGATATTTGGAGTTCATATTGGGAAGGAAAAGAAAAATGCTCATGGCAATTGCAGGCAGGAAATTGTCCCAGTCCATTAGAGTGCCCCTTGTCCTGGGGAAGAAAGGATGGATAAAAAAGCCTCATTCTCTGGGCCCTGGAACACTGGGCCTGCCTCACACTGAGTCTGGAACAAAACGACAGACAGTGGCCCTGACCCCACACCAGGTCAACAAGCACCAAGTAACAAGTAATAGCAGTCTACAGCAAGGGACAGCCAAAAAATGTGGATGGGCACACGGGGAAGGTGTAAATCTGAGGGTGGAGCATGAATATTGTGAGCCCAGCCCTTACCCAGGGACGCAGTAGCACTAGGGGGATTTGAAGCCAGTGGTGCATTGAACTAAAATGGCAACAGCAAAACCCAGACCCAGTTGAACTCATCACTAGATCAACTCAACCCCTCATACCAGCAGGTAGTAGAAGGAAAGGCATGCCCATTTCCGGGCATAAATACTTCTTGCTTCAGTCTCTACTGTCTTACACATGTCAAACATTCAATCAAAGATCACAGGACACACAAGAGCAACTGAAAACAACCCACTGTCAGGGGAAAAATCAATCAACAGAAACAGACTCAGGTGGACCACATGCATGACTAGATGGGGAATGTCAACAGAGAGATGGAAGCTGTAAGGAAGAGTCTAATGGGAATGCCAGAAGAAAAAAAAGTGATGGTAGCAGAGATGAAGTATGCATTTGACAGGACTATCAGTAGACTCAACCCTGTAAGAATTAAAGAAAGAGGAAAGAAACACAAAAGGTGGCTTGGCAGTTAAGGACAGGTTTATTTTAGAGAAAACGAACCTGAGAGGGGCTTTTGGCTGAGTTAGGGTAGAGGCACATTTTTTTACAGACTAAGAGTGTTTAAGGATTTAGGGTAAGAGAGTTTGTTGGAGGCTTGGACACTTTTGTGTTTTTTTGTTGTGTTTATTTGGGAGGGAGAGTTGTGTGTTTGTTTCCACACTTTTTTTTTTTTTTTTTTTTTTTTGCAGCTGCAGGCATACCCCCTGAGTTTGCATTTAGCTTCCCTATCTTAGTGCACCCGAAGGGAAAGGAATGTGCTTATTAAGGCCCACTGTTTTACTGGGCCTATTGTATGAGAGTGAAGTTTGGCAGTTACCCAAGAGACTTTCCCCTACTTTCCTCTGTGCCGGGGCTGTGTTATCTGTGTTTTACTGTTTGCTCTTTCTGGCTGATTGTAGTTAGAAGAGAAATGATTTCCTTGAAATGCATGAGGCTAGAAAGGGAGCTGGGATTTAAAGTGACGGTGTTTGTCTGAGATGATGGTGCTCCTGCTCTGTCAAACACAACTGAAGAACAAAGCAGTGAACGTGAAAGTTGATTGAAATTACCTAAACTGTGACCGAGTGAGACCCTGTCTCAAAACAATAAATAAACAAATAACCTAAACTGAGACACAAAGAAAAGAGTGAAAACAAAACAAAACAAAAAAATAGGGCACCAAAGCTGTGGGACAACATAAACAGTTTGAAGAGATGATGGCCAATAGTTTTTTATTTTTTTTTTGGTGACAGAGTTTTGCGCTTGTCGCCTAGGCTGGAGTGTAATGGCATGACCTCTGCTCACTGCATCACTGTAACCTCCTTCTCCCGGGTTCAAGTGATTCTCCTGCCTCAGCCTCCTGAGCCACCACACCTGGCTAATTTTTGTATTTTTAGTAGAGACAGGGTTTCCCCATGTTGACCAGGCTGGTTTTGAACTCCTGGCCTCAAGTGATCCCCCTGCCTCGGCCTCCCAAAGTGCTGGGATTGTAAGTGTGAGCTACCGTGCCCGGCCACCAAGTCAGCTCAATTTCTTTACTTATCTTGTCATGGATCTGTATTTATTACTGGACAGAGACCACAATTTGAATAGCAGTGATCTGAGGACAGTGTTTGAGAGCTATGGGGGAAATTCTTTTGACAATACTCAGCTTGGATAATTTTTTTGCTCTCTTGAAGTTAAAGCTGTCTGTAAAATTCTTCTCCTAATAACAATAATGTATAGAAAAAACATACATATGTATATGTATACATATAAAGGATGATTTTAAGCTGTTGTGGATCACCAGTATTTGATCTTTGTGTGAATTGATGTGATGGCAAATGATGACAACCATGGTTGAACCGAGGCTGTGAAGTGCCAGGCAGTTGGTGTTTACTCTTTCAAGACTGGTTTCCAGACTGAGAGACACAGAACTCTGTATTAACCTCAGGGACACTTCAGTGTATTCATCCAAGAGTTTGTCATCTATGTCACAAACTCCATGTTTAACTATCATTCTGGCTGAAAAGAGAGAGAAGAAAGTCTCTGCATGGAGTCAGGATAGACAAGTTCATGCTGCAGGAACATGTAGTCCCAAATCTAAGTGGCCTAAAATCCCAGTGGGTTGTCTCCCCTTGTTCTCTTTAAACCAAGACAGCAAGGGGCTGTGTATTGTCATATTGTGTCATTCAGGGCCCAGGTTGGTGGGGAGTCCACTGTCTCCTAACTCTGTCTTCTCAATATGAGGCTTCAGGGTTTGTATCAGCAGAAGAAGGGAGCATGGGTTATTAAGCATCGGTTCTTAACCGCTTTGACTCATAAGTAATTCACATCAGTTTCTTCATAATTCAGCAGCCAAAGGAAATTAGGGGGCCATGCATAAAATTAACAAGCTGGGAAGTGTAATGTTCCTGTGTCCTGGGAATAGAGGCAATTGGAGGTGTTCGTGAGTTCTAGAAATGTCAGTCAGTATTCTTTTACTGCTCTGCCTACCTCTAAGTTTTATACTCATCCTGTTATTCTTACACTGCCACCAGGGAGATTTTTCTAAAATGCGAATCTGTCATGAATCTTGCTTGAAATCCACCATGGATCCCTGTTTACAGAATGAAAGCAGAATTCATAACTTAAAAAAATTCCTTCAGAATCAGATCTGTCTTCATCAGCCCTGTCCCACCCACAGCCCACTCTCCAGTTCTATTGAACTACCTACTTGCAATTTCCTGACAGCCTTTTTCTTGTCTGCATACCTTTCCACCTGCTATTCATTCATACCAAGTTTCATTCTCTTTGGTAAACCTTATGTATCAGTCTGTGTTCAGCAAGGAGACAGAAACCACACCCATTATTTGAACGGGACAAATTTAATAAGTAAAAGCTTGTTTACTAGAGGAAAGTGCTTAACTACTCAGAGGGACCAAAGAGGACTTTAAGAAGCTATAACTTGTAGGCTGAGGTAGAGTAAACAATAAAGAAACTTAGGACCAGAAGGGTCTCCCTGCCTCAACGAAGGCTGAGATGCAAACTTCTTGGAAGACAGCATGGCTTCCAAGCCTTCAGATGGAGAAGAAACTTGCCAGGGTGCAGGCGGCGGTAGTCCCTAGAAGTAGTCCGCTCTTGTTGGAGGGTGTGAGCTGAGCAGAACTGGTCTGTAGATGTGGCCTGCCATTGCTGGTGGATGTGGCTGCTGGTGGAGGGAGTGGCCTGAGGGCAGAGCTGGAACTGAACATGAGGCCACTGGACTCCCATGCTGAATAATAATAATAATAATAGTAATAATAAAAACATCAGAAGACAAGAACCTGAAACTGAGGTGTCTTCCTGTTATCTTTGCCTTTTAAGGTCACTCCAGTGCTGTCTTTTGGTGAAGCTTAAAAGACAGGAGAAACGTTTGCAGAGTCTCACAAAGCAGGGTGAAGAAGAGTTGATTTGGACCTGAGAGCCAATAAACAGATAACTCACACACCATAATAATAATGATAATTTATTTAATGTATATTATGTGCCTGGTGCTGTGATACAATTATATGTCTGTAAATGTGTGTAAGTGTATGTAGTTTTAAATTCTATAACACACCTGTGAGATAGATATTATTACCATGTGACATGTGAGAAAAATGGTCCAGGTTTGTCTGGGCATCAAAGCTGTGCTCTTGTCCACTCTGCTATCCTGATTTTCCTTTCCTGTCTTTGGAAAGTTAAATATTCTCTCTTGTCTTCCCCCTTGTGACATGAGCAGGTCTGTTTATTTATTTATTTATTTGAGTTGGAGTCTTGCTCTGTCTTCCAGACTACAGTGCAGTGATGTGTTCTCAGCTCACTGCAACTCTGCCTCCTGGGTCCAAGTGATTCTTCTGCCTCAGCCTCCTGAGTAGCTGGGATTACAGGCGCTCACCATCACGCCCCGCTAATTTTTGTATTTTTAGTAGAGATGGGGTTTCACCATGTTAGCCAGGCTGGTCTCAAGCTCCTGACCTCAGGTGATCCGCCCACCTCGGCCTCCCACAATACTGGGATTACAGGTGTGAGCCACCACTCCTGGCTGCAGGCCAGTTTATATGGAGTTTATCCAGGAGTACCTAGAAAGCAGGAACTGTGTTTTTCTATTCATTTCGGGTTTCAAATGCCTATGATTAGTGCTTGGTACCTAACAGGCACTTAAATGTCCACCAAAAGAACAATTGGTTGGATGTTTTATCTTTGCAGTTAATGCCAATGAGGTAAGTAACTCTGGAAACACGTCTGTAGGTGCTTAATAAATCCATTGCATTGAGTATTTGCCATTGGATTGAGCAAGTCAGCTCTTGTTGAGTCTTGGGAATAGGGAATGCTGGAAATTCCTTTTTTTATTTTTATTTTTTGTAGTTTGGTTTATTTATTAATATTATAAAATGTTAAAAAATTATATCAATTTCAAATGTCTTTGATATGTTTTTGTGTTTTACAAAGCTTTGAGTTCTTTCAAAATAATAGCCCACAGCATAATAGTACCATTTGGTTCACACTCATGGATAGATTCTATTCTTGACCATTCTGTTAAATTTCTTTCAGATTCACATTCTATCTTTTTAGTTATTCAAGTAGAAAACTTTGGAGTTATCTTCAGCACCTCTCTTTTTCTCATATCCCTCATCCAATTTATAGCATGTCCTATTAATTCTACCTTCAAAATACACTCAGAATCTGGCCACTTTGCACAACCTCTGAAGTGCCAACCTGATCCAACTTCCATTATCTATTCTGTGTTATTTTTAAAGTCTTCTAACTAGTCTCCTTGCTTCCTTTCTTGCCATCTACAGCCTGTATTCCACTCAGAAGCCAAAGTGATACTTTTAGGTCTATTATCTTGCTCTTAGTTTTCTATCTCATCTCTTTTGTATTCCTTTATGCCTATTTTGCTGCCGTTTGTATTAATCAAGATTGTGTTATTCAATTTATCTCCTCCATTAACCTTTTTATTGTATCTTTTAGTGTCATTTTGTTAGTGGGTGCAAAATAAATTACAAAACATATCTTTATTACAGTTTGTGTACATTAGTAATTAGTGCTTTTCCTGCATACTGAACAATGCAGAAAATTTACAAAAGTTTAATTCCATTTGCCTTCGACCTCACCTTGTTTGCTATTGTTGTCATTGATTTGACTTCTGTTACACAGCTCACATGACATTGCTATTATTGTTTCTCTAAATGATCAATAATTTTAGATTTACCCACATACTTTCCTTTTCTGGCATGTACTGCCTCTTGCATTTCCATGTTTCCATCTAGGAACATGATCTTTTAGCCTGAAGAATTTAGTATTCCTTGTAGAGTAAGCACAATGGTGAAGAGCTCTTTAAGCCTTTGTTTGTCTGAGAATGTCTGACAACTTATTTACTTTGCCACTTTCTTCTTCTTCTCCTTCCTCTTCTTTCCTCTTTCCTCCTCCTCCTCCTCCTCCTCTTCTTTCTTCTCTCCTTCTTTTACTGAGATAGGGTCTCACTTCAACGCTCAGGCTGGAATGCAGTGGCACAGTCTGGAATCACTGCAACCTCGACCTTCCAGGCTCATGTGATTCTCCCACCTCAGCCTCCTGAATAGCTGGGACTACAGGTGTGTGCTGCCATGCCTGGCTAATTTTTGTGTTTTTTGTAGAAATGGGGTTTCACTATGTTGGCCAGGCTGCTCTCAAGCTCCTGGGCTCAAGCCATCCACCAGCCTTCGCCTCCCAAAGTGCTAGGATTACAGGCGTTGAGCCTGCCTTCATTTTTGAAAGAAGTTTTCACTGTATAGGTTGACTGTTTCTAAACATTAAGGTGTCTCTTCATTGTCTTCTGGCTTCCATTGTTTCTATTGAGAAGTTAACTGTAATTTGCATTTTCCCACTGAAGATAACATGTAATTTTTAACAGAGTCTCACTCTGTGACCCATGCTGGAGTGTAATGGTGCGATCTTGGCTCACTGCAACCCCTGCCTCCCCGGTTCAAGCAATTCTCCTGTCTCAGCCTCCAGAGTAGCTGGGATTACAGGAGCACACCACCATGCCTAGCTAATTTTTGTGTTTTCAGTAGAGACAGGGTTTCGCCATGTTGGCCAGGCTGCTCTTGAACTCCTGACCTCAGGTGATCCACCTGCCTCAGCCTCCCAAAGTGCTGGGATTATAGGCGTGAGCCACCACGCCCAGTCTACTTTTACGATTTTCTCTCTAACTTTGTTTTTCTCCACTTTGATTATAATGTGCATAGGTGTAGGTCTGTTTTTATTTTTCCTGCTTAGTGTTCTTCGAACTTCTTGACTCTCTAGATTGATGTAGTTAATCAGTTTTGGATTATTCTCAGCCAGGATTTCTTTAAGTACTGGCTTTATCAAATTCTCTCCTACCCTTTGGAGATCTTCTGACTGTGTCTCACATTTCTCTTCTGCTCTGTTCTATTTTCATTATTTTTCATCTCTGCTCTTGTTTCAATACTGTCTATTGATCTGCTTGAAGTTTACTCATGCTGTCTTCTGCTGAGTTTAGTTGGCTGTTAAGCGGCATCCAAAGGATTTTAAATTTCAGATTTCATATTTTGCAGTTTATCATTTGATTTTTTTTATAGATTTAAATTATGTTTTAAAATACTCCATGTTTTTATTTGTTCTGCCCATTAAAAATTTATTTGTCTTCCCCTGGCTGTTTTCAAGTGTTTGGTTTTTGGCAGTTTGAGTATGCGATGCCTAGATGTAGACTTTTTGGGTACTGCTTGATGTTCTCTGAACTTCCTGGATCTGTGGTTTGGTGTCTATCGTTCATTTTGGAAAGTTCTTGACTATGATTATTTCAAATATTTCTTCTGCTCCATTCTCTCTTTTTTCTTCTGTTATTCAATTATGCATATATTTCACCTTTTGAAATTATCCCATGTTTTTGGATGTCCTATTCTGTTTTTTTTTTTTTTTATTTTCCTATTCTTTTTTCTCTTTGCATTTCAGTTTGGGAAGTTTTTGTTGACCTGTCTTCAAACTCACTGGTTGTTCCTTATTCATCTCCAGTGTACTAGTGAGCCCATCAAGGTCATTCTTCATTTCTGTTACAGTGCTTTTTTTTTTTTTTTGCTAGCATTTCTTTTTTGTTTCTTTCTTAGAGTTTCTCTCTCTCTCTGCCTACATTAAATTACATCTCTGCTTACATCTGCTTTTCATGTTGTCTACTTTTTTCATTAGAGCCCTTGACATATTAATCATTGTTATTTAAAATTCCCTATATGGTAATTCCAGAGTCTGTGTCATATCTGAGTCTGGTTCTGGTGCTTGTTTTGTCTTTTCAGACTGTGTTTTTTTTCTTTCTTTTGACATGTCTTGTAATTTTTTGTTTAAAGTTAGCTATGTTAGGTTGGATAATAAGAATTGAGGTTAACTAGGTCTTTATTGTGAAGTTTTATGTTGATCTGGCTAATAGTTGGGTTGTATTTAATGCTTCTGTAGCTGTAGGTGCCAGAGGCTTCAAATTACTCCAGTGTCCATGATTTCTCCTCTGTGGTCTTTGGGCTTCTCTAAGAACTCCCTCTTTTTTTTTTGACAGCATCTCGCTCTGTCACCAAGGCTGGAGTGCAGTGGTGCAATCTCAGCTCACTGCAGCCTCAACCTCCTGGGCTCAAGGGATCTTACCACCTCAGCCTCCCCACTAGCTGGGACTACAGGCATATGCCACCATGACTGCCCAATTTTTGTACTTTTAATGGAGATGGGGTTTCGTTATATTGCCCAGGCTGGTCTTGAACTCCTGGGCTAAAGTGATCTGACCGCCTCAGCCTCACAAAGTGCTGGGATTACAGGTGTGAGCCACCATAACCGGCCAGAATGCCTTCTTAAATAGAATCTGCACATTGCAGTTCTTTCAGATATAATTCATTGTTATTATACTGGAGGCTGTTGATATGGTGGTAAGGTGTAGGGGAGGGGAAGTTATCTATAATATTATAATTAAATTTCATTTTCATAGTAGGCCTGTGTTCCTGGACAATGTCCTTCACGAGTATTACTTAGCCATCACTCTCCTCTCCTGAGTAGGTGAGACAGTAATGCTAGGCAAGGATCTGGGCATATGGTTATAAATGGTTATAATTCCCCTTCTCCTACTAGAGCCACAAGGGGATCTTTCTTGACTGTTGACCATAAGAACTCAGTTGGGTTTGAGGAAGTAAAATCTATGAAAGGTTATGTCTCAGACTGTAGCCCCCAGGAATTTTTCACTCTTATGCTAATCTACACTCAGCTCTCAACAGTTTGTCAAAATTACTACTTGTGTGTTACTACCAGTTTATAGCTCCAGTGGCTCAGTGGCTTCTGCTCCAGGTAAACATAAACTTAGTTGTGTGTGTGTGCATGTGTGTGTGTGTGTGTCTGTGTGTGTGTTTGTATTCAAATGTCTCTTTAGATTTCAGGATGGTGGTTTTCTCTGTCGACTCAGTTGTCTAATGAGTCCAAGAACAGTCATCGATTTTCCATTTTTTCAGCTTTTTTCCCCCTTTATTGTAAGAACAGGAATGACACCTTTTATGCTCTTCACACGTCAGAGCTGGAACTAGGAGTCTAATGTATTTAAAAGCTATTAATCACAGTTATTTTAAGACCTGATATATAGATTGTTCCTGGGTCTGCTTCATTGACCGCTTTATTTCTTATCAGACACGTTTTTCTTCTTTGCATATCTAGAAGTTTTTTAAAATTGTACTGCAAATATTATTGACATAGACTGTAGAAGCTTTGGATTATGCTATGATCCTCTAAAAAGTGTTGAGTTTTGTTTTGGCAGCAGTTAAATCACCAGCACATTGCTTTGATTCTGTTGAGGCTTCGTGTTAGGCTTTAGGGTAGGTTTTTTCAGTTTTGCCCCCACTTCCAGGACATGGCGTTTTACAAAAGGATCTCAACTAAAGGGTCAGGATATTCCTCAAAGTCCCTCTGGCTGGGCCTGAACTCCACTGTCACCTCAGCACCGTTAAGTGTCCAGAATCTCTGCTTAGCGCTTGCACCCCGGCAGCTGTTCTCTTCTCGGGCTCCTGGAGTCTTACTCTATGTTTGAGGCCCTCCACCCCAAGAGGTCTGAATCCAAGCTCCGTGCATCTTCTCTGAGCTTCTAGGATTCGCTAATTTCTAGTTTTTCCTCTGCTTCCCCAGCTGTATGGGTGTTACCTGCTTACTGTCAATATTATTTTTGGTTTCCTATATCCTCTTTTTGTTTTTCTCTCAGGCCTCTAACATCTGTATAACCAATTTTCTGTATTAAATTCTCTCTGCTGAAATGCCTAGTTTGTTTTCTGTTTTCCTAACTGTGCATATTGCACCATGGATAGATAGAAAACAATGTTGACCGAAACAGTAAGAAACAGAATGAGATCTAAGGCACTTTATCACTGAGTTGAATTAAACACACACAGATAGAGGATGCATGCATATTTGAAGACTTATATTGAATCCATTTAGAGCCTATGGGGGAAAGAGGGAATGGAAGTGGTAGTCAGTGATAAAAGAAATAAAATAAAATGAGAGGGGCATGATAGCAAGCCCTGAATTCAGGAGTACAAGTAACCCAACTGTCTGCAAGCACCTGATGTCCAAAATAAAAGAAAGCAAAACAATAACAACCAAAAAGTGCTATTCTTCTGATGTATGTTAGCGTGATTTGTCTTTTTGGAAAGGCAATTCCTTGGAAGAAAGATAAAGATCAGATGTCAGAAAAGGAAAAGAAAACCATTTATCTCAAAACATTTAAACTATTCTAAAAGATAAATGAATGGCCACATCAGGGTCAAGAACGGGCCACTAATTATTACGCTAACAGCCTTTGGCGAATAGGTGCTCCAATGAGGAAAATGGCAAATTTAAGAGTAGCTAGGCAAATTATCAACATTATTGTCAGCAAATCTGACTAAAATGGAAAGCTATAACAAAAGCATCTTATCCGATGCAGGTCATGGGTAAAGTAAGAAGGAAATAATTTTCGATTCCCTGATATGGAAAATGCAAGCATCATTATTCATTGCTTAATTCCACATCAGGACTATCCACATTGTCTCCTATGCCATGGAGGAAAATAATAGCACTAAGACACAATCTTGACTTTCTATATCCAGAGCAACTCAGTTATTTCCATTGTAGGTGGTATATCTTTTAGGATACAAAATTCAGGAGCTCAAAAACAAACTGTATCTGTTTTTTATATATAAATTTAATTTTGTTTCTGAGCGATCAGCCTGCAGGGTGTGGGAGGATTTTACATCAGTTACTCTTGGGTATATCCTCCCTCATCAGGATTTCATGGAGATTGTGGAGGGTGTTGTGCAGTGACCAGAAGCACCATTCTGGTAGTCAAGTTGGCAATTTTCACCGTGATGTCAATTTTCTATATTTGTATGTCTTCACTCCATGATGCATGGGAAACCCAACTGGCTGTGGCCTCACTCCAGTTCCCTGGTTCCCACTGCTTCAGGATCCACAAGAGTTTCTTTCTGCTCCTCTCAGCTTGAACGAATGCTTTGCTCCATTCTCCTCTTTTCAGACATTCTGCTGCTTCTTCTTAAAAAAAATGCTATCCTTGCTCTGAGGCATATAGTTTAGGAAACAGGGCTAGAAAGTTGGTTCTTCACTTTCCACCTTACCACAAACCTCCCCTGAGGCATGCAGCATAAGAAAGAGCAAAGGAGAAATACTGGGAGGGCTAAATATATAAATTAATATCTCACAATATTAGCCATGTACATCTTTTTGCAGGATCAGTCCATTTATGTGACAAAGTGAATAGAGAAGGAAGAGAAAAAAAAAGCAGACAGGAGAATGGGCAATATATTTTATAATTGATGAAAATTCAAGCATAATCACTTTACATGTAATAATCATGGAATCAAATGTCAAGATAGAAAAATGATAGGGAGGTACTGAATATGGTCAGTTTGCCAGCATTGAAGCTATAAACCAAAACGTTTTCGAGACAGGTCTCAATCAATTTAGAAGTTTATTTTGCCAAGGTTAATGGCATGCCTGTGACACAGAAGGTCCTGAGAATGCGAGCCTAAAGTGGTTAGGCTACAGTTTGGTTTTATATGTTTTAGGGAGACATAATACATCAATCAGTACATGCAAGACGTACACTGGTTTGGTCTAGAAAGGCGGGACAACTCCAGGGAGTGGTATTTATTGATTGGCAGTTGCTTGAAAGAGTTTATCTAAAGACTTGGAATTACTAGAAGGAAGTGTCTGGGTTAAGATAAGGGGTTATGAACACCAAGGTTTTTATTATGCACATGAAGCCCCAGGGTAGCATACATAGTAGGAGCTTAAGAAATCTTTGCTGATCAAAAATGAACTGGACCTATGTGAAGTGTGGATGGCAAAGTGATACGCATTTCAGTGGAATATGCTGAAGATGGGAGTAGTTTTTGGCAGAATAGGTGGAGAGGTTTTATAAAAATCTACTTAATCTAAAGAGGCATATCATAGATTTTGACGCCCAGAAAGCAAGATTGATAGAAATTTATTGATGTGGGCAAAGAGATGTTTAAAATATTTTGATTATACACTCAGTAAAAGAATTTGTGCATTAGGCCCTGTGTGTGTGTGTGTGTGTTTTAGTCACACACATATCTCTTTACTAATATATACTATACATATGGACACAACTCTTACACATATTTATAGTAAAATATGCACTTACAATGAGGCGTACCATATATTTGCATTTATGGCTACCTGGTTTCTTTCTTTTTTTTGCCATTACTTTGTCCATTTCATAAATGTTACTTGAACAACTACTGTTCAGGCCTGATCCCTGATCCCAGAAAACTCTTCAGTTTAGCAAACCATTGGCTTCCAAAGTAAGGTGAGACATAACCAAGATGACACAAGATGACCTAATAGGGCCTGGAAAGAAAATATTAGAATACTATATATTTTTATCCCAACACTTTAAATTTTATCCCAACACTTTAAATTTATATTTTAATTTTAAAACACTGAAAGTTATATTTAAATTTATATCTTCATTATATTATTCTTATTATATAGAGACAGGGTCTCATTCTGTTGCCCATGCTGGAGTACAGTGGTGCAATCATAGCTCACTGCAGCCTCGAACTTCTGGGCACAAGCAATCCTCCTGCCTCAGCAACCTGAGTAGCTAGGTCTAAAGGTGCACACCTCAACTCCTGGCTAATTAAAAAAAATTGTCTAACTATATTGCGCAGGCTGGTCTTGAACTCTTGGCCCCAAGCAATTCTTGTGCTTTGGCCTCCCAAAGCATTGGGATTATAGGTGTGAGTCACTGCACTTGGCTAGTTTTTGTTTATATTTAATATGGTACTTTCTTAATTCAGTTATACACATAAAGGAAGGGTATGGAGAAATAGGCTTTCATATGTTTTCCAAGGGAGTGTGAATCGGTACAGTGTAGATGGAGGGCAATTTACCAATATCTATCAAAGTTATGACTGTTTAGCATTTTGACCTAGAAATTACCCTTCTAGGAATTTTTCTTTTACACACACACTCACAGGGCTTGAACACACACAGATTATTCAGTTCAGCATTGTGTGTAATAGGAAAAGCTTTGATATAACTTAAATGTCCACCAAATAAATTATGTTACATCTCTGTAATGGAATACCAATTAAAAATAAAGATACTTAAAGAAATTGTGCATGTCTAAGACATAGCATGATGTTATTATGGTTTTATATATATATTTTGTAAAGAAGTTCTTATAGTGAAGCAAATTAACACATCCATCATTTCACATAATTACCCATTTTCTTTTGCTTTTTTGACAGGAGCAGCTAAAATCTACAGTCTTAGGATGAATCCCATATCCAGTCTAATTTTGTTACCTACAGTCCTCATGTTGTACATCAGATCTCTAAACTTGTTTGCCCCACATATCTGCTGTTTTGTACCTTTGGACCTATATCTCCCCATGTCCTCCCCACCCCATCTCTGTTAACCACTGTTTTGTTCCCTATCTCTAAATATTTAACTTTTTTTTTTGATGTTACATGTAAGTGAGATTAGGATCCTGCCATATTTTTCTTTTTGTGTCTGGCTTACTTCACTTTGTATAATGTCCTCCAGGTTCATCCATGTGTGATAAATGGCAAGATCTCATTCCATTTTAAGGTAGAATAATATTCCACTGTACGTGTGTACCACAGTTTCTTTATCCACTTGTTCACAGAGACTTAGGTTGTTTCCATAGCTTGGCTATTGTAATGCTGCAATAAACATGGGAGTGTAGACATCTTTATGAGGTGGTAATTTCATTTCTTTTAGGTATATCATATGCCCAGAAGAGGGATTGTGGGGTCATGTGGTAGTTCTATTTTTAATTTATTTAGAAACCTCTGTACTCTTTTCCATAATGGCTGCACCAATCTGCAATCCCCCAACAGTGTACAAAAATTTTCTTTTCTCCACACCCTTGCCAACATTTGTTATCTTTTGACTTTTTGATAATGTCCATCCTAACAGGTGTGAGATGATATCTCACAGTGGTTTTCATTTGCAGTTCCATGATAATTAATGATATTGAGCACCTTTTCATACACCTATTTGAAACTCTTATTTCTCCCTTGGAGAAAAGCCTACTCATCTCTTTTGCCCAGTTTATAAACAGGTTGTTTCCCCCCTATTTAGTTGTGTGAGTTTTTTATGAATTTTGGTTATTAACCCCTTATCAGATATATGGTTTGCAAATACTTTTTCCTAATCCATAGGCTGCTGTTTCATTTTTTTTCTGCTGTGCAGAAGCTTTTTAGTTTGATATAATACCATTTATTTAGTTTTATTTTTAGGTCTGAGATTTCGGTGTGATATACAAAAAGCTATTGCTGAGGCCAATATCCAGGAGATTTCCCCCTATGTTCTCTTCTAGGAGTTTTATACTTTCTGATCCTATATTTATGTCATTTATCCATTTTGAGTTGATTTTGGTGTATGGTATATGATGGATATGGGTCTAATTTTGTTCTTTGCATATAGAATTCTAGTTTTCCCAGGCATCATTCATTGAAGCAACTATCTTCTCTCCATTTGCCTTGTTGGTGTCCTTGTTAGAAATTAGTTGACTGTATATGTTCAGATTTATTTCTGGGCTTTCCATTCTGTTCTCCTAGTATATGTGTCTGCTTTTATGCCAGTACCCTACTGTTTTGATTTCTATAGCTTTGCAATATAGTTTTAAGTCAGGAGTGTAATGCCTCCAACTGTGTTTTTCCTTTTCAGAATTGTTTTGGCTCTCTGGGGTCGTTTATGCTTCCATTTGAATTTTAGGATTGTATTTATAAGGGAAGGTGAGTGGGCATCCTTGCCTTGTACCAGGTCTTAGTGGTAAATATTTCAGTTATTCCCCATTGATTATGTTAGCTGTGAATTTTTTGTAAGTGGCCTTTATTACGTTGAAAGTTTTTTTCTATACCTAAACTGTTGAGAACTTTTATCAAGAAAGGATGTTGGACTTCGTCCCATGCTTTTTCTGTACCAGTTGAGATGATCATGTGATCTTTGTCTTTCATTCTGTTAATGTTATGTATGACATTGATTGATTTGCATATCTTGAACCAGCCATGCATGCCAGGGATAAATCCCACTTCATCATGATGTATAATTGTTTCGATGTTTTGTTGGATTGGGTTTGCTAATATTTTATTGATAATTTTTGCATGAATTTTAATCAGATAAATTGGTCTGTAGTTTTACTTTCTTGTGATATCTTTGTCTGGCATAGGTGTCAAGGTGATGCAGACCTCATAAAATCAGTTTGGAAATATATTTCTTCAGGCTCTATTTTTCTTTTTCTTTCTTTTTTTTTTTTTTGAGATGGAGTCTTGCTCTATCGCCCAGGCTGGAGTGCAGTAGGGCAATCTCAGCTCACTGCAAGCTCTGCCTCCTGGGTTCACGCCATTCTCCTGCCTCAGCCTCCCCAGCAGCTGGGACTACAGGTGCATGCTGCCACGCTCAGCTAATTTTTTGTATTTTTAGTAGAGACAGGGTTTCACTGTGTTAGTCAGGATGGAAAAAAAAGAGGGGCTCTATTTTTCAGAAGAGTTTAAGAAGTACTGGTATTAATTCCTCTTGGAATGTTTGGTAGAATTCAGCTGTGAAGCCATCAGACCCTGGTTTTCTTTGTTGGGAGGTTTCTGATTACTTCTTCAATCTCTCTCTTTATTATTGGTCTGTCCAGGTTTTCTGTTTCTTCCTGACTCAGTCTTAGTAGGTTGTAGGTTTCTAAGACTTTATTTCCTCTGGTTATTCAATTTGTTGGCAAATAATTGTTCATAATAATCTCTTATAATCCTTTTTATTTCTGAGGCATCGATTGCAATTTCTTCACTTTCATTTTTGATTTATTTGAGTCTTCTTTTTTTCCCTTAGTTAAATTAGCTAAGGGTTTGTCAATTTTGTTTATTTTTTCAAAAAAACTGTTAGTTTTGTTGATTCTTTCTATGGCTTTTCTGTGCTTAATTTGATTTATTTATGTTCTGCTTTTTATTGTTTTCTTCCTTCTGTTTAATTTCATGTTTAGGCCAGGCATGCTGGCTCACACCTGTAATCCTAATGCTTTAGGAGGGTGAGGTGGGAAGATCTCTTGAGCCCAAGAGTTCAACACCAGCCTGGGGAACACAGCAAGACCTGGTCTTTACAAAAAATAAAAAGTTAGCTGGACATGGTGGCTGGCACACACCTGTGGTCTTAGCTATTTGGGAGACTGAAGTGGGAGGATCGCTTGAACCTGGGAGGTAGAGGCTGCAGTGAGCCAGTTGCACTACTGCACACCAGCTTGGGTGACAGAATGAAACCATGTCTCAAAGAAAACAAAAATGTGTGTTTTGTTCTTTTTCTAGTTCCTTGTGGTGTAATGTTAGATGGTTTATTTGGGATCTTCTGCTTAAAAAATTTTTTTTTTCACTGTCACAAATTTTACAGTCTTTCTTCTTTTTTGATGTAGGTGTGTGTTGTTATAAACTTTCCTCTTAGGACTGCTTTTGTTGTATCCCATAGGTTTCGTTATTGATGATACATTTTATGTACTAATGTGAAACCTCCAAAATATATCTTTTTTTTTTTGAGACAGAATCTCACTCTGTCTCCCAGGCTGGAGTGCAGTGGCATGATCTCGGCTCCCTGCAAGCTCTGCCTCCCGGGTTCACGCCATTCTCCTGCCTCAGCCTCCTGAGTAGCTGGGACTACAGGCTCCCGCCACCATGCCTGGCTATTTTTTTGTCTTTTTAGTAGAGACCGGGTTTCACCGTGTTAGCCAGGATGGTCTCGATTTGCTGACCTCGTGATCCGCCCGCCTCGGCCTCCCAAAGTGTTGGGATTACAGGCGTGAGCCACTGCGCCCGGCCGGTAAGTTCTTTAAACTTTGCCTTTCCAAGCTTGGCAATGTGAGCCACAGATTTGGGACCCAGGACATTGCCTCCCCAGTGACGGTGGATCTCATCGTTATCTGTTGTTGTAGTTGGTCCTCATAGCTTCCGCCAGCTTAGCCAAAGCTCCTTTGTCTTCCGAGTTCACCTGCGTGAAGGCAACAGTGGTGCAGGTCTTCCTGTGGACTACACGTCCCAGTCTTGCCTTCCCCTTGATAATGCAGGGGAAGAGACCCCCATTTTACGACATAAGGCAGGCAGGAAGACAACCAGCTGGATGGTATCCACATCGTGTGCCATCACCACCAGCTGAGTCTTCTTGTTCTCCACCAAGGTGGTGACGGTGTTAACTCCTGCTTGAAGGACAAGTGGTCTCCTAGTGGGGATGTCCCCTTTGCTGGCAGCTTTCTTCTCAGCCCGGACCAACAGCCTCTGCTTCTTCTCTTGCTTTGTCTCTGGTCTGTAGTTGTGGGCCAGCTGAAGCAGCTGAGTAGCTGTTTGGAGGTGCAGGGCTTGGGTGAACTGGTTAATCGCACGCAGGAGGCACTTTCAAGTCGCTTACGGAGAATGGCTCTCTGCCACTGCAACCTGATATAACCTAATACAGACAATTTCATGAAGCAGGTGAGGTCTCTTTTGGGCTGGATGTCCTGTCCAATGCCAAAATTCTTAGGCCTTTTGTCAAACAGGGGACTCGCCACTTTCTTAACCTCCTGTTTCTTCACGACAGCAGGGGCCGGAGCCACCTTCTTCCCCTTGGCCTTCTTTCCTTTCGGCATCTTGGGTGGCAGGAAGAGAGAGCCATATTTTCTTATAAGTTACATACACACACCATTTCTTATATACCCATAGAAAATTTCTGGAAATATGCATAAGAACCTGGTCACATGGGTTGACTTTGGCCAGGGGAATTGGTAACTAGAATTGAATGGAGAGAGGGAGAGGTTTCACTATATATATATATATATATATATATATATATATACACACACACATATATATATATATACACACACATATATATATAGAGTGAATATATATATAGTGAATATATATAGTGAATATATATAGTGAATATATATAGTGAATATATATATTGAATATGTATATATTGAATATATATATATTGAATATATATATATTGAATATATATAGTGAATATATATAGTGAATATATATATTGAATATATATAGTGAATATATATAGTGAATATATATAGTGAATATATATAGTGAATATATATATAGTGAATATATATAGTGAATATATATATAGTGAATACATATAGTGAATATATATATATTGAATATATGTATAGTGAATATATATAGTGAATATATATATATTGAATATATATAGTGAATATATATATAGTGAATATATATATAGTGAATATATATATAGTGAATATATATATAGTGAATATATATATAGTGAATATATATATTGAATATATATATAGTGAATATATATATTGAATATATATAGTGAATATATATATTGAATATATATATAGTGAATATATATATTGAATATATATAGTGAATATATATATTGAATATATATAGTGAATATATATATTGAATATATATAGTGAATATATATATAGTGAATATATATATTGAATATATGTATAGTGAATATATATAGTGAATATGTATAGTGAATATATATATAGTGAATATATATATTTTTAACAAATATATATATTTTTAGTTTTTTTGCACCTTTTGAATTTTGCAAATATATATATTTGTTTTTTTTTTTTTTTGCACCTTTTGAATTTTGAACTGTGTTACTCATTTGGTACAGGTTGGTTTTTCTGGAAGCAGATGCTGAGATGCAGTTTGGAGTACAAGATGTTTATTAAAGATCAACACCTGAGGAAGAAAGATAAGGAAAAGAAGAACTGGGCAGAAAAAGAAGTCCATCTGTGAGGAAACCTTGGCAAGACCTTGGCTAACCCTCTGTGGCGCTCCAGAGCACATATGGCCTACCAGAGCAATCCCAGGTGGGTGTAAATGGCCTTTATACCCCTTTTTTGACAGGGTATTGGATGCCATTGACCTGGGAAGGCGTTCTGGTGGGCCAGGTAGCTCTCTGCAGCTGAACGTTCCCCGCTAGATCTGACAGCTTGGGTAGCAAATCCTACCCTGAAGGGAGATGTATGTATCATGTCTCAACAAGGACACAACTTTTCCTATCCCCTCACTTTGCTGAGATTTTGGTTGGATATAAAATTCTAACAAAATTTAGAGGTAGGAAAATTTATTTTCAGATGAATAAATCTTCATGCAACTTACCTCTCAGGCACTCCTTTCTATCTGTTTAAGTCAGTGATATTCCCCCTTGGTCTCTAAATTAGTATCAAAATGCAGTTTTTTTTGTTTTTTTGTTTTTGGAAATGGAGTTTCATTCTTGTTGCCCAGGCTGGAGTGCAATAGCACAACCTCAGCTCACTGCAGCCTCTGCCTCCCAGATTCAAGCAATTCTCCTGCCTCAGCCTCCCGAGTAGCTGGGATTACAGATGCCCGCCACCACACCCAGCTAATTTTTTGTATTTTTAGTAGAGACGGAGTTTCACCATGTTGGCCAGGCTGGTCTCGAACTCCAGACCTCAGGTGATCCACCCGCCTCAGCCTCCGAAAGTACTGGGATTACAGATGTGAGCCACCATGCCCCGCCATCCAAACACAAATTTCAACTGATGCACCTGGTATAATCATGATTTTCAGACGTTTGTAGCCAAATAGAGGAAGTCATAACAAATGGCAAGTAGTTGCTTCTGGGGAAGAGGAATTCGGATTGGATGAAATTGAGACTTGGGGTGGTCATTTTCCATCCAACTGAGACATTTTTGAGAGTGAAAGGGGTCACTGTTAATAATTACACTGGGATAATAGGCATAAATTTTGCTATTAATTAAGTCATGCCCCCCACCCCTACCACCCCAAGTTTATATGTTGAAGCCCTAACCTCCAATGTGATTGTATCTGGAGAGATGGTCTTTAGGAAGTACTTAGGGTTCAGTGAAGTCATAATGATGGGTCCTTAATCCTATAGGACTGTGTCCTCATAAGAAGAGGAAGAGACAGATAGCTGTCTCTTCATGTACATGCACCAAGGAAAAGATATGCGAACATATAGTGAGAAGCGGCCATCTGCAAGCCAGGAAGATAGCCCTCGCGAGAACTCCACCATGCTGGTGTCCCAATCTCAGACTTCCATTCTCCAGAATGTGAAAAAATACATTAAAAGTCTGTTGTTTAAGCCACCCAGTCTATGGTATTTGTTGTGGCAGCTCAAGCTGACTCATACACATCAGAACTGTCCCTGGGAAACCGGGGTGATTAATTTGATTAAAAGCCTTGCGGAATTCTTTGGAATTTTAAAACTTTATACATGTATCTCTTTGTTAAAGAGAAAATTAATTTTAAAAGAAGAATTATAAGAGTTTAGAAGTCAACTCATAAATCTTCACATCTCATGCAGAAATGGCATCTGTGATATTCCTGTTGTATAACCATCCTTGAACACCTTCTTGTGGCTCATGTTAGATCTATTTCTGGCGGCTATAATTGTTAGAAGATTCTTTCAAATTTGCCAGTATGTAACTGCCACCAATAGGTGATAATACAGAAGCTTTTCTCTTCTGTGACTAGCCCTGCTTTTAAAAGTGCATTGCTTTTCTTAGTCCACTAGGAGTGACACCTCCACCCTGTCCCAACCCCACCTTAGCTGTAGCACTGTGCTGTGTTTACTAGTGTTAGAGTGAAGAGTGGGGAGACCTGAAAAGTGGGGAGAGCAGGTTTGTGTAGGTTAAGAAACTAGACCTCAGAAATGATTTCATGTCTTGGATAAAGTCACGCATAACCCCACAAGGTAAAAGCTGTATCAGGTTTGATTGGCAAGTGAGTGCCTCATGCATCAGAGAAGTCACCGACTGCAGTGATGTATAACCCCTGGCTCCCTGCTGGCTCCGTTCCTCCATCAGCCTGCTGCCATTGCCCTCTCGCTCTCCCGTGATGTAGGACATAGCTGAGATTGACAGAGAGAGAAGGTTGAAGGGGCAGTAGTTAAAATGTCACCCACCCACGATGAAATCCAAATGGCTTAATTTACCACGATGTGTTTTAATTAATGAGAGTGAAAAAGTGAAGAGGTTGTACTTTCTAATCAAACAAAGTAATGCCTTAGTTACTGAAATGCAAATGGCTTCATTGGGAGGGAAGCAAAAGTTAATTAGGTCACATAGATAAATTAGGAGGAAACCAAAACCATCTTTGCCACAATTAGATCTTTGCCACAATTAGTTGGTTTGTAGTAAAAGAGAATATATGTAGAAATTAAAGATTCAAATGTAAATAGTTTTGCATTAGATTGCTTTGGGACTTTGGTGACTTTCAATTTTATAATAAATACCACCTTTGCATTCCACTGTAGATATTTTAATGTAAAAATGGTCTTGCTTATTCTCAGTGGGTGCTGTTTTAAGTCCTCTGCCTTTTCTAGAGGATGTGCTGATTCCTCACTGCTGAGAAATGATCCTTAACGTGTAACTAGACTTAAGATGCAACAAACATGTTTACTTTTGCCTTCTTTAAACTGTTGATGTTTATATTTTAGTTTAAAATTTAAAAAGTTTAAAGGTTATTAACTGAGCCTTAAGTGTACAGTATAAAACAAGAAGGCCTTTTTGTTGTGCTGGTGGTGTTTATTGTTTTGGTCTAAGAATTTAAAATTAGTTATGTACAAACGTGGAGTATTTTCTGCCCTCTAGTGGTCAAAAGTAATTTTGCAATATTGTCACATCTCAGTGCTTTCAATTACAAAGGAGAAGCTAGGTGATATTTTAAAAGCAGTTTGAAAATTATGTTGGTGCGTTGCTGTAGCTAATTACTGTTGTTGCATATTTTAAGAAAGAGAAACAATAGTTTTATGTTTTATTTATTAACCACAATATACCAATGCCTAGAAATCTGGCAAGAAGTGAAATAAATTTTAAGATAATTTTTTTTTCAGGATTAAAATAATATTTCTCTACTTCTACAAAGAGAGTATTAATTTGACATTAATCTAGTTATAATTTAATTCCACTCCTGATTCTAATCGTAATTTTCCTGTTTGGCTTCTTTCATACTTTAGTTCCTATATTTAGGAAGAGAATAATGGGTGATAATACTTTCTATTTCCTAAGCTACATATAGGATTATATGTATCACATTTGTGTTATATTATAAAAGGAAAATGCCGTGGCATATTTTATGAGCAATTATTTTTATTAGTTATCCTTGGGCATCTATTTGACTAATTGTTATTATTATATATTCTAAGATACTAGGTGTAAAGGTTCTAAATTTTATTGACTGCAATATAAAAAGATCAGGGAAGCAGATGAGAAGCAAAGTATAAATAGGCTATTAGGAAGGATGTGGAGGAGCCCAGAAGGTCAAAGAAAAGTGCTATAAAATAGCAGATGAGTGATTGTTGACCATTCTTCATTTCTTAGGAAAATTAAACTAATCAACTCTTCATTTTCATTACTGTGCTGAAATTAATGTCTCTCCATCTCTGACTGCTAACAGAAACCTTTGCTGTCCCAGGCATTTCCAAAGACGCAGTAGCTCTTGTCTCAGGTGAATCTAATATATTATAAACTGGTGAAATGATAAAAGAGTTCGGGAGAAAAAAAATTAGCAACAACTACCCCCTTTTAAGATAGGCTTAACGGGACTGTAGGAAAAATTTAATGTTCTGGTGAAAAACATGACATTACTAAATAAGTCTGTCATTTATAAAACCTTGTTTTTCTCATAGGATTTTTTTTATGGTAGCCAAAATAGCACTTAAGCTTTGGGTGTGATTTTGTAGGTATTAATAGTGTGAGCATAATTAGTGAATAGCATCAGACTATGTAAAAAGGCAAGTGAAATGTACTTAATGCCACTGAATTGTACACATCAAGATGGTTACAATGGTAAACTTTATGTTATGTATATTTTACTACAATTTAAAAAATTTAAAAAGGGCAAATGGAATCTTTCTGATTTTTAGTATTTCTAGCAATGGTGAATAAAATGTGCAACATCTAATAAACATTTCAGGAACTCTGGGCCACTTAATAAGAAATCCAAGTAAACAGTGGATATAATGAAGAGGGACAAATGCTCACCACATAATATTTTCCGAATTCAGGCCTGACTCCAAGAAGCAAAGTGATTCTATTTTCCACAGAGCATTCACCAGCACACACTCATCTGAGTGAGAGGGAGGGAACAGCTAGTACAATTCATGCCAGTGCGCAGGAGCAAACTTACTTCTGATTTACTTTAATTCCTTTACTGCTTTGTCCTAATTCATGAATGAGATCTGTCGCAGACTGCAAATAACCCAGGGAGGCAAGACCCATCCAGGCAGAAGTTTACCTACTGGCCGCCTTTGCCTTCACTCCATTTGCCATGAATGCATATTTCAGTGGCTCTCTGGACCACTTCAATTTCCTTTTATTACAAAATTTAAAAACATAGAGATGGGATCTCACTTTGTTGCCCAGGCTGGTCTCAAACTCCTGGTTTCAAGTGATCCACCCAACAGCCTCCCAAAGTGCTGGGACTACAGGCATGAGCCACGGTGCCTGGCTTGGACCACTTCAATTTTACTACTGAAGCAGAAACTGACAGTCAAATTTTATCACCAACAATAGCACCTTTTTTGCTAAAGGATAAAAATCAAAAAACATGACTTGCTCCTTGAGAGTCTAAGATAAAAGTGGTCCAGCTTGTATTCTGTGATGCTTTTACCTTTTACAGTCACTCATGACTGGTAAGGTAGGCATCTCCTTGCCTGCTCTAGAAGTAGATACCTTAAAGAACAACTAAACTAAAGCTCTTCAGGAATCTATGGTCCTTCTTTCTTCCCATTCTTCCTCCCTTCCCCTCTCTTCCTTCTTCTCCCTCTTCCTACCTTGCTCCCTCTCTTCCTTTTTTCCTTTCTCCCCCCTTCTCCTCCCTCCCTCCCTTCCTTCTAAAATCTTTATATAGTGTTTTAAAACTCCAAGGATTTATTCCTGGGCTTCAGTATATCCACTTTTTTCTTATTTAAACATAATTCAACGCATGTTTCCTGAATGCTTATTATGCTGCAGGGTTGGTTGTGTGGTAGTGAACAGGGCAGTGGATGATGGTTCAGAAGAGCAACACTTAAAAATCAGACCTTGGTTGAACCCACTTGTTAGCTCCCATTTATTGGGAAAGTTCTTTCTGAGCTCAGTTCTCATACATAAAAATGAATATAACAGAAGTGGTTAAAATAGCCTTAAATGCTAAAATACATAGTTATCATAACAATTAATAATTACTATTATTTTTAAGCTGGGAGGAGGGGATTCAAAGATGATTAGAACAGTCTAGTGCAGCAGTTTCTAATTAGGGATGACCCCCCACTCCACCCTCAGGAGCATTTGGCAATGTCTGGAGATATTTTTGGTTGTCACAGTAGGGGAGCGATCCTACTGGCCTCTGGTGGTTAGAGGCTTCCGATGCTGCTAAGCATCCTACGATACACCAGGAAGTCCCCACAACAAAGAATGACACAGTCCCAAATGTCCATACAACCACTGTTAACCCTGGTTTAGTGAAGAAAAACCATTAAAATATGTTCCATATTTTCTATAACAAAGAAGTCACCTCGTATTTGGTGAGGGGGACCCGTCAAGTTGTCCGCTTGATATTCATGCTCTTTTTTGTGTCATAGTGATTGGGACAATGCGCCTAATGGAGAAATGACATTTCCCAGTCTCACCTGCAGAGTGGAGTGATCACTTACATGAAAGAGGAAGTAGTCAGATGGTGCTCTTTATTTATTTTATTTTAAATTCTGGGATACATGCGCAGAACATGCATGTTTGTTAGGTAGGTATACATATGCCATGGTGGTTTGCTGCACCCATTAACCCGTCATCTAGGTTTTAAGCCCCGCATGCATTAGGTATTTGTCCTAATGCTGTCCTTCCCCTTGCTTTCCACCCCACTGGATGGTGCTCTTTAAATAGGCTTTTTTTTTTTTTTTTTTTTTTTTAAAAGAAGGAGTCTTTACCTGGCCCCTTTGTTTCTACTGCCTGGAAAGGGATGTGCCGGCGTGGTGGAGTCATGTACTTAGGCCGGTGCAGCAGCAGGATGGGAGGGTTTGGATCTTGGATGAGGGTGTGGAATTCCCATGGCAGCCCAGAACTGCTTCCTTCCCAATCATTTTGTGTGAGGAGAAAAAAAGTTTCTCTTGGTTAAAACAGTATTATTTAGGTTTTTATTATATGCAGCTACATCCAAATTTGACCTGTGTTTCAAAGGATTTTGATCGGTAGAAAAGAGGCCTTTGAGCTGAAGGAATTAGCAGGAATGAAGGCATGGAAATGTGAAAGTGCATGTTTTCAGGAAATAACTTGTGGATTGGTGTGTTAATTAAGTAATAAGAAAACTCTGGTCACAGAGCCTCACATAAAGTCCCCAAGAAGATCTTCAAGGGAAAAAAAAGAATAAACACACGGAGGGCAACACACTCACCTTCCTTGTCCATTTCATTTTGTCGGTCACAGTTAGGTGAACACTGACCTTTCATTTTTCTCACTGAGAAATTTGTCCCAGAGTCAATACATTTTTTTTCCTTTGTGTATTTCTCAAGGTCGTTGTCATAGTATGATGTATGAAATGCAGACCTGGGAGCACGTGAAAGCCGCCTTCCATGAAAACCCTTGCTGTGTGGGGTGTGTTCCATCCCGCGTCCCCCTGAAGCCCCACACTCTGCTCTCTTCACAGGCCAGCTGAAGCTTGGGTTAGGACCAGTCCAGATGGAATTTCCTTGGGAAAGGGAAGTGTTGGAAGAGAAGAGAAAAGTGGAATGGATACTGGGAAGGAAGTACCTGGAAAAGCACATTAAGGAGAAGAACACAATTACCACCTCACTTCTATTTTATGCCACTGTCAATGCCAGTATTTGGAGGAAGTTCAAGCTAAATTACTGAAATGATTTTGATTGTTCCGGCATTATGTTCTCAACACCTAAATGGCCAATCAGATAACTGTATTCATCTGTAAGTTGGATTAGATATTAACTTAAAATAATTCTAGCCATAATCTTTTATTATAGTGATTCTTAAACTTTATGGATTACAAACCGCTTTGAGAATCTCCACAAGCATTATGAACTCTCTCTCCACAAAAATGTATATATACGCTTATTGATTCAGAGAAAACATCATTTTAGCAGCCGTGAGCACTCCTCTTAAGGAGAGATTCATCTTTGTTGCAAAGGATGTGAAAAGTGAAGCTTTAACCAAAACCACCAAAACTGATAGACATATAATTCCAAAGTCAGATCACTATTTGCAGACTTTCTGAAGGATGTGGTTGGAAACTGGTTCCACCAATGCTCATTTCCTTCACTCACTTGGAGACAATAAAAGGATAAGATTTGGGTTCAGGAGAGATTCCTTTGGAGAGAGTTGTTACCTCGCTGTGAGCTGAAACCTGTGTCCATGCCCAGGGGTCTGGAATTACTGTGTCCTCACCCTTCATCAGGGAGGGGCTTCCACATGATGAGGAAATGTATTCTATGAGGTTGAGAAAAACAAAAGCCAAAAAGGCTGAAGAGCCTGGGGGCAGCAGGACAGAGGAGCCATTTGGGATCACAGCCAGGTGTGGAGGGTGAGCTGCGCACAACCAGACACAGGCTGCAGCAGACAGAGAGTTACTGGAGATATTTCAAGTCCTACTCAAGAGGACCCCAGAAGAGAAATAGGCATGTATGGAGTGGATGCCCATGCCCCAGGGCTGAGGGCTGAGGCCACTGTGGGGCCCGGAAGATTTCACAGGATGACAGAATGGCAGGGAGAGTGTCCGGTAATGGTCGGCAGTGCCATCCCCTCATTCCTGAGAGTGAGTCCATCCAGGTGAGAACTGTCCCATCCCCTCTCCTCTCATCCCAAATTCTCTTAACTCCCAGTGGAGTCCAAAAAGGCAGCCAGGGAGAGAAGCGGCAGATGAGGGTGGAAGAGAGAACGGAAGCCAACCACAGTCCTGTCTCCAGACTCAGGCCTCAGCATGGGAAGGGTGCAGAATGAATGTATGAACAGCTGAATGCAGGCTGAAAGGTTGATGACAATGGAATTGAGACTGTGTTTTTGACTCAGAGAGGCCAAAGGCTTAACATTACTTAAGAGAGAGGTGAAGTTCATGGCATCTGGCCAAGTTTCCGTTGAGGGTCAGAGGAAGATTTCTGCACACCCTCTTCCCCATCCCTTATATTAGAAAGGGGCAGTGGGACACAAAAATAAATTTGCATTTTGAGCACACTTCATGAGTCACGCAGTTGTATTTTATACCCACTGTAGGATGAAAGCAGACCTCCCAGGCCTGCATGAAGCTGGCTTTTGGGTCTGATGTAGAAAATGGAAGCTGCTCTGATTAATAAACATGGGTGGCGGGGAATGGGATGTTGTGGGATCCAGCAGGGCTGATTCTGGGGGAAGCAAGACAGGCTGCATGATATGCAGGGTCCAGTGCAAAGTATAAACGTGGGGCCCCTTGAAATACTTAACAAATTCAAGACAGTGACAGCAGAGCACTGAGCCAAGTGTGGGGCTTTGTGTGACTGCAGGGATTGCACACCCATGAAGCCACTCTGGAGTGAGTAACAGAGGTCAGAGAGGAGGGGAGCTTGCCAGGGGTCCAGTTAATGAGAGAGCCGGAAGAGGCCTGATGGAGACTTTCCCAGTGAAATGCTGCACCATGTGATCTTGCAAATTCTCTGCAAAATCGCAAGCTCCACATTGAGTTACGTGAATGGGGTTCTTATGGAAGCTGGTGAAGAAGCCGGTGTGGTGTCACAACAGAATAAGCCAAGCAGATGAGGGGACAGCCAACACTTTGCTATTCAGCTAACATTTCTCATAAATTAGGGGCTTAGGTAAAGAATCCATTTCTATGACAAGAAATTTCCCTGTGTCACATAATCTCGCGGGACCAGGTGATCTTTTATTTATTAGTGTAGCAGGACGTTGCAGGATACTCTCTCTGTCACTCAGAATTGGCAACTGGGGACCACATCTGGAGGTGTACAGAGAGGCTAAATACTTTAGCAGAGATGCTAAGCAAAGAGAACCATGGATGGCAAGAGCCAGACACCTGCTTGTGGTTTGCTAAGACCCGGCAGAGCCACAGCAGCCCTCCCTGTCTTGGCTGTGCCCTTCCAACATGTACAGTTATGAGGGTTTGCCTTGGAGGGGGTCTGCTGCAGCTGCTGCTCCCCCAGGAAGCCAAGTAAGAGGCATTCCTAGAAAACCACTTCTAGAGTATGGGGTTTTGACAGGCGCCCTGCATGCTACTTTTGACTGGCTGCTTGCTTAGGCAGTAGACTTATGACCTGCCTGCCCCCTCCCAAACAGGGGCAGAGGGGTGGAGACGACGGCGGGCAGTGGAGGGGCAGCCTGCAGTCCGCCCTTGGTCTGGCTGGGGGGATGTCTGCATTTTCTATGCTCCAAGCGGTCGCTGGGAGGGTAGCTGGCTTGAGCCTTTCTGTCTGGCAATAAAAACTATGGGGAGAACAGATGAGACGGGGGTAGTTGGAAGAGATCAAGTAGCATCCAGAGCCCCCAGGTAGGTGACCTGTGTGAAGGCCCCTGCGAGTCTTCCCGAAGAACGCTCCTGTAGAAGCAGCAACTTTATATAGAGAGGAGGAGACCGCTTCTCTTGACCACCCCCACCATCCCAATTCCTCCCTTGCCCTGGAGAAGATAGGAGGGGAGATTGTTTTTCAGAGCCTACCATGTTCCCTCCCAGCACCCTACCTCTGAGGTGAGAAAGGGGAGGAAGACAGAAAGAGCAGACCTGCCCCTTTCCCACTTTAGGCCCTTCCACCAGCCCAGCCAGCCATGGAGGTGGGTGGGGACACTTTATTTTTGGATATGAGGTTGGAGTCTTCAACTGGACTTGACGAAGTTTTTTAATACCAGGAAGTGACCGAGGGAGTTATGCAGTATGTCCAGGGTAGCATTAAGGGACCTTTAATCAGCAGGGGCGGGAGATTCACCACAGCCCAGCGCGGGGCACACTGGGAGAAAAATAAAACCATTTCCTGTGTGCACCCAGTGGGGTTGAGACTGTTCAATAAACTAGCTATATCTGATGAAGGACTTCATATCCTTAGGGTTAAAGGAAAGTCACTGCATTGTGTTGTGGTGTACTGAATTTATAAATTCTTAGTTGAGGAATAGCCAGATCTTTTTGCAAATCAAAAACTTGAAATGTTAAATGAGGAGGAAAGAAACTCACTAGAGGCAAATTTCTGGATGTAGATAGAGGAGACACTAAAAGAGGTAACTCATAGTTGCCTTTTTCTTTTCTCCCTAAAGTCTAAGAGTTTTTATTTTGTAGTTTTACACAGACATTTACATTTCAATTGATCACAGATTCATTAACATTTGACACGATAGAAAGGGTGTACAGAAACACGTTTGTAAGTGATTTTTAATCCTTGTTCACTTATTTGTCAACCATGTTATTCTGGCATACTATTTAATTTCCATCATAATGTTTTTCAGGGTGCTCTTCTGTTTAATTTTTTTTATTAAGTGTAACTGTGCCAATGATTTTTATATAGGGTAGTGAGGAGGGTCCTCTGTCTCTCTCTCCATTATCAGAGATTTCTAAAGCATTTGCAATGCTTTTTTTTTATTCAGACAAAAATCATTTTAACTTTACGTAACAAATATGCTTTAATTTTTTTACAACTTTCAAGATACTATTATAGCTGTACTGACAAGGAAAAATTGCCGTTGATGATCCATAGCTGATGAAGTGTATGTAGCTACTCTTCCGTGTGGTCTTCGCTATAGAGCCATTTGTAGATTACAGGCCACAGCTTTAGGGACAGGCTCCAGGTTTCTTATTTTTCTTGTTTCAATTCTGCATCATCTATTTTCTTGAATAGCAGTCTCCTAAAATGTAAGCAGTATAAAATGTTGTCACCCATCAGAACAACAGCATGCAAGTGTGTATACAAATACAAGCCATAGTCCTAACTGCCTAATTATACTTGAGTTGAATTGTGTTGCACTTGAAATGAGTGAGATATTGGGGGGATGCTGAATCTGTGATGGGCACTCAGTCCCAAACACTTATCATTGATTCATCTCTCTCCCTCCACACCGCCCCACTCCCAACATCTGATTAGCTGTCAATTCTGCCTCTGTATAACATCCCACAACCTCAGCAGAAATGTCAGTGGTTCTCCCTCTCCTGATGAATGACGCCCCAAGTCCTTGTCCGGGTCCTCAATATCTGCGCTCTCTGCTCTTACTCTAACGGTCTAGACTTCTTTCCTCTCTTCTTCACATCCTTTTTGCTCTTGCCAAAGGGCGCCTCGGCTGTTCTTGGCTCACCTTGCTTTAGTGCCTAAAAATGACCTCCCTCTTCTCACCAGTCTCCGAATGTTCAAGAGAAAGCTGCTTTTGAAAGGCAGGTTTCCACATACAGAAACACTCTCTTTTTTTCTGACCCTCTGCAGGACCTTATTAGTGCCTCTCTTATTTCATTCATCCCGTCAGATATTGAGGGCTTACTATGTGGTAGACACAGTTCTTAGGCTCTGGGCATATGGCAGTGGACAAAAATTATGGGATTTGTAGGACTGAAATTCTAATAAAGGCAATGAACCCTAAATATATGTCAGATGGGATAAGTACCATGGAAAAGAACAAACCTGGAGTGTCCTGAGAAGGTCTCTCAGATAAGGTGACACAATCTGCCACTGTACTTTCTTCAGGTCTTAACTAAAGCATCATGTTCTACTTCATATAAAAAAAATTTTTTTTAAGCATACGCTCTCTACTATAAAAGAACAGGTAGGTAGGTTATTAATTTTTAAATCTTACATTCTGATGTGTACATAGGAGATAATACATATTTCTTAATATAAATAATGATTATAACAGAGTTTATAAGATGAGATCCAGATAAAAGAAAACACTTTGATTAAAAGTTAGGAAAGAAAACCTGCTGCATTTGAGACCTAGATTATTGAGATGGGGTCCTTTGCACCTGAACAACTCTCTCCCATGAGACTTTTTATGTGGGAGAGGTCCAGCGTTTAGACAATATACTGTCATTGCATGGACTTAGTGAGCAGCTATAGGATAAGGAGATTGATGCTTATATGTGGCTTAGGGGAAGCCATCCTATGATTTTATACCTTGAGCCATGCTTATTATACCTGGCCTTCTATAGTTCCCAATTTACAGGTATTTAGTTCCTTGTGTCTTTGCCTCTCTCTCCTGCTAGGAAACTTACTGTCTTAGAAACTTATGTTGAAAAGATGTAGTCATTTTTAAAGTTTCTAGACCACCTCTATATAACTGCCCATGCACTTTGACTGGTTTCCAGGTATTTACCTTGACTGTTTTTGATCGGGATTCTGGATTTCTTGGTGCTGGCAGGTCATGGAGTAAAATAAGTCATTGGCACATGGTGAATGCATGGATCCTTGACACAAATCACTCAGCATCCTGCAGACACTTTTGGCTGTTGTTGTTCTCCCAAACCTTTGGGGCAGGTTAGGAACACGTCTCACGAGGCTCACCTCCATATTTCTTCCAGATCTCAGAGGCAGGTTGGCTGTTGCTCCAGCACTTCTTTCTTCTTGAACGTTCCTCCCAAATCTCAATGGCAAGTTGGCGAAGGAGTGTGGCATTTTATTGACTGCAGGTGTACTCATCTTAATAACATTTTTTGGTCCCCAATCTTTTAATTCCTCAAAATTGAGGCTTCTTTCCCCTTTTGGGTATCCTCTAGGCTATAATTAGAAATGACCATTACAATAACATACTGTTGTTATAAGCAACAGATTTAAACCCCCAATTAACTTAAATCTAGACTTTAATCTGCAGAATTGTTAAAGCTATAAACAAAGTTTGTGTTCATATGTGCAGAATTTTTAAATGATTTGTATTAAGCTTTTTAAAGCAATATAGTTTCTCTGTCCCTAGACTATTGTAAGACAACCATAAAATATTTATAAAATATATATAGTGAATACAGCAATGAGTTCAAGCAGCAGGAACATAATGAAGTACTGAAATGTGGCAAAAGTTTATTTTACTGCAGTTATTCTCTTTTGGTTTTTTTGATTCATGTTGCTTATGGAATATTTTATATATTTTTATAATTTGATTTTAGAGAAACCTCCCACTCATTTTTCATGTTTCTCTTTAAAGGCCAAAGTGGCACATGGAAACACGGTACATCAAAACAGAGATGCTGGCCAGGTTTTGGGGTATAGTTGTAGAAGGCCCAGTGGATTTCTTTTTTATTCTATCTTACTCAGGGTACCACTCTAAAGCTTTCTCAAGAAACCAATTGCATTTTTATTAGAATATAAAATACATTTTTAGCAAAGAACTCATTGGTTTATGGGTTACTGCATCACAAGTATGCCAACTTTGTAGGAACCATCTCAAATACAGAGAATATTTAATTAGATTTAGTCTTTACCATAGGAGCTTGTCCATATGGAAATTTTTAAATGATTGTTTTCTGATTATCCCTTGAGTAAAATGAGTATACACGCTAATTTCATCAGATTTGGAAAACACATAAAAGAAAATAAAAACAATTTGCAATTTTACCATCTACAGGTAAACACTTTACTAAGATATAGATTTAGTACACATTGGCCAGTTTGTAATTGCTAAGCCCAAAAGAAATGTGTTTTTTGTTTGTTTGTTTGTAGTTTAAAACAATTTGAATGTCCAGCTGAAATGTACCCAAATCTTATTTCTGCCAACCATTTATTACAAATATGCACTTGTGAGTTGATTGAAAATTATTAATGCGCTGTATGCTTGCTAAGTACCATACTCACCAGTACAATTGTCATGACAGAGGCCAGCCTGATTGCTGTCGTGCTAAATAAACAAGTGACATTTATACATTGTCAGAGGAAGGCTGAAATTTCACAAAAAAACAGAGTACACACCAACTTACTTCTTAGTCTTTACAAAATCATTAGACTTAGGATTAATATTATGTAATTAATGCTACTCACATTAGAGAGATTTAAAAAACTTACCTCAGAATATTTGTCATAATTTTCTTTGCTGTGAAGATTGGACATCACTAATTCATCTGCACAAAAAATGTTTGATGTTAACAAGCTTGAAGTGGCTAAAGTCAATAAAATGAATAGTTTTGATGAAATAATTTCCATTTTGTCTAAATCTAAAATTAAGTCTCTATGTGCAGCCCAATGTTTATGAGAGGAGAAAAAAATTGTGGTGTTTTTATATCGTCTAAAAACAAAGGAAAGTTTTTTTTAAACAGTGAAATCAATCTCACACATTTTAAGTACTAATATTAATTAGAGTGTACAACTAAAATATGCATGTAAGGAATGTGAATAATTCATTCTGGGAAGACAGCAATGTTTGTGCTTGCAAATTCATTAACTTTGAAAATAATTTTCCTCATTATAAAAGAGCTTCTAATTAGGTAAGTTTGGGGGGATAGTAATTAAGATTCCAAACAGACAGAATGCTTCATTTCTCTAAGCTTAAACAAAAAGTATTTTGTTTTTGGTGTTTGTGTCAATTCTTGAGGGAAGGAAAAGGAAGTATTCAATCCATGCTAGCTATGTTTTTTTTTTTTTAATCTGCACAAAAGAGTTAGGCGTAGTATTTTCAAAATGTCAAGCAAAATTAAGAATGTGAAAAAAATTATAATATCCCAACAAAATGCCATGAATTAGTTTTTTTGTAAAATGCTGTTTGGTTATTAAAAAGCTTCAGGGGTCAATGTTAGCCGTAACATGAAGGATGTGTATATGAGCAAATACTTGATAGGCATTTTGACAAACTGGCGTCTCAGGAGAAGCTGGAGGCAGTCAGGCCCTCTGTATTTGCTCTATGGGTCTTATTTGGTAAAGCTGTGTCAATCACCAAAACTTTCTATCAAGATGCTGCATCCTACCTTCCCTCTCAAAGTCCTTAGGGAGACTAGCAGGGGCTTGGTAAGTCATACACATGCTAACTCTATTGGTCCCAGGACGCATATTATTTAGGTAATCGCGTATTGCCAAAGGTGTGCTGTCATCATGACATTAAAAGAGAATTTACAGAAATAAATGCGCATTTACTGAAATGCCAAAGCGAATCTCTTTTGGAGCAGCTGACTGTTCTTAAATATCTGCCTTATCACTAGACTGCCTGGGTTCTAGAGACACCTTTACTTGTTCCCACCAGTCCCTTCAGCCCTTTCAGGAGAAAAAGACTTGCATGGATTTCCTACAGTCCAGCTACTTCTAGACACAGACAGTTAGAGGTAATTCACAAAGAGTTGTAAAATTGCTCTGTTGTGTCTAGAACTGTGCCACCTCTCACCTCTCTCACCAACCTACCGTATGTAATTTGAGACGTGAGATGGCAGAAGTGAAGATCTTTCTTCATATTGATCTCCAGAACAAGCCAGAAAGTTGAAAAACCACAGTGGGTGAACTCTTGTGATACAAACTTGCCTATGGTCTCTCTTAAGGCATTTGACATCATTGGCTTCATTTGTTTTGGTTTGTAGTAGCCAAGAACCCCACAGTAGGAGGCAATTAATTCAATTCATAGTCTATCGTTAATTTTGTAATGCCATTATTGGATTATTTGGGTTTAATTTCCCTGAGGATTTAATACATTTCTCTTCCAAATTGTTCTTTTGCAAACTGCTGATGGAATTTCTTTGTGTGTGTGTGTGTGTGTGTGTGTGTGTGTGTGTGTATGTATGTGTGTGTAGTCAGTAGATCCAAACTTTTGAGAAATGAATGAATCAAGGGGCAAGTTTTGTTGACTGAATTCACACCCCAGAAAAAGCAGAAGGCATCAGCCTGAGTCTTTTTCAAAATGTATTTTTATCTAGTTGTCATTTTCAGATAAAATGCAAATTAAGCAGCTCACCAGTTTTCAGTGCTGCTACTAATGGGTGTTGGCAGATCCATTAGAATTTTCCTGATGACAATCAGCATACACATATGACTTAATTGCTCCCTGCCTCCACCAGGTTAGGACTCCACGTTTGGAAGGTAATTAGAATTATCTTATTAATATGGGGCTTGGGCCAGGCACGTGGCTCATGTCTGTAATCCCAGCACTTTGGGAGGCTGAGGCTGGCAGATCACCTGAGGTCAGGAGTTCAAGACCAGCCTGGCCAACATGCTGAAACTCCATCTCTACTAAAAATACAAAAATTAGCCAGGAATGGTGGCACATGCCTGTAATCCCAGCTACTCAGGAGGCTGAGGCAGGAGAATCGCTTGAATCCAGGAGGTGGAGGTTGCCGTGAGCTGAGATCACACCATTGCACTCCAGCCTGGATGACAGAGCGAGACTCTGTCTCAATAAAAACAACCAACCAACAAACAAACAACAACAAAAAAAAAACGGGTCTTGGCTCTTTTCAATTATATCTTCATTTAACTTTGAAAGTGTTAACAGATATAGAACATACAAAGTATGAAATCACCATAAATCTTTTGTTGAAATGTGCTACTGCATACACACATACAGATTAATTGGTTTAGGGTCTCTTGGTGAGACATATGAGGATATGAAAAATTTAAAAAAATCTCTCTCTCGGACTTGTGGCATTTAAATACATGCTTCATTTGCTAAGATTTTAGTGGCTCTAGGACTACTCAATTCTAAGCCTATCTCTTCAGGCTGGTCACTTCTCCTGAGCTTTTGAACCTCCCACTCAGCTTCCTACCAGACAGTGCTGTTTGGACATCCCACAAACATTTCAAGTTCAGTATGTCTGAAATGGAATTTATCTTTTCCATACCTATTTTTCCTCCTATGTTTCTCATTTCGATGAATAGTACTGCATCTGTCAGGGTCCAATCAGGAGACAGAAAACACACAGTAACTTGAACAGGAAGTGATTAATACAAATAATTATTAATTATAACAGGAAATTAACTATAAAGGGGTGAAGAATACACTACAGTTGAGAGACAATATCCAAGGAAAGAACAAGCTGGTTGGAATTTAGATCATATTGGAGAAAGTGTGATGGCAGGGAAGTTTGCTGCATTGCTCCTGGCCAGAACTTATCTGTAGTCTCAAGCAGGAAACCTTTTGGAATGTAGGTAGGTCAGGCAACTTCCGGAATATCTGTGAGACTCCTAGGAATCTCCCACTGAAACCTGATGGGGGTGAGCACCATTGGATGACCCCACATGTACTACTGGCAGCTGCACACAGAGAAGCAAGCAGATGCATGATTGGATCAGGAAAAGTACCTCTTTGCTTTAGTAACCCTTCAGTACCTTCTACTGACAGAACTTAAAATTATGCCTGCTGCAAAGGAGAAATTCTTACTGGGTCCATCTCCCTTATCTCAAAGCATGCATTGAAGGGTAGATGTAGAGCTATTGCAATAGGTCTATAACTGGCAAGGTTACTATCATCCATTCATTTATCCAGGCTAAATTCCCTTGTGAGATCCCTATTTCCTCCCACATCTTATTCTACAGTTGATGATAATTGTGTTTCTAGTTTTGGGCTGTTACACTCAATAATAATAAAAGCCAATTTTTAAAAGCATTTATCACGTTCCAGAAATTCTTCTAAGCATTCTGTGAATTAACTCACTTATCTTTCATAATAATCCCATGAGCAGCTACTATTATTGTGCCTACTCTTCAAAAAGGGAGACTGAGGTGCAGAGGAATTAAACAACTTTCCCAGTAAGTGTCAGAACCAGGGTATGAACACAGTCTAAACTTAATGACTACTAGTTTGCCTGATAAAGTCTGTTCTCTTCCAACTTCTAAATGGCTCTTAAATCTGCTCACTTCTTTCCACTCCCATGGCCATAACTCAATTTATCATTTTTCTCTTGCCTAGATCCTTTTCTTGATCTTTTCCAATTCTTTCTCCATGGTGTAATCAGACAATTTTTTTTAAAATTGAGACGGAGTCTTGCTCTGTGGCCAAGTTGGAGTACAGTGGTGTGATCTTGGCTCACTGCAACCTCCGCCTCCTGTGTTCAAGGGATTCTTCTACCTCAGCCTCCCAAGTATCTGGGACTACAGGCATGTGTCACCACGCCTGGCTAATTTTTTGTATTTTTAGTAGAGACGGGGTTTCACCGTGTTAGCCAGGATGGGCTTGATCTCCTGACCTGATGATCTGCCCTCCTTGGCCTCCCAAAGTACATTTATGACTTTCGTTCTTAATGTCTTTCAGTCATTTCCCATTTCCCTCAGAATCACTCAGGTCGCCTACCCTTCATGATCTGTACTCTATTTATCTCTGTTTATTTACCTGCATGGACTCTTGCCACTCCCTACCAGCTCCTTGCTTGACGATGAACTTCTTTCTGTTCCTCCAAATAGATGAGCTTTCTCTCGCCTCCAGGCCTCTGCCCATGATTTTCCGGTGCATCTAATGTTCATCCACTGGCCTCTCTCCTTCTCACACCTATTCATTGTTTGGGCCTCAGCTGAGGTATGATATGTTGTGAAAAGTCTCTCTTGACTTCCGTCTCTAAGACATAGCTGTTTTTTCTTTGCTAATCGTTGCTCTTATCACTCTAACTTGTCCTGAACCATCCATGGCTCCGCAAACTTTGTGAGGGAAGGAGCTTGCTTGTGTAGAATGTAGGAGTATTTTCATTGTCTATTGCACAGATGCCCAGGAAATTTTATTTCTAAGTGAATTAGTAATTTTTTTATTATTATGGGAAATAGGAGTTAAAACTGAAGTTGTTTAGTTATTTTTCCCCAGCGTTGGCCTAGGTTTGTGGCTTGTCGTGAAATCACAATGTCTTAACATTATCTTTTTGGGATTTCACATTGAAGACTTTCCCAGACTGAGCTCTATACAATTAAGTATAAGTAGGTTGAATGTGAGTTTTGGTTTATTCTGTTTCTAGTTTAATATGCAGTTTGATAAGTTCAATATGTTCTGATGGATCTTACTGTGTTGATGGCCATCAGTTGTGCCCAAACACCAGGATGGGTAGGAACAGGGACTGCGCAGCCCCAAGGAGTGCTTCCTGGTGAGGCTTCAGGGTCTCCCACTAGGCCGACTTCAGAACAGAAAAGGGTTCTCTGCTTGCTTATTATCTCTCTATGCCCACTAGCCACATCCTAACTTCGGGCAGGCAGGTAGAATGGGAGTTCAATTTCACCAGTCAGAAAAGGAGCTGACTTGAGTTTGGGTTTTTGACTTTGTGAGATTCTAGACTATTTGCACTTCTAGTAAATATTTAAAATAAGAGGTTTTGTGCCATGGGCTGCAAGTTTCTACTTAAATCTTTATGTAGAAGGGGCAGCTCACTCTATGCATAGTTCCATGCTTCTTAAGGTCATAGTGAGGGCTACCAAAAAGGTGGTTAATTTAATATCTGGAGGAGCCCCATTACAGAGCCCTTCTCCTCAACCCAGCAGCATACTTCCAGGGCACTTGCCTTTTTATAATGTTTATTTCTTCTTTTCCATCTAAGTATAACCTAGTTGTTATAAGGAAGTATTTATAGGCATTAGAGTCTTATTTTGCATTTCATGTTTGCAAAGTATTTTGCAACCATTTGGGAACTAATTCAGGCCTTCTTTAGAGACGGATGGTAGTATTACCATATAATTCATTTCAGCATTATGTGTGGCAAGGAGAAAGAAATACCTGCCTTTGTTCCAAATAAAAACATCCTATGCAAATTGTAAAAAATTCTTATTAAAAAAAGTATGGTAGTACTTTTTTTCAGGATTTATGAGTGGCTTGTTATAATCAGCTTGTCATATTTGGAGAGCAGGATTGTATTTACTTCTCTGCTTTTTACTACGACAGATTATAACGCCAGGGTTTTAGAAGGTGCTGATGTGAATGTAAGACAAAGATTATTCCTCCATCTAGTAAAAGCAGTTGAAATTCATCTCGAGTTGAAGTAACTTAAAGAATCAGTTTGTACAAGAATAAACATTAAATATTTATAAAAATTAATTCACATGATTTACTCTGGAAAATTGAATCAATGGCAAGGTCCCTATATCTACAGGACATATTTTAGAGCAATATATTGAGCAAACATTCAGTATCTCTATTAGATCTTTCAAACAATAGAGAATGGTAGTATTTTTTTAGATTTTTTAAAGCAATTGTGTAAGGCTGATTAGGAAGGAGGCTCTCTACAGCACAGCTTTCCAATTCAAGCTTTTACGTTTTTTAATGTTTCATTTTTATTGACTTTTTTTTCTCTTTCAGGAAAAATGTGTGATTTTTACTGGCCTGGCAGGGGTTTGTGGTACCTCTTGCCAAAGTGTCAAGAAAACTCAGAATTCTGTACGTGAGAGACAAAGACCAGATGTTTAGTTAAAACAACACGTAGCTTTTACACAAATATAGGTAATGGAAACCAAAACTTTCCCTCGTATTTTTTTTTCTTTTTGACCAGTCTTGCTTTTGATATTTTTAAAATAAGCAAGCAGCCATCTTGTCATTCTAACCTGAGCAGGACAATTTAATTTCTTGTAAAGTGTGTGCTTTTTCAATATCTTGGGGGTTTTTGATTTATCTTTTTTTTTTGAAGGATTCTGCTCTAAAATGTAGAATGTACTCTTCAAGTAATAATTTGCTTTAATAAAAAAGGAAAATTTAAGACTTTGAGTGGCTTAGGAAGGACCTAGCCTAATCCTTAGGCTGCCCTTTTCCACAAGCCTGGCCACATCTTATTTATTTATTTATTTATTTATTTATTTACTTATTTTTTTGAGACAGTCTCGCTCTGTCTCCATGCTGGAGTGCAGTGGCGCGATCTCAGCTCACTGCAACCTCCACTTCCTGGGTTCAAGCGATTCTTGTGCCTCAGCCTCCTGAGTAGCTGGGATGATAGGCATGCACCACCACACCCAGCTAGTTTTTGTATTTTTAGTAGAGACGGGGTTTCAGCATGTTGGCCAGGCTAGTCTCTATCTCCTGACCTCCTGATCCGCCCACCTCAGCCTCCCAAAGTGTTGGGATTACAGGCGTTAGCCACCGTACCCGGTGCCTGGCCACATCTTTATCGGGGAGGAAATCTGTTGCTTAAACTTACACTGATGTGGTTCGTGGAGGATGTTTGCAGAGACAGCCGTTTTCCCATCTCCAGCATAGGAATAAAGGCAGAATGAACATCATCACTAATGTGGGTCCTCCCAGCTGCTCTTTCATCTCTGATGAAAAGGGAACTGATTGAAATGCCCACATGAAGGGGTTGTTGTTGTTTGTTTGTTTTCTTTTTGGGGGGGGGCATGTTGGTGCTGTGCTCCTGAGTGCTGTTGGTAAGAATTTCCTCAAAGGTCCACGTAGCATCCACACAATTGCCTGGATTCTGAATAGCAGCTGGCCTGGCTCTGGCCGACCTTGCATGAACACACTGGCACTTTCTTCTGTTTTTAGCCCTTTGGCTTTGGCAACACTCCATGCCCCTCTGCTCTACCTATGAGTACTTCATACCCAGTGGGTGCCTCTTTCACCTGAGTCAGAGAGACTGCCCTTCAGTACTGAGGAGTCGGCACTTCCCTTCAACACTGGTTTTATTGGATCCCCCCAAAGGGATGTGTTCATGCTATAGCCAGGAATTACAGCACAGCAGTTCTCAAGCAATTCCATGACAAAACTCAACCAATTCCAAGCAAGGAAACAGGAAAAGCTTCCGCTAAATCATTACTGCTGTCTTTGGAAGAGTACTTAAAAATACACTTTTAAACCTATAGCAACTTTAGGTATAAATTTAATTAAAGGGGGAGATTTTCTGGCCATCTCCTGATTCTACAAGACAAACTCTAAAGTGAAATTTTCTGTACTAATTGAGGTAAAATGAGCTAAATAGATATTAATATAATCAGCATTAAATACCTGTTAAATGAAACTTAAGTTGGCCTGAGGATGCCTCCACACTTGATTCCTTACATAAAGAACTGCAACCTAAGTTAGTACATAAACTAAATGAAAGCCTAACTTAGGAGAGTACTTTTGTAACACACAACTGAGTCTCATCCAATCACTGCAGCTGAGCTTCAGTCAGTCTTAGGTGGCTGACTCCTCAGACCATATTCAAACAAAGCAAATGCCAAGCTGTAACTAATTGAGCTGTGTCTGTACCTCACTTACATTTTTTGTCCATAAATGCCACCAGACTACATTGCAGGCTGATGTTGTCTGAACCTGTTCTGGTTTTGAGGCTCATTCTTGTTCAGTTAAACTATTACATTTAATTTGTCTCAAGTTTTTCTTTTAACATACCTAATGGATTTAATTATATATTGGGTTTTAAAACTTCCTAGGTTTTAAACTGGTGAGTTTAAGAGATCAGATATTTCTCTTTTGAGAACCTATAATAAAAATAAAATACGTCGGTAAAGGTTTTAGAGAATATTTAAATGCGTAAGTAGGCACAGCAGTTCTAGGGACAATAGCCTGTTATAAACATAGACTTGAATGACCCAGAGCAGTTTTAGAATAGTGGGAGCTTTGCCTCAGTAGAGATGTCTTTCTGATTCGCTGATGGAGGTAGGCGGTGATCCACAATCTAGAAGCATCCAATTAGGAGAGTGATGTGGATCTTCAGTCAACAGCCCTTCTGTCCATGCCTCATGCCCCAAACTTGAGGTGGAATAGCTCGTCCTATGTTTTCATACACTTTAGGCTGATTGCTTATTTATATTTACCACTCCCAAACTTCCTCTGATGTATATTTTAATCTGATCTTACTTGAATAAAAATATCCATGGAGAAGGAGTCCCAGAATGCTAGGGGAGCCCCTAACATACAGACTAAGCAGGGCACAGCGAGAGGTGGAACAGGAGAGAAACCACTGTGGGTGCACATTGGACCTCCCTGCCTCTTGGGCAGTTTTCTATTCTTTCTTTTTTTTGAGACAGAGTCTCGCTCTGTTGTCCAGGCTGGAGTGCAGTGGCACAATTATGGCTCACTGTAGCCTTGAACTTCCCAGCCCAAGCAATCCTCCCACCTCAGCCTCCCAGGTAGCTGGGACCACAGGCACATGCCACCAGACCCATTCCTATCTATCTATCTAATCTATCTATCTATCTATCTATCTATCTATCTATCTATCTATCTATCTGTCTATTTTGTGTAGAGATGGGGTCTTGCTATGTTGCCTGGGCTGGTCTCAAACTCCTGGGCTCAAGCAATCCTCCTGCCTTGGCCTCCCAAAGTGCTGGGATTACAGGTGTGAGCCACTACACCCAGCCAAGTTTCCTATTCTTGTAAATGTTGTGTAGTTGAATCTTTCCTATCAGCACAGCTGCAAAACTAGGCTCTCATTTACCTGATATATTATTACTCAGCACTCCTCAGTTGCACATTATTGAAATATCTAATGCATTTAAGCAAAATGAGGAATCTGTTATGAGGATACTGGGATGTCTTATGAATGAGATTAGGGCCTATAGAACATCTGGAACCAAAGACTCAAATCACCATCGAGACTTTCTCTTGGATTCTCATTTCTTCTCTGAGTCTATTTCATTATCCCCTCTTACTACTATCTAGATTTTTAGACTTCTCTATCTATTTGTCAAAACCTCCTGAGTTTACATATCCTCAATTCTGGCTATCCTGTGAAAAACTGCCTTAGCTTTCTCAGTTTCAAAGTACCAGGGGATGACTCTGATTGGCCCAGTCTAGATAAGGTGCCCCATCTGAACCAAATCATCTGTGGCCAGGGGTGGTCCACATTGTATTACCATAGAAGATCCTATATAACCCTCTGAGAAGTGCTGGGGGTGGGTGGCACTACTGGGAAGACAATACAAAAGGTGTCCAATACAGCTAGAGAGACAGAGCAGGTCAGGTAGAATCTGGCCTCATCTCTCCCTGACTCCAATTCCTTGTGCTGAGAAAAACTATTTCCTTAGCTGGTGAAAACCTAAGTTCTGACCTGCAATCAGAGGGTGACTTAACCATTCTCTGTCACTGCAGGTATTTCTCTGTGTCTCTCTGAAGATGCTGTGGAGGTCTCTATTCTAGCCTGGTGATACCAGGAAACAGTGTTTTCAGCTGTGCCATCTGGATCTTTGTTTTTGCAAGCAGGTGTTCTTGTGCGATACTTTTGTGGCTCATATGGGGTTTTGATGGTAAAAAAAAAATACCAAAACAAAACAAATTCTAGATCTTCCTTCCCCAGGGGCAGCTGAGGGCACAATTCCCAGCTATTTCTCCATATATCCATCAAAAGCAGTGCCAACTTTGAGAGCTTATAAGATTCCTGGTCTCCCCTGGCAGGTGAAAGCCTTGGCTCAGGTGTTTCTCCCTGGCATTTGGAGGTGCTCCTGTTTCCAGCGTTATGCTCACACCAGATATGAAGCACTGCTCAGAGAATTCCAGGACCAGATGGTTTGGTCCCTAAATGGTCCTAACTCTTTTCAATTTGGGCTTCTTTCCTAAACATTTTACACCCTTTATTTTGCTGTGATGATACTGGCTTGCCTTATTTCTTCCTGCTGAGTTTACCAAGGTGGGGTAAGTTCTATGACCTGAAGTAGAATGGTTTTTTGAGCAAGAAAGTTAATTTTTTTATGAAGTTGGCAGATTTGCCAGTCTCTGCCTGATAGTTGGGTAGTCTTCCTTGGAGACACAATCCCAAATTTCTTTTCTTTATATAATGACCTGTACAGATCAGTAAGGAGTGTTTATTTTAGAGATAGTAAAAATAAGACCCTTGTGTATAATTCCAAATACAAGTATCTATTATTTTGGTAATTAGTGTGTCATTGCTGTCAATTTTTTTTAAACAGCATTTACACTAAATTAGTAGTAGTGATAATGGGACATTTAAGTTCACTCATACAAGCATATCTGTCTACAATAAAATATTTGCTTTCAGTGACAGAAAGTATTTTAAAAGTGTTCATTAGAACAATTTGATAACTGTGTATCCATTATTAATAACTTGAGACAGGGAATTACATGTTATATGACTCATGTGACCAATAAGGAAGCTACCATTTCCATAATTATAAAGAATTTATACCACATTTATTAGACTATTCTGTATCATTTGACCCATTTATGGCTCATTCTGAAAGGGTAAGATTTAAAAATTTATAAAGTTTTTTGAATGAAAAATCTGGCAGGTAATTTCTCCCTTACATTGCTAGCAGTGGGTGCCCACCATCTAAGAGACTGGGGCCATTTTGTTCCACGCCTCCCTCCTCTAACTCCATACTAGCAAAGAACATTTGGGATGCTCTGAGGTATGTTGACCCCTCTCCCTCAGGAGTGAGTTTGAGCAGAGGAAACACATCCCCTCTCTGGGGAGCCTTCTGATGGGTAAACTGTGACAAGAGTTGAAGTGGAAGAGGGTGATGTGGGTTGGCCACATTCTGTAACAAAATTAAGCCATGGGGTGAAGGGCAACTATTCAGTGTCCACGTGTTCTTTGTTCACAGGCCCAGTCAAGGTTTCTTTTTCTGGGGGGCGGGGGGTGGGGAGGCGGAGTCTCACTCTGTTGCCTGGGCTGGAGTGCAGTGGCACGATCTCGGCTCACTCAACCTCTGCCTCCCGGGTTCAAGGGATTCTCCTGCCTCAGCCTCCTGAGTAGCTGGGACTACAGGTGCCCACCATGCCTGCTACATTTTGTATTTTTAGTGAAGATGGGGTTGGCCAGGCTGGTCTCAAACTCCTGACCTCAAGCAATCCACGTGATTACAGGCACAAGCCTGTCAAGGTTTCTGAAGAACCCATTTAAAGAAAAAGTTGAGCAAATGCTCAACTCAGTAAGCTCCCAGTGAATGTTAATTACTGGTGGCACTAGCGCTGCTGCTATTATTCTTCCAATCTTCCAGAGTTAATGACTGTGTGTGTGTGTGTGTGTGTGTGTATGTGTGTGGGTGGAGAGAAGAGGAGGTGAGACTCAGGCTTGAAAGGGTGGAGAGCATAATTTCAAAGGTTGGTAGAAGATGAACCTTTATATTCTAGGTTTTCTTCCTGGCACAGAAGAGAGAACCAGGCCTATTGAATGATTCT